>NC_000017.11:65685980-66935980 GCF_000001405.40 Homo sapiens
ACTACTTGTGTTAGTGTCACAGATTTAAAGGGGGACATAGGTCAAATTTAGATAAAAGATTAAGTTAAATATGGATGAATAGTATTTGTTAAATATCTATTATTTGTTATGCAGTTTAATTGAAACAACTGGCTTTTTTTTTTTTTTTTTTTTTCAGCTACATCCTAGGACCTTGTGGAAAGAACCCAACATCTCTTGGTTACAAAGATTATGAAATATTCAGCTTTACCCATGGGTATTTCCTGACATTTCTTTGGTAAACTGTAGCCTAATAGAAGATATCAGGAATTAGTGTAAGAAATATTCTAAAAAGCTATTGTCACTACAAAGATGAAAGTAACTTTGATGATCAAAAAGAAGTCAATAAAAAAAGACTGAAAGTAGTTCCTGAATCCTTCTCTATTGTTCATTTGGGATTTCTTAATTTCCCTACTCTCAATATATTATGGAATTTTCTGTGTGAAGTTTTGCCATGAATTAAATTGATGTCAACAAAAGTTTTACCTTAAGTCATATTTTACCACAAACTAGAGAAGCCCCAGTCCTCCAGGGAGCACCTTTTCCTGCCTTTAAGAAGCTTGTCTCTTCTTCTTCTTTTAATTACAAGCATCATCTACAGAGGATGGGGCTCAGTTGACCTTCAGTGACAATTAGACCTGCTGATTTGACATGAACAAATCCATGCTCCCATCCGAGGAGGCATTTTCATCTCTTTGACTTGGCACACGATGGGCAAGTGTGCTGTGCTTGTGTTTCCTTTGCTCGTTGCTTTTCTCTGCCCATGGAAAGTCAATGGCATTTGCTCCTCTACCAGGAAGCAGGAATACAATGTCTGTTTGCCTGCCATCCTTGATAAGTTTACTTTCTCTATCATTGCTATCCAGTTTTTTTTTTATTTGCTAGATATGTAACTTGAAAATTGTCATGGAAGGAGCAAAAGTTTGGAGTTCAGATAAACCTGGATCTGAATACTCTTCTACTACTGTGTGATCTTGGATCTACTGCTGTGTGATCTTGGATGAGTTAATCACTCTGGATTTTGGCATGCTATTCACAAAATGCAGATGATAATACTGATCTTACATGGTTATTGTGAAAATTAAATGAACCAGTATGTGTAACATTTATTGTACAGTGTCTGTCATCTTGTCAGCATTTGATAAGGTATAGTTATTATTAATTTTTTTTTTTTTTTTTTTTTTTTGAGATGGAGTCTTGCTCTGTCTCCTAGGCTGGAGCGCAGTGGCGTGATCTCGGCTCACTGCAACCTCCGCCTCCCCAGTTCAAGCAATTCTCCTGCCTCAGCCTCCTGAGTAGCTAGGACTATAGGCACCTGCCACCACGCCCAGCTAATTTTTGTATTTTTAGGAGAGACAGGGTTTCACCATGTTGGCCAGGCTGGTCTCGAACTCCTGACCTCGTTGATCCGCCCACCTTGGCCTCCCTAAGTGTTGGGATTACAGGTGTGAGCCACTGCGCCCGGCCTAGTTATTATTAATTTTTTATTCTAGTATTATTCTATTTTGTTATCCTATTGTTGGGTGTATTACATAGACATTATATAAAACGTATATGTATATATGTATATTTATGCATCTCATATACATGATATGTACATACATATGTGATATACATATGACACAGAGTTCATTAGAGAGTAGGAAGGAATTATAGGAAGGCAAGTCAATTCAGTAAGTATTAACAGTCAGCATCTATTAGGTGCTTACTTTCATCATTTTGTACAATCCTCTATCGTGGGATCCTGTTTGTAAACATCTCCAGAGATTAAAGAAGAAAAGAAAACCTTCCCTATCAGCCTTACTTTTGTGTTTTCCCTTCCCCCAAATTCAGAATAAGCTAATATAATATGCCAATATTCCTGTACTGAGTTTTACAACCAATGTATAAACATCTGTCAATTCCTATGACTGTTTCTGTACATAATGGATTGGTGGCACTTAGATCAATATTAGCAACGCTACACTCAACAGCTGAGGGCAATGCATTTATAAAGGGTTTCATCAAGATTCATGGTCTCTAGTGATACATGTTGACTTTTTAGTTTAAATTGTCAAAATTACCACTAAGTGTAATTTATTATAACCAGAAGAGTTGGGTGAAAATAATGCTGTCATTTAAAAATAAAATAGGTCATTAGCTATTGTCACAGCCATACTATTCTGGGTTATATTACATTATTTTGAAAAGAATGGAAAGAAAAAGGAGAAAACTAAAATTCAAAAGAAAATGTGATTTATGCCTCTAAGCAAAATAATATCCATTTATTTTGAAATGATGACATAGCAGACACTGTTGGCTGCATACTCAACACTCCATTTCCCCTCCTTTTTGTTCCAGTTTTCATTCTTCTCCCAGTTTCATCACCAGCAGGTGGGTCCTGATTATTCTAGGCTAGTTTTGTATACTCAGTTCTTTAGCCAGGGACTGGGTATGCCAGGCTAAGCATGTGACCTTCTCTGGCCAATGACATGTAAAGGGAGGGGGTAGTTTCCAGGAAAGATTTCCTTACTCATTAGGCCCTAGAAACTGGCAGCCCTTTTCTGCCTCCGAATAGTGCAGATCTGGGCAGAATGCCTGGCACTGCTGCAGCCATCTTGAAGTTGGTTCTAGAATGAAGCCAGCACCGGAGGGAGAGTCATGAGAATGCTTTACTTGTGGACTTCTTGTTCTGTGAGGTAATAAATTGCTTTATTTTTTATGTGAACCATGGGTGGGATATTCTGTTACTTGCACCCAAAGCATCTTAACTGAAACAGGCAATGTGTAAACTTGTTTTTTTTTTTGAGACGGAGTTTTGTTCTTGTCACCCAGGCTGGAGTGCAATGGTGCGATCTCGGCTCACTGCAACCTCTGCCTCCCGGGTTCAAGTAATTCCCCTGCCTCAGCCTCCCAAGTAACTGGGATTACAGGCACCTGCCACCACACCCAGTTAATTTTTGTATTTTTAGTAGAGACAGGGTTTCACCATGTTGGCCAGGCTAGTCTCGAACTCCTAACTTCAGGTGATCCACCCACCTCGGCCTCCCAAAGTGCTGAGATTACAGGTGTGAGCCACTGCACCTGGCTGCACACACTTCTTGACCTAGAGAAAGTAAACAAGAGAGTCAAATAGTAAAGGAGAGGGTACCTGTTCCTGTGACTCCAATTCTTTGTGTTGTAATTTTTTCTCTGCACATCGCACCTGATTAGAACGGTTTTCTAATTCATCTTGTAAAACCTGAAACGGTATAAAATAAAGATATCATTAATAATTAGCACACTTGGAAAAATAGTTCTACACCATGAACTGGCACTAAAAAGGCCTCAGATCTCTAGTTTATTACTCTTGTTCCAAAGCATTCAGGCAAACAATACCAGACTTTTGTGTGTCAGGCCAAGATGTTTTCTGCTTTAAGAATACCTAGTATAAAAAATTCCAAAGTTATAAAATAGACAAATTGGCAGATGTCAATCATATATTAAAATGTCTCATATTCCCAGCACAGAACCACAAGCATGTAATAAAGCATATGTAATAAAGCATAACACTATTGCAATGAAAATGGCTCCCTCAGGACACCTGCAATGTACACTTACACTCTGAATATCATTGTGACGGATAGGAATTGTAATATCTGACCAGCATAACATTTTTCAAAATTATATTATGATAATTTGAGTAAATTATAGCAGCCTTAAAGGAATTTCTTTATAAAGTCAGAGAGGATGGTATGGAACTTGAGGAACTTGTAAGAAATGGAAAGAGGTGAACTCTTTCCTTTGCCAAGTAGCTGTTTGAAATAGCATTCAGGTTAATATGGGAAATGGAAACCACAAAGACCAATAATTACCACTGCATCAATTACTATGTTAAGTAAAGAGATGAACTAGAAAAAGAACTTGTAGTTTCCATGTGCTATTTCTATAATGACACTGGATTGTCCATTCAAACAATCCAATGTAATTACAGAAATACTACATGGAAAGTTACAGTGAGCAGAATGCATGGGGTGGTAACAGCAAAGGTGCCAAATTCACAAAATTCATTTCATCCAGTCAATATTAGTGAGTTCCTGCTGTGTGTCAAGAATTACGATAGGTACTCTAGACATAGCAATGAAAGAAAACAGACCAAAAAAAAAAAAAAAAAAAAAAAAACTCCGGTCGGGCACAGTGGTTCACATCTGTGATCTCAGCACTTTCAAAGGCTAAGGCAGGAGGATCACTTGAAACTAGGAATTCAAGATCAGCCTGGGCAACATAGCAAGATCTTTTCTACAATTTTTTAAAATTTAATTAGCTGGGTGTGGGGGTGCAAACCTGTGGTCCCAGCTACTTAGGATGCTGAGGCAGGAGGATCACTTGAGCCCAGGAGTTTGAAGCTGCAGTGGGCTATGATTGTGTCACTGCACTCCAGTCTGGGTGACAGAATGAGACCCTGTCTCAAAAAAAAAAAAAAAAAAAAAAATCCTTGCATTCACATGCTTAGATTATAATGGGGTGGAGGTAGGCAATAAGCAAACAGTAAGTGTATTATATAACCGTGATGAGTGCAGAAGAAAAATAAAGCAGGGAAGGGGACATTCTGGAGTGGTGTGAGGAAGAGGGGATTGAGATTTTAAATAGATGGTCCAAGAAGGCCCAGCTGGGCGAAGACCTGAAGGACAAGAGAGAGCAAGTCACATGTAAATTTCCACAGGAAGAGCCTTCCAAGCAATAGCCACTGCATGTGGAATGACTCCGAGATGGTATGTTTGTGGAAGCCATAAGGTCACTGTTGAGAGTGATCAAAGCAGCAGCAGTGAAGTCAAGGACATAACAGGGTTCAAGTCACATCAGGTTACGTGGAGTCTTGCAGGTCAAAGGCTTTAGATTTTGCCCAGAGATAGACAGGAAGTTGCTGGGGGGTGGGGAGCAGGTGCTGCTTTCATTGTTGTCTGAAGAGCAGACTGAGGGGCAAGGCAGAGGCAGAGAGCAGGGGAGAGGCCACTGTAACACCAGGAAAGGGAAGATGGAGAGCGGGGCCAGGTGGTAGCAGCTGATGAAGGAAGGATCAGGTCCAGGTATGAAATAGAGATGATGGCCCTGAAGGAGTGGAAGCAGAGAGAGGAAAAAACAGGACCCCAGGGATTCTGGCCTGAGGAGCTAAGACTGCAGTTGGCATTCACAGAGACAGGGCAGGTGTTGGGGGAGAGGAGCCGGAGCTCAGCCTCAGTTGGCTTCAGTTTGAAATGCCTATTACACATCCAGGTGGAGACACGAGTTCAGACACAATGGCTAAATTAGTGTCCATTAAAGATTCCTGCAAACACAATGCCAGTCTTTTTTATGTCCAGATAAACAGTGGTTCTTAACCTTTTGGGAGGTTCTAGACTCCTTTGAGAATCTGATGAAAGCTATGTAGTTACTCCCTAGAAAGAGAAAAACCATAGTTTTATGATTTTGCCTCTCACTGTAGGACATTCATAGATTGCCTGAAGCCCATCTGTGAATGGACCCCAGGCTAAGAACTAATTTAAAAAGTGAAATGGTCTGTGAATGAGCTTGCATGCTTTAGGGTGTCTTTGATATTAGACTTGATCATAAATCTACAACTCAACCAGGTCTGAGAATGAGCTTGGAAATCTCTCCATTCTTGAATTGTCTATAATTCTGTTGTTGTGTTCTACTTCCAAAAGGATGAATGCAATAGTTCCTGTGCTTGTTGATGAGGTAGCCTTTCCCCCACCCCCTACTTTCATAGCTACCAACAAATAGGATCTTATCAGCTTCTTTTATTGCATAATTGGGGAAAGTAATGATTACTGTATTGGGAAGAATAGTTATCTATTTTTTTTGTCACCACTTTTTCCTGCTCTCTAATCCATCCTCACACCACTGTCAGAGTGAACTTCTTAAACTTAAATCTGATTATGTTGTTCCCTGACTGAAATGCTTAAACAACACTCCAGCCCCGCTGAGAGACAGCTCTCACTCCTTAGCACAGCATACAAGGGGCTTCATCAACTGGCTTGGTCTCCAGCCACGCTGTGCCGTAGGAAGCCTTGGCATGCCGTGCAGATGTCATTATCAGCAATAACAACAGGAGCTATCATCCACGGAGTGGATTTTATTTTTAACCCTTACGACAATTTTGTGCACCCAGTATTATTCCATCTATGTTAGAGAGGATGTAATTGAGGCTCCATGCAGTTAACTACCTTGCTCAAGTCCATGTGGTTAGCAGTAAGACACTGCACTGGAATTTTTTTTTTTTTTTTTTTTTTGAGACGGAGTTTTGCTCTGTCACCCAGGCTGGAGTGCAGTGGCACAATCTCGACTCATTGCGACCTCCACCTCCCGGGTTCAAGCGATTCTCCTGCCTCAGCCTCCAAGTAGCTGGGATTAAAGGCATGTGCCACCACACCCGGCTAATTTTTTATATTTTTAGTAGAGACGAGGTTTCACCATGTTAGCCAGGATGGTCTCGATCTCCTGTCCTTGTGATCCACCCATCTCAGCCTCCCAAAGTGCTGGGATCACAGGCGTGAGTCACCACGCCTGGCCTGGACTGGAATTTTAACATATTTTTGTAACTTCAAATTGAATATGTTTGTGCTACTCCATGCTGCCTCTTTCCCACTCTGTACTGATTTTCTCTTTTCTTTGCCTGGAAGTCCCTACCGCACCTACTCTGCTCAATGATGTAATTGCCCTAATCTATACAAGAGCTAAGTATGGACTTCTCTGGGCTTTCATCCATCTAGTGTTTAAGAGAATTAATTTACATGTCTGGGTGGCATGCAACTGCAGCTCAGGGCTCTCCTCTCTTCATCTCTGCAAGCCCAGTGCCAAGCCAGCTCAATGCCTGGTACACAGGTGACACTGAATTCATGTTTGTGGAAGGAACTCATAAACATTTGAACTCTACTCCCTAAAGATATTTACTTCAATCATCAGGGCTTCTGACTGTCCTTCATGTGGCACATTTAACCAAAGGTGATTATGTGTCCTGAGACACAAAATACACAAATATATCCTCCAAATGTCTATATCTATCTCTGAACACACACACACATATCATAATGATAATAATTGATAATATATTATCTGGTTTCTGCTACAATAAAAAATACTCCTTTAATTTTATTTCACAGAAGAGAAAGATGGCATGCCTCTCCCTTCTCTTAAACGAAGAGTTGTTCCCCACTTCCTGGCTTCTCTCCCTCCTTGCCTTCACCTGCAGAACCCTGAGAGTGCTACACTCGGCGTCCCACACCCTGCCCCATTCACTACATACCCCGTTACACCTGCCCCCTGTCCCCACTGCTCTCCTGAGTCAGTTTTCACACCAGTCACTTGTCATCTACCAAATGCCAAAACCAGAAGCTAACTTTCTTCCTTTTTCCACAGAAGCATTTGGCCCTATTCACGCCCAATTGTGTTTTTCTCTTGAATCTTGAGGAAATAATTCTGCTCAGTGAAGTCAAGGGATTAAAAAAAAAAAAGAGGATGCTGCAAAAGTGAAGGCCAAAGACAACAGGCCTGGAAAGAGGGTGATGGATATGGAGAAGGGGATGGGTGAAGTGGAACCGTTGACAGGGAATTGGAAAAAAGGGACTCAGAGATACCCCAAGGCTTTAAGATGGAGTGACCAGAAAATAGTGAATTCTTGCTAAGCACAAGTCAGAAGCGGTGGGGCAGTGTGCTTTCTGACATGCTGGGTTGAAGGTGCTGGCGGGACTTCAAGGAGGAACTATTGCTAGACTCCAAATATTGCTAGACACTATCCGTGCCCCCTCCAAATTCGTATGTTGAAATCTTAACCCCCAAGGTTATTAGGAGACAGGACCTCTGGCAGGGAATGTCCTCAAGAATGGGACTGGTGCCCTTCTAAAAGCTCTGAGTGAGGTCCCTGGCCCCTTCCACCATGGGAGGACACAGTACAAAGATGGGTGTCAACGAACTAGGAATCAGGCAGGCTCTCCCCAGACCCTGAATCTGCTGGTGCTTTGATCTTGGATGTCCCAGCCTCCAGAGCTATGGGAAATAAGCTTTTGTGTTTAGGAGCCAACCTGTCCAAGGGATATTGTTACAGCAACCAGAGCTCACTAGGACCCCTGGCTAGCAGATCACGTTGCTCAGTGGGTCTGAACAGTGGGGCATGCTCTCAGACAGAGGTGCAAATGCGGAAACTTCCTTAGGGAAGTTTCCTAAAATGAGAAGAGGTTCTAAAACCTGCCCTTTGGGTGATGCCCACACTCAGACAGGCAGAGGAGGAGATGGAGGCCAAGAAATCTGGTGGAAGTCCAGATAGGCAGGAGGCAATTGAGGAGAAGTTAGGATGACATATTACGGAAATCTAGCCAAAAGAAAGTTCCAAAGAAGGCAGGGTAACATAACTAGATCTGATCCTTTTTCCATACTTCACATAGTGAACAGACTACGAAGTCAACCATATTTTATCAGTATTATTAAAATGGAATTCAAATTACATTTGCTTTTCAAAAAGGCAGGCCTTTAAAAATTTCCTTATAAAGATGTAAAGTGTGATCTTTCTAAAGTTAATCAGAGAAAGCAGTTGTATTTAGAAATGACTTTCGTTACCTATTAAAGATCAGTTAAAAAACTGAAAAGTCACCAAATAATATTTCACTTTCAAAAAAGTTAAAATGTACGGCATGAAAGGAAAATGACAGTTTATATTGGCAGCTGGTCCTGGTTTTATATTCTAAAAGATTATTAGGTTATTAGAGTTCCAACCTCAGAATTTGACATAAGGACTATGTGAAAATGACCACAATTGCTCAATAAGTACAACCGCGGACTTTAAGTTGTGTCATCCTTATTCAAAAAAGCTTCAAATTTGACATTTCACACACACACAAAATCACAACTTTTAGTTTCTTCCTGAGAAAAGCCCAAGATAATTAAAGAACAGAATGTCCAACACTGGGTCAAAAATATGAAACAAAACCCAACTTGAACAGTTAAATTGTTTATTCTGCAGAACTGTCCCTCCTCTCCTAGCTCTGCAGTGTTAACTGGCATCATTACTGAAAAGACAGTTCTTTTCTCCCAATTAAATCTGCCTTTAAATATACTGTAAGTCAGCTGGCTGTGGGAAGCTACACCGCTCCTGACTTTCAGAGTGCTTTCTGCTGGTCGGGAATAAAGAATGACACTTTCCAGAAGAAAAATGTAAACGACATAAGCAGCTCCACAAGAACAATGAGCGCACACCGCACTCTTTAAAAGGGAGAGCATTGTAGGATAATTTGATTTGTTCCAAATCTGAAAATAATGAGAGCAAATTAAAGTGTCAAAAATTGAACATGTTAATGGGCTCTTCAGGGTGAGGAAAAGGACCTGGTAGCTAACATGCCCATTGAATGGCACTTGTGACAGTACAGGGCTTTTCTGTGAGTTTGGGGAAAAAAGAGTATCTAGTCAATGCTATTTTAATAATATGTATGAACATAATTCAGCTCAAGCCACTCCTTAACTTGTAAAACCACACATTAAGGAATTATGTATAGTCTTACCAAAGTTTTCTCTTGTAGTTCTGCGTCAATTAAACAAGAATAAAGTGATGGCAGATACATGCCTTTTAATAATGAATAAATGAAACACAAGTTCATTTCAATTATAAAGTGGTTAAAAGGTTTTTTAATAAAGGAAAACTTTATTGGAAGAGAGAAATACTAGGTCACAATGATAAAAACAATTTTTTAAAAAATGTTCCCAGAATACAAGGTATATAACAGAGAGAGGCTTTCAGATGTAGTACTGTAGCAAGACCGGACGTCTTTCTAGAGATTTCTGCTCTCGCCTTTGGCCCACTTCTTAGCCAGCTCCATTCCAGCAACCCAAGAGCTGCTACCTTAGTACCCTTTTCCCAACAGGCTGTCTAAGCGTATAAATTGGTCTTCAGCTTATAGCTCAGAATATTGGTACTCTAAGTTCGTACTAGAGAATACAATTTCAAACTCTACTTTCCCGTCTTTATCAAAACTCCATTTATGAGACATCTGGAAAAATCCACTTGCAAATCAAGACAGAATCATCAGCAGTATAAAAGTCACCCTTCTGAGTCAGTGGTCCTGGAAACACTGTCCTAGCAGAGTGGACTGCAGAGACACATTCTCTTACACATTTTCTGTCATGCAGCTTGTAGAGTCGCATTCTTGCCCCCTTTTAGAGAGTTTCAAAGCAGTTCTCATTGAGTTGAAATTTAATGTGTTTGACACATATTCTGCCTCATTCTATGTTGTTACGTCTTGGTAAAATGCTAATAGTGCCTGGCCTTTTCACAAATCATCATGAGGTCTCTGAGCACGTTTTTCTGGGCCTGCCCTGCATGATGGGGCAGAGTGTAAATGGATCTTGTCCTTGGTTCTGTCCGTAGGTTCACCCACATGTCCTTTGGGAAGTGGGAACCTTGAATGCTATAGTGTTCTGTTATTTAAAATAAACTGGATTGAATCATATGTAAGCAAAAAGAGTGTTGATTAAAGTTTTGCCCTATATAAATACAAAACTGGGGTCGGTAGAGTTGTGGATTTTAAGGGCCTTGGGTACAGTCTGTGGCCGTGAAACAAGGAACCAGATGAACCTCCGCTGGGTGAAACGCAGAAAGGGGACTTGCGAGCTGCAAGCTCTGCAAAACTGAGTTTTAACAATAAGAAAAAGCCAGAGTATTTATACTGAAGATGCTGCCAAGAAGAAGTCACCCTGGCAAACTGCGGGCAACTGCTTGAAGCGGGGTGATGGGTAGATGGCGGATCTGTGTACTCTTCTCCCTACTTTTGTGTATGTTTAAAAGCTTCCGTAATAAAAAGTCAAAACATTGAAAAAAGAAAAAAAGTCCCACTTAAAAAAAAATGAGGTCATCATATCCTTTCCTTCACGAGGCTTGAATTTACTATCCTACTTTGGAGAAAACAGATGATTCATTTGCCACTCAGTGGGGAGGAGGGATGCGGGAGGATTTACCCCATGAATGTTTTGAACACAGAATGAAGAGACCAGGGGGGTAGGATGTGCATATTTTGACTAAAGGAGAAGATAACTAGAAGAGGAAGGCCTATTTTTATTTTTATTGAGGTATAATTTACATACAATCCAATTCAATGTTTATTTTTTCATGGTAATGGTCTGTTTTCCATTTAAAACATGTAAGATGATTTTTAAATGTGTGTCATCAAATATTTGTTAAGTTATAAAATCTTGACGTAAACCTCTCTTCCCCTGGCTGCTTGGTCCTTCAGACAGACGTGATGCCTGAGCTGTGACTACAGTGAAGAGACACTAATTATAAAGGTGAAATAAGGGTGACTCTCATTTAAACCTTAATTGCCTTCTTAATAATGCCCACATTTGTTTAAGCAGCATTACTCCAATTCAGTCTATTAACTGGGCTGATAATATTTCTGATGAGTAGGTCTCCTTTTGCCATGTAAATTGACACCGAAACAGTAAATGTTTTTCTTTCTACTACTGCTAAATGAAGGCTAAGGTAAAATACAAATAAAGCAGTAAAATCTCACTCTATTTTCATGTGAGATTTACAGACTTATTTTTTTTTTAATCATATTGTAAACGACTAGGACAAAGCAAGAGGATCAAGCCCTGTCATCCACACAAGGAGCGATAAATGTGGGGCTACCGAAAGTGACACAGTGGCAGCGTGACATTTTTACTGGGTGGTCTCACGGGCTATTTACAGAGGCCACTATAGTTTCTGTTTTATTATCATTTTTAAATAGGCTAAATCTACTAACAAAAGTAACTAGTCTTCTTCAACTGAAATGCCACTCAAGATTTCTTTTAAAGCGATTTCTTCATTCAGACCTACCCAGGATGAATAACAAACCATAAAAAAAGTTTTATTAGTGATTCTACAGTCATGGAAAACAGGTTATGCTGCAGATCTAAAGCCAGAGCCGCAGCTACTACTGCAGAGGCCACTAATGCATTCACAACGCAACTGTATAATTATTTTCCCCTATGGCTTATGTTCAGGTTTTCAGTTTTTTTTCACATCCAAGCAACACTTATTTTTTGTTCAGGTTTTCAGTTTTTTTTCACATTCCCAGCAACACTTATTTTTTTTTCTTAAAAAAACAAAACAAAACAAAAAACCCTGATAATTCTGTCTCTTTTGTGATACTGATGTGAAGGTTTTTACCCAATACATATGTTACTCTTCACATAAGGCAAAATTCCTTCCACGTGAAAACTTTTTAGTTGTTGCTGCGACAAACCACATGCATGAGAAACTGCACTTTCATATGAGCTATTGCTATAGTACTTATTAGGCTACTGATTCAACATCAAAGGCAAAAATACTGTGGCCACTATATAAAGCAAGAGTTTTTCTTGTTTGTTATTCTCCAAGTACGAAAGTTTTCACTTTTTCTCTTTCCTTCTCTCGCTCACCTATTTTCAGTCCTTTAAAATTCCTAAAGGACTTCCTTTAAAGGTCTTAAAAATGCACTTTTTAAAAAGTTAATGTTTCCTGGTCTTAACAGAGGTTCCAGGAAAAGAAATCATGTTATTTCAAGACTTTGATGATCTAAGGAAGCCGGAATCTCCTAACGCACCTCATTCATGTTTTCCTAGTCACACAAAAGACCATCCTGACATTACCCGCAGCTCCTCTTAAAGGGGCCAGTCTATTTCTACTCAGGAAATTCAAAGCACATTCCCCCGCTTCGTGGCTCTAAACAGCTTCACTTGTGAACAAGTTCTTATCTCGGGTGGTAGAAATCTAGGATCAAATTCAAGAACCACAGCTAGGATTTTGCAAGATCATAGAGGAATTTCCTCGTCTGGCCAGGATGATAAGCACTCAAACTTGAGTTCAGTCTCTGTGGAACAGAGTGTTAACTGTTAAATCCTCACAGACCACCCCTCTTCAGTGCAAGCCCAGGGAAGAGGGAGGACCCATAAGCCATTCATTTAAATTTCGATTTTCTTACAAAGACTAATTCACACATGCCGTCCCCTGAACCTGCAGTATCATTTCCAATCCCCTCCACCAAACTGTGTATTTCTCCTCCGTGAAAACTGAAGATTCATTTCTTCCATGAAATATTTCAAATACAGATTAAACTATTTCGCATTGTTATTATATTCCCTATATGATAACATATTTATAGATCTCTTCCTATTGTGAATTTATCTAACTTCTTTTCTCATTTTAGGCTCTGAACTTCACCAGAGCAGCGGCCTTTGCCCCTCCATTATTTGTTAAGTGGTCTCTGAAATGCTTGGCAAAGTGTTATTTACACTACGGTAATGAGCATTTACTGGTAACATTAACCAACTCTATAAAGAGCAAGTTGCCTTTCATTTAAAACAGTTGGGGTACTCCCATTAAAATTCTCAGATTTTTTTTTCCCCCTTAAGCTATATTTCCTCTCATTCTGTCCCTAGAGAAAAATAACTGAGTTTTACCCAGTCTGCTCCCTCGAGTGTCAGAAGTGGCCTCCCTTCTTGTTTTTTAATAATAACACATCTATCAGTGCCCTTTTTTCACGATCTAGAGGGCTGGTCACCACTGTTGCTCTCTCCCTTTTGCTAAGTCCCTTCTCAGTGTCTACACTGGCACGTTGTCTTTACCCGTTTGCCCTTCAAGAAATTGGCCACATTTCTTTTGTTTGTTTGTTTGAAGAGATGGGGGTCTCACTATGTTGCCCAGGCCGGAGTGCAGTGACTCACAGGCATGATCATAGCACCCTATAGCCTGGAACTCCTGGGCTCAAGTCATCTTCCTACATCAGCCTCCCAAGAAGCTGGAACTACAGAGGCGCACCACTGCACCTGGCTGTTTTTGTTGGCCACATTTCTCAAGTGTTTGACTCCAGTACCCTTATTTCTCCCCCATTAGTGAACTCCTTCCTCATCAGTGATCTGATTTTGGTTTCTAACCAGTTATGAGACTTGTTCTCTGCAAGGTCAGCGATGATTCTCTTACTGATGATCCAGTGGCCTTTTCCACAACTCTATTCTCCTGGACCTCTCTGTTGCACCGGGCACTATTAGAACACTCTACTTCCAGAAATCCTTCCCTTTGACACCACCATGTCATGCTGTCCTCCTCCTCCTTCCCACATGCTTTCTGCTCCTCCTCCTCTTCCTCCTCCTCCTCCTCCTCCTCTTCTCTCTCACTTGCGGATATTTCCCTAACTAGGTTCTTACCTCTCTAGCCTTCTTTCTATACACTGTGTCCTTCAGATCATTACTTCCGTAAGTTAATGGAAGTATTTCTATAATCTGGGCATATCGCATGTACCAGACGTGGTACTAAACATTACCCTCAAAAAGCATCTAATCTAATGTGTACGGCAAGCTTATAAAGGAACTATTACAATACCACATGAGCACTGCTAAAAAGAAGTCTTACCAAGCATTGTGACTGAACACAGGAGGAAAGCAACAAACGCCAGGGAAAGTTTAGACAGTGAGAACTTCCTCAAGGAGGTAATGTGGGAGCTGGAGGGTTTCCCAGGAGGAGAGGAGAGTGGTCCTGGGGAGTGAATCACAGAGGGAAAGGCATGGTGGCATAGACCTGCAATGCTTGTTGGCTACACCGAAGGCATGGCCAAGCAGAGGGGTGGCACTGAAGCAGGAGAGGCTACATGGGTTGCGGCTCAAACTTATCAAGTCCAAGACTAAACTCAAGGGTCTTGTGTGCCAGGAGGACTATAGATTTTACCCTGTAGGAATGGGAACCACAAAAGGGCCTAAGATGATCAGATTTCCAATACAGGATGAACATTCAGGTGACAGTGTGGAAAATGGTGGCAGGGAGGCCTGCTGGGGACAGTTAACAGAGTCTTGGCAAGACATGGGTGAATCTATGGGACAAGACAGAGGCAAGGATCAGATTCCACTCAGCCCTCTCAGCATATAGGAGAAAACCAGGCCCAGAAAAATACACCTGTAAGCTTCACGATCATTTGTAAAAAGTCCAGGAATACAGAATGAGGCTTAGGACATTAAATTTTCGGTCAATGAGAAATGCTTTAGAAACTCTAAAAATGAAAAGAATAAAAAAGCACAATTTTACAGACTGTGTAACCAAACATGCAAGAAAATCTGTCTCAGGAGTTCACTCTGCCATGGCTGGGAGGCCATTAGGAGGCCATGTAGTATCACGTGGGAGATGAGCTTGATTTGGACAAGAGATGGCGAGAAATGATGGGCCCGGGGGAATGCATGTGCCGGGATGGCAGCAGAGCCACAAGACAGGTTGCAGGGCTTGGTCATGCAACGAATGTGCCAGGTGCAAGAAGGAAGTTTAAAGAATGACTCTGAGGCTTTCAGAATAGGTGGCTAGGGTGCTGTCATTAACTAAGACAGAGAACACAGTAGAATTAAAATATACAGAAAGGAAGGGGAAGAATAAGTTTCTGCATGACACGGATTCAACAGGAATGATGATGCCAATGGCTTGACCATTAGAGTATGGTGTCAAAAAAGAAATCATGGAAGGAACAGTTTTGGGGAAGTAAGATCATGAGTTCCATTTTAAAGTCACTGAGTTTGAATGCATATCACGACATCCAGCTCTCCTGCCTGATATGGGCAACAGAAACACTAGCTCTAACTAGGGCTTGCCTAGTGACGACTCCTATACTCATCTCCATACCCAGGATCGCACAAATCCTCTAATCTGACATCTCCAACTGTCTCTCTTATGTGTGTATATGGTGGCCTTACCATCATCTCAAACTTCCAAGTCCAAGACTAAACTCATAATTTTCCCCCTCAACCAGCTTCCCTTCCACCTGTCCTGCTGATCAATGACAAAGTCATTCATTCAATTACCAAGTTCCTGGTTTTAAATCTCACAATCATTTGTAAGCCCTACTCTCTCTGTTCTCCCTCCTAGTTAGTTGCCCACATTCCTTCAACTTCTTTTTTTTTTTGTTTTTTTTTTTTTTTTTTGAGACGGAGTCTTGCTCTGTTGCCCAGGCTGTCACTGCAACCTCTGCCTCCTGGCTTCAAGCAATTCTCCTGCCTCAGCCTCCTGAGTAGCTGGGATTGTAGGCACCCGCCATCACACCTGGCTAGTTTTTATATTTTTAGTAGAGATGGAGTTTTGCCATGTTGGCCAGGCTGGTGTTGAACTCCTGACCTCAGGTGATCTGCCCGCCTCGGCCTCCCAAAATGCTGGGATTACAGGCATGAGCCACTGCGCCTGGCCTAACTTCTATTTGAAATGACTCCACTCTACGTCCTGATTTCTGCCCACCAGGATTCCAGACTCTTTCCCAGTTGTGTCCTCCTGCATCCTGGCATGTAGGATGTGTTAAGATTAGCATCCTGCACCCTGCATCCTTATCCTGTCAAGGTTAAAATTTCTTCCCTGGCTCTGAATCCCTTCCTAAACTAGCTTCATGTATCTATCTGGACTTCTTTCTTACTGTGCTCAATATACAGGAATCCCCATTTATCTGTGGTTTTATTTTCCACAGTTTCAGTTACCCATGGTCAACTGTGGTCCAAAAAGAGGTGAGTACAAATACAGACAAGAATATATATTGTGAGAGAGGAAAGAAAGAGAGAGAAAGACCACATAATTTTTATCACAGTATATTGTTGTAATTGTTCTATTTTATTATTGTTGGTAGTCTCTTATAGTGCCTAATTTATATATTAAACTTCATAATAAATGTATTAGTCCATTCTCATGCTGCTAATAAAGACATACCCGAGACTGGGTAATTTATAAAGGAAAGAGGTTTAATGGACTCACAGTTCCACATGGCTGGGGAGGCCTCATAATCATGGCGGAAGGTGAATGAGGAGCAAAGGCACGTCTTACATGGAGGCAGGCAAAGAGACAGAATGTGTAAGGGAACTGCCCTTTATAAAACCATCAGATCTTGTGAGACTTATTCACTGTCACAAGAACAGAATGGGAAAAACTCGCCCCCATGATTCAGTTAACCCCCTTCCAGTCCCTCCCATGACACGTGGGGATTATTACAATTCAAGGTGAGATCTGGGTGGGGACACAGAGCCAAATCATATCAATAAGTATGTATATACAGGAAAAACATATGATACATCAGGTTCATTGCTATCTGTAGTTTCAAGCAACCACTGGGATCTTGGAATGGAACCCCTGTGCATAAGAGGGGATTGGTGTCCTAACTCAAAGCTGTCATGCTAGGTCCAATATGCAGGCACTGTGCTGTGGCTGTAACAGCTTTACTGACTTTCACAATGTCCCTCTGAGGTAGAAACCTCACCTTATAAGAAAGAGTGAAGGGCCAGCCACAGTGGCTCACACTTTGGGAGGCTGAGGCGGGTGGATCATGAGGTCAAGAGTTCAAGACCAGCTTGGCCAACGTGGTGAAACCCTGTCTCTACTAAAACTACAAAAATTAGCCAGGCATGGTTGCAGGTGCCTATAATCCCAGCTACTTGGGAGGCTGAGACAGGAGAATTGCTTGAACCTGGGAGGTGAAGGTTGCAGTGAGTCGAGATTGTGCCACTGCACTCCAGAATGGGCAACAGAGTGAGACTCCATCTCAAAAAAAAGAAGGAAAAAAAAAAAAAAAAGCTAAGGTTCCTAGAGGCTACTCAAGGCTACCCAGCTGCGAAGTCTTGCAGACAGGAAATGGCCCAGGTCCCTCTGCCTCTCAGCCTCTACGTTTTGCCACCAATGGGCCCAGCTCCACACATTGCCCTGTGAGCTCTGTGGGTCTTATCTTCATCATATCTAGAATGCCATTCTCCTGCTATTACTTCCATCCTTCAAAAGCCTTCTTTGTCCCCAAATGCTCTGGATTTACTATTAAGATATTTAGTCTTTAATCTAACAAATTAAAATGTACAAAAAAAAAAACCCAGAAAAACAAGTTTTTGTGTCACAGATTCAACAGTCATAATGATTCCGAAGGCTTCCCTATTAGAATGTGGAGCCAAAACGACAGGGTATTACACAAAGTGATGAGTTGAATTATATCCTCCAGAGAGACATGTTGAAGTCCTAATCCCCAGTACCTCAGAACGTGGCCTTATTTGGAAATAGGATCCTTGCAGACATAATCAGACGAGGTCACCCTGGAGTAGAGTGGGCTCTTAATCCAGTATGACGGACGTCCTCACAACAAGAGACGCACAGGAAGAGGTTGGCCCTGCGACGACAGGGCCACAGATGGGAGTGATCATCTAGAAGCCATGGACACCAAGGATTGCTGGGAAACATCAGAAGCTGAAAGAGACAAGGAAGGATTCCTCCCTAGAGCCTTCTGAGGGAGCACAGCCCTGCCCACACCTTGACTTCGGACTTGTGGCCTCTAGAACTGTGAGATAATAGCTTCTCGTTGTTTCAACCCACCCAGTTTTTGGTTCTTTGTTACAGCAGCACTAGGAAACAAATACACATGGGAAGAAACGTCCCTTGTTTTCCACATTTTCTCTTGTAAAACGTGTAAAATACACACACACACACACACACACACACACACACACAAACATTTCTTTCAACTACCCAGTCCTACTAGACCTCATTTTACCCATGTGAGGGCCAACAGTCCAATCATTATGAGACAATCCGGAAAATGGCATTAGGGTATTACTATGTTATATTGATCTATCGGTATTTTCTTAATTTTGTGTGTGTACATGGTCGTATCAGATCATTAAGGAAGCCACTCCAATAGAATAGATGGCTCCTTCTTAGCTGATGAAAGAGATACTGCTTGAGGTGCAGAGGTGGAGATCCTCAGGTGAGCCTGCCTCTCACACCTCACATTCACATGACGGATAGAAATCATTCACGCCAGATAAAATGTTTTTCTTTTTTTAACCTTAGGATTCTGTGATATCTGGAGCCAATACTCATGAAGGAAGAAGTTTAAAACTTTCCGTTTAAACCACTTAGAATGAGAGGATTTACAAAGATCCTGTTTAATGTTCAGCTGACACATTGTCAAAAACGTTTATCATGCAACCTTTTGAAGTTTCTTCCACTCCCTCCTAGTTATTAAAGCTTGGATTGCAGTTAGTTATCAACAACAAAGCATACACGTGATGGTGTTTTTAGAGTCAGCCTTTCAGTTTGATTTCTGAACTACTAAGCAAAATTCAGTTCTCCTGATCAGAAAAATGATTAGTGACCTACTTTTCATGCTGAATGCACAAAACCGTTGATTTCTGAAATCACTTCTATATGGACCTAGGGATAATGCAAGGGACATGGAAATTTCATTTGTATCATAATGCTCCAAACTGCAAGAATTTTCAGATATAAGAATCTGCCACTTCAAGTGAGGCTGTGATTCTTTCAGTGCAAATGAGGAAATAGTGACCTACATTATTGAGAAGATTCCTCTGGCAACTTAATTCCTAATGTAAATTTCTTCAGATTGAGAATAAGCTTCAGTTCGTGTTTTGGCAAGGGGAATAAAACTCTTTCTGAATAATTCAAGCGAATACTATTTTTTGAGTCTGTACAATGTATTAGAAGGTACAGAGTTGGGTAAGACATAGTCTCACCTTTTACGGCACTTACATTATCATAGAAAGTATGTGATAAGGACAAAAAGCAGGAGAGCATGGTAAGTGTGTTAAGTGTTCAATTGAGAGAACAAAAAGAAAAAGGAAGGACAGAGGAAGATGTTCAATGACACCACAAGGAAGCAGGCAGATAAATCCAGAATGTGGGACATTCTACAGGACAACTGACTTGGTTTCTGCAAGAAGTCAATGACATGGGAAAAAAGTGAGGAAGGGTCTGCTTTAGATTTGAAAAGACATGAGAGCTGTAACAATCAAATGTAATGTTTGGATCCTGATTCAGACAAATCAACTGTAAAATGGCATTTTAAAGTTAATTTGGGATACTTAGTTATGAAGTAAATATTAGATGATACTAAAAGATAATTGTTCACTGTCTTAGGTATGACAATGGCACTGTGTCTGTGTAAGACAATGCCCATGGTTTCTGAGAGGCATTCTGAAATACACAGTGTAAAACGACTTGATGTCTGGAATTTGCTTTAAAATATTTTAGCAAAGAATGAGGGGGAAATGACAGAGTAAATGTGACCAAATCTTGATAGTTACTGAAGGTGGGTGACAAGCACACAGGAGTTCATAGTACTATTATCTCTACTTTTGGGTATGTTTGAAAATTTTCATAATAAAACTAAAAAAGAAACAAACATTTTATGTACAGTAAAATGATATAAGAAAAACACAAAGAGACTGGGAACGTCTTCAGGAAGGACGCAGTATTTGGGAAAAGCCTTGAATAATAGCTACAGTTCTGACAGGCCTAAGGTGGAAAGGGGAAAGAATTGTCTGCCAAAGAAGTTGCATTTGCAAAAGTAAATACAAGGAAAATGGGGGTGTGCTCAGGACACCCTGGTGCAGTCCCTGGAGCAGGACCTGGAATATGTGAAGGGGAGGCAGACCTGAAAAGAGGAGGCCAGAGCACAGTGAACTTCAGAGCACAGGCTTTAGTTACACTTAACTTGGTGAAAAGGAGAGGGGCTTTTGTGCAATGCCTAAAATCAAGAAAGATACACACAGTTACTTCCTAGACATTTACAACATGCGTCCCAGGCTTAACAGGTTCAAAACTGGACGTATTATCAGTTTTCCCACTTTATTTCCCTCTCCTTCCACTCACCCCTTTGCCTCAATCTAATTATGTTCCTATATATTCAGATCTAGATTAACGGAACCCATATTCACCTAGTTATCCAAATCAGGAACTGCGAGGACACCCTTGAATTTTCTCTGCCATCTAACCATTTACCGGCCTTCCAAATATTTCTCCTCTTCAGCCCTATGGCTATTGCCCTTGTCTCTTTTCCTCTGGATGATGACTACACTCATAGATCTCTTCGTTCCAATTCATTATTGCCAGAGCAATATTCCGCATCATCTTCAAGTTTCTCTATCTCACTGCACAGTACCACTACCACCCACATGATCTATCACATTATCCAAGGCAAAAACTCAGGAGATCTCTTTGACAACTTGCTTCTATTCCACATGTTCCCTCCCAAAGACTCCTGTTTATTTGCCACTAACCCCTGTGGATTCAATCTCTTTTAATTTGGTCCACTTCATGCCATTTTTACTGACATTCTCTGATTATATTGTCCCTTTTCTGGTCTCCATCCATTCCTCCGGGCTCCCCTCGGTCTCATCTTCATACAGCAGCCACTTACTTTGGAAGTCATTATGTAGGAGTTATCATTGAATCCCTTTGTTCCCTCACTTTACCCTGCCACATTCAATTTTCACTAGGAGTGGCGCAGGATGAATAGAAAATTATAAGTCTTTGACAAAGAAAAACCTTAAAAACATGCATAACCTACCCACTTCTCTCCATCTCTAGTACTACCTCCTTGGTCCAAGTCATGGCCATCTTTTACCTAAAGATGACTCCAATAGCATAGCAGTCTCCATCTCCCTCCCATACATTCTACACGTCAGGTCTGTCCATTCATCTCTCTTACCTGCTCAAAGTTCTCCAATGACTTACAATTACACTTAGAATAATATCTAAGCTCCTCACCATGCTTAGAAGGTCCTACAAGGTGTGGCTTCCACATGCCTCTCAGGCTTCTCCTTGTACCAGTCTCCACTTTGGTCCAGCCACACTTGCCTTCCTACTATTCTCTGAACCTTACAAATTCATTACCATTAGCACTTCCCTTCTTTCATCTTTAATCTTTCTGATTAAAGTTTCTTGTCAGGAACGTATAAGCATTTTCTTGTCACACTAGCAGTATATAAGGAATAGAAAAATGTGTGTTTTACAAAGAAAAACTCTTAATATTGTTTTAACACCTTTCAAAGTAACTTTAATTAAAGAGACAATGTGCAAGGTGAATCAGAACTTCATGTACTGTGAAAGAACTGGTGTGATTCCAAACACCCAGCATACTTAACAGAGGAATGCAAATAGTCAAAAATATATTATTAAGCACAAACCAAGACTGGTTCTTGGCAGTGTAGCCAAAATTTTAACAGTGTAGTTGAAAATGTGTTCAACCTTAACCTTTCATCTAAGGCTTTCCTTTGCTAATGAATCATGCCTGTAACTAAAACGCTAAGGTTAGCATGGCTTCTTTGAAATGAACCACCACAAACCAAACATCTAAAGCTTAAGATATAGTGTTTCTTTTCAAAACTGACAACCCCCCGCACTTTTTTTTTTTGTATTACATGACCAGTCTTCTTGAAATAAGTGTGGTCTAGGAAATCTGACTTTTAAAATTAATTCTCAAAAATTCTATTTCCCCATTGATGTGCTGTTAGTATGGTTTGTCAGTCCAATTTCTGAAATGCTAAGTCCATTTGATCTCCCACTAAGGGATCAAACCCTATTTTAGGACCTAATATCAATTTTAAAAATTTATGTTTTACCTCAGATTATAAAATAATACAGGCTAATTGAAGAAAAATGGAAAAGCATTAAGAGGGAAAAAGATTTCCATAATTCCTGCACTCAGATATAACCACTATTAGCACAGTGCCTTCTTTCCACGTCTTTTTCCTATTCATATGAAACTGGCACGTTGGCTCTGTAGGACTCCCTGAGTGTAATCGTAGAAGCTTCTCTCTCTCATCTCCCACTGTTCCTTTAATCCTGCTTAGTGGAGACAGTTCTTCTCTTGCCCCTTGGTGAAAATTCAGAAGGGTGCCTTGATTTTTCAGGTCACTCTAGTCCTACAGTCACTTTAAACTGCAGACAAAGTTTTAAAACATTTAGATCGTTCTCAACCGAAATTTAAATGGTTCTTAAGAGCAATTTAACGTAAGGCAAGACATATCTAAAGGATTCCAGAACACCGTTATTTGACCTATCATCAAGGTACTTTTACTTCCTGTTTGTCTTTGACCCAGGGACTTGAACCCCAGTGGGGTGGTCGTGGTGCCTGCCTCACACACCAATGTCCCTAATGATGACTAAGATTGGACTGGATGTGTAGGTGTCTCCTGGCCTCACCCTCCTACTTGTTATATTCTGTTCTCCTCTGGGAGTATCCCTCAACGTCTGTTTTATCCTATTTCCCCGGCTTCAGCTCTTTGTTGCAGGTCTCTGTGCATTTTTCTTGGCCTGCTGGATGAATACTCCTCTTCACTCTCATCTCCCTTCTGCAGATAAAGGTCAAAATAACAATAATCTCCCCTTTATAGGGAAATAAGCTGCCTGAACTCCAGGTTCTTGCAAGAGAGTAAAACATCAAATCTGCGGCCTAATTATAATAAAAAGATTACTTTAATTAACTAACATTAATAAAGATTTGCAATATATATGTTACAACAATTCTTAGATATTTGTATCAGTCTGGTTTCACACTGCTGATAAAGACATACCTGAGACTGGATAATTTATAAAGGAAAGAGGTTTAATTGACTCACAGTTCCACATGGCTGGGGCAGCCTCACAATCACGGCGGAAGAGCAAGGGACATCTTACATGGAGGCAGAAAAGAGAGAGAATGAGAGCCAAGTGAAAGGGGTTTCCCCTTATGAAACCATCGGATCTCGTGAGACTTATTCACTACCATGAGAACCGTATGGGGGAACTGCCCCCATGATTCAATTATCTCCCACTGGGTCCCTCCCACAACACGTGGGAATTATAGGAGCTACAATTCAAGATGAGATTTGGGCAGGGACACTGCAAAACCATATCAATATTCAAATTTTAATTCATGGATAAAACCATCATCTGGTTCCAGGTGGAAGCATGTGCTTTAGGTGTGTGCCATCAGTCCACATTGAGCGGCATTATACAAAATAGCTCTGAGAAACTTGATACTGCTTTTCCTTTAAGAATATTCTTAAGAACATCAGCTACATCTTACAGTTTTTCTTCCACTGATCTTTCTTTGCTCTGCAATGTCTTCTACATTGCTACCAATGATCTTTCCAAAACAAACCTGACTGAGATCCTCTGCTGAAAAATCATCAGTAGTTCTGCTCTATCTACAGAATAATTTCAGACCCCTAAGCATGGCATATATACTTGCTACTCAACGCCTGCTCTGAGAGCCAGCAGCGTTGTAGGATCTTGAGCCCTACCCCAGACTGACAGCATCAGAGCCTACATCTTAACAAAATTCCCAGGTGACCTGCAGGCACATTCAGGTGTGAGAAGCACTTATACAGTGCACCCTTCATGAGGGTCCTACAGCTGAAATTCCTCTCTGGTGTCAGTGCTAGGAAAAGCTGTGCTTCTCCTGAGCACTTGACTTGGTTTCTATTAAGGACACGGGCTACTGAAATTCGATTTCTTCTTGTCTTTAGCTGCTATGAAGCCCAGGCCAAACATGGAGCTCTCCTTATAGCAGCTTTATTGGACTTCATGGCAGGCATTTTGTTTATGAATTCTATTCTTGATTTCATATTATTTTCATATCTTTTTTTCTGTGATTTTCTTATTAATTTTTATCCTTTTGTACCATATGCATCTCTCTAAGTCACCTGAAATACTTTTAGGGATTTGGTGAGGTATGAGCCCATGATATTTGTATGCGTGTAAGACAGCAAGGAAGTAATAAAGTCAACAAATATTTCATTTCCTGGCCTTTCCTTGCCCTAAATGGTATGTTTAACACCAGTGCTAACTTCTCCCAATCCAACATGTCTGTGTGTGCAGAAGCCTCATGTCAGATACTTTCGTCACAAACCTAGAGGTATTTTCCATAGAAACCTCTTATGTAAGAGGAACTGAAGATATGAAGGCAAGAGAGCATTGGTGTTAAGGCTCGTGGCAGGCTGGATGTCACAGTGGGAGGTCTAGGTTTCTCTGTAGCTTAAGAAGTGCACTGGCCATCCAGGTCCCAGCTTACTCTGCGTCCCCGCTCTTTTCTAAATAAGGACTTTCTGCTGTTGGTCTTTTCTGTCATGAGCTGGGCTCCAAAGTGGCAACCTTCATTAAAAAGTGAAAACTGGGCGCTTCTGTCTAAAAACTAATTAATTCCTGTGGAGACATAAGACAAAACACAAACAGGTTCATGTAATGACAGTCAACTGCTTGTCATGGCATTCCTGGGTGAGACAGCATGGCTCGTTGGTGGCGACGAGTGGGTGGCGAACTGGAGCTTCACTTTCTCTCTAGCAGCGTGGCTGGAGGCAGGACATGTGACCTCTTTGAACCCATGTTTTCATCTATATCACAGCAAGACATTTGAGAGGTCATCTCCCAGCACTAAATTCAACTGTCATACGATCAATTGAGTTTCTAGTATTAGAGAGGTCATTAGTCTAGTGGTGAAACCTTCAAATGCATGGTAGAGTAATGAAGCATTCAAGGTTTCCAGTCTGGCTGCCTGAGTTGGAATCTCTGCTCCAACTCTTTGCTAGTCATGTGACTTTGGGCAAGTTATTTACATTTTTCTGGGCCTCAGTTTACTCATTTGTAAATAAAGGAATAATAACAGTACCTATCTCATATGGTGGACATGAGGATTATTACATAAAAACACAATGTTAGCACATATAAGAGCTCAATAGATGTTAGTTGCTATTTTATCACAACTGGGGAATAAGAAATGGGCAACCATATTTACCTATATGTTATATATCACACTTTTGTTAAGTTTTTGTGATTATTTTTCTTATGGAAACTCTATATTAGGGCCATCTAACTGTATACTGCTGACCAAGCTGGCACTCTCCAGCTTTTTAGAAATTCATCAAGATTTTATCAAATGCCTGAGTCAAAGCATTTGTGAAGTCAAAACATTTTTAACATAAATTTCCATTCCCTCTATCTCCCCCTGCTATAGTCACAAAAATGAACAAATGGCAATAAAGTACAAGAAGTGCAAGAGGGTTGGGAGCTCATTCACGATCTTCTGGTAGAGCAGACAGATTCCACTTTCTGTTTCAGGTACCACGTCCGTTACCAAACAACCACACGACTGAACACATAACTCCCCCGACACTTTGCCCATTACCAAAGTAGCATGTACTCACTGCATGCATTTTGGCAAAGTACAAGGGTAGAAACAAAGCAAAAATAAAACACCACTATCACTTTCCCCACAGCCAGAGGCACCTACTGCTCAGGTTAATTTGCATCACAGAGTCCATCGACTGCTGCGAGTGCTGCATGCCCAGCAGCCCTTCCCTGCTTGGTCAGAGGGCACTGCCACCCTCACACCAACATCTGAGAGTCAGCATGTTGAAAGGGAGACTTACCACCACCCTCTGTTCATTTAATGGATAGGTACTTGAATGCCCACTGTGCTCAACAAAATAATTTTTGAGATGCCATAAGTAAGGAAAATCAGAGTATGAAATTAATGGTCTGGCCGCCATGGGGCAATTATGATCATTTCTTCTGTAATTCATGGCTATGATATACAGAAGATGAATAGCGGAACAAAAAATAAACACCTCCTTATCCACTTCTTTTAGATCTCTAAGGAGACTGAAATATTCTGTATTTATATGTCAGGTGGAACGCTGCCTGGAGAAATGACGGCTAACATTGCTTATATCTCAGGCAGAAATAGTTTCAAGTACTTTTGATTTATGGCATATTAAAAATGCTTGCAGAAATAACATAAAACAGGACAGGGCTATTCGCGTCACTATCCTCATCATGTAGTTACCGCCCTCTTCTATCTGACTGGCAAAGCCCAGACAAACATATAATTTCTGCTGTGCTGTGGGGCTTCAAAAGGGCTTTGAGCAACAACAAAAAAAACCCTCTGCTTTTTTCACCAGCAAATGTAAATAGTGACCAAAATAGTACTAGAAAGTAAGTTGGGTTAGAACTGTCTGGGTCCTGCTCTAATTTTCACTTTTGATGAGGAGATGTGAACAAAGACTTTGCCCTCTGTGTAGGTGGGTGCTGTGGGCGATACTCAAAAGCAAGAACCAAGTAAGGCAGAGAGCTGTGCTTATCGGCAGTGCAGAACTATAATGAGGCTTGCATTCATGCCAAAAATCACCTTCGCCAAGCAAAATTGGCTAATGTTGGGTCAGGAAAGAGAAAACTGGACATAAAAAGTAAGAATGGCAGACATAAGGCACAAAATAATTGGAAAACACATTCAAAGTATAGCACACTGACAACTGAAACCACAGTATAATCACCATACATTGGTCATTCTCACTTTCCCTGCATACTGTTTCCATTGCTGTGCTTTACAGAAAGGTAGGTAGACAGTACATGGCAACTCAGGATTCTGGCAGCTTTATGGAAATGCATAATATGTGAGTAGGGTGTGTCTTTCTACCAGCTAGTGGTGGTCCGGGGGGTTACCAGGTAGGCAGACAATTAGAACCTGTGGAAATCATTAAAATTATTACGTAGCCTTCTGAAATTGCTGTTTTTATTCTGGGGAACAGCAAATCCAAATCTGCACAGGATACAAATTATATTAACTTTGGAAACAAAAACATAATAAAATCTAAATATAGCTAATGAAAACCTATACTGTCTAAAGAACAATTTAGAATTTATTTTAAGAGCTGTACCAAAGTGTTGTGCTACACATTGGTTCCTAGAAAACATACTCTTGTGAAGGCAAAATTCAAATATTTCACAAATAATAGTTCGTTTCAATCCCTCCATTTCTTTAACAGCTATTATTCCCTCTCACGTCAAGTCAATTGACTTTCTTTTTTTCTTTTTTTGAGATGGAGTCTCGCTCTGTCGCCCAGGATGGAGTGCAGTGGCACGATCTCAGCTCACTGCAAGCTCTGCCTGCTGGGTTCACACCATTCTCCTGCCTCAGCCTCCCAAGTAGCTGGGAATACAGGCACCAGCCACCACGCCTGGCTAATTTTTTTTGTATTTTTAGTAGAGACGGGGTTTCACCATGTTAGCCAGGATGGTCTCGATCTCCTGACCTCGTGATCCGCCCGCCTCGGCCTCCCAAAGTGCTGGGATTACAGGAGTGAGTCACCACGCCCAGCCGTCGATTGACTTTCCTTCTTCCATAAATTCATCTCCAAGGAGCTGAAGAACACCAAAGCCACCTCTTCTCTCTCGGTCTGGCCAGTCTTCATCTGTCAATTGGATTTTGTTTTCTTTTTTAGGCCACACTTTGAAAGGAGCCTTTGAATGTCAGTTCTCTAAGCCTTGAATATGCCCCTTGCCTAAATTATGCAAGTATCCTCTACCTTCCCCTCTTCAAAAAGGTTTGATGATTCCCAAGAGAATGTATCCCTTTGAGCTCCAAGCATCATCTCTCTCCTGTCACTCTCTTCCATACATAGGTAAACACACACACATATACATATACACGTGTGTATATGTGTATATATCTCTCTTCATGTACATATGTACATAAATCTTGCCCACAATGTAAAGATGTAACATATTTAGTTAATTCTGCTTGTTACATCTAATTTATTCTGGGCTGTGATAACCCAACTGATCAAAATGTGAAAAAGTCAACACTACATATTTTATGGATCTTATTAGTTTTGGATCCATATGAATATCAAAGTTTTTTTTTAATAATTATTAGCCATTTAAATGAAGATGAACATCTTTAATAGTATATATATCTGTCGGTTTACTCTTGTCACCTTACTGTCAGTTCAGAATGTGAGCCCAGACCTAGCATCGCTTTCCCCAGCTCCTAAAAATTACATGACTTTGCCGTCTTCATTCATTAGCCACCTGCGTACCTAGCCATACTATCAGTTCTTTCATTTTCTCTCCTAGCTTCACCTCCATTTTGGAAACCCATTCAACTACTCACAACAGTATTGTATTATTATTTGGAATTGATGCAAGTCTGAAAAATTAAGCAATCCCATATTCTGGTAAAAATAGCATTACCAAATATTTATATACAAGAAAATATTGGTATATTTAGGCAGAAAAAAATAGTCTACCCTAGATGATGTTTAGGGCACATGTAGGTACAATGGAGGATGAGGGGTAGGCAGGCTAGTGGAGCTGTTAGGCAGTGGGGAGCAGTTGAAAGCTTTTGAGTAGGGGAGCTGTATGAATAGACCTGAATGATGATACATGATTGACTTATTTGCAACGGTAATACTACAAGCAGCAGGTGGAGCAGAAGGAGCAAGGAGACCCAGGAAGAGTCCAGGGGAGAAGTAGTAAGTGTAAAGTGGATTAGGGTAATGGTAACAGAAAGGAAAAGAGTAATACAGAGCCAGGAAACAACTCATGTGATGTAGGAAGAGAGAAGGGAAAAAGTCAGCTGACACTCTCAGTCCAATTTAAGTCAGGAGTAATAAGGATGGAGGGGAAATATGCTGAGTTCTAGAGGCCAAAAGATCATCCACGCAGAGGTGTCTATTCAGTCTGGAACCTGAAGAGAAGCCAGGGTCAGGTGCTCAGTCGGGATTGTTCTGCAAGAGGAATTAGAGTTGAAATTGTAGGAGTGAGTGAGTTTGCTAAGAGAGAAAGAATAGAGAGAAAAACAACATAAAACTTTGGGGCAGAATTTATAGTTAGAGTCCCTGAAGAGAAAAGAAGAGGCAGCAAATGTATTAATAACCATAAAAGAAATTTTTTTTTTTTTAGACGGAGTCTTGCTCCGTCGCTCAGGCTGGAGTGCAGTGGTGTGATCTCGGCTCACTGCAAGCTCCACCTCCTGGGTTCATGCCATTCTCCTGCCTCAGTCTCCCGAGTAGCTGGGACTACAGGCTCCCGCCACCACGCCCGGCTAATTTTTCATATTTTTTAGTAGAGACTGGGTTTCACCATGTTAGCCAGGATGGTCTTGATCTCCCGACCTTGTGATCCACCCGCCTCGGCCTCCCAAAGTACTGAGATTACAGGCGTAAGCCACTGCGCCTGGCCAAGAAATTTTAAGTGTAGTGTAGAATCTGGGGAGTCAAGGGAGAAGAGGATTTCCAGGAGGTGGTTATCAGAGTTGAATGCCGATCAGGGGAGTTAGGGGGATTTGTGATGAACATTATCCTTACAATCATCACCCACATAACAATGATCACAAGAACAGCAACGACTACTACAGTACTACTGTTACTGTTGCTAATACTAAAAATATGTAGGAGGAAGTTGATTACTTCTAAGCATGTAGTTTTATTGGTTGATAGATGTAAATAAACAAATCAATTTCTTCATTCAACAAAAATGTACTGAGTACTTATACCAAACCGAGCACTGGATATAAAGCAAAGAATAAGAAACGAACGCATGGTAAAAGCAGAGAATATAGGCATAGCCCTACTCTTTTTCTTTCTTTGTTTTTTTTTTGTTTTTTGAGACAGAGCCTCGCTCTGTCGCCCAGGCTGGAGTACAGTGGCGCAATCTCGGCTCATTGCAACCTCCACCTCCCAGGTTCAAGCAATTCTTTTGCCTCAGCCTCTCGAGTAGCTGGGATTACAGGTGCCCGCCACCATGCCAGGCTAATTTTTTTTTGTATATTTAGTAGAGATGGGGTTTTACCATGTTGGTCAGTCTGGTCTCGAACGGCTGACCTCAAGTGATCCGCCCACCTTGGCCTCCCAAAGTGCTAGGATTACAGGCGTCAGCCACTGTGCCCAGCCAGCCCTATGCTTTTAAGAGTTCGATGGTTGAAAGAGACTGAGCGGGGAAGGTAGAGCGGGGCAGGGGAGGGACTACTTGGAGTCAAGTCAAAGTTTTAGGGAAAGACCTGAATCTGAAAAAGATTATTTAACCTTTATGTGTCTGAAATACTATATTGTGCGAATTGTACCGTGAGACTCATCCACCATTTATAATAATGTTTCTGTTGGAAAATGTGTTCAAAGTTTCCATCTGGGATACAAGGAACACATCCTTCCTTGCAATAGTCTTGGTAGCGTAATCAATTCAAAATGTGGGGATAATAATGAAAATGAGAAAAGGAACCAGGAGACTATGAGGAAAAAAAACAACTGAAGTGCATGATGCTGTAGAGGGGCATTTCAGGGACAAAGGGGTTCCAAGGCCCTTGCTAGGAACAGGCTGGGGCAAGAAAGTGACAGGAATGGAAGGCTGGGAGTCATGCTTTCCTGACTACAGGTCTGGATTCTAGAAATCATTTATTATTGCCATCCCCTTTAAATATGAAATTGCATTTAGAACCTTCAGAAGCCAGGAGTCTGTAAACAATGGTGCAAACAATTCAAACCCGAAGACATTCTCAGCTGCAATAAAATTTCTATTTACATGTTCCATTTTTTAAAATTCCTAGAAAAATGCTACTTTTATGACTGGGCTCTCATTGGGAAATATAATTTGCTCAGCTAAATAAATCTGTATATTTCAGGACATGTAACCACATCACACTTACAAGTCTTTGCTATGAATTTAAAAAGGTTCCTTGCCCCTGGAAACAGCCTTTTAAAGGCTGTTGTGGGCCTCACGCAAGTGGCTAGATGGGCGGTATTCAGCACACATGTCCTGTCTTTAATCTAGAATGATCTCACAAACACAAAAACAAGTCAGTCCCAGAAGAGAGAAGATTCCGCCCCTCACCCACAAAAAATACTAGAAATAGGACAAAAATAAGGTTTTGAAACTTATTTGCTGGTTTTCAGAACTGCCATATTATGACGACTATCCTTAATACTTATCTTTTCTTTTGGTTGGTTTTTCCTCCCTAGCTTTTGAATCCTAGCTCTTCCTTCTGGTTCCAGGGCTTAACCAAAAGGCAGATATTTGACACTTGAACACGAAGTTCAGTGTCCAGCACAGTGGGCCTACTTTATGGATGCTATACAGTAAATACAAAGCACTGCTTTGCAAAATGTTTGTTTTTCTTCTCAAACCCTGTATCCCAAACTCTCACAGCTTTTGAGTTTTAATTTTCCCACTCATGATTTCTTGGAAAGCCAGCAGGTAGAGAATGTGTGCTCAAGTGAAGGCATGGGTGGCTGAAGGTGAAAATGTTTAAAAGGGTCCCTGACTTCTTGGCCAGGAAGAAATAAGCAACACAAAAGCAGGGAAGCCAACTGAACTGAACCGTCCACTGACAGTCATTTAAGGTGGTGGGCTCACTCATTAAAAACCAAATGGAACAACAAAAAAAATCCTGTACATTTTTTTTCTGATAACTTTTCTCTATTAATATAAAATTTGACTTGTCTCTTCAACTATCCATATATAACTAAACAAAAGCACGGGGGCATAAAAGTGAAATTTTGCTATATTTTAACTGGAAGTTGCATTTACTATTTAAATTTCAATCAAATATTTACTATTTTTGGCTGGGCGCGGTGGCTCACGCCTGTAATCCCAGCTTTTTGCGAGGCTGAGGCAGATGGATCACCTGAGGTCAGGAGTTCGAGACCAGGCTGGCCAACATGGTGAAACCCCGTCTCTACTAAAAATACAAAAAATCTAGCTGGGTGTGGTGGTGGGCGCCTGTAATCCCAACTACTCAGGAGGCTGAGGCAGGAGAATTGCTTGAACCTGGGAGGTGGAGGTTGCAGTGAGCCGAGGTTGCACCATTGCACTCCAGCCTGGGCAACAAGAGCGAAACTCCATCTCAAAAAAAAAAAAAAAATTTACTATTTTTTCTGTAGAATATAATCAATGATGGGGTTTTTGCAAAGTACCTCCTTCAACTCATCCCATTACAATACTATGTTTTCATGAGCCCCTTAATTTTAATGTCTATTTCAGTGGAAGTTCAATGAGTATCTCCTAAATTCTATTGACTTTATTTTGGGAGGGTTTAGTTTAGCTTTCTTTCTTTTTGTGATCTATTTGTTTATGCTTATTGATAAAATCAAAGGGATTTTTATGTCATGAAATAATATGGCCTTAACATGGATGAAAGAAAAACTTGGATAAACATTACAAGAAGAAAGGAAAGGGAAATCCAACATTGCAGACCTTCTAGATAGTTTAGGGACTGACGATTGAGAAGGGACAGACCAGAAAGTGTTCTTATCTTGGGGTTAAGCCTGTAAGTGTGATTGTTCTCTTAGCCCTAAAAATTTTGTCAGATGTTTCCACGTGAAACCTTCAGAGAAACACTATAAATAATTTGCATCAGAGAGAGGTAGAGAGAAAGGGAAAGAAAAGGCAAGTGGGAAAACAGATCTGAGGACTCACCCCCAAGCATGGAAAATCGAGGATGTGGGGATACTTAAGAAGTTAAATTTCTTGTTTTCTCTGCATATGTGTTGTCACATCACTGAAGAAAGAAAGTGCTTTCTGAAAGGAACTCTTTCTTGTTGCATGCCTTTCACACAACAGTGGGTTTACTTGACAGTGAACACTAGGCACGGGGCTCTGCTGTGAACAGCCCTGTTCTTGCCAGGATTAGGGGCCAGTGGGAGGTGCAACAGCACCCAGTCCGTTGCATCTGGCTCTACTACAGCAGGAGAACCAAAGGGCACAAGAGGTGAATAAAGAATGGAACATTAGTCCGGGCGCAGGGGCTCATGCCTGTAATCCCAGCACTTTGGGAGGACCAGGCAGGCAGATCACTTGAGGTCAGGAGTTCCAGACCTGCCTGGCCAACATGTTGAAACCCCATCTCTATTAAAAATTAAAAATACAAAAATTAGCCCGGCGTGGTGGTGGCCAGCTGTAATCCCAGCTGCTCGGGAGGCTGAGGCACGAGAATCACTTGAACCCTGGAGGCAGAGGTTGTAGTGAGCTGAGATCATGCCACCGCACTCCAGCCTGGGTGTTAGAGTGAGACTCAGTCTCAAAAATAAAATAAAGAACATAAACCAGTCCTAGAGGCTGGAATGGTCCAGGAAATCTGTCTAGAAACAGAGACATCCAAGATGGGACCTGTAGGAAGAGTAGGAGTTGGCCAGAAGAAGGGAGAAGAAACAGCATATGCCAAAGGCTGAAGATGAGAGAAAGCTCATCCTAACTGAAGATTTTTTAAAAGATCAGCACTGGTAGAGGGTGTGAGCAGCAGGAAAGGAAGAGGAGACAGAGAGGACTGGGGCAGGCAGGGCAGCCTTGCGAGCGCATCTGGGCTGCATCCTCAGGGCCGTGGGGACCCAGTGAAGAAAGATCACTCTGGATGTGGTGTGGAGGAGAGGTTGGAAGGGGACAAGCCTGGGGGCGGGAGCCTGTTCAGAAGCAGGGGAGGGCTAGTACTTTCCTGAACTAGGGGAAGGGCCTTGTGAATGCACAGAAGAGGATTAGCCAAGCTGAGGCTCAGAGGGCTGGGTGATGGACTGCTCATGGCAATGAAAGAGAGGAGGAAAGGAAGGGTTGGATCAAATGGGTGGACACTGACATGAACCGCATTTGGGAACACAGGAACGGCAGCAGCAGGTTTAAGGGGGTTCAGATAATTATTTCCATTTTGGACATGGAGAGTTTCAGTTTTCAGTAGGACATGTCATCTGTTTTGATATCCAGGGAGGTTTTGGAAAGGGCTAGAACACACTATGATCTAAAAGATCTGGGCTAGAGATAGAAAGTTGCCAGTTGTCAGAACATAGGTGGTAGTGACTGAGGTTGCCTAAGAGAGATTGCAGAGCCTAGTAAGAAAAGGAAGCCAGGAACAGTTTCCCTGTGGAGCAACAGGGTTTCAAGGCAAGAGACAAAGAGGGGCCGTGAAGGTTTCTAGGAAAGAGCTGTCAGAGAGGCAGAGGGCATCCCATTGTGTCAGATACTTCAGGGGAGTCAAGCTGGTAAAGACAGAGGCAGCAAGGATGTCACTGGCAACCGGAAGAGCAGTTTCTGTGGATTGATGGCAACAGAAGCTGGACTGTAAAGTAATAAGAAATGAGCAGGGATGGAGTACAGACAGAAGCTAGAAGGGAAACGGGATTAAGATAGATTTATTTAATATGGGTTACACTTGAACATATCTCAACACTTATTGAATAGGGCCTTTTTCAGTAATTTAACAGTTACATAAATATATGTAGGACCTATTAAGTAGCAGACACTATTCCAATGCTTTTCAAACATTAGTTCACTCGATTCTTGCAATTCCTATGAGACAGGCTTTATTGTTTCTCTCATTTTGGAAATGAGGAAACTGCTGCACAGAGAGGTTAAATAACTTGTTTGAGATCACATAGTTTCTAAATGGTGGGTCTGGGATTTGAACCTAGGCAGCCTGGTTCCAGAATCCATGCTTTTAAGTTTTATCTCTCTCTCTCTCTCTTTTTTTTTTTTTTTTTTTTGAGACGGAGTCTCGCTCTGTTGTCCAGGATGGAGTGCAGTGGCATGATCTCGGCTCACTGCAAGCTTCGCCTCCCGGGTTCATGCCATTCTCCTGCCTCAGCCTCCAAGTAGCTAAGACTACAGGTGCTCGCTACCATGCCTGGCTAATTTTTTGTATTTTTAGTAGAGACGGGGTCTCACCGTGTTAACCAGGATGGTCTCGATCTCCTGATCTTGTGATCTGCCCGCCTTGGCCTCCCAAAGTGCTGGGATTACAGGCATGAGCCACCGCGCCCAGGCTTTAAGTTCTATATCTCTCTTTAACGCAACACATGGAAGATAATCTAAGAGGATACTTTAAGCCTTAAGAAAAATGCAACAGTGGTAGCATTTAAAAAGACTGGGCTCCAGGTAATACTTCATAGTTTGGCAAAGGTTGAAAAATTACTTAAAGTAGCACAGAGCCTGACATCTTCATACCACTGTGCTGGTATCCTTCCAAAAATAAAGAATGCTGCTGTATTGATCTCTTTTATTTATATATTGATCATCTAGCATCATAGAAACAAATCATTTGAACTAAATGGATTCTCAAAACAACTGGCTTCCTCTTAGAAAACAAATTCCTCAGGCTTCTTGCAAATAAATCTTGGCATAAGTGTCTTTGCTGAGCTTCCACATCTATGAGGCTGCAAGAGATCGTTATTGATCAACAGTTCCTTCCTTTGGAACGCTCTTTAAATTAGTTAGTGTTTAAAAAGATGCCTTTTCAAATAATAACCTCTTTTCTAAATTGGCCTTAGACATTTTGTTTGCAAGGACCACTAGCATAATTAAAAAAAAAAATCACAGCAAGCAACAAAGCCAACTATTGAAGGAAAGAAACATTTCTCAGACTGCCCACATGAGAAATGGCTTTGCTGAGCCCCACTCTAAAAGCCAAGGGAAATTTCTGCTTGAATTGCAAGGAACCACAGTAGAGGTGAGAAAGATGCTCCATCCATTTTAGCAGCTCACATATATTTTAAAGTAAAAGTAGTGTTTTCATTTTCTTGCGCATTTGACTATGTGGAGTAGGAGGGGAAGACCAGGCTTAGAAGTTCTGGATTTGAGACTTGGTGTTGCTAAGAGCTGCCTAAAAAGAACCAGGCACTTACCCTCAGGTGGGCTTAAGATTTTCATTTTTGAAGTGGGGGATGAGGGTAGAAAGACTGGGAGGTCAATAGAGCCAATTTTCTTTCTTTCTTTCTGTTTTTTGAGATAGAGTCTCCCTTTGTTGCCCAGGCTGGAGTGCAGTGGTGTGATCTTGGCTCACTGCAATCTCTGCCTCCTGGGTTCAAGGGATTCTCCTGCCTCAGCCTCCCAACTAGCTGGGATTACAGGCACACACCACCACACCCAGCTAATTTTTGTATTTTTAGCAGAGACGGGGTTTCACCATGTTGGCCAGGTTGGTCTCGAACTCCTGACCTCAGGTGATCTGCCTGCCTTGGCCTCCCAAAGTGCTGGGATGACAGGCGTGACCCACCATGCCTGGCCAGTAGAGCCAATTTTTTAAAGATTCTTTTCAGCTTCAAGATTCTGTTAATCAATGAAATAACATGGAATTATGATTTCAGCTGGTATAAAAGAAAACAGATTCACATGAATCCAGTATAGTTAATACTCTGCTTATTAAGCTTTGTTAAGAACAGAAGAAGAACGGATGAGAGAGAACACGATGTTTGAGAACAGAGTGATGGTGAGCTTAAGTGGAAAACTGCCATTTAGAAGAAAAGAAGATCAGAATAAAAACCTAGCTAGAAAAAATGGGGCATAGGATCTGAAAGACAAGTCTGATATTTGAAGTGATCGGAGCTCAGGATCAGTCTTCGTGAAAAAGCATTAGGTCAAGAAGTGAAATGGTAGATTTGTGAACAGCAAGGCTGAAACAGAGGCCACAACATGGAAGAATATCCATTGTCTAGCTGGGAGGGATTTGAGGTCAAGCGCACATTCTGAGCTTCTCCAAATAAGCCTATCTACACAGTATCTAACCAAACACCATACAGTGTGTTCCGAAGAATACATGTGCTTCAGATGTAGAACACAATCCATCTTGTGATGTTAATGACACACTTGTTTTATATTCAAACAGGGAGCCCAAACTGCTTCTGTGTTCTGTTCCATGGTAGGTAGACATGAACTTACAATGAGATGCTATTTATTAACCATGCCAAAGAAAAAAAACTGGCCAAACTCGGAGACTTTGTAAACAAGAATTTGCTGACGCTATTTTTAAAAACAAAATGAAATCAGATAAGCCAGCTTGGAAAATAGAGAGGAAAGTAAATATATCTCTCCAAAGAACATCAATATTTGCTAAAATATGGAATAATTAGTTTTTTAGGCAGCAATGAAATACTACCTACAAAAATGATTCACTGTATTAAAACTGGCAGTCCAGTTGAGGTCTTGTAAGCGTTGTACAGGAAGCCAAGTTTATTGGGAGGAACCTGAGAAGAGCTCAGTTCTCCAGATGAGAGAATACAGGCTAACATCACTTGCGAATTTGGAATGAATCTGCTACTAGAAACGGCAAGAATATAAAAGATGGGAAAAAAGTAATTGGGAAGAAAAGAAAAATAATGCTTGTCTCTAAGAATGCTGCTGCTTTGTTTTATGAACTAGTCTATTTGTTTTGGCTCCAACTAAACTCAAGAATGTTTCTGCATATTTTACAGTGTAGTTTATAGACATCAAAGGAACAATCTCCCCTTTCATCATTATTTACACATAAAAATAATGCAATTTGTGGTACATGTAAAATGTTACTTCTTAAAAAGCTCTCGAGTCTAATTTATTAATTGCTTGAGATTTAAAGTTAAACAAGGGTGAGATGCAAATCATCTGTTACTCTGAAATATTTTACCACCAAATCCTGTTTTATTAATGAGATGTTGAGCAGCCATATGAATATTTATTTAGGTGGTTAGAGGGCTTTATGAAGAATCCTACAGCAAGTGACAGAGACATAAAAGCTGAAGGGTTCTGCTTCTCTTGAAAAAATGGGGGTTGTTCTTTTTTTTAATTCCACTTTTTCCTCTGTGTTTCCAACATTAAAGCATTCCTGTAACCCACCAACCATCCCGGCCTTCTTGCTCCAAATCTTTTGCCTTTGCTGCTACTACTGCTGCTATTATAGCAATAGCCTCCCATTGACAACTCGGGAAATAACAGCCTGGTCTTTTTGGGTGGCAGGACAGCATCACATTAATTTTTGCCAATTACATACACTTGAAAAACATGATATATGTGTACTACTAGGTTTATTTTGCTTAATTTATTGATTTTGGTTCAGTTCCTTAGAAACTGCATAATTTACCATGCGATATTATAGATTTCCTGATGCAGTAGCAACAAGTCCCTTAAAAATAACTATATAAATGTAAAATAGAATGCGCTAGAAATGTCTTTAAATTGTTCCATGATTTATAAGGCACAGTTATGCAGAATCAGTTATGATAATACAACTGTTTATTCATAACTTCACTTTTCTCTCAGTAGCATATAACTACTATTGGAAAATATACTTATATATGCATATATTCATTCTTTTTCTAGAAATGTTTACACACATGTACAACATACGCATACATTCTACTTTCTTTTAAAAAATTATACATATGTCTCAACCTATACATGTAAATATAGGATCAGGCACAATAGTGTCCGAAAGACTTCTGAAGTCAGGTGTTAAAGTTCTACAGCAACAAAGATGATCTGAAATGAAGTCCACCAACAGGCTGGCTCTCAGCCTAGTCCTGCCCTAGGGGTAATTCTTGCCATTTCAGTCTAGCCCCTTTACCCCTCTTCCACTGCACAGCCCCTCCTGCTGCCCCCAAGGCTGCCCGCTCCCCACTTGCAGACACCTTCAAGCTCTATTCCTCAGGTTCCTAAATGACTTCCTTGCCCTCTTCTTCTCCCTTCCTGCCCCAAATACCTCCTCCTACTCCTTCAAGTGAGATGATCTCATCTAATTGTTAGGAACAAAGTCTCTGATTGAACAGTTTCACATTAGAGTGTGAATTACTTCAAGTGGTTTAATATGTTAATATATCAAGGATGTCTGAATCTTAAAAGAGGAGTTTGTTAAACTGAAGGCTTAGATATTTAACTAATCCAAGAACTAACATTTTGTGGGGGTGGGGATATGGGGTCCCTACTTCTTTTAACAGTAAGGTTGGTGTTGATGTGTTTAAAGCTGCCTTGAAAACAAGCAATAATAGGTATAAAATAAATTAATATATTTAGTAACCAGGGATTATATGTGTATATATATATTTTGAGACAGAGTCTCACTCTGTCACCCAGGCTGGAGTGCAGTGGCACAATCTCAACTCACTACAACCTCCACCTCCTGGGTTCAAGTGATTCTCCTATCTCAGCCTCCTGAGTAGCTGAGATTACAGGTGCGCACCACCGCGCCTGGCTAATCTTTTGTATCTCGTAGAAATGGGGTTTCACCACGTTGGCCAGGCTGGTCTGGAACTCCTGACCTCAAGTGATCCAGTCGCCTGGGCCTCCCAAAGTGCTGGGATTACAGGTGTGAGCCACTGTATTAGTCTGTTTTCATGCTGTTGGTAAAGATATACCCAAGACTGGGAAGAAAAAGAGGTTTAATTGGACTTACAGTTCCACATGGCTGGGGAGGCCTCAGAATCATGGTGGTGGCAAGAGAAAATCAGAAGGATGAAAAAACGGAAACCCCTGATAAACCCATTAGATCTTGTGAGACTTATTCATTACCACTAGAACAGTATGGGGGAAACTGTCCCCATGATTCAAATTATCTCCCACTAGGTCCCTCCCACTGGGTCCCTCTCGCAACATGTGGGGATTATGGGAGTACATGATGAGATTTGGGTGGGGACACAGAGCCAAGCCGTATCAGCCACCATGTCAGGCCAGTATCCAGGGATTATATTCTTTAAATCAATGAAGTCTTTATGTTTGAGCACCCAGTACTGTGGGTGTTATGAAGAAACGAAAAGTGTGAGGCATGAAATAATCAAATAATTATTGGCTGGGCATGGTGGCTTAGCACTTTGGGAGGCTGAGGTGGGTGGATCACAAGTTCAGGAGTTTGAGACTAGCCTGGCCAACATGGTGAAACCCCGTCTCTACTAAAAATACAAAAAATAGCTGGGTGTGGTGGTGGGTGCCTGTAATCCAAGCTACTTGGGAGGCTGAGGCAGGAGAATCGTTTGAACCCGGGAGGCAGAGGTTGCAGTGAGCTGAGATTGCACCATTGCACTCTAGCATGGGTGACAGGGCGAGACTCCATCTCAAAAAAAAAATTATTATTAAGGATTAATAACAGGACCTCATGAAAGTGTAAGGTTCTTGAGGACTGGGGCAATCAGCAGAGCTTCATGGAGGAGGGAGATAAGACCTTGAGATGATAAAACTTGACAAGTCTGAGGGTTAAAGATGCTGCTGAGGAGGAAGGTGAACAGCATGAGAGAAGGCAGGTTGCGTGGCTGGCAAGGTGCTTGTGGATAGTGAGAACCAGCTTGATTGGAAGAGAATGTGTGTGTCAAGGAATAGTGAGAAACCTGGATGGGCTCTGAAAGCTAAGCAGAAGAGTTTGATCATGATGTTATAAGCAACCCTCTAAATTCAATTTAGTCATACGACGTTTTCAGAAATTAAGACATCATCAAAAGATATAAAATAAAAAATGGAAAGTCCTATTGCCCCCAAATAATCACTATTACCCATCTGGAGACCTACTCAGGACATCTTTTTATGTATATGACATGCTGCACTCTTTTCATTTATTATATATTAGCAATCTTGCCTCATTTTCAAAGAGATCTACTTCATTCTTTAAAAATGGCCTCATAATATTCCATTGTGTGGATGTGTCATAATTTGCTTTCCCCAGCTTTTTGCTCAAACAATCCTGCAAAGATATTGTATAGACTTGCAAGTATATCCAGAGATAGATTCCTGTCAGGGGGAACTGCTGGCCCAAAGGTTATGTGCATTTGAATGTTGGTAGATAAGACCATACTGCCCTCCACAGAGGCCACACTGGTTTATACTCCCAGAAATGGGGCACGAGCCTGCTGGTTTCCCTGTATCTTCATCATTGACCACGTTTTCAAAATGAAAACTTATACTGGTCGGGTGGCAGTCAGTCTCTTCAAAACTTTGGACTTCTGATTTACATTTATTTGATTATGAGTAAGAATGAGCATTTTTTTTTTCATAAGTTTGCTGGACATTGATGTTCTATGAATTCTGCTTTCATGTTCTTTGCTCTTTTTGTCCACTGGGTTGTTAGTTTTCCTATTGATTTCCAAACCCTCTTTGTAAGACAAGGACATCACAGTGATTTAAGATTTCTTTGGCAGAGTTCTTCACACTGGACTGAAGCTGAGAGCCTTTTGGCAGGGATATCGGCTGAGAGGAGGCTGTTTTAAATCAATCGCAAGTTGAGAAGGGCTCCAAATAGGGTCATATCAGAGGAATAAGAAATACATTCAAGGACTCTGGTGAGAGACTTGAGATAAATTGGGATGAAGGAAAGAAAGGACAAAGATGAACTCAAAGTTTCTAACAGGAAACAGAAAGACTGGAGGTAACCCTGATAGACTGGAAAGAAGGGCCAATTTGGAAGGGAAGATCACAACTCAATGTTGTAGATGGTGACTCTGAAATAGTAGTGCATCTTCAAAAGAAGATGATTTACAGGCAGTGCAACATATAGGACCCAGCTAGGAATCAGGCCAGGGCTTCTGGGAATCATCTCTATAGAAGTGACAGCTGACATCACAGAGGAGATGATCTTAGTGTGGAAAAGAAAAGGAGAAGCAAAGCCCAGGACATAGACTCGAGGAACACCCACTGGGAGGAAGAGAGACTAGCAGAAGAAAGACAAGTAAAAGAAGTATCATATAAGCTAAGATAAGATAAGGGTTGGCAAACTACAGCCAGCTGGCCAAATCTAGCATTTACCTTGGTTTTGTCAATAAAGTTTTATTGGAACATAGCCATGCCCATCTGTTGACATACTGTCTATGGCTGCTCTCAGGCCACAACGTTAAAAGCTAAATAGCTTCAACTAGGACTATATGGCCTGCAAAGCCTAACATTTTTACTATTTGGCCCTTTACAGAACAAGCTTGACAATGCCTGTTTTAGAAGGAAAATTGTTGGTCAATCAATATAGTCAAATGCTGCATAGAGCTAGAGGATGATTAGAAGTAGAAAAACACTGTGGAATTTGGAGAAGAGGCGATAGGTTACTCTGTCAATTTTCTATATTATGGTGGGATTACAAAAGGGACTTTAAGAGAATAGATGGAAGAGTTGAATCATATACACATCAGAAAAAGAACAAGAGGTTGGTAGCTAGGAAGGGTTGCAAGAGAAACAACGCCATACAGTCTATCCACTTGTCTAGAGACCACACTCTGCTTGTTGGGCTTAGCTATGACTATAGGGCCTGGAGCTGTGAGTCAATTTCATCAAGGACATGGGAGAAAGAGAACTGTTGTACCAGTGGTACTTGAGTAAATGTATTCAAGTACATTTCCTGCACCTTATGCCATTGTGGTATAATTGCCTATAGTACAGCATGTTACTATACTGTAACATTACTGTATCATTACTGCACTATAGGCAATTATATAAATATATCTAAGCAAAGAAAAGGTACAGTAAAAATACAGTATAAAAGATACAAAATGGTGCACCTACATAGCGCACTTACCATGAATGGAGCTTGCGGGACTGGAAGTTGCACTTGTGAGTCAGTGAGTGAGTGGTGAGTGAATGTGAAGGCCTAGGACATTACTGTACACTACTGTAGACTTTAAGATACTCTACACTTAGGCTATGCTAAATTTATAAAACAACATTTTCTTTCTTCAATAATGAATTCATCTTAGCTTACTGGAACACTTTCACTTTATAAACTTAAAAAAAAATTTAAACTTTTTGACTCTTTGGTAATAACATAGCTTAAAACAGAAACACATTGTGCAGCTATACAATATTTTTTCCTTTCTTAAAAATTTATTTTTATTTGACAGATAATAATTGTACATATTCCGTTTTTCTTTATATCCTTATTCCATAAGCTTTCTTCTATTAATTTTTTTGTTTTTACTTTTTAAGCTTTTTGTTAAAAATAAGACAAAAACACACACATTAGGCTAGGCCTACAAAGGGTCAGGATAATTAAGAAGTTACTAGGTGGTAAGGTTTTCTCATCATTTATTTCATTGTAATCTTATGGGACTACCATCATCTATGTAGTCCATCTTGACTGATATGTTGTTATGTGACATATGACTGCATACATAAATATGTGCATATACACCTATGTAGCATATATGAGGCTGGTGCAAAAGTAATTGCGGTTTTTGCCATTACCACAATTACTTTTGCACCATCTAATACATATTAAATTGATCATTCAGTAATTTTGGTTGCTAAGGCTTACATTTATGTCATTCAATGATCATTACGTTCATTATACTGCCTTTGAACTATCTCCGATACAGTTTAGCATTATTAAAGATTAACAATGTCCAAGTAGTTTTTTGTTAAATTTTTAAAATTAAAAAACTAAAATTATCCATATATATTCCAATAGTTTACTAACCAAAGTACTTCATTTTGGACCATGCAATAATACAATTAACCACCAGCCTGGGCAACATGGTGAAACCCTGTCTCTATTAAAAATACAAAAACTAGCTGGGTGTGGTGACGCACATCTGTAATCCCAGCTACTAAGGTTGGGGTCTGTGGAGGGAGGATCGCTTGAGCCCAGGAGTTGGAGGCTGCAGAGAGCCAAGATCGTGCCACTGCACTCCAGCCTGGGCCACATAGCGAGATCCTGTCTCAAACAAACAAACAAACAAACAAACAAACAAACAAACAGAAAAACCAATTAACCATATATAGTCACCTAGTGACTTCCAAAGAGTACAATTTAGCCATTGGTGAAGAGGAATCTACTTTCACCTGTGTTCTTTTGATCACACTCTTCCTACTCACATATTCGTGTATTCGCTCATCAAACCTTAATTGATTCCTTAACGTACACAAGGCAATGTTCCAGGGGCTAAAAATATCTCTCATAGCACTTGAAGGATTTTGTCCACTGAACAAAGAATCTTATTTGACTAGTTTTAAAATAAAATAAAAACTGCCAGAGAATAGAATCGGAGGGAAGCTTTGGGGTAAAAAAAACTTTTGAGAGAGAACTGTTCCTTTCTTCTCCGCTCATTTATTGCTATTGCTTCTCCTTGCTCTAGGAAGCAAGGTCATAATTCACAGCCACAGCATATCCAAGCCTATCTTCCAGAGCATTCTTCCTGAAAAATGGCACTTACGCTTTATGCTACTATGACTGAATGGCTCTGTCTTTCTTTCTGAGTGAGCAGGCAAACCTTCTTAGGTGGGATGGAAAATACATTTCTATTCTTAGCATTATTAATTCTAATTCAGGAGGGCACAAAGAAAATGCCACTTTCCTTGTGCCCTACGGACGTGCATACAGGGGAGACAGGAATTAAGTAATGAACAGGTCCCAAACAATGCCATTTGATGCTAGGCATCGAGATTTCTTCCTGTTTCTCAATGCTACTAAAACACCACAATGAGGTTTGTAATTTTATTCCTTGGGAAATTGATTCCTGTAAGCTTTTAGGACAGTAAGAATTGCCCAATCTTATGAAATATTCTACAACCCCCACCCCCCGCCCCCAACCAAGCCCTTCTGGTAACACAGACCAGATTGCTAGATGTCCTACTGGCAGCTGACCTTGTCTTGTGAACTCCAGTCAGTAGCCAAGGGAGAGAAGCATCAATGCTGTAAAATCTCTTTTCTATGCCTGCAAGCAAAAATTTTACAACATTTCTTCTTGACATGAAATCTCTGCTTGGACATCTGGCTTCACAGTGAGAAACTTTCAATACGCTAGCTTCAAAGAAAGGACTTAGCCCTGGTGGTGCAGTGATGCCAGAAGAATGTTCCACAGTCTCTTTAAAGAACTATTTCTAACGTTTCCCCAAATGAACTTCTGTGAGCTCAGTGGATAGTGCCAACTCACATTTAGATAACTTGGCTTTGGCATACAGCCTTTTGTGGGCATTGCCCCTGGAGTATACAAATTGTGTTCTTAGATAATACAGGCATACCGCGGAGATACTCCAAGTTCAGTTCCTGACCACTGTAATAAAGTGTATACCATGATAAAGAGAGTCTCGCATATTTTTTTGGTTTCCCAGTGCATATAAAAAAGTCATGTTTACACTATACTATAGTCTATTACGTGTGCGATAGCATTATGTCTAAAAGAACAATGTATATACCTTAATTAAAACTTTCTTATTGCTAAGACATGCTAACAATCATCTGAGCCCCCAGAGAGTCCTAATCTTTTTATTGGTGGAGGGTCTTGCTTTTGATGCTGATGGCTGCTGACTAATAAGGGTGGTGGTTGCTGAAGGCTGGGGTGGCTGTGGCAATTTCTTAAACAAGATAAAAATAAAGTTCACTGCACCAATTGACTTGCTTTCACGGAAGATTTCTCTGTAGCATGCGATGCTGTTTGATTTAACCACAGTAGAATTTCTTTGAAAATGGGAGTCTATCTTCTCAAATCCTGCCACTGCTTTATCAACTAAGTTGATATAATATTCTAAATCCTATGTTGTCATTTCAGCAATGTTCACAGCATCTTCACCAGGATTAGATTCCATCTCAAGAAAACATTGTCTTTGCTCACCCATAAGAAGCAACTCTTCATTCAAGTTTGGTCATGAGGTTGCAGCAATTCGGTCGCATCTTTAGGCTCCATTTCCAATTCTAGTTCTCTTGCTATTCTACCACATCTGCAGTTACTTCCTCAAAGTCATTTGTGAAAGTTGGAATCAACTTCTTCCAAACTCCTGTTAATGTTTATATTTTGACCTCCTCCCATGAATCAAAAATGTTCTTAATGGCTCTAAAATGGTGAAGCCTTTCCAGAAAGTTTTCAATTTACTTTGCCCAGTTCCATCAGAGGAATTACCATCTATGGCAGCTACAGTCTTATGAAGTGTATTTTTGACATAAGAAGACTTGAAAGTTGAAATGACTCCTGGATTAATGAGCTGGAGAATGGATGCTGTGTTAGCAGGCAAGAAAACAACATTCATCTCCTTGTACATCTCCATCAGAGCTCTTGGGTGACCAGGTGCATGGTTAATCAGCAGTAATTTTTTTTAAAGGAATCTTTTTTTTCTGGGCAGGAGGTCTCAATAGCAGACTTAAAATATTCAGGAAACCATGCTGTAAACCAAGCTGCAGTGCAGCCTTTCTTGTTCCACTGAAAAAGCACAGGCAGATTAGATTTAGCATCATTCTTTAGCATCCTAGGGTTTTTGGAATGGTTAATGAGCCCTGGCCTTAGTCACCAGCTGCACTTGCCTTGAACAAGAGAGTTAGCCTGTCCTTTGTAGTTTTAAAGCTTCTCTAGTAATAAAAGTCCTAGATGGCATCTTCTTCCAACAGAAGGCTGTTTCATCTACACAGAAAATCTGTCATTTAGTGTAGTCACCTTCATCAATGACCTTAGCTAGATCTTCTGGGTATCTTGCTGTAGCTTCAGCACTTGCTGCTTCACCTTGCATTTTTATGTTATGGAGATGGCTTCTTTCCTTAAACCTTATGAACAAACCTCTGCTAGCTTCAGACTTTTCTTCTGCAGCTTCCTCACCTCTCTCAGCCTTCACAGAATTGAAGAAATTTATGGCCTTTGCTCTGAATCAGACTTTGGCTTAAGGAAAGGTTGTGGTTAGTTTGATCTTCTACTAGACTACTACAATTTTCTCCATATCACCACAAAGCTGCTTTGCTTTCTGCCATTCATGTGTTCACTGGAGTAGCACTTTTAATTTCCTTCAAGAACTTTTCCTTTGCATTCACAATGTGGCTATTTCGTACAAGAGGCCTAGCTTTGGGCCTGTCTCGGCTTTCAACATGCCTTCCTTACTGAACTTAGTAATTTCTAGCTTTTGGTTTAAAGTTAGAGATGTGTGACTCTTCACTTGAACACTTAGAGGCCATTGTAGAATTATTAATTGACCTACATCAATATTGTTGTGTCTCAGGGAAGAGGGAAGCCCAAGGAGATGGAGAGAGATGGGGGAATGGCCAGGAAGTGGAGCAGTTAGGATACACACAACACTTATTGTTTGTTGTCTCCCATGGGTGCAGTTTGTGGCACCCCAAAACAATGACAATAGTAACATCGAAGATCACTGATAACAGATCACCATAACAGATATAATAATGAAAAGGTCTGAAATATTGCAAGAATTACCAAAATGTGACACAGAGACACAAAGTGAGCACAGCACATGCTGTTGGAAAAATGGTGCCAAAAGACTTGACACAGAGTTGCCACAAACCTTGAATTGTAAAAAACACAATGTCTATGAGGTGCAATAAAATGAAGTGCAATAAAACAAGGTGTGTCTGTATATACAAGGCGCACGATATTTTTTTAGAATCTGCATAATTAGGCAAAATATATGACGGTTACCACAAGATCTGAGTTCTCTCCCCATATCTGCTATACCATTACAAAATATTTATGAGCTTGCTGCCACTAAAAATAAAATGACATGAGAATAAATGACACTATTTGTTATCAGAACCTTTTATGATTTATGAGGGAACATCATTCATTTATTCTGTGTATTTCCAGCACTTCCATCGAAACAAACATTGCACTAAAGCTTGCTCTCAAAAACCTCACAGTCTAGTTGGTGAGAAAGACAATTCATCTAAATACAGGTCCACAATGTTCTATCTGCAATCCTGAAATCCAAAAGTCCTCCGAAAAACACAAATTCTTTTTGAAAGTCTGCAGTTAACTTCTTTGGGAACAAAACCTGACTGATGTTGGGTGGGTACTTATAATCTCTACTTGTCTCATTCACTGGGGACACTCACACATTTCACTGTTCCTGTATGTGTCTGAGTAGACTGTGCTGTCCCAGGACCCACTGCAGATACAGCACAAGCACCACTTTCCTAGAACCTGCAGATTCGGACTGGGTGAGGGATTGTGGGTCAGCACTGTAATACAGCAAACACTTCATTAGAGGGATGAACGAGGTTGGCACGAGTTTCTCACTCTGATGCTTCGCAGAAAAGATGACCTTAAGTCAAAGGGAAAGGATACTTTACAAAGAACTCATGGGCATTTCCCATGGGGCATGGGATCATAGAGAACATGGCATCTATGTTGAGCACTGGCAGCTGATGAGGGAGACTGGAGGGTGATGTCTAGACAAGTGGTTCTCCAAGTATTGGGTTTCAGGATTCCTTTCCACTCTTACAAACTGACAACCCCAAAGAGGTTTTGTATATGTGGATTACATCTACTGAGTTTATCATATTACATATTAAAACTAAGAAATATTAAAACATTTTACTCATTAAAATAGTAATAAACTCATTATGTGTAAACATAAATATAATATTTTAATAGAAAAATAACTATTTTCCAAAGCAAAAAAAATTAGTGAGACAACTAGCTATGTTTCATTTTTTGCAAATCTTTTCAATGTCTGATTTGATAGAAGGCAGCTGATTCTCAAATATGCTTCTGCTTTCAATCTCTTGCAAGATGTTATTTTGATTGAAGAATAGGAAGAAAATCTAGTCTCACACAGATAAGAAGTTAGAAAAGGGAGGAGTATTTTAGCAGCCTTTTTAGATGACTGTGGATATTTTTGTTAATATGCCAAAACTTGACAAGTGGTAGCTTCTTAAAAGTTAGTTACAATGTGGAATCTGAAACTCTATCAGTGAGCTTTTCATACTATTACACTAACATCCATTGGTCTCTTTTGTATTTTGAATGGATCTTTTACTCAGGCATGGTTTTGTAACATCAGGTGTTTGTCATTTGGAAAACATGGTTCTGTGAGTTATACAAATCTTCCAAATGTTGATACACTTCATTCTCTTCCTTCCCCTTTCTTCCCATTCACATCACTGATAATATCACTGATCTTATCAGAAAAGTCTGTAAGTATTGTGAGGCTGTCAGGCTCACAGTGGTGGTATTAGTTTTCCAAAATTCTAATTTTGGCTTGAAAGCTTAAATTTTATCATTAGCAACAATATAGTCAGTTGTTATCCTTGAAATGCCAGGCTTGTTTCATTTCATTCATTTTCAAGAAAACATCTGCCAAATACTCAATTGTGAATAAGCATAGCTTGCCTGTCAATCGTTCTTTCAGAGTGACTAGAGTTCAGCTCATACTCATACAGACACAGAACTACTTTTCTCTAAGACAGCCATCCTACTTCAGTATGCAGCAGAAGTGCTTCATGTGTACTTCCTACTAATGTTAAAAGAGATGTATCCTCGAGGTTTGAGATTTAACAAAATCAATACAGACGCTCTTCAACTAAGATGGTGTTAAGTCTCAATAAACCCAATGTAAGTAGAAAATATCGTTAAGGTGAAAATGTACTTAATATCCTGATTAACCTATCGTAAAGTTGAGAAATTGTAAGTTGAGCCACTGTAAATCAGGGACCATCTGTATATTTTATTGCTTTTTATTTTTAACCATAAGTACATGGTAGTGAAGAAAATAATGACTAGTCATATGGTTTCATGTTAAAGCCTTGTTTTGTGTGAAGCCACCAGCAGTTTTACCCACCACTGCTTCTATATCATCTATGCAAGTATCAATATAGTAAAAATGGAAAGTGATATCTTTGTGTTATTATGAAAATAGTTTGACCTTGTGGGGCCATTGTAAAGGTCTCAGGGACTCATCGGAGTCTGCAGAGAATACCTTAAGAGCTGCTGGTTTAGATCATAAAGTGTTTTGTATGCCATATTGACAAGTATAGGTTTTATCCTGTAGGTAATGGAAAGCCATTGATGAATTTTAAGAAAAAACAACATGCCCATATTTGCGTTTTAGAAAAGTTACCTTATCAGTAGTGTGAGGCATAGATTTGAGAGGGTCGAGTTATTGGCAGTGATTCTAGATAAGGGTGATTGTGCTAGGCAAGGTCAAAGATGATGATGATCTGACCTAGAAGGTAGGATCTAGTGATTGGGGAATGGGGTATGAGTTTGGAGATATTTAGGAGTTTTCTCTAGGAACTGACCTATGAGAGGTAAGGGAAGGAAAGAATTAATTCAGGGGGATTTCTAGGGAATCTGACTTCCGTGAGTAGGTGGATGACGGTGGTACTTTAATTCAGATAACCAATACAAGAAGAAGAGCAGGCTGGGGCTGGGAGAAGAGCAAGAGGAAGATTAATTCAGTTTATGACAGCTCTAGATTGTACAGTCTATGGTCCATCCAAATGGAAATGCCCAGTAGTAGTCAGAAATGCGGATTGAGGGCTCAGGAGAAAAGTTTGAATGGTGATGAAAATTCAAAATTCATTTGTCTGGAAGTTAACATGAAGGGATGAGATTGTCCAGGGACAATCCAGTGTATATAGAGAAAACAAAATAGGCCCTAACTAATACCATTATTTCAGTGCAAAAAAGAGGAGATGGGAACAAGAATGGGAAAGAGGGGTTCCGAAAGGTAGATGCCCCAGGAAAGTGCTGCCATAGAGCTAAGGAAGTTTTTAGAGGCTAGTCATGTGCAGATTAGATCGTTGTTCACAGATGTTCACGGTCTTCTAACTAGAGTTAGTATGTAATTTCCCTGCCTCATTGACGTGGACAGAAATGAGGCTGAGGATGCAGGGATTTCTTTCAACCCATCCTCTTGCACTTCTGTAATCTACCATTAACAGGATATTCCGGACAACTACTAGTCCAAGCTGACTGTACAGACATCTAGAGCTGGCCTGAATCTGATCTAAAGCCTGGAGTCAAACCCAGTCAGTCAATGCACATTCTGAATTTGAGCCACAACAGCGACCCGCAGACATGTTCCAAGAAAAATAAATGTGAGTGAAAGTCACTGAGTCTCCAAAAGTGTTTGTTAGGCAGCATTATTGTGGTAATATCTGAGCAGCAGAAGATCCTTGTTAAATGTTATAAAGAAGTCAAATAGACTTCTCAAGATTAGATAGTAGATTGAATGTTCCTCTCCCAACACCAAATAAAATGAGTAAAGAAGAGTAAAAGCTAGCAAAAATGCACCAACAGAACAATATCGGGTGGTAAGGTAGACATCATACAAAAAACCATCAAAAACCTGGGGTCAAGGAAAGAAATGTAATTCTGGAGCACAGTGAAGAGTTGCACAGGGGCTCAACTTCAAAACTTGCCCATGCCCCTAGGATCATTATGTTGTTATGAGTCAAAATTCTGAGAATTTTCAATACTATCACCAAATCTGGAGAGAAGCAAATGGCATGGCAGCCTCATTTTTTCCTCTTCTGGCTGACAGTAGGGGAGACGGATGTGGTAGAAAAACAGATAAATATCAGGGCTGGCTACCTCTGAGGAAAGGACTTCAGAGATGTACACCAAATTGGGATCATTACAAACTCAAAGGAATAGAAGATGCCGCTTCCATGTAGGTAGTGTGAACCCTGAAACACACTTAACATAATCTCAAAGTGAGAACAGTCAGTTCAGCCAGATGCATGCTGGCTTGTGCGCCAGCTCTGCCTTCCCCTTCCCTCAGGTCAGAGAACACACAGAGACACTACAAGTCAGTTTCACTTACAAGGAGAACCACTATGCTTCAGAACCATTTGCTATTGAATACTGAACATGTAGACATATCTCAGTCGCTTACTGAATTTATCCTGGTTAATCTACTAAACTTACATGAGAAAGAAAGACTTCTTCAGGAATGCCTCAGAAAATGCAAATCACTTCTAAGGAGGTGCATTCAGTCTATGTCTGTTGGTCTGCAGACAGAAAAGTCTGCGGGGTCATGTCTGCTGGTCTGTCTAGCCCAGGCTTCTCATAGCAACCTTAAATGCTCGATGAGCCGTGTTTACACATAGGAAGAAAATGTGAACAGAAACACCGCACCCATGTAACATGCCATTCAATCATACAGGTTAGCCAGAAGACATTCTTAAACATGAAAAAACTCAGGGAAGACAGCACCATCCAATCAATTAAGAAACAAATCAAAGTAAAAACTGTGGGAATGGCGCCACTATGGTAAAAGGCCTAGTATAAACACTGCATAGATTGAAATATAGCATGAGAATTAAACTATAGGATATGGTTTAAAAATTGTGAATATCATAAACCCGGACAGTGTGAAAATACTACTACTATCCAAGGTAGGAGGTGGCAGGGAAGGGTTACGGCAGAAAGTATAAGGGTGCAAAAGTACACATTTTTCAGCCAAAATCAACATGTTCTGTCCAAAAATTCAACAATTCCTCTGTTTTACTCTAGTTTCTTTTGTCTGTTGAATTAAAGTAAAATTAAAGATTTTTCTAAAACAACAAAAAAAATCAATAGTATTCATTTCAAAAGCCTACTCGGCTTTCTGTTCTTTTTCCCTTATACATAGTAGGATATCAGAAATAATGTTTACCTTAATTCTATGGTGGTTATTTCTGGGTGATAGGATTTGGGGTGACTTTAAAAACTGTTACAGTTTTTTATTCTTGCATTTTAAATTATTTATAAATGAGCATATGACATTTCTACTACTTCAAAAACAAGAGAATAGATTTTCTTTATAAAAAAACATGGATGCAAATATGCCGCAATGTTAATTAATGTTGATTACAGGTAGTAGGAATATAGATATTTTCCTCTTTGTACTATTTTGTATAGTTGAGGAATAAATGGGAGATAAAAACCGGACCTTTAGTATAGACTACTGTGGTAGATTTAAAATGGCCTCAAATTCTATGCCATTCCTCCCACTATTTCTCCTCTCCTAGATTGGCCACTATTTCTCCTCTCCTAGATTCTGGGCTGGCCCTATGACCTATCTTGATCAATCGAATGTGGTGGAAGTGACTTTGTGACTCTTCCTAGGGCAGGGCTTAATGGAAATACAGGTTCTGCTTTTACCCCTTTTAATTATTTCTCTTTGACATCAGCTACTAGGTGAAAAGTCTGATTAATCTGTTAAAAAGGCCATATGGCATGGGCCTGAAACCAGCTCAGACATTCCAACCCCAGCCAAGCTTTCTGCTGAATGTAACCTCATGAGGCACCCCAGCCAATGCCACACATTGAGCAGATGAACCACCCAGCTGATCCCTGCCCAAATTTCTGATCCAAAGAATTATGGGCAGATAGATGTTGCTCTAAGCCATCAAGTTTTTGGAGTATGCAGTGGTGATAATTCTTTTGAAAGGTGTGACTTTGAACATAAGGAGTGAGCTAAGGCAGTAAATAAGTGATAAAGAAGATTTTTTTGCTCTTGATTTTTAAAAGATAGGGTGTTACAGCATAAAAGATCTACTCTTGCCAGGTGTGGTGGCTTATGCCTGTAATCCCAGCACTTTGGGAGGCTGAGGTGGGCAGGTCACCTGAGGTCAGGAGTTTGAGACCAGCCTGGCCAACATGGTGAAACCCCATCTCTACTAAAAATACAAAAATTAGCCAGGCGTGGTGGTGGGCACCTGTAATCTCAGCTGCTTGGGAGGCTGAGGCAGGAGAATTGCTTGAACCCGGGAGGCGGAAGTTGCGGTGAGCTGAGATCGTGCCACTGCACTCCAGCCTGGGCAACAGAGCAAGACTCCATCTCAAAAAAAAAAAATCTACTCTTACGAATTTTGTTCGTTTGTGTAACTCTTTTTACACTAAAGGAATTCTGTTTTCTAAAAGACCTTACTTCATCTGTTGTTTCTTGGACAGTGAGGATCATGCCTGCTGTTAGTCTCACCTACCACTATTCCCATAATGTTCAATGGATTTCTTCAGGCTGGTAGCTTTTCCCTTTTTACCAAACAATTTTTATTGCTTCTCTGTGCAAAAGTGCTATTATAGTTTAAATATAGATAAAATTAAAAAATCATAAATTCTACCACTCAGAGATATCCATTAGTAAAATTTTGATATAACTGTAGTCTTTTTTTCTCTTGAGTTATACTTTTGTTTTGCAAAAATGAGCTCATATCTATATGTTTTGGGATGTGCATTTTCACTGAAAAATATCATGTGAACATTTTCAATATCCTTATATATGCTCTCCAACGTCATTTCCTATAGTGCACAGTTTTCAGTGTATTTGCTATAGTTAAAAATATAGAAAGGATATAGAGAATGCTGGTGTTGCAGGTACCTGTCACATAAGAGGAGCTAAATAAATAACTATTGACTGAAAGGATGAAAGCTAGAACAAGCATCTTTTTGATTAGCTAAAGCTTAGTGCGATTATTAATTGCCACCTTTGGGCAAATTCTGAAAATGGTCAAAGGCTAGGTATATCTCTCAGGCAATTTAATAATGATAGGTATTGCCAAATTATCCTCAAGAAATGTTTTATCAAGTTATATTGCACCTGACTGGTGACCCTTTAAGTGGGTTTCAGTATACCTCAAATTTTCTCTAGAATTACTTTAATGATTTATCTGAGGAAGCATTATTATAAGCTCTGACAGAATGAGTACTAGGTTTACTCTCTGTCTCCATTCTTGATCACCAGCTTGAAAGAGGTCAGTTCATCATCAACCCAGAAGTGGAGTGAAGTATGTCTCACAATTAGCATGCACGCTACTTTTATGGCATTATTGAATATATCTGCAGACAAATGTATTTGGTCCCAGAAAATCAAGCCTCATAGTGGCTGTGCCTCTCTCTGAGTATCAATATCTATTCATGTACCTAAATCTATGTGTACAAAACACTTAAATATAATCAGAATGTCCAAATCAAACACCTGTTGCAAAAATGTTATATCATTCATGCAGAGAGAAGAATAGAATGAGAATATCTATCTAGGTTCATTTTGGCACTTGGTCATTTGACTCATTTTCATGGACAGAATGTAGTACACTGGGGTATGGTATAATAGTTAATAGTTGAGGCTCTCAAGTAAGACAGATTGTGGCTTGAAACTGCCTCTGCCAACTGTTCAGCAGGATGATCTTGGGCTAGTTATTTAACCTCATAGTCACAGTTTCCCCATTTGTAATATGGGGATGACAGAAATACCTTCCTCATGAAGATTACCATAAGGCTTAAATGAGATAATGGAACATGAGATGAATGAAAATGGCAGAGCCTGGAACATAGTACGTGATGAGTAAATATCAGCTGTTATTCACAGTATTTTTTGTGATACAGCCTTAAAAAAAGAGCCAAGGCAATAAACACTAATGAATCAATTACCTTAGCAACTTTAATATAGGTTAGTAAAAAAGAAATGTCATTTACTTTATGTATAATCTAAGTGAGTGAATCAAAACTTAGCTATATCTTACCTATATTGTAATTTTAATATTTTTCAGGTAACATATGGTACATATAGTTTTTATATATATTATAAAACTGTAAGAATTAATAACTAAATTATTATTAAATAATTTAAAAATTAAGTAATTTAAAAATTAAATAATTAAAACTGTAAGAATTAGTTTAAAATGAGCAACTGTACTAATTATAATTCTTTCAAGATTTTTTTAATCATCAAGAAACAATACCAGAACTATGCTGTCAGGAGTATATTCATATTTTCCATTTTTGCTTATATTTAGATTTGATTGCTCATTTAAAATTTGGATATTACCTACTACTTGGTATTTGGACATAAAGTGAAACAGAAATGCACTTAATATTTAAATTTTATAGAACTAAAACAATTTAAACAAAATATGCAATGCAGTTTATGTGAAGCAAAACAGTTATATAGATCAATGGAGGCACTTCCTGTGCATTTGTAAATGAAAAAAACTTGAAAGATGTTTTTAAACCACCAGAATATGAAAAAAAAATCTCTCTTTTTTTTTTGGTCTTATAACACAGGTAGGGGAAATAAGCTTGCAGGTGGAAATACATAGGAAAAATGTCATTAAAAAAAAAAAAGTCCTCAATGGTAAAGTGAAGAGGCCGGATGTAATGGCCTTGAAGGTTTTATCCATCTGTTAAGGCTTTTTATTCTATCTAGTGTTGTCTCAGCTTAAAGGGAATATATAAAAAGCAACTGACATTAACACTAACTCTTCCCAACGTTACTCAGATTGCCTGCAACAGGCTATAGAAAAAGAAGATGCAGAGGTGAGGCAGGAAAGGGCAGCTGTAAAACCCCAATTTTTCTTTTATTGTTCTTTGCTTTGTATGATTACTCCACACGCTTTAAGTATTGTTATGTCAAACTAAAGTCGCTGAAAAATAATCTTTTGCTGGGAATTCTTTAAAAATTTTTTGTTCTCTTTTAAACCTTATTTATAAAGGTTTCCAGATGCTTATCCTCACACATTAAACCCAGTATGATGTAGACACATACAATAATATTCACTGCTATGAAGCCAAGAAAAAACTACTTGAAGATCTAACTGCCTATCACTGAAAGAATCGGGGTCCAGAGAATTTTCTGGTGCTATTAAGGGTGTGATTCTCTGAAGTCATTTGGAAACAACCTAGTTTCTCAGCAGCAACACATCTATCCTGTACTGTGTCAAAGCACATCAAATGGTTGGCATTCCAAGCATCGAACAGGTTATTTCTCATTATGCGAATACATAATGAAAGGATGTGGGCAAAGAACAGAATGCAAATTGGAAGCTGACTTCTGACTTTAACAGCCAGCAGTGCTGGGCTCAAACAGTCATTCTAATTTCAAGAGACAATTCCAAAGTGGTTCTCAAGAGAAAGGACAGAGTATTTTTAAAATATTTGTTCAATGTGAATGGATTGGGCTTGCCAAAAATGACTTTTTATGCTGGCATGCGATCTCTTAGAGGGAAGTCAGCCTGAGTCACTGGATACATCAAAGGTAGAGTCCAGTGAATGGAATTACTGCAGGCTGTGTGAACAAGCCAGATACCCGCATTCATCTGCCCACTGCTGGGATTTCAGCCCTCCTTTTAATTACATTAAAGCAGCTGGTACCACTGGTTACTGAAGTCTTCAGATTACCTTGATTGCTTGGTCATTATCTCTAATCAGCTGCTTCTTCTCATCTTCAAACTTTTGTCTAACATCCTGGAGCCGCCTTTCTGCAGCAAGCTGCTGCTGGCTGTTCTCTTCTTTCAGAGAGGAAATGGTTGTCTGAAGTTCTGCTATGATCTAAAATGAAAACAGCATGCTATAACTTCAAATTCTTCTGGGAGAGGCATCTATTTTATATGTATTGATGCTTAACAAAAGAATGGATTTGACAAAACTCTATTCCACAAATTAAATATTTTCAATTAACATATCACACACTATAATGCATGAAATACCACACAATAAAAGACTTTAATAAAAATGTGAATGGTGAACAACTGCTGAACCAAATATACTTGGAAGACGTTTCCACTCTAACATTCCACAATATTTACTCATCAGAAGAAAGAACATCTGTGATCTCAAAAATATGAAAAGTGTCAGATTTTATTTTACTGAGAAATATACTTATTAGAATGAGAAAAGCTATTCTGCTTTTCATAATACTTTGAACTGTAATAACCAAAGAAAATAATGAACAGAGTTTATTCTTCAGTCACCTAATTCTATACAGTAATTTTTGGGAATTCACTAATGTTTGTGTATTGTGTTTAACACTTTAAGTTCTTATGTCATTTACTACTGTGAAACAGGTATTATTATTGCCTTTTATTTTTTTTTTTAATTTTAATTTTTTTTGAGATGGAGTTTCGTTCTTGTTGCCCAGGCTGGAGTGCAATGGCGTGATCTTGGCTCACTGAGACCTCCACTTCCTGGGTTCAAGTGATTCTCCTGCTTCAGCCTCCCGAGTAGCTGGGATTACAGGTGCCCGTCACGATGCCCAGCTAATTTTTTGTATTTTTAGTAGAGATGGGGTTTCATAATGTTGATCAGGCTGGTCTCGAACTCCTGACCTCAGGTGATCCACCCACCTCGGCATCCCAAAGTGTTGGGATTACAGGCGTGAGCCACTGTGCCCGGCCTGCCTATCTTTTATAAATGAGGAAACAGAGGCACAGAAAGAGGACAAATACCTTACGTTGTTGAAAATGACATCCAACTAAAGAGACAGGCAGGATTTGAACCATGCAGTCAGACCAATCACTGCACTAATTGGGTCCTTTAACCTGCCGACTTTATGGGTTTTTTTGTGTTTTTTGTTTGTTTGTTTGTTTGTTTGTTTGTTTGTTTTGAGACGGAGTCTTGCTCTGTTACCCAGGCTGGAGTGCAGTGGTGCAATCTCGGCTCAATGTAACCTCCACCTCCCGGGTTCAAGTGATTCTCCTGCCTCAGCCTCCTGAGTAGCTGGGACTACAGGCCACCAGGCCTGGCTAATTTTTGTATTTTTAGTAGAGACGAGTTTCACCATATTGGCCAGACTGGTCTCGAATTCCTGACCTTGTGATCTGCCCGCCTTGGCCTCCCAAAGTGCTGGGATTACAGGCGTGAGCCACCATGCTTGGCCACTCCGTTATGTTTCTTTAAAACAAGGTTTTGGTATTGCAGGGAAGTTTATACTTCCAAATAGGTTGTCCTCTTCCTAACTCATGGATAGTTATTTTGGTTTACATGGTGCCATTTTCATTCACTCCTGTAGTATTCCCTGCATTTAAGAATCTGTTCTCTCCAGACAGCGTTCTTCTAACTTCTCAAATTAACCATCTGATGAGAAACTTTTATATTTAATTGGCCTTATGAGAGCACTGTCCTTCCTTTGGTTTGGATGTATCCATTTCCTTGCAAATTCAATAGTGATGACTTTTTAAAAGCAGGAAATAGTTGTTTCTTCTAATAAAAGAAACAACATTAGACCCACGTTAGAATATAATTCTTTTGGTCCTAAGCAGAGGGGAGGGCAGTTGGTGAGAAACTCTGGACAAGTTATCTTTCTTGAAGCTCAGTTTTTCCAACTATTATTTGGTGACAAAACAAGATTACAGCATTATAAGGCAATAAATAGAAACTGTCTGGAGTCCCCCAGAGGCCAAATGCTATAGAAATACTAGTTGTTACTACTGACATAAATAATAGCATCTTGACAATAAAATATGGAGTATTTATGCTTTGAGAAGTGAGCAAATTCACTATACCAAAGTTTGACACTTGGAATTTGTCAATAATCAAATATTTAGCCGATTGTGAAATGACAAAATATATAATAACAACATGTCAATATTATTACATGCAAACTTCAGCCTTCTGCTATGAGTGGAGGCATTCATTTACTGAGAATGAAGATGTTTTCATCCATTTTCTGAATTTTGATTAAATATTGTTTCCATTCTGGCATCAATTCAATTAATTCTCATAGCACTTCTGTGAAACAGGAAAGGTTAAATTCTCATAGTAAATGTCAAAAATTGATGCAGAGAACAATCAACTCACAGTCACAGAGCCAGAGGAGCCAGGGATAAAAAAGAGTCAGATTTCCTTGGCCTAATATGAAATTTAAGATTGATCTTTTATGAGAACATGGGGCCAAATAGTAAAAAACAACTTACTATTTCAATGTTTTAAGCTGAGTAAACTATAACTTTGTAGAAGTGGGTTTAATTCTGGAGAGAGAAGGAGGGCAAGGCAGAGAATGACAGAGAGAGGGTGCGTGTGTGTGTGTTTAGTTCTGCGCAGTTTAACACATGTATAGATTCATATATCCACAACTGCAGTCATGTGATATATTTTTAAAGTACAAAGTAATTTTTTCTTTAAAAAATACTAAGATTGAGACTAGCTTGTAACTGACCAAAGAATAAAGATAAAAATATCCTGGGATACTTCAAACGGTCAAAGGCCATGGAACAGGGACATTTCTCATTTTCAGAACATTTAGGACAAAATAATTCAGGTTTTGAGGCGGCCGGATCACCTGAAGCCAGGAGTTCGAGACCAGCCTGGCCAACATGGCGAAACCCCGTCTCTTCTAAAAATACAAAAAATTAGCTGGGTGTGGTGACACATGCCTGTAATCCCAGCTACTAGGGAGGCTGAGGCTGGAGAATCACTTGAACCCGGGAGGCGGAGGCCGCAGTGAGCCAAGATTGCGCCATTTCACTCCAGCCTGGGCAACAAGGGTAAAACTCCATCTCAAAAAAAAAAAAAAAAAAAAAAAGAAAAGAAAAGAAAAAAATGCAGGTTTTGGAAAGGACTACAAGTGAAGTCCAGGATGTTCTAAGAAGGACGTGCTTGCTTTTGTGTGGAAAATAAAACCTTACATTCTTTGGGGGAATAAGGAGAGATTCCTCTGGGGAAAATAATGAGATTATTTTTGGAAAGATATTTTTAAAACTTAGGAAGGCGATATAAGGGGCAGAATGTTAAAACACTTCAGGTGAAACACTTGGCTAGATAAATAGATAAATTATTTGGTTAAAAGACTCACAGGTGATACGGATATGGAACAGTAACTAAAATAAGGATAATTAAAAAAACAAGATTTAATACTTTAAGATTGAGAAATAATCATAATAATCAGATTAACATGCTTCAGGTAAGGAACAAAACTCTACTGGTTGTAGACCCAGAGTATAAGAAAATGGACTACTTTCTCCTTAGCTCAGTGTATGTAATAACTGGCACCCAGTTTAAGTGGTAGAACTATAATCATGGTAAGTAATAAAAAGCCATCACCTGGCAAATTGAATTCAGATAACCTACCCTTCTCATAGAATAATAATGTTAAAAGTTTCTAAGAAAAATGAAAGCTAATATATACAATCATAATCAAAACCCTCCAGTTTTGATTGAATCATAATTAAAAACCATAGAACAAAATGCTAGCACTCAACTAAATGTTTATACTGTATTAGTTTCAATGAAAGAAGCAGATTAGAGAATTTTCATATGGATATTAAAAATTAGTATTTTCAGAAACAAAAAGGAGAGCTATTTTGAGCTGATGGTGTAAGCATCCGAACTCATGAAAGTCATAATAGTTAATAATAATTGTTAAGCAATTAACGCTTTGCAAAAATGTTAGTGGTCTTAAAAAAAAAACAAAAACAGGATCCTAAATAGGGGTTAGGATTTCATCTTCAACTCATTCTATTGCTTTTCAGTTTGTAGTACAGTTTGAGACTTTTATAAAACTCTTCTTTAAAATATAATACAATAAAGAAGACAAGCTACTTAAGAAGCCATGCTTAGGAACGTTAGGTGAACACTGACGCTCCTCACAAAATAAGTGGATGCCTTGTGCATTCTGGGTTGGCCCCCAGGAGGCTGGCATAGAGATGGGCACAGGGGTCATGTGGAATATTCCCAGGTACTAATATGCATCAGGCATTGGGTAGTGTGGGACAGTGGTAGGAGACACTCGTCCCTTGGCAGCAGGCAAGCTCAACTGACATTCCAACTTCAGTCCTGCCCATGTTTCTAACTATGGACATTCTGGCAAAATGGCAGTATCTTTCCTTGAAAAATGGCCACTAGGTGACTAGGCTGAGTGGGGAAAACTATATTAATATTGAAGAGGCAAGGTTAATACATAATCACTTATTATTTCAATGTTTTAAGCGGACTAAACTCCAGCACTCACCACCACTGCAGTGTATGCATCGTCTCCATTCTTTTCTTAAGATAAAAAAAAATGTGATTCTGATGGAAATGATATTTGGGGGCGTGCCCAGAGATGATGCAAACACTGCAGTGGTGGCGAGGGTGAGTGCTGCAGATCTCAGAACGGGGCACAGGTCTCAGGTGTGCCAAAGTTTCAGTGTACACGGTCTATTAGGTCCTACAGGCTTGATAAAATCATGAAAAGTAAGCAGCTTCCTCTAAAGGAGGAAAATCTTTAAAATATTTTCCAAATTTAATCTTATGCTCTCTGAGGTACCAACACATTCATTACTAATGCATTCATTTTCTTTTTTTCAGAGAGGGATTTTTAAAAACCCAACAGAGTTAAGCACTTTGCTTTTAGTGTTCTCATCAGCCTAATGAGATATGAGTTAGAGATTCCAACAAACTATCACTTAAATATGGAGAGATCCAATCCACAGTCTTGTTTTATAATGCTCATTTTTAAATAATCTGACATGCTTCTCTGAACTGACTGGCATTGTAGACTAATGCTTCTCAAATGCCAGTTCACAGATATAAATATTTAGAAGTTGGCAAACAAAATATTATCAATGTAAGGTTATCATCCTAACTTTTATGAGAAGGATGGACTATCTTTGATTATATTACATCCTTTCTAAGAATTTTTTGGTGTTGCGCTGTCCCTTGATTAATGAAATGATGGTAATAGTATATGATAGTTGTTACTAGTTGCTTTTTCCTTCTCCACCTTCAAGTCTTTTCTTGGGAAAACAGTTAGCAACCCTGTGCCTCTCCAAGCTTTTCAGGGAGATTTTATCACCTTGTGAACACCCAAAAACATGGTGTCTGAAGCAATAATTTGTTCCACCTTCCAAACCTTTTTTCATTCTTCCCTGCCTCCTTTCCTCTTTCTCTATGGCAATTTTAGTGCTGATACTATAATAATTCACATTCGTTAAGTGCTTTAGTGTGTACTAGGTACTATACTGAACACATTTTTGGCATTGTTTTACTTAATAGTTAAAACCATCCTATGAGGTTAGTACTGCTCCTCCATTTGACAAATGAGGAAATTGAATTCCAAAGAGGGCGGGTAACTTGCTCAAGGTCACGGAAGTGGTAGGGCTGGTATTCAAATCCAGGGGTGCTGGACTCCAGAGCTCAGGCTTTCTTCTGCATTAACTTACATTTAATTTGTTTTAACATCAACTAATCAGGCTTCTTCATACATTCCTTTAGATAAATACTCCTGTTTACACTCTCATTATTTAGGCATTTTTATTAGCTATCTTATATCTCACTCTCGGTCTGCTTCCCCCATTTAACGTAAAGCGAAATAAGCAGGATGTTAGGATATGCCAACTGGGGATTTTTAATGTTTTAATTTAAACTTTAACTTTTGGCCTAAATAGATTTCTTTTGATTGCAAGAATCTTTTTCAGTGGATTAAAAGGATATTTCTCCATGTTCCTTCCTCAAGGAAGGGCTGGAATAATGGCAATCAAGACATAATCATCATTTCTTACATAAACATATACGACTCTTCATTTGGACAAAGACTTTTTGCTTTTCTAATGGGATGTGAATTAGTAGAACTGAAATTTTAGGCCAGGTGCGGTGGCTCATGCCTGTAATCCCAGCATTTTGGGAGGATGAGGAGGGAGGATCACCTGAGGTCAGGAGTTCAAGACCAGCCTGACCAATATGGTGAAACCCTGTCTCTACTAAAAATACAAAAAATTAGCTGGGCGTGGTGGCGGGCACCTGTAGTCCCAGCTACTCGGGAGGCTGAGGCAGGAGAATGGCGTGAATCAGGGAGGTGGAGCTTGCAGTGAGCCGAGATTGCACCACTGCACTCCAGCCTGGGCAACAGAGCGAGGCTCTGTCTCAAAAAAAAATAAATAAATAAAATAAAATAAAATAAAAGGAAGGGATTGGGCCAGGCTGGTAGTGTTAAGGTTAAGAACTTCCACTTTGAAGTCAGATCCAGACTGGGTCCTGGCTGAGTCACTTGCCAACTTGTGTGATCTTATCTCTCTAAATCTCAGTTTTCGCAAATGGAAAAATGGCACCAGTAATAGTTCCTAATTCCAGAGTTATTGTGAAAGACTGAATGAGTCAACATGGTTAGTGCCCCATGAACATTAGATATTATTATCTTTTTGTTGTTGTTGTTACTACTATTATGTGGCATTATGTGGTAGTATGGTAAATTCTAGTTTACTAACCAAATACCACTGTATATATATATAAAAATATGAAGACAAGCTGATTTTAACAATCATTAGATATGCTCACAAAACCAAATGGCTTAACTTACCTACCTGCAAAGTAAAGATAAGTAGTATTTATTTGTTCTAGAATCACTTATACAAGTAAGGAATACTTGGAGTTCCTTAAATGATACTACTGGATATCACTATAATAACTTATGCTGAAAAAGTACTCTGAGCATCATATTTCAAATAGAGACAGGCATTCAATTATTGGCCTTTCTTATACTAAAACTACAACAGTAAGTACAAATAGCAAGTTATGGATGTAGGGACTTAGAATTCTCTTTGTCCTAAAAAGAGTCAACAGTTGAGCCGCAGACTTAACCTAGAATTATTTGTCATTTTGAATTTTGTTTGAAGAAGCCTTTGGTAGAGCAAAATGGAGTATTACCAAAAAAGCACAGATAGTACCAAACTGCTTACATCACAAATGTAGGTGTGTATCTCCTGTCCTTGTGAAGTATGTTTCAGCCTGGGCTTGTTCAAGTGTATAGGCTGGTTTTACAACATCTGAGAGTGTGTGTATGTGTGTGTGTGTGCATGTGTGTGTTGTTTCAAATGGTTAAATATGCCTAATTTTTCTTGATTTTTAATGACTGAAATATTAAAACCATATTGTTTATTTGTATACCCATAAAAATATGATACCATTCCACAAAAAAAAACTGAAAAGAATGAAGTTTAACTTGAAAGTGCCAAGGCTTTTATGTGGAGGTTTCATTTTTGTTTTGGTTTTACCCTGTTTTGTGTCTTTTAATGTTGCTTACCTGTGAAGATTTGGCAAGCTTCTGAGTGTATTCCTTCTCAATCTGCTTCAGCTTGCTGTTGGCCTGAAAAACACATGTACATGAACACATACACAGTGACCTGTGAGCTTGGTATCTCTTCCACATGCCTATCACCAGGCAGCTGGGATGCCTGCCAGCTGCACCGCCCTTCTGGGGCAGCCAGAAAACCACAGGGCTTGTCTTTGATGTTACGCCAACTATTCATCACTTAAAAAGCAAAAAAAAAAAAAAGATCTCTTCTGCCAATTATTAGACAAACATAAGACTTCTGTGGATAGAAAGAGAAAGGGAGAAAGAGAGACAGAAATAGACACAGCAAAAGTATGAAGGCTCAGAAGGTAAAGTAAGGGAAAGAGAGAAGAAACAAGAGGGGCAAGGAAAAGGGAGAGGGAAGTGAAGGAAGAAGAAAGGAAGGTAAATTTAATACTTTTTCACCTTAATTAAAAAAATAAAAGGAATAGATGCTTCTGGACAAAGGAGATATGGGATTTTGAGAATCACTGAGCAGAGGTGAGCCCCTACTCTGCCAAATACATAAGAGCTAATTTTTACAGTGACAAATGTATCTAAATCAAACAAGTTTTAAGTTTTATGTCCTGGAAATAGGGTGGCCTTTCCACAATCAGTCCACATTGCTTAGAACTTGGTTATCCCCTCTGCCACTCAAGTTCCAATTCTTTTTATGTGATCTGTTTTCTGCTCTCTGGAAACTTTTGGGATCTTTATTTCATCGTCAAGGTTTAAAAATGTCACAGTGACGTGCCCTAGACTGTGTCTTTTCCCCATCAATCATGCGGGCACTAAAGAGGCTCTTTCACTCTGAACTTGTGTCCTTTACTACTGGGAAAGGCTGGTCATTACTCTCATGATTTCTCTCGTCTCTCTGTACGTCTGTTTCTCTCCCTGAGTATGTCTCTCCCTGCAACTCTGATTTTGTACCTCTTAGATTTAGTGTCTCTTTTTCTTGTTGTTTCTATGTTCCATTTGTCTTTTTGATTATTCTTAGAATTTCCTCAACTTTTACCTAAAACTTTATATTCTGCCATCATATTCATAATTCCCAACAGTTCCTTTTTGTTCTTTGAACAGCATCATCATTAACATCCCTCTTTTTACAGATGAGAAAACGAAGACACAGAGAGGGTAAGTAACTTGCCCAGCATCACACAGCTAGGAAGTGATGAAGCCAGGACACAAACTCACACTTTGGCTGCAGAGCACAGGTGCTCCACCAGTGAGAGCACTGCGTCATGCCTTGCAATACAGTCCTTCTATCTATCTATCTATCTATCTATCTATCTATCTATCTATCTATCTATCTACTGTTCCTTTCATCCATCCATCCATCCATCCATCCATCCATCCATCCATCCATCCATCCATCATCTGTCTATATGTCTATAACTATCTATCTACACATATATTTTAATTTTTTTCTGCTCAGTAGAGTGTGTGTGTGTGTTTCTGAGTTCCCTTTGTTTATTTACTTTCACCTGTCTGTTTTGGTCTTTGTCTTTCACTTTAGATACTTTCCTCAAATATCTGGTGATCTTTGATGTCCTTTCTTATTCAAAGTGAGGTCTCCAAAGCTGGATAGAAGAATCTTGCATATATGTATGGGTTTGTGGATGGGTGGGCATCACTGCAGGGTGTGTTACAAAGGGGCCTGGACTCTCCCATGCCAGCATCTGACTGGATTTCCCTCTTGGATCAGTTTGCCCAGAGCTGCATCCTCCAGTTTCCTGCCAGGCAGCACAAATCTGATGGCCAGTATTTTCAGAAGGGCATCAAGGTGTTCAGGAGAGTGACTCTCGTGCAAGGCTAGCCTCACATTTCTCCTCAACTGTACCTGAGGCCCTTTCTCATTCCACCTCTCCAGAGAACAAACCAGGGATAGGGATGGGGGCAGTCTTGGGATAAAATCTGGGCCATCTGTCCCAAATGCAGACTTTCAACCAATCTTCCAGTTCTTCACTTCACCCCATACCCAGTCTCTCCAATTCCTGAACCTTCCCAAAGTTCTACCACAGGAAAGATCTTGCTGCTTCTAATGGGTATCCTTCAGGTCTTCCTTCCCCCAGAAATTGTTCAGTTTTTAGGATTATTAGTTCTGCTAAGTTAATTTCAGGCCCAGCCTTTTTCAAGTTCTCAATGCTATTGATTTCTTATGTGTATGGTTGTCTCTTATTTTCTTTGAAAAAATATATAGTATAAAAATCTTGATGCCTGAGTCTCATCTGCAGAGGTTCTGATTCAATTTATCTGGGCTACAGGCTGGACACTAGGATTTTTAAAAATCTCTGCTGCTATTTCAAAAGTTCAGCCAAGGTTAAAAACCACTGGTTCATGCCTTTTTCAATTTCCTTACTTTCATTTTGATGGGACTTCCTCAGGGAGTAGAGATAAAAACAGGTGAGTTCTGTCCACTACCTTTAGTTGGAAGCAAATGATTTGTTTATTTTCATATCACAAATAGGGTGAGGAAGCAATCCCGTGCTCACAGCCCACTCCAGGCTCACCTCTATGGTAGTACTAAGGCTGAATTAGTCATTGTTGGTTAACCTGTCTTTTTCCCACTAGATAATGAGATCCTAGAAGGCAGCTCCTAGCCCCTAACATAGTGTTTGGGGCATAATTGTCCATCTAATGAATGAGTGGATGCCGTACAAGCCCTTTGCCTCTTCTATCGCCTCAGTCCATACCTTTGAAGTTTTCTTTTCATAACCATTTTTTTACGGACTTAAGTTCAAAACCAATTCTTTAGAGTTCATTCCATAAATCTCTTTGTATCTATAATCCCATCGAGTACACAGGGTAGTTCTGTTTCTTCCAGAATAGAGAGGGCATGTGACTATTGCTATTTTTCTAGTAAGTCATCAGACTTGACTCCAGCTCTATTATGATTAAAGCCACTCTCCACCAGAATTAGGGCTACTCTGAACCTCTTGAGGTTTATTTGTCTTGGCTCACATTCTGTCACTATTTTTTTTTGTCACAAAATGCTTAATAAAGTATTTGTTGCTTTTAAAATAAACGCTTAATAGAACTCATACCATGTCCCAGGCACTGTTCTAAGTGCTTTAAAAATATTCACCCACTAGAAAATCTAAAAATTAATTCTAGTGTCATAAAGATGAGGTTACTTTTCCCTAAAAATGCTAGAGTCACGGATAATAGTTAGTGCAGGAAGGCCTGTGTCTTGGTGTGAGCTACTCTTCATGAGTTTATGGCCAGCCCCCAAATCTCACAAACCCAATGAAGCTCCTTTATAACTAAATATCCAATTCATTCATCCACTCTAGGCAGCTGGACAGCAGCAATGAACAAAACAGCCAAGAATCTCTCTCCATTTTTATGAAACATCTAGAGAGTAAACAAAGTAACTTTGAAAAGTTACATGGTGCAAGGCCTATGGAGAAGTATCAATCAAGAAAGAGAGAGAGGAAGTGATAAAAGTTAGGGGGTACTTTATAATTTTAAAAATACTGAAGTAACAGATGGCCTCCCTGAGAGGGTGACGTATGAACAAAGACCTGTAGGAGATGAGGGTAACCTCTAGGGAAACAGCATTCCAGGCAGAAGGAAGAACCCATGCAAAGGCCCTGAGGCAGAGGCATGCACAGCATGTTCAAGACACAGTATGGAGGCCAAGAGCAGTGGCTCACACCTGTAATCCAGCACTTTGGGAGGCTGAGGCTGGCAGATCACTTTAGGCCAGGAGTTCGAGACCAGCCTGGCCAAAATGGTGAAACCCTGTCCCTACAAAAAATACAAAAATTAGCCAGGTGTGGTGGTGCATGCCTGTAATCCCAGCTACTTGGGAGGGTGAAGCAAGAGAATCATTTGAACTGGGAGGCGGAGGTTGCAGTGAGCTGAGATCGTGCCACTGTGCTGCAGCCTGGGCAACACAAGCTTCTGTCGCAAAAAATAAAATAAAATAAAATAAGATAAAATAAAATAAAATACAATACAGTGTAGAGGTCAGTGTGGTTGGATCAGTGCAACCAGTGGAGCACTGGCTCCTTCAGACAACACAGGGCTGTGAGAGAACCAGGTCCTGCACGGTGTTGAACGTGATTGTAAGGAATTCGGCTTTTAAGATCACTGAAACAGAGCCACTGAAGGGGTTTGTGTTAGTCCATTCCTGCACTGCTACAAACCAAACACTGCATGTTCTTACTTGTAAGTGGGAGCTGAACGGTGAGAACACATGGACACATGGGGGCGGGACCCACTGGAGCCTGTTGGGGGTTGCGGGGAGGGAGAGCATCAGGAAGAATAGCTAATGCGTGCTGGGCTTGATACCTAGGTATGGGTTGGTCTGTGCAGCAAACCACCATGGCACACGTTTACTATGTAACTAAACTGCACATCCTGTACATGTAGCCCAGAACTTAAAATAAAAGTTGAAAAAGAAAAAAAAATACAAATAAAAATAATAAAAAGAGAAATACCCAAGTCTGGGTTAATTTATAAACAAAAGAGGCTTAATTTGCTCATGGTTCTGCAGGGTGTACGGGAAGCATGGCTGGGGAGGTCCCAGGTAACCTGCAATCGCAGTGGAAGTTGAAGGGGAAACATGCATATCTTCACATGCCCAGAGCAGGAGAAAGAGAGGTGGAGAGGTAATACACACTTTCAAACAACCAGATTGCATGACAACTCACTCACTGTTATAAGAACAGCACCAAGGGGGAAATCTGCCCCTATGATCCAACCACTTCCCACCAGGCCCCACATCCAACACTGGGGATTACAATTTGACCTGAGATTTGGGCGGGGACACACACCCAAACCATTTCAGGGTTTCAGTATAGGAGAAATATATCCTTTGACATAGGTTTTAATAAGGCCACTCCAGCTTTTGTTTGGGGCAAGAATGAAGCAAGTAAGACAGTTAGGAGGGTACTGCAAATAATCTAGGATGGCAATAGAGGAGGTGGTGAGAAGGGGTCAGATTGGAGAAAAATTAGAAAGTAGAACCAACTGGACATACCGTATAATGGAAAGAGATGAGTCAAGGATGACTTCAAGATTTTTGTCCTAAGCAACTAGATGAATGAGGTTGTCATTACCTAACATGGGAAAAGTTACAGGTGAAATAGGGTTTGCAGAGAAGTTTAATAAGTTTGTACTTATTAAACTTGGAGATGCCTATTAAATGTGCAGTATTGAAGTATCTGGGTATTCAAGTCTTGAGTTTATGGTTTAAGGTCTAGGTTAAAACTATGAATTCAGAAGTCATCAGTTTATATAGGGTGTGTGAAACCATGCTACTGGATGAGATCCCAAGATATCCAGTGTATATACTGGATGAGATCCCAAGTATACACAAGAAAGCAGAGGTCTAAGTATACTCAGCCCTGGGCCTGCAAATGTTAGGAGGCTGGGACATGAGGAGGAAACAGACAGAAGTAATAGCCACAGAGTCAAGAAATCAGGATAGGCTGGTGGCTCATGCCTGTAATCCCAGCACTCTGGGAGGCCAAGGCAGGTGGATCACCTGAGGTCAGGAGTTCGAGACCAGCCTGACCAACATGGTGAAACCCCATCTCTACTAAAAATACAAAAAAATTAGCTGGGCGTGGTGGCGGAAGCCTGTAATCCCAGCGACTTGGGAGGCTGAGGCAGAATAATCACTGGAACCTGGGAAGTGGAGGTTGCAGCGAGCTGAGATCGTGCCATTGCACTCCAGCCTGTGTGATGCAGCAAGACTCCGTCTCAAAAAAAAAAAAAAAAAAAAAAAAAAAAGAAATCAGGATAATACGGAATCTTGAGCCAACTGAAGAAAAGTGTTTCAAGGACTACTCAGTTGTGTCAAATGCTACAGAGAGGCCATAGAAAGTGAGGCCTGAGAATTGATCACAGTAGTTTGGCAACATGGAGGTCACTGGTGATAAGGATAAAAGAAATTTTGTTGTAGTGGGAGACATGAAATCTGGATTAAAGGAAATTCAGAGAGGAGAGGCATTGGAATTTGTTCAGAATTTTATTAAAAGGGAAGGTGAGAAATGAGATGGAAGCTGCCCAAGAAGCGGGTGAATAGAGAGGTGAATTGTTTTGTTTTTTGGTAAGTTGAGGAAATTAACAGCATGTTTGTAGGCTGATAGGAAAGATCTAGCAGTAGAGAGGGAGGAAAAAAACCAGATGATGCCAGAGCTTTCCTAGAGACATGTCCTTGAGTTAAGGGGAGGGCTATGTCATGGAGTGAACTGTGTCCTCCCCAAATTCCTATGTTATGTTGCAACCCTAAACCCCAATTTGACTGTATTTGGAGATAGGGCCTTTGGTGAGGTAATTAAGGCAAAATGAGGTCATAAGGGTGGGGCCCTACTCCAACAGGATAGGTGTCATTATAAGAAGAGGAAGAGACACCCATCTTTCTCTGCCTGTCTCTCTGTATGCACACACAGGAAAGGAAACAGCAAGAATGTAGCAAGAGGCCTCAGGAAAGCAATCCTGATACCACCTTGATCTTGGGCTTCTAGCTTCCAGAGCTGTGAGAGAATGAATTTCTATGGTTTAAGCCACCCAGTCTGTGGTGTTCTGTTATGGCAGCCCAAGCCAGCTACTACAGGGTGGGACGAGGGGAGGAGATGGCCTCTGCTGGAAGTGCAGGCAAATGATCCCCCAGGAACAATGATGGGAGCTTCTGATTGCTCTCATTATCTCTGCAAAGTAGGAAGAAAGATTCATCAGCTGAGCATGAGGATGGTAGAAAACATCTTTGGGAAATTTCAGAAGTGAAGGAAGGCATAAAATAGTCATCTAAAAAAAGCAGGAAAGGGAAAAGACAGAGAAATCCAGTATGAGTCCCAGGACTCCAGGAAGCATCAGGACCCACTTGAAATTGCCAATGCTGAATTTAAAATGAGGCCAGTCTGTACAGAAGCACTTCTGGAATTTGCTAACAGCTAAATAGAGTAGAATCAATACTTTAGAGAATACGAGTAACCAAAGGAATAAAATTAACTGATCAACTTTTGTGGTTTTTACTATTAATATTTTCTTCAGTGTAAATCATAGCTGCCTGAATTCCTGAACCCCTCTTATATAAATCTAAAAAGCTCTGGTTTATCATGGTTGAAAATTCATGGCTAACTTATCAGGCAAACTGTCCCTAAAGCATTTTTTGAATAGCTTTAGTATCAAGATGGTACTGAGTGTACATTTCATTTCCCTGCTTAAAGGAAGGCTTAGTTATTTTAAACCAAGTCTTATTTTTATAGCTATCATTTGTATATAGAAACACAATTTTTAAACAACTACCAGCAGCATAACTTGAACAAATATATAACAGAAGAGGAGGGAACCACAATTTGGGAACCACATAGTGAGACAGGGTCTCACTATGTTGCTCAGGCTGGACTCAAACTCCTAGGCTCAAAGGATCCCTCAGCATCGCAAGTAGCTGGGATTACAGGTACATGACACTGCCCTTGGCTCTGCTCTATTTTTATTATTTCCTTTCTTCTGCTACTTCTGCAAAGTAGTAGTAGAAATAGTAGTAGTCATAGTAGTAGTAGTGGTCGTTGTTTTCATCTTTGGTTCTTTCTGACTGTTGCCATTTCTGATTGGTTGTGCCCGTCCTCCTCCAGACAGTATTCAGTTCTCATCTGTTTTTCTAGGGCTGCTTCCTCAGATCATTCTCCTTATTAAAGAGCCCAATGTATTGGTTCACTTTTAATTCCTAACAAAAGCTTGGGTTTAAAACTCAATTAGAAAGGGGGAAAAATACGACCAATTTACAAAAGTGTCCATGGTTGTAATTATCTTAATGTGCTACCCTTTTCTTTGCATTATGCCTCAATTTTTAAAAAGTCCTTCATTCCTTCATTTTCCATTTCCTATCATTAATGGTGAAGGTTCAGGCATTCATGATTTCCAGGAAAGTGATTTGGAGAGAAGAAAATTAGGAGATTTGTCTAAAATATTTATATTTAAGGCAAGCCCAGATCTTACTATGATAGCTTTAAAATATAATAGCTATGTCTTTAAAATCTTCAAATATCTTTAAAATATAATAGCATAAGTTTCTGAATAAAATAGTTGTTTTAGGCTGAAAGAAAGCAAGAATGCTTCCCAGATCCTAGAAACATGGCATAAAGCTCAGATAATTATGCACTACTACTTTCTATTCAAAAGCTTTGTAGGCATCTATTTGAACCTTCTTGGAACACTATTGTCAGAGGCGTATGAACCAGAGCAACTCCATCTTGAATAGGGGATGGGTAAAATGAGGCGGAGACCTACTGAGCTACATTCCCAGGAGGTTAAGGCAGTCGAAGTCACAGAATGAGAGAGGAGGTAGGCACAAGATACAGGTCATACAGACCTTGCTGATAAAACAAGTTGCAGTAAAGAAGCCAGCCAAAACCCACCAAAACCAAGATGGTGATAAGAGTGACCTCTGGTCGTCCTTGCTGCTACACTCCCACTGGCACCCTGACAGTTTACAAATGCCAAGGCAATGCCAGGAAGTTACCCTATATTGTCTAAAAAGGGGAGGCATGAATAATCCACCCCTTGTTTAGCATGTAATCAAGAAATAACCATAAAAGTGGGCAACCAGCAACCCTAGGGGCTGCTCTGTCTATGGAGTAACCATTCTTTTATTCTTCTATTTCCTTGATAAATTTGCTTTTACTTTGCGGACTCAACCCTGAATTCTTTCTTGCGCGAGATCCAAGAACCCTCTCTTGGGGTCTGGATGGAGTCCCCTTTCATGTAACACTATGAATCCAGTTATGGCCAGCCTGGTAAAACTCCGCACCATCCTACCAGCAAAAATATTTAGAAAATTTATAACAAATATTTGTATTTAATTTTAAATATTTACAAAACATTCAAACTTGAAAATAATCTGTATTTTACTTCAAAATAAATGTGCAAATTTGTAAAACAGTAAAATTCATGACTGCTGCCCTGGCTGTGATGAAGTAACTGCCACAGTAAACAATGAGAAAACTGGACAAAACAAAGGAGAAACTGTTTTAGGATATCAGGCAACAGGAAGCAGAGGATTGTGACCCAAAGAGAAGGGAAACAAATGAGGTAAGCGCTCATTTAGTTGTTCTTTGATTTATTTAATTCTTCTCTGATTCTTTCATCAGAATTCTGTAGATTTCATCATATAAATCTCATACATACAGATGGTTCTTGACACGCAATGGCATTTCACCCCGATAAATCTGTTGTAAGTACAAAGTATCTTAAGTAGAAGATGCATTTAATACCTCGATAAACCCATTGTAAAGTCAAAAAAATCATGAAGTTGAACCTTTGTAAGTCAGGGACAGTTATTATAGACGTATACCTAAGTAGTTAATTTTGGGGGTACTAATGTAAATAGTATTGTGTTTTTGGTTTAAAATTCCACTTATTCATTGCTGGTATAAATGAAAGCAGTTGATTTTTATTTATTAACCTTGCATCCTGTAAACTTGCTATAATCACTTATCAGTTCCAAGAGTTTGTCGATTCTTTTGGATTCTCTATATAGACAATCACATCATCTGCAAACAAAGAGAGTTCTATTTCTTCCTTTCCAATCTGTATACCTCTTATTTCCTTTTCTTGTGTATTGCATTAACTAAGATTTCTTTGATGTTAAAAAGGAGTGGTGAGAGGGGAATCACAATCAATGCCCTGTTTCTGATCTTAGAGAGAAAGCTTCTACTTTCTCACCATGAAGTTCAATGTTAGCTGTAGGTTTTTTGTAGATGTTCTTTATCAAGTTGAGGAAGTTCACCTCTATTCCTAGTTTGCTGAGATTTTTTTTCATGAGTGGCTGCTGAATTTTATCAAATGATTTTTCTGCATCTATTAATATGATCATATGATCACACAGATGCGATTGATTACATTCGCTGATTTTCAAATGTTGAGACAGCCCTGCATAACTGGGATACATTCCACTTGGCTCTGGTATATAATTCTTTTTGTACATTGTTAGATCAGTTTGCTAATATTTTGTTAAAGATTTTTTCATTTATGTTAATGGAATATAATGGTTAATAGATTTTTTTTCTTATAATGCTTCTGTCTGGTTTTGGTATCAGGGTAATGCTGACCTCACAGGATGAGTTAGGAATTATTTCCTCTGTTTTTATCTTTTGAAAGAGATTGTAGAGGATTGGTATAATTTCTTCCTTAAAAGTTTGGCAGAATTTACCATTGAATCCATGTAGGCCTGGTGTATTCTGTTTTGGAAAAGGAGGGTCATTAATTATTGATTCGATTGCCTTAATATATATATCCATTCAGATTATCTTTTTCTGCCTGTGCGAGTTTTGGCAGATTGTGTTTTTGGCAGATTGTGTCTAGGTTATCAAATCTATAAGCATATAATTGATCATAGTATTTATTTATAATCCTTACAATACTCGTGGGCTCTTTAGTGATACCTCATTTTTCATTACTTTTATTAGATATTTATATTCTTTTTCTTTTTTTCTTAGTTTGCATGGCTAAAACCTATCAAATCTATTGATCTTTTCAAAGAACCAGCTTTTGGTTTCATTGATTTTCTCTATTGATTTCCTGTTTTCAAGTTCATTGATTTCTGCTCTAATTCTTTTAAACTTTTTTTAAATTATTTTTATTTTTATTTTTAAAGACAGGGTCTCACTATGTTGCTCAGGCTGGATTCAAACTCCTAGGCACAAGGAATCCCTCAGCATCCCAAGTAGCTAGGATTACAGGTACATGACACTGCCTTTGGCTCTGCCCTATTTTTATTATTTCCTTTCTTCTGCTACTTTGGATTTAATTTGCTCTTCTTTTTCTTGTTTCCCAAATGAAAGCTTAGGCTATTGATTTTAGATATTTCTTCTTGTCTCATAAATGCATTCTATGTTATAAATTTCTCTTTAATCACTGCTTTCTCCCTATCACATAAATTTTGGTAAGTTCTGGTTTCATTTAGTCCAAAATATTTTTAAATTTATATTGAGATTTCTTCTTTGACCCGTGTGATTTTTAAAGTGTGTTATATAATCCCAAAGTATTTGGGGATTTCCACCTATCTTTCTGTTGATTTCTAGTTTAGTTCCATTGTGGTCTGAGATCAGATATTGTATGATTTCTACTCTTTTAAATTTGTTAAGATACGTTTTATGGCCCAGAATGTAGTCTATCTAGGGGAATGGTCCATGTGAGGTTGCAAAGAATGTGTATGCCGCTGCTGTTGGATGAAGTAGTCCAAGATATCCATTATTTCCAGTTGATTGATGGTGTTGTTGAATTCAACTATGTCCTTACTGATTTTTCTGCCTGCTGGATCTGTCCATTTATGATAGTGGGTATTAAAGTCTACAACTATAATAGTAGATTCATCTATTTCTCCTTGAAGTTCTATCAGTTTTTGCCTCACATAGTTTTTGTTTGTTCGTTTTTGGTTTTTTTGCCTCACGTATTTTGATGTTCTGTTAGGTACATATACACCTGTTAAGGATTGATATGTCTTCCTGGATAATTAAACCCTTTATCATTATGTAATGGCTACCATATCCCTGATAATTTTTTGTCCTAAAGTCCACTGTATCTGAATTTAATATAACTACTAATTCTTTCTTCTGCTTAGTGTTAGTATGGTATATATTTTTTTTGATCCATTTACTTTAAACCTATATATGTCTTATATTTAAAGCAGGTTTCTTGGAGACAATATATAGTTGGGTCTTATTTTTTGATCCACTCTGACAATCTCTGCCTTTTAATTGGTATGTTTAGGCCATTGACATCCAAAGTGATTACTTGATATAGTTAGATCATAGCTACCATATTTGCTACTACTTTCTATTCATTGTCCTGGTTCAGTTTTCCTATTTTTGTCTTACACTGTTTTTCCTGCATTTTGTGGGTTTTAATTGAGCATATTCCATTTTCTCTCCATGCTTCTTTTTTAAAACATATTTTTTACTGGTTGCCCTAGAGTTTATAATATATATTTATAAATAATCCAATTCCACTTTCAAATAACACTATATCATCTCATGGATAGTGGGAGTACCTTATATGAATGAAATAATCCTAATTTACTCCTTGTTATTTTTTGTATTACTGCTGTCATTCATTTCACATATATGTAAGCTTATGTAAGTATATATGTCTGTATAAATATATATGAATATTGTTGCTGTTAATATTTTGAATAAACTGCTGTTAGGTCAATTATGAAGAAAAATAAAAGTTTTAATTTTATCTTCACTTATTCATTCTCTGATGCTCTATGTAGATCAAAGTTTCTTACCTATATCATTTTCATTTTATCTAAAAACTTCTTTTTAACATTTCTTGTGAGGCAGGTCTACTGGCAACAAACTCCCCCAATTTTTGTTTGTCTGAGAAAGTATTTCTCCTCCATTTTTGAAGAATAATTTTTCGAGGTACAGAATTCTAGATTCGTAGAGGTGTTTTCTCTCAACACTTGAGATTGTTCACTTCTCTCTCTTCACGCTTGCATGATTTCTTAGAAAACTGATGTAATTCTCACCTCTCCTTTTTATACGTAAGGTGTTTTTCTTTTCCCTCTGGCAGATTTCAATACTTTTTAAACATTTTTTATTTTCTGCATTTTGAATATGGTATGCCTAGGTGTGTAGCATGTTTTTTCTTTCATTTATGCTGATTGGTGTTTTCTGAGCTTACAGATCTGTGGTTTGGTGTCTGACATTAATTTGGGGAAATTTTCAGTCTTTATTTCATTAAATATTTCTTCTGTTCCTTTCTCTCTTTCTTCCCCTTCCTTTATTCCCATATGTGTACATTACACCTTTTGTAGATGTCTCAACTACAAAAGATATTTTATTGTTTTTTTTCAGTCTTTTTTTTTCTCTTTGTTTTACAACTTTGGAAGTTTCTACTGAGATATCCTCAAGCTCAGATATTCTTTCTTCAGCTGTGTCCAGTCTACTGATGAGTCTATCACAGTCTTCATTTCTGTTAGGGTTTTTGATCTCTAGCATTTCTTTTTCATTCTTTCTTAGAATTTCCATCTCTCTGCTTACACTGCCCATCTCTTCTTGCATGCCATCTACTTTATCCATTAAAACCCTTAGCACATTAATCGTAGCTGTTTTAAATTCCTGGTCTGATAATTTTAAGATCTCTGTCATATATGAGTCTGGTTCTGATGCTTGCTCTGTCTCTTCAAGCTGTGTTTTTTGCCTTTTTTGTATGCCTTGTAATTTTTTTTTCCTTATAGCTGGACATGATGTATTGGGTATATGGAACTGCAGTGAAAAAGGCTTTAATCATGTGGTGGTAACGTGTTAGGGAAGAGGAAGTATTCTACAGTCCTATAACTAGGTCAGTCTTTTAGTAAGCCTGTGCCTCTGGGCTGTAAATGTCACTGTGCTTCTCAGTTTCTCCCCCTCCTAGCTCAACCAGGATGGTTCAAGAATGGAGGGATCTGGACTTGTGTATTTTCCATCCCCCATATAGAAGGCTAGAGTTGGCTGTAGGTGGTTATCTCCCTTCCCCCAGATTGGTTAGGCTCTGAAAAATCCCCAATAATTTAGGTGCTTGTAAAACCATTTTTCTTGGTATTTTGTTGCTGTTGGATACAAAGTTATATATAGCCCATTTTGTCTAAAGCACAATTCAATGTCAGTATTTCCCTTTTAATTTTCTGTCTCATTATCGGTCTGTTGTTGATGGGGGATATTGAAGTCCCCACTATTACTGTATTGCTATCTATTTCTCCCTTCATGTCCATTAATATTTGCTTTATATATTTAGGTGCTCTAATGTCTAATGTCTAATGTGCTCTAATGTCTAATATATATTTACACTTGTTATATCCTCTTGATGAATGTCCTCTTTATCATTAGTGACTTTTTTTGTCTCTTATGAAAGTTTTTGACTTGATGTCTATTTTAAATCTAAATATGGCCACTTCTGTTCTCTTTTTTTTTTTACCATTTGTGTGCAATAGCTTCTTCCATCCCTTCACTTTCAGCCTATGTATATCCTTAAGGCTAATGTGGGTCTCTCATAGGAAGCATATAATTGGATCTTGATTTTTTATTCATTAAACTACTCTGTGTCTTTGGATTGGAAAATTTAATCCATTTGTAATTATTGACGTTTAAGGACTTACTACTGCTATGCTGTTTATTGTCTCCTGGTTGTTTTGTATATCCTTTGTTCCTTTTTTCCTTTCTTATTTGCCTTCATGATTTGGTGATCTTCTATAGTGTTAGGTGTTTATTCTTTTTTCTTTATTTTTTTGTGTATCTGCTATAGTGTTTTGCTTTGTGGTTACCACAAGGCTTACGTAAAATGTCTTATAGTTATATAATAATTGACTATTTTACACTGATAACAACTTAATTTTTTCCACATACAAAAACTCTAAACATTTATCCTCCACCCTGCTTGATCTAGTCTGCTGTTGAAGCTCTCTATTGCATTTTTAAATTTCATTCATTGAATTCTTCAGGTCCAAGATTTCTGTTCGGTTCTTCGTTATGATACCTATCTCTGTTGAATTTCTCATTCAGATCATAAACTGATTGATATCATCAAATTGTCTCTCTATATTCTCTTGTAATTTTTTTGAGTTTCCTTTTCTTATTTTGAATTGCTTTACAAACAATTCATACATTTTCTTTTCTTTGGGGTCAGTTACTAAAGAATTATTGTGTTCTTTGGTGGTGTCATATTTCCTTCCTTTTTTAGGTGCTTGTAAAACAGTTTTTCTTGGTAGGCTCTGTTAAGTGCAACAAAGTGCTCTGGTGTATTTCACAATGGTCACTTTTCTCCTTCCCCTGCCAGAAGCACAAATGATTTTTTTCTACAATATTCATGACGAGAACCTGGTCAAGCTCCTGGGGGCAAAACTCACAAAAGCCCAACACTGCTATGGCTGCTTGCAAGCCATGTTAGACCCAATACCAAGAGAGTTTCCCTCAGCTAAGACTCTCCATTGTGGGGAACATTTAAACAGAAGGACCCCAAGAGCCTGTGCTACTGTGAACTCTCACAATATGTTGCTGCCACTGATTCCCTAAACTCTTATAGCCTATGGCACTGAGGTACCCACAGTCATCTGTGATACTGATCACAGCTGAAGAAGCTGCATGGAGGCTTGACCACTGCATCTATCCAGAAGCAGGGCCAGCACACCCTTTTCAACCAGCACATTAAGGTCTATCTGCAGATGAAAATATTTTCCTATGAAAGTAACTCTGTAAAGTTTGGAAGTGGTGACTGTTTCATCAGATGTGAAGACACCAATTCAGAAACACAAGAAACATGAAAAAGGAAGGAAATATGACACCACCAAAGAACACAATAATTCTTTAGTAACTGACCCCAAAGAAAAGAAAATGTATGAATTGTTTGTAAAGCAATTCAAAATAAGAAAAGGAAACTCAAAAAAATTACAAGAGAATATAGAGAGACAATTTGATGATATCAATCAGTTTATGATCTGAATGAGAAATTCAACAGAGATAGGTATCATAACGAAGAACCGAACAGAAATCTTGGACCTGAAGAATTCAATGAATGAAATTTAAAAATGCAATAGAGAGCTTCAACAGCAGACTAGATCAAGCAGGGTGGAGGATAAATGTTTAGAGTTTTTGTATGTGGAAAAAATTAAGTTGTTATCAGTGTAAAATAGTCAATTATTATATAACTATAAGACATTTTACGTAAGCCTTGTGGTAACCACAAAGCAAAACACTATAGCAGATACACAAAAAAATAAAGAAAAAAGAATAAACACCTAACACTATAGAAGATCACCAAATCATGAAGGCAAATCAGAAAGGAAAAAAGGAACAAAGGATATACAAAACAACCAGGAGACAATAAACAGCATAGCAGTAGTAAGTCCTTAAATGTCAATAATTACAAATGGATTAAATTTTCCAATCCAAAGACACAGAGTAGTTCAATGAACAAAAAATCAAGATCCAATTATATGCTTCCTATGAGAGACCCACATTAGCCTTAAGGATATACATAGGCTGAAAGTGAAGGGATGGAAGAAGCTATTGCACGCAAATGGTAAAAAAAAAAAAAGAGAGAACAGAAGTGGCTATATTTAGATATAAAATAGACATCAAGTCAAAAACTTTCATAAGAGACAAAAAAGTCACTAATGATAAAGAGGGCATTCATCAAGAGGATATAACAAGTGTAAATATATATTAGACATTAGAGCACACTAGACATTAGCCATTAGAGCACCTAAATATATAAAGCAAATATTAATGGACATGAAGGGAGAAACAGATAGCAATACAGTAATAGTGGGGACTTCAATATCCCCCATCAACAACAGACCGATAATGAGACAGAAAATTAAAAGGGAAATACTGACATTGAATTGTGCTTTAGACAAAATGGGCTATATATAACTTTCTATCCAACAGCAACAAAATACACATTCTCCTTTAGTGCACATGGAACATTCTCCAGTACAGACTACATGGTGGGCCATAAAACAAGTCTTAAATTTAAGAAGATCAAAATCATGTCAAGTATTATTTCTGGCCACAATGGTATAAAATTAGAAATCAATAACAGAATTAACTTTGGAAAATTCACAAATATGTGGAAATTAAACAACTGGCTCTAAATAATCAATGGATCAAAGAAGAAATCAAAAGAAAAACTGAAAACGATCTTGAGACAAATGATAATGAAAACACAACATACCAAAACCTATGGGATGCCCAAAAGCATAAATGTCCCATAAGAGGAAAGTTTATAGCAACAAATGTCTACATTTAAAAAGAAGATCCCAAATAGCCTAACATTAAGCCTCACAGAATTAGAAAATGAACAAATTAAACCCAAAGTTAGCAGAAGGAAGGAAATTAATAAATATCAGAAAAGAAATAGAGAATAGAAAAACCACAGGAAAAAAACAATAAAACTAAGAGTTGGTTTTTGAAAAAATGAACAAAATTGATAAACTCTTAGTTATACCAGCTTAAAAAAAGAAAGAGAAGATTCAAATATATAAACTCAGATATGAAAGTGGAGACATTACAAAAGATGTTCTCAGAAACAAAATAGATCATAAGGAACTATTATTAACAATTATATGTCAACATAGTTGATCATCTAGGGTAAACAGATTAATTCCTAGGAAAATATAACTGAAGAAGGTTGAATAAGAAAGAAATAGCTTGAACAGGCCAACAACAAATGAAGAGATTGAAGTAGTAATTTAAAATCTCCCCAAGAAAGAAAAGCCCAAAACCAGATGTCTTCATGGCTGAATTCTACCAAACTTTCAAAAAAGAATTAATACCAACACTTCTTAAATACTTCCAAAATAAAAAAGAGCTGGATAATACAGCTGACCCTTGAACGACATGGAGGTTAGTGGTGCTGACCACCCCCCAAATGCAGTCAAAAATCTGCATGTAACATTTGACTACCCCAAAACTTAACTACTAATAGCCAACTGTTGACTGGAAGCCTTACTGATAACATGAACAATCAATTAACACATATTTTATATATTACATTTATCCTACACTTTATTTTTACAGTAAAGTAAGCTAGGGAAAACAAAATGTTATAAAAATAATAAAGAAGAGAAAATATATTTAATATTCATTAAGTGGGAAGTGGATCATCCTAAAGGTCTTCATCCGTGACATCTTGATGTTGAGTAGGCTGAGAAGAAGGAAAAGGAGTTGGTCTTGCTGTCTCAGGGGTGGCAGAGGCAGAAGAAAATCTGCAGATAAGTAGACCCATGCAGTTCAAACCTGTGTCGTTCAAGGGTCAACACTACTTCCTAACACATTTTATGAGGCAGCATTACCTTGATACCTAAGCCAGAAAAAGCAACATAGGAAAACTATAGGCCAACCTCTCTGAAGAACATTGATGCAAAACTCTTCAATAAAATATTATCAAACCAAATTCAACAACACATCAATACATCGTGATTAAGTGGGTTTTACCCCTGACATGCAAGGCTGGTTTAATATACACAAATCAATCAGTGTGATATATCACATTAACAAACCACATGATCATATCAGTTGACAAAAAAGCATTCAATACAGCTCGATGTCTGATTTGATAAAAACTTTTAACAGTTTAGATACAGAAGGAAAGTTCTTCAACATAATAAAGCCTATTTGAGTAAAACCCACAGCTAACATCATAATCAATGGGGAGAAACTGAAAGCTTTTTCTCTAAGATCTGGTATAAGGTAAGGATGCCAACTCTTAGCACTTCTACTTAGCAGAGTACTGGAGGTGCTATCAAGAACCATTAGACAGTAAGAAGAAATAACAGGTATTCAAGCTGGATAAAAAAGAAGTAAAATTATGTCTATTTGCAGATGACATGATTGTGTATGTGAAAAATCCCAAAGATTGCACACAAAAACCTATTAGATCTAATAAATTAACTCCATAAAGTTGCAAGATATAAAATCAATATATAAAAATCTGACATTTCTATACACAACAATGTAGCCAAAAAGGAAACTGAGAAAACAACCTCATTTACAATCACATCAAAAAAATAAAATAGGAATAAATTTAACCAAGGAGAGACCTGTACACTGAAAACTATAAAACATTAATAAAAGAAATTGAAGAGGACACAAAGAAATAAGATATTCCATGCTCTTGGATTGGCAGAATTAATATTTTTTAAATGTCCATACTACTCCCAAAGGAATATATAGATGCAATGCAAACCCTATCAAAATTTCAATGACAGTCTTCACAGAAATAGAAAAAAAAACCTAAAATTCATAAGGACCCACAAAAGACCCCAAATAGCCAATGCAATTCTGAGAAAAATAAAGTTGGAGGCATCACAAATCCTGATTTAAAATTGTATTACAAAGCTGTGGCAACCAAAATTGTATGGTACTGATATAGAAACAGATGCCTAGACTAATAGAACAGTATAGAGAGCCCAGAAATAAATCCAAACATATATGGCCAACTAATTTTCAGCAAGGGCAACAAGAAAACACAGTGAGGAAAAGATAGTTTCTTCGATAAATAGTGCTGGGAAAACTGTATTTCTACATGTAAAAGAATAAAATTGGACCCTTATCTTACGCCATACATAAAAATCAACTGTCTCTCCAAATTTGGGAGCAGCAGTTTTCCCTGTGAGTTTACTTCTCTGATAAATATAAAAAATGCTGATCAGTTTTTTTCCTGCTTTTTACTTGTTGTTAGGATGAATGGCAACTTCCAAGCACCTTACATGCCAGGGCAGAAACTGGAAATTAAGCTAAAAATAACATTTTAAATATCCAAATGGTTCCCAGAGAGACAAGGAGTAAGTTTACTGAATAATCTCAGTTATCTCTGAGATAGTATCACATCATCTAACATATGTGTAGTTGTATCCCAGAAAGAGAAAGAGGTTTGGAAAAATATTTGCAGATGGAATGGCTGAAAATTTTCCAAAATGAAAAAAAAAACCTCTAAGACCACAAGTCCAAAAGATCATCAAACAAACAAACAAACAAAAGATGAGATAAATACAGAGAAAACCATATCAAGGCATAACATAATAAAATTGCAAAGAAAAGAAATAAATATAAAATCTTATAAGAAGCCAGAGAAAACAGATACATTAAAAAGACAGGAATCAATGAAGATTTCTCATCTGAAAAGTCAGAGAACAATACAATGAATCTTTAAAGTGCTGAAATTAAAAAAAAAATCTGTTAATCTAGAAATGCATATCCAGTGAAACTATCCTTCCAAACTGAAAGTGAAAAGCACACATATTCAAAGAAAAATTGGAGAGAATTTGTCACCAGTAGATGTGCACTACAAAAAAGGTTGAAATAAGTCGTTCAGGCAGATGGACCTGATACTAAATGGAAACCTGGATGAAACCAAGGGAACAAATAGTACTGGACATAAAAAAAGTGTGTAAATATAAATTACTTTTTATTCTCACGTTAAAATTTCTTTAAAAGACAATTGAATATTTAAAGCAATAATAACAAATTGCGAGGTTTATAATACTTGCAGAAACATAGAATATGAATGTGGAAATGGAAGTATACTGTTAAGAAACTTACATTTTATATGATCTGGTACAACAGTAGGTGAAGACAGACTGTAATTAAGATGTATATAATAAAACCTAGATCAACAACTATAAAAACCAACAGTGAAGAGGTATAGCTAATAAGCTAATAGTAGAAATAAAATAAAATGTTAAGAAATAATTAATTCAGCCACTGCACTCCAGCCTGGGCAACAGAGCAAGACTCCGTCTTAAAAAAAAAAAAAAAAGAAATAATTCAATAAAAGGTAGGAAAAGAGGAGAAAGAAACAAATATAAAAGAAATAGCAAAATGGTATATTAAAACCTAACAATATCAATAACTATGTTAAATATAAGTAGCCTAAAAATTCCAACTAATCGGCAAAGCTTATCACTGTGTTTTTAAAAAAAAGTTTAACTACATGGTGCTTTCACGATAAATGCTTAAAAATCTTTTAAAAAAGGTTAAGATTAAAAGGATGACAAAAGATGTACCATGCAAACAGTAATCATAAGAAAAGTGGAGTCAACATATGAATATCAAACAAAGTGGATTCCAGAACAAAGAAGCTGCTCTGTATCTCTGTAGAGATACAGAGGGGCATTTCACAATGATAAAAATTGAATTCATGAAAATGATCTAACAATCCTAAATATGTATGTACCTAATTTTAAGGGCTTCAAAATACATGAAACAAAACCTGACAGAAATGAAAGGATAAATAGGCAAATTCACAAATGACAACTGAAGATAATTCAAAACTCCTTTCACAGGAAGTGATAGGACAAGTAGACCGTATTAGTGAGGATATAGATAATTCAAAAACTGCTATCAACCTACTTGACCATTAATCAAGATAGACCATATTCTGGGCCATAAAATAAATTTCAGTAAATTAAAAAGGATTGATCTCATACAGACTAAATGCTCTGACCATAAAGAAATTAAATTAGAAATCCATAACAGAAATTTATCTTAATTTTTGTAAAGTAAAAGATAGACATATACTAATATTAGAGTCAAAGAAAGAATCATGGCTAGGCATGGTAGCTCATGTCTATAATCCCAGTGCTTTGGGAGGCCAAGGCAGGAGAATTGCTTGAGGCCAGAAGTTCAAGATGAGCCTGGGCAACATAGTGAGACCCCATGTCTAAGAAAAAAAATAATTTAAAAATTAGCCAGGTGTGGTGGTACATGTCTGTATTCCTAGCTACTTGGGAGTTGGGAGGTGGGAGGGTTGCTTGAGCCCAGGAGTTTGAGTTTATAGTGAGCTGTGATAGTGGCACTGCTCTCCAGCCTGGGCAACACAGCAAGACCCTGTCCCTGAAAAAAAAATTGCAAAGGAAATTAGAAAATATTTGGAAATGAATGAAAATGGAAGCATATACTTATACAATGCAGCTAAATCAGTACTTAGAGGAAATTTTTAGCTTCTGAATTCTTTTATTAGCAAAGAAGGGAGTTGAAAAATAAGTGGTATAAGCTTTCAATTGAAGCAACCTGAAAAAGAATAGCAAATTAAAGACCAAGTAAGCAAAAGAAAGAAAATAAATATAAGAGTTGAAATCAATGAATTAGAAAAGAGGAAAACAATGGAGAAAAATTAATGAAACCAAAAGCTGGTTCTTTAAGAACAATAAAATTGATAAATTTCTAGATGTATAGATCTGAAAAAGAAGACACAAATTACCAATATCAGAAATAGAGACAGGGGACATTACTATCAGATTCTGTAGACATTAATAGGGTAATAAGAAAATATGAACATCATATTTACAAATGTTTGATAATTTAAACAAAATGGATAAATCTCTTAAGTGTTAGAAATTACTCAAAGTGACTCAAGAATTAGAAAACTCAAAGACCCCTCTATTTATTACACACACACACACACACACACACACACACACACACACACACAGACAGCCCCTTCTGAAACCCTGATATACCCCTCTGCACTGTGTTAGTTTTGCAAACATTTACTTTGAGGACCTTCTCCGGGTTAGGCACTGTATGTTTACAGAAGTAAAAGATTTAATGCAGTTGGGGAGGGAAGAGACAGATGAGTGAATAAATAAAATACTGCATAATAAGTGTCATGAAAGAGATCTGCACAGGGTGTTATTAAGGAAAAAATATGAGATACCCTACATGAGAGAAGACTTCCATAAGGAGGTGAATATTAAAGGGTAATGATGATAATGATGATGATGATGACAATGACAATGATAGCAACAACAACAAAATAACTGTTTACTTTTCTCTTGATCTATTGACACATATTGGCTAAATGTGTTACACATATGAATGAATCTAAACCTCTCAAAAACTCTGCAGTAGGCACTATTATCCTCACTGAAACCGAGAGACCCAGCAGATAAAGAACTTGTCTACGGCTATGCAGCCAGGGATGAAAACGAATCAAGTGACTGAAAGAGAAGAAAGTTTCAGATGACAGGAGTGACGTGCAAAGGTACAGACGCTTGAGGAAGCATGGTAGGTAGATTTGAGGCTGCAAGCTTCTTTCCTTCCTTCACAGGCACATTTCTTGAAAGGTAATATCTACCCCCTGCCTTCATTTTCGTTTCCTTATTAGTTCAAGAAATATTTACTGAGCTCCTTGGTGACTACCCAGTCTTTCCTTGATGACCTGAAATTTGACCCTGTCCCTTCTATTCAACTTGCCAACAACCTTTTTACTGCTGTAATAAGAGGCCATTTTTTTATAATACTCATTTTCTTCTGATTATAAAAGTAAATTCAGATTGTGGTGATGGTATACAATTCTGTAAATCTGTTAAAAATCATTGAACTGGACACAAAACAAGAATGTCTCCAAATGTAAATTATACTTCAATAAAGATGGGTTTTTTTAAGTAAATAAATGCTCATTGTAGAAAAACCAAGAAATAGAAAGAAATACATATGGTGACTATCTCCTGTAATCTATCACCGCATGTAGCTAGTGATTTTTCGGTGCAATGTTTTTGCACATTACCTGGATATTTCTGAAGTCTTAAACCTGATATTTTCTTCTACTCAGCCCTGCCCAGCTTGTCATTCTACCTTCCCTGCCTCGTGGGAAAGTATAGAAAAAGCAAAGGAGGTTGGGCACAGTAGCTCACGACTGTAATCCCAGTGCTTTGGGAGGACGAGGCAGGTGGATCACCTGAGGTCAGGAGTTCAAGACCAGCCTAGCTAACATGGCAAAACCCTGTCTCTACTAAAAAAATACAAAAATTAGCCAGGTGTGGTGGCACACGCCTGTAATCCCAGCTACTTGGGAGCCTGAGGCAGGAGAATCACTTGAATCCGGGAGGTGGAAGTTGCTGTGAGCTGAGATTGCACCACTGCACTCCAGCCTGGGTGACAAAGTGAGGCTCCATCTCAAAAAAAAAAAAAAAGTCCATTTTTGGATTTAAACGATAACCAGGGCTGACTGGATCCAGGGCGGGGAATAAGAATACTACTTGAAAGTCGGTTTTATCTCCCTGCTTCCCTCACCCCCAGACTAGAAAAGAGGGATGGGGCATAATCGGGAATGAAGGAGAAAATGTTTACCTGCGGTTTTGTTCCCGAGAAAAGACCCTATTTCTTACCCTGCCTTCTCCATTAAGCCTGGGAGATGGGGAAACAATAGAAGCCCCATATAGGTCAGGGGTCCTCTGAGAGCAGAAGGAGCTGGTGTTCACAGACAGGTCAGGAGAGGTGAGAGGCTGTGGGGCCACACTGTAGAGCAGAGAGACACAAGCAGGGATGAGCTTGGCAGCGTGTGTTCAAGCTGGCCAACAAGACTGCAGGACCCGTTTCCTGTGGGCTCCCCACTGCCCCCTGACCACACACAGGAAGAATACAACATTTCCTGGGTGTCTGAGAGCAGCACGGATGTAGCCAAAATAATGTCCAACCAAAGATTAGTGGGGATAATCGATGTCTCCGTGGGTGCTGGGTGCGTAGGTGACATCCAGGATCGGAGGCCCTACCCCATGGCATGATAGAGCCACTGGGGCTTACATGCCATCCTGGAACCAGGGGAGTGACTGAGGCCTGAGGTGATGAAAGGCAAGTAGCAAGTTTCTGCTGCACAGCCAAATGGTGATTCAAAACAGAAATGGATTCCAGTGAAGCAGGCACCTCTGACTTTATGGCCTGAGATCCAGACCCTTCACAGCATATCAGCAGGAAGGGTTCAGCGAGGCTTTGGTGGTATTTGGCTCAGATCCTGGTTTGCTGCTCTGCTTCCTCTTCACGAAGGAGACATGCAGGAAAGGAGTAGTAGCAGCGGAGACACAAAAAGCTGCTTTATTACAGGCTGCTTCTGTGCTCAATACCCTTGATGTGGCGAGTGGGCGGGAACATGAGGCTCAGTTTCTGAGCCCCATGAGGTCAAGACTCCCTCCTCCCAAGCTTGAAAATCAGCATTTGACCATCTTTTGGTCAACATAGGGGAGAGGAACCTGAAGCCGTAGCAAGCTCACTTAGGCCTAAAGAGAGAGCGAGCCAACTGGGCCTGCCTGGAAAGACTCCAGCCCTGTCATACCCTCACAGCTGGGACACGGAGTCAGAGGAAGCTAGGGCCATGCAAGTGTGACACCAGGGACCCTGCTCACCCTCAAGCATGGCAGAGACAATGTCCTCACCAGATCAGTGCTGCCTCTGCACGCAGGGGAAGGGGGTTGAGGAAGTAGAGACGGCAGGAAAGCACAAGCATTTTTATCACGGTTTTCCCCACTTTGCATTATATCATAAACATTTTCTCATGTAATTAAAATTATTTCAAAACCTAATTTTTAAAATTTTATTTTAAATTTTATTTTTTTTTGAGATGGAGTCTCGCTATGTCATCCAGGCTGGAGTGCAGCGGGTGCGATCTTGGCTCACTGCAACCTCTGCCTCCCAGGTTCAATCTATTCTCCTGTCTCAGCCTCCCGAGTAGTTGGGATTACAGGCATGTGCCACCACACCCGGCTAATTTTTGTATTTTTAGTAGAGATGGCATTTCACCATGTTGACTAGGCTTGTTTCTAACCCCTGACCTCAAGTGATTCACCCGCCTCAGCCTCCCAAAGTGCTGGGATTACAGGCATGAGCCATTGCGCCCAGCAAAACCTAATTCTTAAAAGCTTATTATTTCATCATGTGAGTTGAGACTTTTAAAATGTTCCCATAAATTCAGGAAAAAACTGATTCTTCCGTAGCCACAGTAACATGTAGCCATCAGAACTGGTTTTAAATCCGTTCAATTAATCAGTGACGACTGGCTTTGGTGAACACACTTTCGTAATCAACCAAGAGGTGTCAGCCCCTGACTTCGAAAAGCCAGCTAATCAGAGATGAACTCGCTGCAGCAAACATACCTCTGAGGCCAACCAATCGGCAACAGTCTCACACAAGTCGCTGGACTTCTACTTCACAATGTCAAGCCGTGGCTTCGAAAGGACCTCCCACCTCCATCTCTATGCCACCCCAAACCCTGTACAAGATCTACCATCTGCTCTATTCAAAGGGACTGTGCCTGACCGGCATAGCTGCCCGCCCCCATCCCCTTTTTTTTTGAGACGGAGTCTCGCTCTGTCGCCCAGGCTGGAGTGCAGTGGTGCAATCTCGGCTTGCTGCAAGCTCCGCCTCCCGAGTTCACACCATTCTCCTGCCTCAGCCTCCCGAGTATCTGGGACTACAGGTGCCTGCCACCACGCTCAGCTAATTTTTTGTATTTTTAGTAGAGATGGATGTTAGCCCGGATGGTCTCGATCTCCTGACCTCGTGATCTGCCCGCCTTGGCCTCCCAAAGTTCTGGGATTACAGGCGTGAGCCACCGTGCCCGGCCAGCTGCCCCTTTTTATAGTTAGTATGTGATCACCTTTCTCTTTTTATTTGAGATACTGACAGGAGATAGCATGACTTATTGAACCATTCTTCTATTGCTGGATATTTAGATTATTTCCAATACTTAATCATAAATAAAACTGTGGTATTTATCTGCACATAAAAATGTTTCATTGCACCACTGATTATATTTTTAAGATAAATCCCAGAAAGTGAAATGACTAAGTCAATGGATAGAAATGGTTTTAGAGATTTTTATAAATATTGTCACAGTGCTTTCCAGAGAGACTGTATCAATTTACACTCATATATATCATTGTCTGGGGTGCCCATTCTGCTATATGTTTGTAAGAATTAAGTATTTCAATTAATACAATCTTTGCCAATGTAATAAGAATAGTTTCTTATTTTAATTTGTATTTATTTCTGAGAATGAATATGCTAGTTGTTTCCATAACACCTATTCTCCCTTCTTCCATAAGAATAAAATTTTTGGTTGGGCATCTGCTGTCCAGAATAAAGACTACATTTTCCAGCCTCCTTTGCAGCTGGACGTGGTCATGTGACCGCATTTAGGTGGCATGTAAATGGAGGCACTGTGTGGCAGCTTCTGGAAACTTCCTTTTGAGGCGCCATGTAGGTGAACTTGGATTCTTCTCTGTCCACTTCCCACTCCTCATTCTGATGCCTAGGCTTTAATGCAAGCTTGGACCACAAAGTTGAGGACTGCACCACAGGGATGGCATAGGGTAAGCCAGACTGTGACCTGAATGTGAGAGAAATAAACTCTCTTGTTTAAGCCACTATTTAGATTTGGAGTTTTCTGTGACTCACTGGTGATTCTAATCATAATGAATACACCCCTGGTTTATTGGCCATATTTCCTGACCTTCTGTTCTGATTTGCCACCTGCTGACTTGCCGCTTCCATCTAAGCTGTCCCCCTGAGAACATAACAATTTCACATCTCAACAGTTCTAAGTACTTTGAGGGTAGGAGCTGTGCTATAGTCATTTATCATCCCACTACCCACACCCTACACACCAAGGCCAGTGATCAATAAGCAGGTGCTTATCGTAGTACTCAATATGTGTCTAGTGGTTGAAGTTCTCCTCCCCTTCATGAATATTCTTAATCTGGAGCTATAGCTAGGCTTTAAGAGTCCATAGACCACTCCCTAAAGTTTTATTCAAACCTTTTATTTTAGTTTATTATATTTTATTCATATATAAATTTTTTACATATATCCTATATTTTTTTCTGGAAGAGAATCTAAATATTTCAGCATATATTTTCAAAGGACTAAATGACTCAAAGAAGTTTGAATGGCACTGTACCTATGACACACTGGAACCACCATTCTGCCCCACCAATAGGCTTAAAACCATTACTTTTTCTTCAGTTCATTGGTCCATCACATTTCCACTGCCTTACCCAATTCAGTTATTTCTCAGTCTCACGTTGACAGTATTCTCCTGACCTGTCTCCCTACCTCAATCATTAGCCCATCTCTAATGTGCCCTGGACCTCTATGGTGACTGTCCTGCCGAAGGATCAGTCCTGCTTACCAAGTCCACAGTCCCCACCCTGGTACTCAAGGTCCTTCGTGATAAGGAGCCCATGTCTCTTTCAAACACCACCTTTATCCTGTTGGAGATCAACTTCTCAAAGACAGGAATCTTTTGTCTGTTCTGTTCACTGATATATCCCAAGACCAACACACAACACAACCAATAACTGCTGAATGAATGGAGGAATGAATGAATGTTTTCTAATATGGATTAATGGGGCTTTTCCAGATCACTTTTTTGCTTTGCAGTCTCTGTCCCTCTGCCATAATCCTACCAATATACCATGACTAGTTCATATGCTAACATTGTTTTCTTTGCTTATTTCCCTTAGAAGTGATTTACTTTTTGCCCTTTAGTATTTAGAGTCCTGGTAACATGCATGGCTGTTCTATAGTCTTTTGAAAATGTGTCTTCTTTCTGAATAGGTTATTAACACAGCTCGTGGCTTTGGCATCATTGTTCAGCCCTTAGTAGTTGCTTGAAAAATACTGTTTAATGAATTAATTAAAAAAAGAAGGCTGTATGGGCTGAATTGGTGAGATTTTTATAGCTTTTAGATAAAAAGATGGCTATTTCTTTATCTCCACTTAGCATATTAAAGGTAAGGCAGAGGGAGAGGTGGAAGTGAAAAAGTTTCTAAGTATAGAAAAATATGATTTACTATACTTTTTATTTTTTGTTATTTCTTCTAAGTGGAGATAAAAGAGAATTTGGGGTAAAATGAAAATTGGACATAAATTTACCCAAAAAAAGGCATCTTTCAGGGTGCAGTGACTTGCACTTTTAATCCCAGCTACTTGGGAGGTTGAGGCAGGAGGATCATTTGAGCCCAGGAGGTGGAGCCTATAGTGAGCTATGATTGCACCACTATACTTCACCCTGGGTGACAGAGCAAGACCTTATCTCTTTAAAAAAAAAGGCATTTTTTTGTCTTGGTAAACAATTTGTTTTATATGCCATAAATAGTTTAAGGCATTTAAAAATAATTCAAATATTTAAAGAAAGTTGATGATAAAAAATAACCTTTTAAAGACATAATTTAATATCAATTCAAAGAAAAAACTCTCACATTGCAGTTATAACTTCCCCAAACATTGTACTAAACAATAAAATCTTACTAACTTAGTTGAAAACACAAAAGCTAATAATTGTTCCTAGCAAGTTACTATTAAGTAGTAGGCAGACTGTCATTTACAACACTTCTGATTATCACATTTCTAATTTGAAAGCCCCTTCTTGAAAAGAGTAATCGAGACAGGAGAGTGGTAGGAAGTGAGCAAACATTTGTGTACTATCTACTAAGTGTCAGGTATGAATAAGATTGTTCTTATTCTTGATGTTGTATCCTAAGACTTTTGAATCTTATCTTAAGTCAAGGACAAGTTCTCAGTTTGATGTCATCATCACAGGAAAGGGTACTTTAATTCAAGAATTCTTGTCCTTTTTCATCATTACATATAAATCCCAACTCAAGAAAATGGCAAACTAGTTTAAATAGCAAAACATCTGCAAATGTCACTGATCCATATTTAGTGACTCCTCAGTTTCAATTCGTTTCTAGAAAATTGACTGAATCATGTTAGATGGTTGCTTTACCCAGAAACAGAAGCTAATAATTAGGAACTACAAGTGCTCAGGTTTTTGTCACTGCCTATTCATTTTATAAGAATCCCATAGGAAAGCCACATACTTTATTAAAGAAGGAATAAACAAGACCGTTTTTGAGAAGTGTTGTAGTGTATGCTTATCAATACCCCTATTTACTAATACTTAACAAAAGCTCTTTTTCCTATACTGGACCTACTGAGTTTTCCATTAAACTCAGTACTGAGTTTCTCATTAAATACTGGACCTACTGAGTTTCTCATTAAATACTGATGAATCCATTCTAAGAAGAAATGCCCATATATTCCTGAATTTGGTCCTATTTCTGAATATGTCTATTGGTACTGGATACATTCCCTGTCCACACAGAGTTAGTAACTGTGGTCAGTTTTGTGGACTTTTATAATATTTATTTAATGGCAGTTAACCTAAGGAATAGCATGGGACAGTTGATTTTCTTCTCTCACTATAATTCAGGACTAATTTTCTCACCATTGCAACATATATTTACATGGCTAACACCCATAAATGATCACATAAGATTTACATGCATTTCCCCACCCTGCTCACTGAATAAGAAAGCAAACTGTGAAACAAGCTTATGGAAATAGTTAAAGAATTAAGATCTAATCATATTTCAAAGCTCACCCTCAGAGAAGCTCTCTGAAGCAAAGGCCGCAGAAACTGAAACTCATTTATTACTTGGGCTGAAATACAAACTTTAAGAGAATGAGGGAGAAAAAAACCTTTACTTTGCTCTAGGGAAGAAGCAACTATTCTCTGATGTGCAGAAAATAATTTATCCTCAAAGACCAAATGTAAATGGGGTCAATTAATTTTTTTTAAAATCTCTACCTTCTGTAATATTTTTCTAAGTCTTTGACACTGTTACACTTTATACTAAAATCTAATGTGTGATTTGACAAATGTCAAAGGAAACTGACTACTGTATTTAACAAATTTTAATAAGCATAATGTATACTTTAAATATACTTAACACAAAATTTACATGAGTGGCCATTCTGTGGTATAGTACTCTTAGGAAGCAGATAGAACACCTATGTCAAATTTTGACTTCAAAGATTTAAAAAATAGTGACATTGTTCAATGATCAAATGACATGAATCAGCCAAGTAATAAATTATTTGAATTATAAGCTTTGAATCTAGGCATTAGATGCCCCAATTTGGCATGCTCATAATGTCTTATTTTTTGTTTTTAAAATTTTTTACTTTTTGGTTCAATTGGGTAAGAAAAAAAGTAATGTATATTAATTGGAAAGTTTATAAAATATATTTGCACTAAGCTATGCTATGTCAGATTTGTAGACAGTTCAATATAAAACAGTGGTCTCAATACTTAACAAAAGCTCTATTTCCTATACTGGATTATTTTGAGTTTAGAATAGCTGCTGAAAGGACGTTCTTGAGATTTAAGCATTAGCTGTTTCTAATTTAAAATGACCTAGACTCAAGGATACAAAATCAATGTACAAAAATCAGTAGCATTTCTATACACCAATAACATCCAAGTTGAGAGCCAAATCAGGAATGCAATCTCATCTACGATAGCTACATACTCACAAAAATAGGAGGGGAAAGATCTCTGCGAGGAGAATTACAAACATTGCTAAAATAAATCATAGATGAAACAAACAAATGGAAAAACATTCTATGATCATGGATTGGAAGAATCAATATCATTAACATGGCCATACTGCCAAGGCATTTTACAATCTACAGATTCAATGCTATTCCTATCAATCTACCAATGTCATTTTTCACAGAATTGGAAAAAAAACTGTTATAAAATTCATATGGAACAAAAAAAAAAGCCCAAATAACCAAACCAATCCTAAGCAAAAAGAACAATGCTGGAGGGATCACATTACCTGGCTTCAAACTATACTATAAGGCTGTAGTAACCAAAACAGCATGGTACTGGTACAAAAACAGACACATCGATTCATGGAATGGAATAGAGAACACAGAAATAAAGATGCACATCTGCAGCCATCTAATCTTCAACAAAGTCAACCAAAATAAGCAATGGGGAAAGAACTCCGTATTCAAAAAATGGTGCTGGGATATAGATAGTGGGCTAGCCATATGCAGAAGAATGAAAATGGATCCCTTTTACCATATACAAAAATTAACTCAAGATAGATTAAAGACTTAAATGTAAGACCTCCATCTATAAGAATCCTAGAAGAAAACTCAGGAAACACCATTCTGGACCTTGGCCTTGGGAAATAATTTATGAATAAGTCTTCAAAAGCAATTGCAACAGAAACAAAAATTGACAAGTGGAACCTAATTAAACTAAAGATCTTCTGCACAGCAAAATAACTACCAACAGAGTAAACAGACACACTACAGAATAGGAGAAAATATTAGCAAACTATGCATCTGACAAAGGTCCATCCAGAATCTATAAGGAATTTAAACAACTCAAACAAAAAACAACCTCATAAAAAATGGGCAAAAGACATGACCAGACATTTCTCAAAAGAAGACATACAAGTGGCCAACAAACATATGAAAAAAAATGCCCCATATTACTAATCAGAGAAATCCACATCAAAACCACAATGAGATACCATCTCACACCAGTCAGAATGGCTATTACTAAAAAGTCAAAAAACATGTTGGTGAGGCTGCAGAGAAAAGAGAATGCTTATACACTGTTGGTGGGAATGGAAAGTAATTCAGACACTGTGGAAAGCAGTTTGGAGATTTCTCAAAGAACTAAAAATGGAACTACCATTTGACCCAGCAATCCCATTACTGGGTATACAACCAAAAGAAAGTAATTCATTCTACCAAAAAGACACATGTACATGAGTGCTCACTGCAGCACTATTCACAATAGCAAAACCATGGAATCAACCTAGGTGCCCATCAATGGTGTATTGCATAAAGAAAATGTGGTACATATATACCATGGAATACTATGCAGCCACAAAAAGGGCGAAATCATGTCCTTTGCAGCAACATGGATACAGCTGGAGGCCATTAGCCCAAGCAAATACCACATGTTCTCACTTATAAGTGGGAGCTAAACATTGGGTACTCATGGACATAAAGATGGCAACAATAGACACTGGGGACTACTAGAGGTGGGAGGGAGAAGAGGGTAGGGGTGGGAAAACTAACTGTTCAGTACTATGCTCAGTAACTGGGTGACAGGATCATTTGTACCATAGACTTCAGCATCACGCAATATACCCAGGTAACAAACCTGTACCTGTACCCACTGAATCTAAAATAAAAGTTGAAAAAAAAATAAAAATAAAATTGAAAAAGAAATATAAGACTATGCAAACTTTTAAGACAACATACATTATCTGCACTAAAAGTTTACTACTTTTCAAGAAAATATTTAAAAAAAAAGAATAATTCACATTTAAAAAATGGGTAAAGAACTTGAATAGGCATTTCTCAAAACAAGATACACAGAAGGCTAAAAGCACCTGAAAGTTATTTAACATCATTAGTCATTAAATAAATGCAAATCAAACACATTGAGGTACTGCTACATACCCAGTAGAATGGCAATAGTAATAATAATAATGATGATGATGAGAATAACAAGTGTTGATGAGAATGTGTCAAAATTTGAACTCTCCTAGATTGTTGACAAAAATGTAAAATGTTTCAGCTGTTGTAGAAAACAGTTTGGAAGTTTTTCAAAAAGTTAGGCATAGAATTCTTATGTGACCCAGCAATTACCACCCAGGTAAATACTCCAAAGAACTGAAAACAGGTACTCAAACAAATACTTGTACACAATTTATCATAACACTTCTATTCACAATAGCTAAAAGGTGGAAACAATTCAAATGTACATCAACCAATAAATGGATAAGAAAATTGTTGTATAAAAATAAATAAAATAAAATGACTTAGAGTGTATCTAGTTTTCCAGAATCATCTACATCAAGGCTGAATTACTTCGCCACTTCATTTTAATATAATATTCAAAATGTTTGAAAGCAATAAGTATGATGCCCATACAAAACATGTCTTATTTCCCCGTTCAGTTGACAAAAATAAGGTGTCCAGTTGGCTCTGTTGCTTTATAGTTGAATTTCCCATCACCCAGACCCTAAAATCTACTTCCACCATCTTTTTCATTACATAAAGTTCCTTTGATCGACTATTTCAACTGTTGCCAGGTGGTAAGCAGTAAAGCATGTGGTTAACAGCATGGGCTATGAAGTTAAACCAACCTGGGTGGTGTGACCATGGGCAAATCATTTAACTTTCCTGGGTATTATTTTATAACATGTAGATAAAGTGGACAATAAAGATTAAATAGGACTGAGGTTTAGCAATGTAGGAGTGATGCAAGTGCAAGATGGCAATGGATCAGAGAGTAGTGAGTCAGCACTGGAATGAAGACAAACACTAGGTTCTTTATGCGTGAGAAAATGGGAAAAATAAAATGCAAGGCAAGAGCGATCAAAAGGAGAATTTGGTAGACTGAAATCCTGGAGGTGAACTAGGCGAGTAATGTTAGGTCTAAGGCATGGCTGCATTTTTGCATGGTCTAAAGTGGAAACAAGATATAACAGAAGTGACTTTACTACAGCTGAGCTTATAAACTTGCAGGGTCAGACTGTTAGAAAAGACACCTACCAAAACAGTCTTTTACAGTAGATTCTGGTTACTCTTTCTTATTCATCTTTCCACTTTAAACCCAAAAGAACTATTTGCCTCAGCTTCTTTACTGGGGAAGCAATTTTCTTCCTGGCATGTCCCCAAGACTGGGGTGCTCTGCTACTTTTTCTTTTTGTTTGAGACGGAACCTCACTCTGTCGCCCAGGCTGGAGTGCAGTGGTGTGATCTTGGCTGGCTGCAACCTCTGCCTCCCGGGTTCACGCCATTCTCCTGCCTTAGCCTCCTGAGTAGCTGGGACTATGGGCGCATGCCACCATGCCTGGCAAATTTTTGTATTTTTAGTAGAGACGGGGTTTCACCATATTGACCAGGCTGGTCTTGAACTCCTGACCTCATGATCCGCCTGCCTCGGCCTCCTAAAGTGCTGGGATTGCAGAGTGAGCCACCATACCCAGCCAGATTTTCTATTTTTAATAACAGCTGTAGTAAGATATAATTCACATATCATAAAGTTCATAATTTAAAACTGCACCATTCAGTGGTTTTTAGTATATTCATAGATCTGTACATTTATCACCACGACAAAATTCTAGAATATTTTCATCACCTCAAAAAAACAAAAAACAACAAAAAAAGAACCCATCCCTATTAACAGTCACTTCCCATTCTCCCATCCTTTGAGCCACTGGCAACCACTAATCTATTTTCTGTCTCTAGGGATTTTTCCACTCTGGGCATTTCACGTAATTTAAATCATACAACATATGACCTTTCATGACCAGATTCTTTCACTTAGCATGTTTCCAATGTTCATCTATGTTGTGGAATGTATCAGTACTTCATTCCTTTTCCTAGTCAAATCCATTGTGTGGATATACCACATTTTGTTTATCCACTCCTCAGTCAAACATTTGAGTTTTTTCCACTTTTTGACTACTATGAATAATGCTTCTGTAAACATTCTTGTACAAGTTTCTTTGGGAAATATTTTTTCAGTTCTCCTGTGTGTACTTAGGAGTTGAATTGCTGAGTCATGTGGTAACTATGTTTAGCTTTTTGAGGAACTGCCAAACTATTTTCCAAAATGACTGCACCATTTTACAATCTCACCAGCAAAGTATGAAGGTTCTAATTTCTCCACATCCTTGCCAAAACTTTCGTCTGTCTTGTTGATTACATCCAGTCTAATGGGTATGAAGTGGTATCTCATTGTTGTTCTGATACATGATTTGTGATTATTTCCTTCTATCTGTGGGTTGTTCTTTTACTTTCTTGGAAGTTTCCTTTAAAGCTTTTCATTTTGATGAAGTTCAGTTTATCTATTTTTTCCTTTGTCATTTGTGCTTTTAGTGTCATATCTAAGAATTCTTTGCCTAATCCTGAAATGTCATGAAAATTTACTTGCATGTTTTCTTCTAAGAGTTTCATAGCATTTTTCTCTGATATTGCTTTTTTCTAAAAGTTTTATAGTTTTACCATTTATTTTTAGGTCTGTGATTCACTTTGAGGTCCTTTTATGTGTATCTTGTGAGGTAGAGGTTGAGCTTTACTCTTTTGCATATGGATATCTAGTTGTCCCAGCACTATTTGTTGAATTTCCATATAAATTTCAGGATCAGTGTGTCAATTTATACTAAAAAAGGCAGTTGGGATTTCGGTAGGATTGTGCTGAATCTGTATATCAATTTGGGTAATACTGGCATCTTAACAACGTTAAGTTTTCTGATCTGTAAATATGAATGCCTTTTCATTTATTTAGATTTTAATTTTTTCATTGATGTTTTGTAGTTTTCAAGATACATATTTTGCACTTCTTTTGTTAAATTCTATTCCTAAGTATTTAATTATTTCATGCTATTTTAAATGAATTTGTTTTCTTAATTTCATTATCAGATTGTTTACTCCTAGGGTATTGGAATACAATTGATTTTTCTATATTGATCTTATATCCTGCAACCTTGGTAAACTCTTATTTTTCAAACAGGTTTTTTTTTTGGTAGGATTCCTGAGAATTTTTCTGTACACAAGATTTTGTCATTGGAGGATAGAATTTTACTTCTTCCTTTCCGATCGGGATGACTTTTCTTTTCTTGCCAGACTTCCTAATTTCTGTCAGTCTATTAGATATAACATTTCATTAGTGTCTTATTTTTCATTTCCTTGGTTACTGACGATATGAGCAGTTCTTCATGTATTTATGGGCTACTGATATTTACACCTCTGTAAAATGCTGTTTTGTCTTTAGCCAATTCTTTTTTTTTTTTTTTTTTTTGCTGTTGTTGTTGAGGCAGGGTCTCACTCTGTCACCTGGGCTGGAATGCTGTGGTGCAATCACAGCTCACTGCAGATTTGATCTCCTGGGCTCAAGCTATCCTGCTGCCTCAGCCTCCTGAGTGGCTAGGACCACAGGCATGCACCACCACACCCGACGACCTTTTTATTTTTACTAGAGATAAGGTCTCACTATGTTGCCCAGGCTGGTCTCAAACTTTTAGGCTCAAGTGATCCGCCTGCCTTCGTCTCCCTAAGTGCTGGGATTATAAGCAAAGCTGCTACACCTGGCCTTAGCCAATTCTTTTACTAAACTCTTCATTTCTGACACATGCCAAATTTCTATGGCGTGTGTCAGAAATGAAGAGCTTAACAAAAGAATATTATGCCAAGTTTCCATAACTACATCTATATCATCTATATATATCAATATATGGCTTTATGTGCTCTCTATTCTGTTTCTTTGGTCAGTCTATCTATACTTGTACCAGTGCCAAACTACTAACGTCCATACCTTTGCAACAAATTTTGATTTTGTATGTGGTAGGAGGGAAATACTTTTGACTTTTTCTTTTTCAGAATAATTTTGGCTGCTCTTGGGCCTTAGGCCAGGCACAGTGGCTCACACCTGTAATCTCAGCACTTTGGGAAGCCGAGGTGGGAGGACTGCGTGAAGCCAGGAGTTCAAGGTCAGCCTGGACAACAAAGCAAGACCCCCATCTCTACAAAAAATTTTAAAAATTCAGCTGGGCATGGTGGTGTGCAACTGTAGTCCCAGCTACTTGGGAGGCTAAGGTGGGAAGATCACTTAAGCCCAGGAGTTCAAGGCTGCAGTGAGCTATAATCGCACCAGTGCACTCCAATGTGGGTGACAGTGAGATCCTGTCTTTAAAAATTAGATTTATTTTTGTCAGATAAATCCAAGGAATTGCATTAAATCTATAGGTCAAATTGAGGACAATTGACATCTTTAAGATACTTAAGGTATTCAAGATTTAGTGGGTATATTTCTCCATGATTTAGGTCTTCTTTAATTTCTTTTAAAACAGTTAAAAGTTCTCCAAATAGGACTTATACGGCTATTCTTAGATTCATTCCTATACACTTTCTATTTTGCTGTGTTAGCAGAATCATTTTTTAAATTATGTTTTCTGTTTCTTGCTGGATTATATATTTAGACAACTGCTAAACTGTCTTATTATTTCCAATAGTTTACTGATCCACTTAGGTTTTATGTATAGATTTTATGTACAGACAATCATATCATCAGTGAATAATATCAGGTTGCTTCCCTCTTTCTAATTTGTATCCTATTTCTTTTTCTTGTATAGCTGTGACCAATGGCATCTGTATTTCACTGTTGAACAGCAGCAGTGATTAACGGGCACCCTTCTCCTTTCCTGATTTTAAAGGGAATCCTTCTAACATTTCACCCTAAAAATGATGTTTGCTCTAAGTTTTTGATTAATATTCTTTATCAGGGTAAGGATACTCCCTCCTATTCCTAGCTTATTAAGATTATCACAGATATGAGTTGAATTTTGCCAAATGCTTTTCTTTACCTGAGATGATCACATGGTTTTTCTCCTTTCAGTGTGGCAACGTGATGGATTATATTAATGGATTTCTAACATGAAATCACCCTTGCATTCTTGCATTCAGTCCAGCTTGGTTGAAATGTATAAACATTTTTATGTACTGCTAGATTCTGTTTCTAAATTTTGGTTAGGAATTTTACACTTAAAATTAAATGTAAGATTGGTATGTAATTTGCTTTTTACTGTTCCTGGCTGACTTTCATATCAAGACTACACTGGCTTTAGAATAAATGGGGGATATTACTTCTTTTTTTCCTGTCACAGATTTTGTTTATTATTGGAGTTTTCTGTTCCTTGAATGTTTGGTAAGAACTTGACCAAAATCATTTGAGTCTGATGTTTTCTTTAATAAAATATTTAAAACTAAATGCTATATTTATTTAATTTCTACAGGACTATTAGAGTTTTCTATTCTTTCATTTAATCACGTTTTCTAAAAATGTTTCCATCTTATCCAGATTTTCAATTTTATTGGCATAAAGTTATTCATTAAATTATCTTTTCTATGTTTTTTGACTCAATCAGCAGTCATTTTTCCTATTTCCTCCTTTCCCTATTTGTGTCTTCTCCCTATTTTTCTGACCGGTCTTCTAAAAAGTTTATATTTTACTAGTCTTTTCAAAGGATCAAACTTTGCGTTTGCCGAATTACTGATTTTTAATTAAAACCTCTAACTCCTATGGCATCTATGTCCTTATTTCCTCCTGGTTCTCCAGGGACCTCTCTGACAATTGCTTATCGATCTATAGCTGGTTTTAAATAATTGCCCCATTCCATCTGCCCTTTCCTTACCATAGCAACCTCTCCCTTTTTAATCCATTCCGATAGTAAATCATCTTTTTGTTGATATGACTTCCAAATTCATCCCTAGCCACTACAGCCTTGGTACCCAGATCCAGACACCTCTCTGTGATGTCCCAAAGGCACTCAACTAACTGAACTCGATCATTTCTTCTTGAGTCTGTTCCTTCTCATCTTAGTTAGTGGCACTTACATTTAGACACCCAAATAAGAAACTTAGTAGAATTTTTTAGAATCCCTCTCTCTCGCTCTTGACAGTCCTGCCAACTTTTACTTCTAGATTTTCACCTTTCTCTCCTGAATTTTTCTAGTAGCCTTCTAACTTATTGTCCTATTCACTCTAGATATTTCATTTTTGCTGTCTGATATAGATCCACCCACCATCTTTCAACTGATACTCTATCTAAAGTATAAATATGATCATATCACTTTGTAATTAAAGAAGCAATTTTCATTGCTTCTTAGCAAATACTAAAGTTCAAGTTCCTTAATGGGGCATACAGTACCATTCAGGGCCAGGACTTTACCTCTCCAGCTTCATGTTTCTCTACTTCCCACTCTACCTTTTATGCCTCTGTGAACACCAGACTTTAGTTCCCTGAATATGCTATTTCACACCCTGTGTTTTTGTCCCATTTTTTTTTTCATGAATATCATTCATTTCCTTGGTAGGATCTTAATCATCTTGCAATAATCATTTGAACATCAGGAAGTCTTCCACAAAACCTCAAGAAATCTCAGTTTGGGCCAAGTCACATTTCTCTATCGGCCTATACACAATTATTTTATTGCTTATTATATTAAAATTATCTATACAACTAGACTGACAACTCTTTAAGGGGAGGGGGAATATGTTGTACATGTTAACTCCAAGCATCTAGCATATAATAGGATGCAAATTTAGCTTCCTTGAGAGAACTGGATCATAGCCCACCCTTCTACTCCAAGTCTATATCCTAACTGTTGCCTGACAGGCTCAGTGTGCCTCACAGGAAGGGAGTAGCAGCTGAAACTGACCAAAGGAACAGAGGAAAACAAAATGGGTAGCCTTGCCTCTTCCCTGCCTGTAGAAGAAGCTGGCAGCTTAAATCCTGGGCAAGAGTAGATTAGACAGTTTGCTACTGAAAGTGCTTAATTTGAGAATGCAGTATGGGACTTGGAAGGCAGAGCTTCTAGACAGGGGTAGTTCTTGACATTTGTGTCCTAAAGGAAAGAGAGCCATTTTTGGCTTTATAAGAAGAATCAGAAGCAAAGACTATAAGGGATCAAGGTTTCCAATAAACCAAGCTAGGGATCAGGGCCTGATTCAAATCCCAGCACGGATCTATGATGGGAACTGAGACCAAGGACCCAGGTAGAAGCCTGGGGAATAAGGAAAAAGGTGAGCAGTAACTAGGGAAGATGCAGATCATGACTACAAGGGCTCCTCAGGGGTCAGTTCAGTCGAGGCCCAGCAGGTGCTGAATGTGCAAGCTGCATTTCTATACTCTTGAAGCAGCAGTCCTCAAAAACCACCAGCTTGGGCCCAGCTGGCTTCAGTGACTGGGCCCAGTCTAAGTGCTCTAAATCATTCTCTCTTCAGTCTTAACCTCTCCAGTCCTCAGCTCCTTCGATCCTCGCATGGAAATAGCCTTAATTAGGACCTATATTTTCTAAACACAGGGCTCAGGCCATTTTCTGAAAGCTCTGCTTGCTTTTGGCTTTTCACAGTGATGCTCTAACATAGTGGCTCCCACCCAGGGGCCTTAGATTTAGGAGGCATCTCAACATTATCAGAGGACCTGAGGAAAAGCCTGTTAGAAGAGCTTGGGGCTTGTAAATAGAATCTCTGTGATCTTCTGCTAAGTTCTTCAAACTGTTCAGTCTCTTCTAACTAGGCCTTGGCAGAATCACTGCTAAACCTTCCATCTTAGTCTAACACCCTTGCGTTGGGGATGTACCTGACATACAGGCACCAACTGGCATTTTATTTCCTTTCAGACCAAAATCAGCACTGCAGGCTACCCTATCTATATCCCAATTACACTTTATTTTGATCCCATTTGGAATGGGGGGGAGGCTTAATCTTCATATGATTTTGGGGGGGATTTGATTAAGTCTAATGTCAGACTGATTTATTACAGCATTAGTGTAAATCTTTTAGATTTCACGAGAGGAAAAATATCAATAAAAGGATGACAGTAGGGGATGAAAAATAAAACAAGAAACCAAAACCTTGAGAAATAATTTTGTAAAGCTTAAATGTCTGTTAATGGGCTATAGCATTTAAAAATATTTCTCCAAACAGGATTAGAATGAAGAAAGAAAGTAGGAAAGATGATGCCAGAGTAACAGGAGAAAAACGCTTTTGAGCTTTTTCTACTGAATCAGCCACCAGGATCTTGTGGCCCAGGAATCTGATTTAAAAGCTCCCTGGTTGCTTCTGATAATCAGCTTTAGGTGAAGAACCACTGTTCTAGCTAATGAGGACAAAACAGAGGGCACTTCCCTAAGTAAAAGTATAAGGACAGTAATTGATACAAAACACATGATTTCTGCTAACCACTTCTGCCATATTATCTAGTTTCTATGAAAACTTTTTCTCTGAAAAGAACCCAACCAGTTGAGATTATCTATTCTAAATAAATGAATATCATCAACTTTGATAACCCCTAAAGAGTTTCTATAGTAACACAGAACAAAGATAATAACCATCAAGATCTAGGTAATCAAGACTGCTTAGTGTGCTTAAACTGGCTTACTTTAATGGTTTTAAATGCAGTAAAAACCAAAGAGCTCAGCTCTAAGGAATCAGACAGCATCGCTACAAGAATATTTAATTATGTGGTTCCCCCTAAAAAAACCCAAATAAAATACAATGAAATATATTGTTTAATCACAAAAGCAATTAAAATACATAAAGACAATTTTCACTGAGTCCGCAACTCTCAGCATGTAATTATTTATCTAATTCAAGTCATGCAGCTAGGTGTTGGAATTAACTTCTCTGAACTAGATACAAAAATGGAAAGTCATTTTGGGATTTGATCCTCATTCATTTTCAACCAAATATCCAAATTCATTTCCAATTCACACAAGAACTGCCGCAGCTTTACCTAAATCAGTTTTCTACAAGTTAAACAGCGCTCCTACACTCAGATGTGATTGTGGAACTACTTTGATCTTTATTCCCAAACTTATTGCTCCATGTAATCCATGACAAAATATAATGTGATTTACTATATCTCTATATGACAGCACAGCAGCTGACAGAACTTAATAATTTAGCATAAGAAAAAAACCTTCTGGCACCAAAATACACAGATCGTAATGGGGACTCTTTAGTATCAGTTTACAATGAAGCCTATACAAGCTGATCCTAAGAACTTCAAAACAATTCTTTTTTTTCATCATGCATTTAATGAAGGAGATTTTTATTCCTTAAACATGCTTTGTAGCTGCAAGCAAGTAATTCGGGAACATTTTGTTTTTGTTCTCATTAAAACAATGCAGAACAAGTTACATACCGATGTCTCTTTCTCAAAGAAAAGTACTAAATTTCTCCATTTTCAAGTAAGTGAAGAAATACATCATACAGGAAGCTAAAAACTCTTTAAAAAAAAAAGTAAATTTACGTTGTGTTATGTTACATAAAAAGCAGAGATTAGATAATTAGGTACTGTATAGAGAACCATCAGAATTAGGTGAAATCAAGACCTGTCTCTGAAGCTGCTAGAGCTGAATTTTCTCTGACCTGCACATGTACCCCTGAACTTAGATGTTTGAAAAAAGGAATAGAAGCTATATACCAAAAGAGGGTACTGTTAAGTCAGAACATATGGCTGGCACTGATATGTTTTAGTAGTGGGTATTTAAAAAAAATATTTCATGGAGGAAATTGCCTATACCAAAGATTATATAACTTCCTTAGTAATCTAGAAGGTACTGTTAATTCATTTTTAGTAATCAAGAAAATACACGATTGAACACCTCTTTTTAGCTGGACGCCTAGTGGGCACTGAGGATGTAGCCATGTCCAAATCGAAGCTCCTGTCTACAGAAAGCTTACCCTGCACTGGTGGGGGGCGAGGGAGGGGGCACACACAATAAACATATAGACCAATAACGGAGTAACAGAGGGATGCATGAAATATGAAATAATAACCCAGAGTAAGAGAGTGGAGGGTGAAGATAGCTCATTTCTTTTTAGCACTGAATAATATTCCATTGTTTGGGTAGTACAGTTTATTTACCCATTCATTTATTCAGAAAACCAAATACCGCATGTTCTCACTTATAAGTGGGAGCTGAATGATGAGAACACATGGACCCATGAGGGAGAACAACACACAATGGGGCCTGTTGGAAGGTGGGGAGTGGGAGAAGGGAGAGCATCAGGAAGAACAGCTAATGGATGCTGGGCTTAATACCCAGGTGATGGGATGATCTGTGCAGCAAACTACCATGGCACATGTTTACCTATGTAACAAACCTACACATCCTGCGCATGTACCCCTGAACTTAAAAGTTGGAAAAAATAAACAAAAAATAAAAACTAAAAATGTCTTCCTCTAATTCCTACAAGAACTCACACTTTATCTCACATATTCTCTCTCTCTCTGCCCTTGAGGCAACAGGTGGCAAACTTACCTAAATCTGCTTTGCTAATACTTTGAACATAGACACATTTTCCTTTATTTCTCAGCCTTACTTAGTCCATCATTTATGAAAACTGGATCTAAAATTGAGATAAATCTGTACCCTCTAGGTTTGTTAATATATTCTTCTGCTCCAATAATTGTTCTACAGAAAAATAGCATTTGTGTATTCCTGGAAAAGTTCTTCTGGAAAGGATAATCTTTGTTGTACAATAATCCTAACTTCATTACCTTTCTCTTATTCCTTCAGTTTGACCTATATCTTATTTCTCTGTGAGTGCCCCCATTCTACTCTCCATAGCTACGAAGCAGTGATTATGGAAAAGAACTATTCCTGATGAAACAAAAAGAATGATAGTTTTCTTGAATAATTCAGATATTCTCTTTCCACTGAAACTTCTGTCTATTCAACATTTATGGAATGCCTGCTATATTCTAGGTAGTCTTCCAGGCACTGGGGATACAGCAGTGAACAAAACGGGCAAAATTTCTGTTGTCATAGAAGTTACACTCCGATGGGGAGTAATAAAAAGCTGTATTGGCATGTATAGTCTTCTGTTGTAGGGTAAACTCACTTAAGGCCATATTCTTAATAATCATTTTCATCTTTGTACGCATCCCCATGACAAAATATTTCGCAAACCATAGAAAAAGGATAAATATTCATTAAAAGAATAGACAAATGATCTGTTTCATAGCTTCAATCTTTCTCCTTCCACTGGCTCATTTCCTTTGCCAAATCTGAAGACAGAATAAGCTACTTCTCAAGCTGCTTTCTCCTTCTTTCCTTTCCTTCCCTCTATAATGCATTTAAAGGTTAGTCTGTGCCTACAATTTCTACTCTCTAATTTCTCCACATCCCACCACTTTACTGAAATTGGTTTACTGAGGGTCACCAATTACCTACAGGAAACTCCCCCTGGCGAAACTCTCAACTTCTCTAATTTCAGAAAAATATTTCCCATTGCCTACTAGAAAGCTCCAAATGGGTATCCTGATGGCATTAAACATGTGAACTCCATCATTTTCTCCTTCGAATGTACCTTTCCTCTATGCTCCCTCTGTAGGTTGATGGACGGCATGACAACCTTGGACACCCTCCTCAAGTCTCCCTTTCCTTTCCACCCACACCCAGTCAGGAATCGCACCTGCGGCTTCTACCGTCTCCCCTTCCACCACCACTGCCTTAGTCCAAAACCTGTGTCACTTCCCAAGACAACTGCAATAGTCTTTCAACCAGTGTTCCCTTTCAACAATAACAGTGGTCACTTAGAATGTGAGATCCACAAGGGTGGGGACTGTGATCTGTTTTGTTCATTGATATATTCCAAGTACATGGAACAGTATCTGACACAAGGCAGGTATTCAACAAACGTGTTGAAAGAACGAATAAACTAAGTGCTAGGCATATAAAGCCCTTTAATATATACTCTCTCATTTGATCAACACAAAACCTATGAGGCTGGGATTGTCATCCTTATTTTATAGATGGCAACACTGTCACTTGGTAAGCTGTCCTAGTCACAGAGCTCATAATAGTGGGAGGTAGGATTTGAAGCCAGGTCAGCCAGTCTCACTCTGAAACACCAGCTCATGATCACACTACTAACTGTCTAAACCACTGAGATTCTTAAAAATTGGTTATTATGATTAAAGGGGTAGCTACTATTTAATGAATTCTTACTAGGTGCCAAGGCTTTGCATAATTACTTCACCAATTACAATTCTACAGGAGAGGTATTACCCCATTTTACAATTATGTAACCTGAGGCTCAGTGAGTTTAAGCAACTTGTCAAAGAACAGTAAGCTATAAAGCAGGAATTCAGACTCCAAAATTCTAGACTACCCCTGGTTTCTTACAAGTACTATACTAGAATTATTTCTCTAAAACTCACCATTTTGGCTGGGCACAGTGGCTCATGCCTGTAATTCCAGCAGTTCAGGAGGCTGAGGCAGGAGGATCACTTGAGGTCAGGAGTTCAAGACCAGCCTGGCCAACATGGCAAAACCTCTTCCCTACCAAAAGTACAAAAATTAGCTGGGCATGGTGGTGCGCACCTGTAATCCCAGCTACTCAGGAGGCTGAGGCATAAGAATCGCTTGAACCCAGGAGGCAGAGGTTGCAGTGAGCTGAGATCACGCCACTGCACTCCAGCCTAGGCGACAGAGTGAGGCTCTGTCTCGAAATAAATAAATAAATAAATAATAAAAAATAAAACTTACCATTTTATTCCACTAAAAAATCTTCAATGGTGCCTAATCCACAAAAAATAAGGCCCAACCCCCTGAGTAAGGCATTTAACACTGTTCACACTTCGGTAATTAGCTCTCATTTACCCATTTCAGGTAGAGTTTGCCCTGGCCACACGGGGTCTGCCCTTTGAATGTTTTCTGGGCCTCTATATTCTTCCTCGAGTGCTCCCAACAGTTAGAAAGCCTTTGCCACTTGTTCCAGCCCATCCTAGAAGAACCAGTTAAAGTTACATCTCTCCCAAGCTTTCTCAGATTCCACCACTGAGAATGATGAATTCTGCTTTCCCCTTGATTACATGAGCCCTGTGTACCTCTAATGATGGCTTCTGTAACAGTTTGTCTGTAGCAGTTATGTAGATATGTTTGTCTTCCTTTATTAGACTACGATTCCTCAGAACACAGGAACCTTCTCTGAAACCCTTATAAGATTAGCACAGTTCTTTGTGCAAAATCAACCACTGCAGCCTGCCGAATGAACTGAGAGAATGGCCTGGGGCTCATCTGTTGCAGGTAGGATAATACATCAACTCTGTATATGAGGGTATTTTTCTTTTGTACTCATTGATCATTACTTTAAAAATTAGCAAACAATACTTAAGCAATATAAACATTTAAATTTCTTCTACGTAGAAATCAGATACTAAACTCTATTTTTTAAAAAACCTCACTGAAGCGGGAAGATCCCTTGAGCTGAGGAATTCAAGGCTGCAGTGAGCTCTGATTGACCCTGACTCTAAAAGCAAAACAAAAACAAAAATGCCTCAAACACCTCATACAGTTTGAAAATATCAGTTAAAGTCGAATATTGTAAAAATGTATGTGTCTTTAATATTGGTGCCTTGGTCATTCATTATATTAATAATATCTTGGGTTGGGCATGGTGGCTCACGCCTGTAATCCCAGCACTTTGGGAAGCTGAGGTGGGTGGACTGATTGAGTCCAGGAGTTCAAGAGCAGCCTTGGCAATATGGTAAAACCCCATCTCTACAAAAAAAAAAAAAAAAAAAAAGACAAGAAAAAAAATTAGCTGGGCTTGGTGGTGCACACCTGTAGTTCCAGCTGCTTGGGAGCCTGAGGTAGGAGGAACACCTGAGCCTGGGGAAGTCGAGGATGGAGTAAGCTGTGATTGTGCCACTGCACACCAGCCTGAGTGATGGAGTAAGACTCTGTCTCAAAAACAACAACAACAACAACAACAACAACAACAAAACCCATCTTTGATAGCCATCATGGTATGTACCATGATATTCATTTGGATATTAAGACTGATGATCAGTACCACAGATTTCATATTCTTCTGTTCCCATTCCTTGGCTTCCACAAGAGTGACTGGTTCTGCTGGAGCAGCATAACATCTGGAGTCATACACTCACCACCCAAGCCCGGACACAACTTGTTGATATTCATCTGCAAAGGGATTGTTGAGATGTCCACTGATTACAATGGTAGCTTCTGGACATAGATGCATCTTCTAGTACCCAGTACCAGCATCTAACCCTGGCTCATTTGTTACTGCCTGTTTGCTAGCTTATTCTTGAGTACTTAAACAGTTTGTTTACCATTTGGGAGGATAAAGATACCTGCTGATCTCTTAGGCTGTCATACCTACCTCACTAGCATGTTTGTTTATCCTATCTGCAAATTCAGCTTATGATTTTCCTTCATCAAAATGTCTTGCTTTTCCTGTATGACCTTGACTCCAATGTCATGCTGACAGACATGAGTCATGTTTCCAGTTTCAAAATATCACTTGATTATAAAAATGTCCAGTAGCTTCATACCACACACCTGAATAGTTTAGAAAGGAAGACACGGCAGTTCAAGGAAGGCTCATTGACTTTCTTCATTGAATCTGGTTAAGTTTGAAGAGGATTAAGTCATTTTTTAAGCCCAGTTGAAAGCTGGTTCAGTGCTTATGCTAGTCACCTCTTCTATCCACTTGTGAAAATCTTCTTTTGCCTGACAATCATATTTAATCTTGTTCTTGACCCTGATAAATCAGTGGAGGGACCCTTCATGTAGAGTATCATTGTGGTTCTAGTAGTGGGGGAGGCTGCACACGCATGCGAGGGTCTCTGATGCTACTGGCTAAAGTGGAAACTGGTGGGAGATGCTGGCATCTTACTTGCATAGCGCCCCCTGGAGATGACTGGGTGGTATATGAGTGTGGGCCTCAGTCATATGGTCTAGCTGAGTTTGCAGAGCTTCAAGGTCCCTTCTGGAATCCCACTGGTTTTCCATCACTATGGTTCTCAAGAAAATGCCCCCAGCCCTCTACACTCCTTAGAGCTTTAGGAATTGTCAGCCTATGACCCTGATCAATGGAGAGTTACCTCCTGATCTCCTCTCCAGGTATTTAGTCATAAAAAAAACACATTATATATTTATAACTTCAAAAATTTGAAACCTATTATCTTCTCATATGTATCTGAGTGAAATATTCTTTATCTGAATTAGTGTATACTGGGGAAAGGCTAGCTGGCTGGCTGGCTTCTAAGAATACTCAAGCACCTTTTCTGAAGTCATCAGTAAGATCCACCATGCATCATAATCTGGTTCCCCATTTTTGTACAAAAATTCAATGTTGTGAGTACCCCTGTGTGGTTATTTTAAAAGACTGACTCACGGACTAAAGTTATAGTAGACCTAGGTTCTAGGGATATCTCCCTACTCTCCTATGTTCTACTCATTATTCAATTTCATTTAGATTTGCACATCACCTTGCTTGCATTCTAAACCAGCCTGATGACATGCTTAATACCTGTTATTTGTCACAAGCACTGATCTCCAGTACTATAATCGCAGAACAGAATTTGGAAAAATCCGAGAATTTTTACTGTCTCTTGTTTAGAAAGGTTATAGTTAATTGCTTTAGAATCCAAAGCTACTGACATCCTTGAAGTGCTTTTCTGATGAACTATGTGACCATGGTTTTCAATCCACTAAAAAATTAAGAGCAAATAAAATTCTACATGAAAATGCATTAGGAACCAGAATTTGTTCCGGAGTGCTTTAGTGAATCTTAATTTTTATTAATGACCGAAAGCCTTCAGAATATTAAAATACACAAAAAATGAACTAACTCATTTACTAGCCAAAGAGGCAGAAACCAAATGTTTGAATTTCCTTGACTGGTCAAAGGTATAATACACATATTTTACCCTAAATTAGACTCAAAAGTTGTTCCCTTCCACTTGGTTTAAAAGGTTTAAGTATATGATAATGTAGTATTTAATTCTCTAGTGTTACTTCCCTTTTATTTTGAGGTGAAATTAAGAGAAAATATTTTCTAGGCAAAAAATTTCCTGAATAAGGTGTATTTTCTTTCCCCTCCAATTCTGAAACAAATCTGTGGCTAACAAGAATATCTACCAATAGAAACACTTTCCTCTTGACAGCTTAAAGAAGCTTCCAATGCTGGGATACGGAGCTGGGAATGTAAGCTGGCACCGGATCCTCTACCTTACCCACATACATCTCATTGTTGGTTATATCTCATGTCTGTCTCCCACTCAATTCTGGGGCTTCAGGGTCAACAATTCAGGGTTTTAGTCAAATCAAGGGGTCACAGGCCAAGAAACTGGATTTCATTTTGGATGCAGTGGGATGGGGAAGAGGTCTGTGAGCAGGGAATAAAATGAATAGAAGTCCAGTTGGGAAGATGAATCCTCTGGCACTGTGGAGAATGATCCAGAAGAGCAGAGGAGACAACTGTGGCAATAGTCAAAGAGCACTGCTGCCCTTAGGCAAGTCCTAAAGCAACTACAGTTCTGAGGAGGCAAAGGCAGTGAAAAGGGGCTATCTCAGCCTTGTGCCTCTTTCTGAAACAGAAAGCCACATTGACGCAAGTCAAACAACTGAACAAAAGGAAATAACTAAACAAAAGGTAATAATCCTTTATGCACCATCTACCTTTCTACCCTTCTACCATTGCTCACACACACACTGGCACCCACACACTGTCACATTCACAAATGGATTTTTCTATAGTTGTTTTATGTTTAAAATTTTTTAAGTTTGGGTATATTTCTCAGAGTACATCTAGAAAAAATGCAAGATGATGTATTAAGAGATTTATATAAACTACAGGTGAGTCATACATAATTCCTCGGAAACTAAGAATAAGAAACTTGTCCTCTGAACATGAAATCAGTTTCTCACATGTTCTTCTGCTTCTTGATAGACTCTTTTTCAATATTACTAACTGCCTTTTCTTCCATAGCCATCTCTTTAAAAAACTGAGATATAACTCATTTACCACAAAACACACCTTTTAAGAGTATACATTTTAATGGTTTTTACTGTATTCTTAAAGTTGTACAACCATCACCACAATCTGATTCTGATTTTTTTTTTCACTACCCAAAAAGGAAATCAATAGCCATCATTCCCCATTTCCCTCGACTGAAACTCTAATCCACATTCTGTTTCTACGGATTTGTCTATTCTGAACATTTCATATAAATGTAATAATACAATATGTGTGCTTTTGTGTCCAGATTTTTTTTATTTACATAGTATTTTCAAGGTTTATCTGTGTCATAGTATGTATCAGGAACTCATTACTTTTTACAGCTGAGTAATCTTTCATTTTATGGATATACCACATTTTGTTTACCTATCCATCAGTGACTGGGAATTTGGGTTGCTTATACTTTTTGGCTATTTATGAATCATGCTGCTTTGAACATCTGTGCACAAGTTTTAATGCAAACCTACATTTTCAATTATCTTGGTATATCCCCTAGGAGAGGAAATGCTGGATTTTATAATTCTAAGTTTAATTTTTTGAGAAACCATCAAACTGTTTTCTAAAGTGGTTGGGCTGTTTTAAATTCCCATTGTAAAATACGAAGATTCCAATGTGTATTCATGTCTTTTCCAACACTTCCTATTGTTTGTCTTTTTTAATACAGCCATCCTAGGGGGTGTGAACTAGTGTTTCACTGTGGTTTTGGTTAGCATTTCCATAATGACTAATGGTGTTGAGCATCAGTGGTGTTGATCTGCTTACTGGTCATTTGTATACATTCTTTGGAGAAATGTCTATTCAACTCCATTGCCCATTTGTCAGTTGTATTATGTCTTTTTGTTGTTGACTTGCAAAATTCTTTATATAGTCTATTAGGTTTTTATCAGCTGGATGATTTTCTCCCATTCTGTGGGTTGTCTTCATTTTCTTTCTTTCTGTCTTCTTCATCTTCTTTTTTTTGTCACTCTGTCACCCAGGCTGTAGTGCGCTGGTGCACTCACTGCAACCTCTGCCTCCTGGGCTTAAGCTATCCTCCAACTTCAGCTTCCTGAGTGGCTGGGACTACAGGCACATGCCACTACATCTGGATAATATTTCTAATTTTTGTAGAGACGGGGTTTCACCATGTTTCCTAGGCTGGTCTGAACTCCTGGACTTAAGCAATCCTCCTGCCTTAGCCTCCCAAACTGTTGGGATTACAGGCATGAGCCACTGCACCCAGCCATCTTCATTTTCTTGATGTTGCTGTATTCTTTGAAGTACAAAAGTTTTTAATTTTGATGAAGTCCAATTTACCTCTTTTCTCTTTTATCACTTCTGCTTTTGTTGTGATATTTAAGAAATTATTGTCTTATCCAAGGTCATAAACATTTTCTGGTATGTTTTACACTTTTATAAGTTTTATAATTTTAGTTCTTACATTTAGGTCTCACAAGTTGCTATTGACAAATTATCTCGGTTTGTGTTTATCTGAGAATATTCTTCATTTTAAAAGGACATTACTGGAAGTAGAATTCTTGGTTAACAGTGTTTTTCTTTAAGGGCTTTTAGTATTTCATTCCACTGCTTTCTGACCTTCATGGTTTCCAAAGAGAAATTAGCTGTTAATCTTTATTTCTTTAGACATAATATTTTAGTTCTTTGAACATATTTCAAGTAACTTATTTAAAGTCTTTGTCTATTAAATCCAACATCTGTGCTTCCTCAGGAACAGTTTCTATTATTTTTCCCCCTGCCCACGGGAAATAAAGTGTGCCCATGCCACACTTTGTTTCTTTGCATGTCTCATAATTATTTTGCAGAAAACTGGACATTTTCAATATTTTAGTATGGCAACTCTGGAAATCAGATTCTCTTCCTTCCCCCAGGGTTTGTTGTTGTTGATGGGGACTTTTGTTGTAATAGTGGTGGTGATACTGTTTATTTAGTGACTTTTCTGAACAAATGCTGTAAAGTCTGTGTTCTTTGTCATGTGTGGCAGCTGAAGTTTCTGCTTGGCTAGTTAGTGGTCAGCTAATGATTGGGTAGAGGTTTCTTTAAATGCCTGCAAACAATAAGTCTTCCAGTTTTCTCATTGCTTTTATGGAAAAGAGACTTTGTGGAGGCTTTTACTCTGTCATTTTCCCTGACATCCTCTCAGTACACTTGTTCACTGTTGTTTGCTACAGGGTTACATTCTTTCCCCTTTTCTCTTATTCCACAAAATTTCTCTGGGCAATATCATACACATCTAGGTCTTAAAATTCTACCCCAAATTTATTGACTTGCAAAACTACATCCTCAGCATAAACATTTTCCCTGGAAGATGTATTTGTAAATGATCAATAGTCATTTCTATGTGTATGTTTTACAGATGTCTCTAGCTCAACAGGTCTTAAACCACTCACCCACTCAGTCACACAAACTAGAAAACTGGGAGGCACGCTAGACTACTCCTTTATCTTCAATTCTTCACTAAAACACCTCCTATCAAATCTTACAACATTCCACCAAGCTCATCATTATCTTATCACATTATACATACCCCATGGAAAGCATTTATTTACATGGATGTTCTTACTAGACTATAGGCATCTTGTGAGCAGGAATTGTATATATTTATCATCTTATTCTAGGACTCATCGTGATGCCTAACTCATTATACTCAGCCAAATGCTTTATCTGTGTAGCAGGATTGTATTTTCCAAAGATGGCCGCATCAATATATTCCTCTTCCCACACGCTCTTTTCCCTATATAGTGTCGATGCTCCATCAAGGGGTGGAGTCAAGGAGCTCTCATCTCTTGAATGTGGGAAGACCTTTACAAGTGCCTTCACCAAATGAATGTGACAGAAATGACACCACTTGAAATCTAAGGCTAAGTCTAAAAGGTGATATGAATTCCACCTGGCTTTCTGTCCCAGGACATGAGCCATGGAGTACTGAGCTAACATGTGAGATATCCAGGTACCCTGAAGCTGTCATGTAGACAGACTACATAGAGATAGAGATGCCAGAGGAGCTCCAGCTATATGTATCTTCTCTCTCCAAGTACCAGGAGCGTAAGTGAAGAAGACTTCAATATGACCTCAGTTCCAGTTACTGTCTGACTGAAACCACATGAGACACTCAAGGCCAGAACCATTCAGTTAACGAGCCTCCAAATTCCAGAAACAGTAAGAGATAATATTGCTGTTTGAAGCCACTACACATTTTGTGGTGATTTTGTTATACAACATTAGATAACTAAAACAATAAATGAAGAAATGAAGATTAGAGTGGAGATATATCAATATCCCCTTTCATTTCTCTACCATGCATCATTTTAAAGTGGAAAATAGTTTTAAATATGTGCTTAAAACAAAAGTATCTCAAATTTATATCAAAAAGTTTCAAGATGTAATTAATGTGGATATAAAATGAACATACATCTAGCAAGGAAGTCCTTTCTCCAAATACCTTAGGTGTTACATTATTTTCTCAAAATATAAATGACTGCACTATGTAATCAAGTATCACATGCCATCTTAAAAGGTAAAACCCCTGTTCTTTACTCCCTCCCAATAGATAATTTCATGAAGATAATTTCTGGATCATCCACGTTAGAAGTTTCTAGTACTATAATATCTAAGTGCATCATGTTCATGCATTGACTGCTCTTAGGCAAACTTTTGCTAAATTAAATGTCTTACTGTGTTTTTGTAGTTTCCTAGTCAAAAGAGCATTTTTATGAATCATGAGCATTTCTGTTGATTCTTATTTTTTACACAGCAAAATTTAATAAACTTAAAAATAGTTTATAATGATGGACTATTCAATATATCCTAGATGTAGACAAATCCACTGTGTGTGTGTAGCACAAGTTTAACCTCAAGCTAATAGCTGTTAATATCTTAGGATTACATTTCTTTAGAACAGATCCTTATTTAACATAGATAAAAGAAACAACATTAAATGAAACCTCATCCAGAAGAATTTTCTAACTTTCAATAACCTCTCAGCATGTTTTAAAAAACGAGTTGGGATTAATTACTTTTAATTTTTAAAAATGTGTTTCGTCTGGTTTCCCTAAGCCAAAAGACATGTTAATTTAAATAAACACAAGAGAAGCTTTGTATTTTGATTCACAAATATAAAAGAAAATTTTTCTGAATTATTAAAATTAGATGAGCCGCTCATAACACTGTTTTGTATTCTATGTCTATAAAGCTCTTTTCAAAAGAACAAATTTCAGTCATTTATCCATTTCAAATGTAGATGAATACATCTAATTACTCACTCAACACGTATGTTTGAAGCCCCATATCGACACAAAATTTCTCCTAGAAGAGATATTAGGAGAAATTTCCTTAATTGACATTTCATTTTGCTTAATACATTAATCATAATTTCCATTAAGTGTGTTTCTGATGACATCATTTAAAAAGTATCTTCTCTGAGTTTTAATTTCTAATTCCAGTCTGCTGCATTCTGGGCAGAATAAGAAACTGAATGAAAAAATTACTACTGCTTTGTGAATTATTTAAAATGCATTATATAGAGGGTAAATATAAAATTTATTTTCAAAACTAGACAAATTTTGAGAATAAAAGTAATGTTAAGAATTATACTGAAAAATAAGCATTGAAACTGGAACCTGTGGTCATTCTAAATATGAATCATATCCTCAGTATGATATTAACAATATTAAATATCACCATGTTAGGTGAGGGCCACAGTCCATCTAGCAAAGGACAAACTCTGTACAATTAATTTTTTTTTTTTTTGAGACGGGGTCTCACTGTGTCACCCAGGCTGGAATGCAGTGGTGTCTCAACCTCCACCTCCTGGGTTCAAGCAATCCTCCCACCTCAGCCTCCAGAGTAGATTGCAGTACAGGTGCACACTACCACATGTGGCTAATTTTTGTATTTTTAGTAGAGATGGGATTTTGCCATGTTGACCAGGCTGGTCTCAGACTCCTGAGCTCAAGTGACCTGGCCACTTTGGCTCCCAAAGTGCTGAAATTACAGGCAGGAGCCACCATACCTGGCCTACAAGTAATCTTTATAGTGGCAGGAAGAGTCATAAGTGTCCTCATTAACATCATCATTTTCATGTGTTTTATGATATTTTACTATTTCTATGACTACCGTAATACCTCACTTGCCCAGAGATCAGAGTTCCAGTGGCAATGGTGTGTATTATTTAGGAGCTGCCCTTAGTCCCTTGCTCATGCTACTTGTTGTATAAACTCAGTCAACAAATTAAAAGCAGCTGCCAAAAGCATAAAGTAACAACTGAAAGAAAAGGGAGGAGACGGAAGAACTATAAAAAGGAGAGAAAACTGGGATAACAATGTGGGGTAGATTTTATTGTAGGGAATCTTTTATGTGGTATCAAAACATTCTCAATGATGACTCTGAGTTGATGTCTTTAGCATTTTTCGTTTAAAAGAGTAGAGGAGTAAGTAGAGCGTGCTAGAAAAATATCCTTCAAAATGGTAAGCTTTGGCACATATATTGAGATTACATTTTAGTTTTTTGGAAACTGACTTGCGGAACATTTTATTCCTGGACAATATCTGATAAATGAGGTATTCCTGTACTTCCTTTTATTTGGCTTGAAACAATCTCTTTAAAACTCTTTTAAGCAGTGCTTTGTTGAAAAAATAATCTGAATTAATCCATCCATGGTTTTAGCAAATTTTGCCATAGAATCTCTCAATGTTCTGCCTAAAATCAAAACTTTAAAAAAATCTTCATATGGAAACACCTTCATTCTCTTTATCACTTTAGTTTTCCTGTTTCAAATGTTTACCAGTTCTGTATTATTTTCAGAATTTTAAGCTGCATTATGGATCCATTCAAATAATATTTGACACAAAAGCAGAAAAAAATATTTTATTATTTTGTCCTATTCTGTTTCCAGAGGGTTATAAGTATCTGTGTCAATACTACTGTTTGGTGAAATCAAGACCCAAGAATTATTCTTGACAGAATCTTTCCAGTCTCAATTAGGGTGCTATAGTTGGAAAACATTAGAGATTCATCCATCTATCTATTCAACACACTTGTACTGGTGCCTAAAACATGCCAGGCATGTGCCCAGGGGAAACAAGCATGCATAAACAAGTAAAACAATAACAAAAACAGTAATAATAAATCATAAGGATTGAGAAGTAGTGTAGAGAAAAAAGGTAGTGTACAATAATAGAAAGTGATGGGGGATATTCTAACATTTGGGTGGAGAGTAGGTAGTCATTGGAAAATACAAGATCCACTATGGTTTGAACGTGTCCCACGATATTCATGTGTTGGAAAGTTAATCCTCAATGCAACTGTGTTAAGAAGTGGGAACCGTAAGAGGTGATTAGATCATGAGGGCTCTAATATCATTAATATGGTTTGGCTCTGTGTCCCCACCCAAATCTCATCACAAATTGTAATCCCCACATACTGGGGGAGGGCCCTGGTGGGAGGTGACTGAATCATGGGGGTGGAATTCCCCTTGCTGTTCTTGTGATAGTGAGTGAGTTTTCATGAGATCTGATGGTTTAAAAATGTGTGGCACTTCCCCCTTCTCTCTCTCCTGTTCCACCATGGATGGGAAGATGTGTCTTGCTTCCCCTTCACCTTCTGCCATGATTGTAAGTTTCCTGGGGCCTCCCAGTCATGCTTCCTGTTAAGCCTGCAAAACTGTGAGTCAATTAAACCTCTTTTCTTCATAAATTACCCAGTCTCAGTTCTTTGTAGCAGTGTGAAAATGGACTAATACAGAAAATTGATACTAGGATTTGGGCACTGCTATAAAGATACCTGAAGATGTGGAAGTGACTTTGGAACTGGATAACGAACAGAGGTTGGAACAGTTTGGAGGGCTCAAAAGAAGACAGAAAGATGTGGGAACGTTTGGAACCTCATAGAGATTTGTTAAATGGTTTGACCAAAATGGTGACAGTGATGTGAACAATGAGGTCCAGGCTGAAGTGGTCTCAGATGGAGATAAAGAACTTATTGGGAAGTGGAGTAAAAGTCATTCTTGCTATGCTTTAGCAAAGAGACAGGCTGCATTTTGCCCCTGCCCTCGAGATCTCTAAAACTTTAACTCAAGGGAAATGATTTAGGGTATCAGGTGGAAGAAATTTCTAAGCAGCAAAGCATTCAGGATGTGATTGGCTGCTTCTAAAAGTGTATGCTCATATGCATGAACAAAGAGATGTTCTGAAATTGTAACTTATATTTAAATGGGAAGCAAAGCATACAAGTTTGGAAAATTTGCAGCCTGACCATGTGGTAGAAAAGAAAAACCCATTTTTGGGGGAGAGATTTAAGTAGGTTATAGAAATTTGCACAGAGGAGCCAAATGTTAATAGCCAAGACAATGGGGAAATGTCTCCAGGGCATGTTAAAGACCTTTGTGGCAGCCCCTCCCACCATAGGCCTGGAGGACTAGGAGGGAAAAATGGTTTTATGGGCCCCTCTGCTCTGTGCAGCCTGGGGACATGGCACCCTGTATCCCAGCCTCTCTGGCTCCAGTTGTAGCTAAAAGGGGCCAACATACAGCTCAGGCCATTGCTTCAGAGGGTACAAGTCCCAAGCCTTGGTGGCTTCCACATGGTGTTGGGCCTGTGTGTGCACAGAAGGCAAAAGTTTGGGAGCCTCCACCTAGATTTCTGAGGATGTATGGAAATGCCTGAATGTCCAGGCAGAAGTCTGTTGCAGGGGCAAAGCCCTCATGGAGAACCTCTAGTAAAGCAGTGCAGAGGGGAAATGTGGGGTTGGAGCCCCCATACAGAGTCCCCACTGGGGCACTGCCTAGTGGAGCTGTGAAAAGAGGGCCACCATCCTCCAGACCCCGGAATGCTAGTTCCACTGACAACTTTCACCTTGCATCTGAAAAAGCTGCAGCCACTCAATGCCAGTCCATGAAAGCAGCTGCTGAGGCAGTACCCTGCAGAGCCACAGTGGCAGAGCTGCCCAAGGCTGTGAGAGCCCACCCCTTGCATCAGCATGCCATATATATGAGACATGGATTCAAAGGAGATTATTTTGGAGCTTTAAGATTTAATGACTGCCCTGTTGGGTTTTGGACTTGCGTGGGTCCTCTAGCCCTTTTCTTTTTGCCAATTTCTCCCTTTTGGAATGGCAGCATTTACCCAATGCTTGTACTCCCATTGTATCTTGGAAGTAACTAACTTGTTTCTGATTTTACAGGCTCATAGGTGGAAGGGACTTGTCTTAGCTCAGATGAGACTTTGGAATTGCACTTTTGAGGTAATGCTGGAATGAGTTAAGACTTTGGGGGACTGTTGGGAGGGCATGATTGGTTTTGAAATGTGAGAAGGACATGAGATTTGGGAGGGGTCAGGGATAGAATGATATGGTTTGGCTCTGTGTCCCCAACCAAATTTCATCTTGAATTGTAATCCTCACGTGTCAGGGGAGGGGCCTGGTAGGAGGTGATTGAATCATGGGGGTGGACTTCCCCCTTGCTGTTCTTGTGATAGTGAGTTCTCATGAGATCTAATGGTTTAAAAATGTATAGCACTTCCCCCTTCTCTCTCTCTCTCATGTTCCATCATGGGAAGATGTGCCTTGTTTCTGCTTAGTCTTCCACCATGATTGTAAGTTTCCTGAGGCCACCCAGTCATGCTTCCTGTTAAGCCTGCAGAACTGTGGCCTCCCAGTCACGCTTCCTGTTAAGCCTGCAGAACTGTGAGTCAATTAAACTTCTTTTCTTCATAAATTACCCAGTCTCAGGTAGTTCTTTATAGCAGTATAAAAATGAACCAATACAATCATGAATAGATTAATGTCATCATTGCAGAAGTGGGTGTGATACAAAATTGAGTTTGGCCCTCCTCTTTTTCTCTCTCACCATGTGCCTTCTGCCATGTTATGACACAGCAAGAATGCCCTTACCAGATGTAGCACCTTGATCTTGGACTTCCCATCCTCCAGAACCATGAGCCCAAGGAATTTCTATTCTTTATAAATTACTCAGTGGTGTTCTGTTATAGTAGCACATAATGGACTAAGATAAGATCTGAGGGGGGAAATCCAGACAAAGAGAAAAAATAACTTCAAAGGCCTTAGGTAGGAACAAGCTTGAAATACTTACAAAAGGCAGGAAAACCACATGCTGGATCCATGTAACTGAGGGGGAGAGGAGTAGGGGATAAGCTGAAGAGATGGGCAGGGGCCAGATTTCCATTTTGTTTCAATACTGATGAGAAGCCATTGGAGGGTTTTTAGCATGGAATTATATAATCTCATTTATTTTCCAACAGATTTGATTGTTGTACAAATGAACTGTTGGAGGAAGTAGGTATGAAAATAGGAAGACCAGGTGGGAGTTACTGCAACAGTCCAGTGAAGAGTCAATTTAGATTTATTTTAGACTTGGGTGGTAATGACAGACGTGATGGGAAGTGGTTTGATGTAAGATATATTTGAAGCAGCAGGAATTTTTGGTAGGAAGAATGTAGGCGTGAAAGAAAGAAATGTGTCAAGTATGACTCAGTACTAGTTATGATATGAAGAATATTGGGGAAGAATTAAGAGCTCTGTTTCAGAAATATTAAGTGCCAGACATCTATTAGAATTTCAAGGAAGGTGTTTAGGAAAAGGTTGAATACCAGCCTGGAACTTCAGAAAGAGACTAGGACTAGAGATACAAACTGGAAGTCATCAGCATATAGATGGCATTTAAAGCAATGAGACTGCACAAGATGAGTTAGGGACTGAGTAAAGGAAGTGGGGGGGGGAAGATAAGGTGGTGTTACTAAAGGAGATGGAGTAGGAGCAGCTAGCCAATTAGGAGAAATTCCTGGAGACCACGATGTTCTTCCTAACTGATAATGTGATTAAAACCTATCAGAGAAGGAGTGATCAATGGTGTCAAAACTTCTGAGAAGTCAACTGTGATGAAGACTAAAGACAGAGCACTGCATTTAGTGCAGAGATCACTTGTTGATTGGACAAATGTTTCAACATATTGAAGTGGCGAAGAGCCTCATTGCCATGAATAAAAGAAGAGAATATAAGGCAGTAGAATAATTAAGTATTAATAGAAAGACCTTTTGAAGACTCTGGTTACAAAGATAAACAAAGACGTGGCACAGTGATTGAAGTGAGATTTGGATTGCAACAGAGCATTTACTGGTAGTTGAATATATACCCCCCTCCCTATTGCATCTCCCCTTCCCCACACACATTTCCTAGCCCCCTGCAGGTAGGTGGAGCCTTTTGTCTAGTTCTGGCTAATGGGCTGTGATTGGAATATGGGTCATTTCTGGGCCAAAGTACAAAGAATTGGGTGTGAGCTCTTCATATCCTGTCTCCTCTAGCCATCGGTGACCAGTAGTGTTCAAGATAATGGAATCTTTCTATCAACCAACATTGAACTTACAATCTGAAAAAGTATTAATCACATTAAATTATTGATAACTAACCAGTTTAGATCTATAAAAACAGCACTTTCTTATGGTTTCACTTAACAAATCTTTGCTGAGTGAAGCCACTGAGATGTGGGGGTCAATTTGCTACCACAGTATAACTTAGAATAATTTGGCATACGTGATCAAAGAATTCTTTAACATATTATTTCATATTTTTATATTTTTGAAATAATGTATCAGAGAGAAAAATATTGATATAAGAGAAATGGTGGATAATTATAGGAGAAAAACCCTTGAATAAGGATGAGGAGTGTAGTGTACTAGTGAAGACCTTAGACAGAGGTACACATTTCCATAAGGAAGAAATCCATCTACCCTAAAGGAGGGAAGGTGGAACATGGATATAGATGCAATTGCAGAGTAGATTTGGGATGGGCAGATAAAGTGGTTCTCTTCTGTTTGCCTCCACTTTTCCAGTGAAATCGAGGTCATCATCTCAGAACAGAAATGAAAAGGCAGTGTTGGAGGTTTGAGAAGAATAGACGGAGATGAAATTTTCTACTGGGAAAATGAATTAACATTGCAGTGCTGAGGGCTCTTTGGCCTTACGTTCAAGGGAAGATAGTTAACATAAGTGTCTTCTCTTGAACCATGGTCAAGTGTTTAGATACTGTAGTAGAGTACATGAGTGTTTGGTGTAGCCAGGGTTGGGGATTGCCAATGAGGAAGGTAGAGGTAAATAGGGGCAAGGAAGCTGAGAGTAGTTCAAGGAAGTGGTTACTCTGATGGACCATGAAATCTAAGCTGAGAAGTGAAAACATGAAGAAGTTAATGGAAAGTGGAAAATGATGTTAATCGATTGTAAGTCCCACAGGGCAAAAAACTGCTAGTGTGAGGACGCTAACCTAACTGAGTTAGAAATGTGGGGGTTGGGGAGGGCAGAGAGAATGGAATGCCAGAAACCAAAATTTTCAAGGTGGTACAGTTACTGGAATTGTTAAAGACTCTAGTCATACCCCTGAACAGGTGGCTGAGGTGGAGAACTGATGAGCTCAAGAAACCGAGAGGCCAATGAGTTGTAATAATCTCATTCATGGGCTAATCCATCCAACATCATATTGGCTATGAGCAATTATGATTTAGGGTAGGACATGCTTTGTTCTTCCTGTGCTAGTTTTATCACATACAAGTTATAGCCATGAAAGTGAAGCGCTGTGAATGAGATAGTGTGAAGCAATATCTAAATTTTTACAAGTGAAGTGTTATTTAAATGAAAATTTCTTGAAAAATTGCTTTTCTTAATTTTATAAATCTCCTATTTAGAACCGAAAACTAAAGAGCCTGGCTTTTCTGTAATAACAGAATGCCTCATTTTTGGTCTACAACTCTAAATTGAAGTGGTATTTTACTACTAAATACCTGTAAATTATTCTCTTTTTCTTTCCATAATTAATACATAATTTTCTGTCATTGCTGCTTTCCAATCCTAATCATATGTATTAAAATACATTTTTTTTTCTTTTTTTTGAGATGGAGTCTCACTCCATTGCCCAGGCTGGAGTGCAGTGGCTTGATCTCGGCTTACTGCAAGCTCCACCTCCCGGGTTCATGCCATTCTCCTGCCTCAGCCTCCTGAGTAGCTAGGACTACAGGCGCCCGCCACCACGCCTGGATAATTTTTTGTATTTTTAGTGGAGACAGGGTTTCACCATGTTAGCCAGGATGGTCTTGATCTTCTGACCTCATGATCCACCCGCCTCGGCCTCCCAAAGTGCTGGGATTACAGGCGTAAGCCACCGCACCCGGCCTAAAGAATTTTTTATTGCTGAAAAGTATCTTACTTTCCCTTGATTTTTCATTTTCTCTGGGATATTTCTCCAGGATATTTACATGGGGAAGAAAATGGCCTTTTCCTCCTTGTAGATGATTCAGTTAAGAAAGGAATAGAATTGGCTTAAACCTCATTGCTCCAAAACGACCCTAAGAGCTCCAAGAAAATTTTTCCACATTCATCAAAATCTGCAGTCTGAAGCAGCTGACAAGGGCACCTGAAGCAATCCAACAAGTCAGCCCGTTTATAATTGAAGGCTTTTATTGAACTATTTTTGGATCCTGTTATATATTATCTCCACAAGAAAACAACCAGATTAAAATGAAATACTACAATGGAACAACAAAACTTCAGTTTTATTTACATAAAAGGCAACCTTCTAAAAAAGCATCCCTAATCTCTCAAAGACAATGATAAGGCAATCTGGCAGCTTGAAAAGTCAAAGTGACTTTCAAGCATTGTTGTTTAAACTGACAAAAATTTCTACAGATGCCAATGCAAAATTAAAAAAAAGAAGTAACACGTTTAAAATATATACACTTTAGAGTTTATATAGAATAAAAGCTTTTTTTGAACTTTTCTAGGATTGAAAACAAAAGCAAACATTGCTCTTCCAAAGCCATTATCGAGCAGAAAAATATTCATACAGAAGTAAAAATCTACAGTGCAAATTAAAGCAGAGAGAAACAATCTAGAATAAAACATTATTTCAAATAAGATAATGTATGCATGAGTGAGCATTTCCTCTGAATCCAGGTGACTAGCAGGGCATGATGGGAAGATTACACTTCTTGTCATCCTATACAGAAACACCAAGAAAAGGTCTGGTGTCTCTCCAGGGGCAAGGACCAATAATTCTTCGAGAAAAGGCATACTGAGAGGATTCTTTAAGTCAAATGGATCTAAGATCAAGTCCAAAGTGATCAATAAGAGCTGAAAGATCAGTCAAGTACCAAATACTCAAGGAAACTCATCAACGTAGAAACAAGAAACAGGGAAGGGGACTTGTGAACAAAAGGTGTGGGCAATGAGGAATTAGGAACCCAATCAGAGCCTCGTTGGGAAATGAGGAATGTGGCAACAAGCATGAATTGGTTCATAAAACCAATGATCTTGTGAAACAGGAGCTGCTTCTATCTTTTGCTCATAGTGACCTATCTGAGCCAACAGATGGTTGGATTTGCTTGGAAATAGCATGAGAAGCCAACATTCCTGACATAGGTGTTGGAGAAAGACACACTAGAATCTTGGTTCTGCAACTTGTAGCTGTGTAACTCTGAGCCAGTTGTGTAATTCCTCTGAGCCTCAGTATCGCCTACAATTCTAAAGCATTCAGTGAGTTGGGAGAATTAAAGTAGATAAGGTGCGTGAAAGTGCTTTACACATGGAAAGCACACAATCAGTATCTTCTTCCATTAGGCCAATACACCTGTATATTGCTTATTGTTTAATTTACACCAATTATTTTCAGGAATTTATTTGAGCACAAGGAAGTGTGGAATTAAGAATCTGTGTTGTATCTGACTTTAAAAAATACAGAGAAGATCGTTCATTTTTTTTATGACATTGACAATGTCAACGTTTAACACAAACAATTCTATTTTAAAATCTTGTATTTCCTGATCAATCTGTTGGGAGTGAAAATTAGAAGAGAGGGTAGTAAACAAAGTAAGAATTTGCAAACATAGTTGAACTCAGATAATAAATACCTATATCCTCTACAGGTGCCCTTTTCTCATAATAGAAAAGAGATGAGAAGACATGAAAAGTGAAAGCTTAAAAAGACAGTACCCATGTAAGGCAAGAGTAGAATCTGTTCAGAGAGGTTACTTGTCTAGGGCTGCTTAGCTAGTTATTGACAGGGGCTTTGCTAGAACTCACATCTCTTGTGGAATGTGTGTCTAACATATTCTCACCAAAGAAGAAGCGTATGCATTATTTCCTCAGTGAAGCCCTTTCTTGGTCCCAAAACCAAGCTGTCTGCTCTGTATGCTCTCATAGCTTTCTCTATTTCCCTTTTCAACACAGTCATCAGGCATATTGTTACCATGTGGATAATGGAGTGAGTGGTTAAAAGCATAGGTTCTGGTGTCAAACTGTTTGAATCTTGTCTCTCCAAATTATTCAAACGATTTAAGCATCCAAAAAGAATAAAAGCACTTAATTTACAGAGATGTAGTGAGGAGACAATAAACCTTTACAACAATGCTTGACACAGTGCAATAAATGTTGGCCATTTGTATTATTAGTAAGGATAATTAAGGCAAGGAGTGTTTAATACTGGATGTCCAACACAGAGTGGTGCTCTCCCCAAAGATAGCACAGGATGTGTCCCCTGTCAAACCCTCAGAGGAATTGCAAACCTATAAAATTAATAAACTTTGAAAGTAGTTGTGTGATTATGTTTGCTAAATAAAGGCAGTTCCAATTGGCACAAATTTCAGTTTTCATGGTTTAGTTTAAACAAACTCAGTGCCCTACCAACATAGTTAAAATTTCAGTTACCACAGTCTATCTTCTGTGGTGAAGAGCCTATTAAACCATTTTCTGATTTTTAAAAGTATGTTTTCTTCTTATTGAGTTCTTTATATATGCTGTATAAAAATACTTTTTCAGGTATATATTTTGCAAATATTTTCTCCAAGACTAGTTTGTCTTTTTATTTTCTTAAGAGTGTCTTCTGAAGAGTAAAAGTTTTATTTCTGATGATTTCTAATTTATCAATTTTTTCTTCCATAGTTCATAATTTCTGAGTCCAATTGAAGAAATGTTTGTCTAAATCAACATCACTAAGGTGCCCTATGTTTCTTCCAAGGGTTTTATACTTGCAGCATTTATGTTGAGGTCTACAATTAATTTCAAGGTAACTTTTGTGTAACTGTGAGGTAAAAGTTGAGGTCTTCTTTATCTCCATGTGAATACCCAATTGTTCAGAACTATTTGTGGAAAGACTATCCTTCCCCCATTCATTATCTTAGCACATTTTTGTCAAAAATTGATTGATTATAAATGTGTAGGTATATTTCAAGACTCTTTATTTTGTTCCACTGGTTGATATGTTAATCTTTACACCAATACCACATTCTCTTGATTACTATAGCTTTATGGTTAGTCATGAAATCAGGAGGTGTAATTTCCCCAACTCCATTCTTTTCCAAAATTGATTTGACAATGCTGTAATGAAATTTAGAGCCAGCTTGTCAAATTCAACAAGAAAACTGCTTAGGTTTGGATGAGGACTGCACTTGATCTAAGGATCAATCTGGGAGAAATGACATTCTTACAAGGTTGAGTCTTCCTGCCCATGAACTTGGTATTTCCTTCCATTTAATTACATCTTTACTTTATGCCACAAAAGTTTAGTTGTCAGCACACAGATCTTGGATATATCCTGTTAAACAAGTATTTCATATTTGTGATGATGTTGTAAATGGCTGATTTTAAAAAATTCAATTTCCAACATTCATTGCAAATACATAAAAATATAACTGATTTTGCATATGGACTTGGTACACCATGACCTTGCTAACTTTAGTTATTGGTTCTTGTAGTTTTGTATTTTTGCAGATTCCTTTTATCTCATGTAGATGACATGTCTGCAAATAGACAGTTTTACTTCTTCCTTTCTGATTTGTATGCCTTTTATTTCTTTTTCTTGCCTTGTTGCACTTCCTACGACCTCCAGTATAAAGTGAATAGAAGTGGTAACAGTAGATGTCTTTTCCTTGTTACCAATCTTGGGAAAAAATAATATGGTCTGTCATCATTAAGTATGATTTTAGTTGTTGGTTTTTCTTTTTCTGGTGTCTTTTCTTTTTAAAAAAGTTTTTAAAAAACATTTTTGCTGAAATATAAATCACATACCATAAAAATCACCCATTAAAATGTCCAATTCAGTAGTTTTGGTATACTCACAAAGTTGTACAACCATCACTACAGTCTAAGTTGTTTTTTAAAAAAATTTTAATTTTTTATTCCCATAGGTTATTGGGGAACAGGTGGTGTTTGGTTACATGAATAAGTTCTTTAGTGGTGATCTGTGAGATTCTGGTGCACCCATCACCTGAGCAGTATACACTGCACCCAATTTGTAGTCTTTTATCCCCCACCCCCTTCCCACCTTTTTCTCCTGAGTCCCCAAAGTCTTTTGTATCATTCTTATGCCATCTGTTCTTTATTGGCTCTTTGAATAGGTGTTAAACTTTTAATGCTTTTTCTACATCTACTGATATAATATGATTTTTCTTTTTTAGTCTTAATATAGTGAATTACATTGATTTTTTAAAAATTTTGAACCAACTCTGCATTCCTGAGATAAACCCTACCTGACCTTGATGTGCTATCCTTTTTATATATTGATGGATTTGATTGGCTAATATTTTGTTAAGTGATTTTTTGTGTGTGTCTGTAGTCTGTAGTTCTTTTTCTCTTGCAATATTAATATCTAGTTTTGTTATCAGGATAATGATAAGTTCATAAGGTGACTTGGAAAATGTTTCTCTTTTATTTTCTGAAACAGTTTGTGTTGAAATGGCATTATTTCTTTCTTAAATGTTTGGTAGAATTCACTGGTGAAGTCACCTGGTATAAAATGCACTTGTTTATTCATTATTCCTAAACTAATTCCATAAAAACATTGTGGAGGCAGTTGCTTATAATTCTTTCTTCCAGCAAATGCTAGCAGTTACTTGCATACAGAGATTGCCAAATAAGTATCTGTGAAAGCAAAAACTAAAATGTTACATACCTTTGTTTTTTTCTGCCTCACTTAAAAATATTTTGTGTGTGAACAAACAATATGAGTGATGATTTATATAGGTATATATTATACAAAATTAATTTTAAATGAAGTATAATATTAAGGGCTATTTTTAAAACCCAGGTATAAGGAGATTGCTACTTATTATTTAACAAACATAGATATTCAGCATATTGACTAATGTTCTTCATTTAATTTGGTGGTTAATTAAACCATTTAGGTTATGAGAACAAAATCAAAGTACTGTCTAGTTAAAAACGTTTCAAAACAGGTGCTAAAATATGGGACTGAAACAACCAATAGCTATTTAACGGAGAAAGATTACAAAATCATTTCCTAAATAACTTTCTTCTTTCCTTCTTGCAAGATCAGATCAAAGCAAAAATCAGATTCCCTTCATGTTCATGCAAGTTCCTGTTCCTGTGATTTTTAAAAATCTGATTCCTCCAAAAATTGTCTTTCAAAAACTGTCCTATTTATTTCTAGCTTCTTGAACAATAACAATTAGGTTTATAAAAATTGGACAAATTTTGTTTTGGCTCTATTCATTAGATCTCACAGGGTACTTCAAAAATAAACCAATTCCAACATCTGGATTTTTTATCAAAGTGCTGTCTAATTCCTTGGCCATATGAGGCATATTTTAAAAAGATGGTACAGAGCAGTTAAAAATCATGCTGAAACACCACTCTGGAAACTTTTATAGTATTTTATTTTCAGCTTATAACCTAGTAAATGCAGATAACATGGAAATTCTACAGAGCCTGACAAACGTAATTTGCTTACCCCAGGTAAGCTTTTTACTTAATTTGAGCTACTATGTTGGGGTTATTTTATTCTTAGCTATATTTTATGTGAAATAAACTAATTTGCATTTTTTTAAAAACCTGTGTTAAAATATATTTTCATCCATTAGGTCCTGATCAATTATGACGCCTTTTCTTCTTCGTATTGTCAACACTTAACACGCTGCCCAGTTTACACTGTCATTACTCAATAAATGCTAAACTTGAACATGAAGTTTAACTGAACTAAACTGGTCTTGTAGCAATTTACAAAGTAACCCAGAAGGTCAGATATCAATGTGACTTACAGTGAAGGAAGTAATTACACATTTTTCTTTCACTTGAAGTGGTTCTAAATATACAAATATATTTACTTTGCTTTCCTCAGGTAGGCAGCCCTTTACCTAACTACCATGAAAAGAGTTTTTAAAAACTTTTTGTTAAAATAACAAAGCCCTCGTTGCAGAACACCAAAAGCCACATATTTTAAGATATCAAAATCTTCAATATTTTTAGCTCTTTAGAAATAGAAAACTAGCAAAAGATAGCACCATCAGCAAATAATATCTCAGCCCCTTCCTTACTACTCCCCCACCATCCTTCCTCAGGATTCAGTTCCAGTGAATGATCATCAGAAGCAAAACCTGAAGCAAAAATCTTTCAAAAATTACAACAAATAAGGTACATTCTTGGCAAGTCTCAATTTTGTGATAACTTTCTCCTCAAGTTTATTATTATAAAACTATCTTGTAATAAGGTTATTTGGGGACCCCCTTAGATGGTCTGAGACTAAATGATTTCTACTTCAGAAAAAAATACTCTATAACAGGGTTTTGGTTATTTAACACAGCAGCATTCAAATAGCAGGAATTCAATTTTTGTTCAAGTAAATACTATCTGCTCATTAATTTGTTTAATCACAAAATGATTTCACAAAACAATACAGTTTGTGACTTCTTAAAGAACTTCTGGTGTTCAGATTGACTTTTAATACATTATGTCTCACACTAATAGTCACTCTATTTTTAGAAAAGTTAAAATCAAAATAATACCTATTACACCTCCATTCTAAGGGAAAAAAATATGTTTCATGAGGATGTTGCTGAAGATGTTAATTAACCATATTACACTTGTCCTCTTGGTGAGAATCTCTTGTAATTTTTTCTCTAAAGATTTCAATCCACTAATTTTTGAAATAATGACTTTTAAAAGTTTATTGCACTGAATCTTGTTTTAATTGTGATGCTTTTTATAAATTGACATTTGCTACTGAAAAATGTGGAGTCAAATATAGGTCCTTCAGCAGAATTTATCCAACGCTTAGAGTGTGTTGTGTTTTCATGAACACTACCACTAGCCTCACCTTATTTTTTCTTTTATTTTCTGTTAGCTGTGATTCCTTACTTTAAAAGAATCTTGCATTTTAAAAGCAACCTTGAGCTTCCAATATTTTCTCTCCTAATGATATGAAACAATAAAAATAAAAACCAAAAACCCCACACCCTCAGCATAACTTAAAGCTAGAAAAATGACAAAGTAACTGTGAGTAAAAGAACAGGTAATTATTTCAGGTAAGATTCACCAATGGTTCAGACAAAATTAGTGAACAAAAGTCTAAGAATATGTGCATAGTCTCAAACTATGTCTCCCAAGATATTTTACCTCTTAGAAATGAAAAATGATTAATTTTACAGCACAGAAACCTGGCAGATACCATCTTTAAAAAGTGATCAATGTTTGCATCACCAATAACAAGATATTTTGATACCATGCATCCTTTGATATAATGCATCTGAGAAAGGCACAATATCACTTCTGCATTATTCTTGCCAGAAATGCATAACCTCAATCTAATCATAAACAAAGTGAGAAAATTCTACAAAATAACCAGCAGCTAGCACACTTCAAAAGCGTCAAAGTCATGAAAGATCAGGAAAGACAGGGGAGGTGTCATAGATTGAAGGAGAATAAAGAGATATAACAACTAAATGCACTGTGAGATCCTGCATTGGGTCCTAGAACAACAAGAAGGACTTTAATGGAAAAGCTAGTGAAATTAAAATAAGATTTGTAGTTATTTAATAGATTGTGCCACTGTTAATTTCCTGGTTTTGGCAATTGTACTATAGATAAATAAGATGTTAACATTAGGGGAAGCTGGGTGAAGGACATATGGCAATTCCCTGTACTATTTTTGTAACATTTCAGTAAGTGTAAATAAAAGTTTAAAAACAAAAATGTTAAAAAGGCATCTTCAATCTTTTTAAAATAAGTGGGATTTTCATAAACAATTACCGTCTGACATTCTTCCGATTTTTCCTAAGCTCATAGCTTCCTCGTGTTATCCCCTTTGACTGCCTCAGAAAATTCTTCATATCTAGTGCCAATTCAAATATTGTCTCTCTTCCATAAAAGATCCCGCTTCCTACAGACCTCAGATCTCCCAGCATTGTACCCTAAAGTAGAAGTTTACCATGCATGACTAGATAGTTTTCTAGTTCTTTTTTTACCTGTATTTCTCATTGTCACTGCAATAAGAAAAGCTCCCAGAATGCAGTGACAAAGTTACATGTCTTTTCATGATTTTCCCCAGCACTGACCTAAATATACAGTAAATGCTTGTTAAATACATGTTGACTCATTCACTCATAAATTATTTAAGGAAACTAGAGATTTGTAAGTTCACATCATCCATTTTACAGCCTCTCTGTGAAATCAGACATCAAATACAGGACTGAATGGGCCATTCGCTATAATCTAAGTATGGCAATTCTGATAATTTCTTATTCTCAGGAAGTCTCTAAAATGTAAAATGTATGATACTTCCTTCAACTTCATAAGGTAGTTGGGGTTGAATAAACACCAGAATCCATAGAAATAACAGGCCTAAATTTATAGAAATATAGGCCTAAATTATAAATCTTTAAAAGGTCATTGAAAACTGTTAGAATTCCGCATTCAATATTAATATGAAATGTACAATAACATAAGCAATTGTCACAAATAAGATTCAAAGATACTGATGTTTGATGAGATATTTTCCATGACCCGGGGTTGCTTCCTTAGAGTATTCCTAGGATGTCTACTGATCTGTTAAAGTCATGCAATGGGAACAAATGTCCATTTTCTTTGCCAAGAAAATACCATAGATGAATATTAAAAACAGTTATGTAAGCCAAAACTCACATCTGCACACACTTAAAATGTAGCCCTTTTTTAAAATAATAATTTGTAATACATTCTGAAAAAAAAAAACAAAAAATGTTGTACAATGCTCTACACCTGGCTGGGTAACCAGTGTTTTTAGCCATAAGTGCAGTGATACAGGCTATGTAATTACTGAAATTGATTAGTGTACTCTAAATTGTGGAAATATGTATGTGTTTGTATATTAGTAACTGTTTTTGGCATCTATTTCAGGCTTGTTTATATTATACTATGTGTATATATATACATATATGTAGAACACAAAGTTCAAAATATACTCTACTGATGTAACCAACCAATTAAAGGAAATAAAATCTGTTTAAGGGGAATATAATGCATGGAACTTAACGGGATTTTCTACACAATCTGGGGCTTCCAATACTTAAAAAATTATCAAATTATTAAACTTATATATATAATTATATATATATATATAATTATATATATATATATATATATATATATTTTTTTTTTTTTTTTTTTTTTTTTTTCTGAGACGGAGTCTTGCTCTGTCGCCCAGGCTGGAGCACAGTGGTGCGATCTCGGCTTACCACAACCTCTGCTTCCCAGGTTCAAGCAATTCTCCTCCCTCAGCCTCCTGAGTAGCTGGGATTACAGGCATGTGCCACCACACCCGGCTAATTTTTGCATTTTTAGTAGAGATGAGGTTTCGCCATGTTGGCCAGGCTGTTCTCGAACTCCTGACTTCAGGTGATCCACCCACTTCAGCCTCCCAAAGTGCTGGGATTACAGGCATGAGCCACCGTGCCTGGCCTAATATTGTTTCTTTAAAAAAACGTTTAAAATGTCACTAATTCACTAAGAAGGTATCACAAACAATGCTCTAAAAAGCTTTTTTAAAACCAATTTAAAAAATATGTGTGGGGAAAAATATATTTTGGTCTGATATTGAAAAAGAAATGATTTGCAAAATTTTTAAAATATTTAAGTAGTCAAAATTCCCAATTCAATGGAATATTTAGCATACATGCATATATAATATTATTTTAAAATATTTCTATATCATTTTATTTTTAAAAGAATGATTACTACAGGGAGTAATGTAGTATACTACATCCTACTACAGTAGGATGAAGAATAATTTGTATCTTAAAAATAGGTATTTAAAAACATAGATCACTTTTCCTATCCATGTTGGTTTATATTGTTGTTATAAAAAAAAAATCAGATGTATGGCGTAGGACACAACAAAGTACAGTCTTCCTTAGGTACCCACAGGGGATTGGTTCCAGGACTCCGGTGATACCAAAATCCAAAGATACTCAGCACCTTTAAACAAAATGGCAGAGTATTTGCATATAACTATCAACATTCTCTCGTATACTGTAAAACATCTCTAGAGTATTTGAAATACCTAACACAATGTAAATGCTATGTAAGTGGTTGTTATACTGTATTGTTTTTACATTTGTATTACTTTTTATTGTTATATTGTTATTTTTATATTTTTAAAAACATTTTTGATCCACGGTTGGTTGAACCCATGAGTACAGAACCTACAGACACAGAAGACAGATTATAAACTGAAAAATTACAAATGCTCATGTATTTTCCCTGGTACATTTGATTCTTCATAGGTTAGATTTGTTTTGAGGAGTCATTTTCCAAAATTCACCAGTTTATTAATAACATATACCACTGTGAAAAATAAAATATGTTGACATATGTGGCATAATTAAAATTAATCCTTCATAGGGAAAACTATTAAGAAACAGGTATTCAGCTAATTATATATGTAGAAAAATTCCAAGGAATCTACCAAAAATAGTGACTAGAATTAATAAATGAGTTTAGAAAGGTCACACTGTATAATATCAACATTAAAACATCTATTATATTTATATATTAGCAAAGAACAATTGGGAATTGAAGATAAAATCATGATTCAATATCATCTAACAAAATATGTGCAACCTCTAGATGCTGAAAACTATAAATGCTGATGAAAGAAATTAAAGAAAACCTAAATAAATGGTAAGATCTTCCATGGTCATGGATCAGAAAACTCAATTTCATTAAGATTTCAACCTTAATGTAGATTAAACACAAATTTAAAAATATCTCGGTAGGATTTTGTGTAGAATTCATTATGCTGATTCTAAGAAAAACAAAGAAACCATCATAGGCAAAATGATCTTGAAAAAGATCAGTGTTGGACAACTTATACTACCTATCTCTAAGACTGACTATAAAAGCTACAGTAATCAAGATAGTGTGGCATTGTAAAAGGATAGACATATAGATTAATAGAAGAAAAACAGAAAGTCCACTAGTAGGCCACATATATGTGGTCAAATGATTTTCAACAAAGCTGCAAAGGCAATTCAATGGAGAAAGGATAGTCTTTTCAACAAACAATACAGAAACAATTGAATCTTAATCCATATATTGCACCATCCACAAAAATCTACTCAAAATGGACCACAGACCAAAAAGTAAAACCTGAAACTGTAAAATTCTAGAAGAAAACAGGAGAAAAGCTTTGTGACCTTAAGTCAGGCAAAGATTTTTTATACACAACACCAAAAACATCATCTATAAAAGAGTAAACTGGTAAGTCAGAATTCATAAAAATTAAGAATCTCTGCTCTTTGATTTGGGAGAAAGTGTTTGCAAATCACATATCTTATAAACAACTTGAGTCCAGAATACATAAATAACTCTCAAAATTTAATAATTAGAAAATAGCAGTAAAAAATCAGAAAAAGATTTCAATAGATACTTCACCAAAAAAGATATTCAGATGACAAAATATACACAGGAAAAGGTGCTCAACATTATTAGTCATTAGGGAAATGCATGAATGGTGAGAAATGTGTATTTGGATGACTAAAATAACATTATTAACTCCACAATATGAAGGGTGCAACCTAACTGGAACTCTCATACACTGCTGGTGGGAGTGCAAAATTATGTAGCTACTTTGGGAGACAGTTTGGCAGTTTCTAATAAAATTTAAAAATATACTTAACATAAAGCTCAACAATCTCATTTCTTTCTATTTACTCAAGTTAAATTAAAGTGCATATTCACACAAAATCTTTATGTGAATGCTTACCAACCCAGATATTTCCCAGCTGGAGAATGGATAAGTTTTGTACTCCCATACAATGGAATACTACTAAGCAATAAAAAGGAACAGATTACAGTGACACACAACAACATGAGTGAATCTCTAATGCATTATGCAAAGGGAAAGAAGCCAGACTCAAAAAGCTAACTACTGAATATTTACATGACATTCCAGAAAAGGAGAACCTATGGTCACAGAAAATACATGAGTGATTACTAGGAGCTGGGACATGAGAAAAGAAGTGGAGCTGATGACAAAGGTCTGGAGAAATGTTTGAGGTGATGGAACTGTTCTTCATCTTGATGTGGTGATGGTTTGTCAAAACTTGCAGAACTGCACATAACCTATATAAGTTATAGTTGTTTTAAAAAGAGGAATAAATGAAGAGTTAGAGGAATACAAGAAAGAGCTTGACTGCTTCTGAGTTGGTGTGGAAAGGAGGAAGGCAGGGACATCTTTGAGGAAGAAAGATGAGTTACCAAGTCTTCCAGGCAGAGGGGAAAATGTGTGTGAAGCCACAAACGGAGATTGTTTACAGCCTATTTATGGAAAACAGAGTTGTCTGGGAGTGGGTACAGCACAGACTGTTATCTGTGGTGGGAGAGACAGTTAAGAAAGGTAGAAGACATCAATTCACACCCATTACAATGGTTATTATAAACAGTGTTGGCAATCATGTGGAGAAACTGGAACCCTTGTGCACTGCCGATGGGAATGTAAAATGATGCAGATGCTATGGAAAATATATGGCAGTTCCCTGAAAAATTAAAAACAGAATTATATCGACCAATTCCTACTTCTGAGTATATACCCCAAAGAACTGAAAGCAGAAACTAGAACAGATATTTACACATCCATGTTCACAAAAACATTATTCATAATGTGACAAAAGGTGGAAGCAATCCAACTGTCTGTCCATTGGCAGATGAATGGATGAACAAAATGTGGTATACACATGCAATGGAATATTATTCATTTTGAACAAAACAGGAAATTCTGACACATGCTACAATGTGGATGAACTTGAAGACATTATGGTAAGTGAAATAAGTCAGTCATAAAAGAACTACTACTATATAATTCCATTCATATCAGGTACCCTAGAGCAATGGTCCTCAGCCTTTTTGGTGCAGGTTTCATGGAAGACAACATTTCCACAGGATGAGGGTAGAAGGATGGTTTTGGGATGAAACAGTTCCACCTCAGATCATCAGGAAGTAGCTCACCTGCCACTCACCTCCTGCTGTGCAGCCTGGTTCCTAACAGGCCACAGACAGGTACGGGTCTGCAGCCCAGGGGCTGGGGACCCCTGCCCTAGAGCATCAAATACATACAGGAAGTAAATGATGCTTGCCAGGGGCTAGAGGGAGAGAAAATGGGAGTTACTGTTCAGTGGGCACAGGTTTAGTTTTACAAAATAAAAAAAAATTCTCGAGACGGATCGTGGTGATGGTTGCACAACAATTTAAATGTACTTAACACCACTGAACTGTACAGTAAAAAAATAGTTATCATAACTTAAAATTAATTAATTAAAATAAATACATAAGAAAGAAAAACAATGAAAGGTACAGAGGGGAAATGAAATTATGCAAATCTTTGGCCAGACAACTAGGAAGCTGTGGCAACTTCACTTTTTCTTGGGCTACAGCACTTTGTAAGCTTTTGAGCAAGGGAGAAAATGCCATTAGCTCACAATCTACCTCTTCCAGAAAGTTCTGCCAGATTCTGCCTGTTGCCCCCAGATGTCAGACACCTCCCTGCATTTCCCAGGGCATGCAGTCCAGCATATCTAGATGATGGCCCTTATTTCTGTTCAATGTGATTGCAGTTTGTTCCATCATCCCTGCCCTATCAAAATTCATCTCCTTGAGATGAATTACCAATGCCTAACTCAGCTCAGCAATGAGATTTATTTTTTCAGCAAGATCCCTATGTCAGGAGGACAGAGGTTGTCTTGTTCTTACCTTCTTCTCTTTGAGGTTAGATTTTCCTGTATCCCTCAGAGGCTTCAAACTTCCTGCCTGCTCTGTCTTGGGGACATTACCATTCTCTTCTCTCATCTCTATCAGTCTCAGGGCTTGGTTTTCCTTGGCAGATGGATGGTCTAAACTCAGAGAAGCCCACATCTTCGTTGACCCCCATTAAGATCTCAGAAGCAGTGATGAGAGCCCTCAGTGCAGGCTGTAGGGCAGGCAGAACTTCTAACAAGAAGCCAGTGAGAGCACAGCCTCCCTCCCCTGATAGAAAGGTGACTTGGGCCCAGAGGGTTAGAGTGTCTGAGATTCCCCACCACAATCTCTTAGGTGGGGGTGAGGTGAGATAGTGACATCACAACCACACTGCCTGGCTCAGTTCCTGATGTCAGCTAATGTGATGCCAGGGCTAAAGGGCCAGCACACCTTCTTTGTGATTCTGGTCTCCCAGGGGCAGAAAATAGGAAGCAGGCTAAAGATGCCCTAGGACTTAGGGACAAGGCAACAGTATGACGAAAGGTTGACTTCTGTGCATCACTGTTCAGCTTACAAAGTGCATAATAGAGAACATTTCGAAATACAGAAAAATACAATTCAAAATTCACATATCCCATCTCACAGAGAAATGAACTAGCATATTTTTTCCATGTTTTCCTGTGTGTAACTATGATGATTAATACTGAGTGTCAACTTGACTGGAATGAAGGATGCAAAGTATTGTCCCTGGGTGTGTCTGTGAGGGTGTTGGCAAAGGAGATTAACATTTGAGTCAGTGGACTGGGAGAGGCAGACCAACCCTCAATCTGGGTGGGCACCATCTAATCAGCTGCCTGCATGGACAGAATAAAGCAGGCAGAAGAAGGTGGAAAGAGCAGACCTGCTGAGTCTTCTGGCCTTCATCTTTCTGCCATGCTGGATGCTTCCTGCCCTTGAACATCAGACTCCAAGTTCTTCAGCTTTTAGAGTCTTGGACTTAAACCACTGGCTTGCCAGGGGCTCTCAGGTCTTCAGCCACAGACTGAAGGCTGCACTGTTGGCTTCCCTACTTTTGAGGTTTTAGGACTTGGACTGGCTTCCCTGCTCCTCAGCTTGCCACAGGCCCATTGTGGGACTTCACCTTGTGAGTCAATACTCCTTAATAAACTCCCCTTCATATATACATCTATCCTATTAGTTCTGTCCCTCTAGAGAACCCTGACTAACACACGAAGCTTATCTATGGCTTACTTTCTGGCTCTCATGACCCCTATCAAATCCATCAGAAAATCATATTTACTCTTACTTAAAGTATATTTTAAAAATATATCCAGAATATGATCACCTCCCCAGCTACCACTCTGGTCTAAGCCACCATCATTTCCTCTCATCTGGATTACCAAAGTTGCCTTCTCATTGGTTTCCCACCTTTGTTCTCATGCAGCTAGAATGATCTTTTAAAGCCTAAGTCAGATCATGTCCCTTCATGGCATAATACCCTCTTACTCTCTCATTACTCAGAGTTAAAGTCAAAGTCATTGGAACAGCCTCAAAGGCCCTACATGACCAGGCCTTGGAATGCCTCTAATGTCTTTTCCAACTCCCCCATGTCCACTATGTTCTCGTCACACTGGCTTCCTTAAGTCCTCTAGCAATGCCAGCCATGCTCTTGCATTAGGGTCTCTGCACTAGCTCTTCCTTCTATCAGCAATTTCTTCCTCCGAATATCAACATGCCTCACTCGACTCCTTCAAATTTGTTTGAATGTTACCTTCTTGATGAAGCCAGCTTTGGCCACACTATATAAATGGTACCAGCCCTGGTACTCGAGAGTCTCCCTGAATCTTCTCTATCATTTCCTTTTCAATAGCACTTTGACACTTAAAAAAATTCTATATAAGTTACTTATGCAGCATGTTCATGGCTAACAATGTATCTCTCCTACTAGAATGAGCTCTGAGGGGACAGGAATATATGCCATTTTGCTCACTGCTATATCCTAAGTGCCTAGGGCCATTGTACAAAAATTAAGCACAAAATGCTGAAAGCAATGGGTGTGTGCCATTAGTCTGTTAACTGTTCCCCAGTACCTGTTCTTCATTTCTTTTCAAAATAGTCTCCCTGCAACTTTTAGCACAGTGCATGCAAATAGGTCCCTGCTTCCCCAGGTGTGCCCCTGGGACTGTTTTCTCCAGTAAAATGTCAGAATGATATGCACAACTTCCATGGCAATTCCCTAAAAGGAAATATTTGTCTTCCTCATCTTTTTCCTCTCTTCCTGCTGGTTAAGAAATGGTGTCCATCAGAAGAGCAGCCTTTAAAGCAGAGATGGAGACAGTATGTTGAGGATGACTGAGGAATCTCACTAGTCAGCCTAGGTTCCTAAGTGACCTCATGAAAGAGAACCATTTGATCCTAGCCCTGGGCCATCCTAATACATCTGGATTCTTACGCAAAACAGAAATAAACTTTCTTATTTCATTTCTCCACTGCATTATGGGGTTCCCTCTTACAGCAACTTAGGCTTACTCTAACTAGTATATAAAGAATCACAAATAATTTTTCTTTTTTGATTTATCAGTATAGTAATTTATATTATTAATAATAGTGCTCCTAATATCAAACCATCTTTGCACTCCTGGAATAAAATCCATGTGATTATGATGTACAATATTTTAAATATGCTACTAGATTCTCCTGCTTAATATTTAGTTTTTTACAATATTCAAAAGTGAGATTAATATGTTTTTAGAGAGTTTTTTTTTTTCAGTTTTGACACTGATATTATGCTAACTAAGGAATAGATTACTAGGTCAAAAGATAGGGATATTTTTAAGGTTCACAGTATAGATAACCACAGGCTTTCAGGAAGGTTGTACCAATTTATATTCTCAACAATAGCATTTTAGAGTGTTTATGCACTGCACCCTAGGCATCTTGGTATTATTAATTTAAAATTACGCTTGGTAATATTTAAACTAATTTACTTTTTCAATATATTAAAAAATAGTATGTCTTAATTAGCATTTTCTTTATTACTTATGAGAATGAAGAGGTTTATTTAAGCCAACTGCAGTTTTAGTGGTCATGTACTTTCTATTTATTTTTTTACCATGTCTCATAATGTATTCAATTTAGTTAAATTACTCAACCACTTTCAATTTTTAATTTATTTAATCTGCACAAAGCTGGATCAGGCAAACCAGGCCCATAGAGAATTTTTTTTTCCATTATGAATATGAGTTAGAACCAGACCTGACTCTCAACACAGAACCCTTCCACTATACTAGACCCATAATGTATCTATGCAGCTTTATGCCCATCAGCTCATTCTATTGTCCTCCCCTCAAAGAAGGTCTAAACATAGGAGGCGGGAGTGTGAAATAAGAGGCTCTGTCCCTTTATCCCAACATCCCTGAGTCTCTTAATAAAGAGAAAATAAGTTTGGTTCTAAGTGCATAAAATGCTATTCGAAATGTTGATGTGGTGTGGAATAAACATCAGAAAGGCTGCTTGGAATATTAAAATAATTACAGTCTAGCTATCTATAAGCTAAATTTGGTATTACTGTCAAAAAAGCACTCATTTAAAATATATATAGTGACTACAATGATATTCAATAATTAAAGTACAGAAAACAAAAAAAGAAAAGGTACATCGTTTACATAAAAAGTACTCAACTTAGCATGAAAGCTGGGACATATTTAACAGTGAAAGGGATAGCAGGAAATGCTAAGTCACACAAGATACTGGGACAACAGGTAAAAGTGAGAATGTTTTGGTCAAATTAAAATGTATAGACACCCTATTAATGGTAAGATATCAAAGTAGTACCATAAGTAATTATTTCTGTTCTTATTTGTAATCATTTCATCACTGATAAAGATCCCAGTAAAATATATTTTTTCATTTTATTAACTTTAGTGTTATAAAAAACAGATGCACTGTCCAATTAGGCTATTACAAACTTAGCCATGAAGTTGAAAGGATCAAAAGATTTATACAGGCAAAGACTGGGAGTGGCATCAGCAAGATGGTGGAATAGATTGTCTGGCATCACTCCTGCCAAAAAATATAACTAAAAACTATCCAAAGACAAGAATACCATCCTGAGTTCACCAGAACTTGGAGGAAAGCAGAGAAACTCCCTGGGCCCCCAGAATCAAGAGAAGCCATGACTGGTAAGAGAAATATTCATGTTGGACTATGCTGCCCTCTCCCACAAGCCATCATAATGTCCCTCACACAAAATTTCTCTAGATTCAGTTTCCAAGGTAAGAGGTTGTAGACATTAGATCTCCTCCACAGTCTGGGAATCTTCACAGGAAGACCATTCTGGTCTTGTCCCACAGGAACTAATGGGAATGCCAGGAATACTGAACCAAACTGGGGTGAACTGGGGACAAACAGCCGGCACTGATTACTTGAACTAGTGCATGGATCTTGGCAGCTACTCTGTACTTCAATCAGTGAGGAAGCCATATTAAAGAGACTGCTTGCTGCTCTATTGCAGCAGTGGGGCAGAATCTGTGGGAAGGCTCGAATTCCTGGCTAGATTTTTCCACAAACCCCAACTGCTCTATGGAGCCTTGACCTGACCCAGAAACAACTAAAAGGTTAAGATTAAGTTCTGGTGCCTGCTTAAGTCTTCCTTACACTAGGAAACAATGGCAGGTCAGCAAGGTAGTTCAAAGGTAATGTTTAACTTCCAATTCTCACTATAAGTCTTCCCCAGACCAGAAAACAGTGGCAGGCAGTGATTTTGTTTCAGAGAAGCATTTAAGTTCTGGAGTCAACTATAAATCTTCCCCAGACCAGAAAAAATTGGCAGGGCAATGAGTTTGTTCCACTGCAATGTTTTAGTTCTAATGCTCACTATAAGTCTTCCCCAGAATGGGAAGTAACAACAGGCCAGCATTTAACTTCTGATGCTAAGTAGTAAAGGTCTGATACCACCAAAGAATACGTGCATAAAATAGAGAAAGTGGATGTCTCCTCAAATGTGCAGCCACCAACATAAAGATGCAAGGATTGTGAAAACTCAGGGGAATATGACACCACTGAAAGAAACTACCAATAGACTCAGAAGAGCTGACAAACTGTGAAATATCAGAGAATTCAGAATAATACTTTCAAAGAATTTCAGAAAATCAGGCCAGGCGCAGTGGCTCATGCCTGTAATCCCAGCACTTTGGGAGGCCGAGGCGGGTGGATCACGAGGTCAGGACATCAAGACCATCCTGGCTAACACAGTGAAACCCCGTCTCTACTAAAAATACAAAAAATTAGCTGGGCGTGGTGGTGGGCACCTGTAGTCCCAGCTACTCAGGAGGCTGAGGCAGGAGAATGGTCAGAACCCAGGAGGCGGAGCTTGCAGTGAGCCAAGATCGCGCCACTGCACTCCAGCCTGGGCGACAGAGTGAGACTCCTTCTCAAAAAAAAAAAAAAAGAACAAATTTCAGAAAATCACAAGCAAACATGGATAGAAAACTAAAAGAAATTTGGAAAACAATCCAGGAACAAAGTGAGAAATTTGACAAGGAAATTGAAATAAATAAAAAACCAAATAGAAATCTTAGAAAAGATAATACAATAATAGAACTGAAAAACTCTTTTGAAAGTTTCAACAGCAGACTTGACAAAACATAGGAAAGAATTAGTGAGCCTAAAGACAGAACATATAAAATTACTCACAGAAGGAAAAAGGAAAAAGAAAATGAGTGAAGAAAGCTTACAAGATTTATAGGGAAAACAACAGAATATACATTCATCTCATTGCCACATAGAACATACTCTAAAATTGACCACATAATTGGACAAAAAACAATCTTCAGCAAAGGCAAAAGAACCGAAATCATACCAAACACACTGTTGTACCACAGTGTAATAAAAATAGAAGGCAAGACTAAGAATATCATTCAAAATCATGTAATTACATGGAAATTAAACAACATGCTCCTGAATGACTTTTGGGTAAATAATGAAATTAAGGCAGAAATCAGGAAGTTCTTTAAAACTAATGAAAACAAAGATACAACATACCAGAATCTCTGGGACATAGCTAAGGCAGTGTTAAGGGGGAAATTATACAGAGCACTAAATATCCACATCAAAAAGTTGGAAAAATCTCAAATTAACAACCTAACATCACAACTGAAAGACTTAGAGAAGCAAGAACAAATCAACCTCAAAGCTAGCAGAAGAGAAGAAATAACCAAAACGAGAGCTGAAATGAAGGAAACTGAGACACAAAAAGCCATTCAAAAGATCAGTGAATCCAGGAGTTTGTTTTTTGGAAAAAAAAAAAAAACTAAAAAGACAGATAGGCCACTAGCTAAACTAATAAAGAAGAAAGAGAGAAGATCCAAATAAACACAATTAGAAATGACTATGGGAATGTTACCACTGACCCCACAGAAATAAAAATAACCATCAGAAACTCCTATGAACACCCCTATGCATACAAACTAGAACACCTAGAAGAGATGGATTAATTCCTGGACACATACATCCTGCCAAGGCTGAACAAGGAAGAAATTTATTTCATGAACAGACCAATAACAAACTCCAAAACTGAATCAGTAATAAATAGCCTAACAAACAAAAAAACTCCAGGGCCTGATGGATTGACAGCCAAATTCTACCAGATGTACACAGAAGAGCTGCTACCATTCCTACTGAAACTATTTCAAAAAATTGAGGAGGAGGGACTCCTCCCCAACGCATTCTATGAGGCCAGCACCATCCTGACACCAAAACCTGGAACAGACAAAACAACAAAAAAAGAAAACTTTAGGCCAATATACTTGATGAACATTGTTGCAAAAATCCTCAACAAAATACTGGCAAACTGAATCCAGCAGCACATCAAAAAGCTAATCCACCACGATCAAGTAGACGTCATCCCCAGAATGCAAGGTTGGTTCAACCTACACAAATCAATGAATGCAATTCATCACATAAACAGAACTAAAGACAAAAACCACATGATTATCTCAGTAGATGCAAAAAAAGGCTTTCAATAAAATTCAACACCCCTTCATGTTAAAAACTCTCGATAAACCAGGCATTAAAGGACCATACCTCAAAATAATAAGAGCCATCTATAACAAACCCACCACCAATATTATGCTGAATGGGTAAAAGCCAGAAGCATTTCCCTTGAAAAACAAAACAAGACAAGAATTCCCTCTCACCACTCCTATTCACCACTGTATTGGAAGTCCTAGCCAGAGCAATCAGGCAAGAGACAGAAATAAAGGACATCCGAATAAGAAAAGAGGAAGTCAAACTTTCTCTGTTTGCAGACATGATTCTATATCTAGAAAACCCCACAGTTTTGGCCCCAAAGCTCCTTCAGCTGATAAAAAACTTCAGCAAAATTTTAGGATGTAAAATCAATGTACTAAAATCACTAGTATTCCTGTACACCAACAACAGCCAAGCCAAGAGCCCAATCAGAAAGCAATCCATTCACAATGCCACAAAAAGAATAAAATACATAATATACCTAGGAATACAGCTAACCACGGAGGTAAAAAGTCTCTACAATGAAAATTACAAAAGAGTGCTTGAAGAAATGAGAGAAGACACAAACAAATGGAAAAACATCCCATGCTCATGGATTGGAAGAACCAATATCATTAAAATGGCCAAAGCAATTTATAAATTCAATGCTATACCTACCAAACTGCCAATGATATTTTTCACACAATTAGAAAAAACTATTTCAATATTCATATGAAACCAAAACAGAGCCTGAATACCCCAAGCAATCCAAAGTAAAGAGAACAAAGCTGGAAGAATCACCTTACTCAACTTCAAACTATACTACAGGGCTATATTAACCAAAACAGCCTGGTACTGGTACAAAAACAGACACATAGACCAATGAAACAGTATAGAAAGCCCAGAAATAAGGCTACACATTTATAACCACCTGATCTTTGACAAAGATGACAAAAATAAGCAACAGGGAAAAGACTCCCTATTCAATGAATGGTGTTGGAATAACTGGCTAGCCGTATGCATAAGACTGAAGCTGAATCCCTTCCTTAAAATAAAAAGAAAAATCAACTCAAGAATAATTAAAGACTTAAATGTAAAACCTATAACTATAAAAACCCTGGAAGACAATCTAAGCATTACCATCCTGGACATAGGAACAGGCAATGATTTCATGACAAAGACACCAAAAGCAATCACAACAAAAACAAAAGTTGACAAGTGGGCTATAATGAAACTTAAGAGCTTCTGCACAGCAAAAGAAACTATCAACAGAGTAAACACACAACCTACAGAATGGGAAAAAATATTCGCAAACTATGCATGTAACAAAGGTCTAATATCCAGCATCTATAAGGAACATAAATAAATTTACAAGAGAAAAACTACCCCATTAAAAAGTTGGAAAGGACATGGACAGACACTTCTTAAAAGAAGACACACATGTGGCAACAAGCATATGAAAAAAAGCTCAATATTGCTGATCATTAGAGAAATATAAATTAAAACAACAATGAGATACCATCTCACACCAGTCAGAATGGCTATTAGTAAAAAGTCAAAAAATAACAGATGCTGGCAAGGGTGTGGAGAAAATGGAACACTTATACACTGTCTGTGGGAGTGTAAATTAGTTCAACCATTGTGGAAGGCAGTATGGCCATTCCTCAAAGAGTTGAAAACAGAACTACCATTCAACCCACAAATCCCATTACCAGGTGTATACCCAAAGGAATATAAATCATTCTACCCTAAAGACACATGTACATGAATATTCACTGCAGCACTATCCACAATAGCAAAGACATCAATCAGCTAAATGTTCACCAATGACAAACTGGATAAAGACAATGTGATACATATATACCATGGAATACTATGCAGCCATAAAAGAATGAGATCATGTCTTTTATGGGAACATGGATGGAGATGGAGGCTATTATCCTTAGAAAACTAACACAGGAACAGAAAACCAAAGACCACAGGTTCTCACTTGTAAGTAGTAGCTAAATGATGTTACCTATGCAACAAACCTTCACATGTACCCCCAAACCCAAAATAAAAGTAAAAAAAAAAAAAAAAAGACTTAATAGGACATCAGCAAGTGAATGAATCTCCACATAACAGAAATTCCCAAGACAGAAAAAGGCCCACAAAGCATATTTTTAAAAAATGACTGAAAATTTCTCAAATCCCAAGAAAAATTATACCATCCACGCACAGGAAGAAGTAATCAATCAAATTTAACCCAAAGGGGAAATCCCCAAGGCACACACTAATCAAATTAGCAAAAATGAAAGACAAAAAAAGAATACTCAAAGCAGCAAGAGAAAAGACACATATCATATTCACTGGAGCCCCAATACGGCTTTCAATGGATTTCTCAACAAAAACCCTGAAGGCCAGAAGAGAGTAGGATGCTATATTCCAAGTTTAGGGGTTGGGGGTGGAAAGGAGAGACTGACAACTAAGAATACATACCCAACTTCACTATTCTTCAAAAATGAAGGAAAGATAAAGATTTTCCCAGACAAATCAAAGCTGGGGTTATTCATCAACACCAGACCTGTCTTACACAAAATGCTAAAGGGAGTTTTTCAATCAGCAAGAAAGAAATGAATGCTAACATGTAACAAGAAAACATCTAAAGATATTAAACTGACTTGGAAAAACAAGAAAACAGACACATTCAGAATAGTCTAATACTGGAATGGAAGCACTTAAACCACTATGTGTTCAGCATGCAGACTAAAAGACAAACTATTTTAAAATAATAACTACAATAATTGGCTAAGAGGCAATATAAGAAGATTCAAATTGAAGCATCAAAGAGTCAAAAATGTGGTGAAGGGGATGCTGTTAAAGTGCAGTTTTTTTCTTATTTTTCTTTTGGTTGTGTTCAAAGTTAAGTCACTATCAGTTTAAAATAACCTCTTATAACTAAAAGATGTTTTTTGTAAGCCTCGTGGTGGCCACAAAGCAAAGTAAATACACTAAAAATAGCACAGAATCAATAGATACACTAAAAATAGCATAGAATCGAAACATACTACCAAAGAAAATCAGTTAACCGCAAAGGAAGACAGTAAAAAAGGAAGGAAGGATTTACAAAACAATCAGAACACAAGTAAGAAAATGGCAGCAGTAAACTCTTTCCTATCAATAATAACTTTGAATGCAAATGGGTTAAATTCTCCAATTAAAAGACACAGAATGGCTAAATGGATTTAAAAGAAAACAAGATTCAACTGTACGCTGTCTTCAAGAAACTCACTTCACCTATAAAGACACACACAGACTGAAAGTGAAGAGATAGAAAAGGATATCTCATGCAAATGGAAACCATAAAAGAGCAGGAATAGTTACACTTATATTAGTTTATGTTGACTTTAAGAACTGTAAAAAGAGAGACAAAGAATGTTATATAACAAATAAATACAGAAAGATAATATAATAATTGTAAATATACCTGCACCCAACACTATAGCACCCAAATATAAAAAAACAAAAATTAACAGACCAAAAGGGAGAGACTGACTGCAATGCAATAATAGTAGTAGATTTCAACATTCCACTTTCAGAATGGACACATAATCCAGACAGAAAATCAGCAAAGAAATATTCAAGGTAAACTGTCCTCTAGACCAAATAGACCTAACAAGACATTTGCTCTCCCTCTCCCTCTCCCCATCCCCTTCCCCCTCCCCCTCCCCCTCTGATGCCCAGCCGAGGCTGGACTGTACTGCCGCCATCTCGGCTCACTGCAACCTCCCTGCCTGATTCTCCTGCCTCAGCCTGCCCAGTGCCTGGGATTGCAGGTGCGCGCCGCCACGCCTGACTGGTTTTCGTATTTTTTTGGTGGAGACGGGGTTTCGCCGTGTTGGCCGGGCTGGTCTCCAGCTCCTAAATGCGAGTGATCTGCCAGCCTCGGCCTCCCAAGGTGCCGGGATTGCAGACGGAGTCTCGCTCACTCAGTGCTCAATGTTGCCCAGGCTGGAGTGCAGTGGCGTGATCTCGGCTCGCTACAACCTCCACATCCCAGCCGCCTGCCTTGGCCTCCCAAAGTGCCAAGATTGCAGCCTCTGCCCGGCCGCCACCCCGTCTAGGAAGTGAGGAGCGTCTCTGCCTGGCCGCCCATCGTCTGGGATGTGAGGAGCCCCTCTGCCCGGCCGCCCAGTCTGGAAAGTGAGGAGCGCCTCTTCCTGGCCGTCATCCCGTCTAGGAAGTGAGGAGCGTCTCTGCTGGGCCACCCATCGTCTGAGATGTGGGGAGCGCCTCTGCCCCGCCGCCCCATCTGAAATGTGAAGAGCACCTCTGCCCAGCCGCTACCCCGTCTGGGAACTGAGGAGTGTCTCTGCCCCGCTGCCACCCCGTCTGGGAGGTGAGGAGCGTCTCTGACCAGCCACCCTGTCCGAGAAGTGAGGAGCCCCTCTGCCCGGCTGCCGCCCCGTCTGGGAGGTGTACCCAACAGCTCATTGAGAACGGGCCATGATGACGATGGCAGTTTTGTCGAATAGAAAAGGGGGAAATGTGGGGAAAAGAAAGACAGATCAGATTGTTACTGTGTCTGTGTAGAAAGAAGTAGACATAGGAGACTCCATTTTGTTCTGTACTAAGAAAAATTATTCTGCCTTGGGATGCTGTTAATCTATAACCTTACCCCCAACCCCGTGCTCTCTGAAACATGTGCTGTGTCCACTAAGGGTTAAATGGATTAAGGGTGGTGCAAGATGTGCTTTGTTAAATAGATGCTTGAAGGCAGCATACTCGTTAAGAGTCATCACCACTCCCTAATCTCAAGTACCCAGGGACACAAACACTGCGGAAGGCGGCAGGGCCCTCTGCCTAGGAAAACCAGAGACCTTTGTTCACATGTTTATCTGCTGACCTTCCCTCCACTATTGTCCTATGACCCTGCCAAATCCCCCTCTCCAAGAAACACCCAAGAATGATCAATAAATACTAAAAAAATTAAAAAAAAATACAATGATACAATTAAAAAACACAAATAAAAAATGGATTAAAAAAAAGACATTTACAGAATTTTCCACCCAACTGCTGCAGACATTTACAGAACATTTCCTCAACAGCACATGGAAGAGTCTCCAGTATAGACTACATATTAGGTCACAAAACAAGTCTTAAGAAATTTTTAAAAATCAAAATCATATCGTCTTTTCTGATCACAATGGAATAAAACTAGCAATTAATAACAGAAGGAATGTTGGAAACTGTACAAATCCATGGATATTAAACAGCAGACCCCTCAATAAGAAATGGATCAATGAAGAAATTCAAAGAGAAATGTTAAAATTTCTTGAGACAAATGAAAATAAAAATACAACACATTAAAACCTATGAGATACAGGAAAATCAGTTCAAAGAGGGAATTTTATAACAATAAATGCCTACATCAGAAAAGCAGAAAGCCATCAAATAAACAATCTAACACTGCACTTCTAGGAAATATAAAAGGTAGAACAAACCAAACCCCAGATTTGTAGAATAAATGAAATTATAAAGATTGGAGCAAAAATAACTGAAATTGAAACCAAAAAAAGAAAAATCAGCAAAACAAAAAGTTGTTTTTAAAAAAGATAAGCAAAAACTGGCAAACCTTTAGCTAGACTAAATAAGAAAAAAAAGAGAAGAGACCCAAATAAATAAAACCAGAAATAAAAAGGGAGACACTAAAATTGATACCACAGAAATACAAAGTATCAGTAGAGTCTATTATAAACATCTACACGCCAACAAAATGGAAAGCCTATTAACAGAAGAAATGGATAAACTTCTGGGCACATGCAACATACCAAAATTCAACTATGAAGAAATAGAAAACCAGAACAGACCAGTAATACATAATGAGATTGAAGCAGTAATAAAATCTTTCATCAAAGAAAAACCCAGAACCTGAGGGCTTCACTGCTGAATTCCACCAAACATTTGAAGAACTAATATCAATTCTACTCAAAGTCAACAAAAAAATGAAGAGGAGAGAATACTTCCAAACTTACTCTACAAGACCAGCATTAACCTGATACTAAAACCCGACAAGGACACACACATACACACACACAAAGAAAACTAGAAGTTAATATCCTTCATGAACATAGATGTAAAAATCCTCAGGAACATACTAGCAAACTGAATTCAGCAACACATTAAAAAGATCATTCATCATGATCAAGTGGGATTTATCCTGGGGATGCAAGGATGATTCAACATAAATATATCAGTAAATGTGATACATCACATTAACGAAACCAAGAACAAAAACCATATGGTCACTTTAGTAGATGCTGAAAAATCATTCAATAAAATTCAACATCCCTTTATGATTAAAAAAAAAAAACCTCTCAATAAACCGTGTATAGTAGAAACACTTCACAAAACAGTAAAGGCCATATATGACAAACCCAGAGCTAACATCATAGTGAAAAGGGAAAAATTGAGAGCCTTTTCTCTAAAATCTGAAATTAAACAAGGATGCTCACTTTCACCATTTCTATTCAACACAGATAGTATTGGGAGTCCTAGTCAGAGCAATTAGGCAAGAGAAAAAAATAAGGGGCATCCAAATTAGAAAGGAAGAAGTCAAATTATCCTTATTCACAGACAACATGATCATATATTAAGAAAAACCTAAAGACTCCACCAAAATAATGTTAGAACCAGTAAACAAATTCAGTAAGGTTGCAGGACATAAAATCAACATGCAAAAATCTGTAGCAATTCTATACACCAACAGTGAACAATCATGAAAAAAAATCAAGAAAGCAATCCTATTTACAGCAGCGATAAAAAAAATCTAGGAATAAATTTAACCAAAAGTAGTAAAAGTTTCTACACTGAAAACTTAAAACACTGATCAAAGAAATTAAAGAGAACACAAAAATGGAAAGATACTCCATGCTCATGGATTGGAAGAATTAACAATGATAAAATGCCCACACTACCCATAACAATCTACGGGTTGATTGCAATCTGTATCAAAACACCAATGAGATTCTTCAGAGAAATATAAAAAACAATTCTAAAATTTGTATGGAACCACAGAAGACCCCAAATAGCCAAAGTGATCTTGTGCAAAAGTTATAAAGCTAGAGGAATTGCACCATCAGGCTTCAAAATATACTGCAAAGCTATCATAACCAAAACAGCATGGTACTGGCAGAGAAATATACACACTGACCAATGGAACAGAATAGAGAACCCACCACACCTTTACAGCTAACTCATTTTTGACAAAGGTGCCAAGAACATACCTTGGAGAAAGGACAGTCCCTTCAATAAACAGTACTGGCAAAACTGGATACCCATATTTAGAAGAATGAAACCAGGACCCTATCTCTCACCATATACAAAAATTGAATCAACATGGATTGAAGACTTAAATGTAAGACCTGAGAGTATGAAACTACTTGAAGAAGATATTGGTCTAGGCAAAGATTTTTTTTGGTAAGACTTCAAAAGCACAAGCAACCAAAGCAAAAGCAGAAAAATGGGATTATATCAAGATAAAAATCTTGAAAAATATTGAAGTAAATATACATTAGTATTGACTTTCTGCAAGCAAAGAAAACAATCAAGAGTAAAAAGAAATGAGAGAACATATTGGCAAACTATCCATCTGACAACAGATTAATAACCAGAATTTATAAGGAACTCAACAGCAAAAAAACAAATAATCCAATTTAAAAATTGGCAAATGATCTGAACAGACATTTTTCCAAAGAACACATACAAATTGCCAACAGGGCATGTGAAAAAAATGCTCCATATCACTAATCATCAGAGAAATGCAAACCAAAGCAATAATGAGAGGATATCTCATCCACTTAAAACTGCTATTATCAAAAAGACAAAAAACAAATGCTTATGAGGATGCAGAGAAAGGTGAACACTAATACATTGTTAGTGAGAATGCAAATTAGTATAGTCACTATAGAAAACAGTATAAAGGTTCCTCAAAAAACTAAAAATAATCTAGCATATAACCCAGCAATTCCACTGCTGAATATATATCCAAAAGAAAGGAAATTAGTATACCAAAGAGAGATCTGCACTCCCATGTTTATTGGAGCATTATTCACCATAGCAAAGATATGGAAACAACATAAATGTACATCAGCAAAGGGGTGGAGAAAGAAAATGTGCGATATATACACAACAGAGTATGACTCAGCTATAAAAAGAATGAAATTCTGTCATTTTCAGCAACATGGATAGAATTAGATGTCATTATGTTAAGTGAATTAAGCCAGGCACAGAAAGACAAATATTGCATGTTTTCATTCATATGTGGGAGCTAAAAAAGTGGATCTCATGCAGGTGAGAGTAGAATGACAGTTACCAGAGGCTGGGAAGGGTAAAGAGGAGAAGACATAAAGAGAGGTTGGTTAATGAATACAAAAATACAGTTAAACGTAAGGAAGAAGTTCTAGTATTTGACAGCACAGTGGGGTGACTATAGTTAATAATTTATTGTATATTTCAAAATAGCTAGAAAAAAAGATTTGAAATCTCCTTAACAGAAAGAAAAGATAAATGTTTGAGGTGTTAGATATCCTAATTTTTCTGATTTGATCACAACACTTTGCAAGAATGTATAAAAATCTCACATACATCTGATAAATATGTACAATTCTTACATATCAACATAAATTTTTTAAAAGTTTGCATAATTATCAGCACTAATCATAAACAAACACACATACAACAAAAAACAAACCAAAAAAGTCCCCCCAGACCTAAACTGTGTGTGTGTGTACACACATACACACACACACACACACGAGACTTAGGGCACAAATATCTGCTTATTTTACTCACTTCCACTTCTCTCCATTTAAATATAAAACTTTGATGATAGCAAATAAGGTCTTCTACTTTCAATAACTTCCCAAGTCGAGTCACTGTCTTTTGCTGTATTGATCTAAGGCATTTTCATTTATTCTAAATAGAATTTTTTTCATCACAGGGCATCCAAAAAGACAAAATCAATAACCTCTGAGGAATACAGAACTCCAATTTTTAATGGTTCTATTAGAATACTAAAAATTAGGCTACAGAAGGACAAAGGAGGATTAATCTTGTAATTTTTAAATGCCTACTTTAAAACTAAACTAATTCATTTATAATTCTAGGTTTTATTTTCAAATAACCTTAACATAAAATATACTCTCTTTTAATTTTCTCCAAGTAAAACATAGTTTTCTAGCTTCAGACAACTAGACTTTGAAGTTAAGCTATTGACTTGCTCTCCTGGATTGCCAGAAAATAAAGTGCTCTTTAATGTGCAGCAGAAGGCAGAGGGAGAAAGAGGAAAAGATTATTCGGGAAACTGTGAAAGCCATTGAGAAGGGAGCAGTCTATTTCCATCTACATCCATGACTCCACACTGACATTGAGCTTTGTAGTCCCTCTCAGGTAAGGATGATAGACCTTTGAACATGTAAATACTCAAGCATTAATGATGATAGGTACCCCTGCTTATTTTGTTAATAAACAGATGCTCCAGATATTATTCTAATACTTGTTTAGTGGACTCACTGTGATACGAGTGCCTCACATACAAACCAGATAAAGTAGGAGAGCTGGGGCTCATGTAAAAAAGGGTCTAAGGAACATCAATTTCTTCTTGTTACATAGGAGATACATAAATACATTTAAAATATTTGATTTGGTTTGATTTGTGTATTTTGTCAAAGTAACAACAAAAGTCTTAGTTTTTCTTTTTAATTATGCCAATAATTATTTTTTAAGGTTTTTTTTGGCTTTTTAATTTTTTATTTCTTTAAATACTTATCCTACAATAGTACTCCAAACCTCAGCATCACACACTATACCCATGTAACAAACCTGCACATGTACCCCCGAATCTAAAAAGTTGAAATAAAAAAATTATCCTATAAAAAGTGTTAGTTTTTGTATAAGACAAGATTATAACCCCTGTCATAGTCAAGAAAGCTTTACAATTTAGGTCATTCAAAAGCACATTAATATAAACCTTCATATAAATGAACACCAATTCATCGCATTCAAATTATGTACACATCCTAAGTTTTCCAAGTTATTTGTGTATGTTTTTACCTGGTAAATTAAATTATTGTTATATTTACAGGTGCCATTATCTATTACACCAGGCTATAGCTTATATATCCAGAGGAAAATGACAACTTTAGGTTCACCAATATTTGTGGAACATAATAAAAAATATACGGGATATTGTTGGCCAATCAATTTTATAATTCTAACCTGAGGATAACATTTAATTTAAAGTTTAAGGATATAAAACTTCACGTTTTTTAGCAAAGGAAAAAGTCATGGAAAAGATAAAAGTAAAAAGAACAAAAGTGAGGTTGGAAATCCATCTTAAGCCAAAATGACAATGTCTTCATAAGTTAATATTAATCCTTTAATTATAAATTTTAAAGGTTTAAGTAGTTTCTATGACCTTAACTTTGAATAATTATGCCATATGGAGCTTTTCTTAAATTTGAAAAAGATGCTGAATTGTTGCTCAAAGCCTTTTCATGATTTCAGGCTGGCAGAATTCCAGTATAATCCTTCAGACACCACTTAAAATTACAGACCAGGAACCCAAGCTGGTAAATGCTATGTCAAAATGCTAAGAGCCTTTTACTGAGTAGAGCACATTGTAGAAAACGTTTGATGTGTTGGTATATTTATAAATATCAAAACATGAAGCTGAAAACAACTATTTATAGTGGAGAATTTACAAAGGAAAAGATGAACAGATTAGACGAAATTTAAATAAAATGTTTGTGTATCATAAAATTAAATCATAAAAGGCAAATGCCAAAGATATTTGCCACAAAGATAAGGGTTTTATCATTCTAAATATAAAAGGAGTTTATTAGATGAGCTGATGAGAAAAACATTAGGACCCTAAAGGAAGAAAAACTGGAAAAAGACATGAACAGGCAATTTCCCGAAAATGAAATATAAATAAATAACAGGTAAATCCATTGTAAATGTTCAATCTCTCACACTTAAATATACAAATTAAAACAACTGTTTTTCACAAACATGTACTACAAATTAGGTAAAACTACTAATAAATCTACAGACTAAGTAGATACTCTACTGAAGTAAATATACATTAGTATAAACTTTCTGAAATGCAATTTGACCTGTTAATTCTACTAGGATTTTAACCTAAAAAAATTGAAATTGAAAATGTCAACAAAAGTTTATGTATGATGATGCCAATCTCCACATTAAACAATTAAAATAAAATCTAAAAGTTTGGCTGGGTGCAGTGGCTCATGCCTATAATCACAGCACTTTAGGAGTCAAGGTGGGCGGATCACCTGAGGTCAGGAGTTCAAGACCAGCCTGGTCAACATGGTGAAACCTTGTCCCTACTAAAGATACAAAAATTAGCTGGATGTGGTGGCGCATGCCTGTAGTCCCAGCTACTCAGGAGTATGAGGCGGGAGAATCGCTTGAACCCGCAAGCCAGAGGTTGCAGTGAGCCGAGATCAGGCTCCATCCTGGGCTACAAAGGAAGACTCTATCTCAAAAAAAAAAAAACCTAAATGTTCTAAAATAAAGAAATAACACAATTAATTACATCTGGCTGGGCGTGGTGGCTCACGCCTGTAATCACAGCACTTTGGGAGGTCGAGGTGGGCGGATCACGAGGTCAGGAGATCAAGACCATCCTGGTCAACATGATGAAACCCCGTCTCTACTAAAATACAAAAAATTAGCCGGGCATGGTGGCGCCCATCTCTAGTCCCAGCTACTAGGGAGGCTGAGGAGGGGAATCGCTTGAACCTGGGAGGCAGAGGTTGCAGTGAGCCGAGATTGTGCCACTGCACTTCAGCCTGGCGACAGAACAAGACTCTGTCTCAAAAAAAAAAATTATGTTATATCAAAGGCCGGATGAGGTGGCTCACGCCTGTCCTCCCAGCACTTTGGGAGGCCAAGGCGAGTGGATCACTTGAGGTCAGGAGTTCAAGACCAGCCTGACCAACATGGAGAAACTGCGTCTGTACTAAAATATAAAATTAGCCAGGCATGGTGGCACAATGCCTGTAATCCCAGATACTTGGGAGGCTGAGGCAGGAGAATCACTTGAATCTGGGAGGTGGAGGTTGTGGTGAGTCGAGATTGTACCATTGCACTCCAGTCTGGGCAACAAGAGCAAAACTCCATCTCAAAAAAAACAAAACAAAACAAAATTTGTTATACCCATAAAACAGGATATCATGAAACAATGAAAACAATATTTTCAAAGAATTTCAAATGACATTGGAATATTCTTAGTATAATGCTTTAAAAAGCAAGAGATCAAATTAATTAGTTTGATCTTGGGCAGCTAAGTTAGTATGGCTATTTTACATATACATTAAATTATTACTATTATATCTGAGTGGTGGTAGGAACAGGGAATTTTACACCTTTCTCCACTTTCCCTATTTTCTAAAATATCTTCTATTTCAAGGAAGGTTATTTTTAAAATAGCTGAATAGGTTTCTAAAACCATTGTCCAATTTAGATACCAAAGTTTAATCAAACTTCTGAAAATTACACACTATCATCACTTAGTAATGTTCTTTAATTTTTCAAAAGTTCATATTTTATGGACTTTGTTTCAATTAGGTTTGAAAAGATTTTAAAAGGCCACAAAAGAAGCTTTCACTTTGCAAAATGTCAATCATTTACTCTCTTGGATTCTTTATTTGAAGCATTTTGACCTTGTGGAGGTATTTCATGTTTCTCTTAACTCAAAATCATTGAAGATATCATTTGGGTCTAAATTGCTGCTGACAGAAACTCAGGTAGGATGTGGACTTAGGAATTCTTTTATAACCTTAACATCGTAAGTGCTACTGAAACAACACAGACCCATATAGAATGTCACACTGAGATTATTTATTATTCTGGTATTATTGTCCTTTCCTCTTTGAACCTCAACTTTATACTCAATGATAGAAAATGAACTTCTAAACCTCTGAATTCTTGACTGGGTTTTAAACTGCTGGCAAATATTTTAAATTTCAGATTTATTTAAATACGATAAAAACATCCAACTTAAAAAGATACTGTGAGAAGAGTTCAAGCAACTGGCAGAATGACATAACAGACTCACAAAAGAATCAGCAGCTTGTTAGTTTTATTCAAACTCACAGTAAAAACTCAAATTTTAAAAAATTTGTGTAGAAAAATTCAAAGTATGTCTCAATAAAGATTAATGCTATGTTTTTAACTTATTAAGTGATATGAAGGAAATCAAAACACTAAAAGAACATATAAATATTTGAATACAAAGATGTATCATATCCTACCCAAAGTATTTATAATGATTTGAGATCAAATGTGGATAAATCAATAACAGTTTATTCACATGACCAGGCACAGAGGCTATCTTGAATTTCTCAGTAGATTATCATTCTTTTTGTTTTGTTTTGTTTTGTTTTGTTTTGAGACGGAGTCTCGCTCTGTTGCCTAGGCTGAAGCACAGTGGCGCAATCTCGGCTCACTACAAGCTCCGCCTCCCGGGTTCACGCCATTCTCTTGCCTCAGCTTCCCGAGTAGCTGGGACTACAGGCGCCCGCCACCACACCTGGCTAATTTTTTGTATTTTTTAGTAGAGACGGGGTTTCACCGTGTTAGCCAGGATGGTCTCGATCTCCTGACCTTGTGATTCGCCCGCCTCGATTATCATTCTTTTATTCACTCACTTAATATTTAATGAGTGCTTACTGTGTGTAAGGCACCATGCAAGCTCCTGGGGCATTAGAAACAAATATTTCCTGCTTTCAGGGAATTCGGAGTCCAGGTCTTTACTGCATTTGAAAATGCTAAACTCCTTTGACTATTTATGTAAAAATATCAATCATTGGAAATACAAATTACTCGATGTGAGCACAGCATTTAGATATCATCATATGGACTCTGAGGTTGGTGAATTCCACCAACTGGACAAAAACCGAACTCATCGCACTCAACACCAGCCTATGTAAAAGAGAGTCTTCCCTTTCCCCAGACTCTCCCTTTTTGTCAACAAGTCCCTCCATTCTGGTTCATCTCAGTACCTCTACCCATGTCAGCTAAAAGAACTGTCCTCAAACCTCCCTTCTAAATTCTGGGATCCCTTGTGTTCTCACTTCAATCCAGGAGCATTCCATTCTTCCAGATGCAGGATACCCATGCTCCCTCCTCTACCTGCAGAACTCCAATTCTATAGGAACAAATTCCCTTATATCTTCTTCCTTTCCAAGGCATTCCACTGTTCAGCTGGAAGCCTGTTTCGCTTTTTTTGAAACTCCTCACCTAAGCAGACTACTCTGATTCTTTACTAAGAATACAGATGCTATTAGCTACAAGGTCTTTTCAAGTCTTGTCAGAGAGCTTCTCTATATCTTTACCAATGCTTGACTTCCTTCCTCCATTGGTGAAGGTCATGCCTCCTGTCACTCATTCATGTCATACCCGGAGGGCACCTGCCCCGAGCTGGGTTTTCTAGGCACTGGTGGTACAGAAGTAAACAAGCTAGACAAGGTCCTGCTAACAGAGCTTATGTTCTAGTGGGTGGGAGGAAACAAGCGAACAAATAAAAGGATGATTTCAGGTAATGCTATGAGCTATGAAGACAATGGGACAAAAAAAGGTGGCATAGGTAGGCCAGACTTTGGATGAAAAGGTCGGGGAAGGATGCTCTGAGGAGTGTAGAATGATGTCAAGGAGGTTGGCCATTGAAAAAATCATGTGGAGAAGCATTCTGGAAGAGGGTGACAGCAGCTGCAAAGACCTGGAGGCAGGGGAGAGTGTGGCACATTCTGGGAAAAGACCAATGGACCCTTGCAGCCTTGTAGCCGAGGGCTGAGGTAGGCCTGTGCTGCGTCTGTGCTGGGGATGCCATTCCCACCTGCACCACCTCACAGATCACAAGCCATCAATGATCTCTGATTCTTCACGTCATTAAGCTGTTCCTCTCCATTAGTCCCTTTGTGTACTTCAAAATGCTCAACCCATGTTCAGCCCCAAAATATATTCTCTTTAACTCCTGCTGCTCTTTGGAACTACATCTTTCTTTTAACATCGTATTTTCCCAAACAACAGGATGTTCCCTCACTTCCACTTCCAGACTTATCTTTTGAAACCCTGTTTCTGGGCACACAATCATTTTCAGCGCACTGTCCAAGATCATCAATGACTTTGTGGTTTCACATCCAGTGACCTTTCTTCAACCCTCATCCTTCCTGAGTTTGGGTCACATTCTTGACAATCCCCCTTTCCAAATAGTCTTTTCCTCTATTTCCATAAAAATGCATTCTTCTCATGTTCCTTCTACCTTCGTGACCCTTCTTCAACTGTTTCCTCCCTGGCCTCTCAAATGGAGCTGTACCCCTAAGTTCTTCCTTCACAGTTGCCCTCTCTCTCCCTCCCTCCCTGCCTCTTTCCCCCTTGCTTTAACAGTCCCACTCACTCTCAAGGCCACTGGCCAGGCCTTCTCTGTGGGTGATTCCCACAGCTGTTTGTCTCCAATCCTGCCTGCTCTTGGGATATCCAGAAGCATTCTTTCAACAGCAAGGGAAAGTGTAGTGTCACTTCAAACTCCACATGTTCTTAACTCAGTTCAGCTTCCTCCTCCTCCGACCAGAAACTTCTACATTCCTGATCGATTTATATTTAACCAACCTAATCAGTGCTATCTCTATGATGATTTTCAAATGTCCTCTTTGTCCCCTTGCTACTGCCGACACTCTCACTGCCTTCTCACGCACATCTGCTGTGCCCTCAAGGACCTCCTGCCTGGATTAATCCAGTCCTTGTTACCTCCTGCTGCTGCTACCACATCTTGCCAACACCAAGAGGATGATGTTCCTAAGAATCACTGGAATCTTGACACTTCATTTCCCCAAAACCTTTGGCAACTCCTCACTGTTTACCCAATGAAGCAAAAATGCTTATCACAGCTTTGGAGACTTTCGATGATCCTGAAGCTATCTTAGCTTGGTTGCTAGCTCTCCCCTGGATCAACCTCTATGTCATGGAAACGGTTTTGTTTGCTCTTGCTTTCCTTATTCTTTTGACTTAGAATGCCATCCAACATATCTACTAATTAAAATCCTACTTATGTTACTTATGTCTCATTCAAGTAACATCTCTCCCAATTAATTTTCCCGATTTCCTCAGCAGAAAATGATTTTCCCCAAATTCACACTGTCTTGCATTATAGTTATCTGTGTAGTGTACTTGCAGTATTTTTCTTGCAGTCACTATTATTTTTCTATTTGAGGGCAGTGGCCCCCTCCCCTGTTTTTTATATACCCACAGTGCCTGGGATAATGCCTTTCTGGAATATAAAAATTCAGGTTTCTAATACTAATTTTTAAATTATCTTTACCCTGTAAATTAGCATCACGTATAAACCTACATTTCACGAAGTTCATCTCCTATTAAAAAGAGGCATTTGGAATGTGAATATATAATGCAGGAAAATTACGGCCTAAATTGGATGTGTTATATGTCTGACTTTGGCATATCCAATTTTCTTAAATCAAGGTGCACAGGTATCTGTGCTATTTAAGAACATTTACTTAGAAATACTTTGAACTGCTAGAAGAGTTGACTGAAGCCAAGGTGAAGTGAGTGTAAGAGTTAACAGAAAAGATAAGTGGCAACACCACTTTCCCTTTCCATCAGTCTCTCTTTTATCTGCTATTGTCAAAGTCTGAGACTATACCATATAAGAATATTTCCTGGCCTGGCGCGGTGGCTTACGCCTGTAATCCCAGTACTTTGGGAGGTCGAGTTGGGTGGATTGTCCGAAGTCAGGAGTTTGAGACCATCCTGGCCAACATGGTAAAACCCCATCTCTACTAAAAATACAAAAATTAGCCAGACGTGCTGGCGGGTGCCTATAATCCCAGCTACTCAGGAGGCTGAGGCAGGAGAGTTGCTTGAACCCAGGTGCCGGAAGTTGCAGTGAGCCGAGATCATGCCACTGCACTCCAGCCTGGGCGACAGAGTGAGACTCTGTCTCAAAAAAAAAAAAAAAAAAAAAAAAGAATATTTCCCTAATTCCTGAACTGTATATTTTAGCATCGAGACATTATTATTTTATCCTGCTGTGAGGGAATTATCACTAACATCCCACTTAGCCTGAACATGTCCCGAGAGGCCCAACCTATTGGTCTTGTAGTCTTCTTCCTTTCGGCAAAGAGGAATTCCATCTGTCCACTGGCTTGGGAAAATAGCCTTGGTGCTGCCCGTGACTGTTCCACCCTACTTCCCACCCCCCAGCATATTCCACGAACCAACAGTGAATGCTGTCAGGTCTACCTTCAGAACATATCCCAAATCTGATCAGGTTTTACTACCTTCATTGCTATTGGCTAGACCCAGCTCTCTATTACCTTTCCTCTATATTTTTGCAACAGCGTTTTAACTGTTCTCTCTACTTCCTCCTTTGCCATCAATTCAGTCTATTCTCAGCACAGCAGATGATGACATCCTATTCAAGTGTGAGTCAAATCATGTCACTCCTATGCTCAAAATCTGCCAACTTCCTCTACTCATAGAGAGTCAAAGCAAAGCCCTCTCACTGGCCTACTCAGACCTACGTGACCTGGACCCACACCCTGAGGTTTCTTCTCTGGCCTCATCACTTTCCCTCTTCTTCTCACTCATCATTTCCAGACACACCACTTTCCCTGCTGTTCTGCCAAGAAGTCAGGCTCACTCCTGCCTATTTACAGTCCTTTTTCCTATTTATTTCTGGGTTCATAGCTATGCTATCAAGGGCCAAATCTGCTGAAATCTGACTTTCAAATTAATTAAAGTACAATAAAGCAAGTACCTTAGGATCTCAGTCTATGTAAAATCAATGTAGTAATGGCTAGTATGGTATTGCATACTCTTTAAAAGCTCAACATTATTTGAAGATGAAGAGGGATAGGTGGAAAGAAATTAAACAAAATTTAGATGATTCTTAAGTTACCCTTTGCAAGTTTCTCATTCCCAAGATAAAGACTGGTCTTAAGAAACTCAAGAGGCAATTTTGGAAACAGCAATTCACATTTAGTACCTGACTAAAATAGTTATACTTTTTCTGAACGTCAAAAGAAAGAATATTTGAGATTGCACCTTTAATATAAGTCCAATCAAAATGTGTAAACATTATATTGACATTTATTCCAATAATATATACTTCTAAAAAGACTTTTCTTATCTCGACTGAAATATCAACCTGGGAAAATAAGTCATCATTTATGTGACACTGTTATAAAAAGCTGTAAAATCTAGAAATGCTTATTAGACAACTGAGGGAAGATCTGAAACTTAGTCCCATTTAGGAAAATTTAGGGATACAGCCCCAGTATTTCTAATCAAAATAATATTGGACAATATTATAATATCACTTTATTACAACGTGTATTTAATTACTATGGAATAGGATATTCCATATAATCCCTTCCATGAAAGCCAAGGGAAAAGTTAGGAAATTCCCTAGATTATTTTACTGGTACTTAGACATAGGAGCAAGATACTTAAATTCCTCGACTGAAGAGTTTATACATTTAAAGAGTAATGCCATGTCTACTACCTTTTGGAGATTAAATATAAGGGTGGTGGCAATGGATTTTAAACATGGATTTCAACTGCCTATTAAAAAACTAGTTAAATATCTTACCTTTTCCAGTGTCATCTCTGTCTCAGCAGCATGAGTCTTTTTCAGCTCTATTTTCATCTTTTCTGATTCAGCCTTCAGTTTATTGACGACAATCTCATGTTCCCTTGTAGCCCTTTGCTTTTCCTCTTCACGAAGAAGACCAAGCTCTACCAGCTGCTGTTTCCGCTGTGAGTTCACATTGATCAATTCTTCTCTCAACTTGTGAACCTGGGCCTCCATGTCGGCAATAACCTTGTTTTTAAAAATGGAAAAATGGGCAGAAGATATCAATAGGGAAGTCACAAAAGAAGAACCAATGGGCAAAAGGCCAATAAATGAAATATGAACATATGGAATAGAAAGCTTAGATTGCACTCCATCCTTCCTTCTTTCCTTCCTTCCCTCCCTCTTTCCCTCTCCCTTCCTTCCTTCCCTCCCTCTTTCCCTCTCCCTTCCTTCCTTCCTTCCGTTCCCTTTCCTTCCCTCCCTCCCTCCTTCCCTTCCCCTCCTCCCTTCCCTTCCCTTCCCTTCCCTTTCCTTCCCTTTCCTTCCCTCCCTCCCTCCTTCCCTTCCCCTCCCCTCCTCCCTTCCCTTCCTTCCTTCCCTCCCTCCCTTCCCTCTCCCTCCCTCCCTCCCTTCCTTCCTTCCCTCCCTTTCCTTCCTTCCCTCCCTCCCTCCCTTTCCTTCCTTCCTTCCTTCCCTCCCTCATTCCCTCCCTCCCTCCCTCCTCTACTTCCTTCATTCCATATTCCCATGTCATTCCTTCCTAGCTCAGAGGCAAATACCACCTGGAACATTTTACCATACTTTTGGATCTTTAAACAACATATTGTTTAGTTTTACTTGTTTCTAATTTCTATGTAAATGGAATATTACATGTATTTTTCTGAAACTTGCTGTTTCAAATATTCAACATCATCATGTTCCTGAAATTCATCCAGTGTTCCCTATTGGATTTTTACTTTTTATTGATTGATTTCTGCTTTTATTTTTATGTCCTTCTTCCTACTTTCCTAAGGTTTATTTTGTATTCTTTCTTCTAACTTCTTATTTTGGATACTTAACTCATTTATTTTTTATCATTTCTTCTTTTCTGATTTATAAATGTAAGACTACAAATGTCTCTCTGGATACTGATTTAGTTCCATCTCTTTGGTTTAGATATGTGGTATTTTCATTATCGTTTAGTTCAAAATACTTTTTTAACTTCCATTATAATTTTTGTCTTTGACTTATGAACCATTTAGAAGTATGTTTCTTAATTCCCAAGCATATGGGACATATTAGTTTCCCAGGGTTGCCATAACAAAGTAGCACAAACTAGATGGCTTAAAAGAACAGAATTTTATTCTCTCATAGTTCTGGAGGCTAGAAGTCTTAAAATCAAGGTGTTGGCAGAGTTGGTTCCTTCTGGAAACTCTGAAGGAGAAGCTGTTCCATGCCTGTCTCCTAGCTTCTGGTATTTCCTGACAGTCACTGTGCCTTGGTGTGTAAATGCATCATTCCAATCAGTGCCTTTGTCTTCAGATGGATTTGTTCTCTCTGGGTGTCTGTGTCTCTGTGGTGCTGTATTTTATAAGGACACTGGTCATACTGGATTTAGGGCCCACCTTAATCCAGCATCACCTAATTTTAACTTGATTACATCTGCAAAAATTCTATTTCCGGCCAGGCGCAGTGACTCATGTCTGTAATCCCAGCACTTTGGGAGGCCGAGGCGGGTGGATCACAAGGTCAGGAGTTCAAGACCAGCCTGGCCAAGATGGTGAAACCCCGTCTCTACTGAAAATGCAAAAATTAGCTGGGCATGGTGGTGGGCACCTGTAATCCCAGCTGCTCGGAAGGCGGAGGCAGAGAACTGCTTGAACCTGGGAGGTGGAGGTTGCAGTGAGCTGAAATTGCGCCACTGCACTCCCGCCTGGGCAACAGAGCGAGACTCCATCTAAAAAAAAAAAAAAAATTCTATTTCCGGTTCTGTGTAGACAGGAAATTTTGAGAGGGACACCATTAAACTCAGGAAATGGACTTCAGTGGTTATTGTTTTGTCATTCACTTCTAATTGCACTGTGGCCAAAGAATGTAGTCTATCTCCCATTAATTCTTTGCAAATTTTGAGAATGTTTGATGGCAAGTTATGTAGCCAATTTTTTAAAAGCTTCATGTATGATTGCTAAGAAATGTCTATGCTGTATTTTCTACAGTTTTCAGTGCTATATCCTATACATGCCTATCATATCAAGCTTGTTACATAGTTGAAATCTTCTGTCACTTACTTACTGCCACTAACACATTAGCCAGCAATGCAACATTTCCCAAAACACAATGATAAATGTTTCATTTCATGCCTAATGTATGTTCAACAAGCACAGCCTAAACCAACATTTCCTTGACTGGAAACCAGAAAAATAAAAAAGTGACAGGAATCCAAATGTCACATTATGATGCTGGGAATAAGAATACAAAGCTAAATGATGAGAAGTTGCTTTGGTCAAAATATCTACAAGAATTATTTCATTTTCAATATAAATATTATATTCATCCAATTTTTAATTTTAACAATTTTGTGATTTCTACATGATAAATAATAATTGCTATAATTTTGAGTGTTTACTTTGCACCAGGCATCTTATTTTGGATTGTGTTCAGTATACATTAGCTCAACTATTAACCCTGTGGCCTCTCTACACTAGACTGGAAAAGACATCTAGAACAGTAACATTTGTGTTAGAGGAAAGAAAATGCTTTATAGTAATAAATCTGAGCCTTCGAGGCTGGAGGTGATAGGATGTCCCATTTTTATCCTGCCTTTCTAAGAAAAGCTTACTTGAACTAGTCCCAAAGGAATATGTGAGAGGACTTTATATAAAAGGCTGATCCTTGTAAACCTGTAGTGGAAAAATTAGTTATTTTTTCTTCAGGAAATCTATGCACTGTTTTAACATCTATTTGTTTCTCTATTTCATAGATTGATATCTGTGTATCAATAATCAGCTGTGGATCAATTGTCCGTGAAAACAGTCTTTTACCTTTTGTTCTTTGTTTTATAATGATTCTTTTGAACCCAAGAGAAGAGATAGTCAATGCAATCAGATTCTGAAATAGAGGATACATCTTCTAAAAACAGATAGACTTTAGCAGTGACAACAGTTATGTGTTTGGGAGGCAGAACATTCTTTTTTTAAAAAAAAGCTCAGGGATATCAACATGGCAGACAAGGATGGGTTGCTGGCTCCCTTCCCCAAAATCAATCCTGGAGAAAGCACAGGAAGCATGAATCTGAGATACTAATAACTATAACAATAATAAACATAACAAAAGCAAATTTTGAGAAGCTCCTGGGTGGAATAAAGACAGTCCTAAGGGGGTACAGCCTGGGGAAGAAAATAATAGAAAACCGCTGTAAGAAGGTGGGTTGCAGGAATGCTTTACCTTCTGCTCTTGTCTCTCTCTTTTGTAGCCAGGTAAAATCATATCTGTTCCATTACCATGTTGGGAGCAAGAACTCAACATAGTGTTGACATCAGTCAGTCAATACCAAGGAAAGCAAAGCCCTCCTTGGGTGAGGAGTTGAAGAAAACAGGCACAGACTTCTCTGAACTTCCTGGGTATTCCCCCTTCCAAAGGCTTCCCTCCAAACTCCCAGGACTAGTGACTCAGTCATTAGACACTCACTTCCAGGAGCTTAGGTAAATTCCCGACCAGCAGGTTTTCCTGATGAAGTAACTGTGAAAGGGAGTGGTACGGCAATGAAGGGCTCTGTCTTGGGGTTCATAATCTTGTCCTTCTATAAGCTCATCCAACAGGTCAGGGACTAAAGGTGGGCTTCTGCTCTTCCCCAGTCAGGATATCTGATAGTCCCAGGGGAAAATGGGCTCCCTGGCCAAAGTAAATAAACCTGAGGAGCAAAACTACTACCAAAAAGAGACACCTAAATAACATATATTATCTGAAGCAGTATAATTGGAACAGATGAAACAAGAATTTTTTAAGTGCGTAATAGGCCGGGTGTGTTGGCTTATGCCTGTAATCACAGCACTTTGAGAGGCCAAGGCAGGTGGATCACTTGAGCCTAGGAGTTCAAGACCAGCCTTGGCAATATAGTGAGGCTCCTTCTCTACAGATAATACAGAAATGAGTCAGGTGTGGTGGGGTGTGCCTGTAGTCCCAGCTACTCAGGAGGCTGAGGAAAGAAGATCAATTGAGCCCAGGAGGCTGCAGTGAACCGTGGTCATACCCTGTACTCCGGCCTGTGTGACAGAAGGAGATCTTATCTCCAAAAAAAGTCCATAATAAACATACAAATAGTAATATATATATACTTAATATACTGAAAAGTGTAATGGAAGAAGTTACAGACATGAAGCTGCAATTAATGTCATAGAAGAAGGAAAAAGTGAAAATGATAGGAAAAAGAGCAAGTTAGCTAAAGCCAAAGAATAGAATTGCGCATTGGAAGGATGGTAAGATTGAAGAACTCCCTGGGAGGCAGCAGAGAAAGATAATAATACAGAAAATGTAAAAGAAAAGCTAATATTTGTGGAGGACAGAGGAAGTGACAACATCTAAATAATAGAGTCTGAGAAAAATAGAATTGGAAAGATTTTATCCAAGCTCAAGCTGATTTGAAAGTCTGCTTTTTATCACATACTGTATCATCTCAAAGTATTAAGAATTTCTCTTAAGGAAGAGTACATATTTATTGTACTTTATTAATTTGTTATTGTGCGTTTCTATCCCCTAATTTTCACTATGGTTAGTACAAAGTTAACATCCAAAAGCCATAAGTCCATAATGTCTTTTTTTGAAAATTAAAAAATACATACATTTTTATAGATTTGGGAGCATAAGTACAGTTTTGTTACTTGGATATATTGCATAGTGGTAAAATCTGGGCTTTTAGTGTAACTACCAACCAAATATTATACATTGTGCCCACTAGGAAAATCTTTAAAAAATGAGCAAAAATGTTAGTTTTCCAAAAGCAGTGAGACCATCCCAAATCGAGTTTCAATCTCTGTCAATGTAAATCAAAGTATTGTTATGCACATTGTCATCACTGTGTAGATACTGTTCTATATTTTCACACACCCAATTTTAATTTAATTCCCATTTATTAGCATATTTGTCATATTTAGTGGCTCCCTAGTATTTCACCCTTCCAGTACAGGCATATCACAGAGATATTGTGTGTTTGGTTCCCGACCACCTCAATAAAGCAAATATTGCAATGAAGTGAATACTGCGATGAAGCAAATATCTCCATAAAGTGAGTCACATAAATTGGTTGGTTTCCCAGTGCATATAAAAGTTATAGACTATTCAGGAGTGTCTGAGGGAGAGAATACAGTCATGGGTTCTTGGTTTCTGTTTCTGGTTGGGCCAGTAAAGCCCCTTCCTCATCCCTCTTTTCTGCTTATCACTAAAGACAGAAACTTTAAAACCATGGCTTCTGGCTGCTAAAAGCCTAAAGCAAAACAAAACAGAACAACAACAACAAAATAAGGTGGGTTGGACAAGCTTGCAGTTTATTCAGTGAGCATTATGTCTAAAAAACAATGTGCATTCCTTCATTTAAAATACATTATTGCTAAGAAGGGTTAATGATCATCTAAGCCATTCTTAAGTCCTAATCTTTTTGCTGGTGGAGAGTCTTGTCTTGATACTGATGGCTTGCTAACCGAACTCCTGACCTCGTGATCCGCCCACCTCAGCCTCCCAAAGTGCTAGGACTACAGGTGTAAGCCACCACACCTGGTCAATGTTTATTATTTCAATGCATTAATGGAGTAAATTATATTATAGGTTATTTTCAAACGTTACATCAACCTTAGGTTACATTCAATTTTTTCCATAAGATAATATTACTGGATTCAGTTTGCTAATAATTTGCTAATGATTTTTGAGAGACTGACCTGAGGGATTTTTTTTTTTGGACTCTCCTTGGCATATTTTTAAATTGATGTTATGCTAGTCTCATAAATTCAGTTGCTGAATGATGCTACCTTTTTCATCCTCTGAAAGAATCAGTATAAGATGAGTTATTTGTTTCTTAAATATTTAGTGGAACTGGCCAGTAGGGCCATCTGGGCTTGATATTGTATATCTGGAAAACATTTTGACTACTATTTCAATTTTTCTGATGGTTATAGGATGATTCACATTTTCCGGTCTTTTACAGAGTCAGTTTTGGTAAATTTTTATAGTTTAGGAATTTTTCCTCTTCCCCTAAATTTGACATTTGTTGGCATTTATAAATTTCTATGTCCTTGCATTCTCTACAACTTGGTGATTACATACGTTATTTTTATACATTATTGGACTTGATTTGCTAATAATTCCAGATTTGTATGTGTGTGTTCATGAGTGAGTTGGCCTGGAATTTTTATTTCTCTTCTTGTACCAGTCATCTTTTCTATCAATATTACAATCTTTTAAATTGGTTTGAGAGTATTTTTCTCTTTCTCGCTTCTCTGGAAAAGTTTGTAAAAGACTACAGTGACCTGTCCCATGGGAGATTTTTATAGAACTCACCTGTAAAATTATATGAACTCAGTGTTTTCTTTGTTGAAAGATTTTTAACTGTTTTTAAAATTTGCTTAATTATATTAGATTATTTAGTTTCCTGTTTTGTCTTGCGGCATTTTATGTATTCCTGGAAATTTGTCCATTTCACCTGGGTTCTCCAATTATTGGCATAATGCTTTTTTAATATCTTATTTTTTTAATCTCTGATGATCTGGAATATATCCTTTTTAAAATTTAATGTTATTAATATCTCTCTTTTATTGATAACATTACCATAGCTTTATTTTTATTCCCAATATTGTTTATTTGCACTTTGTTCTTTGATCAGTCCTACCAGAAATTGCTTCATTTTTCTAACTTCTTAAGCTGGTTGCCTACTTCATTAACAATTAACCGTTTAAAAATAAATGGCAGGTTAAGTGTACCCATTTCTCTCATTTTAGCTTCATCCTTCAAGATTTGAGAAGTACTATTTTCATTATCAATTATTTCTAAGTATTTTAATTTAAATGTTATGAACTTATTTTTGATTAGGAAATACGTTGACATTGATAAGAATTTATAAGCCACAAAAGTAGATACAGTAAACTATCTTCCACTCACCCGGACTGTCATCAATAACCACCTCATCCCCACCCAAAATAGTACCAATGTAAAAAGTGTCAAAAGTGTCTTAGGTCTAATTCCAGAAGATCAATTCTTAGGTCTAATTCCAGAGATCAATTCAAAGTGCTTTTAATTTTACCTTAATTTTATCTTATGGAAAAAACTGAATGTAATCTAAGGTTGATGTAACGTCTGAAAATAACCTATAATATAGTTTACTCCATCAATGCATTAAAAGAAAAAACATTGGCCAGGTGCGGTGGCTTATGCCTGTAGTCTTAGCACTTTGAGAGGCCGAGGCGGGCAGATCACGAAGTCAGGAGTTCAAAACCAGCCTGGCAACATGGCAAAACCCGTCTCTACTGAAAATACAAAAAGTAGCTGGGCGGGGTGGCAGGTGCCTGTAATCTCAGCTACTTGGGAGGCTGAGGCAAGAGAATCGTTTGAACCCAGGAGGCGGAGGTTGTAGTGAGCTGAGATCGCGCCATTGCACTCCAGCCTGGGTGACAGGGTGAGACTCCATCTCAAAAAAAAAAAAAAAAGAAAAGAAAAGAAAAGAAAAAACATTATGATTATCTGAATACACAGAAAAACATCTGATAAAATTAAACAACAAAAATTCTTAGCAAAAGAGAAATAGAAAAGATCACTTTAACCAGATAAAAGGTATTTGACAAAAGACTCATCAAATTTCATTTATTCTTTATTGTGAAGTTTTAAAATATCCCTTTTAAACTAGGAAGAAGAAAAGAAGGTCTACTATCATCACTTGTATTCACAAGTGTATGACAAGAACATAAAAAAAAAAAACTGGGCCAGGTGCGGTGGCTCATGCCTGTAATCCCGGCACTTTGGGAGGCCAAGGCGGGCAGATCACAAGGACAGGAGTTTGAGACTAGCCTGGTCAACATAGCGAAACCCTGTCTCTACTAAAAATACAAAAAAAAAAAAAAAAAAATTAGCTGGGTGTGGTGGCGGGCGCCTCCAGCTACTTGGAAGGCTGAGGCAGGAGAATCTCTTTAACCCAGGAGGCAGAGGTTGCAGTGAGCCAAGATTGCGCCACGGCACTGCAGCCCAGGAGACAGTGTGAGACTCCATCTCAAAAAAAAAAAAAAAACAAAAACCTATCTTTAATCATAGATGCCATGACGGTATATATAAAAAATGAAAATGAATGTACAAATTATTAGAAATAAGAGCTTAGCGTGATGTCTGAATAAATGATCAATGTTCAAAAAGCAACTGCAGTTTTTATACATCAGCAAAAAAATTATAAACATTTACAGCTATGACAACAAACAAAGAATCTTAGAAATAAGCCTATCAAAAGATGTGCAAAACCCTAAGGAAAAAAATATAAGGCTTTTTGAAAGACATAAAAGGAAGATCTAAATAACTAAGAGATATATCAGGGTGATGAAAGTCTCTTCATCAGTTCTCTGCAGATTAATCTAGAGTGTAAGTCCAATTAAAACTTCAAGAAGAGCTTTCGACAAGGTGGATCTAAAATGTACAGGGACAAACATAGTACCATGACATCCCCAAAAAGAACAGGCGGTGTGATATTCCCTACAAGAAATTTGGGTCTAACATAATGTTATCATAATCAACACAGTATAGTCTTATCATAGAGAACAGAAAAAAATTGACCAATGAAACAGAATTGAGAACCTAGAAACAGGCTCACACTGGACAGAGCTGGCATTACAGTTTAGTGGGGATGTGACAAGCCAATGTATTCTAAAAATTACGCTGACACAAGAAGTTATTCATATTGGGAAAAATAAAAGCAAGCCCCTATCTTACACAATGGACAAAAATAAGTTATTTCCATTTTTAGGTCTATATCCAAGAGAAATATAACTTATGTTAACACAAAAACTTGTAACATGAATGTTCATAGCAGCAATTTTCATAACAGCCCCAAAGGAGAAACCACCAAAATGTCCATCAATTGATGAACACGCAAATGAAATACAGTATATCCACACAGTGGAATATTATTCAGCAATAAAGAGAAATGCAGACCTAATACATGCTACAGTAGGAATGAACCTTGAAAACACGCTGAGTGAAGGAAGCCAGTCACAACATATTGTGTGATTCCAATATTTTACATGAAATATCTGAAACAAGCACATCTATAGAGATAGATTAGATTAGTGGATTGTCTAGGTCTGGGAGTGTTGAGTGGAAATGAAGAGTGACCATTAATGGGTCTGAGTTTTTGGAGAGAGGTGACACAGTTAATGGTGAAGATGGTTTTGCAACCCTGAAGATACTGAAAACCACTGAATGGTACAGTGTAAATAGGTGAATTGTATGGAATGGCAATTATATCTCAATAAGACTGTTTCTTTTTAAATCAGTTCTTAGTGGATGAGAAACCAAATGTGAGACCAAACTTTTAAAAATATGGGAGATGGCTTTATGACTTCAAAGTAAGGAAAGGCATGACTTAAAGGGCACTAACTTGAAAAGATTGATGAATTAGATTGCAATACAGTTAAGAACATTTGTTCATCAAAAGACACAAGAAAGAGAATGAAAAACTAAATCACAAACTGGAAGGGAACATCTGCAACATATGTAACTTACAAAAGAATATTATCCAGAATGCCTAAAGTATATCAACAAGTAAAAGATAAATAACCCAACAGAAAATAAGTAAAAACAATACATGACTAGGCACATCATAAAAGGCAACATTTTAATGGTAAACATGAAAAGGTGCCCAACTTCATTAGTCATCACAAATGCAAATTAAGGCTATTTTGATATCATTTTACAATCACCATATTTGCAAAACTCAAGAAGTCTGACAATACCAAATGCTGGCAAGAATGTGTATCAATGGGTACTCTTACACATTATTGATTTGGGTGTAACGTGATAAAACCCTACTGTAAGTTAACTTGGCACTACCTCGGAAAGTTGGACACGTTCATAAGCTATATCTGTTGAGAATCTCTTACACGTGAACACCAGGCACATGCCCAATAATGTACACAGCAGTATTTGTACCATAACTCAACTTGTCCGTCATAGTTGTCATTGATTTATCTTGATACAATGGAATATTATATACAGCAAAATGAATTAACCAGAGCTGTGCACAACACAATGGGTGAATCTTAAACATAAGATACTGAATGAAAAATGCAAATCAGATTACCTACAACATGCAACCATTTTTACAAAGTTCAAAAACAAACAAAAATAATATTTTGTTCAGAGAATATATATATGTACAATAAAGCCATAAAACATTATTAGGTAACTATCAACACACAATTATGAATAATGGTTAACTCTGGGGAAGGGTGGTTAGGAATATGGGAAAGGAAGGAGCACACAGGTACAGGCAGCAATTTTAATAGTGTTCCAATTCTTGGCCGGGCATAGTGGCTCACGCCTGTAATCCTAGCACTTTGGGAGGCCAAGGCGAGTGGATCACGAGGTCAGGAGATCAAGACCATCCTGGCTAACACGGTGAAACCCCATCTATACTAAAAATACAAAAAATTAGCCGGGCGTGGTGGTGGGCACCTGTAGTCCCAGCTACTCAGGAGGCTGAGGCAGGAGAATGGTGTGAACCCAGGAGGCGGAGCTTGCAGTGAGCCGAGATCGTGCCACTGACTCCAGCCTGGGTGACACAGTGAAACTCCACCTCAAAAATAATAATAATAATATGTTCCAATTCTCAACTTGAGTGGTCAGTTCATGATGTTCATTTTGTTGTATGTATTAGTATTTAAATATTAATTATGACATATTCTTTGTATGTATCAGACACTAGATAAAAATTTTAAAAAGATGACACAGACGTTTTAAGCCCAGCTGACAAGAAGAATGCTTCTAAAAGATAATTTCTTAAATTTTAGGACAATAATTATTTTTAATACATTGTAAGAGTGCTACTATTTATTATGGAAATGCACATAGCCCAACAATTTTGCTTTTTTTGTGAATATTTCATAGGAGACACTTAATTCTAATTATGTTTTTGAATATTACATGGCTTCATTATTCCTTACTTTTGTTTAGTATTTAATAAAGTTAATTAAAAAATAATATATTCTCTTCAGAATAACATATTAGTAGTTCTAGTAGGCATTTTAATTATGTATTGTTAATATTAAGGCCACCAAATTTATGATTTTAAATCATATGAAATGTATCAAAATTATTCCTCCATTTTCATTATTCTGGACACAATACACATACTTGGATTTAAGCTTATAAATTCAAAAAAATACATTATTTTAATTTACGGTCTTTTAGTCTCCTAATATTATTTTGTAAATGTCACATGCAAAAGAATTTTCTTTCATTTTATAAACAACTCCCATAAGACCTTAAGCATAAAAGAATTTAACCTTAAAAGAAAACATGGCTTTTGCCTTCCAAAGATAAAAGTTACTACTAGAAATAATGACAGATGGTTAATTTGTTTCTAACAAATTAAATACAATAATTAAATACTAATAAGCTCTGTTTTGAAGCAGGAGAATGGTGTGTCATGAGCACGACGGGTTCAGGCCATAGGCATGATTAAAAATAAACAAAATGGGCCGGGCGCGGTGGCTCACGCCTGTAATCCCAGCACTTTGGGAGGCCAAGGTGGGAGGATCACAAGGTCAGGAGATCGAGACCACGGTGAAACCCCGTCTCTACTAAAAATACAAAAAAAAAATTAGCCGGGTGCAGTGGCGGGTGCCTGTAGTCCCAGCTACTCGGGAGACCGAGGCAGGAGAATGGCGTGAATCTGGGAGGTGGAGCTTGCAGTGAGCGCCACTGCATTCCAGCCTGGGTGACAGAGCAAGACTCTGTCTCAAAAAAAAAAAGAAAAAAAAAAGAAACAAAATGGTAGAAGACAGACTATTAGGAGGTTTTAATTCAGCACAGTCTGAGGCAGAGGTGTTCCTAGAAAGATGAGTGCCTCCACGGCCAGGCACAGTGGCTCACGCCTGTAATCCCAGCACTTTGGGAGGCCAAGGCAAGCAGATCATGAGGTGAAGAGATCGAGACCAACCTGGCCAACATGGTGAAACCCCGTCTCTACTAAAAATACAAAAATTAGCTTGACAGGGGGCACGCACCTGTAGTCCCAGCTACTCGGGAGGCTGAGGCAGGAGAATCGCTTGAACCCGGGAGGCAGAGGTTGCAGTGAGCCAAGATTGCGCCACTACACTCCAGCCTGGGCGACAGAGTGAGACTCCTCAAAAAAAAAAAAAAAGTGAGTGCCTCCTGGGAACTCTGGATTTGACACAGGTTTCAGATCTTTCAGATTTTTGATCCTCGGGCAGTTTGCCACTCCATGTGTCCACCTAACTATCCATTACCTCTTCGAGTCATATTTTAAGATGCTGGGTTGTCTATGTTAATGTGCCTAAGTGTCCCTTTCAGAAGAGCTGTAGCCTTGTTTATACCCACGATGTAGCAAGGAAGCAGAATTTTCAAGATGTGGATTAGATTTCAAGAGAAGCAGTCCAAGCTCCTGACTTCCTCATCACTGGAAATTTCTTCCCACAGTGAAAGGGCAAGGACCCTAATAACTGGAGCCCTGACGCCATTCTTCCACCTTCCTCGACATTCTTCAGCTGGTCACAAACACAATTAGTTAGTGATACAGTATGGAAGTGACTAACCTTTGGTCAGGCATTATCAGAACTGCTTCATTCAGGCTTCTGAGAGCACGATGTCACAGAATTCAAATGTACTTGTGCTTCTTATGTAAATTATGAGTGAGCGTAGACTAGAAAGGCTGAGGCGTGCCTGCTCATGGCTGTTGGCTAAAGGAAAGAGCACTACAACACCACCGGCATCTTTATTATTACAAGGACGTAAATGCCGCAGGACCAAAAACCTCCCAGATGAGTAAAGATGTAAAATGAACATCTAATTTCTCTACTGGTCACATCATGTAGAAAAGGTCAGAGTGCTACTATAGCCACTATAGCCACTCCTGCAGTGGGTGGGCTTTTTAGGGGTAAGCAAGTGTGTGTGTGTGTGTGTGTGTGTGTGTGTGTGTGTGTGTGTGTGTGTGTGTGTGTACATATCTATGTACCTTTTATTCACTTGGTCCTTTCATTTTACTTTATACAGGAAAGACTGTTTTTTTGTGTGTTTTGTGGATTTTTTTTGAGACAGGGTCTCACTCTGTTGCCCAGGCTGGAGTGCAGTGTCATGATCTCGGCTCACTGCAGCCTCACCTTCCCAGGCTCAAGCGATCCTCCCACCTCAGCCTTCCCAGTAGCTGAGATCACAGGTGCATGCCACCACGACTGTCTAATTTTTGTATTATTTGTAGAGACAGGGTCTTGCCATGTTGCCCAGGATGGTCTGGAACTCCTGAGCTCAAGTGATCTGCCCATCTTGGCCTCCCAAAGTGCTGGGATTACAGGTGTGAGCCACTGCGCCCAGCCAAGAAGGACTGTTGCAGTTGGTGTGCATGGCTCGTATATAAGTGAGATAACTAGCTTAGGGTAAGTATCATACAGTGAGAACTAAGCGTACTATATTGAGGAGGGCAAGTTGCTAGATATATATCTATAATACTGATGGCAGCAATGGGCCGTCCAGATCCCCAAGGCAACCTAGTGCACCACCCACACCCTTGCACAGCTGGGCAGGACCCACTTCCAGGCCTGGAGCCTCTGCCACGGCCTCAACCTCCCTCCCCATAGGTCTCAGGAGCCCACCAGCACGTGGCTGAAGGTGCAGCTGGGGACTCCTGAAGCCGGTCCCAAGAGCATCAGGTTTGCTTGGGCAGGGTTGGCTGGGGTTGCCAGGCCACCTGCCCCTCACCTGCCACTGCTGCAGGGAAAATGCAGAGAGAAGGTGTGCAGTGTGCAGAACCCACTCCTGGGAGGCCCCTGGAGCCCGCCACTCTGGGAGCTGTTTTGATGGGGTCCGGCCGCGTCACCTGACAGTGGCGGAGCAGCACGGTTGGGCACAGAAGGGTGGACAGAGAGGTGCCCTGAGGCGGAGCTGGGCCCAGGGCGGTGCTGCGCTCTACACAGCCGGTGGGAGCTGGGAGCAGGCAGGAGCCTCACCCTCCTGGGTGCAGCTGTGGTCACTCAGGTCGGGGCTGTGGACCTGGGCCTCCCTGTGCTCTAGGGGTCTAGAAGCAGGCAGGAGCCCTGCCGTCCTGGGTGCAACTGCAGCCACCCAGACGCAGCCACGTACCCAGGCATCTCAGCACTCTCGGGGGCCTGGGAAGGCCCCCCATTTCCCCAACAGGGTCAGAGATGTCTGCTCCCACTGCCTGGCCTCTCCCTGCTCCCGGCACCCACTCCAATCCTGGAGCAAGGTTGGGGCCGAGCCCAGGTGCTGTTGCAGCCTGGCCGGTTGTGCGCACCCTCGAGGTATCACGGACACAGCAGCCCCCTGCTGCCTCAGTCCCCTCCAGACTTTGGGCACCAACGGGCATGGGAGGGAGGCCAAGGCGGGGCTGAGGGCAGCTTGGCACTGGCCTGCGCCCCTTGGCACAAACAGCCTGGGCAACATGAATGGCAGCAGGAGGCAGACAGGCTTCTGGCAGGAGGTGGGTCCCTGGTGAAGCCCTACCTTCAAGCCAGGGAGGGACTGAAGCCTGGGAGCTGGGCTGCTGGTCCCCGCAGATGGCAGTGGAAACCTGTGGTGCTTTTTCTCGGCCTGCCATAGCCATCCATGGACCAATCACAGGCACTTCCTCCCCTCTGAGGCCCATAAAAAGCCCCGGACCCAGCCATATCAGAAGAGACAAAGGATGACCAGCTGACAAGAGGAGCTACCCACCTCAGGGTCCCCTCTCTGCTGAGAGCTGAACACTCATTGGGACAACCTGCCTGCAGAGAGGAGCTACCCTCTCTGCTAAGAGCTGAACACCTGTCTAGACACCCTGGCTACGGAGAGGAGCTACCCACTCTGGGTCTCCTCTGAGCTGTTCTATTGCTCAATAAAGCTCCTCTTCATCTTGCTCACCCTCCACTTGTCTGCATACCTCATTCTTCCTGGACACAGGACAAGAACTTGGGACCTGCCAAAAAAACAAACCCATGCCCCTTGCTCACCACATTGCAGATGACAAGGAGAGAGGAGAGACGAGAGAAGGAGAAGAGCTGCAGCCCTTCAGGGAGCCCAGACTCAGGAGCTCCCCAAGCCAGGGCTGTAACATCCTCTTTAAAGCTCTGCGGTTCCTGATGTCTCCAAGCTTCTGGGTGCCACACCACATTCCCCTGTGTCAGCCATGGCAGCTGCTTATGGTATGCCCAGTCCAGCTGCAACTTTGCAGGGAGCTAGCACACCTGGAGCTGCCCGCCCCACCGCTGCTGGCATGCCGGCCTGTGCACAGCAGCTGGACCCCATGCTCGCTCACATACTATTCACCACTTTGAGTGGGATCCAGGCAGGTAATGCAAGCTGACACAGCCTGCCAGGCCAAGTGGGTGAAACAAACCCAGTGGACCAGAGCAAAACCCAGGCAAAGACGCCACTGGCCACAGAGGTTTCTGGCTGGTGAAGCAACACCCCAAGGATCCTGTAACAATACTCTAATCTTACTTTGAAGATTTTGAAAATACTCCAGGACCATACAGTAATTCAAAGTCATTATTACAAAGACCAATTATCAATGTAAAGTCACATAAATGTATAAAGTTTAAGAGATTGGGGTTAATCTACAGAAGCCAGATGAATATCCTGTTAAGTAATTTTGAAAAAAAAATTCTTGTTTTTAGCTATTTACTTTAATGGAGCCTATACATTTAAATTCTCCTTACCTCTTTTTCTTTAGATTCTAAATAATAAGGAGTTTATTATTTAATAACTTAGCTTTATTTATTACTATGTATTTCCCATTTTAATGTTTTTATATAAATCACCCCAAATTTGTTCTTAGTTATATGTCCCTAAAATTTCACTGAGACTGCTGTCAAGTTGGAAATACTGAGAGATAACTTTTAGTGTCTGCAGCGGCCAACTTATGAAGTAAAGGGGGAATGAAGTCACCCATGGCTATTTTTTCAAATAATGTTGAAGGGGAAAAAAAACCCTGATGACTAGGTTTGAGAATACATATTTCTGTTATTTATAACATAAAATCGAAGTATATATTTATTATGAGTTTATATTATATGTATTAATAAATTTTTTAAATTAAAATATAAAGAAGAGATATTCTTTCTGTTATATTTGGTTCTTGTTCGTTATGTCAAAGTTATGAATGAGGCAAAACTTCAGATTTTTATTTGTCTAAAACTTTTCCTCCACCAAAATAAAATATCTCATTTTACTTTTTAATAAAAGAAATACATTGATGACCAGGTGCAGTGGCTCACACCTATAATCCCAGCACTTCCCAGAGGGCGAAGAAGACGGATCAATTGAGGTCAGGAGTTCAAGACCAGCCTGGCCAACAAGGTGAAACCCCATCTCTACCAAAAATACAAAAATTAACTGGGCATGGTGCTGGACACCTGTAATTCCAGGTACTCGAGAGGCTGAGGCAGGAGAAACGCTTGAGCCCAGGAGATAAAGGTTGCAGCAAGCTGAGATCATGCCACTGTACTCCAGCCTGGGCAACAAAGTGAGACTCTGTCTCAAAATTAAAAAAAAAAAAAATACATTGAAAGAAATATGCATTTTGAGATTTATCAAATATATAGAATTGATGTTTTGAAATTGAATATGCAGATTTCAAAGGACAGCATACACATTAAAAAACAGAATATATTAGGAAAATACTGTTGTATCAGTAAAAAAGAATATTTTGGATAGGTTCAACCTGTCAATTTATTTCATGGAGACTGAATTTATATAATGCATACAACTATATATATGTTCATTAGCATTTAAAAACTGAAATTCATCTAAACAGTGAAAATTAAAAGCATATTTTACTATACAATTATACAATATGCGTTTTAACATTTTTTGGAAATGATTGATTTCAAATTAAGTCACAAGTTATATAGTTATTTTACAGGTGAGGCAACATTTTGCTGTACGTTTCTGAATTAAAGTTTACATTTCTTATAGTATTTTTATAGGGCTCAAATTTGAACACGTGTTCTCATAAGTTATTGCATAGACAGGTAGCTGGTAACAGTAGAAAAGAGACACATTAAGGGATGCAGGTAAAGTCACATAAAAGTCCGGGCAAGAAACCAGCCCTTCAGATGCCTAGGTCAGCACATTTTCTATTTTTAACCTGCTGCATTCTAACCTGCAAATAGAACTTTCTTCACTAATATTGTCTGTGCTTTATCAAGTGGAAAATATTTTTAAGATCCCTTAAATGACCAAGAGCTATTTAGAAATACAGCCAGCAGATTACCTTTAAAATGATTCAAAAATTGTTCTGAGAGCCAATAAGGCATATTTGGTATTATCGGAAGTGCATGTGTGTTTTTCAACTCTTGTTCTACTATTATTATTAGACCTAGTAATTGGAAATGAAATCATTAGCCCATCTTGTGGTTCGGTGAAAATATTTCCTCTGCAACTTGTAAAGATGAAGAAGAGGCTTAAATTCACCCAAACTCCAAAGAATAGGTTAGCTGTGGAAGGAATTCTATACACAAGACTAAAGTGTGGCACCTTTGTTCACAATGACACTAGTAAACTACAAGATGAAGGAGAGGACAGAACTTAACATATAGGAAAGGCAAGATAAACTTTCTTTTTTTTTTTTTTTTTTCAGACAGAGTCTCACTCTGTTGCCCAGGCTGGAGTGCAGTGGTGTGATCTCTGCTCACTGCAAGCTACGCCTCCTGGGTTCACCCCATTCTCCTGCCTCAGCCTCCCAAGTAGCTGGGACTACAGGCAGGCGCCCGCCACCACATTCGGCTAAATTTTTTTGTATTTTTAGTAGAGACAGGGTTTCACCGTGTTAGCCAGGATGGTCTCGATCTCCTGACCTCGTGATCCACCCGCCTAGGTCTCCCAAAGTGCTGGGATTACAGGCGTGAGCCACCACGCCAGGCCGATAAACTTTAATTTGGTTAAAAACTTTAGAACAATTAATACCCAGGTTTGGAGCACACTACAAAGGTCTAATGTCAAGAAAAAAAAATTATCTTGCCTGCAAAAGAGGACAGTACTCTAGGTAGAGAATAAGAAAGAAAGAAAGAAAGAAAGAAAGAAAGAAAGAAAGAAAGAAAGAAAGAAAGAAAGAAAGAAAGAAAAGAAAGAAAGAGAAAATACAAAGAAAAAAAAGCAATCAGTGTATGTGCTTATCTGAAAGGGGAGAAAACTTCAAAAGGAGAATTAAAACATGTTATGAGTTCACATGAACTGGAAAGCATTATGGCTACATTTGTTTTTTTGTGAGTAATGATACCGGTAAAGATTCATAACTGATGTTGAAATTTCTAGTTTTATTTTAAAAGAACTAGCCACATCATCTAATTAAAAATAGATCTTAAAGAAAGTGAGTTAAAAACTCCATAACAATCTGCTCCTAGGTTAAGTTAAAACTAAAAAAGGAAAAAGAAGTTTCATAGCACATTGATCTATTTTGGAAAATTGCAAATGAAATATCTACTACACGTAAAATAGCTATGTAGAAGCATTTATTATATAAATTAAATGATTTTAAAGGTAATAGAAGTACTATATATTTTTTCTAGACTCAAATAGAATTATAAAAGTAGAAACATTCCAGTTGAGACTGACTGAATGACACTGAAACAAAAATACCTTCAAATTGCACTTTTAATAACCTTATCCTGAAAAATGCAGAAAATCAGTATTAAAAAGCCAATACAGGTGCATTATCCATAACTCACTCTGGTGCAACATCAGGGCTCACAAACAGAAGGACTACGTGTCAGGAAGATGTTATTTGCAGCATCTAGAAACACCTAAAGTTATTTTCTTGACAGAGTTTCCAGGAGTGACAGGTAACCTATTTGGCCTTCGAAGAAGAATAAAATTCAGGCTGAATTCTTCTTCACTAGAAAACTACTTTTATAAAGAATGTCATTCAAGTAATTGGAGAGAAGGTTTTCAACACCCTCTCCACTTACTGTACTTCCCCTTTCCAGGGAAGCAGAGTTTTGACCTAGGTTTTTTGCCAGTTCTGTATTAGCTGCTCAACCCAAACACGATACACACTAAGGTTGCAACCACCCACCCACATTTTATGAGTGTCATTCAGAACACACTAATTACTGTGCTAACAATGGTAGGACATTACTAAAGTATTCTAAAGTTTTGGTTGCTTAAATATAAGAAATTCTACAACACTGGGACACAAACAGTTGAATTTTTAACAATGAGATGAAAGAAAGGAGAGTGCTGCCCCCTGTGAAGTGGATTCCAGTGGCTGCCTCGGTCAGAATCATCATGGTGATGATGACTTCTTATCATGACTTCTAACGGCATTTCCCTCCCATCATGTGCACGTTTTGGTGCACTGTGTTCACTCTGTGCAACTACTACTTTAAATACATGCAGGCCGGGCACTGTGCTGTGGCTCACGCCCAGCACTTTGGGAGGTCAAGGCAGGCAGATCACGAGGTCAGGAGATCAAGACCATCCTGGCTAACATGGTGAAACCCCATCTCTACTAAAAATACAAAAAATTAGCCAGGCATGGTGGCAGGCGCCTATAGTCCCAGCTACTCGGGAGGCTGAGGCAGGAGAATGGCATGAATCTGGGAGGCGGAGATTACAGTGAGCCAAGATCGCACCACTGCACTCCAGCCTGGGTGACAGAGCGAGACTCCGTCTCAATAAATAAATTAATTAATTAAATTAAATAAATAAATACATGCAGAGAGAGGAAATCACTCTAATGCCATTAATGCATTGGTGTTGAATATCTCCAGGACAGCAACATAGTATCCTCGCTAGACAACTTGACCTCAAAGGACAACTTTACTGACCAGGTGGGCCTCCCCAAGATATCTTCAGTGTCAGATGACCTTGCATTATGTTTATAGTGTCAGTAGAGAGTGGAGTTACCTTGCTCTTAATCCCTGCACCTGTCAAAGCATCTTGGATGACTTTTACATCAACGAAGCAACCCCATGGGACTATGCAACAATCAATTTACTATAATAATTTGTACTTTTGTACATCACCTTCTTATTTGCTGCTTTTTTTCTCTATTCATAAAATGAATTCACCTGATATAAAAATAAATTGTGTGGGCAAAGCCAAAGTAAATAACTAGAAAAAATGCACTAACTAAATTCATGGTAATATTATTTGCCTCTGGTTAAAAATATAAAATACATAATTGTTAATTTTAAGTTATTTATCCCTTTTCAACATTTAAAATTACCTTTTAATTATATTAACATTTTTGGGTTTCTTTTAGCTGAGGCTTTTATAAGATTTAACATAAAAAGGCTATTCTTAAATAAATTCAAGTGTATATTCAAAAGGTATAAATAGCTCTATAATAAAAACTGGCCAATAGACATTAGAATCATAATACATGATTATTACATACATACATGAGAACAATAATATAAAAATAAAGGTTTTAAGTTAATTTACAGAGGGATTTAGACTACCAGTTTTAAGAATTCATCTTACTAAATATAATGTTAAATTCTTGTCATTATATTCTTGCATCTGGTAAAACTAGACAGTTATGAAATTTAAGAAAACTTATTCATCTTAGATATTCAACCATTTAGCTACAGACACAATGATCCTAATTATAACAGTGTTTAAAATAAACCAAGGAACAAAAACTACCTAGATCAAAACCATGGACACCAATAGATTTTCAAGACCCACAGAGAAATGCAGTAAGCAAGTTTAGAGATGAACAACTAAAAAAGTAAATGTGGTTTCATTAGCTTAACATTTTAAAATAGCTTTGTGAATTAATTTTTTCACTGAAAACTAATAAACATCAAATGTATTTTGAACTTGACATTTTTGATAACAAAATCTTCTACCCAATTTAGCTCACAGCTCTTCTAAAAACATTCCGCAATTAAAAAGCTTTGTCCATGTAACTTCTACTAGTCCATATTCAATGGGTTTCCAATGCCTGTTAAAACGACTGGTAGCCTACTAGTTGCATGTTGTACTTACCGAGAGTACAGAACAAGGTCACCTGATAGTAGATGAGGTACATAATTTACGAGATTGTTTTCCTTTTTGTTAACCTAAAAGGTCCAGAAACTCCTTTCATCCTCTCTGTCCCATGCAACTTCAGGCACCAGCTTGCACTCTCCCTCCCACTCATTGGATCATTCCCTGGGAAGGAAGGACATACCCACACTCAAGCCAAAATGAATCTTGCCTCCAAGATGGGCTGGCAGCTAGGAACTCTGGTCATGGTCCCATCGGGCTCACCTGCCTGACTAAACCTTTTTGTTACCCTCCATCTCTGATCTGGATTTCTTACCTTACACTTGTCACTAAACTGAGGTTACCACCAGTTTCTCAAATTGTTTTGTGATTACATTCTTGACTTTCGGTAATTATGTTCTTTTATCTCTTGCTTTAACTACCTGGACTCTTGAAGTTCATTCCTTGACCTCTTGATCTGACTTCATTAACCTCAAGCTGACTTACTTGAGTTTCTGACCCATCATCTGACTCTCCTAATAATTTAATGGTCCCTATTAATGCTTACCTTAGCTATCCAGCTTCTATTCTCCTCCCTTTGCCACCCCCTGCAGTACTGAGATTACTAGATTTATTCTAGTAAATAAATATCCATTTATCCCCCAGCACACCTAAGTAAGTTCTAGCAGGAAAATAACTACCTGCAAAATGTTGAAAGAGAAATGCATGTTGCCATGGATACAGACTATATTTATGACCTAACCTTTATTCCATGTAGTTCCAAAGCAAAGAACTAGCCAATAAGGAGGCAGGAACTTAACTAAGAATGTGATCCAAGAAATCAGAAACTACATATTACTTTTATTAGAAGAAAATTATATAAAGTGTTTTTGTTTGGTTTTTGTTCTTTGTCCAGTAAAAGATGCCTTGAATATGGGTATATAGCATATACCAATTTCATGTCATAAGGAAAGAATTTTTCCCAGTCCTGTGTGATTACAATTGAGTGTATATAATAAAGTAGATGCTGTTGATTAAAATGCTCTGCTTAATACAAACCACATCAGTTAAATAATACTCTGCATTTCAATTCTACATTTCAGAAAACCATTATATGTATGCATATGTGTACAGATATTTTATTTGCTTAAAATTTTACAGGTAGCTTCACAGAGTTATTTGAAATCTTTATAAATATGTAGGTATTGTCATTTCCATTGAAAATGATAAAAATGGGTGCTCAAAAAGATGGGATTAAGGTATCTGCTTTAGTTCACAAATCTTGCAAGTAGGAATCAGAGTTGACACCCATACCTTCTGATTTCACTTTTTTGTACTTTTAGACAGCACTGTCTTTTAGTTAACAAAAGCTTATTGCTCTAGATATCATAGAAATTATTTACAGAGGCTTAGATTCCAGTGACGAGGGCACTTTCTTAAATTTTTAACAAAATCTTTAACGACCATTATTAATTTTGTTTTACTTTATCAACAATTGCCAGCTGGACCAATAACACTGATTCAGCTAACATGTCAATACAAAAGAAATCCAAAGTAACATTAGTGGGAAAAAGCACATGTTGGTTTCATCCAGATGAAGGTACTTCCCATGTATTGGCAAATTTTCTCTCTGAAATAATGTCATTTTATTAAAGCCTGTAATTTTGCTTCTCTCTTAAAATTTTATTGCATCATAAAATTACATTTCAACAGGATGTTCAAGATTTATTATGAAAATTTTGACTCAATCTGTCTTTGATTGATTGCCACTAATATTTTGGTTTTCCATGCAGTTTCTATTTCTTACAGCATGCTTCCTAATCCTTCTATTAGATTTGATATCTTCAACTTACTACCCACATTGTAGACAACTATATTACAAGGATTATCTAATGTATTCTCTATATTGACAAAACTATGCCTGTAAATTATTCTTTACATCGTAATCAAAAATGTGTCAATCTTTGTTAAAGTATCTATGGTTTCCCTATGCTACCTTAACTGTTCATGACAGTAATTACCTAAATGATACTTATCCTTGTCTTCTTAACCCTAAAATGTATATACCTTTGTTCCACTGACAGTAGATATATCTTACTGACCATTCTCATAAGAACATAGTAAATGATGGTATCAAAAAATGTTTTACAGAAGGCAAGATAGCTGTATTCCAAAACATCAGATAGAGACCTAAAATGTCTTTTAAATATCTCCAAATTTCTCTGAAAAAAAATTGATGATGAATTATTTAGTCAGAAATTTGTCCAAACCACAGAATATAATTCTTTGGAACATATCAGGAAAGTTGACACAAATAGAAAAAGAACAGTTAGACCAATGCATTGCCAAAAGTTTTCTTTACAAACTTTTTCCACTGAATGTTTGTTTTAATTTAAAAATACACATAATCAAACCAAGTAGTATAGAAATGCCCTTAATAAAACCATTACATTATGACTTATGACTACCCATCTGCAAGTCACTCCCCAGAGGCAGACACATTTTATTCTTTCAGTTATCTGTTTTCAACTCTGATGATCGTGACCTTAATACCTTTACGTACTTCATAAATTAATTTATTCACAATCCATTGATTTTCTGCTATAAAAAATATTTAGTTTACTTACACCATTTACTCTTTTTCACTTCAAAATACAGTTGTGTCACAATTTTTAATTCTCTTATTGGTTATTTCTATAACTTTCAATAGAATAACTAAACTTTCATTTTTCCAGAAATTATGTAGCATCTTTTAATTCCTCACTTCACGCAATGAGAATATTAGTACTGCCTAAACTTCATTTGGCCTATTCATTCTCACAACCCCTATTATCTAAATTTTCACTTCTGTTACCTGCACTTTGGTTAAAGTTGGAAACATTTATGTTGTGTCTGTAACCATGAGTATATTTTCTATGTTTCATGTATAAACTGATTTCAAAATGTGAAATTTAATACGTAGAGTCTAATCATTATTCAAAACACAACCAGATAATATGTTACATAACTACACCTTGTTTCTGGCAGTTTTTTGTTTCTCCTGAGGCTTCTAATTTTCTTCTTTCTCCCTTGCATTTTCTGCTTTTACTGCCTCCTAACATTGTTGAGAATTCTCATGAATAGTATCTAGAGTCTTCTTCCTCACACTCCACTTCTGTTCCAATCTGGACTGGATGTTCTTTCCAGACTCACTGCACAGCTATACTGTGCAACTTTTCTCTTCTCTTCTCCTGGACAAGATCCACTGTTCAACGAATCTTCTGTATTTCTCTTTCATATTTATTCCTCCATTTTATTTAAGAACATCCATACAACCTCCAAAGAAATGCAGAAAATAAACTTTCCAAATCCTTGCATGCTTGTAACGTCTTATCCAACCTGAGATTTCTATACAATATTGAATATTGGCTTATGTATAGAAGTCTGACTTGTAATTTTTCCTTTTCATAGTTCTAATAAAGGCATTTTTCTCTTTTACCATTTATTATTTGAAATCTGATGCCAATCTATCTTGTTCCTACATAGAGGACCTGATTTTCCTCTGGGAGTTTTTGGGATCTCTCTTTTATTCCTTCTGTTCTGAAATGTAGCAATGATATGTGGAGACATGGACCTTTTCTTTTGTGATGCTGGTACTTATTAACCTTTTCAACCTATAGACCTATACCCTTCGGCCCTGTAACTTCATTGACTTCACTATCATTATTATGTAGCTAATTCCTCCACTACATTTTCTGTTTCTTGAACATCTTGGATTAATCATCAATGTCTTAGATTTTTGAAATATATTTTTACACTCTATTTTTGTCTCTGCTTGTTGTTCTGTTTTGTGAAAAATATTCTTGATATCAATTTTGGCTGGCCTTTAAAAAAATTTAATTTCTAAGAGCCCCTTCTTATTTTGATTGTTACATTTTCAGAGCAGCCTGTTCTTCTTTTATGAATATTATATCATTTTCGATATTTCAGTTTTGCTTTCCTTAAATCTTCTTTTTTGTATCCTGAGGTTCTTGTTTTTTCTCTGTGATCATCTGTTTGTTTAGTCTTTCTCATGCCTCTCAGGCCAGCCTTAAACTTCAGATAATCTGCGATTATCTGTTCCTATTCAAGGCAGTAAAATGCAGATGAGAAGCTCTGCACGTGTGTGTGGCTAGAGTCGGCTTGGTAAGGGGTTTACTGCCTGATTGCGGCCCAGCCCTCTGTCTGATTGCAGTCCAGCTGCAATTCAAATCTAATCCAGTTTTCCCACCTTGGGCTTTCTCCAAACCCAGGGAAGCCTGCTAAGCCCAAGTGCAGGTGTGACCAGGAAGTACAGGAAGAGGCAGGAAGTGCAGGGCCATGCAGGAAGAACAAGTGTGGCCAGGAAATGCAGGGGCAGATGCCCTTTGGGAGCACCCTCAAACACAAAGAGCTGGAAGTCCAGGGTTAAGTGCTGTAGACTCCCTTTCTTTGGTGGGACAACTCTGTGTACATTCTAAAAGATTACCCAGGGGTCCTCAGTGGAATGGAGTCTCCCTTACTCTTAAAGTAGTAGCTTGCTCAAGGAGGCACCCTTTATTTGTTGTTCTCCCTTTTCTGTCTCACTCTCCTCATTCCCTCACTTCAGACTCCTACAATTTGCCATAAATGGTCTCAGGGACTCTATTTCTAGAATAACCCAAAACTAAGACAATACCATGCAAACTGAAGCTCTTAATAAGGTTCTTTGTAACACTATGTAACACTATGTAAAAACCCTATGTAAGAACACTATGTAAAAAAACACTATGTAAAACTGCAAAGGAAAATGGTAGGCTGATTTCTATGAATATATCTAGTTATCCTTCATTCCAGTCGATTTCTATGGCCATTAGTTTAAAAATTAGTAGGCATGAAATTATGTGATGTGATATGAGATGTACACATATACACAATGGAATATTATTCACCCTTAAATTTCTTCATATTTGTGACAAAAATGGATGAACCTGGAGGATATTACGCCAAGTGAAAAAAGCCAGACACAGACAGACAAATACTATATGATGCCACTTATATGTGGACTCTAAAATAGTAAAACTGATAGAAACAGAGAACAGAATAGGCAACTCCTCATTCCAGGGAGCATTGGGAAGTGTTGGTCAAATGATACTGTTTCAATTACACAAGATGAATAAGTTCTGGAGATCTAATATATACCAATGTGACTATAATTAACAATACTGTTTTGTATACTTGAAATTTGTTATGAGGGTAGATCTTACCTGTTCTCATTGCAAAAAAAGAAGGAAGGAAGGAAGGGAGGGAGGGAAGAAGGGAAACTGTGAGATGTCGGATGTGTCAATTAGCTTGATTGTGGTGATTATTCCACAATGTATATGTATGCTAAAACATCAAATTATGCATCTTAAACATATAAAGCTATTTGTCAATTATACCCCCAATGAAGCTGAAAAAATGATGAAGCAAATATACACATTTTTTAAAAGTCTGCTTTTAGTGACCTTTAACCAATTTAGTGAACTGCTAAGCGACCTTGAGTAAAACAAAATGATATATGTACAAAACAAAGCCAACCATAAAGACAAAAAATGGGACAGGCGTGTTTGGGGGACACTCATCAGTTAAGAACAGCTTTCCACCACTTTTGGAGGAGAGAAAATAGGACAATATCGAGGTGTTGAGGAATGGAACATGCTGTGAAAGCCGGAACTAGTGGGGAGGCTTCAGCAGATCTAGGAGCCCATTTAGCTATCACACATTCTCAAGAGGCTCTGGGCTCTGGTACTATAAAGATGGAGAAAACAGTGAGAAGTGAAAATAAGGACGAGCCCCCAAAAGCCTGCATACAGAGGGGTTGGACCCACCCCAACCTACAGATTGTAGGCAGTCCAGGTGAAAAACAGAAGGCTCTTCCCTAAAAAAAAAAAAAATGGAATGAACAATCTGGGAAAACCCACAGCTTCTAGTATGGCTTCTACAACCCCAGAATAAAGCCTCTCTTCATTCCAGCCCTTAAGGGGCCTGAATTCTAACACATCTATTCCCCCAAAACCAGAACTCACTCTAAATTCCCACTCAGGGAGAGATATATTGGGAGGAGGGACAGAAAAGAAACTCCATTTACACAACAAATCACTATCCCATCTGCGTAAACTGAATAATGCATCCCTTTCCCAAAATGTTACCTTATATGTGAAAAGGGACTCAGCAAATATGATTAAATCAATGATTTTGAGATGGGAAATTCCCCTGAATTATGTTGTAGGCCCAAGGTAATCGTAATCATGAGGGTCCATATCACAGCGAGGCCAGGAATGACAGGGTCAGAAAGAAGGCATTGTGACAATGACAGCACCAAGAGGACAGGTGACATGACATAGGGCTGCAAGCAGGAATGCTGTGGGCCTGTAGAGGCTGGAAAGTCAAGGAAACATACTTTTTTCCCCTGGAACCTCCAGAAGGAGCCAAGGCTTCCAACAACTTCATTTTAGTTTTGTAAGACTAATTTCAGATTTCTCACCTTCAGACCTGTAAATTAACAAATTTCTGTTCTTTCCAGGTACAAAGCTTGTGGTAATTTGTTACAATAGCAATAGGAAACTAATACCATTTCCCTTTCGTAAATGTGACTCAAAAGCAAGAATCATCGAGCAGATAAGAAAAGCCAAGACAAATAACTATGAAAGATAAACAGAAAAACCAACCCTGAAGGAAAGAGATATTTCAGAGAATAGAACTTAAAAAGCAGTCTAATTCATAAACTTGGAAAGAGGAAAATTTATTATATTTATTAAATGAAAACAAGATGCTCTGAAAAAGAAATAGGAAAAGTACAAACAGATCTTTTCAAGTTTAAAAATATGATTCCAGCACATAAGGGAAAGCAAATCTAAAAAAACATTGAGTGAAAAGACAAAATGAAAAAAAAAATTTGCAAAAAAAAAAAAAAAGTCATGCAGGCAAATCCAGGAGGTTCAATATACAACTGACAGAAGCCCAGAAAAGACAATAAACAACAACAAAGCTAGGATAGAAAAATTATCAAAGAAATCATCCAGGGGAATTTTCCAGACATGGAAAGGAACCTGTACCAAGTCACATCAATAATGAAACTTTAGAAGCCCACATATTTTGTTAGATTTATTTCTGGGAACCTTGTGGTTTTGTGCTATTGTAAACGGTATTTTTTAAAAAATATGTTGTATATTGTTACTCATGTATAAAAATACAGTTGATTTTGTATACAGAATTGATTTTATATCTAGTTATTTTGCCTAATTGTTAATAGATTTAGGAACTGTCAAACTATTATTTAGATGACCTATAATAACAATAGTTCTGTTTCTTGATTTCCAATCTTACCTTATTTTTTCTCATCTTACTATGGAGACAGGGACTTCTTTAAAATATGAGATAAAGTCATGATAATGGATATCATCACGATTTCTGTTACTATGAGCAAATACTATTTTCAAGAACATATGTATTAAAAACAGGTTAAAAACCAACAAACATCAAATTTAAAAAATGGGGGGGGCTATCTTATGGAGGCAGACAATGTGCTGAAGGCAGTTTCCATTAATTCAACTGACTGTGCAAGCTATGACTTCTTTCTTGTAAAATGTGATGACTATTTACTATCAAAGACCTTTCTAAGTTAGGCTCATGGTCTCTTCTAAAGAAGGTAGCATTGTCTGCTTTCTGAGTTCCTTGTCTGCTAAGTTCCTTGATTTAGAGTTAGAACATAACTGACAGAGGCAATGAACCACCTTGTAATTGTGAGGTGTGAAGACGTGCTCTGAGGCTGGGGCTAGCTCACACCTCTGACCAGAGTATGGACACATGTGGCCAGTGCTCAACATCAGTTAAACGTCTGAATGTTTTTTATTCAAGCAATAAAATCTTTTGATTGTTCAACCTCGGGTCTTTACCTAATAAAGGAGCAACACTTATTAATTCCAAAATGAACTCAATTTCAAATGAGAAAGCCTATAATTATGATAAAAACACAAAAATGGGCCAGGTGTGGTGGCTCATACCTGTAATCCCAGCACTTTGGGAGGTCAAGGAGGGCAGATCACAAGGTCAGGAGATCCAGACCATCCTGGCTGACGCAGTGAAACCCTGTCTCTACTAAAATACAAAAAATTAGCCAGGCATGCTGGCATGCGCTTGTAGTCCCAGCTACTCGGGAGGCTGAGGCAGGAGAATCACACTTGAACCTGGGAGGCGGAGTTTGCAGTGAGCCGAGATAGCGCCACTGCACTCCAGCCTGGGCGACAGAGAGAGACTCTGTCTCAAACAAATAAACAAACACCCAAACAAACCCCCACAAAAATGGAATGGAAAGTCAAACGCTCTCTGGAACATGGAGGAATGCTACTTTTTTTTTATAGCTGATGAATTTTTCCTTTTTCATCATTTTTATGAGAACAGGCACAGCCAAGTTTTACACATTAACTTCAGAGGCAAAGCAGAAAACAGGTGTGTGTGTGTGTGTGTGTATGCACATACACATACATTCATGTTGCATGTTTTCCCCTTGGCCATCAGACATAGCTTCAAACAACCATCTTATTATTTTATCCCTTAAAAGTTAATTTATTGCCTTGGAAAGAGCTAAAGAGGTTTCTGAAGATGATCTCAGACAATCTTTTGTCAATTAACTATCCTCAATTATAACATCATACCCACTGGACATGGATAAAAAGAACAAGTGATGGCTCTGTGGTACAGCAGTGCCCCATGACACAAATACCACATTCATCCTCATAATGACAACATGCCAATGGTATAAGAGAAATATCTCTAAATACTGAATTTAGTTTATGTACCAGAGAAGTACCTAAAAAGTCAAACCACATCAATCTCAAGAATCACTACAAGGAGACCACAAAATTAAAAGCATTCTCTATTCTGAACTGCATTTTGAGGATTTCAACATAAACTTTGGAGGAGAAATTAAAACTGTGTAGGAATACTACTGTTCCCTCACTGCGGAATCAGTAGCACAATTCACTCCTTGGTTGATTGTGGTAGCTTTTAGCAAAGAAGGAAATATGGGACTTTTGACTGTGTTCCTGCTTTTCATGGACATGGTAGCCTCCACAGGGAGAAATTATATGGAAGTAAAATAATTTTGTACTTACTGAAAAACATTAAAGGAGTAATAAAGGGGGAAAATTATACTCGTTTTGACTGAAACTAAAGTCCACAAGAGCAGTGCCCACAGGGCATGCACTACTGAAAAACAGAACCTCCCTTCTGCCTGCTGCCTGCTCCCAGAATGGCCTACATCTCCTTCTTCACGGTTGATCTCAACTGATTACGTCTCTAATACTGTACTGAGCACATAATTTTATATGTATGCTTCTTTGCCTTTTGCCCCTTAGGATTAAGTGGGTCTTATTCATTTTGGCATCTTCAACAGCTAGCAATGTGCCTAAAACTAAGAAGGCCCGTAGTACATGTTGGGCAAATATTCTTTCATTTTAATCATATTGCCAGAATGGTTCTCGGAAATCATTATTATTTGGAGATTTAATGACCATCTCTGCATATTTTAGAAATCTGAGGGTTAAAAAATATGATATGGAAACAAGCAAAGCCCAGATCTAAAGCAATCTCTGCAGCATAGTTCAATGTATTGATTTGTGTTCCCTCGTTCACTGATTAAGCATCGGCACTTGGGCCAGGTGCTCTAGTAGGTTATTGGGATTCAAAACAGACAACATATAGTCCCTCCTCTGGAAGACACAAACATGCACAGGATAATGACATTACAGTAAGTATAGGCTTATGTTATACATATGTCTTTGTCACTGTATGTTAAAAATTTTGTGAGAGCTCAAAGAGATGAGAATGATAAATACACTGGCAAAGCCACCATCCACTGAAGAGGAAACAAACAAAACCAAAACACTAAAACAAGTTGGTGGCTTCTCTGAGAGCACAGCAAGCCGTGAGCCTCCTTCCCTGTGACCCTACTCAACTCTTAGTTTGACTCCTCAAGGGGCCCTTCCTTGGCTTTTCTGTGGCTCTAATTCATCAGTGAATCTGCCTTCATTAATACAGCCACATGCATATGTTTGCTGAGGTCACAGTCTGTACTAGGAACCTTTTAGGCATAGGGTATACAGAAGTGAGGAAAATTAGTAAGGTCTCTTTTGTTTCAGTCTCTGGGTGGAACAAACAAATAGAATAATAAATCTGCAATTTAAATGGAAAAAAGTGTTATGAAGTTCACAAACAAGGTGCTCTGATAGAACACAGCAAAAGAAGATGCTGGGAAGGTAACAATTAGGTCAGATCATACAAGGTATTGCAGCTCATGCTAAGAAGTTTACATATATATATATATATATGAAGTGTATATATATATACACACACACACTTCATCTATATACTTCGTATATATATGATGTATATGTGTGTGTATACACACACATACATTTTTTCCCCAAGACAGAGTCTTGCTCTGTCACCCAGGCTGGAGTGCAATGGCATAATCTTGGCTCACTGTAACCTCCGCCTCCTGGGTTCAAGTGATTCTCCTGCCCCAGCCTCCCAAGTAGCTGGGATTACAGGCATCTGCCACCATGCCCAGCTAATGTTTTGTACTTTTTTTAGTAGAGACAGGGCTTCACCATGTTGCCCAGGCTGGTCTCTAACTTCTGACCTCATGATCTGCCTGCCTTCCTTGGCCTCCCAAAGTGTTGGGATTACAGGCGTGAGCCACCGTGCCCAGCCAGAAGTTTATATTTTACTCTAAGTGCAAGCTATGAAAGGATTTTAAGCAGGGGAGTTTTCTAACCCAATGTACATTTTGAAAAAGATCATCATGTCTGTTGAGAAAAATAAGAGATAAGGCAAGATTATCAGTTATAAGATTACATAGAGGCCTGGACTAGAGGAGTGGGTGGCAGTGAATAAAGTGAATGGATTGGAGATCAATTTGGGGGACTGAATCTATAGAATTTACTGACAGGTTAAGAGAAAGGAAAAAAATCAAGAATTATTTCCAAGTTCTGCCTTGAGCACTGAATGTACGGTACATAGGGAGGTTGGGAGGGAGAGGCTTCAGTTCTGGACCTATGAAGTTTGAGGTGTTTGTGAACAAGCTAATAGAAGATGTCAAGAGCACAGAACACAGATGAGAGACGGGAACTTGAAGGTTATTAGCATATAGTTGTTAAGGCCACTGAAATGCAGGTAATCACTTAACAGAAACATGAATACAGAAAAAAAAGTGGGGGTAGACTCCAGTGTTCAACGTGAAACAGAGGAGCTAGTGGAGAAAACAGAAACTAACGTGGAGAAGTAGAAGTGGAAGAAGCAGGAGGAAAACTGGGAAGATACAGATAATTTGGTAAGACAGCATGAAAGCGTTATTTGCAGTGATGAATATCTAGCTACCTGGTGAAAAGCAATGAAGACTAGCTAGTCAGGGTAATAAAAAAGAGGGAACTAAAACAGAATTACAGAGTGAACAGAATTATACTGTGAGAAATCCAACTTCTTCCATGTAATTCAGTAAACTCTTACATATCTACAGAAAATATGTAAGGAGTAGGTAAAATATATTTCCTGATACATCCTATACAAAAGTGTCTTATTTCAGGTTTTCTTCTAAAGAGGGAAAGACAAGTCTATGAAACATTCTAGAATATGAGGTAGGCTATAGACAGTCATCTATAGGACTTTTCCCAACAGTTAATGTTTTGCAAATTTAAAACTATACATATTCGGAATTTATTCCAACTATAGTTTGGATATTAGTTTGTAGTTTCTTTTTTTTTTTTCTTTTTTTTTTTTTTTGAGACGGAGTTTTGCTCTTGTTGTCCAGGCTGGAGTGCAAGGGCGCCATCTCAGCTCACCACAACCTCCGCCTCCTGGGTTCAAGCAATTCTCCTGCCTCAGCCTCCTGAGTAGCTGGGATTACAGGCATGTGCCACCACCCTGGCTAATTTTGTATTTTTAGTAGAGACAGGGTTTCTCCATGTTGGTCAGGCTGGTCTTGAACTCCTGACCTCAGGTGATCCACCCTCCTCGGCCTCCCAAAGTGCTGGGATTACAGGTGTGAGCCATCGCGCCCGGCCTAGTTTGTAGTTTCAAATAAAAATCCTATTTGAAGAGCTTGAAAAGAATGTTGTATAATTATTAAGTCTGCACAATTAAATGGTACCTAACCTCCCAAGTAAATGGAAGAACGATTTTTATATTCTGAGAAATAGCAGATTTCTAATATAAAAGCAGGTGCAGATTATCTTGAGAAAATTTTCTAATGGATTGAGATTATTTATACTGATTTATATTTAGAACATTAAAAATTATCACTTTTTACTTTAAAGTGAACTTGGGTTTATCTTCTAGGTTTGTAATGTCCCTAAACTACTCATTCAGTTACTTAACTATTTGGCTGAAGATAATATTTATCATTCAACAGCAACAGGGCAAAGACGATGTTGAAATCTGCTTTCATAAATGACTTTTTTCCAGATCAATAGCAGAGTAAGGGGAACTATTTTAATGCAAAACAAGTCATTGTTTTAAAGTTATGTTGTTTTCCTTTTTAAAAAAAAAACGGTTTGAATTAACTGCCTATGCTTCATTACCCTGCAATGTACTTCAACACATTTACACTGCAAGAAGAATATGTAATAAAAGAGAAGCTGCATCTTCAAATCTTTCTTGTCAAATTTGAAGAGACACCAATCAACCAAACACCTCACTAATAGTCATGAGACTGCTGTTTTAATTAGCTGGTGATATTTCTGACTAAGACTCTCAGATGATGAAACTGTTTTTCCTTGTATTGAACCAGCTTGGCCCAGACTAGCCTGTCCTGCAGTGACAGGTATATTGAATACAAATCAGACAGCACAGCTTTAAATCTGTGTTGCAGCTCTCATTTCCAATTCGAGAACTGTACTATAATCATAAGCTTCTGGTGGATGAAAGGAAATCAGCTCTCTGAATATTAGCTAATGCCACATTTGCAAGTCCTGAAGAGATCTGTGCTGTTAAAAAAAATAGATCATTTCACGTGAACCTATATATATGAATTGCTTTGTACTGCTCAACTGATAGAAGCAATGCCTGTGCTGGGATTAAACCCTTTTCATCATAAAACCTCATCTGGTTCGGAGTCCAAGTCCATCAAACCTTTTCCCTTTAAAGTCCCGCCTTTGGTTCCACATCAATTTATTCAAACCGCAGCTGGGTGGCTGAAAACGAAAGGACAGCATCATTTAAACCAACCATGTTCCTAACTTGAAAGAGGGGCTATAATTAAAAAAATGGGCATAAAAGAATGGAAATGGGATAATATTTTTTAATGGTAGTTCAAAGGCTGACAGATGTCAGAGCCTTTGAAGATGTCAGTACACTGAGTAAGAAGTTGCCATAAAAGAGCTTGCCAGAGAGGTGAAGCAGCTTTTTAATGGCTAAAAAAACCCTTGCAGACACATCCTTGTGTTTTTAATTTGTCAGAGTTTCTGCAGTATTTTCTGATTAATGACACATGATTATAACGGCATAGCAGGCATATTTTTATACTTGGTTAAATGAATAGTTTATTTCACATTCTTTTAGAGCTAGATAAGAATAGGGACACTTTCCTAGGAAGTCCAAAACTATTCTGATTGATTGACATATTTATGCTAATTTTGTGGGACTGGCCCAATTCGGAATTACTATATGTTGCCAGCTTTTGTTCTTTAATAGTCTGTTTGCTAATAACATTACAATTCACATGTGGTAGTTAAAATGCAATTCACTACAGTTTCATTCTTTTCATGTACATGGAACAATATGTGCCTGAATAATTAATTTGTGCACCAAGTCATGTCAAACCAAATTAATGTTTTAAGACATTCCTGAGCTCAATCTACACAACCGCGGGCTGCCATAGGGTTCAGAAGAGAAAGGGTTGCTTAGGGGAAAAAAATGCAGCTATAACTATAATATAACATTAATGCTTACTCAAAAAAACGAGCTGGAATACTATGTGCAAAATGCTGGGGGACACTCTTCTAAGATTTGGGGGAGGGACTTAGAGTATTTCCAAACTATATGCCCTTCTAAATAGTTCTAACATGTCAATTTGATTTGTTCTGTGAAATTGCCCTCACAATATTCATGAATGTTAACCACAAGTCTCTAGTGAGTAGTAGCAAGAAAAAAAAAACAGGTTTCCCCACCAATGGATATGCCTGTAACTTATAACCATGATGAGGTGCAGGGGAGACAGAGTTCATGGCTTTGAAGTGAGACACATTCGGGTTCACATCCTAGCCCTTGCACTTCAGAGCTGCATAGCTTGGGTCTGTCTTCCCACCTGTAAAAACTGAGACAATACATAAGTGCCTCCTCCCAGAAAGCATGTGAAGGTGTCTAGCACGTAATATTGTTCCTTTCTCAAACTACATGATATACAGAAAATTTTAAATTAGGCCATTTTCTGATTGAAAATGTTTATATATCACAAAATCACATTTTAATGAGAATAACCATTCTTTTAAAAGTGGATGTTGACATTTCCCACCGCTTCAGGACCAATAGATTTTAAGTACTGTCTCCATCCTTATGTTGTAATCTTATATGACCATGACTGGTCAAACCTGCAAGCATACACCTGTTTGTGTCTGACATCTAACCTTCAGCCCAGTGCTACAAGCACACCCATGGAAGCAGCTCAGCAAATGCGGTGCTAGGGCTCAGGCAGGGATGCAGGAGAGAGATAATATTCTCACGCAAGATCAGGCAAGAGACCTAGGAAGCAGAGAGGTGGAGTAGGCAGTGCCCCCAACCCAGAGAGAGCAGATCTTGCAGCAGGCAGGAGCCCTGCAGCCTGATCCTGAAGAAGCTGACCTGCAGTCCTCTTGCCACCCCTCAGGCTTTCTCTGGAAACAGGAGCATCTTGGGGTTTACCTTCCTCATGGAGGGGGTGTTTCCTCTTTCAGGTCTCTATGTGACTATAGTTTTGTATCACTAACACTGGGGACAATTTCAAAGCAGGTAAAGTTTGCCTTAAGCGTCTTTCTACCCCCTTGTTTGCACTTCCCTGTTTTTTTTCTTGCCTTGCTCCAACCCACCTCCAGATGTCCACGTCTTCCAAAAACTCCCCCAGGGCATCCCACCAGGAGGTTATCTTCCGGCAATATCACTCTTCCTTCTCCCTTTACAGTCTTTCCATACATCAGAACTCCCATTTCTTGAGTGTAATGGATTTCAGCTTGATGAGAGCAATTTAATTAGAAATAATTTCACAATATGGTACGTACAATAGCTATTTTCCTGCCCAATTCAATGTTGTTCAGATCTTCCCTTTGCTATGAAGACTCCCCCGTTTCCTTCAGGCAATCAGTCTTCTGGCTTGGGGTACAGGGCAGATAGCCTTTATCCTACTTATCATGCTACATCCACTTGCTAAATTTTCTGCTAAGAATCCTTGCAGGGGAGGCCTTTGTCTTGTTTTTGTATACCTCCTCTTAGCGCAGTGACTGCTACACAAAGGTGTTCAACAAATGAAGGAACAAAGAGATCAATGAAAGAAGATTCAATTTCATCTTTAAGATGATCTTTTTTTTTTACCATATATCATTATTCATTTAAGTTTTAATACTGTTCAGGAATTATCTATTCAGGTATCCATTTTACTGTATATATTTATCCATTTTGAATTTTGGAATGCATTCATGAGTTACTTATTCAAGGCAAATGCATTAAATTAAAATCAAGAAAAGGGCAAGCAAGAGACAGAATGTTACTCAGCCCAAACAAATTCTACTTAGAGATACTTCAAGCAATGTAATGGACAGATTCCGGGCACAGTAAAGTATGTGGGGTAGGAGCATTCTTAAAACCGAGTGACTCAGTCTAGGAATCTGGGCATTTTAGAGGAGCTTCCATGCAGCTTGTGGTTGGAAGCTCCTTATCTCCCATTAGCTGATCCAAGATATGTTCTCCCGCTGATCAGCTCCTCAAACTCTTGGCTCTTAGATAGGCCCAGGCAAAACCTATTCCTTTTTTCCTGTCAGAATTGAGTTTGTGCTTCATTGGGTGATCCTGCCAGTTAATCCCTGCTTCCCTAGGTGAGGCGTGAAGGCTTTCTTAGTACCTAATTGGCAAAGTTCTCTGTGGACATGAAACCTTACTGGTCTCAGGAGCAACCATAGGACTGGAGATGCTGGACTGGTTGGGTGTTGTATTGATCCTCCCCATATCACTAAACAAGCCCGGTTTACTGCTGCCTGAAAATCATGCCTGTGTCTGTCAGTAATGGCCCGAGTTGCTTCCTTCAACTGGATCTCGTTTTCCACCTCTAAAATGGACTCCCTGATCTCACAGCCCACAACCACTTCAGAATTAGGTGAGAAACAGCCAGTGTTCATGGACTGCTGTTCATTTGGTGTAGTAGTCCATTTATGTATAACCACAATTCACAACTCGAGAAAATAAACTAATATTGACAGGGTTATTCAGAAGCATTTGCCCATTCCAAATTCTCACAATAATCCACGAGTTAGGTATTATTGTTACTTTTTTCCTGGCTCATGAAATACCACTTTCTCATGGTTCCCTGCCTCTCTCTCTTGACCTACCTTCCCACTTTCTTAGTCTTCTTGTCCAGCTCTATTTCCTTCACCTTCTCTTTAAGCAGTGTGTCTCTTCTTCTAATTCTCTTTCCCTCCATAGGAGATCTCATCTTCACTGTTGGTATCCATTACCCTCCATGCTCATGATTCTTTAATCTTATTTTCAATAGAGATGGAGAGCTGTCCTTTGAAGTCAGTCCTATACTTCTGCTTGCTTAAGTAGCATCAACACATAAACGTCCTACAGCATGTCAAACCATAACTCAAGGTCTGCTCTCTCTCCCTCACTGCCACATCAACTTTCCCCATTGTCACTGCCTTGGCTAAGGCCCTCATCATCTCTCGCGAGGGTGACTCTAACTAGTCACCCAGGCTCCAGTCTCACTGCCTGCTAATTCTTCATCTTCTGCTTAAAATTCTGCAGTGACTTTCGATTGTTGACAGTTATGGTCTCTAAACTTTTTTGAGACACTCCTATCATAAAATATACAGTGCGCGTATATATATAAATTTGTAACACTATTAATATGTTAAATACATTATACAAATTTGCACAAAGTAAGTATTTTTAAAGACAAAATTCAAACACACATTAACAGAAGTTCTGGGTTTTTTCTTTCTATACCCTAGTGAACCCCACTTGGGAGAACACTGCTCTAAATAATTACTAAGTGGGATAATAAGTGTAACAAGTGGAATATTAAAGTGGAGGAATGGTAGAGGCATTGCAGATGGCAGCACAGACAGTATAAACCACAAACTGGAGATCACTGGCCAAGCGGACCCAGTCCGAACTTCTCAACATGGTACGTGTTCTTCATATATTAATCATGCTACTCTTTCTGTTTAGAATGCTTTTTCCATTCTAATTTGCAGAGAACATTTCAGTCATTTTTTAAAACTCAAAGCATCTGATGTCTACTCTAATGGAACCTCTTCTGATGACCTCCTCAGACCTGATGCCCCCACATCCCATAACTTCCATCTCTACTTTTCTTGGGATCAAAGCTTCATTATGACTTTGTTGTACTTTGCTGTAACTCTGGCAGGCCTGAAGGGTAAGTACGCTAGAGTAGGCCGCAGAATATAACCTTCTATTTCCATACTCCCTCTGTCATTCTCAGAAAGATGCTGGCATTGTCACCAGTTACATACCTGGTGGACAGGCAGGTGTACAGTCAATGTTTCTAGACAGTAGAAATGGACCAAGGGGATATTAATCTCCTTCCATACCAAAGAATGGTAAAGAACATTCCTTAAAGGGCCTGATTAAATCATCACAACAATCCGGTGATATCATCAGCAAAGGGTGCCTTCATAACAATGTGCGAGCGAGGGGAGCTTGTCCTTCTGACCAGGGTTATTGTTACTGTGTCTCCTATACCACGCAGCCTTTGATGTGTGGTAAGATGCGTCCTCTGTCTACGTTAAAGGAAGACATTCTTTACTCATATCTGTTGGTATGAATTATAGTATTCTCCATTTATGACAGATGCACAATGCCTGTTTCCCCATAGACTGTAAGCTTGAGGGAGAAACCATTCCTTTTTTATATACGTAGGTCCGGCATAGGGGCCTGGCTCATAGTAGGAGCTCAATGAATGCCACTAAATGAATGAATGGATATCACAGGTGTGGAAAATGATGATTGGGGGTATTAAGGTAATTAGCTAATATGAACTCAGGTTTATAGAGCCAGTAAATGATAGAGACTGGCCATGAACCAGCATCTCTATCTTAATATTCAATAAGAAATTGGTAATTGCATCTGGGCCCATGCTTTAATTATTATCTATATGCTCAGTTCGCATCTCTGGAATCTCAACCTGCATATCCAACTCGCTGTCTGACACACTTCCCTCTGGATGTTTAACATGCAGCTCACACTTAGCTTGGCAACAAAAGACCTCTTGCTTTTGCTTCTGTTCCCCGGCAATCTTCCTCGTATTTGACACCACCATCTATACAGCTGCTCAAACCAAAACTCTAGGAGTTACTCGTACTTCTTCTTCCCCTCATTCCCCACACCCAACCCATCTGCAAGTCCTGCTGCCTCACATACGCATGCCATATTGGCATCTAGGACTGTTCACAAACAGAGCGATCTGTAAAAAACATGAATCAAATCATGTCACCTTACTGCTTACAGCCTCTGTCTTCCCATCACATTTAAAATGCAATTCAAACTCTTCACCAGGGCTTAAAAAGCCCTGTGTCTGCTACTCCCTGCCCCCTTTCTCATACCTGCTATGCTCATGCCAGACAGGTCTCCTTTTTCATTTCAAGAACACACAAAACTTATTTTCCTACAGGGTCTCTGCACCAATTGTTGCCTCAGTCTGGCTGGCTTCTTATCAATCAGATCTTAAATGAGATATCTTTTCTTTGGAGAGGCGTTCTCTGATGGCCAGCTAACACAATTGTCACTGTATCATATCTCTCAATTTTAATTCTCCACCTACAAGTTATTGCTATGTGATACTCTCCTTGTTAATTTGGTTTTTGTCTTATGATCTGTCTTCCCCAATGCAACTGTAATTTCCTTTAGAGCAGAGTACTGGTCTATCTTGCACTGGGTACAGGAATACCCTTACGGCCATATAGGCCATGCCCTGTACAACTCTGGGGCAACATTCACATAAATCAGGATGTGAAAGGCACCTCCTAAAGGTGTGCATGCCCAGCCCTAGGGCCCGGCACAGGGTAAGCACTCCAAAATTCTTAATGAAATGAAGTTGAAAAAAGTTAATGTCTGCCTCATTTTTGGCCAGCAAACTTACATGGAAATAAATTTGATTTACATATTATCTGAAGGGTCATAATTATAAAATGTCCAAGTCACAGAGTTCCATGTTTTTCTATATTAATTTGAAACAATGAGATCTCAAAAAGCAATCAAAACAGTTAACAATAATTATGATTTTTCTTGAGATTTACTCTACTACTCTTGTTCCTGAATTGAATAATGTTTTTACGAAACACCAACATTATGGCAGTAGATGATGATTTTTTTTTTTTATTGTGTGCCACTAGAAATGGTTAGAGAGGTGACATCACAGGAGCGCATTTCCAAATTTTGCCCCAAGTCTGAAACATCTATGTACAGTCCGGGCTTTAACAGGGGAGCCTGGAACACACTGCAGCTCTTGAACTCATGGCATTTGTCTAACGACAGCTTTGGCAGTAATTGGTGGATAAGCAGTAATTGGTGGATAATTGAAGAGCAAAAGTTTTCAACCCTCACACTCCACTTCTCTTGTTGTGCCTGTCAATGTCACTATAACTGGAGCTATCATTTTAGCCAACAAGTGAGGATAACATTTACATTTCAAAAAATTAGCTTTTCAGGAAACATTTGGTGAACACATGCATTTTGTACATTAAATGACATCTTTGAAAATAACGAAATAAGTAAGGTCCCACTTGACCCTAGGGATCTGGGGTTTGTTTTCGTAATAAATACTGACTTAAGGAGCAAACTTAAGATGAATGAATCACCACTTTAATTTTAACCTTTTTAAAGACCTGCGACTTTCAGGTCTTTCCACTGGAAAATCCCCTTGTTTTAAGATGGTGGGCCTGGCTGAACTACTGGATCTCTGTTCACTGAAGGCTCTTCTGTATCACAGAGCCACAGTTATCCAGTGAAACGACACACACACTCCTCGAGACTAGTGCAGCATTACAACTGTCCCTACAAACAAGGGAAGAGACCTAGATCCAGGTCACATCATTCAGCACACTTCAATCTCTGAGGACACCATTAACTCATATTCAAATGTGACTAATACTTTCAGTATTACTTGACTAATACTTGACTTCATACCTAAGCAAAACAAATAAAAATAAACCAGAAAAATAACACATTTTCAAACCCTGGAAGTCTAATTGTGTATTGTTTCTTTGTGATTTCTTATGATTTTTCCCAACCTCCCAATAAACAAATATCCAAAAGCACTCAAGAGATCAAGACGTAATTTAAAATAATTATTAAAACAAGTGAAAAAGTATAATTTTCCTTGAATTTTAATATTTGTTTCAACTAAAAAACATTATCTCAAGTTGCACACTAACCTACTGATTCAATACTTGGGGGCTCAATTCAGCCCATTTTTATTATCTAAAACTTTCTACTTAATGACAATATTTATAAAATATTTTCTGTACACAAATATTACAATAGTTCGAAAACAGACCATTATTTTCATACAGTGCTGTGTTCTCTTCTCCAAATAGGCATTTAAGGTCTCCCTGACACCAATTTGTGACATTTTTGTCATGAAAAAAGCTCAGGTGTTAAATATCTTTCATATCATGCAAGTAGGCATGATTCCAATTAGTCCTGAATGGGAGACAAAATGACAGTTTAATAAGCTTCAATTTGCCAGCTCTTTGAACATTTGATGATATCACCATTTTGCCCATCATTTCTTGCACTTTGGCTTCAACCTCTCTGTCACAAAAAATTACCACAAATATACAAATGAAGACATCAGGGATGTCTCTTACAGAACCGATTGAGTCAGAAATCCAAAAATGACTTTTCCAAGACATTAAGGAAGAAGAGTTATTCATCCAATACTTTCTCAGAGATAATTTCTGCCAATATTCCTAGTAATTTCTTCGAGGCCTAGGTGAAAAGGAGAAGGAAGAGTAATATGCTAAAAATAACTCAAGGCATATTTCCTTATGTCAATGGAAATGACATTCTGCATGCAGAATAATGCTTTTTCTCTGGAGTATTTATTTTAGAAAAGAATTCATCTTAAAAGTCTTTACTTTGAGCAAAATAGCTCTAGGATGAAGCTAACACTGCATCAACATAAATTGTTTTTGAGGAGTCTAGAAGAAACACATTTTCTAATTATACCCTTGTATCGGTATGAAAAAATCTCCAGGTTTGAACTTCATAATCCTTGACCTCATTTCTAAGTGGCTTTTATTGGATTCTGTCATGCAATAGGATCCTCATTCAGGTTCCTTTAGGAAAAAAATACTAACAAACATTGAACTCTGAGAGTTAAAATTTCATTCTATAAAATGAATGGATCATATGTAATATTCCAAATTAGTATGTGAATATAACAAATATCCACAGATCATAAACCATTCACAAAAAAACCATACCTTACCACTACTAAATGCAAATTCCTACGCTGTTTTTATCAAGACTGGTAGGCCTCATTGACCTAAAAACTTGGTGGATTCTTACTCTGGGCACTCCTTCTTATTTCAGCAATAATGTGAAACCAAAAGTGAACCCATTTCAAAATGTACTCACTACTCACTGTTCTATTCTACAAATTCTGAAACTTGTTGGAAGAAACTATATTCCGAAGAAAATATTAAGGATTGCATATCTCTTTAGAGTTTAATTTACCTCAAAAGAAAGACATAGTCATGGCTTGTGGTCTTGGAGAAAGAGTGAAACTACCGGCTAATACTTGATTTGGATATATGTAGTTTGAATTATGACTATCAGTATTTTAAATCTATTAAGGTAGTGACAATCCAAAATTAGCAATATAATGGATTTATGCAGAATAAATAAAATTCAGAGACAATGTGCTCATACACTAGCAGGCATATGGGGTAGAGGACTTTGCTATGAGTTGGGCAATTTATTTATGCTTTCTGAATCTTTCTTCATTGGTAAAATGAAAATACATATAGTCATCTTCTGACCCAGGTAAAAAGATCAAAACAGAGTTTCTAGATAGGAAATGTCATCCTCATAAGGTATTAAAGGGTTGCATAAGAGAATGCAATGCAAAGGACCCAGCAGAGAGCTTGGCACATGGAAAGCACACCATAAATACTTGTTGTTGTTGTTGTTGTTGCTGTTGCTACTGCTGCTGTTAAACACATACAAACATAAAAACTCAGTGTTGTTGGAGGAGCTACTACATACTCAAACTGGATATCAAGCAGCATTATTCAAGCATTATTATGACTTTGAAGCAACATTAAATATGGCAAATCGCTGAAAGAAATGCAAACTGCTATGAGAAGCTCAGCAGGGGAGCAGAGTACCAGTGTCTCTCTCTCCCACACCAGGCAAAGATTCCTATATAATCCTGTTCCTTTTTTGCCATGTCCAAGTCTCTCCAAAAATCTAAAATCTTTCTTGGAGGAAACTATGATAGAAAGAGCACTAAATTCAGATTAAGAAGCCCTGGTTTGCTAGTTCTGTGACCTTAGGCAAGAGATTGTCCTTGAATCATAGGTTTCTTATCTGTAAATGGAATACAGTTGGATGTGGTCATCTCTTTAGATTACTTTATCTGACTATCCTACTGCTAGATACTTACACACCTGATATAACTAAAGGCTTCATGTTGGCAGAACATATGGTATACAATGACTTGTGGTCCCTTGCAACCCTCCCAGTTCTCACCACTGCAGTGATCATATTTTACTCCCTATTTAAAATCTCTTCCATATTTAATTACCTCTTCTTCAAGAACAATTTTAATATTTCTAAAGAAATCCATTAAATATAATGAGAACAAAAGATAGATTTTTAAAACAATCATTATTAGTTGACACAAAGTTACTAATGCAAATGGAATACTTTATGGTATTATTTAGAAGGTTTGTCTTTAAAAGAAATGCTCCCTATCTAAAAGTGGACCAAATACCACAGAATGTAGTTTCCATGGTAACTGCCACATTTTAAAAATATGCACAGGACTAAAGATACACTGTATCTTCTACAAATGGATCATTCTTAGAGCAATCATTTTTCTTGCCTCATCTTGTATTTTTTGCTTTTTAAACAATATAATTTTCTCCATGATGAGGGCAAAGTTAAATTGTTTATAATAGTTTAATCACAGGTATATATACACTAGTTTTATGCCTTCAGGATGAAAACAATTACAGAACTTTAGAATTATAATAGAAAAAGAAAGCTGGTGACCTACACAAAATGTAAGCTTTACTTAAAGCAGCATTTTCCTATATTTTCTGCTAACTAAATACTTAAGAAATAGTATTATTTTACTTATTAATTTGTATAGTAATATATAAATAATGCAAATTTATTATTAAATTCACATGTAATACTAAATAGACACAACATTATTGCATACTAATGAAACATGATTTTCACATCAGTGCATCCAAGCCAAAATATGCTGAGAATTTTTGCCCCCTCTATTTGGAAAATTCTGTATGACCTATGCTTTTGGTGTCAGAAAAACAGCATCTCCCCCACACACTTTTTTAAATGGCCTAGTTATGAAAAACTCTATCAATATTTTGAATATATACAGAAAGTTCCTGGGCTATCTTAAATACGGCACTTAGATAATATGATAAAACTTCATCTAAAGAAAATAGAGAATTGTAATGTGTGGTTTTACCAGGAGTCCACCAAAAGTATCTTATTTTCTTTTTACAAAATTAAAGTGAAATAATAAAAACTTTTCCCACCAACCTTCTAATGCCTAACATTAAACTTTGTACATTGCAGTAAAGCCCACTTAATACTTAAAACACACTCTGCCCTCTCTAATACAAATAACTCAGTCCATCAGGGGATGAGTAGCACAGCTTGGTGTGTACACAGCTGGAACACCAGGCCACCACTCTGATGTGACCATGTGTGTCACTAGGGAGAAGAGGGGAACAAAAAACAGGGTTACATTAACAGCAACAGCTTCATTAGGCTGGGGGAAAAATAGAGTTTACATAGCTTGGTTTTTCCAAGCAATCAGTCCAGTTTGATCCAAAGAAACAAAAATATATACTACCTCAGGACCAAGCAAATGGCATTAATGGATAAATATTAGTGATGAAATACTATTTTGGTTATGCAGGTAGGATATGAATCATTTTAATACAGGTGTAAGTATCTTTTACTCTTGGAGTGAATTATCATTTGATTTTATAATTTCTTTTTATAGTTTTTCATAACAAATTCAGAGACAAGAAAATCAGATATAAGAAAGAGATAATAACACTTGGAAATTAATATTAGGCATTAACTCCTAAATAATTTCTAATCTCAGCTATGTTTCTAATTTCTACTTCCTAAAGACACTTTGTAAGTATTCCTGGCACAGTGATGAAACAACTGTCCTAGAATTTGCTAGGCTGTGACTTAAAATATACTTTCTTATGACTCATAATATCTACAAAATTATATTTCTTAAAGCACTTTGTTTTTTGATTTGAGAATAATAATATTCTCAATAAATTAAAATGAAATTTTAGCACATTAAAATAAAATCTAGTAATTACATTTTATGAAAGTACTAAAGAATCTAAAGTTTCCCCACCAGATTTTATTTCCAATGTTTTAACATATGGAAAATATCATCAATTATATTGGTCAATGTCCTTTATATTAAGTCTAATGGCATAAATTTCTCTCAGAACTGAGAACTAGAAAAAAAAGAACTGCTATGATTTTTGTCATTACATAATTAGAATTATACAATTCACAGCAAAGTTTCCCTCTTTGCTGTGGCTTCCAGGCAAGCGCAGAGCTAAAATTTCCGCTTAACTGTAATATTTTTTCTTCAGTATAGATTTTCTAATGTGGTGAATATAATTTATTGCTTAATTATTTTCAGTTATTTTAAGTGTATGTTTATTATAAAATGCTGCTTTAGATCCTTTTGATAGTAGCTGGCATATAAAAAAATTAAAATGTTTTCACTAGAAAAATGCTACCAAAGACCAAAAGCCATGTATGTAGGTATAACAAGAACATTCAGACTATACATATTGTTAAATTTACCCTTCGAGTAATCTTTAAAGAATGATAGCCAATGTTCAAGCCCCTGGATGCAGGCACACACTCAGTTTATAAATGGAGATTTTTATCTTGGGCCCAAATTTGCAAATGCATGGAAAATCAGGTAATGCAACTGAGATACAATTTTTAAAATTAAAATTGTCCTATCAATATCTTTCCAGGAAAACTTTTTTCTAAGTAGAAAAGAATTATTACAAATTCTACATTTCGGAATCAGTGATAAGTTCAGCTCTTAATGTGAATCACTATGGCAAAATCAAGATAATCTGTCCATTTATTATGTAAAAATTGTTCATATTAGATTTATGATGCTCAGTGTAGGGAATTAAGAAAGGCATTTGGGTGCCAATGTTTTGCAAGAGCCACTGTACTATATGCAAATGCTAAATTCAATATATTTTTCAGATATGGCTGATGACCTTCTGCAAGGTTGCTGCATTTAATTTGCATGATACTGATGGTGATGCACAATGGCTGCTGGTTACCCTAGGTGCCTAAATGTCTCTACTGCAACAGGTCACAGAGTGGTCCTAAGATGGTGACGCCACCTCTGGGGAGAATCACAAAGGTTCTATGCAACAATCTCTACGGTAGTCACACACACCACTCACTGTGGCAACAAACGTAAAACATCAAGCAATCTCTAAATGGTTCAGGGCCCTAAAAAGACAAGTAAGGGATCAAGGAACCTATGTTCTATTTTTCCTCTAATTCAACAGGATAAACTATAGAAATTCTTTCATTATATTATAGTTCAAAAGCAAAATAAGAATTACATGTAGAACTTCCATGTCAGAAGAAGCTAAGATTATATTTATAAATTTTCTTCATATTAAAATATGATTGAATCAATGAGATCATTCTCCAAAATAATTTCAATAAGAGAGACCTGGTAAATGAGAAATATTCGACAATGAGGTTATGAATTTCTACAAGTCTTGATTTCTACCAGTCTGAATGCTTTTTCTTAAACATATGACCTTAGATAGATACCAGACTGAACATCTTGTATGATGGTGGTAAAATTTAATGTGCACATTAGCAAATTTAAGTATCAAAATATAATATATCCTGCCATTGAAAATCAAAGTACTATAACAAAAATATAATATAGACAAAATAATTACCTAACTGAACCAAATAAAATGAGGAGACTACTTCATTGTTCTTGGTGCATTTCTATGTCTTATCATTGCTCTTTAAAACAGAAATTATTAGAATAACAACCTATAATAATTATAAAACATATTCACCAAAAGGGAGTCCCCTAGTTGGAACGATTCACCTTAAGGTTGGTAACTATACTTTATAATAATGATTTTCTAATCAGCATACAATGTACTACATATTTGGAAGAAGTCAAAAATAGATTTTAAGGAAACTGTACTCATTTAAGAATCTGGTGGAAGGGAAGAGCAAACAAAGCCATAGATTTCAAAATAGATATTTCACTGGTCCTCTTTTGGTTAAGTATTTCTAATAGCCCTTTTTACAAAATGGCCTCCATTGCTAAACTAGAATAGCCACACATTAACTGAAAATCAAATCTCTAACTGAAAATCAAATTAAAAAATTATACAATCTAATATTTAATACGTTTGTTCTGCATCAAACTACAACACAGTGATTTGAAAAAGATCTATTTTGAAAATTATATGCCTACTTTGTTTCCTTGAAATTTGTGAATGAATTTAGAACTTAAAAGGTATTATACATTACATTATTTAGACCACAACCATGAAGAGATAGATTTTGAAAATTTAAGACTTACCTGAAGGAAACTTTGAATTAATATCCTCAGTAAATAACCAAAGATAAATACAAATTATGAGTATTTTGGTACACATGATAAGATTTTTTAAAGTACAGCTCATTGCTAAAACTTTAAAAAATTGTATTCTCTAAGAACGACTAAGTACAACATACACAAAATTATTTTCCTTTTGAGCAAGAATGCATTTAGCCTGTTTCCATTGCTTACTGGCATTCCCTTGACAGCAATTCCAATTAGTAAAACGTTCCAAGAAAGACACGAAATATGAGAAATACAATCCTAAATTACAGCATTTGAGGAGGTCATATAGTCCTCATACTTAATGTTTCAATAGGAAGAAATTCAATTAATAGCCTCATTGTACTATCCCTGTGGCTTTATTATACGTAATAGAACTAAAATTTCCCTTTTGTTATGATTGGATGAACCGCACCCTATATGGCAGACACGACTCATGCAAAATCACAAAGGTTCCCTCTAAATTTGGCCTCCACTTGTATCGGCTTCCCATAGCAGCCCCCAAATAATAGGAAGTTATGCAAATTAGTGTATTTTATTTTATCCATTATACAATTCTACTATGCAAACAAATCCTACACTGACTCAGAACCCATATCTCTTACCATGGGAAAACAATGGTAAGGTTTAACATCATATTTGAAAGAGAATATGAACTAGACAATATTCCTAATAAATTGAATGGCTAAGAGTCAAAACACCAGCATATATTTCATAAAGGCTCTAATGAGGCTGGTGGCAAAAATATAATACACGATGATTTAACAGGAACCACCTAAGTATTCTCGTACCATGGGCACTACAATGACTACCTTTTTAGGTAGCAAGCCAGCGTAAAACAAGTTGAAAATAATTGTACTGTAAATGTATACCATTGACAACAAAACCTGTGCTGTGTATATTCATATTGCATCAGTTATTCTCTGAATATAGAAGACAACTCAAGGTCAAATGAAAAATAACCAATAACTCCTATTCTTTGCCTTACCACCTCCCGCTGTCCACTCAAAAAAATTAACATCTTACTTAATTAGTAGTGTGTTTATGTTTAGATAATCACAAGATTGTTGAAAGACATAATATAACAGAAGGTTTGTTTTGTTTGAAAATTATATTATTTGCGGAGGAAGAATAACTACAGGAAGAAGCTTGTGTGGTGTGGTTAGCATGGTTAGATTTCAATGGGAAAAGGGGTATTTAGACCTAGTATACAATATGTTTTTATTAGAAAAGAACATTATCTTTTTATTGTTATCAATTGCTCTTAAATTTTTCTTTAATGCAATTTCACAGCAATCTCAAGAGGATACACTAAAGGCCCTTGATTATATATACTCTACAGAATGTATTGTATCACAAAGATACACATCCAATAAGATTTCTTTTTTCATCTGAAATTTATAAAGATAATTTTCCATGCTGACAGTGCACATTTCATCCACAAGTTTGAGGAGTCAAATGCTACCACAGCTGGGGGTTATTCTGCCAAATGGCTTCCAACAGGGACTACAGAGATGTGGGCTAGGAGGCATGTGTGTGTGCAGGAAAAAGCAACAGACCTGATGGGAAATAGCCCTTCTCTGGAGTCATTTTTATCAATTACCATCTGAGTGATCTAATCAAATATAGTCTAATGAAAACAGCAACACTAGGAAGGAAAAGCAAATATTAAAACAGCTGCTTGATTACCTACAGAGATTAAAACAAAAAGCAAGGAGTGAGGCTGATATATTTCATAGGGATTTGCTAAGGCTGAAGGGAGGGGTAAGGGGCAGATACCTTAAAAAAATCCATCATGAAAGGAACTGAGACAAGATCATAAAAAAGGGGGCCAAGTTATAGCGCGCCATGGGATTTTTAATCTGGCTACCTGTGGTTTCTGTAGTTAAGGCTTTATTCATCCCAAAACGGGGGGGGGGGGGGGTGGGGGGGAGAAAAACAAAAAAAAAATCACATTTATATGTCAGTTTTGCAAATGATCAAACAGCGTGCATCAATAAGAATAATAAGAAAACATTAAACGCTGATGACTTTTTAAAAACAGATACCCGTTTTATCAAATATTATTGATAATTACCTGTGCATCTCGTTTCTTGAACTCCTGAATTTGATTTTCGTGCTCCATATTGGCAGCGCGAAGCTGTTTTTCCAGGTTTTCAATTTCCCGTTCATGGTCTCGGACTAGGCTATCCTTCTCTGCGTTATGCTGCTGTAATAGGTGCGTCTTCTCCTGTTCATGCTCCAGCTTCAGCTCTACTATCTGATTGGACAATGAGGAGGACAGTTCATCAACAGAACATCCTTGTCGTCATGACAACTCATGTACAGCTTAATTTTTCTCTAATTTGTCCAAGTTGAAAATTTTTATTTTTACATCATTATTACCTCACCCTCGAAATACTCTCATTTGTTGGGGTGGTGGTTATGCAAACCTCCTAATATTCAAAATAGTTGGGCATATTCAGTAAATCCTTCTTCAATCTGTTGACACAAATGTCTGAACATTGAAAAAAATTATCTCGAATGCTAGTCACTTCCTCCCCAAGAATTCGGGTATTACTGATCAGCAATGGTTATAAATGGTTAATAGTACGCTTTGCTTTTTGCTTAAATATACACATGTAAAAAGCAGCAATTAAATCGGTCAGCTTTCTTCATGATTTACAAATAAAAGATCGGAGCTAAATATGCATCTGGATTCTTGTATATACAGTTGTCTTTTAAAAAATAAAATGATAAATTTCAAAGCTCTATTATCTCGTTGTCAGCTACGGTATACCAACATAAACAGATGTTATGTGTTCCAGAAGGGCACCTGCTGTGCTGCAAGCTTGCGCCATGATTTCATAAAGAGCATTCTATTCTCAGGATCCTTTCCCAGTCCACTCCACACTGGAGACTGTGACCTTGGCCAGTCTTAGCCTCTCCCCGCTAGACTGAATGGCAGCCCGAGACCAAGGCCTGGTTGCCGCAGCTTTGATACTAATCCTCCCAGACTGTGCACAATGGCACCCTACCTGGCCTGCAAACTATAGCCAGCCAGGCTGTCTTTGAAGCAGGTGATGAATAGGGGACGGCAGGAAGCCAGCTTCCCCAGTGAACTCCAGGCCACACAGCTGCTAAGAACAGTCACTTGGATTTTTCTTCAGTTTTGGTGGATTTCAGGGGGAAAAACTGCTGTTATCTAGAATATGTTGTGTTATTTTCGGCGTGAGAATCCATCTTCAAAAAAGCTAACAGTAGGAGCCTGCTCCAAATCGATCTTGTTTCGTGCAATGAATCACCAGACTACCTTATCTTAAAGCTATAGCATTCATTTCTCCAGGCATGCACACTGCACTAAATTTCAGAAGTTTTCTTTTTAAATTTGAAATTCTTATCCCTTATGACAAGTCAAGAATCAAAACACAAATGAAATTTGCTTTAAAACATAGGTTTCAAAATGTTTTCTTATTGTGATTAAAGAGTAGCGGGTACCATTCCTTCTGAAACTATTCCAAACAGCGGAAAAAGTGGGACTCCTCCCTAATTCATTTTATGAGGCCAGCATCATCCTGATACCAAAACCTGGCAGAGACACGACAAGAAAAGAAAATTTCAGGCCATTTTCCCTGATGAACATCGATGCAAAAATTCTCAATAAAATACTGGCAAACCGAATCCAGCAGCACATCAAAAAGCTTATCCACCATGATCAAGTCGGCTTCATCCCTGGGATGCAAGGCTGGTTCAACATACGCAAATCAATAAACGTAATACATCACATAAACAGAACCAATCACAAAAAACACATGATTAACTCAATAGATGCAGAAAAGGCCTTTGATAAAATTCAACATCCCTTCATGCTAAAAACTCTCAATAAACTAGGTATTGATGGAATGTATCTCAAAATATTAAGAGCTATTTATGACAAACCCACAGCCAATATCATACTGAATGGGCAAAAGCTGGAAGCATTCCCTTTGAAAACCGGCACAAGACTCTCACCACTCCTATTCAACATAGTATTGGAAGTTCTGGTCAGGGCAATCACGCAAGAGAAACAAATAAAGGGTATTCAAATAGAAAGAGAGAAAGTCAAATTGTCTCTGTTTGCAGATGACATGATTGTATATTTGGAAAACCCCATCGTCTCAGCCCCAAATCTCCTTAAGCTGATAAGCAACTTCAGCAAAGTCTCAGGACACAAAATCAATATGCAAAAATCACAAGCATTCCTGTACACCAATAATAGACAAACAGAGAGCCAAATCATGAGTGAACTCCCATTCACAATTACTACAAAGAGAATAAAATACCTAGGAATCCAACTTACAAGGGATGTGAAAGACCTCTTCAAGGAGAACTACAAACCACTGCTCAAGGAAATCAGACAGGACACAAACAAATGGAAAAACATTCCATGCTCATGGATAAGAAGAATTAATATCGTGAAAATGGCCATGCTGCCCGAAGTAATTTATAGATTCAATGCTATCCCCATCAAGCTACCATTGACTTTCTTCACAGAATTAGAAAAAACTACTTTAAATTTTATATGGAACCAAAAAAGAGTCTGTATAACCAAGATAATCCTAAGCAAAAAGAACAAAGCTGGAGGCATCATGCTACCTGACTTCAAACTATACTATGAGGCTACAGTAACCAGAACAGCAAGGAACTGGTACCAAAACAGATATATAGGCCAATGGAACAGAACAGAGGCATCAGAAATAATGCCACACATCTACAATCATCTGATCTTTGACAAACCTGACAAAAACGAGCAATGGAGAAAGGATTCTCTATTAAATAAATGGTGTTGGGAAAACTGGCTAGCCATATGCAGAAAAATGAAACTGGATCCCTTCCTTACACTTTATACAAAAATTAACTCAAGATGGATTAAAGACTTAAACGTAAGACCTAAACCCATAAAAATCCTAGAAGAAAACCTAGGCAATACCACTCAGGACAGAGGCATGGGCAAAGACTTCATGACTAAAACACCAAAAGCAATGGCAACAAAAGCCAAAATTGACAAATGGGATCTAATTAAACTAAAGAGCTTCTGCACAGCAAAAGAAACTATCATCAGAGTGAACAGACAACATACAGAATGGGAGAAAATTTTTGCAATCTATCTATCTGAGAAAGGGTTAATATCCAGAATCTACAAAGAACTTAGACAAATTTACAAGAAAAAAAACAACCCCATCAAATAGTGGATGAAGGATATGAACAGACACTTCTCAAAAAAAGCCATTTATGCAGACAACAAACATATGGAAAAAAGCTCATCATCACTGGTCATTAGAGAAATGCAAATCAAAACCACAATGAGATAACATCTCATGCCAGTTAGAATGGTGATCATAAAAAGTCAGGAAACAACAGATGCTAGAGAGGATGTGGAGAAACAGGAACACTTTTACACTATTGGTGGGAGTGTAAATTAGTTCAACCACTGTGGAAGACAGTGTGGCAATTCCTCAAGAATCTAGAAACAGAAATACCATTTGACCCACAATCCCATTACTGGGTATATACCCAAAGGATTTTAAATCATTCTACTATAAAGACACATGCATGGCTGGGTACGGTGGCTCATGCCTGTAATCCCAGCACTTTGGGAGGCTGAGGCAGGTGGATCACGAGGTCAGGAGGTCAAGACCATCTTGGCTAACATGGTGAAACCCCATCTCTACTAAAAATAAAAAAACAAAAACAAAAACAAAATTAGCCAGGTGTAGTGGTGGATGCCTGTAGTCCTAGCTACTTGGGAGGCTGACGCGGGAGAATGGCATGAACCCGGGGGGCGGAGCTTGCAGTGAGCCAAGATAGTGCCACTGCACTCCAGCCTGGGCAACAGGGCCAGACTCCGTCTCAAAAAAAAAAAAGAAGACACATGCACACTTATGTTTATTGCAGCACCCTTCACAATAGCAAAGACTTGAAACTCACTCAAATGCCCACCAATGATAGACTAGATAAAGAAAATGTGGCACATTTACACCATACTATGCAGCCATAAAAAATGATGAGTTCATGTCCTTTGCACAGACATGGATGAAGTTGGAAACCATCATTCTCAGCAAGTTAACATAGGAACAGAAAACCAAACACCCCATGTTCTCACTCATAAGTGGGAGCTGAACAATGAGAACACTTGGACACAGGGAGGGGAACATCACACACAGGGGCCTGTCGGGGGGGTAGGGGACTAGGGGAGGGATAGCATTAGGAGAAATACCTAATGTAGGTGACGGGTTGATGGGTGCAGCAAACCACCATGTCACGTGTATACCTATGTAACAAATCTGCAGGTTCTGCACATGGATCCCAGAACTTAAAGTATAATAATAATAATAATAAAGAGTTAGAAAATCAACAATGTATTTCTAACCATAAATGTATTGTTATTTAGAAGAAGAAAAGTATGCAAACTCTTGAACATATACACTTATAACAATAATGTATAAATAATAAGGCAAAATGTATTTTGCATCTCAGAATTGTGATGTGTTATAGTGAATTTATATTTATTTAAAATTTAGGGGTTTTCCCCATATTATTCTACTATTGGCAATATTCAGAAAAAATAGTATAAACATTTTCTCCTAATACATACTATACCGAGTAAGAAAGTTTTCTTTATTTAAAATAAATGTGTATGCTTTGTTCTGTGTCTCACAGAACTATGTTAATCCCAACAAAAGAGAGATTTCATATTGTATTGCTGTTATGACATTTTGCTCAGGAAGCTGAGTGAATGAATGACTGAGATGGAATATTTTTAGTTCTTGGACATGTTATTTCTACTCAGCGTTATACCAACAAGGATCATTATAATAAAATTATAAACTTAAATCAAAATCATTTAAGCATGTAACACACTGAAGGGAAATGGGAGGTAGAAAGTTCTATTGAGATCTTCTTGAAAGCCTCAGAAATATTGGGAGAAGGGATGTGACTTAAAATTGGTTAAAAGCAAAATATTTTACAATATTCTAGAATGAGAAAAGTAACCAAATGAGCTATAATTGGGGCAAAAGAATTGCAGAATTTTCTCCCAACAGAAAACACATGACTAGAACTAGCTGTGAGATCGTTAGTAATGATACCTCCTTGTTCTGTACTCTAGTAGTAATGTACTTTCACAGTAACTTTCTAAACAGAGACATTTGAAGTTTCTTATAGACTCATCAATGATCATGCCCATGTTCAAATTTCACTTTATTCATTTTTAAAAATCAGGAAAAAAAGGAAATAGCGGTTATCACATTTCAAGCATAAACATAAATAGTCATAAATGATTGTTAGTTTGATATTTTGCCAGGGCCTATTGCTCATGATTCTACTTAATGAACAAATCTCAAGGTTGCCAAAGCCTTTTAAATATCATTCACTTTTACCTCTCCTGCTTGAACAGAGAATAAGGAGGATAATTTTCAATTTAAAATGCAATAGCTCAGGCTTGTCTGCTAAGTCCAACACTACATGGCTAACTTCTGGATGTCATGAGCCCTTTCTGGTCTTTTCCTAGGCTTCCGCACCATCAGCATCTTCTAGCAAGGGTGTCTTCTCCAGATAAATGGTAGGGTCCAGAGGAGAAACCCTAATGTTGGGGGAATATCTTGACGATGGTATTCATAACTACAAAGAATGTCATCAAGGTAGATATGTAAATAAAAAGTTTTACTGGTGCCTAGCCCCATCCATGTAAATAAATGTTAAAAGAATCATCTGGACTTTCCATTTGTCCTTTACTTGTGGACACATCTCAAAGGTAAACACAAAGTAGCACATCTTCTTCATGTTGGACTAGTAGATACTTCGGTTGACCAACAATAATGTCTAACGGAGTTAATGATGACCAGGAGGTGGTAAATTATGGACATTGTAGAGGACATAAAAGCAGACAGAACCCACAAAATGAATATTAAATGGTTAATAAGCCTTCTAAGTTAAGGGGTGTGGGGCATCTGGACCCATAATACATGCTACAAGGGAGAACTGGATGCACCATGATCAAGGACCCTGCTTAATTAAGGCTGGCTAAGGAGTTCCCTGTAATAAAAGAGGGAAGGCTTCAAGTTCCATAATCCAAAAGCATTGAGCTATGAGACAGATAACAATACTGGGTATGTGCCCACCCTAAACATATTAAAGAAGACTGGCATGTCTTCCAGGAACACTGGTAGTGTCAGCCCTCATGTGCAAGCACCTGGTGGCATATGATAGTCCTTTGAGAAGCTAGGGTTGACGGCTTGGTGGTTGGGGTTCATTGTCTAGAAAATACTGGGTTGACTCATAGGAAATTGTCATTTTTGAGGTCAAAACAGGAGATGAAAAAGGGACCGGGGCAGTGGCTCACGCCTGTAATCCCAACACTTTGGGAGGCTGAGCCGGGCGGATCATCTGAGGTCAGGAGTTCAAGACCAGCCTGACCAACAAGGAGAAACCCATCTCTACCACAAATACAAAATTAGCCTGGTGTGGTGGTGTATGCACGCAATCCCAGCTACTCAGGAGGCTGAAGCAGAAGAATCGCTTGAACCCGGGAGGTGGAGGTTGCGGTGAGCCAAGATCACGCCATTGCACTCCAGCCTGGGCAACAAGAGTAAAACTCTGTCTCAAAAAAAAAAAGAAAAAGGGTCCTGCTCCACCCACCATGCTACTCCACAACACATGCAGAACTTGAAATTCAAGAGTAAAGTTTTGAAGTTCTGAAGTTCCTAAAAGCATCGGCCTCCATTTCAGAACAGACGAAATCCTTCTACAGCTTGATGATGACGTCTTCATTCCAATTGAACTTTCATGTAAGTGCCTAAGGGCAAGAGCACATTCTAGGTCCCAAGAAAGACCAAGATGGAGCCACTGGACATACAAGTCCCTAGGGATCTTGGGATATATATTTTAAGTCCTGGTAACTGTTTTACAGTGAAATTAGTGCTAGCAAATATGGCCTGAACCACTTTCAATAATCATTTAAAGAAATAGAAAAGGAGATGGAAAAAGTCATTTCTTCTCAATATACAATATGTGGAAGACTAATATACCCCAATAACATAACTTAATGTCAGGAATGCCAGTGCTAGAAACATAAATCATAGAAGGATGTACCACAACACATTGAAAAGGGGAAATGATGGTATAAAATACTAACCAAAATAATCTTGAAGGTAATCAAATTACAAACTTTATATTCTACATAGCCCTGGTGTAAAAACGGGTTATAGCTAGAGAAAGTAGGGAGAGTGGTTCTCCATATTCTCTGGCTAGAAAAGGAGGAAGAGAGGGAGTCACAGTTAGATGCCCTGGGGTTATATTTGTCCTACAACTCAATGATAATTGCTCTCCCTTAAGTGAATAGAAATATGAAAGTTTAAGAATTTGGAAGGACTTAGAGGCTAGCTAATACAATGTTAATCTTAATCTAAAAACCTTCCCTATAAAACCCTGATAGTTGGTCATTCAGCTGCTGCTGGAATGATTTTACCAACAGGAGAATAACCATATTCCAAGAGAAACCAATGCCTCATACTGAACATACTTGGCACTGGAAATTCTGGGTAAAGATAATAGGGAAAACTGAAAATTGTGAAAAGAACAAAAACAAACATTAAATACAGAACATGAGAACATTCACTGGCAGTGAACAAACAAGGAAAGAAGAATAATAACTTGGCCACAAATTTCAAAACAAGGTAGCCAAGGAAAGAAAGAGAAGATTCTGACATGGTTTGGTGAGACATACTCTTTTGTCCCTATACCCTAGAAGTAGAACTGGTAAGTTGAAATTATGCTGAGGATTATTTTCCAGTATCCCAGTTTTAGAGAAAAATGAACTGAAGATGTATCATTCACTTTTCCCCCTTCTGCCTGGGTGGAAGAATAGGAGGACAATTTCAATGGAGTAAAAATGGCTACTAGAGAGAGATGAATCAAGTTAGGAAAGTAGGAAACTTGGACTGATTCTCTCTGATAGAATATAGGAAGGAGTTAGAGTTCACAGAAAAAAGAAAACACTCTCTAATACACAGAAAAACCCCAGTGTAAGACATTAATAAATTGTTAAAAGACAGAGCCAGTATCAGTTTCTCTGACAGAAGTTGTTCAGAACTGCAACTAAGCTCTTTTTCTCCATCCCTATCACGATCTCATAAAAAAGTAAAGGCAATGAAATACCTGTGCCTTCATACTGAAATTCAGAGGAGGACTGACAGGCTGAAAAGTAGTCAAAGAGAATTCATGAATATTATATCAGTCCATTTAACAGATTTGGACACAGGTGCCCACGTTAAGCCCAAGCAAGATGAGGGAGAAAAGTATCTGAAAACTAGAGAAACATTAATTACATTAGGAAAAAGGTGAACTTAGTGACAAAGAAGAGGAAAAGAAGAAAGTAAGGAAGAGGCCCATCATTAAAAACCAAAAACAATTGTAAGAGAACTTAATAAGAACATGAGTGTAATGAAAGAATAATGCAAGGATAACAAGATAAAACAACAGAATTAACCAAGGACCCAAATAACTCCATCACAAAATTGATTCTAAATCAGAAACAATGAGTTGAATAAACATGGTGAAAAATCAAATCATTGACATAGATAAAGGGTTTGAGGTAATCATAATAAAGGTCCAGGAAAAAGACAAAGAGAAGCTAAAGTAGGAAACGTGAAAAGAAAATCCATGTAAACACAGACCGTGGTATCCGAAAATTTCCCTAAAATGAATGAAGAGATAAATGTGTATATCAAAAAGACACACTGTAGACCAAGAAAGATAGATTCCAATTGAGGAAAAGAAACGTGAAAGAAACTCAAGGACTGTAGTCCCCAAACCACTCTTGAAACAAAAAAACACTTGGGGATAAATTTCAAGCAAGAGATGACCAGAGAAGCTGTTTAAGACCAATGTTTGCACCAAAAGGCAATGGATGATGTGTACAAAGTGTCAGGGGAAGAAAGGATGATCAAAAAATTTTATGCCCAGCTAAGGTATCCTTCACAAATAAGAGAACACATAGTGATGCTCAAGCATGCAAAAATACAGTGAATACAACTATAAGCCCTTCTTGGAAAAGCTACTTGATGAAATCTCAGTAGTCAATAATAGATCAAAATAAGAACTCAGGTATGAAGTTGTGCAAAAATCCTGGTGGTGAGCACATAATTGATTTAAATAAAAAGCTAAGTTTATATAACTGTGAGAATTATGGTTATGGAACAAAATATAAATGTTATAAACTTCAACAATGTATAAATAATACTATGGTTGACAAAATAGACTGGTATAAGTAGGTGGAAGGAAATATGGGCAGTTTAATTTTTCTCTAATAAGGAGTTAACTAATGCCCTCAAAATTGAACCACAAAATTTAAAAATTACTCTAACTTCAATGTATTTTTAATTTCTAACATTCTAAAAATAATCTCTTATGTGGTTAAAAAAATGTTTTTCTAAATTTTAGAAATCTTTCCATTTCCACTGGGCACAGTGGCTCACCCCTGTTATCTCAACACTTTGGGAGGCCGAGGTGAGATGATCACTTGAGCCCAGGAGTTCAAGATCAGCCTAGGCAATGTATCAAGACCCTATCTCTATAAAAAATAAATAAAAAAGAAAAAATGAGAGAAATCTTTCCGTTTCCCTTGTTTCTTCAAATAATTTCACATATAATTTAATATTTTAATTAAAAGTGGCAAATGTAGCATGGTCCTGTTTCTAGAAAATTGTTTTTGTCTATATATCTACTTATCCTTCTATTTATCAATCTCTCATAGAAATTTCTGGAATAATGCTCACCTAAGATTAACAGCAGTCGTTTCCGGAAGGTAAGATTTGGGTAAAATTTTTGTTTTCTTCTTTGTGTGCAGGACCATGTCAAATGCCAGTAGCTCCCTTCGGGGGGAATATTTACTTCTGGTGGCAGTACAAGACTCTTAAACAAGGGATGTGGTCTCTCTTAAAACAAACGGGTTCTGGGTCTGCGAACCAACTCAGATCGGGAAACTTGGTAGAGGACTATGATTTTCCACCCTAAGTGGAAAACTGTTTCAGTTTCACTCATCAGTCTTGGACATTTTCTTGATGTTGTACAAGCCAAGTAGTATTCCCACTGGCTCTCTATCTTATCTCTCAGAACACAGCTCATTATCACCACAGATCCCTGCAGGGTAAGACACCTGAAGGGCCTGTCTAGCCTTACTATCCAGTAGAGTAATCGTGTCTACCTTCCATCTATCCAAGTGCCCCATGTAGTGCCTGCCATTCTGGAACCCAACTTTCCTGTTGAAAGGAGGCAGCTCAGTTCCATAGCAGCATCTCCTACTGTCGGCCCCGGAATACAGAGGAAACCACCATGGAGGTGGCTCAGTGCTATCAGTGCCCCTCCCACCAGTGCACCTTAGCACCCTAGTAAAGGCCATATCCTCTAGGCCCTCCCATGCACTGGCTTCTCTGGCCTAAAGCAACAAAACCACTCTCATATTCTCACTTTTCTGATACTTTGACCCTTCCTCCATAGTAAGCCAAGGCAGTTCTGCCATGGCTGAAGTAGCATGGAAGTAAGTGGCAGAAAAACTACTGCCTGGTAAAAATCACAAACAATTATCAACATGCCACATTTTTTAAAAATAAAGATGAAGGACAGTTCAAACATTGTAAACTGTATCCAAAATTATATTGATCATCAAATTAATAGTTCAAGGGGCACATTGCTTTAAAGGATTGGCCATTAATAGACAGATTTTTCTACAGGGCTTGCCAGGTAACACTTTCCTCTCACGTTCTACTCAAGGGCTCTCTGTGGAAAACCTTTGCTTCTAGGTTGTAAAATTTAGCACTAGTTTTATTAGGTTGGTGCAAAAGTAATTGTGGAAGTAATTGTTGTGTTTGCCATTACTTTCAATGGCAAAACCCACAACTACTTTTGCACCAACCTAATATATAGGTCATTAGACTCATGATGTTAAGATGCATACTAAGAAACAGGCAACAGGTACATCAGGCCCTGGTATTTTTCATGCAATGAGATATATATTTAACATCATCAGGTTATGTCTCTGAAAAATTTGCATCTGCAAAATTGCACACTTGAAATGTCAAAATAAGTTACTAAATTTTTTAGAGCTGCAGAAATTTTACGCTAATGGGGCAGTCTACCGCAAAGGTAGTAGTTTCACAGACTGATTTTATATCCTCACTAAAAGATGTTGGAATCTTTCTTTTTAGTCACAGTTATATGATATAAAATGTGCTATTGGATACTTCACTATATGAGAAAAGCTCCCTTAAAGATAAAATAAGGACATATACAATCTTCTCTGAGTCCTTGGAGTCAGAGTAAAGATACATTTTAGCACAGAAAATACTACAATCTGGTCTTACTTTCTGAACACTTTAATAGAAATAGGCACAAAAAAATTGTAAAAAGCAGGCAGTGTGTCAAGAACAGAAATAGAATGTGTCATTTGGGGATGGCCATGTGGCTCCCAGATTAGATGTTTGCTACATCCATGAAATCTGTCAATCAACAGTTCAGTTTACGCATGGAAGTTCTCCTTATTTAAAAGTTTAATGTTGCTGTGATAACCGCTGTTAGAGATGGTACCAGGGCCTGCCAGCATACACTGCTTCTTTATTCCTTTTCCTCTCCAGCCAACCATCAACAGCCAGGACTACTGCCTGCTGAAGCTCCCGAAGCTCATGATACAGGGAGAGCAGAAGGCTGGAAACACAGCTGTGATTAGCAAGCTGATAGATGAAGCAAGGCTGGAAGCAGGCGCTATCTCCTGTGGTTATCTTCCCATTTAACACTTCAAAACACTTCTCCAGCACCTGTAGGTGATGAGTGACAATTATCCTGAGTTTTTAAAACTTTTTGAAAAATGAGCTATTACTTTCTGTGGTTTTATCTGCCAGATCTCAGTTGAAACTCAGGAAGAAGCCAGATAGTCAAATGCTTCAAAAGGGTTTTTTTTTCATGGTTCAATAATGGACAACTCAAGCCACACAAATTGAGAAAATTAACTAAATTTAATTAAGATTAATTAACTAATTAACTAAATTAATGAACTCCATATAGATGGAGTTCAAAATTTTTAGAAAAAAACATGTCTTAACTGCATATTTTAATTCATTTTACTTTATGTGTTTCTCTACAACACATTCAGTTCTCAATGAGATGTCTGTGTCTTAATCTAGTATGTTACTGCTTTTGAATGAACATGAAATATAAAAATCATGTAAGTTTGCCAGCTACAGTTCGTAATTTAGAAGGACAAATAGGTCAACCTGGTTATAAACTCTTCCAATATATAGCACTGTGTCTTTACTTTCTTTTTATTTTCCTTATCTTGCCTACCACAATGCTTCGTAAATTATTCATCATTTTGAATGAAACAAGGTGGCATTCGAAAAACAGAATTACAAGTAGGTGGAAGACAGCTGCTTCATCTTCCCCATCACCAAATTGGCTGGTCCACCTGCAAAGACCCTGCCTTACCTATGGCTTGAACGCATGGCTGGCCTTGCAGCTACCTAAGGCGAGTCCCTTCATCTGTACACTGGATTCCATCCTTTCTTGCCAAATTAAGCATGCTGCTCTTGAAATTATCCCATCACTCTCTGCATCATCAATATTTTCTTCTCTAGTGGATCAGTCTCATCAATAAGCAAACATGTTTTTAGCTTATCTCATTTTAAAAAAACTTTCCTTTGACCACACACGTCCCTCTAGATACCACTCATTTCTCTGCTCCCTTTTCTTTCAAAATTCCTCAAAACGGCTGCTCACAACGCATTGTCTGTCCACCCACATAATTCAGACATTGGTTCCCACATTCTACTGAAACCAGTCTTGTTGAGGTGGCTAAAGACCTCGCCATGCAGCAGTCAGTTCTCAGTCCCCATCTAACTTCCCTTCTTGGCAACACCTGAAACAAGTGGTTACTCACTTCCTCCTTCCTGAAACACTGCACACGGCTTATGGGAAATCCCACCTTCTTAGACCTTCCTTTTACCTCACTGGTTGTTCCTTCTCAGTCTCTTTTGCTGCTTCCTCCACCTCTTCCTCATATGTAAGTGTTGGCAGCCCCTAGACTCAGTCCTGGAAGTTCCTTTCTCTTCTCTCTACTCATGTATCAGTGTCTGTCACCACCATCCACCTGGTTGCTCAGTTGGGAAACTTTTAAGTCACATTTTAGCCCACTCTTTACCTTACATTCTATTTCACAACCATTGACAAGTCCTGCCTGCAAAATAGATCCCAAATCTGACTACTCCCTGTCTCCCCCACCACTCCCACCCTAGTCCCAGCCCGGTAACCTCTAACCAGCCCACTGCAATCATCTCCTAACTAGGTCCCCTGCATCCTCTCCTGCCTCCATCGTAATCAAAGCTCCACACAGCAACTGGAGAGATCTTTCAAAAATGCAAACTAGGCCGGGTGCAGTAGCTCACGCCTGTAATCCCAGCACTTTGGGAGGCTGAGGTGGGTGGATCATGAGGTCAGGAGTTCGAGACCAGCCTGGTCAACATAGTGAAACCCTGTCTCTGCTAAAAATACAATAAAAAATTAGCCAGGCGTGGTGGTGGGTGCCTGTAGTCTCAGTTACTTGGGAGGCTGAGGCAGGAAAATCGCTTGAACCCAGGAGGCGGAGGCTGCAGTGAGCTGAGATCACACCACTGCACTCCAGCCTGGGTGACAGAGTGAGACTCAAACTCAAAAAAAAAAAAAAAAAAAAAGAGAAAAGCAAACCAGATCTTGCTCAAATGCTCCAGTGGCTTCTCAACACACTCAGAATAAAATCCAATCTCCCACCATGGTCCATAGGATGTGACAAAATCTACCCTGTACTGTACTTTGGCTCCTACCACTCTCTTCCAAGTTCACTCCATTCCAGCTACAAACTAACCCATCTCATGGCTGTTGCAACCATCCACCTGGAATGTTCTTTCCTTACCTCAGGTTTTTGTATGGTTTCCTCCTTCACTTCATCCAGGTCTTAATTTGAATATCATTTCAGTAGAGTCCTTCACTAACAATCTTATCTACAATAACACCTTGTATAAAATAATAACCATTTATAAAGTAGCCCTTTCACTCACAAACACTTTAGCTTGCTCTATTTTTCTTCACAACAGTTATCATTACCTCACCCTACCTTAAATTATGTTTTGAAAAAGAGTGTGTGTGTGTGTGTGTGTGTGTGTGTGTGTGTGTGTGTGTATGTGTGGTAGGAGTAGTGGTGGTGGGTAGTGGTAGTGTTTTTCTCTTCCATCACAAGGGTAAAGACTCTATATTTTGTTCACTGTTATATCCCAAGCACTTGGAAGAGTGTTTAGCACATAGTAATTCAATAAACATGTGTGAAATAATGAATGATTGAGAAGGCATTAGTTCCACTTTATATTTTTAATGTACTTAAAGAAGGAATAATGAGTTAGTCCATATCACTATCCAGGAAAACAGCTTCTTTTTTTTTTTTTGAAATGGGTGGGTGGGGTCTTGCTCTGTCACCCAGGCTAGATGGAGTGCAGTGGTGCTATCAAAGCTCACTGTAACCTTGAACTCCCAGGCTCAAACAACCCTCGCACCTTAGCCTCTAAAATAGCTTGGAACACAGGTGCAAGCCACCATGCCAGTCTAATTTTTTTTTTTTAATAGAGATGGGGGCCTCACTACGTTGCCCAGGCTGGTCTCTCACTCCTAGCTCCAAGCAATCCTCCCTCCTGGGCCTCCTGAGTTACTGGAAATACAGGCATAAGCCACTGCACCCAGCCCATCTTTGCTCTTTTAATATTCACTCTAGCTAAAGGTGCCACTTGTTTTAACCTAGATGAGAACAGCTCCAGGCCAAAAGAAAAAAAAAGAGGAAGAGAAGGCTCTTCAATTGCCTTTCACTAAATATCAGCACCCTTTCTATGACTCTAGGCTCCGACCACTGGACCTGGACACAGGGGCCCAGGCTCTATAGCCTCACAGCCTGGGGCTCTGAGTCTGGCAGCCTAATGGCTGGGAATCTGGTACTTTGCCATTGCCTGCAGGACCAATCTGTGACTTGTGGTGTAGCTGCATTCCCTGAATTTGGTGCTTATTCAAAGAAGTAAGTTGAAAGGAAGCATCATTAGATCAAGGATTGCATTTGTCTTGATCACCACTGAGGACCACAGGGGCTGATATGTAGCTGGGGTTCAAAAATGTATTAGGAATTGGAAGAGGAAGGTCAAGCAAAAAAAGACTTTCAAAAAGAGTATGATAAGGTAAGCAAGAATAAAAGAGAGTAAGAGCAGCATACTGGATGTACCATAAATCATACATATCTAGAAATCAATAAGTCATATGGTAATCCATTTGGAAGGGATTTTAGGGAGCCCCACAAATCCATGGTCATTTACCACATTACCTCAATACCGAAGAGAAAGTTTACGAAGTCTTTCTACTTGGATCAGTCTTGCTATCACCCAAATAATTTTAAACAATTCCCACTTTTATTTGCTCTCCTGTCCATGTAATTCCTCCAGTCTCAGCAAATGATTTTGCCGCCTATCTGACAAAGAAAAACCTCAGTAATAAGAATGTCTTCATCTGCCTTTTGCAGATCCACAAACTTCTACACACCTGGCCTTCCCTTCTTTTCTCACGAGGCACAGGAGACAGACCTGGCCATCATCCAAGGCCAGCAGCTCCCCACGTGATGTGGGGAGCTGCCCAGTATCTCCACCTTCTTGGGAACATACACTAGTGAGTGTCTTCCCCTTTCCTCCCTCTCTTCCTTTCCACCATCTCCTTTTCCAGTGTAGACTAAATAGTCTCATTTAAAAGAAACCTGGCTGGGCGCGGTGGCTCACGCCTGTAATCCTAGCACTTTGAGAGGCCAAGGCAGGTGGATTGCCTGAGCTCAGGAGTTCAAGACCAGTCTGGGCAACACGATGAAACCCTGTCTCTACTAAAATACAAGAAAAAATTAGCCAGGCGTGGTGGCGTGTGCCTGTAGTCCCAGCTACTTGGGAGGCTGAGGCAGGAGAATTGCTTGAACCTGGGAGGTGGAGGTTGCAGTGAGCCGAGATTGCGCCACTGCACTCCAGCCTGAGTGACAGAGCAAGACTCTGTCTCAAAAAAAAAAAAAAATTAAAATTAAAATAAAAGAAGCCTAAGCTTGAAGGTTATACCACCTAGCTAAGTAATGACTAGAATATTTGCAAAGGACAAGGATTGGGAATCACGTGCTATCTGCTTTTTAAATATCCCAACTGACCTTCACTTAAAATTTCCTACTTGCTTATCTTGCAGAATTTGTTTTGTCTTTGCTACTGTGTTTGCTAACAAAATATTTTAAGTTTTAAATAATGGCAGCTTGTAAGAAGTTGGCCCTTCAGTGTTTTTTGTTTTTTGTTTTTTTTGTAATCATTGACAATAAGCACTTATTCTTTCTGGAGAAGCTGGCCACTTGTTTATCTGCTGAACTACATTTCTCCTTCAAGGCTTTGTAGTGGAAAGCAAAGATATAAAACACAAGATTAAAGAATGATCTCATGGAGTTGCCAAAGAAATCTCTATAGTCCAGGAAGTCCTAGCATGCCTGGTTGGTTGTTTGTTTCCAACTTGAATGAGGTTTGTGAAAAGACAATTAGAATTGTCTTTTTGTTCCAATGGGTTATACAGGAAAGAAACAGGAAATCTTGATGAAAGCTTGGGCTTTACAGGATATTTGTGTGAGCATTTAGCCCATGTGTTTGATGTTTTTCTTTCCACATCTGCACACTTTATGCCTGGATTTTGGCTAAGATACTTTAAAATACTACTTCGCTGTTTTCACTTCATTACAGTTCCTGGCACGGTGCTTTCTGTAAGAGAGGGGCTCAAAAATTAAAACTGGAGAAGGAAACTGAGGCCCAGAGGCACAAGTCCATTCATTCCCTCTGAATGTCAGTCAGTTCCCTCGTTATAAAATGTGAGGATTAGACCGGATAAGTGCTTTTAAAACTTTTCCACCAAAGTACTCTCAGCAGCAGTGAAAATGAATAGCACCCCCCTGGGGGATCTGAGGGCATAGCCTGAAGCAGCCTCTGCAAGCTGGAAGTTTCTTTGAAATGTCCTATTTTGTCTTCTTCATGAGAACTTTGCATTTTACAAAACAGGAAAGTCTATGTTTGTTTTAATAGGAATGTTACCTCAATAGTAAAACTACGTTGCTTTCCCACAATCGAACTGAGTGGATGCAACACTCCAGGAAGCATGTACGCAGCCTCAGGAACCCCTGGCACTTGCTCACACTCCCCCGGGGATCACCTTACCTGAGTTGGAGAAGCAAGGGCCCAGATGCTCGGCGTCTAAATCCCCTCCTGATGTGAAATGCTATCATCATAACACTGACAATTTTACCTTTTAGAGAAAAGTAAAACAAAATAATAGAAAAATATTCACACTTCCATTTGAATGGCAACTGAGAAAGTAGGCAAGAGTCCTGATACAGGGAAATCCAGCCAGACAGGTACCTAAATGAATGAGTCAGCGGTGGAATCAGAGAAGTCGGTCTGTCAAGAGGGGCTGGGAATCTAATCAGGCAGATGAACAGAAAGTCCCAGAATCTTGGTTTTGGAAGAGACCACTGCAGTAAGACAGCCCCCGGAAGGCACAGTATCCCTCCAGAATACTCCAAAAACACACCGCAACCCACTCACACTGGAAACTTACTTTCTCACAAGAAAAACTGTTGCACATTTGAAGGAGGAGTTCTTTAGAAAAGAACTACCTTGAAACAATTCAAAATATTCCTCATGGTACCATGTATGTATGGGTTCAATTTCTGCCCCCTGGAACTCCGCGGGAGTGCATTTAGAGTGGGGGTCAAGGGCAGGCCTCAGGTTCAGGTTCCGAATCCACCACCTATGAACTCTGTGGGACCCTGGGCCATTTACTCAAATGGATGTACTTCAGTTTCTACAACTAGAAGATGAAAACAATAAACAGTGTAGCTACCTCACAAGATTTCTGTGAGTCAGGTGCAGTGGCTCACGCCTGTAATCCCAGCACTTTGGGAGGCAGAGGCAGGTGGATCACCTGACATCAGGAGTTCGAGACCAACCTAGCCAACATGGTGAAACCCTGTCTCTACTAAAAATACAAAAATTAGCCAGGAGTGGTGGCGTACCACGTGTAATCCCAGCTACTTGGGAGGCTGAGGCAGAAGAATCACTTGAACGTGGGTGGCAGAGGTTGCAGTGAGCCGAGATTGCACCACTGGCACTCCAGCCTGGGTGACAGACCAGGACTCTGTCTAAAAACAAACAAACAAAATATATATATATATATATATATATATATATATATATATATATAATTATAATATATAATATGCATTATACATATATTTTATATATATATATTACTGTGAAGATGGGGAGTGGCTGAATATGTGTAAAGCAAGCAGAGTAGTGCCTGGTCCAGGGTAGATCCTAATAACTGTGGGCTTTTAGGATTTTTATCACACAGACCAAGCCCAGTACTCCCTGAAATTCAGACCTTAAATTTACAAACAGAGAGATATGCAATCCTCCCTTTAAATATTCCCCTCTGACATAGTTCCAGACCTTTCTACACTCTGAAAACTCTTCTCTGAACATGTTCGAGTTTGTCAGTGGCCTGCTTAAAATGTGGTGACCAAAATCGACCTATTCCTTATGTGACCTGAAATGTAAACAATAGCTGGGACCATATCTGCCAGCCCTCTTGTCCCCTGTGTCCCAGGCACCACACTCCCCTTATCTCTGAGGCTTTCTGTCTTCCTTCTACTTTTGCAACTGATTTTCTAAACCAAACCATGGCATTTTATATTCAACCTCAATAAATGTAATCTTCTTAATTCCAGCCAGCTTAAAGCTGCAGAAAACTCATTTTTTTTAATCCTACATATTAACTATTCCTCAGAACTCTAAGCATTGGGAAACTTTAAACTTTTTTTTTTTAATCCCTTATCATCCTCGACTGACTGAGAGACACAGAAATCTCACTTTAGGTTAACACTAATCATTCAGAGATGGCCCTTTGAACTATCACTTAACCACATAAAGGTACCAATATTCAAACCATATTTCCCCATACTGCCTTCATGTAGGCACCGTCAGACGGCTCCACGAAAGCCAGATATATTACATCTACTCCTATTTCCTTATCTACCAGCCTGGCTGCCCTGTTCAAAGAAGGAAATGAGCTTAGTTTAATCGGCTTCATTCTTAGTGTACTCATGCTGGCTTGTAGAGCTCACTACTGTATGCCTATCGTTTGTCATGATAAACTTCCACAGGAAAAAATCCTAACAATTTGGAGTGGTCAGGGGAAACACTGTTACAGTTAACAGAATATTCTGCTGAAAAAAAAAAGCTAACTAAAAAAGTTTGTATATTGTCACATCAATAAATATTCTCCTAAAATGTACTAGCTCATACTCCTGCCTTCATCTTTCCTTAGTGAACTACCACCTGGGATCTTCATTCTCAGCATTGATTCTAATGTATAGACCTCTAGATATAGAAAGAATAAAAACAGGTGAAATCTGCACCCACCTGAGGTACGCTTGTGTGTGTTTTTACATTCCTGTTATATACTACATTTGTATCATCTCTTTTCATGAAAAAAAGAAAGAAAAATGGATGCAATGGTGTATGGCTTCCATTAATAGTATCAATTCTTTAAAGAATTTATCGGTATCCCTTATTGTGTTAGTATTATTTTTGATCAATACAAAGACAAAACTTTGATAGATTTTAAAATCTATCATTCTGAGAAAAGCCTTTGAAGTTTACATGCTTCCAGACAAATTTATATATTTTTTTTACATTAAAAAAGTGAAACTGTCACAATGTGGATAATAGGGGGTATAGAAAAAAAGAATTCACCATGATTCCATCCTCTAAAAAATAACTAGGATTTTTGAGATTAAGGATAATTGGGTCAGAGGGTGTAAGCGTTTTTCATGACTCTTGGTAGAATCTGCCAAAATCCTTTCCAAAAAGCCTGTAATGCCACTAGCATGTATAAAAGTACCAATTTCACTAAACTTTTACCGACTTTAGATGGCACATCATGGTTAATTCTAATTTGCATTTTTATTAACACCAAGAGTAACGATGTTTCTACATGGCTGTTCACTTAATTCATTTCTTATCTCTCTCTTTCCTTTGCCAGGTCACTTATTGGGACATTAATGATTTTCTTATGGTTTATGCTAATTACTATATTTAATCTGCTAATTATTTTTATATATTATACATTTATTAATTTTATAAGGAGAGTTACTCTTTGCCTAAGATATCTGCTTCAATTATTTCTTCAATTACTTTTTTAACTCAAAATACTTTTTATTTAGTCAAATGCATTTCAATTTTCCTTGGCGTTTTTTTCTTATTGTGTCTGACTTTCAAAGTCAGTGGTGTGCCAAAACAATTACAAAATAAATGCAGATCAGGTGCTGACATCATTTGGCCACACTTGGTTATAAATTTGTGACCCATGTGATTATCATCAAAATGAGAATATAATTTTAAAACTCCCACAGAGAACTCTGCAACATCTTACACTCATCCTGTAGTATCATAACCTCTGACTAGCATTTGTGTTACATAAAGAGCTTTAAATTTGGTTTTCCCTTCTCCCCTGTTCCTTCCTCAGTTTACTTAGAGGAACTGACATTTTTCTTATTTTTCTTAGTGCTTCTAATATTGTTTTTAATACAAAATTACCTCAATTATACTTTGTAACTATAGCATAATAAAAAGTAACATTCATTGCCCTTCCTTAATATTTTTATTTACATTTGATTATTACCTCTGTTTCCCTCTTACCACCCCTTCCTCCCCAATTCCAGCCTCCAATTCTTCATCTAGTTTTCTAAACCTAGTTTCTGAAACCAGTTTCCAAGCAACTTCCCCCATCACTAAAGTTGTGGAAAACATCCTCCATGGCACTTCAGATAACAGTGTATTTCAGGGGAAATACCTATTTTTAATTTAGCATGTGTCAGAACGACTTTCAGTTGCCATCCCATATTAATCGGAAATTAACTACTTCATTTTTATATAAAACCATTTTTTTAAAAAAAAGAATCTGATAGAATAACTCCATTGCACCGGCTTTTGCAGTTAGAAAGTCTGAAGTTATCCATACTTTGGCACTGTTGAAAATGATCTGTCAGCTCTATCGTCTACCTTTTCTTCTCTTTTAGGCTTTTCATTTGTTGGTCATTTTTTACATTGCATATAAATTGTCTGAATTTATTTTCTATTTCATTAATCCAAATTTATTACCCACTTAAAATGTTACAGAATATAATATAGACCAGGCACGGTGGCTCAAGCCTGTAATCCCAGCACTTTGGGAGGCTAAGGCAGGAGGACTGCTCAAGCCCTGGAGTTCAAGGTTGCAGTGAGCCATGATCATGCCACTGCACTCCTGCCTGGGAGACAGAGCAAGACCCCATCTCTAAGAAAAAATATATATAATATAAATGCTCCAAAATATTATTCCATTTTAATGTTTCTTAGCATTCATAATTTTAATGTTTTACTTATCCAAGTAATGCATAACATATGATCATTATGAAATTTGAAGTAAAAAAGTTTTATTTAGAGCATACAATGAAAGTCTCAGTTCATCATAACCCTAACCCATAATACCAGGCCAATTCCATAGTCATGTATAATCTTACAGAATTTTTTCACTGAATTTACATATCTAACTTTGAGACACATATGTTTTAATTTTACTTCAATGGGATCATAATATACAAAGTGTTCTAAAAAGCGCTTTATTCCCCTCACCAATATGTCTTAGAAATCTGCATATGTTGGCACCTTCAGATTTATATTAATCTTTTTAATAAGTATATAGTATTCCACAGTAGGTATTTAGCATTATTTATTTATTTATTTTTGAGACAGAGTCTCGCTCTGTCACCCAGGCTGGAGTGCAGTGGTGCGATTTTGGCTCACTGCAGACTCCACCTCCCAGGTTCACACCATTCTCCTGCCTCAGCCTCTCGAGTAGCTGGGACCACAGGCGCCCACCACCATGCCCGGCTAATTTTTTGCATTTTTAGTAGAGACGGGGTTTCGCCATGTTAGCCAGGATGGTCTCGATCTCCTAACCTCGTGATCCGCCTGCCTCGGCCTCCCAAAGTGCTGGGATTACAGGCATGAGCCACCGTGCCCGGCCAGCATAATTTATTTAATCATTCATTTTATTCATAACTTTTTTCAGTATTACAAATAATCCTCCCGAAACATATGTGAACATGCATTTTTTTGCACATGTATAAGTATTTCTATAGGATAGGTTCTAAGAAATAAAATTTTGGGATTAAAATCTATATGAATTAGTTTTTTTGGAACAATAGAACATATATATCCTACATATGAATATGTATATATAGAGTGTACATATTCACATGTGCATATGTGTCTGCATACATGCACACATGATTTTTAAAAATAAAATGGTAAAGATCATCTTCTAATAAAAAGTAACAGGTCCTTGCCCCATCCCACTCCTGTACTGGTGGCAACTCTTTTAAAACATGTCTGTGCTCCTTTCTGTGGTGATTACTTCCCTACCTCTACAAAATATGCTACATAGCTCTTTCTTAATTTACCAAAGCTAGACATTCCTTATAGGCCTTCTACTAGGACAAATGGGGATTTAGCTCATTTACACTCCCTTGCTGCTCTCTCCCACTCCTGTCACCATTTTACTAGTTACTCCACTCCTCTCACTTCCTCCAGTGGTCAACCCTGTAATTAGGAATATACTAAAGCCTCTGTGTTTTGTTTCATGATACGGGCAGCTGCTCAAATCCACACTTCATGATAATACCTCAGTACTCTCACCCTTCCCCTCCCAGCCCCTCCATCCCTTTCTTCCACTTCCATACCTACACCGTCTTAACCTTTACTGTTACAATAGCAAGGCTGGTGATATGGTTTGGCTGTGTCCCCACCCAAATCTCACCTTGAATTGTAATAATCCCCACGTGTGAAGGGCGGGACCAGGTGGAGATAATTAAATCATGGGGGCAGCTTCCCCCCGTACTATACTCATGGTAGTAAATAAGTCTCACAAGATCCGACGGTTTTATAAATGGGAGTTCCCCTGCACAAGCTCTCTTGCCTGCCACCACATAAAAGGTGATTTTGCTTCTCCTTCTGCCATGATTGTGAGGCCCCCTCAGCCATGTGGAACTGTGAGTCCATTAAACCTCTTTCCTTTATAAATTACCCAGTCTTGGGTATGTCTTTATTAGCAGCGTGAGAACAGACTAATACAGTTGGTAACATCTATGTCCTGTTCTGTAACCCTAAGCTAGTTTTTAAAGCTGAAAACAATAAATGTCATCTAATTATTATGTCTATGTATATACTGTTCACTGATGAATATTTTGTCTGCTAAGACTACATTTCCTTTTCTACTGGTCCAGCATCATAACGCCTGTGCTGCTTGATGAAGAATGTGCCTTTAAAATCCAGTTCCAGCATTTTCTACGTTTTTACATTTTCTAAGTTTGCAATCGTAGTCAGCATGGTAAATTGTTTTACGCTAACCCCATTTGATGGTCTTCTCTGTGATACTCCTTCCAGGCGGAGGATTACACCAGGGAGGCCATGTTTGCTTTGGCCAATAAAATGTGAGTAAACTTACTTCTGAGTCAATTTTAGAAGACAGCAAATGCTCAAAATATTTCCTTTTCCATTTCCCATAGCAATGTTCCAGATAGTTCATTCTAAAAACGACTCAAGATGACATGACATGGGTCAGAGCTGCAGTCAATCCTCAAAGGACACGTGACATAAGTATGAAATAAGCCTTTTTTGTTCTAAGCCACTGAGGTTTAGGATCATGTTTACCAAAGCAAAACCAAGCTAAAAATTAATGGTAATCTTAAGTATTCTGGGAATAAGCAGAAATATATTTTTAAAAGAAGAAAATAAAACTTTGTATTACTAAGTAAGAGGCAGAGCACTGACGACAAAATCTCAACTCCTTACACAAACCGGTCCTAACCTCCCTCTTTCCCTTCATCTCCTACAGCAGGAACCTTTCTCCCCATACTCTGGCTAACCTGGTCTTCATCATCATTTATTTTCCTTGAACACTTCCAGCTTGCTCTCTTCTCAGGATTTTTGAACGTGCAGTTCCCTCAGACTGGAATACTATTCCTCCAGAGCTCATGGCTGGCTCCTTCCTAGTTTTTAGAACTCAGCACAAATGTCAGGGAAACCCTGATCAGTTATTCAAGGCTATAATCTCCTTCCCACCCTCCACCTGGCAAAGGCTATAAAGGTACCATCTTTTCTTCTTCATAAGTCACTCTTCAGGCCGGGTGTGGTGGCTCACACCTGTAATCACAGCATTTTGGGAGGCTGAGGTGGGCAGATCACCTGAAATCAGGAGTTCAAAACCAGCCTGGCCAACATGGTGAAACCCTGTCTCTACTAAAATTACAAAATTTAGCCGGACGTGGTGGCGTGTGCCTGTAATCCCAGCTACTTGGGAGGCTGAGGCAGAAGAATCGCTTGAACCCGAGAGGTGGCGGTTGCAGTGAACCAAGATGGCGCCATTGCACTCCAGCCTGGGTGAGAGAGTGAGACTCCTTCTCAAATAATAATAATAATAATAATAATAACTCACTCTTCAAAATTATTTCACTTTTTAATTTGTAGACTGATGACTCATCGAAAAGCAAGCTCCATGAGAGAGGAGGCATGTTCTCTCTGTTGCTGTTCTCCCTCATGCCAGGGACAGCACCTGGCACATAGTAAGTACTCAACCCTATTTCTCAAATAAATGGAGGTTTAACTAGTGCTCTGACAGGATAGAAGAATGACTGATATTGTTAGGATACTTGTTCCCACCCAAATCTCATGTTGAAATGTAATCCCCAGTGTTGGAGGTGCGGCCTTGTGGGAGGTGTTTGGATCATGGGGGCGGATCCGTCATGAATGGCTTGGGCCATCCCCTTGGTGATAAGTGAGCTCTCACTCTGAGTTTGAGTGACCTGGTCATTTAAAAGTGTACGGCACCTCCTCGCTTCTCTCTCTCTCTCTCTCACTGGTTCACTTGCTGGTTCCTGCTTTTGCCATGTAAGGTGCCTGCTTCTGCTTCCTTCTGCCATGATTGGGAGCTTCTTGAGGCCTCTCCAGAAACAGAGGCCACTATGCTTTCTGCACAACCTGCAGAACTGTGAGCCAATCAAATCTCTTTTCTTATAAACTACCCAGTCTCATCAATTATAATCGATGTTTCAATCAAACATTCAGATAAAACAAACAGTCAGAATAAACTTCAGTGGAGTGTTAAAATTCTGTTTATAGATTTTATTGAAACAAACATTATTTTAAATATATTGGTAACAACAGCTCTTAGTAATATTTTCATTATGCAGATATTTTGTGATAGTGATTTTTAAAAGATAAATCATATATGTATTTTAAAAATTTAATGGCAGCATCAAAATGAAAGACCAACCTGTTGTTCATACCGCTGTCTGATGTCCTCCAGTTGCCATAAAAACTCCTTTGATTGTTTCTCACGAAGAGATTTGGATCTAGTTAGATCTGCCTCCACTTTTTCCATCTATAAAATTTAAAAATCAAATATTAATTTTTTAAACAAACAATTGTGTTCCATGTTTTTGTAATTTGTCCATTTGTTTAAATGACAGATTTTAAGCACCTCACCAATAATAATGATGAATTTAAATGTATTAAAATAATGAGACATTTATCAATTCATTTTAATATATTTTAATTATTTAAGGAGGGAAATTAAAATTGGTATATAATTGACTAAATTCTAAAATTACAACAATAATGCAGTGAAAATATAATTTAAGGCATTCTAATATTTATTGAACAAAATTTAATTAAGCCCTTGGTATGTGCTGAATGAGATAAAATATTTCCAAATCATATCTCTAATAAGAGACATATCTTGAATATATAAAGAACTCTTATAGCCCAATAATAAATGGATAATTAAACTCAATTTTAAAGTGGGCAAAGAGCCTGAATAGATATTTCTCCAAAAAGATATACAAAAGGCCAAAAAGCATTTGAAAAGATGCTCAACATCACTGTCTTTAAGCAACTACAAATTAAAACAAGAATGACATATCACTTCATGCCCCAAAGAATAGCAATAATAAAAAAGGACAAATAGTAACAAGTATTGGTAAAGACGTAGAGAAGTCAGAACCTTCAACACTGCTGCTGGGAATATAAAATGGTATAGACATGCTGGAATACAGTCTGTCTGACAATTCCTCAAAACATTAAATAGAGTTACATGTGTCCCAGTAGTTCCACTCCAAGGTAAGAAATGAGAACATACATCCACAAAAAACTTTGTCTACAAATGTTTATAGTAGCATTATTCATAACATCCAAAAAGAGGAAACCACCCAAATATCCATCAGTTGATAAATGAATAAACAAAACGTGGTATATTCTTACAGTAGAATATTATTCAATCATAAAAAGGAAAGAAGTATTAATACATGTACTCTGGGAGGCTGAGGCAGGAGGATCGCTTGAGCCCAGGAGTCGGAGACCAGTGTAGGCAACATAGTGAGACTGTGTCTCTACAAAAAAGAAAAAAAATTAGCCGAGCGTGGTGGCATGGGCCTACAGTCTCAGCTATTCGAGAGGCTAAGGCAGCAGGATCGCTTAAGCCCCAGAGGTTGTAGCTGCAGTGAGCCATGACTGCACCACTGCATTCCAGCCTGGGAAAAAGAGTAAGATCCTGTCTCAAAACAAAAATTAATTATAAATAGAAAAAAAACTAACACATGTTATAACATGGATGAGCCTTGACAGCATTAAGCTAAGTGTCACAACAGACCACATACTGTAGGATTCCATTTATATTAAATTTCCAGAATAGGCAAATCCATAGAAACAGAAAACAGATTAGTGGTTGCCTAGGGTGAGATGGTGATCTGGGACGGTAACTGTTAAAGGGTATGGTGTTTCTTTGGGGGAAGATGAACATTTTCTAAAATTGATTGTGATGATGTTTGCATAACATCCTGAATACATTTTTTAAAACCACTGAATTGTACACATACGAGTGAATTGTTGGTATGTGAATTTTATCTCAACAAAGCTGTTATTAAAAAAGAAAGCGGAAAAAGGAAAAGTCAAAGATTCCACCACACCCATGAGGCCTCACATAATCCAATCCCAGTGACCTCTCACAGCTCATCTCTACTGCTCTATCCCACTACCACCACCACAGTCCACCTACCTGCTGCCCAGGCCTATAATGTGTCAGAAGTGCTCTCACCTTGTGGGCAGGAGGTTCTGCCTGATATTCACACAGTTTCTTTCTCAAAGTATTGAGGCTTTGTTTAGCATCACCTTTGTACTGAGACCTTCTAGACCACTCAATTTTAAATTGTACATTGCAATTCCCCAGCCACTAAGTCCACCTAGTCCCCCTATCCCTGCTTAGCTACCCTTTTGTTCCACAGGATATATCACCTTCAGATTCACTATATAATCTACATCTTCATTAGGGCTGTTTGTAATGTCTCTCCTGCAGTGTAATGTCACCCCATGTTCACTGTCGTCAGTGAAATAGTATCAACGATTTATCACAGTGCCTGGCACATACAGGGAATCAATAAATACTAATCAAATGAAAACAAAGATTGCACAGTGTACCCAACTTGGTTCAAGACTTGCTGAATTTACAATTTCCAACGTTTAGTTCCAAATTCTTTAAAACACACACAAAATAAATAAAAGCATGTTGGATCTAACTTTTTCTATCACTTTGTCCATGTTATGATCAGATGCAATGAGAAAGAGATGTTCTTACAGTCATGAAAAAGCTCTCCATGTCAACAACATGAAAATGGTGCCTTTTATTCAAAGCAATGCAGTATTTTACTTGTCTTTAAACCCCTGCACATTTGGGTATAACTTAAGACAATATTTTTTGTCTGAGGCAATTACCAGCTAACGTGGCAACCATTCTACCACTGGCTACTTTATATTACTTATTATTCTGCTTCACTGGTATATGGAACTACTTGTACTTTGTTCAGCTTGTACACAATGCCTTCTTTCAGGTTACCTTTTGGTAAGCACTAAGATTAGTTAAGACACGAATATTGGAGGAAATGAACTATGAAAAATGCTTCTTTCACAGTTTTTCACAATATATTTGAAAAAAACATTTCAATGCATTTATTCAGACATGATTAGACTTTAAGGTTCTAGGAACAAAGATGTTCAGTGAAAGGCAACGAGTTTCACTGCATGAGAACAAAATGCATATTACCACCCACTACTGTGTCTAACACCACATTCCAGTTTCTGGTTCTTACATTGAAGTTTGAATGCCCTCTAGATTATAGCATGCTATTTAGCACCCAAGTATTTCTTTGTAAATACCAAGGATTGCAATCCCAAAAATATTAAGTCATCAGTGTAAAATTCAATTAGAGTTCTAAGATTACTGATTCATAGATAATTAGTATTGTGGTCAAGAATAAATTTAAGGAATGATTAAAGGAAGCACAGTCAAGCACACTTTGGTTTTTTGTTTCTAACTCAAGACTTTGGTTTCAAGACTCTCTTTCTTTCAGTGCTTTTCATATTGGACCTCAAGTGAGATTCTCCTTAATCTGTCCTCGGCAATCCAGACTCCAGTACCCTTGATATTTTCCAAGCAAGCCATGGCTGTTCTTGACTCTAGGGCCTTTTGCCCATCATACTATCAGTAGGTCTTTTCATTTTTTTTTTTCATCCAGTCAGTCTTTTCAAAGTTGACTCAGGTTTTCCTTCTTCTCTAAGGTGTTCTTTAATCCCACTAACTGAATAAATGCCTTCCTTCTCTCTATGCTCTAGGACTTAACATCTTTATTCTTCTAGCACATTGTGTATTTCTCTATAAAATGGAAATGTTTCAAATATGTAAGCTTTGTTTAGTAATGCAGATAATGAGCCCACAAATAAAAGAACTATGGCAAGTCTTTCTTTTGTATATTTATTAAATAGCTGCCATGGTATGCGAAGTAAAGATGTATTAAATTCTTAAGGATGAGGAGGAGGGACATCAGCAAGATGGTAGAATAAAAGTTCCACAGCTCCAGTCTATCTCATAGAAATCCAACTAGCAACAATTCACAGACAAGAAAACCTTCGTGAATATTCCAGAACATAGGAGTGAGGCTGACACATGCTCTTGGATTACAGAACTAACAAAAGTCACATTACAAAAATAATAGAAATGGTTTCACGTTGACTGTATCATCTCTCCCACAAACCACCATAGTGCCACACAGAGAGGATTCCCCTGGGCCCATGGTTTCTACAGTGGGAAAGAGGTGAACATCCAGCTTTCCCAGCATTCCAAGATGTTTGGCAGGAGGCCCACTTCTGCCTCGCCTTAAAAGGAACATTGGGAGTATTAGCAGGGCTAGAACATCTGAGATCAGCTATAAACAATGAAGGGAAAATGGAGCTCACAGCAACCTCTGCATTCTGGCCAGTGGAGGCACCCAACCAGAGAGAACAACAAATAGCATCACTGAGCAGGAAGCACAGTTGACAGATCTGCCAAGCTCAAGTCCCTAGCCAGATTTGCCACCCAGCCTCAGAGCTTGGCATACTTCCCCAGGCTCAGAGGCAAGCCCAGATCCCTGCATATCTGCAGAGCAGAGCATGTAGTCCAATACAATCTTAGCAGTGATTGCCCCTGTCTAGTGTTGGAGCCCAGCCTGAGGTGCAGGCAGGGAGCCAAGCCCAAAACTACACATAATTGTGGGCATAGCATCTAGCTTTGCCCATCTGAGTGGCTGGCTGAGCAGCAACCCCAGAGACCTTGACAGCATTGGAGTCTGACCTTCAGCCCTGTCCAACTACAGATTTCAAACATGAGTACCACCATGCCAGGGAACCCAGCCTGCAACCCTGCCTAATCAGAGGTTATCACAGAGCCCAGCCAGCAGCTGTGCTTGATTATGCAGCCTAGCCAATGGTCTCACTGGACTGTGAAGCACAACCAGGAGCCACACCTGACTTCATATAACAGGCAGCAGCCCCTCGTAACTAAAGAACCCAATAGCAAAATCTGCTTGCTCATGGTCACTATCAGCTGGTCCATCCAGAATCTTAGGCTAGACTAAATATTGAAAGTGTCCATCCCCACCAAAGGACATCTACAAAGGCCAAAAGAGGAAGCCAATTCATCAAACGTACAGACATGAAGGTAAGTACACAAAGATTACAAAAAAAATCAAGGAAATATACGCCACAAAAAGAAACTAAGAGAGAAAGCTCCAACAATGAACCCTAAAAATATGAGGATCTATAAAATGACTGACAATTCAGAATATTCCTTCTAAGAAGATCACGGATGTATTAGTTTGTTCTTGCATTGCTATAAAGCCCTGAGAGTGGAATTTATAAAGGAAAAGAGGTTTAATTGGCTCACAGTTCAACAGGCTGTACAGGAAGCATGATGCTACCGTCTGTTCAGCTTCTAGAGGGGCCTCAGGAAACTTACAATCATGGCAGAAGGCAAAGGGGGAACAGGTGCATCACATGGCTAGAGTAGGAGCAAGAGAGAGTGAGGGCGAAGGTGCCACACACGTTTAACAACCGGATCTCATGAGAACACCCTCACTTCCACGAGAACAGCACCAAGGGGATGATGCTAAATCATTCAGGAGAACCCGCCCCCATGATTCAATCACCTCCCGCCAGGCCCAGACTCCAAAACTGGGAATTACAATCTGAAATGAAATTTGGTTTGGGACACAGATCTACACCGTATCAATAGAATTATAAGAAAATATGGATAGAAAAGTAAATAAAACTTGGAAAACAATATGCAGACAAAAGAATTAGTTTGACAAAGGAACGGAAATTATTTTTAAAAATAGAAATCCTAGAGATAAAGAATACAATAACTAAACTGAAAAATTTTATTAAAAGCTTGAACATCAGACTCAAACAAATAGAAGAAAGAATCAGTGAGTTCAAAGACAGGACATTTAAAATTATTGAGTCACAGGAGCAAAAAGTAAAAAGAATAAAGAAGGCTTATGAAAATTATGGGACACCATCAAGAGACCTAACTTTCACATAATAGGAGATCCAAAGGAGAAGAGAGAGAGAAATGCCCCCCAAAAAAGCATATTTAAGAAAATAATGGCTGAAAGCTTCCCAAATCTAGAAAAACATGTCAATATCCAGGGACAGAAGATTCAGAGGTTACAATCGAATTCAACCCAAAGACAGTTCACGAAGACACATCATAATCAATTATCAAAAATCAAAAACAAAGAAAGAATTCTGAAAACCAAAAGACAGAAGATACATATCACATACAAGGGAGTTGTAACATGGCTATCAGCAGATTTCTCAGCAGAAACCCTGCATGCCAGGAGACAGTGGGAAGATATATACTCAAAGTACTGAAGGAAAAAAGCTGTCAATCAAGAATACTCTACCTGGCAAAGTTATCCTTCAGAAATAAGAGAGAAGTAAAATCTTCCCGCACCTCCATCTTCCCCCGAAAATGAGGGAGGTCATCACCATGAGTCTTGCCTTACAGGAATTATGAAAAGGAGTTATTTAAGCTGAGAAACAGTCACTTTCATATGCTAATAACATAAAACATATGAAAGTAAAAAACTCAATGGTATAAGTAATACATAGTCATACTCAGAAGACTTTAGTGCTGTAAGTATGGTGTGTAAAGCAATTTTATCTCTAGTATGATGCTTAAAAAACAAAACTTTTAAAAGCAACTATAACTGCAATAAACTGTTAAGGGAGGCCAGGTGTGGTGACTCATGTCTGTAATCCCAGCACTTTGGGAGGCTGAGGTGGGCAGACCACTTGAGCTCAGGAGTTCAAGACCAGCCTGGGCAACATAGTAAGACCCCATCTCTACTAAAAATACAAAAGTTACATGGGCACAGTTGTGTGTGCCTGTAGTCCCCGCTACTCGGGAGGCTGAGGCACGAGAACTGCTTGAACCTGGGAGGCGGAGGTTGCAATGAGCTGAGATTACACCACTGCACTACAGCCTGGGTGACAGACCAAGACTCTGTCTCAAAAAAAAAAATTGTTAAAGGATACAAATTATAAAAAGCTGTAAATTGTGAAATCAAAAACATAAAATTAAGGGAGAATAAAAGTGTACAGTTTTTATATGCAATAAAGTTATTATCATCTTGAAGTAGCCTGTTATAAGTAGAAGATGTTTTATGTAAGTTGCATGGTAACCACAAAGTAAAAACCTATAGTAGTTGCACAAAACATAAAAAGAAAGGATTCAAAGCATATCACTACAGAAAATCATCAAACTGCAAAGAAAGATAGCAAGTGAGGAAGAAAAAAAGAACAAAGAATCTACAAAACAACCAGAAAATAAATTACAAAATGGAAGTACTGAATCCTTACCTATCAATAATTACTTTGAATATAAATGAACTAAATTCTCCAATCAAAAGACATAAAGTAACTGGATAAATAAACAAAACTCAACTACATGTTTCCTACAAGAGACTCATGTCATGTTTATGGACACAAATAGACTAAAAGCGAAGGGATAGAAAAGATATTTCATGCAAATAGAAATGAAAAGAGAGCAAGGGTAGATATATTTAAATTGGATAAAATAGAGTACATTAGTCCATTCTCACACTGCTATCAAGACATACATGAGACTGGGCAATTTATGAAGGAAAGACATTTAATTGACTCACAGTTCAGCATGGCTGCGGAGGCCTCAGGAAATTTACAATCATGGTAGATGGCAAAGGGGAAGAAAGACACCTCCTTCACAGGGCAACAGGACAGAGTGAGTACAAGCAAGGGAAATGCCAGATGTTTATAAAACCATCAGCTCTCATGAGACTCACCCACTATCAAGAGAACTGCATGGGGGAAACCACCTCCATGATCCAATTACCTCTACCTGGTCCCACACTTCATACGTGGGGATTATGGGGATTACAATTTGAGGTGAGATTTGGATGGGGACACAGAGCCAAACCATATCATAGAATTTAAGTCAAAACTGTAAAATGAGAAACAGAAGGTCATCATATAGTGATAAGGGGCTCCACTCATCAAACGGATATAACAATTACAAACATATACATACCCAATATAACAGCACCTAAATATATAAAGCAAATATTCATAGATATGAAGGAAGAGATAGACTGTAATACAATAACAGGAGAGAACTTCAGTACTACACTCTCAACAGTAGACAGATCATCCACATAGAACATCAATAAGGAAACATCAGACTTAAACTACACTTTAGAGCAAATGTACCTAAAAGACATTATGCTCAGCATTCCATCCAGCAGCAAGAGAATACACTTATGTCTCAAGTACAACATGAAACATTCTGCAGAACTATGTTAGGCTACAAAACAAGTCTTAACAAATTTAAGAGGATTTAAATAATATAAAGTGTCTTTTTCAATCACAATGGTATGAAATTAAAAATCAATTAACAGGAGAAACCTTGGAAAATTCACAAATATGTGAAAATAACATAATCCTGAACAACCAGTAAGTCAAAAAAATCAAAAGAAAAATTAAAAAAAAACTTGAGACAAACAAAAACGGGACACAGGATGCCAAAACTTATGGGATATAGCAAAAGGAGTCCTACAAGGGAAATTAATGGCATTTTTTTAAAAAAAGAAAGACAAACCTCAAATCAACAACCTAATATTATACCTCAGAACTAAAAAAAAGGAAAAATGAACTAAGCCTAAAGTTAGGAGAAGGAAGGAAGTCATAAAGATCAGAGCAGAAAAAAATGAAATAGAGACTAGAAAAACAATAAAAAAGATCAATGAAACTACGAGTTGGTTTTTCAAAAAAATAAAATTTACTAAACATTAGCTTGACTAAGAATAAAAGAGAAGACTCAAATAAATAATATCAGAAATGAAAGGGCAGACTTTAAAATCGATAATATAGAAACACAAAAACAAGGGAGAATTACGAACCACTATACATCAACAAATTGTATAGCTGAGGAAACAGATGAATTCCTACACATATAGAACCTACCACGACTGAGTCATGAAGAAATAGAACATCTGAACAGACCAGCAATGACTAAGGAGACTGAATCATTAGCAAGAAACTTCTCAACAAAGAGAAGCTCAGGACATGATGAAAAAGAGAAGCTTCTCAACAAAGAGAAGCTTCAGCTCACTGCTGAATTCTACCAAACATTAGAAGAACTAATATCAATCCTGCTCAAACTCTTCCCAAAAAACTGAAGTAGAGGGAATATTTCCAAACTCATATCATAAGGCCAATGTTACCCTGATACCAAAAACACACAAGGACACAAGGAAAGAACATTACAGGCCAATATCCCTAATGAACATAGATGCAAAAATCTTCAATAAAATACTAGCAATAAAAAAACAAAACCCAGAATTCAACAACACATTAAAATGATCAGCTAACCACGATCAAGAGGAATTTATCCCTGGGATGCAAAAGTGTTTCAACATATGCAAATCAATAAATGTTAGACAACGCATTAATAAAATGAAGAATAAAAACCACATGATTATCTCAATAGATGCAGAAAAATCACTTGCCAAAATTCAACATCATTTCATAATAAAAACTCTTAACAAATTAAGTATAGAAAAAAAGTCTCTCCGTCTACCTCTCCCCCTCCCCCTCCCCCTCTCCCCACGGTCTCCCTCTCCCTCTCTTTCCACGGTCTCCCTCTGATGCCGAGCCGAAGCTGTACTGTACTGCCACCGTCTCGGCTCACTGCAACCTCCCTGCCTGATTCTCCTGCCTCAGCCTGCCGAGTGCCTGCGATTGCAGGCGCACGTCACCACGCCTGACTGGTTTTCGTATTTTTTTGGTGGAGATGGGGTTTCGCTGTGTTGGCCGGGCTGGTCTCCAGCTCCTCACCGCGAGTGATCCGCCAGCCTCGGCCTCCCGAGGTGCCAGGATTGCAGACAGAGTCTCGTTCACTCAGTGCTCAATGGTGCCCAGGCTGGAGTGCAGTGGCATGATCTCGGCTCGCTGCAACCTCTACCTCCCAGCTGCCTGCCTTGGCCTCCCAAAGTGCCGAGATTGCAGCCTCTGCCCGGCCGCCACCCCGTCTGGGAAGTGAGGAGCGTCTCTGCCTGGCTGCCCAGTCTGGAAAGTGAGGAGCATCTCTGCCCGGCCGCCATCCCATCTAGGAAGTGAGGAGCGCCTCTTCCCGGCCGCCATCCCATCTAGGAAGTGAGGAGCGTCTCTGCCCGGCTGCCCATCGTCTGAGATGTGGGGAGCGCCTCTGCCCCACCGCCCCGTCTGGGAGGTGAGGAGCGTCTCTGCCCGGCCGCCCCGTCTGAGAAGTGAGGAGACCCTCTGCCTGGCAACCGCCCCGTCTGAGAAGTGAGGAGCCCCTCTGCCCGGCCAGCCGCCCCGTCCGGGAGGGAGGTGGGGGGGGTCAGCCCCCCACCCGGCCAGCCGCCCCGTCCGGGAGGGAGGTGGGGGGGTCAGCCCCCCGCCCGGCCAGCCGCCCTGTCCGGGAGGTGAGGGGCGCCTCTGCCCGGCCGCCCCTACTGGGAAGTGAGGAGCCCCCCGCCCGGCCAGCCGCCCAGTCTGGGAGGGGGGTGGGGGCGTCAGCCCCCCAGCCCAGCCAGCCGCCCCGTCTGGGAGGGGGGTGGGGGGGGTCAGCCCCCCGCCCGGCCAGCCGCCCCGTCCGGGAGGTGAGGGGCGCCTCTGCCCGGCCGCCCCTACTGGGAAGTGAGGAGCCCCTCTGCCCGGCCACCACCCCATCTGGGAGGTGTGCCCAGCGGCTCATTGAGAACGGGCCATGATGACAGTGGCAGTTTTGTGGAATAGAAAGGGGGGAAAGGTGGGGAAAAGATTGAGAAATCGGATGGTTGCCGTGTCTGTGTAGAAAGAAGTAGACATGGGAGACTTTTCATTTTGTTCTGTACTAAGAAAAATTATTCTGCCTTGGGATCCTGTTGATCTGTGACCTTACCCCCAACCCTGTGCTCTCTGAAACATGTGCTGTGTCCACTCAGGGTTAAATGGATTAAGGGCGGGGCAAGATGTGCTTTGTTAAACAGATGCTTGAAGGCAGCATGCTCCCTAAGAGTCATCACCACTCCCTAATCTCAAGTACCCAGGGACACAAACACTGCGAAAGCCCGCAGGGTCCTCTGCCTAGGAAAACCAGAGACCTTTGTTCACTTGTTTATCTGCTGACCTTCCCTCCACTATTGTCCTATGACCCTGCCAAATCCCCCTCTGGGAGAAACACCCAAGAATGATCAATAAAAAAAAAAAAAAAAAAGAAAGAAAAAAAAATACCATAACATAATAATCAACATGTATGACAAGCCCACAGGTAAAATCCTACTCAATGGTGAAAAGCTGAAAGCTCTTCTTCTAAGATTTGGAATTAGACAAGGATGTCCACACTTATTTTCAACATACTAGTAGAAGTCCTAGCCAGAGTAATTTGGCAAGATAATGGGGAAAAAAGGCATCCTAGTAGGAAAGGAAGAAGTAGAATTGTCTCTGTATGCTGATGACATAAACTATATACAGAAAACCCTAAGGATTCCACACACACACACAAAAACTGAATTGATAAATGAATTCAGCAGAGTTGAATAAAATCAACATTCAAAAATCATCTGTGTTTCTATACAATAGTAACAAACGATTCAAAAAAGATTTTTTTTTTTGAGACAAAGTCTTGCTCTGTTGCCCAGGCTGGAGTGCAATGGCAAGATCTCGGCTCACTGCAACCTCCGCCTCCCAGGTTCAAGCAATTCTCCTGCCTCAGCCTCCTGAGTAGCTGGGATTACAGGTGCTCGCCACCATGCCCAACTAATTGTTGTATTTTTTGTAGAGATGGGGTTTGACCATGTTGGTCAGGCTGGTCTGGAACTCCTGACCTCAGATGATTCACCTGCCTCAGCCTCCCAAAGTGTTGGGATTATAGATGTGAGCTAGCACTCCCAGCCCAAAAAAGAAATTTTTAAGAATCTCATTTATAATAGCAATAAAAATAAAATAATTAGTATTCATTTATTCAAAGAGGCAAAAGATGTATACATTGAAAACTATAAAACACCAATGAAAAAAATTAAGGAAAACACGGGTAGAAACATATCCTGTGTTCTCGGATCAGAAGAATTAATAGTGTTAAAATGCCCATACTACCCAAAGCAATCTACAGATTCAAGCAATTCCTATCAAAATGCCAATGTCATTTCTCACAGAAATAGAAAAACCAATCCGAAAATTGGTATGGAATCATAGAAGACTCCAAATAGCCAAAGCAATCTTGAACAATAAGTAACAACAACAAAGCTGGAGGCATCACACTACCTGACATCAAAATATAATAAAAAACTACATTAATCAAAACAGCATGGTATAGGCACAAGAGCTGATACATTAGCCAGAGGAACAGGATAGAGTTCAGAAATAAACATCCATTTATAGACAATTGATTTCAATAAAGGTGCCAAAATCACACAATAGGAGAAAGGATGGTCTCTTCAATAAATGGTACTGAGAAAAGTGGCTATTCACATACAGAAAAAAATGAAATTGGGTTTTTATCATACACCATATACAAAAATATACTCAAAATGGATTAAAGACTTAAATATAAAAGTTGAAGCTCTAAAACTAGTAGAAAATACAGGGAGAAAGCTTCCTGACATCAGTCTTAGCAAAGATTTCTTGGATATGACAATAAAAGCACAGGCAACGAAGGCAAACACAGACAAATGGAATTACATCAAACTAAAATGTTTCTGCACAGGAAACTAAACAATCAACAAAGTAAAAAAACAACCTACAGAATGAAAGAAAATATCTGCAAACCATACATATTATAAGGGATTGATATTCAAAATATATAAAGAACACAAATAACTCAATAGCAAGAAAAATAAACTGATTAAAAAACAGGCAAAGGACCTAACCAGATATTTCTCAAAATAAGACATAAAAATGCCCCACAAGCTGATGGAACAAAATGCTCAACATCACTAATTAGGGAAATGCCAGTTCAAACTACAATGAGATATCACTTCACAACTGTTAGAACAGTTTTTATCAAAAAGATGAAAGTGAACAAGTGCTGCTGAGGATGTGGAGAAAAGGGAACCCTTGTACACTGCTGGTGAGGATGTAAATTAGTATAACCACTACAGAAAATGTATAGAATTTCCTCAAAAAACTAAAAATAGAACTACCATTTTTTCATCCAGCAGTCCCACTACTCAGCATAAATCAAAGGAATTGAAATCAAAATTTCAAAGAGATATATACACTCCCATGTTCATTGCAGCATTATTCACAATAGACAAGATATGGAATCAACCTATGTATCCATTGAAGGATAAAGGGATAAAGAAAATGTGGCATGTATATATCTTGGAATACTATTCAGCCTTTAAAAATAAGGAAATTCTGTCATTTGTGATAACATGGATAAACCTGGAGGACATTGTGTTAAGTTAAATAAGCCAAGCACAGAAAGACAAAATGGCATGATCTCACTTACAGGTAGAATCTAAAAAAGTTGAACTCAGAAGTAGAGAGTACAATGGTAGTTAGGAAAGGCTGGGCGAGAGTAGGAAAAGGGAATTGGGAGATACTGTTCAAAGGGTACAAAGTTTCACTTAGACAAGAAGAATACTTTCTAGTGATCAACTGCAGAGCATAGCGACTATAGTTAATAATATATATTTCAAAATTGGTAAGAGAGTATATTTCAAATAGTCACCACAAAAAACCAGTAAATGAGGTTATGGCTATGTTAATTAGCTTGTTTTAATCATCTACATTGTGTGCATGTGTGCATTTTGATATATGTATCAAAACATCACATTGTATCTCATAAATATATACAATTATGATTTGTCAATTAAAAATATAAAAAATTAAAATTAAAATTATTTGGGGTCAAAAAAATCTCTTAAGGATGAAATGGTAAGCAAAAGTGACACAGGAACTAAACAGAAGGTAAATCAAGGATGGTAGGCCTGATATATTCAGCATTTTTAAGACAAATCTACATATAAAATTGGTTTTTGTTTCTTTTACTTTGGGCAAGTTGAAATATTAAAAATAAATAATAAACATTAAAATATTTAAAATGTTAAACATTTAAGTACTTAAAATAGAAGAATTTTATGTACTCAAAGTTGGTAAAAATAGATTATCTTCTATCTAAATAATTTAAAACACATTAAAAGGCTTTTGTATCAAAAGATTTTAAAAAATTCAAAGTAAATAACAACTGATATTATAACAAAACAAAATGCATGTTATTTTAGATGATACTGACCGAAAATGCCAGACCCCATTCCATTCTCTTTTCACAATATAACAAAAATTCAAAAATCATCTTACAAAACACTTTGTAGAAAAACACAGCGTTCTCAGTTGCCATAGATACACAACATTCTGCTTCATCATGCAATATTCTGTATTCCATTCAACTTCAAGTAAAAAGAAATACATAAAGGAAACGTCTTTATTGTGTAACTCAGGCTTCAAGAGAACCTAAGATTAAAACCTAGTGGCCAAAAAAGGTACAGAAAAGGGCTTGAGTACATTTCTGTGGCTGTTTAGTGTTCAAAGATAATAAAGTGTGTTAGGTTTTTTTTTGTTTTGTTTTGTTGTTTTTTTTTTGGAGACAGTGTCTTGCTCTGTGGCCCAGGCTGGAGTACAGTGGCACAATCTCAACTCACTGCAACCTCTGACTCCCAGTTAAAGCGATTCTTCTGCCTCAAGTCTTCCAAGTAGCTGGGATTACAGACAAGTGTGAGCCACCACACCTGGCTTGAAGTGTATTAGATTTTCCTGATATGGTGCTTCAAAAATTACTTGTTGGTATACGTAAGAGAAAGCCCACGTATCCATAGCTTTAACAAGGGGTCCCCAACCCCCAGGGCCATGGACTGGTACTGGTCCTTGGCCTGTTAGGAACCCTGCATCCAGCAGGAGGTGAGTGGCAGGGTGAGTGAGCATTACCACCTAAGCTCCACCTCCTGTCAGATCAGTGTTGGCATTAGGAAGATTCTCACAGGAGCGTGAACCCTATTGTGAACTGTGCATGCGAGGGATCTAGGTTGTACACTCCTTAAGAGAATCTAATGCCTGATGATCTCAGGTGGAACAGTTTCATCCCCAAACCATCCTTCAGGTCCATGGAAAAGCTGTCTTCCAGAAAACTAGTACCTAGTACCAAAAAGGTTGGGTACTGCTGGTTTAAATAGTATAGGTGCTTATTTTTTTTTCCCTTATGTTACAAAAAGTTCAGAAGTAGTCTGCTACATTGGCAGCTCAAAGATGTCAGGGCAACTGCAATTCAGCCTTCTCCTAGCAGTTGCAAAATGGTTTCTGTAGCTTTGCATATCTGGAAAAGGAAGGGTAAAGGGTGAAGGGTAAAGACTGAAGGGCAAAGGGTAAGTATCAGGTGAGTTGAATCCCCTTTTAGGGGGCTTTCCTGCAAGTTCCTGCCGATAGCAAATTAATTATCCTATTTGCATCTCAACTTACTTGAACTACATTAAATGTCCAGCTCCATCTACAAAGTAAGAGTATAGTTTTAAAACTGTGTCTCATGTTGCCCTAAGTAAAATCAAGGTTCTATTACTAATAAAGTAGGAATGTATATTGGATGAGCATCTGGCAGTCTCCATCAGATACAGTCATAATAAATCATTACTCTTTCTCCAGTAAAGTACTATTGTGTTATTATACTCTAAGTAATTTGACATATACAATTCATATTATACAATTATGCAATTATATATAAGTACACAATTCAAAATATATTTTGTTGTATTTAATACATATTTAAGGTGTAAGAAATAATTCTTCAAATATTTTCATATGTAGCTAGACAGATACATAGATATGAATAGATAGGCTTAAGGTGTAAGAAATAATCCTTCAAATATTTTCATATGTAGCTAGATAGATACATAGATATGAATAGATAGGCAGGCTGGCAGATAGACATAAATGGCAGAAAGATAAACATTTATTTCTGTGCCTGGCTAAAGAACAAATTGGAACTAGTGTTCTCAACAAGAAAAATCAATGACCATGTTAACTGATGATATCTGTAGTGCATTTGTGAAAGACAATCATCAGTTGATATAAGAAAGACAACATGTCTTATATGTATGTTAGTGTGGGTGAAGAAAGGTATGAAATAGGAGAGGTAGGAAATGTAGAAATATTTCTAGACATTTAACTACATTACTAACACCATAAAAGTTTACCTAAACAAAACAACAAGCCTAACATATCTATTTGTCTGAAAAGGATTTTATTTCTCCTTCACTTATGAAGCTTAGTTGCCCGATAAGAAATTCTGGGTTGGAAATTCTTTTCTTTAAGAATGTTGAATATTGGCCGCCAATCTCTTCTGGCTTGTAGGGTTTCTGCTGAGAGGTCTACTGTTAGTCTGATGAGTTTCTCTTTGTAGGTGACCTGGCCTTTCTCTCAGGCTGCCCTTAACATTTTTTCCCTTCATTTCTACCTTGGAAAATCTCATGATTATGTGTCTTGGGGTTGATCTTCTCATGGAGTATCTTACTGGGGTTCTCTGAATTTCCTGAATTTGAATGTTGGCCTATCTTGTTGTGTTGGGTAAGTTCTCCCGGATGATATCCTGAAGTATGTTTTCCAACTTGATTCCATTCTCCCTGTCTTTTTCAGGTACACCAATCAGTCATAGGTTTGGTCTTTTTACATAATCTGATAGTTCTCAGAGGTGTTGTTCATTTATTTTCATTCTTTTATCTCTAATCTTTTCTGCCTGTCTTATTTCAGCAAGATCTAAATTATTTTCCCTGGTCTACTTAACTTTTGAGACTTGTCGTTGCATTGTGAAGTTCTATGCAGCCATAAAAAGCAATGAGATCATGTCTTTGCAGGGACATGGATGGAGCTGGAAGCCATTATCCTCAGCAAACTAACACAGGAACAGAAAACCAAACACTGCATGTTCTCACTTGTAAATAGGAGCTGAACAAAGAGAACACATAGACACAGGGAGGGGAGAGCATCAGGATAAATAGCTAATGCATGTGGGTCTTAATACCTTAAGTGATGGGTTGAAAGGTGCAGTAAACCCCCATGGCACATGTTTACCTATGTCACACCTGCATGTCCTACACATGTATCCCAGAATTAAAATCAAATCAAATTACATTTTTTAGAAATCCATTAATGAATTAACTATTCTTCCCTGCTCAAAGCACTGCCCCTTACTTCATTATTCTACTACTTTTAGATAATCAGCTTTCATATATCTTAAGAATCATATTTCTTTATTAATAAAAGAAAAGCAATAAAGTTAAATGGGTTATTATTACAGTTATTTTCATGAACATCATAATTGTTGCAGAATATCACTAACATTTTGGAAACACAGTTAAAGAAATTAAAACTCTATTTTTTTTTTGTTTTTGTGTTTTGGAGAAAGGGTCTTGCTCTGTCGCTCAGGCTAGAGTGCAGTGCGGTGGAGTGACCATGGCTCACTATAACTTCAAATGGCTGGGCTCAAGTGATCATCTTACCTCAACCTCTGGAGTAACTGGTACCATAGTTACATGCCATTTTGTCCAGATAATTTTTTAATTTTTTGTCAAGATAGGGGGTCTCCTTCTGTTTCCCAGACTGACTCCTGGGCTCAAGTGATCATCTCACCTCAAAAGTTCTGGGATTATAGGTATGAGTCACCACGCCTGGCCAAAACACTTTCTTACATATTAAAATAATAAATTCCTTTTGGACAAGTATTAACATTCTAAAAAACATTTTATTGAAATATAATAAATCTAAAGAAAAGGGAACATGGATGATTTTCTCAAATTGAATACCTCCATGTAACTAGCACTCAGGTCAATAAATTGTATCTCAGAAGTCATTACCTCTCCATCCAAGAATAACTTGCATTCACTAATTTTGTTTGGTTCTGTTTCTAACATAAATGGATTCATATAATAAAAACTGTTTGTGATCTTTGTGGCTGATTTCGTTCAACTTTACATCTGTGAAATTCAAACATGTTATTAGGTAGATTTGTAGACTCTTCATTCACATTGCTGTATAGTACTCCGTTGTGTGACTAGACCACAGTTTACTTATCCATGTTACTTCTGATGGATTTGGGCATTTTCCAGTTTTTTTACTATTATAAATCATGCTGCTATTAATATTCTAGTACATGTCTTTTTGTCAAGTACATACATATTTCAGTAGGGCACATATGTAGGTGCAGAATAGCTGAGAATAAGGCACGCATATATTTAGTTTTCTTAGATATTGTCAAATAGTTTTCCAAAATGGTTGTACCCATTTATATTCATATTAGTAGTATACATCAGTTTCATTGTTCCACCATTCTTGTAAACACTTTTTATTTTCTGTTTCATTTAAGGCATTCCATTGGATGTGTAATAGTATAGCATTGTGGTTTTATTTTTGCATTCCCCTGATGACTAAAGAAACTAAGCCCCTTTTTATTTATTTTTTTTGAGATGAAGTCTCGCTCTTGTCCCCCAGGCTGGAGTGTAATGGTGCGATCTCGGCTCACTGCAACCTCTGCCTCCCAGGTTCAAGTGATTCTCCTCCCTCAGCCTCCCGAGTAGCTGGGATTACAGGTGCCTGCCATCATACCCGGCTAATTTTTGTATTTTTAGTAGAGATGGGGTTTCACCATGTTGGCCAGGCTGGTCTCAAACTCCTGACCTCAGGTGATCTGCCTGCCTCGGCCTCCCAAAGTGTTGGGATTACAGGCATGAGCCACCATGCCCAGCCCTAAGCCCCTTTTTATATGTTAATTGGCCACTATGAAATCAACTTTTGTGAAATATCTGTTCAAGTATTTTACCCATTTGTCCATTTGAAGTCAGCCCTTATTGATTCACAGTTCTTTATCTATTCTGGATATGAGTCTTTTGTTCAACACATGAATTTCAATTATCTTCCCCAACCTGGAGTGCCCTTTCACCTTTGTACTGGTCTCTTTTGATGAATAGAAGTTCTTAATTTCAATGAAGCCCAATTTTAAAATATTTTGTTTTTTATGCCTTTTTGTTTCCTATTTAGAAAATCTTTATCTATTCCCAACTATCAAAAATGTTCCTACATCTTCGTTTGAAAATTTAATCGTTTTACCCTTCATTTGTATATTTACAATCCTTTTGGAGTTAATTTCATAAATGGGGTAAAATAAGGGGCAAGATTCTTTTTCCCCCCATATGACTATCTACTTGATACTGCACCATTTATTGAATTGGTCATTTTTTTCCCCATTGCACTGCTCTAGCTCCTTTTGACATGAATCAGACTGATCATATAGGTGTGGGTGTTTTTGGTCTCTTTCTTCTGTTCCACTGGTCATCTTGTGCCAATATCACACTCTATTAATTACCATGGTTTAACAGTATCCTCAATATCTGATAACATAAGTTCTCCAATTGCATTCTTCTTCAAGATTGCCTTCACTTTGCATTTCATGTACATCTTGAAATCAGCTTCAGAGTCCCCCTCTGTTCCCCTAAAATGGCACTGTTAAGATTTTGATTTTTTAAAATTTTTTTTATTTTTAAGATTTTGATTTTTATAATTATGGTGATTCTATAGATTTAAGAACTGCCATTTTTATAACATGGAGACTTCAAATCCATACACATGATATATCCCTCAGCTTATTCAGGTCTTCTTTAGTTTCTCTCAACAACACTTTCTAGTTTCAGAACAGAGACCTTGTGCATCTTTTGTTAGATTTATTCTTGGGTAAGTGATGCTTTTTGATATTACTATAAATGGCATCTTCTTCAAGTTTTATTTTGTATTTGTGCTGGTAGGTACGAATAAAATGTATTTGTAAAATGTATTTGTATATTTGTATACAAAATTTACTTGTATATTTATTTATATTTAGTGACCTAAGTTCATTACCAATAACATTTTAACAAGCAAACATTTTAAGAAACTCATAGTCACACAAAGATGTCACAATGCAGATATGTGCATAACTCATTGGGCTACCTTAGATGACTCTCCTCCGTGCTCTCTTAATGACCTGTGAACTCCACTAGTTACACCTTCTATTATAATCATACACCTTTATGCATTGGTCTATCACACAAGCCACAAACATGCCTATAAATAAGCTGTGTATTCCCAGAATCTACAACAGTAGCTAGTAGAGAGCAGGTATTCATAAATTTTTTATGAATAAATGAAAGAAAAAATCCCGTCTGTTGAATCCTTTGACTGGCCAGTAAGTCAATAAAACAGTCCCTGTATTAAAAAATAACAATGTTACTATTTTCACAAATCAGCCAAGTGGAGACATAATGACATGTTTTCTAGCCTGATATTCTCAGTAGATGATTATTTTGCTTATTTTCTTTCTGCAAAAGAGATTAGTCACTGATGAATATTAGTAGGAAAAAGCTTCACTTACTATCCAATTAAGCACTTAAAGATACAAGTTTTCTTTTAAGTGTTTTGTTTATTTTTTGTTTTTCAAAGCCAAATACTTATACATATTCTTTGGAAGCTGTCATTTAGAATTCATTAATTATCATTATAGCATCTATTTAAACGTTTAAAGGTATTCTAAAATTTTATCTCTGCTACCTAATCTTAAAGACAATATTTAATAGAGACATTTCTACATTATCATCAATAATTAACCAAGAGAAAATGCTTCTATTTATATTGGGTCTCTTATTATCATAAAAGTAGTCTTAAAAGGCTGATTTAAAATTACATGAGCTAATACAAGCCTAAAAGGACAATGAGACAAAGGTCCAAGTCATAATGAATGGTTTGTATGATGACTGGTTTTGTTCTTTAAGTCTATTTCTTATCCAATGACACATAATGACACAAACATATCCAGATAGTGTTCTTGCTTCCTTGTAAGTTGAGAATTCCTTTCATTAATTCAATAACAATAATAGGATGATACACTAAAACTTAAAAATCTCTAAGAATGCAAGGAACTGACTAGCCAGTTTCAATTGTGCTACAAACCAGGATAAACCTCACTCGTCAACACCAGCGCTTTTCAGAACTTTGTTTTCATGACAAACCAGTGGGTTTTCCAGGTATAAAGTTAGCATCATATATCTAATGACTGTTAAAAAGAAAAGGAGTAGAATTTAAAGCCAGATATTTAGCAGCAAATAGCATTTAATAAGGATGTATTTTCAAGAGGAGAAAAATAAATTAGGAAAGTCAAGTGGCTAGCGGAAGCCCCAGGAGGAACTAGTTAGCTGACGTTCATATTGCTGGTATACAAGATTTAAAAGATTTACTTTAATAGAATTGCTGCCAATACTTCAGAGAACATAGCTGTCTTTTTCAGTCATTTATGTGTTTCACAGAGAATAGGTAAATATAGAACGCTGTTTCTTTGAAAAATATGATTTTATATATATATATATACATACATAGAAATAATTCTAACGATAATGCATTTTCACAATTAAAATATGTACATTTTACACAGTTAGTTGCTGAGAGCTAAACTGATAATAAATTTCACCATTTCAGTATAAATTAGATTATTTAAGCAATATTAAATGAGATAAATGTTCTTCAAAGCGAAAGAAAGAGTGTGCAGCAATTTTTTAAAAAGTTTAAGTCTGTTACATTTTGTCTCATGGGCTTTATTTTTGAAACAGCAATTCTCTTTCTAAAACAAACTCAAAGCTTTTATTTTTTAATTCAAAATCCCACTGTCTGCAATCTGCAGCAGTTTCCAAATGGAAAAAGATGCCCTACAGCTCTGCTGGCTTTTAAACAAAATATTTCTGTAAGAAGAGAAAAGCGGTTCAAAACAAGAACAGAAAAGGAAGACTTAAAAATATAGACTATGGAAAAATCTAAACACATTATGATTATCCAAATAATGACTGCTGATTGATTTCTTTTAGAATTTGAGTTATATCAGATTCACATTTTTTTAATCAACTGATAATCTGTAATCAAAGACACAATTTACCATGTTTGACATATATATTTTAATATTTTAACATCTGTTCAAATTTGCCATGTAAGAATTACTTGATTTGCGAATAAGCCTAGCTATAAGGATTATGTTCTAAATGGGGTCCCTTGTTACTACACTCACACCAAAGGTGCTTTCTTTATTTCAGAAACCCAACTGCACTTGGCAAAACTACATATAATTGAAACCAGTGAAGAATATTTCTTCAACAGAAGACAACCAAAATAATTTCCTGTTCATGGGTTGCTGTTACTATTAGTTTTCGAGGAGTCCGAATCTAGCACACTAGACAGACAGATCAGGCCTGGTGAGGGCTGCTCAGAAAGATGGGACATAGGAATCAGGTATGTGGGGGGAATTTGAGGGGATCCTAGAGGCATGCGCCAAATTGGGTTCTTCGCTGGATCATTTAACCAGTCCACAGCAATGTAATACCAAGAAGACAGAAACACATGAACTCTTAGATAAAGAAGAAGGAGACTCAAGTAGGTCTGGCAGAATTGAAGAAGTAAGATCGAATACAGACGATGAGCCAGGCATTCAACAAAACAGTCAGAGATGATATGAGGAGTGGACCAATTAAAAGGGTAGTTCTGGAACCAATTCCACAAATAGGATCTTTCATTCCTGGCTATCCTTATCTGGTAACATCCTCATTTTGTCTGGATAGGGTTCTTAAGGTTTCTGAGATTATATTATCTCCGGGGCTTTCAATTCTCCCACAGAAATACAATATTCTTTTTTTAACTTAAAAAAATTAATCATTTCTCCATTCTCTCCAATTTTTGGACATGTATTTTCTAATTTTTCCTCATTAATAAATAACATCACAATACACATCCATCAGCACACATCTCACACACTGTATTTTTTAAAAAATAGCCTTAGAAGTAGAATCAACAGGTAAATGGAGACACAGTGTTAAAATGATCCTTCAAAAAGGTTATACAACTTTACATGCCCAGCAGAAATGCATGTCACTACCTGTTTTCTTAGGCCTTCATGAATTTCTATCTATGTGTTAGGTGGAAAATAGCTTATTGCTGTTTTAATTTTTTTTAAACTTTACTAGTGAAAATAAAGATTTCTTACTGTCAATTTCTACCAAAAATTACATTGGAATTTTGAAAGAAATTGCATTGAATTTGTAGGTCAATTATCGGAGAATTACCATCTTGACAAAATTGAGCTTTCTAATCCATAAACAAAGAATAGCTCTCCACTTACTTAGATCTTTTTAACATTTCTCTTAGGAATATTTTGTTTTTAATGCTTAAGTCTTCAATTTATTTTATTTGTTTACTTGTAAATATTTTATTCTTTTCGACGTTATTATGAATTAAATGGCTTTCTTAATTTCATTTTCAAATATTTCACTGCTAGTATATAAAAGTGTGATTTTTACATATTTTATCCTGCAAGCTTGTTTAAATCATGTATTAGTTCTAGTATATCTTTAATAGATTTTGTGGGATTTTCACTATACAGGATCATAATATCTGATACATTTGTACTTCTTTCTTTCCATTCTGGATACATTACTAGTAGTAGTAGTAGTAGTAGTAGTAGTAGTAGTAGTAGTATTTTGCCTTGATGCACTGGCTAGAAGTTCCAATACAATGTTGAATAAAAGTGGCAAAAGCAGACATCTTTGCCTTGTTCTTAGGAGGAAAAGAATTAAATCTTCCAACATTAATTTTATTAGCTGTGGAGTTTTCATAGATGTCCTTTATTAGGTTGAGTAAATTTGCTTCGAGTCCTAATTTGCCAAGAATTTTTAAAATCATAAATGGTGCTTGAATTTTTCAAATGCTTTTTCAGCCTTTATCAAGACAATCACGTGATTTTTTCCCTTATTCTATTAATATGATATGTAACATTAATTGATTTCCTAATGTTAAAACAATCTTGGATTCCTGCGACAAATCCCGCTTGGTCGTGGTGTATAATTGTCTGTATATGTTGCTAGATTCCGTTTTCCAAAATCTCATGAAGGGCTTTTGTGACTATGTTCATGACAGGTATCAATCCATAGTTTACTAGTGAAATATTTGTCCAGCTTTGATATCAGAGTAATACTGGCCTCACAGAATTAACTGAGAAGTATTCCTTCTTCCTCAATATTCTGAAAGAGTTTTCAAAGAATTAAAATTATTTCTTCTTTAAATAGTTGATGTAATTCGCCAGTGAAGCCATTTGTCTTAGACTTTTCTTTGTGAGAATATTTTTAATTGGCAATTAAATTTCTTATTATATTTCAATTCAGATTTTCTATTCTTGGGATAGTTTTGATCATTTGTATCTCTCTAGAAATTTGTCCATTTATCTATGTTGTACAAATTGTTGGTATACAAAGTTTTTAGTAATATCACTTTATAATCCTTTCATTTTCTAGAAAATCAATAGTGGTATCCTATCCTTTGACTCCTAACTTTGGCAATTTCTAACTCCTCGTTTTTATGGTTTGTCAATCATGCTAAAGTTTGTCAATTTTGTTGATCTTTTCAAAGAACCAGTACTTGGCTTCATTAATTTTCCATATTTTTATGTATTTCAATCTTAGCTTTCTGCTCTAATCTTCCCCCGCCCCCCCCTTTCTTCCACTTGCTTAGAAGCTTGCTTTGCTTTTCTTTTTCTGGTTTCATCAGGTGAAGTTTAGGTTACTGATTTGAGAATTTTATTTTTGGATATAGGTGTTTAAAGCTATAAGTCTTTCTCTAAGCACTGCTTTTAGCTGCATTCCATAAATCTTGATATGCCATATTTTTGTTTCCATTCAGCTTAAAATATTTTCTAATTTCCCTTGTAATACCTTCTTTGACCCATTAGTTATTTAAAAGTGGGTTATTTACTTTCCAAATATGTGAGGATTTCCCAGATTTTCTTTTGTTGTTTACTTCTAATTTATTATTGTTGAGGTCAAAGAACACACTTTGTATTTCCATCCTTTTAAATTTGAGACTTGTCTTGTATCCAAGCATATGGCTATCCTGGAGAATGTTCCATGAGTGCCTGCAGTCATTGGGTGGGGTGATTTAAATCATCACCCAAGTCTCAGACTTACCCATAAGTGGCATAAGTACAAACAGATCCAAAGGAGCACAGCAAAGACTGTGAAACAACTGAAGCTGGAATCCACCCACAGAAGATGAGACAAGACTTTCTCACTGAAAAGAACTGGGAATTCTAACAGGACTCAGAGAATAAAAAACACTCAGTATATACTCTTCTGCTTGCATATTCTTTCATTCAGCAGGATTTTGAGATCCATCCATGCTGTTGTATCAATAATTCATTCCTTTTCACTGCTGAGTAATATTTCATTGTACATACCACATTTCATTTATCCTTTCACCTTCTGAGGAATATTTTGGTTGCCCAAGTTTTGAGCTTTTATGAACAAATCTGCTGTCAGTATTTGTGCAATAGTCTTTGTCTAGACATGTCTTTATTTCTCTTTGGTAAATACATAGGAATGGAATGACTGACATATATGGTCATTGTGTATTTAACATTTTAAGAAAATTGGCAGTTTTCTAATGTGGCTATACTATTTTATGTACCCATCAGCAGTGTATAAGAGCTTCAATTGCACCACAACTTTGTCAGCACTTGGTATTGTCAGCCAGTCTTTATCATCTTAGTCATTCTAATGAACGTGTAGTAGCATCTCATTTTGGTTTTTAATTTGCATTTCCTTGATGAATGATGATGATATTGAGCATCTTTTCATGTGGTTATTAGTCATTTGTATATCTTCTTTTGTGAAGTGCCTGTTCAAATCTTTTGCCTGTTTTTAATTGGATTGTCTTTTTATTATTGAGTTCTAAGATTTCTTTTACATTTTAGATGCAAGTTCTTCGAAATACATGTATTGTAAGCCTTGTCTTCCATTTTCTGGTTTGCCTTGTTTTTGTTTTTTTAATGATGTCTTTCAAAGAGCAAAAGTTTTTAGTTTTGGTGAAGTCCAATGTAGCAATCTTAACTGAAATTTAATTTCTAGTTTAATTGCATTGTGGTAAGAAATATGTGTTCTCAGACATGTTAAGTTTTAGAAATATACTGAGGGTTCCCTTACAGTCTACTAAGTCTTTTAACTGTTTTATGAGAACAGAGATTTAATATGTAGTGTCAAATGGTAGAAAGTTGAAATACAGATTAAGATGGCAGACAGGAGGCAGGACTAGCTTGCAGCTCCTCTCCGATGGCCAGAGAAGTGTATGGAGACTCACATCGTGAACTTTGGCTCCAAGAACTACTACAGGAACATAGCAGGAAAGCTGAGAGAATCCACAGACCCTTTGAAAGAACTGGATCACATCACTGCTGCAGGCTCCCTGAGACAACAAAACACTGAGAGTCTGCTTGCTTTCTCAATGGGAGGCTCGTGATCTGGGGCAAGTTCTCAACCCTGATTGCCAGTTGCCTGGAAATAGACTCGGTGCTGTTGGAAGGACACAGTGGGAGTCAGACAGGCCTTCAGGACTGAGGGCTGTGTGGGAGCAGGGTGAGGCCTTGACTGCTGGCTTTCCCCTACTTCCCTGGTGACCTGTATGGCTCACTAGAGGCAGCCATAATCCCCCTGGAAATATAACTCCACTCGACTGGGAACCACACTCCCATCCCCCGCAGCAGTAACAGCCAGCCCCACACAAGGAGAGGCTGAGCTCAGACATGCCTATTGCTGCCCCCACCTAGTGGTCTTTCTCTGCCTACCCTGGTATCAGAAGACAAAAATCGTAATCTTTTGTGAGCTCTATGGCCCTGTCCACTGTCTGAGAAAACTGAATACTTAAGCCGGTGTCCCTAGGGCAAGTTTGCATCCTCCCTATAGGACCATAGCTGACGCACTCTTGAAGTGCCACCTCCCGGCTGGAGGCCAAACAACACAAAACCAGCGCACTAAACAAAAACACAACCAAGAACCCTCACAGAGTCCACTTCACTCCCCTGCTATTTCCACCAGAGCAGGTCCTGGTATCCATGGCTACAAGACGTAAAGACAGATCATATCACAGGACTCTTTGCAGACACTCCCCAGTACCAACCCACAGCCTGGTAGCTCCACTGGGTGGCTAGACCCAGAAAAACAAGAACAATCACTATAGCTCCGCTCTTAGGAAGCCTCATTCCTAGGGGAAGGGGGAGCCTCATTCCAAATCACCACATCAAGGGAGCACCCCATAGGACAAAAGAATCTGAACAGCAGCAAACCCCAGATCTTCCCTCTGACATAGTCTACCCAAATAAGAAGGAACCAGAAAAAAAATTCTGGTAATATGACAAAACAAGATTCTTTAACTCCTCCAAGAGATCATACCACCTCACCAGCAATGGATCCAAGCCAAGATGAAATCTCTGAATTGCCAGAAAAAGAATTCAGAAGGTCAATTATTAAGCGAATCAAGGAGGCATCAGAGAAAGGTGAGGTTCAACATAAAGAAATCAAAAACATGATACAGAATACAAAAGAAGAGTTCTTCAGTGAAATAGACAGCATATATAAAAAACAATCATAATGTCTGGAAATCAAGGACACACTCAGAGAAATGCAAAATGCACTGGAAAATCTCAGTAATAGAATTGAACAAGCAGAAGAAAGAACCTCAGAGCTCAAAGACAAGGCTTTCAAATTAACCCAATCCATCAAAGATGAAGAAAAAAGATTTTTAAGAAATGAACAAAGCCTCCTAGAAGTTTGGGACTAAGTTAAACATCCAAACCTAAGAATAATTGGTGTTCCTGAGGAAGATGAGAAAGCTAAAAGTTTGGAAAACATATTTGAGGGAATAATTTAGGAAAACTTCCCCAGCCTTGCTAAAGGCCTAGACATGCAAATACAAGAAGCACAAAGAACACATGGGAAATTCATCACAAAAAGATCATCGCCTAGGCACATAGTCATCACGTTATCTAAAGTCAAGACAAAGGAAAGAATCTTAAGGGCTGTGAGCCAAAAGTATCAGGTAGCCTAGAAAGGTAAACCTATCAAATTAACAGCAGACTTCTTGGCAGAAACCCTAAAAGCTGGCAAGGAGTGGGGTCTTATTTTTAGTTTCCTTAAACAAAACAATTATTAGCCAAGAATTTTGTATCCAGCGAAAGTAAGCTTTATAAATGAAGAAAAGACATAGTCTTTTCCAGAAAACAAATGCGGAGAGAATTCGCCAATACAAAGCCACCACTAAATGAACTGCTAAAAGGTGTTCTAAATCTTCAAACAAATCCTCTAAATACACCAAAGCATAAATCTCACAGGACCTATATAACAATAACATAATTAAAAAACAGTAGGTATTCAGGCAACAAATGGCACGATGAATAGAATAATACCTCACATCTCAATACTAACATTGAATGTAAATGGCCTAAATGCACCACCTAAAAGATACAGAATGGCAGAATCGATAAGAATTCACCAACCAAATTTCTGCTGTCATCAGTAGACTCACCTAACACATAAGGACTCACATAAACTTACAGTAAAGGGGTAGAAAAAGATATTCCATGTAAATAAACACCAAAAGCGAGCAGGAGTAGCTATTCTTATATCAGACAAAACAAACTTTAAAGCAACTGCAGTTAAAGAAGACAAACAGGGACATTATATAATGGTAAAAGGACTAGTCCAACAGGAAAATATCACAATTCTAAATATGAATGCACCTAACACTGGAGCTCCCAAATGTATAAAACAATTACTACTAGACCTAAGAAATGAGACAGGTGGCAATGCAATAATAGTGGGGGAGTTTAATACTCCACTGACAGCACTACACAGGTCATCAAGACAGAAAGTCAACAAGAACAATGAACTTAAACTATACCCTACAACAAATGGACTTAACAGATATTTACAGAACATTCTACCCAACAACTGCAGAATATACATTCTATTCAGAAGGACATGGAACATTCCCCAAGATAGACCATAACAGGCCACAAAACGAGTCTCAGTAAATTTAAGAAAATCGAAATTATATCAAATACTGGTGGGAATGTAAAGTAGTACAACCACTATGGAAAACACTGTAGAGATTCCTTAAAGAACTAAAAGTAGATCTACCATTTGATTCAGCAATCCCACTTCTAGGTGTCTACCCAGAGGAAAAGAAGTCATTATATGAAAAAGATACTTGCACATGCATGTTTATAGCAGCACAATTTGTAATTGCAAAAATATGGAACCAGCCCAAATGCCCGTAAGTCAACGAGTGGATAAAGAAATTATGATATATATACATACATACATACACACACACACACACACACACACACCATGGAATACTACTTGGTCATAAGAAGGAACAAAATAATGGCATTCACATCAACCTGGATGTTACTGGAGACCATTATTCTAAATCAATGGAAAACCAAACATCGTATGTTCTTACTCATAAGTGGGAGCTAAGGTATGAAGACACAAACACATAAGAATGATACAATAAACTCTGGGGACTCAGGGGGAAGACTTTGGGTGGGGGAGGTGAGGGTTAAAAGACTATACATTGAATACAGTATACACCGCTAGGGTGATGGGTGCACCAAAATCTCAGTAATCACCACTAAAGAAATTATTCATGTAACCAAGCACCACCTGTGCCCCAAAAACCTATTGAAATAAAAAAATAAAAAATTTAAAAATATATACATAAAAATAAAAATGTTAAACTTGATCAGCTATTCCACTCCTAGGTACAGTAGTCCCTCCTTATATGTTCTAAGACCCTCAGTGGATGTCTGAACTTTGGATAGTAACAAACCCTATATGCACTATGGTTTTTGCTATATAGCTGCATTGTATAGGGCAGGTAGGGTATACAGCATGGATATGCTGGATAAAAGGATGAGTCATGCCTTGGGTAGGACAGAGCAGGACGGCATGAGATTTCATCATGTTACTAAGAACAGTGCACAATGTAAACCTTATGAATTCTTTATTTCTGGAATTTTCCATTTAATATTTTTGGACTGTGGTTGATGGAAGGTAACTGAAACCATGGAAAGTGAAACTTTGGATAAGGTGGGACTACTGTACTTATTGGAATAAAATGGAAACATATATCTACAAAAGTAAACGTAAAAAAATAAAACGCTAAAAAAGAAAAAGTCAAAATATAGCTGTCATATAATTTGTTAGTTACACCCCATTTGGATTTTACCCATTGACCTGTCAGAGATGGAGAAAAATATATGAAAACATCCCATGACTATCTATGTCCATTTCTCCATGTGTTCCTAACATCTTTTCATATTTCGATTGAGTACTCTTGCCTTTAGCATGCAAAAATATATCCCTTTGTCCAGTTTATTGACTTGTATTGATTTAATTTGTATGATAGTGTTACAATCCTACTTTCCTTTTTTTCTGAATATAAGTGATATATTTTCATCATCCATTTATTCTAACTTTTGTGTTAACTTTATTTTAGTTATTAGTTTTATAAATAGTATATTTATGGATTTCAGTCTTCTAATCAATACCATTTTACTAGAAAAATTTAACCTATTAATGTTTATTATTACAATTATATACTCTATCTTATTTTGGACATTTTGTTGTATTTCTGCTTCTGTTCCTTTGGCAGCCTCTCCTCTCAAGCTTTGCTTTTTAACTTTTCAAGACTTTTATGAGAATGTACAACTTGTTAATTTTATTAATGCTCATATTTAAACATTACAAAATTATTTTTACCTACATTTCCCTAATTTTAAGAATCTTATGAGTCTCACATATTTATGACAAAGAGTTTTAGTATATTTTGCTTCTCCAACTCTTGCTATTCATCTACTTTTGATCCTTGTTAATGTAATCTAGGGATACAAATTCAAGTTGTTAATACATTTGTATTTTCTGTTTTATATACCTTCCTTTTCAAAAAATCAATTAATATTAGAATTCTATTCTTAAGTAGATTTGTAACAATTATTTAAATTTGTTTCTACTTCTTTGGGGTTCCAGGTTTCTCTACTCATCCTTTCATATGATGGTTTCCTTATGTGTGGGAAGTCTTATGCTTCATTTCTGGATTGGTTCATGTATTCATACAAATTTTTTCCAGAAAAATGTGGTATATATTATATGAGCTCTTATATATAAGAACATGCTTTCCTATTGTTTTTGTAAGCAAAAAACTCCTTGGTTGTGTATAAAATGGAATCACCACTTTTTTTTACTGCATGCATATTACATACATGTATATTACACGCATTACATTATATGTAACATGAATGGTGCAGTTTCAGCCTACCATACCATAGCTGTGGATCCAGGCATTTCTGTACTCCTGGGGGTTGGGGAAGGTCCCTGCTGCCCTAGCTGGCTCAGAAGTGCTTGCTCCTGCTGTCTGGTTTCTCCTTGCTGTCCGTGCCCACTCCAATGTTGGAGCAAAGTTAGGGCTGAGCCTGGGTGCTGTCGCATGCCAGCCCCCTGCTGCCTCAGCCACCTCTGGACTTTGGCTGCCAATGAGCATAGGAGGGAAGCCAAGTGGGTGCTGATGGCAGCTCAATGCTGGCCTGCAGGCAACCCTTGACACCTACAGCCTGGGCACCATGAACAGCAGCAGGGGGCAGACAGACTCCTGCTCATAAGGGGATGGGTCCCTAGTGAGGCCTCACCTTCAGGCCAGGGAGGGCCTGAAGGCTGGGAGGCCTGGCTGCAAGTCCCACAGACTGGAGTGGGAACTCGTGGTGCCTTTTCTGGGCCTCCCCATGGCCACCCATGGACCAATCAGTGTGCACTTCCTCCCCTCTGAGGCACATAAAAGCCCCAGGCTCAGCCAGAGAAGAGCAGATGTGGGGACAACCAGCTGCAGAGGGGAGCTACCAACTCCAGGGCCTCCTCTCTCCTAAGAGCTGCAGATGTCAGGACAACCAGCTGCAGAGAGGAGCAACTCATCCCAGGGCCTACTCTCTGCTGAGGGCTGCAGAGACATCGGGACCACCAGCTGCAGATAGGAGCAACCCACTCCATGGCCTCCTCTCTACTGAGAGCTGGGGAGATGAGAGGAGGACCTGCCTACAGAGAGGAGTAACCCACTCTAGGGCCTCCTCTCTGCTGAGAGCTGCAGAGATGATGGGACTACCTGTCTGCAGAGACGGGTTTACCACTCCAGGGTCTCCTCTCTGCTAGGAGCTGAACACTCACTGGGACACCCTGGCTGCAGAAAGGAGCTACCCACTATGTGTCTCTGAGCTGTTCTATTGCTCAATGAAGCTCCTCTTTGTCTTGCTTACCCTCCACTTGTCTGCATACCTCATTTTTCCTAGTCGCAGGACAAGAACTCAGGACCTGTCGAATGGCAGGGCTAAAAGAGCTGCAACAAAAACAGGGCTGAAACATGCTCCTTGCTCGCCTTGTTGAAGGCAAAGAGAAGGAGAGAAGAGCTACAGCCCCAGACCTGGGCGCTCCCGAGCCAGGGCTATGACTTCCTCTTTGGGTTCGTGTGGTTCTTGGCTCCTCCTTGGGTTCCTGTGGTTCCTGGCATCTCCAAGCTTCCAGGTGCCACCACATTCCCCAGTGACAGTTGTGGAAGCTGCTTGCAGTATACCTGGTCCAGCCACAGCCTCACAGAGAGCTGACACCCATGCTGGCACCTGGAGCTGCCCACCCACTGCAGCAGGTGGCATACCTGACTGCACAGCGGCCAGACCCCATGCTTGCTCACATACCCCTTGCTGCTCCATGCCTAACTCACCCTTGGCAGGTGTTGGATACAGGCAGTAGCCTGAGCCAAGAGCAGCGTATCAGGCTGAGTGGGTGGAATGAGCCCAGTGGGCCTTAGCAAAACTCAGGCAAAGGTGCCACTAGCCACAGAGGTTTCTGGCCAAAAAAGTGACACCCTAGGGATCCCGTAACACAGGGCTCAATCCTCAGTCAGATTCAAACATGAAACCTTCCTTAGGCACATTTCTCCCACCCAGTGTGTGCTTGGGACTCCTAAGGAAGATAACTATAGTGTAAAATAATAAGTGAGTATTGAAACATTCTTTATAATCAGGAAAAACTGAAAAAAACTAAATATGCTTGAGTAGGGGAGCTGATAAAATATACTATATTCATATGATAAAATAAATTTAGTGTTAAAAAGATTGTACTAAAACAGCATGGTTAGCACACAGATACATAATATTAGATATAAAAGGGCAAACAGAAATAGTACTTAAAATCTGTTCATATTTATATAATTTTTAAAAAAACAAAAAAACATTTATGCCTGTAACATATTAATGCATAAATAATATATACATACATATTATCTATGGGCATTATGTATGCATATAAAATAAACTGAAATAATGCAGCCATCTCCAGTATCCATGGGTGATTGGTTCCAGAACCCCCTCCAGATACCAAAATCCACAGACAGTCAAGTTCCTCATATAAAATGGTCTAGTACTTCCATACAACCTGGGCACATCCTCCTGTGTACTTTATCATTGCTAGATTACTTCTAATACCTAATACAACATCTACATGTCACTTCTATCACATGGATTCAACACAGTCCTCTGCACATGGCAAATTCAAGTTTTACTTTTTGGAGCATTGTCAAATTTTTCCAAATATTTTCGATCCATGGTTGGTTGAATCTGTGGAGGCAGAACCCACAGATACAAAAACACATGGATACAGAGGGCTGACTGTATACACTCAATTAATTATAATGGATTTCTCCAGGGAAGAAAGAATAATGTGATTAGACATGAAAACAAAGTAAACTAAAACTTCACCTGAATTTTTTAGTTTATATAAACCACGTTAACAATTATTGCATCTTTGCGATGGGTACCCAGGTGTTTGTAATAATTCCCTTTATTCTTTTACAAATTTTGTATTTTCTTTAAAAACTAAAAAAAAAAAAACTACCCATCTTATATAAGAATTGGAGACAGCCTTTGTTCTTCACAACTGCCAGTTGAAAATAATTTGCTGTAGCTGATCAATAAGACACTATTTATAGAACATGAAGAAACACAGACATGGTTAACTGGAGCCCCTGCTCTAAAGAAACTGATCAGTCATGGGATTTTTCTCTTAGGATTATCTATCCTTCCAAAGCAAGGTACATGCTTGCCATTACTACATTTATACAGGGGACTTTTAAATGATCATTCTGGCATTGCTTGAAGGATGAATCAAGTGGTAACATCTCTTTCTCATTCTGAATCTCTGACCCGATTGTATGGCTAATTTTGATACAGCTCTTTTAAAAAGTGAAATGTTTCTGTCATATTTAAGATGAGAATGTACCTTCCTACTGAGAGAGTGACTTTCAAAAGGGATGGTGTGGCAGCCTCCTTACCTGCTCTTTCATTTCAGCATAGACTTTCTCTGAGTTCAGTTCCACCTGCCGCTTAAACTCTTCCAGAGCGGCATCTGCCTGCTGGGCCTGCAACCTCTGAACTTCAGTCACACGAGTTAGCTGCTCCTCTTTTTCCCTAGAAAGGTTCAGAGAAGCTTCAGAGTTAAAATATAAAAGAGCTAGGCCTGAATGAAAGAACAATATTTAACCCCCTCTAAAATAAAATCCAGATTTTAATTTTTTTGATCCAAATCCTACAAAACTTCCCTTTAGAAATTTGACAATAAACTAATTTGTCTCAAGAGAAAAAGGGTATAAACATATATTGTGTATTCTGATGAAGGCAAAACTGCTTTCAAAGATTTCTCTAAAAACAAAACTGAGTAAAACCATGTGTCTCCATCAAGTGATGAATGAATAAACAAAATGTGGAATAGCTATCCAATGGGATATTAGTCATTCTTAAAAAGGAATGAAGTTCTGATACCTGCTACAACATGGATGAACCTTAAAAACATTCAGCTAAGTGAAAGAAGCCAGTCACAAAAAGTTACATATTGTATGATTCCATTTATATGAAATTTCCAGAATAGGTAAATCCATGGAGACAGAAAGTACCTTAGTAGTTGCTAGGGTCTGAGAGGCTGGGGAAATAGGGAGTGATTGCCAAGGGATATGAAATGAGGAAAATATGAAAATGTTCTGGAATTAGATAGTGGTGATGGTTGCACATCCTTGTGAATATACTAATATCCACCAAACTATACACTTCAAAGGAGTGAATTTTATGGTATGTGAATTATATCTCATGTTTTTTTTTTAAAACAATGTACAAATAGAAAGATGTATGTCTACCAGAAGTTAATCTGCAGTGAAGTCAATGCAACAGAGAAACATGATGGCCTAAAATTATTTTACTGCCTTCTAGCAGATTGCCTAAAAGAACTGATAACCATCTCATTTCTTCATACCTTAGGCGGAAACTATATAGCTGAAAGGGTCCAACAAAACAAAAGGAATCTTTGCATGTTGATAGAAGAAAAAATTAAAGCCTTCAGTTTATAAATGCATGCCATTTAACAATAGTTAACTTTGAATTCTAACTAGGCGCTGGGTATTGTGCAATGGAATTTTATATGGTTTGGCTCTGTGTCCCCACCCACATCTAATCTTGTAGCTCCCATAATTCCCACGTGTTGTGGGAGGGACCCAGTGGGAGATAACTGAATCATGGGGGCAGGTCTTTCCCATGCTGTTCTCATGATAGTGAGTCTAATGAGATCTGATGGTTTTAACAAGAGGAGTTCCCCTGCACAAGCTCTCTTTTTGCCTGCCGCCATCCATGTAAGATGTGACTTGCTCCTCCTTGCCTTCCGCCATGATTGTGAGGCCTCCCCAGCCACGTGGAACTGTAAGTCCATTAAACCTCTTTTGAAAATTGCCAAGTCTCCAGTATGTCTTTATCAGCAGTGTGAAAATGGACTAATACAGAAGTTTATGTCTTCTCTCATTTATTCTCACAGTAAACCAGTATAAGAGTGTTATTACATCCTTACTTACACAGAACAGGAAACTAGGGCTTAGAGAATACTTCCAAGGTTACACACCTAGAGTAACAACAGGTCAAGCCAGGATTCCAGTCCTGAAAGTGTGCTTCTAGAGTTCCTGTTGTTGGCTGCTATGCCACACTGCTTTCCTGATCTTCCAGATGCCACAGGTAAGATTAACTTAGCTCACCTTCCCTAAATGGGAAAGCTTACACAAGTGAAAAATATGTTCTTACTATTAGCTGTAACACTGAAGGATGCTGGGCGGGGGTGGGTAATTTAACTCACTCAAACCAAATTTTAGAGAAATATCATAAAGGGGAGAAAAGACATTTCTAAAACAAGATGATGCAATCTTTTAAGACTTGGGCAAAAAGTAATACGAGTTTTTCCAGGTTACTCATCTGAGTTTAAAATCCACTCTAAGACACAAAAATTTCTAGGCTTTTCAATAAGAACGTACATATCATATATCAAAATACCAAACTTTCTCCCTCTCCCCCACCAAATTGAAAACCTCTTTCAAAGCTTAAGTGGTCAAAAGACTGATAAGAAAAAAAGTGTCACCTAATTTCTACTTCAGCAAGACTCTCTTGTCCCTTTACAATGAGGTTATCAACAATATAGATATATAGATATCGATATAGATATAGATATAGATAGGGGTGTGTGTGTGTGTGTGTGTGTGTGTGTGTTCTCTCCTCGCACCCATATCCCATCCCCACCCCTGTATTTGGGATCCGCAAACAGGCACATTTTTGTTGACAGGCTGAAAGAGCATATCGTGCATGTTTATTTGTCATTTTAAACACCACCTTGTGTCTATTTATCTTTTCATATCCCATGTATCCATCTACCTGAAGGTGACAATAATCATTGCAATCCCATGATAAACAAAACAGTTTTTCCACTAAATCCCTGTTCCTTTATGTGTCTGTTTTACAGATGTAGCCACCATTTTTATGACCTACAGAGTTTAATACTGCCCCAAGGTGTGTGATGCCCTGCATGACAGTTAAGCCATTCCAGGTCATGAGGCATGCCACATGTGGCTCTCAGTAACTGCATTTTGCAGCAATGGGGTACAGGATTCTGGAAGTTTTTAAAAGCTATTCTTCAACTTGTCTACTTTAATGAACTGGGACCTGGGTATCTTGTTGTTCACCATGTTTCTTACATGTTGTTAAAGCAAAATGGTCTTAATGTTAACTGGCTGTTAAGTTCTAAGGTCCTAACATTAGTGAGGCTTTTTTGCCACCTAATGTGAATATTAGCTCAAAGATAATGGTGATTAATAACTGAATATCATACTGAAGGCTGATTTTGGGGGCACCACTATATGAAAGACTGAGCACTCTGATGGCTATAAAGAATTTTAAATTGTTCTGGTGCATTTTCACTCTTTCTATATTATTCTGTTCAAGAACAGGAGGCTTTAAGTTGTATGTAGGATTTCCCTGCTACAAACATTGAATAATTTGTTTGAATATAAAAATATCTAAATACTAAAACAGCACATGGGAACAACATAAAGTCATATAAATTGTTATTGGGTACCATGGTCTAGACCTGGCTTGGCAAATAGATGCTCTCTGGTGTGGTGGTCCCAATTGACTGGAAGGGGCTGCCTGGAATGTACTATTTAAAGGATTCTGAGAGCAAGCTCAGAGGGAAAGGGTGCTGTGGTTGATGAAAGGGTGCTGTGGCACTGTTTACAAGGCACTGGGGTTAGGCAGTGCAATGACCGTTTAGAGATTATAGTGACTAGTTTATGTTCCTCTTTAATTTTTGAGGCCCTTCTAAAAGCACTTGGGAAGACCATTTTATAATTAAGATTAACATTTATCAAAGGATTACCTTTGGTCAGTTTGTATATAAATACAAAAGAAAGTATATTGAACATGATTTGAAAACTTTAAAAGTTTATATATCACTTACTTTTTAATTATGGAACATTAAATAGCCAAAAGAAAGATAACACATTTTATAAAAATATATGACCTATAGCTGAAATAGCAACTTTGTCCTATCTATGTTGAAAGTCAGTTTTTTATATTATTTGTGCAATAATTCACATGAACTATTTAAACACTTTTCATTTAATAGGATGAATCTTTTTCCCTATAACATGTCATTCTTACCTACTAAGCTTAGTTCATTTACTTTATAACTAATTTATGACCACATAAATCAAAGTCATAAACTTTAGCTATCCGTCAGATAATTAGAGGCCATTTTAAAATATGAAAACCTTGCACAATAAGGCACATTGTTTTCAATTGATCATTTCTACCCTGATTTACAAATAGCAAATATTGTTTTATACTCAATTATAAGCACAGGGAAATATGTAAAATCTGGTTTCCAGTCCCGCCATACTGTCTGAACTAATCTAATAGTAACACTAAATATCAAAAGTGGCCTCATTCAATGTAATTCAATGTTCTTGTCCAGTAAAACCATAATGAATACATTGAGCTCCACTAATATTTAGAAACCTTCTGCCCCCTTTTTTTTTTTTTTTTTTCTTTGAGACAGGGTATTGCTCTGTCGCCCAGGCTGGAGTGCAGTGGCACAATCAGGGCTCACTGCAGCCTTGAACTCCTGGACTCAGGTGATCCTCCCACCTCAGCCTCTGGGTAGCTGGGAATATAGGTGCAAGCCACCACCCCTGGCTAATTTTTTTCTTTTTTGTAGAAATGGGGTTTTGTCAAGTTGCCCAGGCTGGTCTCAAACTCCTGGACTCAAGCGATCCACCCCGGTCTCCTAAAGAGCTGGGATTACAGGCATAAGCCGCTGCACCTGGCCCCTCTGTCTTAATATAAATTAAATCTGTCAATTCAAATAAAGAGGTGATAATCATTTTAGGGAAAGATCCATTTTAATTTCTACATGGTAATGAAGCAGAAATGAAAATGCTGAAGCTTTGAAACAGGCAAAGGTCTGCTCCTAGCACAGGAACAGCGCTCCTTTTTACCATGATCCCAATAGTGCATCCTGAAAGAAGGAGGAAAAAAGGACTGAAGATTTTTTTTTTCCCAGTGGAACTAGTTGTGGGGCCAAGTAGAAACGCATCACTCAAATGCCTTAAAGCTGGGCCTCCATGAAGATAAAAAGGTGGAAAGAAAATTTGCTTTTTAGCTCTGATTTATTCATAAAGTGCAGTAAATTTTCCTCATCTGAGTATATAAAGGATAAAGAAAAAAGAAGCTGCATTGTTAAACAACCACAAGCCAGCTCAGATTAAAGGATGTTCTGAAGTACATGATTATTCCAAAAAGGGCAATAAAATGTAGGGAACTAATGGATGACAGTTTAGTATTTTTGAGCTTTACAAGCTAACATGTATATGTACAGGTGAACCTTAATTTGAAAATCTTCCTTTTGCACATTTCTGTTCCAGTACATTTGATAAAGATGGCTGCAACCCAACATGTATGTATAAGGCTTCACATTACAGTATACTTCATTTCCTGCCAGCTTGGCATCTCCCCTGGAAACTCCAAGAAAAACAACACAAAACAAGAAACTTCAAACAAGTCTGAAAAACAGCTAGAAGAGTCCCCATGCCCTTTCCAGCTGGGCTGGAAAACAAGACTCACAAGCGGCAATATCACCTATATTCATGGCTGCTGGTTGTTACTTAAACTGATTAAATTGAATGACTCAAAAATATTTAAAATAACAACTTTCATAAGCATGACAGATGAATAAACTGCTTTGGCCTCTTCTTCACTTGACTTCTAAAACTAGTAGTCTCTGCTAAATTCTAGTTTAAAAATGGTAAACCCTGTAGACAGCTAAACATTTGATACTTCAACAGTCAGAAAGAAATGCCCAGTAAAATGAAAATTAGTATTGGTCTTAATATTGAATATATGGTAATACTTCCCAAATTGATCTACAGATTCAACATAATCAATGCATGCAGGGCCACAAGCCAAGGAACTGGGGCAGTGTCTAGAAGATGGAAAAGGCAAGGAATGGATTATTCTCATAAGCTCAATGAAACTATGATGATCCAAAACACTAAATCAGAAATTATTCTCTCGCTACTAAGGGAAAAGCTTGAAACAGGTACGATAATAGCATAAAGAAGTTCTACAGAACTCTATTCTGACAAAGACCTTTTATTGTCAACAATGTAGGCTTACCCAGAGAGCTTGCCCACAGGGTCAAACACCAGTCTTAAAAAACCATGCCTGTTGGTTGAAGCATGTTAGTTATAAATAGGAATGAAGAATCTTCTTAAACAATTCAAAAACCTCTTAAGAAGATATGGATGTCAGCTAGGACGTCTATAAATCTATGACGCCAACTGGATTTGAATCATAATTCAAAAGAACTAGTTCTGGCATCAACTTTGTAGCCTTTATTCTCAGTAAGTTAGTTTTGTTCTGGGAGCAGAAACAAGGGTGCTGGCAGCAAATTCTAAGATCTGCTCATTCAAATACTATAGAAAACATAAAAGAAGTGTAAAACATGGTTCCTATCTTGCAAAAACTATAATCTGACTAAGGGAAAAGATGAAAATATAAGGAGAAAAATAAAATGATGCAATATCGTACACATTAAATCTTGTGACAAATTTTAAGTGCTAAAAGAATACAAAGAACGTAACAATGAAGTAAGAGGCTATATAAGAAACAATTCTCAGAGGATCAAATTTATGTGTAAGATAGGAAATAAAGGTATATAAGTAAAATTAATGAAAGTTTTAAACAGTTTAAAGTTTATGTAATAATTTTATGCTAAACTAACTTCTGCCTGTAATATGGGTCCATAAATAAAACAAACTCTAGCTCAGCAAATACAAAAGCAAGTAATACTTCTATGGTAAACTAACAAAATATTGAGAAAATTATCCTTAAAGATAAAGCAGTCATGGTTTATGGTGAAGAAAAATTCCTTTAAAATCTTTAAATTCTTTAAACTTCAAAATAAATCCCACATATGATGCTATTTTCGTTTATGTCCCTATATTTAACAAATGATTAAAACTTCCATTTATAAATTGTACACCATATATGCAGAGTTTACATACAAACTCACTAATGTATTTCATTACAGATGTAGTATTATATCAGTATATAATAAGGAAATTACGTTATTCTTGTAAAATGACAAAACCTAAATATTCTGGAATAGGTGAGGACCACTTCTTGTTATTAGGAGAGGAAGAAAGACAGTATGAAGTCACTCAAGCAGAATGATAAGTAAACCAAAGCCAGATCAAAGGAATAAAGAAAAAAGGCTGAAATGTGAATCTGAAATATTTATTTCCTTCAAAAACATTATCCATGCCTTGTCCCAGGGCAGTTCAATATTTCAAAGTAACTGGAAAATATTCTCACTTACATTCATCACTATGCACAAATAGATCAAATTTCAAGCAGGCAAATTTTCTATTTATCAAATATAAATGTAATATTTATCATGTGACAGAAGCTTTTCTGCTCATTATAGATGATTTCTAAGTGATATGAAATGAAAAGTCGCAATAGATATGTCCCACTACTTTTAGAGAATTGTATTGCTACAAAATATAACATTTATAGTGTAGCCATAATTTTTAAATCTTTGGAAATGATGAAGCAGAGTGAACATTTGAATGTCTACCCTGCTCATCACAGTTAGGGCAGTTCACATATTATTTGACGTTATTTCTATTAGAAAAGTTACTACATTTTTTAGATGAAAACACTGAAACTTAGAATAGTTAAGTGATTTGCTCAAGTTCACATAAAAGTGCCAGAACAAGCGATGAAAACAACCCATCTGACTGGAAGTCCAAAATAGTTTCGCTACATGTAACATTATTTCTTTAAATCTGTACATACATTTTTTATTAACTTACCATTTCATATTAATTAGCTGAATTTATAATAAGTACTTATCGTAATTTATCCTTACATAGCAATATTTGTATATCAAATATCTAGAGTATTTGAAAGCTAAAATGTTCATTAGCATTTACTTAACATCTATCACATGCCAAGATCTGTGCTCAGTATTAGAACTGCAAAAATGATTAAGACATTATATCAGTTTTTTGTTTTTTTGTGTGTGTGGATTTTTTTTTTTTTTTTTGAGACAATGTCTTGATCTGTCACCCCAGCTAGAGTGCAGTGGTGCGATCTCGGCTAACTACAACCTCTGCCTCCTGGGTTCAAGTGATTCTCTTGCCTCAGCCTCCCAAGTAGCTGGGATTACAGGCATGCAGTACCACGCCTGACTAGTTTTTTTTGTATTTTTAGTAAACATGGGGTTTTGCCATGTTGGCCAGGCTGATCTAGGAAAACATTGTAAAGGACTTCTCATTTTGTTAAGATCATTATGAAAAATATTTAAGATTAACGTATTACATGTACATTGCATAATACATACCACATGCATATCACATACAAGCATATTACATGTACATTACATGCATACACATCACACATGTATCACATGCATGTGTAATGCATGCATATTACACACAGGTATACTGTATTTGCATTACTTGCATGTATATTGCATGTATGTTACTTAAATGAATATTGTGTGCATGTATATTACACACAAGTATACACATATATTGCATGCACGAATATTACATGTGTGCCGCATGCACTGCACACATATTGCAAGCATATATGACATGTATAACACTGCATATTGCATGCATGTGTATTGTATGCATATTACACGCATACAGGAATATCACATAAATGTGTATTGCATGCATACACTACACGAATGCTTATTACATGTAAATCACATAGATGCATATTACATGCATGCGCATCACATGTATATTACCTGCATACATATTACAAGCATATCATCTATATATAGCATGCATGCAAATTACATGTGCATTATGTGTAAATTACATGCATGCTTAACACATGCATATTACATGCATATCACATGCGCTACAGGCATGCATATCACAGGTATATTAAATGTATGTATAACATGCATATCACACGCATGTTACACACATATCACATGTGTATTGCGAACATGCACGCCACATGCATATTGCATGCATGCCACATCACATGTGTATTGCAAACATGCATGCCACCTGCATATTACATGTATGCATAGCACATGCATATCGCATGTATATTGCATTTATGTATTTTGCATGTGTATAGCAAACATGCATATTACATTTGTATTACATGCATATATGCTGCATGCATGTCATGCATGCATATACCATGCATATATGCATGTATATTACATGCATGTTGCACACATATTACATGCATGTATGTAGCATGGATGTCATACTGCATGTGTATCTCATATGTAAAACATATTGCATGCATATTACATGCATGTGCACTATGTGCCTATATTACATGCACACATCATGCATATATATTACATGCATGCACACATCATGCATGTATATTACATGCATGCACACATCATGCATGTATATTACATGCATGCACACATGCATGTATATTACATGCATGCACACTACATGCATATTATATGCATGCATATTAAATACATGTATAACACATGAATATTACATGAAAGTTACCTACATCTTACATGCAAATTGCGTGCATTTTATATATTACCTGTATATTGCAGGCATATGGAATGGAAGCATATTACATGCATGCACGCATGTATATTACATACATGCATATTACACGCATATCACACACATGCATATTACATGCATACACATGACATGTGCCTTTATCACATGCATGTGTTAATACATGCACATTACAGGTATGTTACATGTTACATGCATGCATAAAATGTATATTGCACATGTGTATGGCGCATGTATATTGCATGCATGCACATTACATGCATATGTCATGTATATCTGCATGCTGCATCGCATTACATGCATATCACATCTGTGTGCATTGCATGTATGTTGCATGTATGCAGTTATTGCACCCATATTATATTACATACCTATTACATGTTGGCCAGGCTGATTTTAAAAAACTTTGTAAAGGGCTTCTTATTTTGGAAGATAATTATTGGAAATTTTTAAGAGGCTTGTATTACATGTCTATTACATACATGCATGTCACATGTCTTACATGTATATTACATGGTACATTGCATGTTCCTTGCGTGTATGAGATTTATATTGCATGTGCACATGATACATGTACATTACATGTACAGCACATGTACAGCACATGCATATCACATTGCACGTATGTATATCACATGTATATTACATACGTGCAAAACATGCACATCAAATGCGTACTGCACACATGTACAGCACATGCACATAACAAATATGCACGTTACATGTGTTTTACAAGTCTTAAAAATATATTACATGTATATGTATTTCAGGAACACATGTATATCGCATGTATGTACATTGCATGTATATAGCATGTATATTGCACCCATGCAGCATGCTGCATGCATGTTACATGGATGCCGCATGCATGCATATCACACACATGTATCATGCATGTATGACATGAATGTCATACATATCACACATGCACATTACATGTGTATCACCTAAATGTATGTTGCATGTATGTTACATGTGTGTTGTATGTATATGGCATGTATATTACATGCATGCATATTGTGTGCATATTATATGTATATCCCATGCATATTGCGTTATATTGCATGCATGTCACATGCATGTATGTTACATGCATATTACATGCGTGTATATTACATGCATATTACATGCATGCATAAATATATTGCAGGTATATTGCTCTAACAACACTAATCAAAAGAAAGCTGGAGTCGTGATATTAATACCAGACAAAGCCTATTCCAGGGCAAAGAATTTTGCCAACACTAAAGAAAGTAAATTTACAGTACTTAAAGAGCCATATCAACAGGAAACAAATGCTGAAAATAAAAGAAGCAAAGACTTATTGAAATGCAGGGGTGAATAAACACATGCACAATTACATTTCGAGATTTCAATATCCCTCTCTATCAATAATTGATAGGACAAGTAGACAGACAAGAATAAAGAGCTAGGATAACTAGGATTTGAAGAACACTATCAAGCAGCTAGGCCTAATGGACACTTATGGACTATTCCACCCAATCAAAGAAGAATACACATTCATTTCAAGAGTACATGGAACATTATCAACATAGACTATTCTGGAACATAAAACAAGTCTCCATAAATTTAAAAGGATTCACATCATGCAATGCATATTTTGTGATCATTGTGAAATTAAAAATCAATAAAAGAAAGATATCTGGGAAATCCCCAAATATTTGGAAACTAAATAATGTTTTTCTACACAGCCCATGGACCAAAGAAAAAATAAAATGAGAAATTAGAAAGCATTTTGGATTAATGAAACTGAAAACAAATATCAAAATTAGAGAGATGCTGCTAACAATGTACTTGAAGGAAACTTTATAGAATTAAACATTTGTATTAGAAAATAATATACAGGTTTCAAAACAATGGCATTAGCTTTCACTTTAAAGAACAGTAAAACACAAAATAAGTAGAAGAAAGGAAATAATAAAAATCAAAACAGAGATCAATAAAATGGGAACAGAAGAACATTAGGCAAAAATCAGTGAATCCCAAAGCTGGTTCTTTGAGAAGATCAATAAAATTGATAAACCTCTAGCTAGGCTGGTCAGAAAAAAAGAAACAATACAAATTATCAATATTACAAATGAGAGTGGTTATGTCACTACAGATTTTATATGTGTTAAAAGGACAAGAAACCAGTATCATAAAAGAAGAGAAAAAATAATTTTTGTTTTGTTTTTTGTTTTTTGAGACGGAGTCTCACTCTTGCCCAGGCTGGAGCACAGTGGTGTGATCTCAGCTCACTGCAACCTCCACCTCCTTGGTTCAAGTGATTCTCATGCCTCAGCCTCCCGAGTAGCTGGGATTACAGGCACCTGCCACCACACCCAGCTAATTTTTGTATTTTTAGTAGAGACGGGGTTTCACCATGTTGGCCAGGCTGATCTCGAACTCCTGACCTCAGGTGATCTGCCCGCCTTGGCCTCCGAAAGTCTTGGAATTACAGGCGTAAGCCACTGCTCCCAGCCTGAGAAAAAATTTGAATCCTTACTTCTTCCCAGTATATACAAAATTACTAAAAAGTGATCAAAGTCCTAATGTAAAACCTAAAACTATAAAACTTTCAGAAGAAAACCTTTGTGACCTTGGGTTAGAAAAAGATTTCCTAGATATGACACCAACAGCACAATTTATAAAAGAACAAATACTGTAAACACAGTAGACTTCATCAAAATTAAAAACACCTGCTTTTTGAAAGAAACCATTAAAAGAATGAACAGGCAAGTCACAGACTGGGAGAAAATATGCAAAAACATCTATCTAATAAAAGACTGGTAAGCAGAATATATCATGAAATCTCAAAACTTAATTATAAGAAAACAGTCAACCCAATTTAAAAATGGACTAAAGATTTGAACACTTTCCAAGGTAGATAGGCATATGGCCAATAAGGACATGAAAACCTTTTTAACATCATTAGTCACTAGGAAAATGCAAGTGAAAACCACAATAAGATACTACTACACACTTGTGAGCGTGGTGAAAATTTAAAACACTGATGATATCAAGTTTTGGGAAAGATGTGGAGGGACTGGAAAAACGATACATACTGTCTGCTTCCATTTATCTAAAATTCTGGAAATTGAAATATAAGGACAGGAAATCAGTGGTTGCCTGGATATGGGGAGGTGGAAAGGGGTAGACCAGAAGGATGGCATGAGAGCAGGAGAGAACAAGAGAACGTTTGGGGTGATACATATGTTCACACGTATATCTTTTTTGAATTGGTAGTTTCATGAGTATGTACATAGTTCAAAATATATGAAACTGTATACTTTAAATATGTGAAATTTATTGTATGACAATTCTAACTAAATAAGTGTGTTAAAATGGCCCTTAAATGTAATAAAATGTTTAATCTCACTTACAAGAGTACTGCAAATTAAAACCGTGTCATTATTTCTCACCTACCAGATTTACAAAAATGTTTAAATTGTAACAACATTCTACTTGGGAGTCTAAAAGGCTTCGCTGTTTTCTTACTTCTTTTTTTTTTTAAGACAGGGTCTCACTTTGTCACCCAAGCTGGAGTGCAGTGGTGAGATCACAACTCACTGCAGCCTCAGCCTCCCCAGCTCAAGCAATCCTCCCACTTCAACCCCCCAAGTGGCTGGGACTACAGGCACACACCACCACGCCAGTTAATTTTTTTGCATTTTTTGTAGAGACAGGGTTTTGCCATTTGTCCAAGCTGGTCTCAAAATCCTGAGCTCAAGCAATCTGCCCGCCTTGGCCTCCCAAAGTGCTGGGATTACAGGTGTGAGCGACTGTGCCCAGCCCAAAAGGCATCCTCCTTATTTGCAGCCAAGAGAAACTTAAGTCAGTGTAACCTTTATGGAGGAAAATTTGCCACTACATAACAATACTATATACATGTCATTTTGACCCAGTATTCCCACTCCTAAAAAGTTACCCTGAATCTATATCCCAAACAATACAAAAATTCATATCCATTAGGTTATTCATGACAGCATCACATGCAACTGCAAATATTGGGAACAACCTGTATACCCATATGTAGAACAGTGGTTGCATAAACACACTGGCATACTACACTGATGTAAAAAGAACGAGTGACTTCCAGGTTATAATAAATGAAAAAAGCAATGTGTACAAAAGTATCCATGCCTTTCGTGTAAGGAGGAAGAGAAAACAATGAGATATGCATGTATCTGCTTATTTGTGCAGGAACAAACACAGAAATGATCAACTAGAGACTAGTAAGATCATATATCCACAGAAGTGGCTTGGAATGGCAAAGACAACACAGAAGGAATGAAGGTAGGGTGACACCTCTCTGAATATACCTAATAGTCCAGGTCTGGCGTTTGGAATCATATTAATGTTTTATTTACTAAAAAAAAAAAAATGAAATAAGGACAGGAGAGGGAAATTCTGAAATGAACTACAAACAGAAACAAATAAACATACTTGTATTTCAAATGATTAATAATCACACTGAAGGGGGAATAAATAACCAAATCAACTTTAGAATACAATCTTTGGATCATGTGCTCTTGGGCTGAAGACGAAAAGAACACAAAAGAACTCTTAGACTCTAGTTACAGGTTTCTTTCTTCACAGAGATATGGTCTATCAATTGAAAAACCGTTTCCTGCTATTCTAGGTTTGAGCAAATAAGTAAATATATAATGGAAGTCAGGTTTCTCACAGTCAGAGGGTAATAAAACATATAAGAAGAATAAAATAAACTGTTGAATTTGACTAGAAATGGAATTAGTGTGAGTTCATACTTTCTATATATTTAGAGAGATATAGAAATATAGATGTATAAGTATGGGATATGTGTATGATATAAAAACACACATATGTAAATATATAAACAACATACACAAATATATACACACACAGGGATGTATATGTATGTGTCTATATATTCATTTGTTTCCTAATTCCACCTGCTGAAAGGGGCTAAAAGCAATTTCTTTGGAAAGGACAAAAACATACTTTTAGATAATTTCTCAGTGTCAAATAAGAAATCATACTGAAAATCATGAACTATACTGGAACTGAACCACAAAAAATACACTACATATAAAAATGTGTGTGATACAACTTAGCATTTCTTAAAACAATTTAAAACTTTAAATGCATAAGATAGAATAGGAAAAGCAACTGAAAGCCTTTTTTGGAATATTCTGTTTTACTTAAGGTACACTCAGGAGGAGTCCTAATTTGGGACTAAACATAGCCTTGAAATGACATGGCAAAAGCATAACATGTGGAAAAGAAAGGTGATTATCTCCAGGGAAGGAGAGAGAAAAAACCCATACCTATCGTAATTTTTTCTTTAAACAAAAAGAATCTGAAATGAATATCCCAAGAAGTTACCATTTGTTAAATGCGTACACGTGTGCTGGATGTGTTACGCAATCCTCCCGACTTCCCTAATTTGACCTATAAAGTAAGCTCTTCAGCGCTTTCAACGAGAACTGCTGCCCTTTCTTCACACACACTAATCACCATGGACTCGGACAAGCAAGTGTGAACACAGTGTTCAGCCCCCTGCCTCTCTCCCCAGGGAGGGCCTATTGTCAGAATGTCCCCCTCCCCTGCCTTTACAGGCTCTAGTGGGCGGCTCTAGCTGTGACCTGGTGAGCACATTTAATCTAATGAGAAAGGATTCCCAACCTTCACCTGGCCACACACCCAAACCACAACTTCATCTATAGGATTCTTCTATCTTCCTGAATGTGTTCTAAATTTGAGAGGGGAAGAGCATGTTATTTATTGGCCTTGACTGTCTCCCAAATCAAAAACGTTACCCTTTTTTTTAGGTTCTACACAAATTTACAATAACTAGTTTATAGTTGTTTATAGTAGTTTATAACTACAGAAAAAACCTGAAATGTATTGTTCCTAATAAAGCAGCAATGTCATTAATTTTATTTTCATGAATAATCTTCCTTAAAATTTCTAAGGACCCTATAGAAGTATGCCATCTGCATACTAATTCAGACTTTGTTAGTAAGAATTTGTGATAATTTTGACAGGGGTGAGATATTAAAGTTCACCTGTATTTGTTCTTAAAAAGATCTTTTTAAAAAAATACATATTGTAATAACATTATATAGGCCATATTTAATCTATTTTTTAAAGTAAACTTATAACTTTTTCTTTTTTTTTTTTTTTTTTTGAGACAGAGAGTCTCACTCTGTTGCCCAGGCTGGAGTGCAGTGGTGCAATCTCAGCTCACTGCAACCTCCACCTCCCAGGTTCAAGCGATTTTCGTGCCTCAGCCTCCCAAGTAGCTGGGATTACAGGCATGCACCCCCATGCCCAGCTAATTTTTGTATTTTTAGTAGAAACAGGGTTTCACCATGTTGGCCAGGCTGTCTCAAACTCCCGACCTCAGGTGATCCGCCCGCCTAGGGCTCCCAAAGTGCTGGAATTACAGGAGTGAGCCACCAGGCCCGGCCACTTTTTAAACAAATGTTTAAAATGCCTTTTAACTCATGGTAACCAAATAAAAACAGCTGTATATTATAAAGACATGAGATCTCAGCGAAGGTGTCTCTTGAGATGGAACTGGAATAAACGAGACTCTGCTATGCATGGTTGCGTTTCTTACAGCATCTGTGCTTCTCTTTGTGCATCTGCCCCGCTTTCCTCTTGGCATCAACACAACTACTCGACACTTTAGCTTGCGTATGGCCCGTAGTGGCTGCCTAGTCAACCTTCCTCATAGAAACGTTCCAGGTTTTCAGCTTCTGCATTGAGTCAGTCTCGCAGTTTTCCAGTTCCGAATTCCCAAGCTTCAGGGAAGAAGAGCAATGCAGTATAGCACAGTGGTTAAGAATAGAGGCTTTAAAGTCAAACACACACAATTTCAAATCCTGGCACCTCCACCAGCTGTGTGACTTAAGCTCTTTGTACCTCAGAACAAAATGATGCGGCTGCCTTTGGATCAGGTGTCCACTCTAGACCCAATGAATGTGGCAGAGAAGGGAAGATGGTCCTATGGCAGAGAACATGGTGGGCAGCAGTCAGAGCTGTGGGCAGGGCAGATTCCCCAATGTGGGGTTAAGTGAGGAATAAGTGGCTGAGTACAGTGGCTCATGCCTATAATCCCGACACTTTGGGAAGCCGAGGTGGGAGGATCCCTTGAAGCCAGGAATTTGAGACCAGCCTGGGCAACAACGTGAGACCCTGTCTTTAAAAATAAAAATAAAAAGGCCAGGTGCGGTGGCTCACACCTGTAATCCCAGCACTTTGGGAGGCTGAGGCAGGCGAATCACTTGAAGTCAGGAGTTCAAGACCAGCCTGGACAACACGGTAAAACCCTGTCTCTACTAAAAATACCAAAACTAGCCAGACATGGTGGCAGGCACCTGTAATCCCAGCTACTCAGGGGGCTGAGGCAGGAGAATCACTTGAACACGGGAGGTGGAGTTTGTGGTGAGCAGAGATACTGCCATCACACTCCAGCCTGGGGGACAAGAGTAAGACTTTGTCTCAAAAAAATTTTTTTAAATAAAAAATAAAATAATTAGCCAGGCATGGTGGTGCATACCTGTAGTCTCAGCCACCTGGGAGGCTGAGGCAGGAGGATCACTTGAGCCCAGAGGTTGAGGCTGCAGTGGGCTATGATCATGCCACTACACTCCAGCCTGGGTGACAGAGCAAGATCCTATCTCTAAAAGAAAATAAGTAATGACATATCTAGTATATGTTGCCATCTTTGAATGATTTGGATCCAATCATTTAAAAAGCACAAAAGGAAAATACTTTGGTGACATAAAGGTAAACATTGGCATTCTATCAGGAAAAGAGCAATGAAGTAGGACTCGGTGTGCCCCGGAGCAAGGCCCAGCTCGGTCACGTGCCAACTTTGCAATATTGGTCAAATTGCTTGAACAATCGGTGAAATCTCTATGAACCTCAGTTTCTTCCTTTCAAAATGCAGATAATAACAAACAGCCACATAGGATTCTTTGGAGGATAAATATATTAAAACCATTTTGTTAACTTGAAAACACTCAAGGAAGTATTATTGTCCTTTATTAGCATATTTTACTCCCCATAAGGGTTACATTTATTTCACACTTCATTGCTAATGCAAATTTTGACTGCAGTAAAACTCAAGAAGCTAAATATATAAACTGCTAAAAAATGGGTTTTGCAAACTCAATTCCTAAGGAAAGCATCCAAGAAATGTAAAAATATGTTCCAAATTAAACCTGTTGTGTGAAAATGTGTCAAAAATGTCTCTGTCAGTAGAGGCCTCTTGACCATCATATTCTACTGACACTCATTTAAAGCAGTATGTTTTTGTGAGAAGTGCTGAGTTCTCTAAAGACATATCTACAAAGAAATACTTCACAGAATGAAAATTTCCCTCTCAACTGGAAGCAAGGTAACCACACATTGCTCTCTTCTCTTCGAGCTTTACATTGTGCTTCTTGGAGGGTTAAGCCAGCATGTTCACTGGAGCAAAGGAATGTTTACAATAAACTGGAAACCTTGCCTGCTCTGGATCTAAAATGGTTGCAGATGCTCAAGCAGAGAGGAGAAAAGAGAACAGCTGCTCCCCACCCCCACCATTGATACTTAAGAGAGCTATTTTTAAGAAGAAAATTATATTCAGAGGTTTTAGGCATTTTGTTTATTTTTAATTTTATTTATTTATTTATTTTTTGCTTTTTGAGACAAGGTCTCACTCTGTCACCCTGGGTGGAGTGCAGTGGCAATCAGTTCACTATAACCTCAAACTCCTGCAATCCTCCCACCTCAGCCTCCCAAGAAGCTGGGACTACAGGTCCACACCTCTACGCGGGTCTATTTTTATTAAAAAAATTTTTGGTAAAGATAGAGTCTCACTATGTTGCCCAGGCGTGTCTTGAACTCCTGGCCTCAAGCAATCCTCCCATCTCAGCTTCCCAAAGCTCTGAGATGACAGGTGTGAGGCCACTGTGTCTGGCCTTAGGCTCTTTCTAAATGGTAGGGATAACTTTTCTCAGTATCACACAAATTATTATATCAATACAAAACTGAATACCTTAAATGTGCCTACCAGAAAAGAATGTAAATTCTTGTTATTGCCTTCTAGTAATTTAGCTATTATTTTCAACTTAAAACATAACGATTCCAGTTACAAGAAAAGCAAACTATTATATTCCCAGTAAATTTAGAAAATTATTAAAATGAAACATCTTTAATATATAATAAACATATAGTCACATCATAGCCACAACCTGCAAAATGAATGAGTACCCAATATGGGTAAGATAAACCTTGCATGATGAATTGGAACATCCTCTGGTAAAAAATAGTTTGAAACTATTAATAATAGTTTCAAACGCTATCACCATTCTAAACTACACGATTTCGTCATAATAAAGCAAGCTAAGGAACAATTAACTTACCAAGTAAAGAACTTAAAATGTTTCTAATTATAATCACATAACACCCCATTAAAAAAGAAAAAGCCAAATCAAAGAATCAGACATCAAAAGGCCATTAGGTCTCTCGATACAGACCATTTCCAGACCTAGTTTACTCCACATAAAACTCCATTGGGGCGTTTTCATTTTTCACTAAGAATAGAGATATATGGTTCAAATTACTGTTTCTTCAAAGTCCCTCGACATTTGTGTATTCTACAACTAAAATGAATAAATTTTATATCAAGTAATAAAAAACTTGAGGATTCAGGCTTTAACAGTAACCAGTTTTAAAAGACCATTGTTAAAATTCATGACATCAAACTTCAGGGACTATGATTTAGGAAGGAATAAAGGAAATTCAATGAGGAAATAAACACAAGTTTTTGAAGGATAGAAATGTTTGACATTTATTTATCTATTGTTTATTATAATCTGACAAAATCTTTCTTCCAGAAAATTAGGTCTGTTTGCTGTACCTCTAACCTCATGCTTGGACATTAATATGGCATCAGACTCATGCCCTTGGAACATGTTATTCCTTCTGGTTGGAAAATTCTCTCTCCTCCACCAGTTTATTTTCTGTCCCTTCCTTCAAAACTTAGCTTATTGGCAAGAAATATTCAGGGAAGTAAGCTTTTCTCCAATGTCACTTTGATCATATACTCTGTTACCAATTCTTCAACCATTGACCATTTGGGGGAATTTAAGGTCTCCCTCAAAATGTACCACCAGGCTCTGCGCTTTCTGTTCCAGCTGGCTCATCTTCTCAGCTTTTTTTTCTTTTTTTGAGGGGGACAGAGTCTCACTCTGTCACCCAGGCTAGAGTGCAGTGGCACGATCTCCACTCACTGCAACCTCTGCCTCCCAGGTTCAAGTGATTCTCCTGCTTCAGCCTCCCAAGTAGCTGGGATTACAGGTGCCGGCCACCACACCCAGATAATTTTTATGTTTTTAGTAGTGACGCTTCTATTAAAGAAATGTCTTTAGTAGAACATGGAGAGGGGTTTCTCCATGTTGACCAGGCTGGTCTTGAACTCCTGACCTCAGGTGATCCACCCGTCTCAGCCTCCCAAAGTGCTGGGATTACAGGCGTGAGCCACCACGCCCGGCCATCTTCTTAGGTTTCTTCACATACACCCTTGCACTCTCCATCTCTACATATTAGTTCATGATCTTCTAACTTCCTGGGTAATTTTACTATATGGAAGAATAAATCTATAGGGTATACAAGCCACTGTGTTCAGGATATAACTTGGGAACACCATTAGGAAGAGATCTACTATTAAAATTAGTACCAGATTAACAGTTAACTTATGGAAATTTATTACTTATGAAACTTATTTTCTGAGTCTCTATGAAGAAACCAGCATATTCGATAGCTAATAGCCAACATATCTATGAGAAGTCACCAACATGGAAGATGTTTTTCCTATATTTCAGAGCACTATTTAATTTTGCTTTCTTCCTTTAAAATTTAACACACAGGCTTAAGTCCAAAGTGAACCTAATTGAGGTTGAAGAAGTATTGTTTCGGTATGGCTGATCTTTTCTCAGTCGTGGTTTTTGATTTTTTTGTTTGTTTGTTTTTGAAATGGAGTCTTGTTCTGTCACCCAGGCTGGAAGGCAGTGGCACAGTCTCAGCTCATTGCAGCCTCCACCACCCAGGTTCAAGTGATTCTCCTGCCTCAGCCTCCCAACTAGCTGGGATTACAGGCATGCGCCACCATGCCCAGCTAATTTTTGTATTTTTAGTAGAGACGGGGTTTCGCCATATTGTCCAGGCTGGTCTCGAACTCCTGACCTCAAGTGATCCATCTACCTTGGCCTTCAATCATGTTTTGGTTGTAAAACTTCATTTATCATTGTGATTGGCACTATTTTTTGGATTTGCAAATATATAAAAAAATTTAAAATAAATACATAAATGAGCTGCTACAGGAAAAGATGGCAATACTGACATAGTAAAAATGGCCAGCAAGTATAACAACCTAACGATTTATTGTAACTTTCTGGGTATAAGATAATGGTGTTTTTATTTACTATATATTTTTAAATATTTTTCTTTTTAATTTTTGTAGGTACATAATAGGTATATATATTTATGGAGTATATGGAATATTTTAATACAGGCCTAATATGTGTAATAATCACATCAGAGGAAATGGGGTATCCATCACCTCAAGCATTTATCCTTTGTGTTACAAACAACCCAATTATATGCTATTTTTTATGATAATAACTATACATGGATGGATATGGAAGGTAAAAATTCGTCAGAGTGCTTTTGGTACTGATTAGCAGAGAAAAATGTGCTTTATGATAGCTGGCATAAGACATACAGGCAAAATATCCCCGAAGTAGAGAAGGGCAACTTGCCCAACTTAACTGCTTATCCTAACTAGATAGAAACACCATTTAAGAACACACAATTCTCTTAGTTATAATTCTATGATTATCAGACAACATTTCAACTGATGGTTTGAATTCTTGAACAGACTAGCCCACTAGAAAAACATATTTTTATCAAGTGCCTGGAAACCCTTTAAATAATTTTCAATGGCTTTTCTCCTTTTGTGGGCGATAGCTGCAGTTCCAATTAGGGTAAAAGGGAAATGTGTGTGCCAACTGCCAGAGTATTATTTTGGAGACCAATACTGAAAGCCAAGTATACAAACAGTAAGCTGTCCCAGCAATTCCACTCCTGGGTATATACACAAATAATTGAAAATAGGTACTCAAGCGAGTAATTATACATAAATATTCATAGCAGCACTATTCACAATAGCCAAAAGGTAGCAACAACCCAAATGGCCATCAATAGTTGAGTAGGTAAACTAACTATGGTATATACACACAATGGAATATAATTCAGCCATCAAAAGGAATGAAGTGACAATATTTGCTGCACTGTAGATGAACCTAGAAAACATTACACTAAGTGAAAGTAGCTCCGGACACAAAAGGTCACATATTGTATGATTCCATTTCTATGACATATCCAGGAAAGATAAATCCCTAGAGACAGAAAGCAGAATGGTGGTTAGGAGGATCTGACAGAAGGCGGGGAATGGGAATCCACTGCCTAATAAGTATAGGATTTTATTTGTGATGATGAAAGTGATCTGGAACTAAATAGAGGTAGTCATTGCACAACAACGTGAATGTACTAAATGTCACTGAATTGCTTACTCTAAAATGTCAATTTTATGTTATGTAAATTTTACCTCAATTTAAAAATAAATGACTGTAGCTGTAACTGTGGAGCAGGAGTCCAAATTCAAATGCCTACAGGGGCCAACTAACAAAAATGAGGACAGTGAACCAAAGACCGCACGCCCGCCATGTAATTATATTCCTTTAATGTTGTTTAATTTTTGCCTTTTAGTCTTTTATATAGTTGGGATATGTGTCCCCTCCAAATATCATGTTGAAATGTGACCTTCCAATGTTGGAGGTAGAGCCTAGTGGGAGGTGTTGGCTTATGGGAGTGACTCCCTCATGAATGTCTTGGTGTCAGTCCCTTGGTGATGAGTGGGTTCTCACTCTATTGGTTCATGCCAGAGATAGTTGTTTAAAAGAGTGTGGCAACCCTTCCTCTCCCTCCTGCTCCGTCTCTTGCTCTGTGACATACCTACTCCCCCTCCACCTTCTAACCATGAGTAAAAGCTTCCTGAGGTCCTACAAGAAGCAGATGTTGGCACCAAGCTTCTTGTACAGTCTGTAGAACTATAAACCTCTTTTCTTTATAAATCACCCAGCTTCAGGTATTCCTTTATATCAATGCAAAATGAAATAAAGGAATCAGAGAAAATGGAGACTAACAGTCTTTTCTCCGCTTTTCCTGACCAGTCTAACAGAGACCTGTTTAATTTGTTCACTTATTTTATTAAATTGGTTTTGTTATCTCTCTACATTGTGTTTCTGATTTCACTGATCTCTGCTCTTAGTTTTACTATATTTTTCACACTTACTTTGTTGCTTTTTATCTAGTGTTTTGAGGTTAAGGCTTAGCTTATTTCAGTCTAGATACCAATTTAAGATACTCTACAACATTTGATGAGTAATGCTATCATTATCTTTCAGTTTTAAATATTTGACAATTTTATTGTGATTTTCTTTTTAACCATAACTTATTTAAAAATACAATTTTACATTTCCAAACCTAAATCCAAGGGTTTTTTTTAAACTGGCTGCTTATTATTGATTTCTAATTTGATTGCACAGAGAACATAAAATGTTGTCTCTATGACAGTGATACTTTAAAGGCAGTTGTGACTTCTAATATAACCAATCAGTTCCACTTGTTGCCTTGACAAGGCAGGGGTCAGTGGTGCCAGATCTCACATAGTTCAAAAGAAACTAGAAATCTAAAATTTATGTGAAATCTTCTGATTTTATAATGTTGGCAACTAATTGAAAATTTTCGAAACGTTGCACAGGCCAAACTAAATATATATGCAGATGACTCAACCTGCAGCCCAGGAATTTATAACATCTGCTGGAAAGCCTGAACCTGAACAGAAGACCGACAAAACAGACAAGAAAAAAAGCACAAAAGCAGCAAAGATAAGAGTAAGCTACAGGAGAATATTATGAAAGAAAGGAATGGCTTATATGACACAATCCTGGAACTCTGCCTAACACAAATTTTAAAGTAGAATTTTAAAATTGGAACATACATAAAAATATTAAAATATCATATATTAATAAGTGCCATAAAGAAAATTAAGCAAATAGCCCAAGGCCAAGATACACATTTGTATAGCATTGCTGTAAGGATGGCACAGAATGATAGTTACTGAAGCTATACTTTCGAACTGGATTGTCTCATGAAATAATCTAGAGTAAGACAAGAGTAGGATGAACATGCAAAAAAGACCAAGAGGGATGACGAAAACCAAAAGAATGTGTGCCACAGAAAATGAAGAAGAAAATGTCCTGAGGAAGAAAGACTGAACAAAATCCAGATTGGAGGTCACTGGTATCCCTAGGAGGAGAAGTTTTGGTAACATCAGGGAATAACCCAAACTGCATTGGCTTGAAGGTAGATGATGAGAAATCTGAGGCAATGAGTAAAATAACTCCTTAAAGAAACCTGAATATAAAAGCAAAGAAAGAGAGAGAAGCCGCAGTTGAAGGGGTTGGAGTGAGATTAAGAAAAAAGTTTTAAGATGGATACTTACTCATGTCTAAGTGTTGAAAGGACCAATGTAGTTAAGAGATACCAAGAGGGCCCTGAATTAGACTTCAAAATGGAGGAAGATGCAATAATTGTAAGAGGAAGCAAAGAACTGGTGGAAGGATTGGTACAAAGAAAACACCCTATAAATTAACAAAATACAAGAAGGCAAGAGTTTAAAAGAAGAACATTAATGAAACCAGAAACAATATTTTGGCCTGGAGTCACAAGAATAGAAGTAGTATCACTTTTACATCTAACTAGTGGTGGATGACAGGAGAGGTAGAGGAGGACCACTTGTCAGTCTAAAAGTGATGGCTAAGGTTTTACTATACACTCCATGAACAAATGGTGCCAGGAATAATTTTTTAAGGGATAAAAGCTTCAGAAGAAGTTGTCTATGGTCTACTATATTAATAAAGCATATATTCAATGGTGTGAAAAATCAAAGAACCGTTCATGACAACAGAGAAAATGATGATGTTTCTGGAGTAAAAGAAAAACCATTTGGGAGATCATGAGTCAGTCTTTGATTCACTTATTAATTTTGTAGAAAGCTAACCGTGTTCCACTGCTCAGGAGGTCATACAGCTCTGCATGCCTCACTCCATCCTCTTGAAGATGAGGCATAAGACCACAAAGCAAGCTGAGATCAAGGGCTTTTGTTTTTTTTTTTTTTAAGAAATCAAGTTTCAAAGTAATGGAAAGGTCAGTGTGCATTTAGAGTTTAGGCCTACAAACTAATCTGTGATTGAATCTACAGCAAATCACGATAATTTATTCCAAAAGTGATGATGCTGACTTATCCTAAACTTATCCATTATGCAACTGTAAAGAGAATTGAAGTAATAGATCACATTTCAAAAAGAATCCTATCAAAAAATCTCAGTAAGAATAGCTCTAGGTTTCATAGATAAAATGATATCTGGCTAACATCTCTCCAATAGTCTCCCCCAAGTGCTCACTAAAATACCTAGAAAGAGAAAGGGGGAAAAAAAATAAAACATCGCAAGAACAGTAATAACTCAGATAAACAGAAAACACAGTGAAAGAACCTGGGCAGAATCTCCAACAACTATAAAGTACATGGAAATAGACTAATTAAAAATATATCTATACAGATCTACCTGAAAGCAAATGTAAATTAGCTTCAGGAAACAGAACCTAAGAAAAATTATATAGGAAGACACATTCTACCTCCCTCAAGTCAAAGATTCTGTGTTGAAAAAAATCAAAATATTTACTATGTGTGATTCTTCTATGATAATGCTTTTTCCTTCCATGGTGGTACGTTTTTCTAACATCTACTAGTGTTTCACACACAATCATTCAGAGCCAGCAACTCCCAAAATGCATCGGATTAAAGTAAAGTACAAATGATGTTGGTGTACTATATGTAGGGAGCCATCATCTCCACAGCTAAAGGAATATACTTGGACACAAAAAGAGGGAAAACAATCTGAGTTCAAAACATACTGAGAACTATACGATTCATTATTTCATTCAAAAAATCAAAGACTTATAATATAAGTTATAAAAAGATATATCACTAGTAAAGCAGAGTTTCTACAGGTAAAATAATCCTAGAAACTGGGAACTTCACTGGCAGCTGACCAATGTTTTTATCCACCTGAAAATCTTCAAGAGAATATGACCATTATACAAGTTGACATGGAGAAGACACAAGACAATCCATACCCAAAATACACAGTAGACTAATATCAGAAAGTCCCTAGAAAAGTGTACAAACAGTGAGAGCTCAACAAGTGTTTGTTAAATAAACGAAACACCAAGACTTTACAAAATCTCCCTTATTCATTATTGAGTAATGAGAAAAAAATACCAGTTGGAGACTAAAAGCTATTGTAGAACCAGGGGAAAAGAACAACATCCTATAAACACAGAATAAAAATATACCATCAAAATAATCTAATATCCAGAAGAAAATATCAGAAAAGTATGAGGAATCGTAAAGAAGACCGTCTCTATGAAATACAAGGTAAAATCTTAAGAATTAGCTAAGACAAAAAGAGAACAGAATAATATTTAAAAGGGGATATGATTAAGATGAAAAATAGAAAAGAAGCAAAAATGCAGAGCACAATAAAAATTCATAATGGAAGTGGCAAAGAGCAAAAATGCAAATCAGTGATGTTGTAAACCATCCCATATACTCAGAGGACAAAAACAACACATGAAAATATGAGAAAGAAACTAGAAATATGAAAGAATGATAAAAGAGCTACAAAAGTGAAAATGGAAAATAAATGCTAAAAAAAGGAAAACAATATTAGAAATAAACTAAGCTTAAACTTTTTAAGGGAAAATTTAAAATGTTGATGTCTTACTGTATCCTAGCACAAACAGAAAAAAAGAGAATTACATCTGATTCAGATTTCTGGTTTCAAAATGGCGGCATAGAAGCTGGCTTCACTCTCCCACACAGAAAACCAAAAACAAACAGACAGCACTGAGATTATCACCAGCAATATCACAGAACTCAAATATGAGAATGAGGCAGTTCCCAGGACCACAGGGAAGTAAAAAACAACTCTGAGCAGAGAGTAGGAGAACCACACTTCCATGTATACAATGTCCCTCCCCTCCAATCTGCCCAGGCATACAGAAAATTTCCCCTCGACCCAGAGTTTCCACACTAGAAAAAGATCAAGGTGGACAACCAGCTTCTCCAACATATTGGGTTCCCTGGCAGAGGACCTGTCTCTGCCTTAAGCCACAGGAAACATTGTGAGTTCCTGAAGGGAGAAATATTCCTGAGGATAGCCAGAGACAAAGGGAGAGGTGAGTCTATCATTCTCAGTCCTGGAAACTCTGTTCTGTAACTTGGCCAAAAAAGACACCAAATCAGAGTGACTGTTCAACAGCCCAGGTCCCCTAGGCACAAACTCCTAACCCGCCTTCCCACACTACTAGGATATCCCATTTAGGACTTTCCATATTCAGGACAGGTGGCACTCTGATTGTTTACTAGAACCAAGCAAAACCTGGGCTTAAGGTGCCATCTAGTGACAAAAAGGAGGCAGTGATCTAGCGAGATAAGAAAGAAAGAAATCAACAAATCAATTATAATGAATCACTAAAGCAAACATATCCAATAAAAAACAAAACAAGTCAGGCAAGGAAAACTGAATAAATAACTAATCCTTCAATGCAAAGACACAGATGAACATCCTCAAGAAACAACAGCAAACAACGAACCATGAACTCCTCAAAGAGACAGAGCAAGGAACCAGCAACTGACTAGTATGAAATGATATGTGAACTCTCTGACCAAGAATTCAATATAGCATTTTTAAGAAAACTCAGTGATCTCCAACATAACACAGAAAAGCAATTCATAAATTATCAGAGAAATCTAACAAAGAAATTAAAATAATTGTTAAAAGATCAAACAAATCTTAGAGTTGAAAAATACATTTGCTGAACTGAAAAATTCATTTGAGACTCTCAATAGCAGAATGGTTCAAGCATTGAAAGAACCTGTGAGCTTGACAACTGGCTACTTGAAAACACACATTGAGAGGAGAAAAAAGAAAAAAGAATGAGAAAAAAAGATCTCCTACAAGATACAGAAAATTATCTTAGAAGACAAAATCTAAGAATTATTGGTGTCCAAGAGGGAGTTGAGAAACAGTGAGAGGTAGAAAGCTTATTCACAGAAATAATAAAAGAAAACTTTCCAAAACTTAAGAAAGAGATAAATGTCCAGGTACAAGAAGGTAAGAAAGCACCAAACAGGGCCAGACGTGGTGGCTCACGCCTGTAATCCCAGCACTTTGGGACGCTGAGGCGGGCAGATCACCAGGTCAGGAGATCGAGACCACCCTGGCTGACACATGGTGAAACCCTGTCTCTACTAAAAATACAAAAAAATTAAAAAAAAAGCCAGGTGTGGTGGTGGGCACCTGTAGTCCCAGCTACTTGGGAGGCTGAGGCAGAAGAATGGCATGAACCCAGGAGTCAGAGCTTGCAGTGAACCAAGATTGCACCATTGCACTGCAGCCTGGGAGACAGAGTGAGACTCCATCTCAAAAAAAAAAAAAAAAAGAAAGAAAGAAAAAAGAAAACACCAAACAGATTTGACCCAAATAAGACTATCCCAAGGCCTATAAACATTGGGCACTCAAAGGCCAAGACAAAGAGAGAATCCTAAAAGGAGCAAGAGAAAAGAAGCAAATAATTTAAAGAAGCTCCAATTCATTTGGCAACAGACCTCTCAGGGAAAACCATACAGCCCAGGAGGGAGCAGGATGACAGTTTCAAAGTTCAGAAAGAAAAAAAAAACTGTCATACAAAAATGCTATATACAGCAAAACTATCCTTCAAATATGAAGGGGAAATAAAGTCTTTCCCTGACAAACAAAAGCTGAGAGAATTCACCAACACCAGAACCATCTTACAACAAATGCTAAACAGAGTTTTTCCATTAGAAAGAAAAAAATACTAACGGGCAAAAAGAAAACATTTGAAGGTAAGAAACCCACTGGTAAAATTAAGTATATGAACAAACCCAGAATAGTCTAATACTGTTAACTGTGCTGTGCAATTCACTCATAACTCTAGTATGAAGCCAAAAAGACAAACCTATAAAAAACAATACTACCTACAGGAACCTGTTAAGAGACGGGCAATATAAAGATGTGTAATTGAGACAACATAAAGTCTAAATGTGGAGAGATAAAGTATGTAAGTTTTTTCATTTTTTGTTTTTTCCTATACTTTGAGATCTAAGATAAATTTTCATCTCTTTAAAATAACTTGTTATCGCTATAAAATGCTTTTTGTGAGCCTCATAGTAACCACAATGCAAAAACCTATAATAGATTTACTAAAAATAAAAAGCAATTAATTAAAACATACCACCAAAGAAAATCATGTAACCATAAAGGAAGAAAGGGAAAGAGAAGTTACCAAACAACCAGAACACAAACAACAAAATAATAATATTTAAGTCCTTACTGATCAATAATAACATTGAATGTTAATGAACTCAATTCTCCAATAAAAAGGCATAGAGTGTAGGGCAGAGCAAGATGGCTAAATAGAAGCTTAAGTGATTCTTCCCCTCAACAGAAACACCAAATTTTAACAACTATGTATAAAAAGAACCATCACAGGAACCAAAACTCAGGTGAGCAATCACAGTATCTACTTTTAATTTCATATGGCTGAAAGATACATCAAAGAGGGCAGGAAAAACAGTTTTGAATTGCTGATGCCACTCCTCCCCCATCCACCAGCCAGATAGCATCTGTGCTCTTGGGAGAAGGAGAGCACAGAGATTGTGAGGCTTTGCATTGAACTTAGTGCTGCTCTGTCATGGTGGAAAAGAGAACCAGGCTGTAGTCAGCTGACATCTGCCTGCAGAGAGGGCACCTGGACTGGCCCATGCCCAGAGGTGAACCGCTCATCCCAAAGGTCAGAACTTGAGTTCTAGCAAGCCTTGCCACCACAAGCTGGAGTGCTCTGGGACCTTAAGTGAACTTGAAGGGCAGTCTAGGCCATAAGGACTGCAATTCCTAGGGAAGTCCCAATGCTGAGCTGGGCTCAGAGCCAGTGGACTAGAGGGGCACACAACCTACTGAGACACCAGCCAGAAAGGCTGAAGGGAATGCCTGTATCAGCTCTCCCAAGCCCTGGGCAGTGGCCATCTGGCATGGAGAAATCTGTGTGCTTGGGAGAGGAGGAGAGCAGCGACTGGGGAACTTCACATTGAACTCAGTGCTGCCCTGTCACAGCGGAGATCTGGCAGGATTCATCACCTGCTAACTAAAGAGCCTCTGGTCCCTGAATAACCAACAGCAATACCCAGATAATACACCTTGGGCATCAGGCTCTGAGATGTCCTGGCTTCAGAACTCTGGATAGGTTCATTTTATCACAACCTTCTATTACAATGGTATACAAAATAATTCTCTTTTGGATTACCCTAGAACTTGAGTGGCCACGACAAAGAATAAACTTTTTAAATAATTTAACTATAATATAATTCAGCAATTTCTGGTTACTTTTAATCGAACTTTGATATAATTCATTGAATTCTAGGTAAGTGGAATCCAAGTTGATTTCATACATGTCAAATATTTCCCTCTTGCTCCCCAACTCTATACAGTATCTATGTTGTGAGAGGTAACGTTATACTCATATATGAAAATCTGACATATTTTGGTTGAATGATACGTTATAAATTGCATGTGTTCCTAATTTTAGTAATAGTAGCAATAGAAAAAATATATTCAAAAGTTACAAACTTAATTAATCTTTAAATATATATGCATCAGTTAAAAACAGCACCATATCTTCTTTATTAAGTATCATAAGTTATAGGTTACTTTTATATTCTGGTAGAATAGTATTTAGAACTAATCTTTCAAGAATACTTTTTGAAAGTTCGAATTTGTTTTCTAAACAGAATAAAATTTCTTATGAAGGAGACCCTACAAAGGTGTTTTCACTTACATATTAGGTACAGAAATCTTTGTGTTTACTATTCAAGTTTGCAGGCTTCCTTTTAGGCTATTTCTAGATGTCTCCTTAATTCAATTTTTTTTCCATTTTAAATATTACTATTAATTTCTTGAGATATTTTTCACCAACCTTACAAACAAAATGATCAAGTCACAATTCCTCACTTTGGCAATTTTAAAACTAAATTCAGATTTATACTATTCAGTTATACTTTAAAATCCCATACAAGACCAATTTAACCTAGCTTTCCCTGTCTACCAAAATTCAAAATTCAAGCTCCTAGGTAAACTGGAAGGCTGTCTGCTTTTAATACAACTTCATCCAAATTTTTGCAGTAGGCAATGTTCCATTAAAAAAAAAAACAAACCTAATCAAAATGAAGTTCACTCTTTCTATGAATAATCACAAGATTGTTTAGTATTCCATTTAAGTCTTTTATTAAGATTAGCGTCTAGCAAATAAAAGTACAAAAACAGTCATTATGACTTTGCAGTTTTAGTATCTTTAAGGTATTCCTATTTGAAGATTAATCCCTATTTCCCCTAATATTATAAATGTTGATTTATAACAACAAACAAGCAACAAAAGATAAATGAAGAAGATTTAAAAGTGTCATAGGAAAGCTTTTTCACTCATGTTTAAAAATATAACTTCTTTAAAAATATAACTTTAGGGGTAAATAATGTTTTTCCACTGTAATGGAATATTATAAAAACTATGCATATTAAGCAAGAAAAGATATGTTTCCAAGAAGCTATATGTCAGTTTGTTGGAAAAATAACAAGTAAAAGTGAAGAAAGGCCTCCAATAACTCCAATAACTTCTTCCCTTTGGTCTCAAACTGACTGGGTTCACTCACTTCTATTGGTTCTTTGATAATGCCAATGAATAGTCTAAAATTTCTGCTTACTCCAGGGACTGAATTAGGTACAGAAATCTTTATGTTTACTATTCAAGTTTGCAGGCATCCTTTTAGGCTATTTCTAGATGTCTCCTTAATTCAATTTTTTCTCCATTTTAAATATCACTATTAATTCCTTGAGATATTTTTCACCAACCTTACAAACAAAATGATCAAGTCACAATTCCTCACTTTGGCAATCTTAAAACTAAATTCAGATTTATACTATCCCGTTATACTTTAAAATCCCATACAAGACCAATTTAACCTAGCTCTCCCTGTCTACCAAAATTCAAAATTCAAGCTCCTGGGTAAACTGGAAGGCTTAATTCTTCCCACATATGTGTATTCTTTTTTGTTTTTTATTTTTACTTTTAAGTTCGAGGGTACATGTGCAGGATGTGCAGGTTAGTTACATATGTAAATGTGTGCCATGGTGATTTGCTGCACCCATCAACCCGTCACCTAGGTATTAAGCCCAGCATGCATTAGCTATTTTTCCTAATGCTCTCTCTCCCCCACCTCACCCCCTAACAGGGCCCAGTGTGTGTTGTTCCTCTCCCTATGTCCATGTGATCTCATTGTTCAGTTCCCACTTATAAGTGAGAACATGTGGTGTTTGGTTTTCTGTTCCTGCATTAGTTTGCTGAGGATAATGGCTTCCAGCTCCATCCATGTCCTTGCAAATGACATGATCTCACTGCTTTTTATAGCTGCATAGTATTCCATGGTATATATGTACCACATTTTCTTTATCCAGTCTATCATTGATGAACATTTGGGTTGATTCCATGTCTTTGCTACTGTGAATGGTGCTGCAATGAACATATGTATGCATGTATCTTTGTAATAGAATGATTTATACTCCTTTGGGTATAATATGTGTATTCTTAACAAAACATAAAAGCATGATGAAGATATATACCCAGCAGAAGTGTGTATATTTAGTTACCAAAAGAAACATATAAGAATGTTCATTGCAGCACTATTAATAATATCCCCAAACCAGAAGCAGCCCAAATGAATATTGACAGTAGAATGGATAAATATATGGTGGTATATTCACCTTGAAACACTATTCAACAAATGAGCATGTAAAAACTACAATGATACACAACAATATAAATGAATCTCACAAACCTAAATATTGAGCAAAAGAGGCCAGGCACAAAAAACTGCATTCTGTATGATTTTATTTATGTGCAGTTCAAAAATAGATAAAAAGTGAAAATAGTGGCTGCTCTTGAAGGTGGGGCAGTGACGGTTAGGGGCTTGGGAGGGAGGCTTCTGCAATGCTGTTAATGTTCAGTTTCTTGATCTAGGAGCTGCTTACATGGGTGTGTTCAGTTTGTGTGCTTTTTGGTATGTATGTTATACTTCAGTAGAAAGTTATAAAAACCATGAGACTGCAGGATAAGTCCCCTCAATAAACTTCGGTTCATAGGAAAAAAAAAAAAAACTGCATGGAGTCAGAAAAGGGGTGTTATATGTCAATATCAGATACATATGAGCAGAAGACATCTCCAGTTCATGGCCAATACGGCTTGTGGCTAGGGTGTTTTCTAAAACCCATAATCTGAGATGAAATAAACATCCTAATCTGGGCATGACAGTAAGATTTCAAAGGACAGGATTAGTGCAAGTCTAGAAATGTCACCATGCACTTTTTCCCTTGCATAGTTAGGCTTTCATTGAGTTGACCACATATGTGGTTTACCTCTCAATCTGTGGGACCTCAAAACATCATTTGGCTTCTTTTTGTTGTTGTTATTGAGACAGGGTCTTGCTCTCTTACCCAAGCTGGAGTATGGTGGCGTGGTCATAGCTCACTGCAGTCTCCAACTCCTGAGCTCAAGCAATTCTCCTGCCTCAGCCTCCTTAGTAGCTAGGACTATAGAGGCATGTGCCACCCAGCCAGCTAATATTGTTGTTGTTTTTAGAGATGGGGTCTTGCTACATTGCCTAAGCTGGTTTCAAACTCATGGCCTCAAGCAATCTTCCTGCCTTGGACTTCCAAAGTGCTGGGATTTCAGACATGAGCCATTGCACACAGCCCTCATTTAACTTCTAATAGGAATTTTGTCCACAACGTACAGAAAAATAGTTCTAGGAGAATAGGATGTGGGGGAAAATAGGAAACACACGGAGAGCCAAACATGTAAAAAAGAACACACTCATGGCACTTCCTTGAAAGGAAAAGAACATTCCAGTTTCAACACTCCCTGTCAAGTGATTACAATACTAAGTGATCATTTGGGGCAGTTCATTTGTATCCCTGCCTGCTGTGGGGCCACTTTCGGTTCTCTTTCTCTCTCTGGTGCCATTGGCCTAATCACAAGTGAGAATGCTGCCTCTAAGGGCTCCACCATCAACCCCTGAACTAAACATCTTTCATGTGCCCCTTCGGCACACTCATTACCCTTTTGCACCCAGTTCTGTGCCCCAGGGGTGAGTCCCTTTGATCTCCATCAAACCCGAAGAGCTCCCTTGCCTTTGGGTTTCAAGTTGAATTCAGCAAGGAGCCTGATCATCAGAGTCCCATGTTGTTAGGGATTAAAAGAAAATGGAAAGGCTGAAGAGTTCTTGGAGTGGGGTGGGGTGGGGGGTGGGGAGGCAAGTTTTATTCCCCATTCCTCTCGGAATTCTAACCTGGCTTTGATTGTTTTTGTTCTTCCTTCCTTGGGGACAAGGAAGTGGGTAAATTTATCTTCAAAGATTAAAACTTCACAAAATGTTGGACAAAGGAGAATGATATACAGAAGTGCTCATTTCAAAAAAAGAAAAGGCAAAACTGGATCCTGTTCAAATAGACATCTTTGATATAGGTGGGAAAATAGAAGAGGGTACACCTAGATGTTCTCCAGATAGCGGCTCCCTTGGCTGAGGTTCAAGTATAGTTCAAAATCTACTGCTCCATCTCTGGTCCCTGATATGTCTCCAGTTAGAGCATCAAAAAGTCACCCAGGACAAGTGCTCTTGTTCTAGGGCCCACCCAGCACTTCCCTCAGTGGGCTTATTCAGTCCTCGGAGCATTCTGGGCATTTAGTAGGCAATACAAGAAACAGCAACATCTAAAAACAATTTATCTCTCAAGTTTTATTGAAATTTCTCTTTTACAAAATGTCTGATTTTTACCCTAACGACTGCATCCTCACCCAAATCTCATCTTGAATTGTAGCTCCCATAATTCCCATGTGTTGTAGGAGGGGCCCAGTGGGAGATAACTGAATCATGGGTACAGATTCCCCCATACTGTTCTCGTGCAGTGAATAAGTCTCACGAGATCTGATGGTTTACAAGGGAAAACTCCTTTCACTTGGCTCTCATTCTCTCTTGCCTGCTGCCATGTAAGAAGTGCCTTTCGCTTTCCACCATGATTGTGAGGCCTCCCCAGCCACATGGAACTGTGAGTCCATTAAACCTCTTTTTCTTTATAAATTACCCAGTCTTGGGTATGTCTTTATCAGCAGCATGAAAACGGCCTAATACAATTCCTAAATATTTTTTCATCATGGCGTGTTTTGACTCAAATCCTACACCATGGGGAAAAATATACGTGTGTGTGTGTGTGTGTGTGTGTGTGTGTGTGTGTGTAGTACAATAAGTTAAATTCCAGTGTTTCAAAGTTTTTAAAATCATTATATTTGTATCTTTATAAATCATGAAACAGTATTTAAAAATTCAGTATTTCACTAAAGCCCAAAAACCCCCCCATTATGCAGTATATCCATGTAATAAACCTGCACATGCACCCCCTGAATCTAAAAGAAAATATTTTTAAAATCAATATTTATACTTCAGATTTCCATTTACTCAATCTATGTTATATCTATATGAAACAAAAATATAAAACTATGCAGCTTTTCATCAGCTATCTCTTAGAAATTATTTGTCGAAGTTTATTAACTGTGGAAGAAAAGGTACTCAGATGAGACTGGAGAGTTCCAGAGAAGCTCCTTGTCCTGGCACATCTGATCCGCTGTGGCTGCAGCCAACCTCTCCATCACGGGCTCACCACTGTCCCAGAGTCCACTGTCTCTTACATGGACTATTATGATAGCTTCATCTTCCTTATTTTCCTGCTTCCACTTTCTCATTACTTAAATTTATATTTTCATTCCTGCCAGGATAATCTCCCTAAAGTATAGTTCATTCATGATATTTACTTACCCTGAAATGTTAGGATATTTAGGAATCAAAATAAGTATGCTAAAATCAGATTCAAGTTTACAAAGTAAGATTGATAAATTAAAAGTAGAAGATGAATCTATGTATTTACACATGAATTCACACAAGAAGAAAGCCTGAAGCCTCTTACATGGAGAATACTTTTTCTTTTCATTAAAAAATCCTGGATGGGCACGGTGGCCCACGGCTGTAATCCCAGCACTTTGGGAGGCTGAAATGGGTGGCTTGCCTGAGCTCAGGAGTTCACGACCAGTCTGGGCAACACAGTGAAACCTCGTCTCTACTAAAATACAAAATAAATTAGGCAGGCGTGGTGGTGTGCACCTGTAGTCCCAGCTACTCGGGAGACTGAGGCAGAAGAATTGCTTGAACCCAGGAGGCGAAGGTTGCAGTGAGCCGAGATTACGCCACTGCACTCCAGCCTGGGCAACAGAGTGAGACTCCATCTAAAATAATAATAATAATCCTAATTGTACACTTATTAGAAAGCTCTCTTTCCTATTCTATAATCCATAAGCCTCCTAACAGCATCTCTTAACAGGCTGTGGTAGGGTGTCCTTTCATTCTAGGCGAGAAAAACTCTCACCTGTTTAAAAACAAAGTGTGTCATCCCTGACAACTCTCCATTTATTATATGAAATACACAGAAGGCTGTTCAGTCAAAAACTCAAAATAGAGTTTTAGCTATTTCCAGAAACCTGGTTTACACTCTGCTCCACTCCTTACTGGCTTAAGTGATTTGGGACAAACTGAAAGCATCTCAGGACCTTGAGGAATCCTCAGACACGTTTAATTAAAAATATATGTAAAACATAAATACAATTTTTAAAACCTCATATGCTTCCCAACTAGGGTGAACATACAATATTTAACTACTATTAATGTTTTATTATAATTTTTCCTTCTAAAACTTTATTGGTTTGTCTTTATTATTGTCATAAGCTATAAAACATACATATATATGTATGTTTTTATATAAATATAATGTCTAGATCCCTTTCAATGCATTTATACACACACCCTAAACATCCCCCCCCCCACACACACACACAATCTTTTTTCTAAATTCACTCTTGTATCAAAGTTAAAATATTGGAAAGCAAAGTAACCAGGAAGCAACATATTGAGGCTACCTTAGCTTAGGTCTCTACAATATGCCAAAGCACATCTTAATATAATAACTTTCAGCTTTTATTGAAAGTCAAAATAAGAAATAGTCTGCATTTTCTGCAAAATGACTATTGAAGATCTTGTCAGAAAAAAACAATCATTATTTTATTTTAAAATTTGGTGCCATGAGAGATCTTTTTGGGGTGATAGAAATGTTCTAAAATTGTGCTTGGGGTGGTGGCTCACACCTGTAATCCCAGTATTTTGAGAGGCCTGAGGTGGATGGATCACTTGAGCTCAGGAGTTTGAGACCAGCCTGGGCAAAATGGTGAAACCCTGTCTCTACCAAAAATCCAAAAAAATTAGCTGAGCATGGTGGCACATGCCTGTGGTCCCAGCTCCTCAGGAAACTGGGGTGGGAGGATCGCTTGAGCTTGGGAGGTCAAGGTAGCAGTGAGCCGAGATCAGCCCACTGCTGTCCAGCCTAGGTGACAGAGTAAGGCCTCGTCTCAAAAAAAAAAAAAAAAAAAAAAAGGAAATGTTCTAAAATTGAACTGTGGTGATGGTTACAAAACACAGAACTCTGTGAATTTACTAAAAATCATATATTGTGCACTTAAAACAAGTTATTTTTATGGTGTGAGAATTGTACCTCAATAAAGCTATTTTCTTTAAAAAGAAAAAAAACTGATGTCAGGAAAAGATTACTTCTTCTGGAAAACCTGTTCATATGATTTTATAAGGCAATGAGAAACTAAGTAAACAGAGCTAATACACGTATATAATATAGTCGTTATAATAATAATATTAATAATACATATATAACAGACACTATTCTAAATGCTTTATATTAACTCTTCTAAGCCTCTCAATAATCTTAGAGGGAACATCTTATTATCTTATTAATCATCCTCATGTTATAGATGTAAAGCCTGAATCACATGGAAATTAAGCATCATGCCTAAGGTCACACAGTAATTTAAGCTAGAAGTTGGACGGATGACAACCGGGTCCAGAGTCCATGCTCTTAACCCACACTAAATTCAAACTGTTCCCAAAACCACCTAAAAGAGTTCAAGTCAAAGCAAATTTAGAATTTAAATACAGAAATACTTTTATATCTAGTATAATAATATCTACCATTCTCCACGTTTGTTATATTTTAATTACATGTTAATATGTTTACAAGTCATTTTAAGTCTGTTCTAGAAGTAAAGACAAATATTTTATTCATCATTTCTTATAATACTTTCACTGTATCAGTGTTTTATAAATGCAAGAAATATTTACTTGCTGAAATGAACTCCAATAGAAATTACTAAATTCTTTTTTTTTTTTTTTTTGAGACGGAGTCTCGCTCTTTCACTCCAGCCTGGGCTGGAGTGCAGTGGCACTATTCGGCTCACTGCAAGCTCTGTGTCCTGGGTTCACGCCATTCTCCTGCCTCAGCCTCCTGAGTAGCTGGGACTATAGGCGCCTGCCACAGCACACGGCTAATTTTTTGTATTTTTAGTGGATACGGGGTTTCACCGTGTTAGCCAGGATGGTCTCGATCTCCTGACCTCGTGATTTGCCCACCTCGGCCTCCCAAAGTGCTGGGATTACAAGCGTGAGCCACCACGCCCGGCCAGAAATTACTAAATTATTTTTCCTATATTTACTCATTATTTGAGTGATATAATCCTGAAAGCATTTTTTTTTTTTACTTAACTTTTAAGTCTGGGGTACATGTGTAGATTTGTTATATAGGTGAACTTGTGTCATGGGGTTTGTTGTACAGATTATTTCATCACCCAGGTATTAAGCCTAGTACCCGTTAGTTATTTTTCCCGATCCTCTCCTTCCTTCCATCCTCCATCCTGCCATAGGACCCAGTGTGTGTTGTTCCCTTCTATGTGTCCATGTGTTCTTATCATTTAGCTCCCACTTATGAGTGACAACATGCGGTATTTGGTTTTCTGTTCCCGCATTAGTTTGCTAAGGAGAATGGCCTCCAGCTCTAGTCATGTTCCTGCAAAGGACATGATCTCATTATTTTTTATGGCTGCATAGTATTCCATGGTGTATATATATCACATTTTCTTCATATAATCTATCACTAATAGGCATTTAGGTTGATTCCATGTCTTTGCTATTGTTAATATTGCTGCAATAAACTTACATGTGCATGTGTCTTTATAATAGAACACGATTTTCTATTCCTTTGGGTATATACTCAGTAATAGGATTGCTGGGTCGAATGGTACTTCTGCTTTTAGGTCTTTGAGGAATTGCCACACTGTCTTCCAATGGCTCAACTAATTTACACTCCCAACAGTGTATAAGTGTTCCTTTTTCTCTGCAACCTCACTGGCATCTGTTTTTTTTTTGTCTTTTTAGTAATAACCATTTTGACTGTAAGATGGTATCTCATTGTGGTTTTGATTTGCATTTCTCTAATGATCGGTGATGTTGAGCTTTTTTGCTTTTTTGCTTTTTTTTTTAAACTGTTAAGAAAGTGTTTGTGGTTTTATTGTATCATGAGGCATTGAAACATCTGAACAAATCAATGTCTGGGCGGGGTGAGGCAGCTGCTTTCTCCTTCACTTCTTTGGATTACTAGAGCAACTTGTCAGTAGATTAAAAAAAAAAAAAAAGGATAACCTTTTGCATTACTTAAGTCTTTCCAAGGCATGCACTGGTACAACACAAACTTCTCCCGTAGATGGAACTAGTCTAGCGTCCAAACATCATGCATAACACTTCGGTGGCAGCAGAGCACTGCGCCCACTCTCACCGTGGTGCTGCTCATTTGTGCATGATATTTGGAGCATCTGGAGGAGCAGGAATAGTATTGGGAAGAGGAGGGAGGAGGAAACAGCATGTCTGGCTGAGAGGAGGTCAGCTGAAGTTGTGCAGGGCAAGCCTGAACATGTCATTGGTGCAAACCCAAGCATCGTTGATGTTCTTTAATAGGAACATCTGGTGGAACCCCATGATGGGGTCTTCATGTCTTAAGCTGGTCCACAACCATGCTGATGATGCAGCTATCTGGCATGGGCTGATCGTCCTGCGCTGTGATGCTGTGCTGGATTTTCTGAAACGGAAGGCTAGACAACTTCTCTACAATGGCAGCTTTCCATGGAACTGTTGTCCTTCCCACATAAGGCATGACACGTCAATGTAAATTGCGCCTAGTTGGGTTCTATCATTATCAAATAACTGGTAGCAACGTTGAATGAAGCTGGATCCAATCTGCTCCCAAATGGGCTTGTCTCCCACTCTGGAGCGTCACCCGGCCTCAGGGAGACCTGAGGGGCTGGCACAATGGCAGCAGCGGTGGCAGCAAACCAGTGTGGTCTGCGTGAGCTTTTTTTCATATGATGGTTGACCACATGTATGTCTTCTTTTGAAAAGTCTATTCATGTCCTTTGCCCACTTTTTAATGGGTTTTCTTAATTGTAAATTTAAGTTCCTTATAGATGTTCGATATTAGACCTTTGTCAGATGCATAGCTTGCAAATATTTTCTCCCATTCTGTAGGTTGTGTTTCTTTTCATATTCTAGTGAACTACTACTGTACATATACTTAATACTAACTGAAAAATAGAAAGCTTGTCCACATTAGTGTCAGGGTTAAAAATATTTAGAATGTTTATGACAATGCAAAAAGAGTTTAAAATATCAGAATAAATATGTTAAGGCATTTTTGTATTTATTGTAAAAACAGAGTTTGAAAAATTAATCAAACAGATGGTTTTGGAAGTTTTAATTGAATACTTTAAAATAGACTATACACTGTCTCAAAATAATTCTTCATTATGTTTACAGCACCAAAAACTTAAAAAATTAAATTTGATAACACAAGAATATTGAAAAAGGAATAAACCAAACTTATACTATCCACATTTGTTGTTTATGAATTTTAACTCCTCCGAAAATACTATTTGGTTTTATACCATCATTTTCCTTTCATTACAGTCTATTTAGTTCCCCATATGCTTTAATTACTTATCTTTGAAAAATGAAAAATGAACATGTACAACTCACACCATTAAAGTTTCAGATAACTTTCCATTTCTGGAGGCTATTAAAATTATTTTCTACAGTAAAAAACGAAATAGGAAGCAAAAGTATTTAATACATATGTAGAACAAAAATTGAAAAGAATAGTAAGGCAACAACATTAAACTAGTTTCATTTTTAGAAACAATAGCAACAGGCAAATTAGCTTTAAGGAGTTAGCATTTAAAGTGAAACATGCTAACTACAATCCTCCTTCTTAAATAATGATAGGTTCTGAAATATCAACTTGAGCTCTAAACCAAAGATGAGTTGACAGTTTCAATTGCTTGGAGAGAGTATAAATATCAAGCACATCATCCTCTCATAGAAAAATTCCCAGCCTTTGTCTTTGATACAATTACTGTGTCAGAATAAAGCCACTCAACTTTTCCATTAACATCTCAAACACATTATATATCATCCCAATTCACAAGACTATCCCTACATGGTCGCAAAATTCTATAATCTGAGAGAATCAAAGAACTTGACACTTAGAAGTCATTAGGAGAAAAGGAAAGGTATTCTATGGAAGGAGTATATCTGGTCATGTAACAAGGTGAAGAAAGACAGCTTGGAAATAGAAAAGAAAGAGACAAAACTAGTAGAGACCAGCATCTCTACAGAGACAGGAGAAGATGGGACCAAAATCCCAGGATAATTTATTCTCCACTTTTCCTTCACAACTCAGTTAAAGACTTTTCCTTCTCTAAGATGCCTCCCATTACCAGTCCATCTTACTGATTATTACCTTATTATGTTTTTAAAGTATTTTGCTTTATACAGCATGTATCATGTTTTTATATGTATATAAATTCATATTTATATATCCCAGTTTTCTCTGATAGCCTCTCTACTATATATTCAACATGCACAGAAGAAATAAACCCTTATTCAATGAATGAAAGAAATAATAACTACATGGATAAATAACACTACATTCTAAAACTGAGATTTTCCTTCTTTGCATATTTTTAAAGAAAAAATTTTGTTAATAGTCAAGGCAAATTTCTACATCACAAAGCTGTCTTGCAGCAAAATGGAACTGTCTCTGGGCCAACCAGATCTAACGCTATTCTTAGATTCAAAAGCAGCAGCAGTCACAATATTCTCCTTTGGGAAAACAGCCAACTTGTGCTGTTTACTTTGAAGTTAGACCTCACAATAATTTACTCTTTTACTTTCAGACTACATTATTACTACTATGCTGGGTACTGTACTGTTAAGATCATCCAGACATTTAGCCAAAATGAAGGTATTAACTATATGGAAGATGGATAAATAATCTACAGAAGAATTTTATTTAACATGCTAAAATATCTTCTTTTAACTCCAAGCAAAATTCAGTATTTTGGCAAAGACTTTTGAAGTACCTAAAGAGGGTTACTTGGCTCAGAAAATGATTATGTTATATATAGAAAACTGCAGAAACTTCAGGGCTCTTTGACTATCTACCAGCACCACTAAAAGATACTATATTGTTATATACATAAACTCCTAATATCACACTGAAACGATCAGTCTGAACTTTAATTGCTGTTATGGTCAACAAGTTAATACCTAGTTATTCTAAGTACTTCAAATGCCTAACCTGGACTGGAAAATCATTAAGAACATCATTACATCTTGAGCTGTCTTCTAAACCTTTTATTTCCTTTAGTATGATATTACAATGTGTAAACATTGTAGGTACTAAACAAATATTTGTTGTCTTACTGCTATTTAAAGCAAAGGTCCCAAACCCCTGGGCACCATACAGGTCCATGGCCTGTTAGGAACCAGGCCACAGCAAGAGGTGAGCCCCGGGCAAGCCAGCATTGCCACCTGAGCTCCACCTTCTGTCAGATTAGATTCTCACAGGAGCGTGAACCCTATTGTGAACTGTGCCAGCAAGAGATTTAGCTTGCACACTCCTTATGAGAATCTAATGCCTGATGATCTGAGGTGGAACAGTTTCATCCCAAAACCATTCCCCACCCACCCCCTATCCATGGAAAAACTGTCTTCCATGAAACCGGTCCCTGGTGCCAAAAAGTTTGAGGACCACTGATTGAAAGAAATTACCCCTTCCTTAGATTTATAAATCAATAAACCAATGAAGAAATGAAGAAAGGATAAAGAAATTTAAAAAGAACAAAGGCAAAGTGGAACAAGAGAGAAAAAATATGGTAAATTTCATAAAGTTCATGGAGAAATCTTCATGAAGAAAGTAGTTAATTATTTTAAAGAGAAAAAATGAACTAATGAAGAATAGAGAGCATCCTATTCATTAAAAAAAGCAAGACTGGGCCAGGTGTGGTGGCTCACACCTGTAATACCAGCACTTTGGGAGGCCGAGGCGGGCGGATCACGAGGTCAGGAGTTCGAGACCAGCCTGACCAACATAGTGAAACCCAGTCTCTACTAAAAAAAATAAATAAATCCAAAGATTAGCTGGGCGTGGTGGCGTGTGCCTGTAATCCCAACTACTCAGGAGGCTGAGGCAGGAGAATCACTTGAACCCAAGAGGCGGAGGGTGCAGTGAGCCGAGATCGCACCACTGCACTCCAGCCTGGGTGACAGAGTGAGACCCCATCTCAAAAAAAGAAAGCAAGACTGCCCTAGTTTTGTTCAATATTTATTTGACTTAATATCTAATGAATATTATTGTTCTCTCCTGATTTCATCTAATTCATATTGACAAGGTAAACAAATAAGTCCCTCTGTAGATAAAAATATGGATGTCTTGTGATGCCATAGTTTATAAATCGCATTAAAACGTTCTATTCAGGAACTGAGCCAATATATTTTATTAACAAGCAAAGTGAGACAGAAGGAATGGTTATGCAATCTTCCCAGGCAGAATTCGATACTAAATGTGTTTGATCTTGGGTATTCTTTTTGGCCTTTCTTTAAGTCATTCTTATTTGCAGGTTTAGGGAAGCAAGTAAAATAAAATTACTGATTCTCTGGGAGTTAGCTAGGTATATTGAGCTCAAGAAAGCTTCTCCTCTTAAATCACTTTCTTGGGTCAGTCACCGTATTGACCTTCCTCCAATTAAACTCTTATCATTCTGTACCAAATTGCCAAATGTCTTGAATATTTCTCCAACTAGACTATATGGTTCTATGGGAATGTACTGAACATTGGCTGACACATGATGGGAACTCAATATTTATTGAGTTCAGACCTCACAATAATTTATGTTTTAAGTTATCTAAATGAATCAATGTTTTTTCAGCTAAAAACTGCAAGGTCAAACCTAGTAATAGGAGAGCCCAATCAATTTAGTAAATGAATGGAGAAGACAAATAAAATCTAATATTTTAATGTATGCCTAAGTACAGTAAAACATTAAAATACTGAGTATATCATAAGACAAACTCTTTCCTAAATAATGCCTGTATAGTAATCCATTTTCAAATATAACAACTGGAACATTTCATTTCCCAAACTGCTCAACAAAATCTACGGAGGAATTTCTAAATGTCCTAAGACCTAAATCTCATTTTTTAAAAAATATGTTTTCGCTTAAGAGGGAGAGAGCATCTGAAACCACTAAGTTCTATTTTTTTACATTCCTATCACTTAAAAACAGCTGAACTGATTTTTCTTTTAAAAAAAATTACTGGCTAGTAATAAAATCTTGAAGATAGAGATTTGTGATGGGAAACTGATGCAAACGAATCCATAGCAAAGCTCTTATAAAAATATAGTGTTTAGGTCCCAGTTACTTAATTTGGCTCACAGTTTAATAAAGGGTAGTTTTAAATCAAATGCATTACAATTTTACTCACTTCAAAGCTTCCTCAAATTTATGAATTTTCTTTTGAGTATCTTCTTTTCCTTTATCAAGTTCACTCTGCAAGTCATGAGCCTGCCATGACAAGAACATGGAAAATTTATTGGAAGACGAGTAAAGTTTACTTCAAAGAGACATACAAACAATGAAACAGTGATCACAAATCCATTTTTAATATAAAATTAGATTTAGATATTTCAAGATAGAAACTTGGTCTACCATAGAATGATTTCAATACTATACTCAAATACCTATTTTCTGTTCAAAATGAATTTCTTGAGTCTACCGGCAGGTGAATTCTTTTAAAATAAATTCATAACTTAAAAGAAAATAAAAAATGGAATACTTCAGATTTTTTAAATTATATTTTAATCAAAGAAAAGAAATCTTACAAGATTCAAGAGAATACAATAAACAATGTGTCTATATTCCCTGAACACATAATGGTTATGATGAAATGGTCTTCTCTTCCACTGCTGGGAATAATTTGTATAACTATTTACTGAGTTTGGAAGGAAACTGCCACCCCTCCCCACTCCCCGCACCATGCCTACCTCTTTCCTAAATGTGGATCATTTGAGTAAATGAGATGGCAGCATCAATAACAAGGGTGAAATGAAAATTTGTCTTCGGCTGGGCACGATGGCTCACATCTATAATCCCAGCACTTTGGGAGGCCGAGGCAGGCGGATCACAAGGTCAAGAGTTTGAGACCAGCCTGACCAACATGATGAAACCCTGTCTGTACTAAAAATACAAAAATTAGCCGGGCATGGTAGCGCACGCCTGTAAGCCCAGCTACTCAGGAGGCTGAGGCAGGAGAATCGCTTGAACCCAGGAGGTGGAGGTTGCAGTGAGCCAAGATCGCACCCCTGCACTCCAGCCTGGGCAACAGAGTGAGACTCCATCTCAAAAAAAAAAAAATGTCTTCACAAAAAGCTCTTCATATGCATATGCAGATAAACATAGCCAATGTGGACATTTTACGGATCTTAAAATGTAAAAGGGAAACTTTGGTACAGCTGGATGAAAAGGAAGGAATCAAACAGCAGCCATGGCTCTACATACATGGCAACTGAGGATGCAGAGCCCAGGTGGGAGGTGGGAAAGCTCAAGTTACTTGGTGGGGTGGGAAAACCCGCTACAGACCTGCTGGTAAGCAAGGTAAGGCTGAAAGTGAAACGAGTGGCCAACAGGTTTAAGAGAGAAACGACAAGAACAACAACAAAACATAAATACACTATGACAAACCATATCAAACACTGAATCAGGGCTAGCCAAAAATACCTGTAGTTAGCTATTTATATCAGTTTAAATGGAGACCTATTTAACTCAAACCCTATCTTTAACCTCTTCTTTTAAAAATTCTTTTGGATTTCTGCTCTCAGTGTTTTAGTAAATAAATAAATTAATAAAATCAATGTTTGCTTATAAACTGAAAGAAAGTGAGGGTAGACAGGACATTTTCCAAGATAATATCGAAAAGCTTCTATGGGCTGCTATGATGATAATCTCAAAAGTAAGAATACACTGAGAGGCAGAGAAGAAAAAGCAAGAGAATTAGGAACCTGTAGCCACCCTCCCCCATATTTTAAATGGTAAATTTAAAGTATCTCATAAAGACTATTTGTCTTATGAGAAAGAGAAAGAACAACTTGCCTTGCAAATTTTTGCCACTACATTTATTTTATCTTACATGCAGGAAAAAGAAGTCTGCTGTTCAAGTTTTTACCATGTTCAAGTGTTTAATTATTATTTTGGATCCCTAATATGTATTACAGTGTTTGGCACATAGTAAGCATACTATACTAGAGTACAAACATTACTAAAGCAACAAAAGCACCATTTCAACGCAAATCTAGTCTTTTTAATGTAGAGAGTCAAAGACTAAAACCTCAAAATGAAATTCAGATATGACCTAATACAAAGATCCTGGAAACATGTTTTTACATCAGTAAAAAATAAAATCTTAAGTGAAAAATCACCCACCAATTTAGGAAAAACACACAGAGAAAAGTCAATGTATTCAAGTGAAAGGGTGGGGGAAGGACAATTCAGAAGAAAGTTAAAGGGAGAAACTAATATGTGAGATGTTATCTTACACTGGTGTTTACTTATACATATTCACCTCTCCTTTTGCTTTAATCGTTCTTTCTTAGTCAAGTTCTCTCGCAAGTTGAATTTGGCCCAAATCATACATTTTTTTCTTAGATTTATTGCTAGCACTAAAATACTATTTATGCCGTTTTTTCCTGTTTCCTAATTTTTTATGTTACTTTTTATACATGGCATTTTTGTTACTGTCCTCAACTCCTCCATGTTCTGACAGATTGACACATAGAGACAGAAAATGACTTTTCCAGCTTTATTGCCATATAATTGGCAAATAAAATTATACATCTTTGAGGTATACAACATGGTGTTTTTAAAATTTATTTTAATTGAAAAATGACAAATCGTATATACATATGTGTGAAGTTTTGATATATGTATACATTGTAGAAATATTAAATCAAGCTAAGTCACATATTCATATCATACATATACTTATTTTTGTGATGAGAACATTTAAAGTTTGTTCTCTTAGCAATTTTCAAGTATACTACAGATTATTATTAATAATAATCACCATATTATATCTCCAGATACTTATTCCTCCTGTCTAAAACTTTTATTTTTGAGACAGGGTCTCACTGCCACCCAGGCTGAAGTACAGTGGCACAATGGTAGCTCACTGTAACCTCAAACTCCTGAACTCAAGTGATCCCCCCGTATCAGCCCCCCAGGTAGCTAGGACTACAGGCATGCACCACCACACCTGGATCATATTTTTTTAGAATCAGGGTCTCACTATGTTGCCCAGTCTGGTATAAAATGCCTGCCCTCAAGTGAACCTCCCTCGGCATCCAAAAGTGCTGGGATTTTAGTCATGAGCCATTCTGACCAGCCTAAACTAAAACTTTGTACCCTTTAACCAGCATCTACCCATTCCCTGACATCCCTCCCCACCCAGCCCCTGGTAACCACCATTCTATTATCTGATTCTAGGAGTTTGATTGCTTTTTCAGATTTCATGTATAAGGGAGATAATGCAGTACTTGTCCTCCAGGACCTTCCATGTTATTGCAAATGACAGGATTTTCTTTTTTAAGGCTGCATAGTATTCCACTGTATATATACATACCACAGTTTCTTCCATCCATAGATGAACACTTAGGTCAATCCCATTCATCCACAGATAAATACATAGCTTGATTCCATATTTTGGCTCTTGTGAATAGTGCTGCAATGAACATAGGAGTGTAGATATCTCTTAAACATACTGATTTCATTTCCTTTGGATATAAACCCAGAAGTGGAAATTGCTGAATGATACGGTAGTGCTATTTTTAATTTTTTGAGATACTTCCATACTGTTTGCCATAATGACATTCCCACCAACAGAGTATAGACGCTCTCTTTCTTCCACATCCTGGCCTACACTTGTTATCCCTTTGTGTGTGTGTGTGTGTGTGTGTGTGTGTGTGTGTGTGTGTGTTAGCAAAAGCCATTCTAACAAGTGTAAGGTGATATTTCATTTTAGTTTTGATTTGCCTTTCCCTGATGATTAGTGATGTCGAGAATGTTTCATATACCTGTTATTTGTATATCTTCTTTGGAAAAGTGTCTATTCAAGTCCTTGGCCCATTTTTTAAACATCAGGTTATTTGTGTTTTTGCTATAAAATTGTTTTAGTTCCTTATATATTTAGGATATTAGTCCCTTATCAGATAAATGGTTTGCAAATATTTTCTCCCATTCTGTAGTTTGCCTCTTCACTCTGTTGACTGTAAATCTTTGCCACTTTGTATATCCAGAATGGTATTTTCCAGGTAAACTTTCAGGATTTCTACAGTTTTCAGTTTTACATTTAAGTCTTTAATCCATATTGACTTTATGTTTGCTTATGGTATAGGGAAAGGGTCCAGTTTCAATCTTTTGTATATGGCTAGCCAGTTATCCCAGCACCATTCATTGAATAGGGAGTCATTTCCCCATTGCTTTTTTGTGTTGACTTTGCTGAAGATCACACAGTTGAAGGTACGCAGCCTTATTTCTGGGTTCTCTATTCTGTTCCATTAATCTATGTGTCTGTTTTGTACCAGTACCATGCTGTTTTGCTTACAGTAGGCTTATAATATAGTTTGAAGTCAGGCAATGTGATGCTTCCAGCTTGTTCTTTTTGCTTACGATTGTCTTGGATATTCAATCTCTTTTTTGGTTCTATATGAATTGTAAAACAGTTTTTTCTAATTCTGTGAAGAATGTCATTAGTGGTTTGATAGGAATAGTATTGAATTTGTAAATTTTTTAGGGGAGTATGGACATTTTAACAATATTGATTCTTCCTATCCATGAGGATGAAGTGTTTTTTGATTTATTTGTGTCATCTCTGATTTCATTGAGCAATGTTTTTTATCCCATTGTAGAAATCTTGCACCTCTCTGGTTAGGTGTATTCCTAGGTATTTTATTCTTTTTGTGGCTAATGTGAATGGAACTGCATTCTTGATTTGGTTCTCAGCTTGGGTGTTGCTGGTGTATAAGAATGCTAGTGATTTTTGTACATTGATTTTGTATCCTGAAAAAATATAGCTTTTTTATCAGATGAAGTTGTTTATCAGATCAAGGAGTTTGGGGTTTTCTAGGCATAGAATCATATCATCCGCAAACAGGGATATTTGACTTCCTCTCTTCCTATTTGGATACCTTTTCTTTCTTTCTCCTGCCTGATTGGTCTGGCCAGGTTTTCCACTACTATGTTAAATAGGAGTGGTGAAAGAGGGCATCCTTGCCTTGCTGAGGTTTTCAAAGGTATGTCTCCAGCTTTTGCCCACTCAGTATTACGTTGGCTGTGGGTTTCTCATAGATGGCTCTTATTATTTTGAAGTATGTTCCTTTAATGCCTAGTTTGTTGAGGGTTTTTAACATGAAGAGATGTTGGATTTTATCAAAAGCCTTTTCTGCAGCTATTGAGATGATCCTGTGGGTTTTGTCTTTAGTTCTGTTTATGTGATGAATTGCATTTATTGATTTGCATATGTTGAGTCAACCTTGCATCCCAGGGATAAAGTATACTTGATTGTGGTGAATTAGCTTTTTGATGTGCTGCTGAATTTGGTTTCCTAGTATTTTGTTGAAGATTTTTGTATCAATGTTTATCAAGGATATTGGCCTGAAGCTTACTTTTTTTGTCGTGTCTCTGTAAGGTTTTGGTATCAGTATGATGCTAACCTCACAGGATGAGTTAAGGAGGAGTCCCTCCTCCTCAATTTTTTGGAACAGCTTCAGTAGGAATAGTAGCAGCTCTTCTTTACACATCTGCTAGAATTAGGCTGTGGATCCCTCTGGTCCTGGGGTTTTTTTGGTTGGTAGGCTTTTTATTACTGATTTAATTATGTAACTCATTATTGGTTTGTTCAGGGATTCAGTTACTTCCTGGTTCAGTATTGGGAAGTATTCTTGTATGGTTTTTCGCATCTCAATTTCCTTCAGTTCCGTTCTACTTTTGGTTATTTCTTGTCTTCTGCTAGCTTTGGAGTTGGTTTGCTCATTTCTCTGGTTGCTCTAGTTGTACTATTAGGTGGTTAACTTGAGATCTTTCTAACTTTCTGATATGAGTGCTAAGCATTATGAACTTCACTCTTAACACTGCCTTTGCTATATCCCAGAGATTCTGGTACATTTTATCTTTAATCTCATTAAAGAATTTCTTGATTTCTGCCTAAATTGCATTATTTACCCAAAAGTCATTCAGGATCAGGTTGTTTAATTTCCATGTAATTATATGGCTGTCAGCGATTTTCTTAGTATTAATTTCTATTTTTAATGCACTGTGGTCCAAGAGTGTAGCTGGTATAATTTTGCTTTTTTTATTTGCTGAGGATTGTTTTGTGTCCAATTGTGTGCTTGGTTTTAGAGTATGTGCCATGTGCAGATGAGAAGAATATATATTCTGTTGTTTTGGGTAGAGTGTTATGTAGATGTTATACATGCATTTGGTCAAGTGTCAAATTTGAGTTCTGAATATCTTTGTTAGTTTTCTCCCTTGATGATCTGACATTTGACTAATACTGTCAGTGGGGTATTGAAGTCTCTCATCATTATTCTGTGGTTGTCTAAGTCTTTTCATAGGTCTCTAAGAATTTGCTTTATGAGTCTGGGTGCTCCTGTATTGGGTGCATATATATTTAGGATAATTAGGTTTTCTTGCTGAATTGAGCAGTTTACCATTATGCAATGTCCTTCTTTGTCTTTTTTGATATTTGTTGATTTAAAGGCTGTTTTGTCTGAAATTAGAATAGCAACCCCTGCTTTTTTCTGTTTTCCATTTGCTTGGTATATTTCTCTCCATCTCTTTACTTTGAGCCTATGGGTGTCACTGCCTCTGAGATGTGTCTCTCAAAGACAGCATACCATTGGGTCTTGCCTCTTTATCCAACTTGCCTTTATCCAACTCTGTGCCTTTTAATTAGGGCATTTTGCCCATTTACATTCAAGGTTAGTATTGATATGTGCTTATTTGATCCTGTCATCATGTTGTTAGCTGGTTATTATGCAGACTTGTTTGTGTGGTTGCTTTATTGTGTCATTGGCCTGTGTACTTAAGTGTGTTTTTGTAGTGGCTGTTAACGGTCTATCCTTCCCATGTTTAGGACTCTCTTCAGAACCTCTTATAAGGTAGGTCTGGTGGTAATGAAATCGCTTAGCATTTGCTTGTCTGAAAAGGATCTTATTTCTCCTTTGCTTATAAAGCTTAGTTTGCTGGGACATAAAACTCTTGGCTGAAAATTCTTTTCCTTAAGAATGCTGAATATAGGCCCCCAATGTCTTCTGATTTGTACGGTTTCTTCTGAGAGGTCTGCTGTTACCCTGATGGGCTTCACTTTGTAGGTGACGTGCCCCTTCTCTCTAGCTGTCTTTAATATTTTTTTTATTTCGACCTTGGAGAATCTGATAACTATGTGTCTTGGGGATGGTCTTCTTGTGGAGTACTTTGCAAAGGTTCTCTGCATTTCCTGAATTTAAATGTTGGTCTCTCTAGCAAGGTTGGGGAAATTTTTATGAATGATAACCCAAAGGATATTTTCCAAGCTACTTGCTTTCTTTCCCTTTCAGGGACACCAATAAGTCATAGATTTGGTCTCTTCACATAATCCCGTATTTCTCTGAAGTTGTTTTCATTTTACTTTTTTTTTTCTTTATTTTTGTCTGACTGAGTTATTTCAGATAGCTGTTCTTCAAGTTCTGATATTCTTTCCTCAGCCTGGTTGATTCTACTGTTAACACTTGTGATTGTATTCTGAAATTCGTGAAGTGAGTTGTCCAGCTCTATCAGGTAAGTTTGGTTCTTCGTTAAAATGGCATTTTCATATTTCATATCCTATATTATTTTATTTTATTCCTTATAATCCTTGGATTGGGTTTCAACATTCCCCTGAATCTCAATCATCTTCGTTCCTATTCATAGTCTAAATTCTACTTCTACCATTTCAGCCTGGTTAAGAACCATTGCTGGAGAACTAGTGTGGGTGTCTGTAGGTAAGAAGACACTCTGGCTTTTTGAGTTGCCAGAGTTCTTGCTCTGGTTCTTTCTCATCTGTGTGGGCTCATGTCCCTTCAACCTTTGAAGTTGCTGTCCTTTGGATGGTGGGGTTTTTGTTTTGTTTTGTTTTTTGCTTTTATCTCCATTGATGTCCTTGGGGGTTTGTGGCATAAGGTGGGGTCCATCGACTGGCTTCATTTCTAGTAGATTTTGAGGAGCCAAGGCTCAGCTCAACACTCCCACACTGTATACTCTAACTCTAAGGGGCTGGTATCGGGTCACTGGCTTTGTTCTCTGGTCCCTCAAAGTTGGGACCTGCTGTGTTAAATGGGCCAAAGTGTTCCTGGTCCGATGGCCACAACACTCCAACGAGTGGTGCCAGCCAAAGCGCTTCATCAGGCAGTGGCAATGTGATTAATGCTTGTTTGCATGTGCCAGCAGCAGTGGTAGTACACCAGGGTTCACCCTTGTTAGCTGGGGTGGGGCGCTGGCAGACCAGCAACTGCCAGCCTCTGTATGCGCATTCACAGTGGCAGCAGTGGCACCATGGAGGGGAGGGGTCACTGGCATCTGTGTGTGCATTCACACTGGTGGGCAGTGTTGGCATAGCAGTGGATTTCTGGCTGGGGTGGGGCTGGCAAACTCCTTGTGCATGTTCACACTGGTGGCAATCGTGGTGGGAGGCAGGGCCACTGGCCTTCCTGAGTGCTTTCACACCAGAAATGGCAGCACTGCAACACAGCAGCAAGTGGGGGACGGGTACACTCACGCTGGCAGCAATGGCGCAGTGGGATGCACGCACATCACTGCACCAGCATGGAAGGGCAAGGTTCACCCATGCACACATGTGCCAATATGGCAATAGGAGGATGGCCTTGGGTGAGTGCTTGCTGGTAAAGCAGCATGGGGGAGGCTGCAGTAGAGGGAGAGTGTGAGTGGGCCAGTGCATGTCAGTGGGGGCCACTCTGCTGGAGCTCTCTGGCAATCTGGCACAGTCTGCCAGCACAGGAGCTATGATGAGGGCCCTAGGGAGGCATCCTGGTTGAGCATCTGAGTCTGCACTGTAAGCAGGCAAAGCCAGGCTATGGTCCCAGGAGAGGCCAGCCGATGGGAGAGTTCAGGTAAGACTGGCCCCATCTGCTCTGTTCAGGTTCAACAATTCTTTTAAGGCTAAAGTCTCCTAGAGGAACATGGCCAGCCTGAGGGAATGGGCATCCCCGGCCATGCCCCCCTGCAAACATTCCCTCATCAAAACTCTCTGGGCTCTGTACAGGCTGGAGTCCTGCCCCAACCATCTCTCTAAGCAACTCTCTCTGCCAGCTCAAGTGTGGGGGTCATGGGGTCTTCTGCTGCCAGGATTCCAGAGGTCCAAAGCAAGAGCAGCTCACTCCTTGCCTGCTCAACTCACCCATTCCCCAGGAGACATTAGGAGCCAGGAAGAAGACCCAGTGTGTGGCAGCCCCATGCAGGATTCCCAGCTTCCTCCCCTTTCAGCCCAGTGTCTCTGTCCTCCCTCTGTCCACTCTCAGTAACTTTCCTCTGAAGATCGACTTGGAATGTGCCAGTCTTCCCAATGTCCTACCCCCTTGGTGGCAGATATTCTTTCTAGCTGCATCTAGTCAGCCATCATTTCCCACATTTATTGATTTACCTATCTTGAGCAATCCTTGCATCCCAACAATAAACCCACTTGGTCATGGTGCCTGATCACTTAATGTGCTGTTGAATTTGGTTTGCTGGTATTTTGTCAAGGACATCGTCTTTGGAAACAGATTTTAATTACACTAATGATGCCATAAATATTTCACAATTATTTTTAACCTACATCCCTCTAATATTTAGCAAGTTAAAAATTAATACCTCTGCCCTGTTAAAATAATAGCTTGGCATATGTTTACTTCTCCCTCTCCTAGTCATTTTGGTTTTCTTTTATATAATCTTGAGATGCTGAGGCAGATAGTGGTTTTAAATTGTTTTAACTTCACATACCTTCTTTTTCAAGATTCTCTTCTGACATTTCCATTGTTTATATTGTGTACACAATAAATATTTAAATTCATCTCTATTTTAATTTTGGCATTCACCAGTACTTTTTCGTTCTTGAGTATTTTTTTTGTTTGATTTGATCTTTTGCTTATCCTTAGGCTGATTAAAGTCCATCATCCAGTAATTTTATTTTTCAAAAAGAATATCCTAGTGATATATCTTCTGAGGCTTTGCACATTCAAAAATGTCATTCTGTTGCCTTTACACATGAAGGAAATTGTAGGTATAAGATTCTTAGGTCACAACACTTTGGCCTAAAACACAGCACACGTTAAGTTTCTCTATTGTTTTATGACATTTAGGTTTGCAAATAAGAAGACTAAAGTCATCTAAACTTTGCTTTCCCCTCCCCCTGGGGTCTGGACATTTATAAAAATCATTCTCTTTGTACTGTAATTCAAACATTTTTTAATCTTGTATTGAGTTTTAGCTGATAAAGAGTGAAATCTTTAAAATTACATACACAGACCTTCTGAAAAGTTTTCTCATATCTTTAGTTATTTTTGTGTTATTTTATTCTGAGCCTTCCTTCAGAAATATCAGTTGTTATATACTGGTTTTCTATTTTCTGCCTTAATATCACCTTCCTCAAAATTTTTGATTCTTTGTCCCTTTCTTTTGCAGTCTGAAAGGTCATTATGCCTTGCCTTCATATCGCTGATTTAATTCTTTACAAAATCTGACCTAACCCAACCAGCAACTATGTGATCGTAAGTCTGCTATTGTACTTTTGGTTTCCTTACGATTTCCTTATGACAATTTTCACTTCATCCCTTTCTTTCCTTATGGTGTCTGTTCCTCCTTCATAGATATCATATCTTCTTGTATGCTACTGGTGAATTTTTAAACATTTTCTTCCGGAGTAACACATTTTCAGGAGAAACTCCTTCCTCTGAATCTTCTGTGTAATGCTCTCATTCCTTTCCTCTACAATGCTTTCCCACAGACTCCATTTTGGTTCTGTTCTCCTACTCATTCTTGAACACCGTACACCACTCAGACTTGGTGCTTGATATTCAGAACACCATTCAGTTTGCTGCTTGACAAAAACCACAGGGGCTGTAACTGTGCTTCTATTACGTGTCTCTAAGTGTGATCTCTCTCTCAGAGATACAGCTAAAACCAATTCCCAGGAGGGTTTGAACTAGGTTACACTGCTCTACTGAGGAGGCACGTTTCTCCTCAAGCCACAGCCTGCTTCACTGGTACTCTAAAATGATATGTTACACAGCCTGCTTCACTGGTACTCTAAAATGATATGTTATACAGCCTGCTTCACTGGTACTCTAAAATGATATGTTACATGGGAAACCAACAAGGAATTGCTATCAGAGTTGCTGACAAGTCAATAAGTATTTTGCAAATTGGCACTGTGCCTCCAATGTACCATGTACCAGTAGTTTCCCCTCTATTTACTGTTGATTTTTTTTTTCTGGGACTCAGAACTGCCACATAAAAGCACAGTTGAGATTTACGCCTTTAAATGGGAAGCTTCAAAAAATTAACAATTTTTGAGAAAAATCTATCTCTAAAATTATACGATGATTACGAGTCCAAGCTCATAATCAGATGGCATGGATTTGTGTCCCTGTTCCTTCACAAACTACATAACATTCTGTGCCTCAGTTGGCTCCTCTGAAAAACTGGGATAACAATGAGTATATCAAAGAATTGTGATAAGTTAATAAATTACTTGATGTAAAGACCTTAGAACAATATTAGGAACATAATAAATGATCAGTATATGTGAAACATTATTATTACTTCCTCAGATTGAATAACTCAAGGTTATTGTGAACACCCAAAATCACAATGTGCCACAATACAGTAATTCCCTTAGTCTGTCTACCTTTTCAGAAAGTAGTACCTGAATTGCCAATTTTGTCTTTTTGTAACTGCTTTTTATCATTAATTATTGAATCTTCACCTCTGACAAGTTCTTAGCTGCCATTTCTTGACACTGGTCAGTGTGCTAGCACAAGCACCTTGATCTAATTTATTGCTTCTAAAATTATTAGAATGAAATTATCTGGGTGGGAAAATAAGGGACTCCCCTCTGAGGTAAACATCAATGTGTCAATGACCATACTTTTGAGCTGGGGGTTTCTTAAGGTAGAAGCTGTTTCTCATTTTTATATCCCTAGGACCCAGGATAATATCTAGCCCATACTCCAATAGTCAATAAGTATTGTTTTAAATTTGTTTTTTCTTAATTGAATATATCTGTATTGTTTAAGAGCCTTTTTGGATTGCATTTTTAGTTTTTACCTATATTCCAGACAGCTGTGGGTGACATAAGTAAACACCAGAAAAGTGAGAGATAATTGCATACAGATCTTGGCAAAAGAGAACAGATCAATACTTTTGGTGGGTTAAAAAAAAAATCCTTGTTTGTGCTGGGCGCAGTCGCTCACACCTGCAATTCCTGCACTTTGGGAGGCTGAGGCGGGCAGATCACGAGGTCAGGAGATTGATACCATCCTGGCTAACATGGTGAAAGCCCCGTCTCTACTAAAAATAGAAAAATCAGCCAGGCATGGTGGCACATGCCTGTGATCCCAGCTACTTGAGAGGCTGAGGCAGGAGAATCTCTTGAACCCGAGAGGCAGAGACTGCAGTGAGCTGAGATTGTGCCACTGCACTTCAGCCTGGGCAACAGAGCAAGACTCTGTCTCAAAAAAAAAAAAAAAATCCTTGTTTGTACCTAAAAGAAAATTAAAGAACAAACAACCTAGAAAGAGATAATGCTATTTCCACCCCTTCCTTTTTAATGTACAAATGGTAGTAAGCAATAAATGATTTGCTTGTAATCCTTTCCCCACTTTAAATTGTTAATACCAGAAAAGTATTTAAAAGTGATAGGTAATGACAACACAAACCAGATAGTCAAGGATACATAATATATTTTCAAACATGAGAATTTGCTATAAATAATTGATTTAAGTAGCCATAAGCACATTTATTGAATATTCACTGAATATATTTTTTTTGCTCCCTTGCATCCCAAGAATTTAGGTAATCACAAAAGGAATATTGTGTAGATAAGAAAGAGATTGTGCTATATATCAGAAACTAGATATACTGTGGCAGACACCATAGCATAGTAAAGTGCACAGAGGAGGTACTGACCCAAACACTGACTAGCTGAATAACTCCACAATGCTTCTTAACTGCTATGACCTCTGCTTCCCAATATGAAAAATAAGGGTGATTAGATTGCATAACTTCTATAAATCTTTTCACTGCACAATTTCATGGTTTAAAACATCACTAAAGGCACACGTACTCTTAAAAATCATGTCAGTGGTAGTTCAAAAATACTATCCAATATGTTAAATATACGGCTGTGACTATTTTAAACATGATTTAAAAAGCGTGCATGATTGCTAGGCATTGGAATAACTATATTTTAAGGATTGTGAACTCCATTAGACTTCGTATCTCATTTGTTAAACAGTTCCATCAGAATGATTTTAAGTAGATATTTCAATTCAGTACATTTTAGAACGTAGGTGCTTAACATATGTCTGGCATGTTTCTCTAGGTAAACAGCACCATCTTTTACTCTCTGGAACTGTTTGGAAAACAAGCAATAGGTTATCTGTAGGGGGCAGGTGTTTCCTTGCTAGTCAAATCATTTAGTCTAACCATTTCCTGATTTAACAGATGAGGACAATTCATCAACAATGACATTTCGGTTTACTACTTATTATTTGTTTGATGTTCAAAGATCTTAAGAGCAGACAATAGCCACTAGAGATCAATAAAGACCATTACATAATATGTGTGTGCTTAAATTAGGGACAGCATCTGATGCTGTTTCTTTTACCTCAAAGACAAGTTAGAATCCTATGCTCCTGTCCTGCTGCTGTCTCATAGGCAGGATAAAATAATGTCATTCAGATGGCATTTCCTCCCCCTGAAGAGATATTTAGAACTAAGTTTTATACCAAAAGTTATTGAATGTGCACACCTGTAACACTAACAACAACAACAACAACAAAAAAGCCCTATACATCCCATTTAGCTCTACAATTACATAGTCCAGAGCTACGGAAGATTTATGTCAGGTCTTCGAGCTATCAAAAAGGATATTCCCTGAGAGGGATATAAGACATCAAAACTCCAAGGCTTGAGATCACAGCAGGTTTAATAAAGAAAGAAAAACAGATGTCAATGTAAAAGGGGGAGATTATGAAATTAATTGTAAAATAAAAAGTGGCATGCTGAGCAACATTTTCTTCCAATGTAAATAATGTTAGGAACATATGCAATATGAACAATGATGGCTATTTTTCTTTTAAAGATTGTTATTATTTTAAACAAATCTTAGTTACAGTGAAAACAACTAATATACATTAACAAGTAACGTTATTAAAAAGCTAGGCCAATTGATACCGCATGGAAAGGGAATCACTGTAGTTATGACACCTAATAAAAAGGATTTAGGTCTGCTCCTTGAAGTGAAATAGAATAGGAATGGTCAGCAGGCTACTGGATACAGATGAACTGAGCTCCAATATTCCCTTTCTAGTGTACATTCACCAGGGAGGGAGACTGATAGCAGAAACCTTAGTTTACTTCGAGGCTAAATACCCAAGAAAAGATAATGGTAGAAGAAAGATTTCCTTTCTAGGTCTATCTCTATGTGCGTAACAGTCCTCAGCAGGATGTAATGAAGTTTGGGATAGGAATACCTTATTTTACAAATAGCCAGTGCATCCCTTTCTCCTCACTACAGCCTGTCTGTCTCACAGGTACATACATACCAGGATATCAGGAAGAGGGCTTACCAGACTGCAACAGAGCAGGAAGCCAGGAAGCTCTTCCTTAATGGATGGACAGCCAGTGATCTGCCCAAAGAATGAACGGTGGACAAACAATACACCTAAAGGATACTGATGCCTTATACAGGAAGCAAGGATTATGAAAAAGTATGTCCATTTCATATGAAATATACTTAACATTTTGTATTGAGCTGCATTAAAACTGCAACAATAAGGAAATTTATTATGATTTAAAAGAGCACTCATGCAGGTCAATACGTGTTGCTAGAAACACTTTTCCAAATGACAGAAACAGATTTCTTCCTATACACTAAGCTCATGAAGGGCAGAATCTATGTCTAATTCATCCTCAACCCCACCCCAGTACCTAATATAATACCTTCCCCAATATAACCATTTAATGGGTATCTGCTGAGTGACTATATGGATAAACAAGATGGTGGTATTACAAAGTGTTTTTTAACATTTTGTGATATAAACCATATGTAATTTTAACTTGTATGTATTCTAAATAGTTTAAAGGTTAACTTTTTTCATTTTCTATTATTTTTGTATTTTACAAGTAGATTGACTTGATAAATGTTAAAACAGCAGATAGTGACAAAAGCAGCAACAAACATTTGCCATTTAACTACTCTTTTACTTTCTATATCTTATAGCAAAAAAGAATTTAGAAACTTAAGTTTCATAGTCAGAAATCTATAGAACTCTGTTTTTCCCGAGATGGTGGACCAGAGGCCTTTCCAACGTGCCTCATCTACTTGGAAGAATTTTGTCCAAGAAGGAAATGAAAAATCAACAGAAAGTGAAAGAAAACTTCAGATACTGGGGAAGAGAAGGTGAGCAGGGAGACAGTGGCTAGGTCTGGTTGAGAACTGAGTGAAGCTCCAATATAGGAGAGGGGAAGAGAATGTCCCTCTGCAATCTACCTGTCTACTGAGGAACTGTGCAACCTAGGCCATGGGGAACACCCTATCCCTCCCAAGCCCTGGATATAACTAGGAGAGAGGCCAGGAGCGTGTGAAAAGGAATGATACCAGGAAGTACCCCAGGCATTGTCCCAGACCTGGGACCCAACAGGACAATGCCATTCTTGATTCTAACTCATATCAAGCTCGGCGGGTCCCTGAAATCTAGCAGTGGCGGCAGCACCAGCATTAGTCTTGGGCCAGGATTTGGAGTGCTGGATCTGGAGCAGGGGAAGAGCCCCCACAGCCAGAACTTAGAGGTAAGTGTGGTGTGCAATCCAGCTGTGGGTGCTAGAATTGGGATACCCCTCCTTCATAGACCGAAATAGGAGGAGAGTTGCTGAAGAGGCATGGTTTTGCCTGGGTAGCAGGTTTTGTGGCCACAGGCAGCTTTGAAAAATAAAGTAAAAAAACTGCACGTAACATTTCTGAGTGTTGCAACTGGCTCCCTTGCTTGGAATAGGGGTGTGAGCCCCCTCAGGTCTGAAGAGTGAGAGGTGGGTCCCCCTCCTGATCACCTGGAGTAGGCATGTGGGACACCCATCACTTCCCATGCAGAGAACTTGGTGCAGCAGTGGTTGCTCTGTTTCTTGCCCAGCCTTATCTCCAGCCACCTGCTGACTACCTCTAGACCCCTGTCAGGGCTGGTGCTTGTGCCTACTGTTGGGAGATGTGAATGCAGACTTGCCCAGTCCAGCTCTGCCCAGATTTGGCCTCCACTGAGACTGAGCACAGGACCCAGTCCACTGAATATTCCATGGCCCAGCCATTGTCTGGGCAATGAAGTACTTCTCATGGTTAACAAAGGTCAAGCATAAACTTTATTCCTACAAGAGCAACTGGCGTTTTTACCTGCAAGTGCCACCTACTGGTCTGGAGGTTGACCTGCAAACCCCATAGTAAATCTGCTGACACAAATGCACAGTGCTTGGGAATAACGTAAGATTCCCACGCCCCTTGCTACCACAATCATCAATGCCACTGTGGCTTCTCAGGAGGCTGTGAGCCTGCTTACCTTCCAGGTACACCACTACTACAACCAGTATTTGAGAAAGCCACCACACTAAGTCTATTTATAACCAAGGAAATCATACAAAGCCTTAACATTCAACATACCCAGAAGTAAACAGCTCTACCCAACATACTTCATAGTTATATCCGCAAGAAAAAAAGTTACATTTCAATGAAATTCAAAACTAAGAAGTTACTATTTCTCCAGATGTGAATAAATCACCATAATAATACCAGAAGTATGAAAAAGCAGGGTAGTATAGCACCCACAAAGGAACACAGTAATTTTCTAGCAATGGATCTTACCAAAATAAAATTTTTGAAATGCTAGATAAAGGCCAGGCACAGTGGCTCATGCCTGTAATCCCAGCACTTTGGGAGGCTGAGGTGGGCAGATCACAAGGTCAGGAGATCAAGACCACCCTAGCTAACATGGTGAAACCCGTCTCTACTAAAAATACAAAAAAAATTAGCCAGGTATTGTGGCAGGCACCTGTAGTCCCAGCTACTCAGGAGGCTGAGGCAGGAGAAGGGCATGAACCTGGGAGGCAGAGCTTGCAGTGAGCCGAGATCGTGCCACTGCACTCCAGCCTGGATGACAGAACGAGACTCCGCCTCAAGAAAAAAAAAAAAAAAAAGAAATGCCAGATAAAGAAGTAAAAATACTGATTTTAAAGAGATTCAATGAGATAAAAGATATTCTGAAAACCAGCACAAAGACATCACAAAATCAATTCAGGATATAAATTTTAAAAACTTGCCAATGAGACAGATATCTTAGAAAAAAATAATTTCTGGAAATGAATAATTAAGAAATTACAAAATACAGTTGAAAGCTTCAACAATTGACTGGACCAAGCAGAAAAGAAAATTCTCAGAAATTGAAGACAAGACTTTTGAATTAATCCAGTTAAACAAAAATAAACTAAAAATAAATTTTAAAAAAATGAACAAAGCCTTTGAGAAGTATGGGACTACATAAAGCAACTGAAGTTACAAAAGATTGCCATTCCTGAAAGAGAAGAAAAAGCAAAAAGTTTAGAAAACCTATTTAAGGAAATAATTGACAAAAACTTCTGTAGTCTAGCAAGAGATTTAAACATCCACATACAAGAAGTGCAACAAACACTAGAAAAAGATATTGCAAGATGCAGTTTACCATAAGAAATAGTCATCAGATGTTGTCTAAAGTCAACATGAAGAAAAAAATCCTAAACTCAGCAAGACAAAAGCATCTAGTCACCTATTAAGAAAAAAAACATCAGACTAACATCAGACTTCTCAGCACAAACCTTTTCCAAACCAGAAGAGATTGGGATCCGATCTTCAGAGTGCTTAAAAAGAAACTGTCAACCACAAATTTTATATCCTGACATAACAAGCTTCATAAATGAAAGAAATACAAAGTATTTCCCAGACAAGCAAATACTGAGGGAATTTGTCACTATTAGGCTGGTTCTATAATAAATGCTCAAAGGAGTTCTAAACATGTAAATGAAAGGTCAGTATTCACCACCATAAAAACACATTTAAGTATAAAACTCACAGGTCTTACAAAGCAATTGCACAAAGGAGGAAGAGAAAGAAATTAAATAGCAACATGACAAAACTCCACCAACCCACAAAGAGAAAAAAGAAACAAATAATTTAGAAAACAACTAGATAACATTATAACAAGAAAAAAACTCACATATGAATATTAGCCTTGAATGCAAATGGAATGAATGCTCTACTTAAAAGGTAAAGATTGACAAAATTGATTTTTAAAAGCATGAACAAAAAAAGTAAAGACCAATATCCCTGATGAACATATATGCAAAAATCCATAATAAAATACTAAGAAATCAAGTCCAACAGCACATCAAAAACATAATACACCATGATCAAGTGGGTTTTACTCCAGGGAGGCAAGGATGATTCAGCATATGCAAATCAATAAATGTGATTCATCACATAAACTGAATTAATGGCAAAAACCATATGACCGTCTCAACAGATGCAGAAAAAGCATTTGTTAAAACTGACCGCACCCTAATGATAAAAACCTTCAACAAATTAGGCATAGAAGGAATACACTTCAAAATATTAAAGGATCTGTAAGGCAAACCCACAGCCAACATCACGATAAACAGGGAAAAGTTGAAAGTAATCCCAATAAGAACTGGAATAAGACAAGGATGCTTACTTTCACCATGCCTATTCAACATAGAACTAGAAGTCTTAGCCAGAGCAATCAAGCAAGAAAAAGAAATAAAAGCCATCCAAATAGAAAAAGAGGAAGTCAAATTATCTGTTATTGATAATATGATCTTATACCTAAAAAACCCTAACAATTTCTCCCCCCAAAAACCTCTTAAATATTAAAACTGAATTCAGTAAATTTTAGGATACAAAATCAATGTATAAAAATCAGTAGTATTTCTATGTATCAAAAACAAGCTGAGAACCAAATCAAGAAGCAATCCCATTTACAATAGTTATAAAAAAAACCTAAGAATATATTTAACCAAGGAGGTAAAAGGAAAACTACAAAACACTGTTGAAAGAAGTTGTAGATGACACAAACAAATGGAAAAACATCTCATGCTCACGGATTAGAATAATTAATATTGTTAAAATGACCATACTGCACAAAGCAATCTAAGATTCAATGCAATCCCTACCAAAATACCAATATAATTTTTCTCAGACTTAGAAAAAACAATCCTCAAATTCATATGGCATTAAAAAAGAGCCAGAAGAGCCAAAGCAGTCCAAAGCAAAAAGAACAACACTGGAAGCATAACATTATTTGACCTCAGATTATACTACAAGGTTATAGTAACTAAAACAGCATGGAACTGGCATAAAAATAGATCAGTAGAACAGAATACAGAACCCAGAAACACCACCACATAACTACAGCCAAATGATCTTTGACAAAGTCAACAAAAACATATACTGGGGGAAGGACACCCTTTTCAATAAATGGTGCTCAGCAAATTGAATTACCATATGCAGAAGAATGAAACTGAATCCCTCTCTCACCATATATAAAAATCAACTCAAGATGGATCAAAGAATTAAATGTAGGACTTGAAACCCTACAAATACTGGAAGAAAACCTAGGGAAAACTCTTCTGGACATTGGTCTAATCAAAGAATTCATGACTAAGACCTCAAAAGCACAAGCAACAAAAACAGACAAATGGGATTTAATTTTAAAAAAGCTTCTAGAAAGCAAGGTAAATAATCAATAGAGTGAAAAGACAACCGTAAGAATAGGAGAACATATTTGCAAACTATGCATCTGGCCCGGGGACTGATATCCAGAATTTACAAGGAACTCAAACAACTCAACAACAGCAACAGCAACAAAATAATAATAATAATTAATAACCCCATTATAAAGTGGACAAAGGGCATGAGTAGACATTTTTCAAAAAAAGACACACAAAAGGCCAACAGACCTATGAAAAAATGCTTAACATCACTGAATATTAGAGAAATGCATATTAAAACCACAATGAGATATCATCTTATTCTAGTCAGAATGGCTATTATTAACAAGTCAAAAAATAACAGATGTTGGTGAGGATGCAGAGAAAGGAAACACTAACACTCTGCTGGTGGGAATGTAAATTAGTATAATCTCCAAGGAAAACAGTATAGAGACTTCTCAAAGAACTAAAAATAAAACTACCATCTGATCCAGCAATTCCACTTCTGGGTATCTACCCAAAGGAAAAGGTCATTATTCATAGGTTTCTCACAGCATGATTCACAATAGCAAAACATGGAATCAACTTAAGTGCCCATAAATGGATGACTGGATAAAGAAAATGTGGCATACACACACACACACACACACACACACACATATATAGATATATATAGACCACACACACACACACCCCATTTGTATGTACATTATCTTAAATGAAACAACTCAGAAAGGGAAAGTCAAATGCCACGTTCTTATTTATAAGTGGAAGCTATATAATGGGTACACATGAACGTAGAGTGTGGAGAGTGTGGAATGACAGACACTGAAGACTTGGAAGGGTGGGAGGTTAGGAGGGGACGAGGGATGAGAAATTACTTAATGGGTACATTATTTGGGTAATGGTTACACTAAAAGCCCAGACTTCATGATTATGTAATATATCCATGTAAAAAAACTGCGCTTGTACCCGTTACATTCACACAAAAATTTTAAAAATAAATCTATAAAACTCTGCACTTTACTGCCTAAGGTATTAAGTGTGTCAATAACCCCCTAGTTATTACAGGAGGGATATCAACATGTGTCAGTTGAAATAGTACTATAAACAACAAGGAACAATTGCTAATCTTTTTCAAGTAGTAGTCAGTACTTTCATTGTTTTAGGTTCTTTTGTTAAAATGTTTAAAGTTCTTGTTGCACATATGACACAACAGAATACCAAATACATCCCATTGATTGTGTAGTTTTAAACTAGTAGAAAGAAAATATAATTTCAACATGTTATAATGAGAGGTTAAGATAATAATACAGTTGTCCCCCAGCATCCATGGGGAATTGGTGCCAGGGCCCCTTTAGGATACCAAAATCCATGGATGCTCAAGTCCCTTTTATAAAATGGTGTAGTATTTGCATATAACCTACACACATCCTCCTATGTACTTTAAGTCATCTCATAATAACTTATATAGTACCTAATCCAATGCTTACACATCACTTCATTCACATGGATTCAACATAGTACTTGACACATGGCAAATCCAAGTTATAGTTTTGGACCTTTGTGTAATTTTTTTTCCTGAATATTTTTGATCCATGTTTGACTGAATCCACAGATGTGAAATCCATGGATATGAAAGGCCAACTGTACTCTTCACTCATTAAATATAACACACAAGCAGTGTTTTAATGTTGATATAACTAATAATTGAACTGAAGCAGTTGTTTATTATATAAACAGGAAAAATAAGCAAAATTTAATTACTGGTTAGCTGAAATTAACTTAGAAACAAATTATTCTTGGCTGGGCGCAATGGCTCATGCCTGGAATCCCAGCACTTTGGGAGGCCGAGACGGGCGGATCACTTGAGGCCAGGAATTCCAGACCAACCTGGCCAAAATGGTGAAACTCCCTCTCCACTAAAAATGCAAAAATTGGCTAGGCATGGTGGTGCACACCTGTAGTCCCAGCTACTCAAGAGGCTGAGGCATGAGAATCCCTTGAACCTAGGAGGCAGAAGCTACAGTGAGCCGAGATCGTGCCACTGCACTCCAGCCTGGGTGACAGAGCAAGACTCTGTCTAAAAAAAAAGACAAAGAAACAAGTTGTTCTTTAAAGGTGAGAATGTATGGTTTCATAAAAATCAGTCTGCATTAATGCCTCATTTGCTATTTTAAATATTTTATAGCTTCCATAAAACATATTACCTTTTTTTCATAGATGTGTTTTAAATGACTTTTCTCCATCTGAAACTTATTTTCTTGATCCTGTGAATGATAAATGTTTATATTTATTATACTTTAAATTATACTAGAGTCAATAAAATTAGCAACCTAATTAAATCAATCAATCTACTTAATGTCAAACTTCAGTTCAGAGTTTTGCATATGATTAAGTAAGCCCTACAGGTAGAAATTGGAGTAGCTTTGTATTACGAGGCATAAAATCTTAGTCACCTGAAGATATTACTATTCTCAAAAGCACTTGCTTTACAGTATAAGAAAATCTTTCTGACCCTTAGGATTAAGAGATTACTTCAAAAATGACCAAGTCAATAAATATGGAAATGATAAATTTGAAGTTACATCATGTAACAGTCCTTGGTATTTTTTGATCACGAGAGAAAAGAGATCTAAAAGGTGCAAAAGAGAGAGACAGAGGGAGAGAGAGAGGCAGAGAAAGAAAGAGGGAAAGAAAGAGAGAAATTATGAAGATTGGCAGGTAATTTAAAAGAAGGAAATTATTCTAAAATAATGATATATTTAAATAAAATTTATTTTTAAAACTAATCTCAAAAGAGATCATTCCAATTCAAATTATTGTACTTTATTCTCTACATCTCAAAGCATCAATCTCTATTAAGATAAATAAAATGTAAAATTATACAATGCGATAAAAGAATCAGAAAAGATGACCTGCATTTCTGAGTTTTATTTTTTTAATTGACTCTCAATGATACATCTGAATCAAGAAAACTGTGTTTGACCATTGTTCTTCTGTGTAGAAATACAAGACTCACCCTTAGTTGTTGCTTTCTTTGAAGTTCTGATTCCTGTAACTGCTGTTTTAATTGACAGACATTCTGCTCTAATTCTTCAATCATACTAGATGCCTACAAGGATTTTAAGAAGAATAAAAAGCAGAATATTGATTTTTGTACCATATTATACTTTCTGATTGAAAAAATATGCCTTTTGTACCCCTGAAAGTCCAATCAGAATTAAAATTATCTAGAAATTTGAATGAAAAATGTTTTTAAAAGATACTAGAAAAAATAATCTTTTAAAGTAAAAATATAAATTAAATGCAGCATAGTATTAAATATTATGAAAATGTAATGCTGACATAAAAATATAATCTTTTAAAGTAAAAATAGAAATTAAATGCTACATAATATTTAATGTTATGGAAATGTAACACTGACATAAAAATAATAGCTTTACAGAAAACTTCAAAATTTTAATTATAAAATGAAAGCAGAACCAAGATTTCAAAACAATAATAACGCATATAGTTACTCTATGAAATGTATTATTCATACAACTAAGCATTGGAATTTATATGTTTCCTCCTTTTAAGACTGGCACTTAAAATGATTAGCTTATAGCAGAATTCAGTTTATTAAATATTTGTGTTGTGCTATATAGTAGACATTTCGAATTTTAAACATTTTAAATACCAGTAAAAATTCCTGAAGTTCCTGTTAATTTAAGAATAAAGTGAAAGAGAGATTAATTTCAAATGCCAAATAATTTCTACTTGGCTATCTATGGCTCTAGGCTTAGTGAATAAATACTTCATGTGGATTATCTATTAACATAAATAATACCTTAGAAGCTGAAAGAGCATGTTCTTGTTTTAGAAGGTTTATATCAGCATCATATTTGGTTTGTAACAGTTTCATGTTTTGCTCATAATCATTTACAAGATGGTCCTTCTCTTTATGCAGTGTGTTACGCCTAAAAACAAGAGAATAAAATAGACTTTCAATGTATTTAAAACCAATCTCTAAAATGAAATTTTTTAATCAGCTAAATCCAAATACATTTCCATTCAATATATTAAATAAGTATCCACAATTTTGTCAACTGCTTCTAAACATTCTGCTTATGTTAAAAACAGGTTGGGTACAGTGACTCATGCCTGAAATTTCAGCACTTGAGGAGGCCAAGGCAAGAGGATCACTTCAGAAAAAGAGTTTGAGACCAGCCTGGGCAACAGAGTGAGACCGTGTCTCTACAAAAAAATAAAAATAGAAAAATTAGCCAGGCATGGTGGTGCATGCCTGCAGTCCTGGCTACTTGGGAGGATGAGGAGGGAGAATCGTATGAGCCCAGGAGTTTGAGATACAGTGAGCCATGATCACACCACTGTACCCCAGTCTGGGTGACAGACAGAGACCCTGTCTCTAAATAAACAAACAAACAAACAAACAAACAAACAAACAGCAGTATTTAGATTAGAAACTTCCCAAGGCTAAACGCACAAGGTGTAATTAATTTTGGCAGATAACTGATACAGTTAATATCAGTACTTTATAGCTACACCTGATAAATATCTGATTTCAGACAATACCTTGCCTTTACTTCTTGTAATTCACTACACGTTATCTGGTAACATCTTTCAAGTTCTGCTTTTTCTTGAATTAATTTCTGCCTCTGTAAATTACTGTTCTCTGCTTCTCCAGTCAGCTGCTGGACACGGGCCTCCAGTTCTTTGATCATGTGGTTCTAAAAGAACAGGTCATGGTTAAGAAAGTCTCTGACTCAGTTGTAACACTTTTGTATCTGTAAGAAGCTTGAGGAACACGTATAATCTATAAGAATAAATAAAACAAATGTATCATAAACCATGGTAGTAGAAATTAAATCAACCTTGAACTTAACCAAGTCTTTAAAAAAACAATGCATACTACCAGAAAAATAAGAACATCACAGTTATATACTTTTAGCCTTTTGTTCATTTAATGAATATTTACTGAGGCTGGTAATATTCAAGAATGTAGATACATAGCAGTAAATAAGACAAAGTTCCTATCCTCAGGAAGGTTTCAGTCTCTATGCCTCTTTATACGTACGGCCATTAGCTGACTACTTACCAGTGATCTTTGCGTTTGATTTTAAGTTTTTGAAATGTGTTATAAGAGTAATGTAATAGTATTTTTAAAGGAAATCCATAGCCCCAAAATTGTAGCACAAGGGTGTTCACATAAGTGATACACTTATTTTTAAGTGTATAGGAACATTTAATTAGTTGTGTTAGTGTGCAAGATTTTTATTCATTTTTTAACATCTTTGCCGTTTTGTAAAATGCACTTCTCTACTCTTCCACAGTATTAAGATTATCACTCAACTAAATCATTTCTCTATTATTTAATATTTATTTAGAATTTTTCCCCTTTGTAGAACTGCAATTTAAAACGTGGATAAAGGTATTTATCATCTTTTAGATACTTTATCTAAAATTAGGGTAAGCAAGCATTAGATGAAGGGACAGTTAATTTTCAGTTTTAAAATTAAACTTCTAATAAGTGTGAGCAATAAGGATAGGTTAGTATGATGTTGCACTCAACTATTGTGTTATTCTAAGAGAACCATTTTAAAGATGCAGTTTAAGCATTAGATAATATTACAACCCTGACATCCTTTCTTCATCTCATCCTTTCTTCATTACAATACCAAATAGGTATACAAGTTAAATTTTGGTGTAACAGCTTCCAATCTATATAAATGACTTATCTAACTTAAAAGCATGGTTTATAGACTAACTTCTTTAAATGCATACAATTCTAGACTGACAAACATCAGAAGTTCTGATTTCTTCTTCCTGCATCTTATTCACTTTGTCTCTTCATTATCCCTCTGCTTTAGGAGCTCCTTTCAGAAAATAGTTTCCATTTCCTAATATATATTCTAAACACCCTTTATGTCCTGCGTATTCATTAACTGGAAGAAACAAAGAACATATACTTTGCCTTCCAGTTTTAGATGGCGGAATAAAGATGATTTGTATTCCTTCGTCTCTTGGAAACCAAAAACAGACAAGATAAACTAAAAATAGAAATGCAAATTCCATACTAATAAACCCTACAAGAGGATATTCTATTATTGGCAATAAAAGAGTAGCTTGCAGCAGATCACAATCCCAATGCTAACAACTGAAAAACCCAGTTTTGTTTTGTTTTTTTTTTTTGTTTTTTTTTTTTTTTGAGACAGGGTCTCATAGCGCAATCTTGGCTTACTACAGCCTCAACCTCCCAGGCTCAGGTGATCCTCCCACCTCAGCTTCCTGAGCAGCTGAGACTACAGGTACATGCCACCACACCTGGCTAATTTTTGTACCTTTTTTGGTAGCGATGGGGTCTCACTATGTTGGCCAGGCTGGTTTCAAACCCCTGGCCTCATGCAATTCACCCTTCTCAGCCTCCCAAAGTGCTAGGATTACAGGCGTGTGCCACCATGGCCAGTGAAAGATTTAATTAGTAGGAAAGCACTTGAGAACTTCTAAGGCAGTTTGAAAACATCATAGAGATGAGGCATCATCCTGTAAGGTGCTTTTACCCTAGAGGTATTTTTCAATGACGGAAGATGAGGATGGGGCAAGGAAACAAAGGCAGATGGTGGCCGAGGCAGCCAGGACTTGAGGACACAAGATCCCTCAGAAAAGCAACACACAGAGAAGTGGGCACCACACCAGCAGTTTTCTCAAGAGAATTTGTCAAATTCTTTTTCTTTTTCTTTTTGGAGATGGAGTTGCACTCTGTCCAGGCTGGATCTCGGCTCACTGCAACCTCCACCTCCCAGGTTCAAGCAATTCTCCTGCCTCAGCCATCTGAGTATTGGAATTACAGGTGCACACCACCACACCTGGCTAGTTTTTGTAATTTTAGTAGAGGTGGGGTTTCACCCTGTTGGCCAGGCTGGTCTTGACCTCCTGACCTCAAGTGATCTGCCCACCTTGGCCTCCCAAAGTGCTGGCGTTACAGGCATGAGCCACTGCACCTGGCCAAATTTGTCAAAGTCTTAGCATTCACAGGGCAGGAAGCCAAGAAACCAAGTGAAAAAAAAAAAAAAAACTCAGAAAAGCACACTAGAGTTTTCTGCAGTATCAGTGTACTTAGGAGTAAAATAGATTGTCCAAGGAGGAGAGCCCCTAGTATTAATAATATCACAGGCTTTCAGTTGAGACCTGTGTTGAGGACTACCACTAGGAGCGAAAGTTAGTCAAAAGTAGACCAAAGATTACCAAGATTGCAACTCAGCCTTGAGTCAATTCAGTCCCTGAATGGATCCAGTGATCTGTCTCTACACCAGCTGCCTCTCAGAAGTGAGAGAAGAGCCTCTCTGGAAGAAGATAACATCATCCACAGCCTTTATTATTTTTTGTGCACAATGTTTGGCAATTAATCACAAAATAACAGGCATACCAAGAAATAAAATCAGAGGAAAAATAGAAATAGACATGCAGATGCCCCATATATTGAAATTGTAAAACATATGAGGCATGTGTTTTCCTGACTCAAAATATATGAGACATCACACAAAATTAAGTGAAGATCAAATATAATTACAGGAATAGTCCAGAAGAAGAAGTCTCGTGGCTGGAAATCCTGAAAATGTCATCAGAACACACTTGTACAAACTAAGTGGCATGCAAATAACATCGCTGGTTCAATAATAACAGATGCATACATTCCAACTGTAGCTTCTTTCAACATAATCTGGCACGAAAAAGAAGCAAGAAAGATTATGCTGAATGAAAAAAATCACACAAACCATTTTTGCACAAAGCAATCTATGGATGAGATTGATTAAGGGAAAGAAATAACATTATGAGCAAGTAAAAACTGTAAGAGCAAACAACCAACATAGAAGAAAACAAAATGGAGATCCAGCATTTACCTAGTTAGTGTACCTAAAGAACAGAAATGGTAGAACAAGAAAATGTACCTAATGACATACAAGAAAACTATACATGAAAATAATATACAAATAGAGTATACTGTAAAAGTCACACAGAATGAAGAATGCCAAGACATAAGTAAAATTATTAAACTTCAAGGAAATGATCCTTTTAAAGCATTAATCAGACCTGTCACTCTCTTGCAAAACCCTCCAATGGCTTCTCTTATCACTCAGAATAAGAAGAGACTATCATGGCCTCTGATTTCATCTCCTACCACCCTCCCTCTCATTTACTATACTCCAGCCATACAGGCCTCCATGCTGTTTCTCAAAGTCATCAAGCTAGCCTCAAAGCCTTTTCATTTACTGTTCTCTCTGCCTAAAGCATCTTCCTCCAGGGGCCTGCATAGCTCATTTCCTCACTTCTTTCAGTTCTCCACCTAAATGTCATCTTGTGAAGGAATCTTTCCATAGCCATTCTACCTAAATAAGCAGATCTCTACTGCCTATATTTCTGTGGCCTCTTACCCTTTCTTTTGCTTTTTCTTTCTTTGTTGTTTGTTTTCCACAATAAAGTATAAGCTTAAGACAGCCAAGACATTGCTTTATTTGCACTAGATCTCCTGTTTCTTTCTAGCACACTGCTTAGCTTGTAGTAGGTATTCAATAAACATTTGCCAATTATCAAAACAGCTGACCTTGAATGATATGGGTTTGAACTGTATGGGTCCATTTATATGCAGATTTTTTTTTCAACTAAATGGTGATCAAAAATACAATATTCACAGGATGTGAGACCCACTTACATGAAGGGTCCGCTTTTTCTGTACCCAGACTCCACAATGCCGATTGCAAGACTTGAATGTGTGCCAATTTTGATATACACAGAGGTCCTGGAACCAATCCCCTGCATATACCAAGGCACTACTGTATTCTCAAAAATAAAAACAGGATAACTGCTAAAATGTCAAAATGTCCCTTCCATATTCAAAACTGGAGTGATTTCTGGCCATATTATAGAAAATATTAGCATTTTATAAGGTTATAACAGGGTTACAATGAGGAAATAACAAACATCTGTCCAATATAGAATATATCAAAATGATTTTTGCATGTTTTATAAAAAATAGAGATAAAATACAAGAAATCCAACATAGAGGTAAAGATATTCCCCTCTATATTAAAAGAATTTCTGGAAATCTATTTCTTTTTTTCCTTATATGAATCCAAAATAAATGTGAACATCATAAAATTTTAGAAAGTATCAAATTGCTAAAGAAATAAACCAAGGCAAAGGGGGTTGAATTACACAAATAAATAAATCCACAGACTTTGCCTAAAGAAAAAGGGTTTCTGTTAGCCAGAAAAACCAGACAGCTCTCTTTCTACAATGTGAATAATTACAGTGGAGATGAGAGAAAAAATGCTCAGATAAAAGCATAAAACTATTTTTATGAGAGAAAGAAAAAAAGAGATAAAACAGAAAGATATCCAACAAATCAGAGAAGAAAAATGATAGACATTGAAGCAATATTGTGACCTCAGCTATCTGTATATCATTGAACAAAGTAACAGTGATAAAGTGAACTTGAATTTTTTTTGTTTTTGTTTTCGTTTTTGTTTTCACTGAGACAGAGTCTCACTCTGTCGCCCAGGCTGGAGTGCAGTGGCGCAATCTCGACTCACCGCAACCCCTGCCTCCCAAGTCCTAATGCTTCAGTCTCCCAAGTAGCTGGGACTACAGGCATGTGCCACCATGCCCAGCTAAGTTTTTGCATGTATATATATATATATACATATATATATATATATTTTTTTTTTTAGTAGAGATGGAGTTTCGCCACGTTGCCCAGGCTGGTCCTGAACCCCTGACCTCAAGTGATCTGCCCACCTAGGCCTCCCAAAGTGCTAGGATTACAAGCGTGTGCCACCACGCCCAGCCTGAACTTGAAATTTTGACTAAGGAATTATTAAAATGATGAAAAAAATTATCAGATCTGAAAGGAAGAGATTTGTGACTAAAATAGGTAACCCGAGGACTGTACCTGTTCAAAAGGAGCAGAACTATGAGAGGACGTGGTTCCTGTTCATTGCCCTATTAAATGCTGTGGTCTGCACTACTGGCCAGTCTTTTTGAGGATATGCATGTATTGTAAGTACCGACAAGTGAGTACCTCTGTGAACGTGCTACTTGCCCATCCTTATTTGTCTTCACCTGTTGACAAACCTTCAGGTTCCAACAGAAAACAACTGTTGGTGAAGTTGTGGAGAAACTGGTACCCTTGTGCACTGCTGGTGAGAATGAAAAATGGTATAACCATTATGGAGAACAGTATGGAGGCACCTCAAAAATTTAAAAATAGAACTACCAAATGATCTGGCAATCACACTTCTGCTTATTTACCCAAAAGAACTGAAGTCAGGATCTCAAAGAAATATTTGTACTCCCATGCAAAAGTATTCACTATAGCCAAGATGTATAAACGGCATAGCATAAACCAGAGAAAATGGTGAATAGGAGATGGGACTAATGTGCAGCTCTCTCCTGGATGGACAGAACAGCATCTGGAGACTCACATTGTGAACTTTTGCTCCAAGAACCACCACAGAAACATACCAGGAAAACCAAAAGAATTCACAGACCCTTTGAATAAAACAGCTTGCCACTGCAAACACCACAAGACAGCCGAAAAACTGAGCTCCCGAAGTGTGATGGGGGAAAGTCAGCCTCCAAATACACATCCACACTGGGGAGCCTGAACAATGTAAATGTCCATGGATGAATGAATAGCTAAAGAAAATGTGGTATATACATGCAATGGAATATTATTCAGCCATTAAAAAGGGAAAGCCTGTTTTATGTTACAACTTGAGTGAATCTTGAAAACATTATGCTGCATGAAATAAGGTAGTCAAGGAGGGACAAACACTGCATGATTCCAGTTACAGGAAATATCTGAAATAGTCAAACCCATATAAACAAAGTAGAGTGATGATTGCCAGGGGCTAGACAGAATGGAAAATGGAAGTTGCTACTCAATGGGTACAGAGTTTTAGTCACGCAAGACAAAAAAGTTTTAAAGATATGCCAATAATATCGTGCCTATAGTTACTAACACTGCATTGTACCTTAAAAATGTGTTAAGAGGGTAGATCTCACACTATGTGTTTTTACCACAATAAAAAGAAAAAGAGAAAACAATGGCTAAAACTTAACACCACATTAAATGTGCATACATGTAAAATTCTTGCCCAATAACCAAGGCTTCATGGACCACCGACGTATTTTGATGATGAATATAATGACAACAGCCACCACTGAACCCTCATTATAGGTCAGGCACTGTGCTAAGTGTTTTACCAGCTTTAGGCCATTTCTCTTTCCCGCAAAACTATGAGGTAGGTATCATTAACATCATTTTAAATATGAAAAAACTAGGACTTAGGAAAATTGATTAACGTGGCCACAGTTGCCCTACTGGTAAACTGGTAAGCAGCAAAAAAGAATTTGATCCAAGATCTCCTTGAATCAAAACCTATTCCACTGCATTACATCTTCTCCAGGACTTTGATATTCTGCTCATGGAATTAACATAAAATAAATTTGCAAAAATACCTCGGGTAGACATATCATTTCAAAACATAAAGTAAACAAAGAAAAGCTAAAATGCAACACTGCAATACTTGAGGTCTCTTTCTTAACCTCCCACATTATTACTGCTATTATTATCAGTCCCAAGATAAGATATTTTTTAATTGTGTAATTTGAAGGTTGTAGTGTTTTCTACCTTGAACAATCTATTATAATAAAGGGCTGGCTAGTGAAATTCTACTCATTTCTAAGCCCCTTTATTAAAATGCTCATTCCAGGAGAAATGAGACTCATGAATGGGATATTATAATCTATTTGCTAAAGGAACAGACCAGTAGAAATAATCTGTTACCATAAAATGTCTCCTAAATATGTGTGGAAATAAAAGTGGCTCATTATCCAATGATTTCTTAAACATATACTTTAGTTAGCTTAGATTAATAAAGTCAAAAGTTATCAGGTTTAAAATATAATAATTTTTAAGAACTAAATTTTAAAATATACAACCAGAATGCTCTAAAAATAACATTTCAATATCCATCCACTCTCCAGCTCTCCTTCTTCCCGTGACCACCTCTCTCTCTCCTCTCCCTGTTCTCTCCTCTCTCCTCTGGCTCTCCCGTGCTGGTCATGCTAATGTCACTGCGGTATTATGACATTAGCATTTCAAACTACATTGAACAATTCTAACTATAATGCTAAGTAATGATTAAATCATCCTTCTTTCCAGTATTTATGCATAGTCTTTCCCCCATTTCAACAAATTAAACTGCCCATCCTGAATTTTATCATGACTTCCATAGGATGATTTTTCTTATAATACTACAAGATTATGTTTGTCTTTCCGTAACAACAATTCTTACTCTAGTACCATAAAAGTATGAAAAGTACATTCCCAATTACTTCATCAGTAATAGAAATAAAAAGGACAGGCCCCAGAACCAGTCCCTTCAGCACACTACTCACCATATTCCATCAGGCTCATACTACTTTTTAAAATGAATTTTACAACATACCTGAGGCCAAACTTTACTGGTTTGTCAAAAGACTACTTCTCCTGAGAATTCTTCAGAAAATAACTCAAAGAATGTTATGTATAATATAGATTTTAAGTATATACATAGATATGATTATTATATATCTGAGGCCCACCAGATGGACAAAACCAATCTAGCTGGTACTGTCTGTGAAGGCTGACATAAGGTTAGGAAGTCCTGGGGCTGTACCAGATACAACAGGGAGTCGGAGGTTGCAGTGAGCTGAGATCGCGCCACTGTACTCTAGCCTGGCAACAGAGCAAGACTCTGTCTCAAAAAAAAAAAAAAGAAAAGAAAAGAAAAGAAAAAAGAAGATTCTGATACGATTTATTCAAACAGTGAACACCTGCCAAGACATAACTGCTGTTAGAAGCTGGCATGCTTTCTCACATGCAGATAAGTATTACATGAAATGAAAAAGTGGCCTTTGCATTAAGATCTCTATTTGTCAAACAAATACTTTTGTATATACTGATGCCAAGTTTCTGACTGAAGAAGCAAACTATGTGACGTCACTTATTCATTTTATTTTTGATTTTTAAAGCATTTTCTGAACACTAATGTTCTACACACAATTTTACACACAAAGTACATAAATTTTGAACCTATAACATCAAGGGAAAGCCTATAGGCATATATAAAGTATCTTAAAAACAACAACATTTGCCAAATTAATTTTTTAAACGGAATAAAAGAGCTGAGAGGATGCAAAATAGTGGAGTTCTTAAAATGGAGTAAAAACTTAGTCAAGAAAAAGAATGCTGATGTAGAACTATGTTTTGCCGGCTGTAACAGACAATGCAGAAGCAGAATTCAGTGGTATATGACAACAGAATCAGGGAAGAAATAAGTTACTGTACAGAAAATGATGAACAGATTACCTTGTATGAACAGGATATCTTCCCACATTGGGAACTGAAAGGTAGCACTTGGAAAACTAGGTTGGACTTCGTGAACTGATGTAACTTGTAAGCATTAATTATAATAGGCATGATACTAGGAACTCAGATTCTTAATCATGGGAAAATTAGAAAAAAATGCATCTATTGGCTATGGAGTAAGAGGAGACAGGGAAGAGTAATTGGCAGGTTACTGGAAGAGTCAGGAATGAGGCAACAACGGCCAGGACTCAATTGGTAGCTGTGGAAACAGAAGGGAAGAGAGCAGATCCAGGAAAATTTTCAGAGAGGTAAAATGGATGATTCTGTAACATACTAAATAAGGGAGATGAAAAGTGGGAAAAACATAAATCTTCCAGGTTCAAAATTTAATGTGCCAACAGAATGATGATGATGCCAACTGACAAGAGGAAATTTGGGAAAGGGTATTATTTTGGTATTAATTATCATAGGTTTGATTTCCTATAAGTTAAGTCTTAGAAAATATAAAATGTCTCATGGTCTTTTCATCGTACAACATCTACTGACATAAGAAGTCAGTACTGGAGATATAAATGTTGGAGTTTTACATACAAACTTAATTCGAAACCTTGTAGGAGTTAAAAATTAAAAAGGGTTAGTATTAGGCAACTACTTGGTATCCACAGTTCTCCTATGGCAAACCCCTATGGCAAAAAGAGCAACTAATTTTATCTTATTTCACAAACTTCTTATGAAAATAGGACATATTTTCATAAGAAGAAGAATTTATCCATGAAAATAGGACTATTTTCATAAGAAGTTTGTGTGCCACTGCACTCCAGCCTGGGCAACAGAGCAAGACTGCATAAGTCTTAAAGATAGAGTTTATGATTTATAACAAAAGGTGCTTATGTCTTAAAGATACATACGTTTATGATTTGTGAAGTTATAAATCATAAATCTTAAAAATAAATTCTGATAACTTTTTTAAAAATTGAAAACTCATGAGCCACTAGAAGTGTGAACATTGCCAGCCTCCCTAAAGCCTTATTAGTTACCCTCCACCCAAAGGTAACCACTATTTTGACCTCTATCAGTACAAATAAATTTTGTCCTTTTCAAACTTTGTATAAATGGAATCACACAGTATGTAACTTTTTGGGGTCAGGCTTCTTCATGCATATTATATGCCTATGGGATTCATCCATGTTGTGGAATGTAAGAGTAATATTTTTCAGTACTGTATATAGCATGCTAAAATAATTTACCCATTCTATTGATGAGTTGTCTTCAGTTTTTGACTATTAAAAATAATGTGGCTATGAAAACTCTCATACATGTTTTATGATGCACACATGTACAGATTTCTTTTGGTTATACATGTTGCAGTGAAACCGCTGTCATAAGATGTGCCTATGTCAAGCCTCAGTAGTTACTATCAAGGAGCTTTTCAAACTGGATATAAAAATTTGAACTTCTTACAGCAGTGTATGAGACTTCAGACTATTCTGTATCTTTGTCAAAACTTTGTACTGTGATTTTGTTTTTTTAATTTTAGCCCTTTTTGTAGGTATGTAGAGATACTGAATTTACATTTCCCTGACTATTAATAATTTGAGCACCTTTTTAAGTGTTTATTAATCATCTGAATAGCTTCTTTTGTGGGCTGCCTATTCAAATACATTGCTCTTTTTTATTGAATTGTTTTTCTTGATGATTTTTTTCTATATTTAAAATGCAAGACCTTTATTGAATAAAGGAATTGCAGATATCTTCTTCCATTCTGAATTGCCTTTTCCCTTTTTTTCTTTTTTTTTTTTTTTGAGACAGAGTCTTGCTGTGCTCTGTTGCCCAGGCTAGAGTGCAGTGGTGCAATCTCGGCTCACTGCAGGCTCCACCTACTGGTTCAAGAGATTCTCATGCCTCAGCCTCCCGAGTAGCTGGCAGCATGTGCCAACCACGCTTGGCGAATTGTTGTATTTTTAATAGATACAGGGTTTTGCCATGTTGGCCAGGCTGTCTCAAACTGCTGGTCTCAGGTGATCTGCCTCCCTTGGCCTTCCAAAGTGCTGGGATTACAGGCATAGGCCACCATGCCAGCCTCTTTTCCCTTTCTTAATGATACCTTTGGTGATCAAAAGGTATTAATTTTAATATATCCTAATTTATTAGTATCTTTCTTTAAGGTAAACATTTAATTTCCCTTTTAAGAAACCTTTGACTAGTCCAGGCCAAGAAGATATTCTAAGATTTCCTCTTTAAGTTTTATCATTTTATCTGCACATTTAATTCTAAGATGTTCCTAAAATGGGTTTATTAAATGATGTGAAGGTTCAAGATGCATTTTTTCTATATGAATATTCAATTGACCAATTTATTGAAAGAACCACTTTTCACAGTAAATGGCTTGGTAAAAAAAAAAAGTAAATAATTGTAATTTTCATTAAAACTATTATCCTATATTACTAGTCCCCAAAATTCAAAAGAACAAGGAGAAAATGATTTTAGAATTATTATATAATGAATATACATTGAGAAACAAAAAATATAGCCATCACCAAAATAAGTATTGTAGGAAATTAAAATTTTTGTCAAACAAGGAAAAACATTATGTTTGACCTAAGTGGCAAATAGAGCAGAGTTTAAATGTTAATTTATTAAAAAACACCTTTAAGCAAAACAGTGTATAGCAGGTCCTCAAATAACATCATTTCATTATAATAACGAGAAAAAAAATTTGGTTTCATTATATGTCACTTCACTTATAATCAGTTTCCAAAAACCTATCAATGACATTAAATAAGGACTTACTGTATACACAGGCTAGTATATACTGTATACACAGGTCAGTATTTCCTTGGTCAGGTGAGAGGGTGCAAGAGAAATGATACCCCAACCGCAGCATGCATAACTAGCACACAGATATTGGTTTCCAATACCATTTCTCCATATAATCCGTATTGATGGGGCCATGTCCAAGAAGCACAGAAGTCAAATGAAAGAGCTCCCAATGGCCAAAGCTGGAACAATTTGAGCAACAAAATGAAGAAATATTGGCTTATAACCCAAAGCATAAGAAAAATATCCACATTCTCATATTAGTATGAATAAATAATAGAATAAATTGATAAATAAGGAGAAAAAGTCTCCCATGCAGAAAAATTCCAAAAATTTATATAGATACCCCACCCTCAAGAGCAGGGAGTAAAACTCCCTACTTCTTAAACACGGGCTGCCAAACGGTAACTTCCTTTCAAGTAGTACAGTATGGAAAGGTGGGGAGTAACTTTACACTGGAGAAACCTAATTAACACTACCTCAGCCAGATGATCAAAATTAATATGCACAGGTATGATGTCATGTTGATAATATGTATTCATGGCTGGGCACGGTGATTCATGCCTGTAATCCCAGCACTTTGGGAGACTGAGGAAGGCAGATCACCTGAGGTCAGGAGTTCGAGACCAGCCTGGCCAACATGGCAAAACCCTGTCTCTACTGAAAACTACAAAAATTAGCTGGGCATGGTGGCACACACCTGTAATCCTAGCTACTCAGGAGGCTGAAGCAGGAGAATCACCTGAACCCAGGAGGCGGAGGTTGTAGTGAGCTGAGATTGTGCAACTACACTTTAGCCTGGGTGACAGAGAGAGACTGTCTCAACAAAATAAAATAATAAAATAATAATAATATGTATTCATGATATGATACGATGAGAATAGCACTTTAACTCTGAGGATCTTCCTGCCTAAACCCACAACCCCAGTCTAATCATGAGGAAAGCATCAGACAGTTTCTACTAGATGGGCATTTTACAATATGCCTAACCAGTCAATACTCCTCAAAACTGTCACAGTGATAAAAAACAGGGACAGTCTGAGAAATTATCACAACCAAGAGGAAAGTAAGGAGGCCTAACAACTAAATGTCATGTGGTATCCTAGATGAGATCCTGGAAAAGAAACAACATTAGGTAAAAACGAAGGAAATCTGAATAAATGAAAGACTTTAGCTAATAGTGTATCAATATTGATTTACTTATTGTGAAAAGTGTACCAAGATAACCTAAGATGTGAAAAACAGGAGAAACCGAGTGCAGGTTATATGGGAATTCTCTGCACTATCTTCTTAAATTTTCTGTAAATCTAAAACTATTAAAAAAAAGTGTCTATTTTTAAATGGTCATTTTATTCAACATGATGAATTGGTGCTATTTGGAGATTCTCTCGATTATAATCATTGTGAGCTTGGGAGAAGAAATGGTGATAGAAACTATAAAATCAAATTCTAGCTATCTCAGTGTGTCCATGAGTAGTTCTATGAATTATCATATGTCACTACTAACATAGTTAAATATTTCAGATGTCTAAGGCTTTTGGCACTCTTTAAGGTAAAGGATCTTAACCTACCTTAACCTACCATAGAGGATCATGGATGGAATTCAGACTGTCGCTGAATTTGAATTTTTTCTTTAAAGTTCACTTTCATTTTCACCACCCTAACTGAAAGTTAACATTTCCCAATTGTGAATGTAGTCATCAGACAAAGGTAGCATTAGCAATACCTGGAACAAACAGAAATCATGGATATTTTTATAGTTCATTACACTACTGAGCAATCACTATACATTGTTTACCCTCATTAGAAATTACTATCATGCCTACTGCTAGATTTTGATATTTACTGCATTAATTTAGAAGCATATGTATTACTTTATCACAGTTTTGATTTATGAATATTTTAACAACTGTAACTCAATATAATTTTTCTTTGTAATCTTTTATTTTTAAAATACTATTCTGAGAAGGACTACACAGAATTCACCAGATTCCCAGCAGGGTCCATGGTACAAAAGATGTTAAGAACTCCAGTAAGAAAGCCTAGAATCTCAATAAAGCCGCCCACAGATTTTCAGTGTGTCTAAACCCTAATGTCAATAGACCCTATCATTTTACAGCCTTCATCTTCCCAAGCATCTAGCAAGGAAGCTATAATTTTTATATTTACGTTTTAATATTTGTTTTAAAAATCTATTGTTTGCATATTTTCACTATGAGTTTCTCATAAGAAAATCCCTGCCAATACCAAAATGCGTAAGTCTCATAATCTATACAAGTGTCTGCTTACAATAAATGGCAATAAGACAACACTAGACTCAACAAAAAAGAAAAAAGCCTGAAAGAACAGCAAAACAGAGAAACTGATTCTCAGTGACAGTCCCGTCTTTCATCTTAAGCCAGGCCTTGAACTCTACCTTGTTTAATTATTAAATCAGGAGCTGCTCAGCAAGACCTGTCTACTTTTGACGATTCTTAAATTCAATCCTGCTGACAGACTCCGTCCATGTTTCTCTATATTTACTAGTATTACCTATGACAAGGTTTGAATGCTAATTTTTAAAATTCAACTTTCATTAAAAATAGAATGAAAGTTCTCTGACAGGTACCTCTTGGCTCCAAAGCATGACTTTTCTTTTTATCCCAAACTTATAAAAATTAAAAATTCCATTGTGAATGATATTTCTCTCAATATTATTTAATAAATAAAATATACCTATGCAATAAACATCAAAGCAATATATTTTACAAATTTCCATTGTAATATTATTTAATATATTTATTAAATATATTCACTTTGTGAAGATTTAGAATGTTGAAATAATGAAAATGTATTTTAGATTTAAATTTGTTTTTTGTCCATGCCTTTAAATATCAAAGAGGTATCTGTACACCCACGTACACGGCAGCATTATTCACAACAGCCAAAAGGCAGAAGCAACTCAACTGTCCATCTGCCAATGAATGGACACACATGTGGTATATGCATAGAGTGGAATTATTATTTAGCCTTTAAAAAGGAATTTTGACACAAGCCACAACATGAATGGACCATAATGACATTATGCGAAGTGAAATACGCCAGTCACTGAAGGACAAATACTGCATAATTCCACTTACATGAGTTTCCTAGAATGGTCAAATTCGTAAGAGACTAAAAGTGAGGAACTGAATAAAGACGGCAAATGGAGAATTATTGTTTACTGGGTACAAAGTATTAGGAAAGATGACAAAATTTGGAGCTGGATGGTAGTGATAGTTGCACTACAGTGTAAATGTACTTAATGCCACTGAACTATATACTTATAATTATTAAAATGGTAAATTTCATGTTACGTCTATTCAATAAAAAAAGAATGACGAAAAAGAATGTGATGATTTATTTGTATCCTAAATATATAAAATGTTCCTATAAATCAAGGAAAAGAATAACTCAATTTAAAAATAGACAAAGGGGATGAAATGGCTATTTTAAAAGGCCAAGAAATGTAAGAGCCAAAAGGGAAATGGAAATTAAAATAATACATTTTTTCAAGCTAGAAACAAAAAAAAAATTTTTTTTTTTGAAACAGGGTCACACTCTGTCACCCAGGCTGGAGTGCAGTGGTGTGATTATAGCTCACTGCAGTCTTGGCTTCCTGGGCTCAAGCAATCCTCCCACCTCGGCCCCACAAGTAGCTGGGACTACAACGTGCACTACCACGCCCGGCTAATTTTTTTATTTTTTGTAGAGATGGGGTCTTGCTGTGTTGCTCAGGCTGGTCTCAAACTCCTGGGCTCAAGTGATCCACCTGCCTCAGCCTCCCAAAGTACTGGGGTTACAGGCGTGAGCCACCATGCCTGGCCAAAATATTTTAAAATTTGGTAAGTCCAAGTCTTGGCAAGGATGTGAAGACAATTCCTACTCTTGTTGAGCAGTGCCATAAACTGGTATGACCACTTTGAAAAGCTTACTATGGATACAGAAATTACACTCTTAAATACATACTCCCTAAAGCAGTGATTTTCAAATTGTGGGTCTCAATCCATGTGAAATCAAGTTTTAAATCACAACCCAGCAATTTTTAAATGAAATTAAACAAAATGAAAAATACAGAATATGTTAGAGTAAATGGCCAATAGTAAAAATGAAACTTTTGTTTGAGTTATAAATATGCAGACAGATGTGTGCTCATATATGTACTTGTGTATGTTCTGGGCATAATTTATTAAATTTATTTCTTACTGGGAGTCATGGTCAAAAATGAAATGAAAGCCAGTGGCTTAGAGCAGCAGTTCTCAAAGTTTGGTCAACAAACTCCTGAGCTTCCCAAAGACTCTTTTAGTAGATCCACAAGGTCAAAACTATTTCTATAACTATACAAAGACATAAATTGCCTATTTCACTATCATTTCCTCACAAGTGTACAGTGGAGTTTTCCAGAGGCTACATGACACATGATACCACAACAGAATAAATGCAAAGACAGATATGAGAATCCAGTTGCCTGCTAAGACAGACGTTAAAAAGTTTTTTTTTTCTTTTTCTTTTTTTTTTGAGAGAGAGTCTCGCTCTGTCGCCCAGGCTGAAGTGCAGTGGTGCGATCTCTCCTCACTGCAAGCTCCGCCTCCTGGGTTCACGCCATCCTCCTGCCTCAGCCTCCCGAGTAGCTGGGACTACAAGCGCATGCTGCCACGCCCGGCTAATTTTCTGTATTTTTAGTAGAGATGGGGTTTCACTGTATTAGCCAGGATGGTCTCAATCTCCTGACCTTGTGATCTGCCCGCCTCGGCCTCCCAAAGTGCTGGGATTATAGGCGTGAGCCACCACGCCCGGCCAAAAAGTTTTTAAAAATATAGTCCCCAAAGAAAGCATACACCATACTAGTGTGTTTAACTACTAAAAATGGGTCCCAAATTTGACTCTGAGCAACCTAAACAAAATAGAAAACATGATCGTTTATAAGGATCTTCCATGAGCATATTAAGCTTTTCTCCTTCTTAAATCCAATGGTTTAATTTTTAATATTTTCATTTATAAGTGATAACATAATTAAAACAAAAATTAAATCACATTTTTTACCTATTTTGTGAGCTGAATTGTGTCCTCCAAAAAGATATGTTGAAGGACAATCTCCCGTACCTATGAGTGTGGCCTTATTTGGTTGGAAATAGTGTCTTTGCAGATGTAAGCAAGTTAAAATGATATCATACTGGATTAGGGTGGGCCCTAAATCCAACAACTTCTGTCATTATGAGAAGGCCATGTGAAGACATCGAGACAGAAATACACAATGAAAATGCAAATGTTGACAGCAGGACTGCCATGCTGCAGCTGTAAGCCAGAAAATGGCGAGGACCACCCGCAGCCACCAGAAGCTCCACAGAGACAAGAAGAATTTTCCTCTACCAGAACCTTCAAGAAAAGCAGGTTCTGCTGGTGTCTTGCTTTCATTCATACTTCAGGTCTTCAAAACTGTGAGGCAATAAATTTCTGTTGCTTTAAGCCACTCGGTTTGTGGTCATTTGCCACAGCAGCCCTAGGAAATCAACATAACTATCAAACTGGCCAACTTTCGGTTTGTTTTTATTTATTTTTATTTTCATTTTTATTTTATTTATTTATTTTTTTGAGATGGAGTCTCCCTCTGTTGCCCAGGCTGGAGTGCAGTGGCATGATCTCAGCTCACTGCAACCCCTGCCTCCTGGGTTCAAGTGATTCTCCTGCCTCAGCCTCCTGAGTAGCTGGGATTACAGGCACACGCCACCATGCCCGGCTAATTTTTGTATTTTGAGTAGAGACAGGGTTTCACCATGTTGGCCAGGCTGGTCTCGAACTCCTGACCTCAAGTGATCCGCCCACCTTGGCTTCCCAAAGTGCTGGGATTACAGGCGAAAGCCACTGCACCCAGCCTGTTTTTAATTAAAACACCCATCTTTGGTTTGAAAATGTAGAAGAACGGACATTCACATATACTTTCAATTAGAGAGTAATTTTATTATGTAGATATTAATTTTTTTCTTTTTCATCATCTCTTTTCTAAAGTTTCAATAGTGAGCTTGTATATCTTTTTGCAATAACAAAAACTTTCATTTTAAAACCACTATTGTCACCATTATTTAACATTTTTCTGTAAGTTCTAGTCAGTGTATGATAAATTATAAAATACTTGCTACATACATGTAAAGGGTTGAAATTTCTAACACACATTTATTCTTGAGTCTTTTCTACAGCAGAAATATAAAACTTTATACAACAAAAGTTTGAGACTCAGGAATAAATATTACAAAAGATGTCCTAAAGACCCCAGAGTACTGTTTTCTTTATTAACTTGGTAAATTGATTCTAAATGTACAATCATCCCTTGCCATCTGTGGGAAACTAATTGCAGGACCCCCTACAATACCAAAATCCAGAGATGCTCAAGTCCCTTATGTCAAATGACATAGTACTTGCATATACCCTATACACCCCCTGCTGTATATTTTAAATCATATCCAGATTACCTACAATATGTCTAATACAATGTAAGTGCTACATAAATAGCTGTTATGCAGTACTTTTATTTGTATTATTTCTATTGTTGTATCATTTTTGTTTTTTTTTTTATTTTTTTGAATATTTTTATGTGTGGTTGGTTGAATCACAAATGAGGAACCGATAGATCCAGACAGCTGACTGTATTTGTAAAAGGAAAGGGCCCAGAATGGCCAAGACTCTTCTGATGAACAAGGAAGGAAGACTTCCTTATCAGACATCAAGAGTAATTATGAAGCTGTAATAGAGATGACAGTATAATCATTGCAGAGCCAGAGAAATTATCCAATGTTCACATATATAGAAGTTCAATATATAAGAGCAGGCATGACAGATCAATGAAGGAAGGAGGAATTACTCTAAAGTAAAGCTGGGAAAAAAAAGTTATCCACATAGAAAAAAACAAAATTAAATCTCTTATCCTGCATTAGTCACAAAAACTAACTCCAGAAGGATTAAGGCCTCAATGTTAAAGGCAAAACTTTAAAGTTTTTCATAGAATATATAGGCGAACCTTCTTGCACTTACAATACAGACAGATTTGTTTAACAAGACATAAAAAGCACTATTTTGTTTTTTTTATTTTTGAGACAGAGTCTCGCTCTGTTGCCTAGGCTGGAGTGCAGTGGCGTGATCTCGGCTCACTGTAACCTCTGTCTCCTGGGTTCAGACAATTCTCCTGCCTCAGCCTTCTGAGTAGCTGGGATTACAGGTACGCATCACCAAGCCCAGCTAATTCTGTATTTTTAGTATAGATGGGGTTTCTCCATGTTGGCCAGGCTGATCTCGAACTCCTGGCCTCAGGTGATTCGCCCACCTCGGCCTCCCAAAATATTGGGATTACAGGGGAGAGCCACCACGCCAGGCCAAAAAAGCACTAAGTGTAAAAGACTTATACATTTGACTAAGTTAAAATAAGAACTTCTTTCATCAAAAGACCATCTTTCCCTCCAAATCCTATCAGCTGATGTATTACAATCTAGGAGACTGTCGCTCTCCAAAGTTGTATTTCTCTCCCTTAGGATTACAAGGCTTGCTGATCGCACATGGGAATTTGCAAAGGAGAGTTCAACAGTGGTCCTGTGGTATTATGGAGATCTCTCCCTGAGGTTCACCCCATCCTTGCTACTTGAACAGACTCTAATTGACCAAAACAAGGACCTAGTCTTCCAGGTTTTCCCCAATATGCGTAAGAGTAACTTATAAACCCAAGGGACATGGGCTCACAGTCCAAAATATCTAGATACCTCAAAAAAAACACTATGAAAGAAAGTCAGCAGTACTTGCATATATATAATAATATTATCACCTATATTATCATTCATAATACACAGCACATTATGACTTATATAACATTCTGAAGATAAATTATGAGAACAGATGAACTAAGAATTTTAAATAAGCTTAATTAATAAAGAGTCAAATGAGGCCAGCTGCAGTGGTGCACACCTGTAATCACAGCACTTTGGGAGGCCAAGGTGGGTGGATCACCTGAGGTCAGGAGTTTGAGACCAGCCTGGCCAACATGGCAAAACTCCATCTCTACTAAAAATACAAAAATCAGCTGGGCCATGGTGGCACACACCTGTAATCTCAGCTACTCTGGAGGTTGAGGCAGGAGAACCGATTGAAGCCAGGAGGTGGAGGCTGCAGTGAGCTGAGATTGTGCCACTGCACTACATCTGGGCGACAGAGTGAAACTTCATCTCAAAAAAGTAAATAAATAAAGAGTCAAATGAAAATACTAGGTATAAAAAATAATCACTGAAATAAAAAGTAATAGATCCCTAAGCAGGAGTAACTCTACCAAAGAATTAACTGATGAGAGTAAAAACAGAATGAGAAACTATCATAGAAATAAAGAATAGGAAGAAAATACAAAGAGATAGAAAATATAGCATAAGACCTAAGAGGTAGAAGGGATAGATCTTTTCAAAGAAATAATGATTGTAAATACTCAGAACTAAATTAAAAAACTCAAATTTAAAGGGCTCAAAATAATGCCAAAAAGTCCATAACTAGAGACATTATAGTGATATTTACATATATAAAAATCAAAGAGATGATGTTCAAAACTGCTCATCTCAGATCTTCATACTTGAAAACCAAGTGGGGTCACATTTTTTTCTAATGTTTATTTTTTATTAATAGATGTGGCTCCAGTGTCTTCTGGAAATGGATATTGAGATAAAGAAACCTAAAGGTATTTCGCATTTTTTCTCATATTAGTGACTTAATTTTTTGTTGTTTTTTCTTCAGGGTAGGGGAATGGGGAGAGGATGTCAGTGTTTTACAATTTGGACACTCAAAGGATTCTAGAGCCTCAAGGACTCCCAGGGATCTGTTCACCACACTTGGCCAGTTGCCATGGTAAAAACCTCAACTGTGCCTGAAGTCTCCCAATCCAGAGACTGTTGTATTCTCTCCAGAAAATAACCTAGTGTCTTCTGCTGAGTTGTAGAAGAGACAATCCCATGCTTCACAAAATGGGGGAGAAGATATAAAGATTTGGTCATTTTTTATTTTATTATTTTTAAAAAGTCGTATTATCAAATATCTACAAAATTACAAAGAAGAGTATAAAAAAACCCCTTGTACCTAACACTCCAATTAAACATCTAGCTGCCTCTTAAATAGGCCTTCTAGCAATTTATGTGTTGAAGGGCCACTTATCAGCCCTCTTCCAGAGATGCCTGGAGCCTCTGGAGCTCCCATGGTGTAATTCATCTTGCTTCTCAGGTTCCTTCACTGCTGATTTAGGGTTATGCTTTCTTGAGCCTGCTAGATCAATTTCAACAAATCCATTGCCTTTCCAACTCCAAAAATTGTATTGCTCTCTTATTCTCTTTGTCCATCAGGGCTTACACCTTTTTCTTTACCCTATTCCTATTATTTCCATGGAAGGGAATGGAGGCCCAAACAATTTTCCACTCTTCATCAAACAAATGTGTTAATTTTTTCTTTTTTTTGGATCCATTGCCCAAGCTGGCATCCAGTAGCACAATCACACCTCACTGCAACCTTGACCTAATGGGCTCAAGTAATCCTCCTGCCTCAGCCTCCCAACTAACTGGGACTACAAGCACACCCCCCCGGGCCTAGCTAATTTTTTTTTTTTTTAAGAGACATGGTCTCACCATGTTACCCTGGATGGTCTTGAATTCCTGGGCTCAATCAATCTAACTACCTCAGTCTCCCAAAGTGCTGGGAACTTCTTAAACTGAGTCCTTCTTTTTCGTTTGTGTGTCTCTCTTGATTGTCATTCTTGTATGTTTCATTTTTGAACATAATATTAACAATGATCTGAGTGTTTATTATTGTGTATATTAATATAATATTTTATGTATATTAATATATGTATATATTATATACTTAATTTATGTATATTAATATTTCCAACAACTTACATTATATTGTACTACTGTTATTCTATTCCACAAATAAGAACAATTAACATCTGAAGAGCTTACATGACACTCAAGCTATTAAGGAGTTGGAATTTGAACCCACAACTGTCTGACCCTAAAGTCCAGGTTCCAAACAACTGTGCATACCACTTCTCATTTCTTTTTCAATGTGAGGTAGACCTTAGTGCTGGTCCAAGGGTGCAAGGTAACACACTCTAAGATATATGTGTCATACGCCTGCGTAACAACTCTTGTTTAAATTCCACAGCTTTAAATTCAAGAAAGTACTTGGACCAAGCCAGGCTGGCCTGGGGAGGTTGTGAATGGTAAATGAGACAGAGTTCATGCCTGGGATACAACACTTGACCATTCTATGAGGTCATATTACATACAGATGCTCCTTGACTTAAAATGAGATCATGTCCCAATAAACCTATCATTAAGTTTCAAATATCATTAATTCAAAAATGCATTTAATACACCTAACCTACCAAACATCATAGCTTAGCCTGGCCTATCTTAGATGTGTTCAGAACATTTACTTTAGCATACAGATGGGCAAAATCATCTAACACAAAGCCTATTTTATAATGAAGTATAGGGTATTTCATGTAATTTACTGAATACTGTATTGAAAGTGAAGAACAGAATGAATGTACAGATGGATGGTCCCCAGCTTACAATGGCTTGACTTACATGACTTTTTGACTTTACGACAGTGCAAAAGCAATATGCATCACTTTAAGTACCCATGCAACCATTTTTGGAAATAAGCCCATAGTAAATTGAGGAGCATCTGGTATTCTACTGAATGCATCTTACCTTTGCACCAACATAAAGTCAAAAAATTGTAAGTCAAACCATCGTTAAGTAGGGGACCATTTGTATCAGTAACAAGACTGATGCGATGCACTGAACACGGACATGAGGAGCTCTGAGCCACATGCAGAGTAGCCTTCCAGCAAAACTGTTCCAGGCTTATGGATCTTGAGATGTAAGGCAGGTTCCTAAAGAGCTGAAGACAGTCACTTCCCCAGACCTAGACTCCACAGCCATATATATATATAATCAATGAAGATTCTCTTTGGGAGATCCTCTATCTCATCCTGACCAGTGTCACAGGTCTCTCTGCTGTGTAGCCTGACTGTGGTGACCTCCTTCCTGAATTACTTCAGTAAGGACCATTTTGGGCTTACCCATGTGATGTCTATGTCTGGTTCCCGAGTTAATATGATCTATTAAGAACACTGGTCAGAGTGGTCACACTACTCCAATCTCCCTCTTTGATTTCCTTCACATTAGCATTATTTTCAGAAAAACAATCAAGTCTTCCATTTAAAAAAAAATGAAACAAACAAAAAAAGATAGAAAAGAAATGGCCAGGCGTGGTTGATCATGACTGTAATCCCAACACTTTGGGAGGCCAACGCGGGCAGATCGCTTGAGTCCAGGAGTTCAAGACCAGCCTGGCCAACATGGCGGAACCCTGTCTCTACTAAAAATATAAAAATTAATCGGATGCTGTGGCATGCACCTGTAGTACCAGCTACTTGGGAGGCTTAGGCACAAGAATCGCTTGAGCCTGGGAGGCAGAGGTTGCAGTGAGCTGAGACTAAGCCACTGTACTCCAGCCTGGGCAACAGAGCAAGACCCTGTCTCAAAGGAAAAAAAAAAAAGAAAAGAGATTATCTCTGAACTGAAAGTCAATGGAAAAAAAAACAAGAAGAAAAAAGATTTATAAAGGCTTCTGAGGGTTAAAAAATAATAAATAAGACTAGGTACAGGGGCTCACACCTGTAATCCCAGCACTTTGGGAGGCCAAGGAGGGTGGATCACAAGGTCAGGAGTTCGAGACCAGCCTGGCCAACATGGTGAAACCCCCTGTCTACTAAAAATACAAAAAATAGCTGGGCATGGTGGCGGGCACCTGTAATCCCAGCTACTCAGGAGGATAGTTTGAACCCAGGAGGCGGAGGTTGCAGTGAGCCAAGGCCATGCCGTTGCACTCCAGCCTGGGTGACAGGGTGAGACTCCGTCTCAAAAAATAAAAGTAAAAATAATAATAATAATAAATAAAAAGCAGCATTAAACACACTAGAGTCAAATCCCTCACAGACTTCAAGGGTCTGTCCATGGCCACACATAAATCTGTATGGAGTAGGAAGGTAAAGTTTTTCTTTTGATTCTGTAACACACTTCTTTCTACACTGTGCACATCAGGGAAACATGAGGACATGGAAATTGAGAAGACAGGTTCTAAGATGTCAAGAACAGGTTTAAAGACTCACTGTGGACTGTGTTTGCGCCATGTATTCACTCTCCATTTTATTCAGACGCACATTTGTATCCTCAAGCAATTCTTGAATGTTTTCAGTGTGTTGCTTTTGAAGATCAAACTTTTCCTGTTCCATTTCTGCTACAGCATTGTGAAGCTACATCAGGAAATCAAGAGTTGACTCTTTTACTACTATGGAATTGACTATTTTGTAATTCAGCGGAAAAAATGGTTTCTATATTCCTCTATTTATATATATGATGACCTGAACACCAAAAGATACAAAAAACCACCAGTAAACATTCAAGGTAAAGATATCATATAAAAAGCAGGATCAAGAAACACTTAATTTTTCCTTTACTTTCCTGAATTGAAAATTTTAATGGATGAACAAATATTAAAAGGAATTATCTGCCTCAGGTAGAAATGGTAAATAAATCAGGCAGATAATACAAGTGAACATTACTAGTATTAGTCTGAAATGAGAAAACAGAAACATTATAATATTGTAACTAATTAGGAATATTGTCCCATTGTCCCCATTATTCATCCTATTTGCACGGAATTTTGTACACCAGTAATGTTAAAAACTGCTTTCTCCCCTACCTGCACCTCAAACAAGAAATTACTTCTAGTCATTCCCTAATCTATACAAAAACAGACAAAAAGATCACATTTATCAGTCAAACAATATGGGTAGGATGACTAAGCAGAATTGTATACTACATGTACAGAGGTCTTTATTTATAAAAATCATTATGTATATACTGTTTAAATGGATGAGCTTTTAAAATTTCTACACAAACTAAGGTAAGGAAAACAAAGGCAAATACAGGAGGTCCAGACAAGCTTCAATGGACATCTTCCAAAAGGGGTTGAAAATCTGTGCTCCCAGCCCTGTGGGCATTCCTTCACTTATCTTAATGGGGGTACAACTCCGAGTCTAACTTCCATTCCCTGCATCCAACCCCACACCTACCCAATAGGAGAAGAGACCAGGAGTCCAAACAGTCCAAATGATATATTTGGCTTTTTGTTTTTGTTTTTGTTTTGAGATGGAGTCTCACTCTGTCACCCAGGCTGGAGTGCAGTGGTGCAATCTCGGCTCAGTGCAACCTCCGCCTCCCAGGTTCACGTGATTCTCCTGCCTCAGCCTCCCAAGTAGCTGGGATCAAAGGCAGCCGCCAAAACATCTGGCTAATTTTTTATATTTTTAGTAGAGCCGGGGTTTCACCATGTTGGTCAGCTTGGTCTCGAACTCCTACCCTCAAGTGATCCACCCGCCTCAGCCTCCCAAAGTGCTGGGATTACAGGTGTGAGCCACCGTGCCTGGCCCCAAATAATACATTTGATTCACTACCTATAAATAGGGAAGAGAGAAAGGACAAATAGAGGCAGTGTGAACTCTTATTTGACTAGAAAGATACTGGAAGGACAGGGAAAACCTGTGAGAGATGGAAGCTAGGGCAGAATGCAGGCAATAATTATGATAATTGTACTGGTAAAGGTCTCAAGAACGCTTCTTCTAGTTTCTAGCTGAATAGGAAGAATGAGGATGCTCAGTAATAGCCATACAGAAGACTCCTGGATTTTGCAAGTTTAACATACACAGTTTTGATTATTTGTAAGTGGTCCCCGAAATCCCTGATGTATCTAATTTTTAGTTTTGCTGAAATAAACATTGTAAAGCAGTATTAGGTCTGTTGTTCAAAAGTGAGTCACATAGCTGGTACAATGCACCCAAATCTCAGTGCTCCTTCACAGCTGTCGAGTGACATGATAGTAACTCAGATAATGGGCTCTAAAGGAGTCACTTAGAATTTTACAGTTGTACTTACAGGAGCAATTATATGATGTAGTGGTTTCCTCATGTTTAAGGTCTCCCAAAGCCCCTAGAACATATGCCTGCCGAATGTCAAAAATCTAATAGCCCATCAAAACTTAGTGGTTTCTCATGTGTCTTCCACAGTTGTTTTATAAAGGGACCGTCGCTGTCGGAGGGGTGGCTGTAAGTCAGTCTACAACACTCATCCAAGGAATTTGTAGTTGAGACTACAAGGGTAAAAATGGCACTGGCAAAAACAACTATGCTATTACTTGGCTGATGTGTTTGAGGACTAGATAGGCATCTGGTCTCATAGTCTAACCAGAGGTGATTAAAATGTATTCATTCAACAAATTTTATTAGTACCTGCTATGTACCAGGCATAATGCATCAGTGAGCACTTTCCCAAACCTAACAATGAATTGGAGTCCAGGTCACTCAGTCTAGGAGGCTTTAAAGGGCAAACGTTCCTTTAAGGGATAAACTATCTTAGTAGCAAATATTATTAGGCTATAGGATACAAATCTTGCTGGAGTTTATGAAACCATAGGACATAACAATGAGTTGATCCATAGGAATTCTCAAGAAGAATTTTTACCCAGAGTTTGATAATGGGTACAGGAGACACCAATGCCCTTCCCAGCATCCTACATATTCGTCTTTAACCATATAGTTGGCTCATGCCAGAGGAGACCCAGAGGCAACAGAAATCTGTCCCAAATAAAGGGAAAAGTATTACAAAACCCCACAGGTCAATAGCGCAGCCACTGTGGAAAACACTTTGGCAGTTCCTCAAAAAATTTATCAAAAAGATACACAGAGTTACCACATAACCCAGGAATCCTACTCCTAGGACTACACCTAACAGAATGTAAAAACACACACAAATGTTCACAGCAACATTATTCACGATATCCAAAAAGTGGAGTCAACTCAAATGTCTATCAACTGATGAATGGATAGGCAAAATGTGGTCTATCCATACAACGCAATATTATTTGACCATAAAACTGATTGAACTATTGATTCATGCTACAGTGAGGGTGAAACTTAAAAACATTACGGTAAGTGAAAGAAGCCAGTCACAAAATGCCACATATTATATTATTGTATTTATATGAGATATCTAGAATAGGCAAATCTATAAAGACAAACAGTAGATTGATGGTTGAAGAGCCTGGGGTGTGGGGAGTGGTAACTGACTGCTGATGGATAAAGGTTTCTTTCTAGGGCAATGAAAATGGTCTGTAAATTATATTGTGGTGGAAGTTGCACAACTTTGTGAATACATCAAAAAAACCAATGAATTGTATACTTTAAGAAGGTGAATTTTATGGCATGTAAATCATAACTCAATATTTTTTAAAGGCCCACAGAACAGCAAAACGTGTTGACAGCTGGGGCAAAAGTCAAGACAGGAAGAAGAATTGTGAGAAAAGATGAGGCTTGAAAGATCACCAGAGTCTTTATCATGAAAAGCCTTGTAAGTCCTAAGAACTAAGGAAACAATGGGAGCCACTAGGACAATGGGAAACACTAGAGTGATTTAAACATGATTGTGAGGTCAACCAGATTTGTGTTTGTGAAAGACCAATTTGGCTGTATTGTGGGACATGGAATGACGACGGACAGACTGGAGGTAGAGGCCAGTTACAGGTGATCTAGGCAAGAGACAGGGGTCTCCTGAACTAAGGAAGGAAGAGTGGTAGATACATTCAAAAGATGAATAATTAACAGAACTTGGCAAGGCATTAGATGTGTGAGCTGAAGCAAAAAGAAGAGTCTTTAAGTAGCTGAGTTGATCCCTATCCCATAGAGAATACCCTACTGGGTAGGTATATCCCTCCATGGGATAGGCATCTCCATGGGATAGGTATTCTCCATGGGATAGGGAAAAAGGAAATACCCATTTTAGCAACAAACGAAGAAGATGAAGTTTAAGGACAATGATGGAATTCAGACCAAGGAGAGATTTTAAATAGGTAGTTGAATAACTGGGACTTAAGGTGAGAGACATAGGATGCATATTTCTATTAGGGAATATACACACACACATACATATATCACCTTGTCCATGTAGAATACATAATAATTGTTGAATGAATGACTACATAAATAACAAAGTGTATCTAACATGTGCTTATTAATTTTGGTGCCTGTCCTGCTTGTACTCAGTTTTCATCTCAGCCCAGATTTACATAAAATTACTCTACACACACACACACACACACACACACACACACACACACAGCCTTCAGTGAGGGGGCAGGTACAGTGGCTCACACCTGTAATCCCAGCCCTTTGGGAGGCCAAGGCGGAAGGATCACTTGAGGCCAGGAGTTCGATACCAGCCTGGCCAACATGGAAAAACCCCATATCTACAAAAACTACAAAAATTAGCCAGGCAGTGGTGGCCACACCTGTTATTCCAGCTACTTGGGAGGCTGAGGCATGAGAAGAGCTTGAATCCAGGAGGCAAAGGTTGCAGTGAGCTAAGATTGCACCACTGCTCTCCAGCCTAGGTGACAGGGCAAGACTCTAAAAAAAACAAAAAAAAAAACTTCAAGCAGGTTTACGTATTTACACATCCACTATTTATTGTATAACTAGAAAAAAAAGCTTTACTAATCCAGCAGAAAGAAAAAGACGTACCCTTGTAAGTGGCAGAAGCCTCTTCTCTTCAAATACCTGACAATTTAAACTAGAATATATGAAATTAGGGAATTCAGACAAAGGAAAGCAGGGGACTTGCTAGGTACACAATGTCATTGAAGTAAATACAAAAATATGCCAAATTTATAGAAAAGATAAAACCAAAATGTGAGAAAGAAAAACCACATGACTAGAAATAACAAAATAAAAACTAGAAAAGAACCAACTAAAAAGCAATCTATAGATTCAACACTATCCTATCAAATTACCAATGTCATTTTTTACAGAATTAGAAAAAAGATTCTAAGATTCATATGGAACCAAAAAAGAGCCTGAATAGTTAAAGCAATCCTAAGCAAGAAGAATAAGTCAGGCATGGTGCCTGACTCCTGTAATCTCAGCACTACTGGGAGGCTGAGGCAGGAGGATCGCTTGAGGTCAGGAGTTCAAGACAAGCCTGGGCAACATAGTGAGACCCCACCTCTACAAAAAAAAGTTTTAAATTAGCCAGGTGTGGTAATGCACACCTGTAGTCCCAGCTACTCAGGAGACTGAGGCAGGAGGATCACTTGAGCCCAGGAGCTCAAGGCTGTGGTGAGCTGTTATGGTGCCATTGCACTCCAGACTGGGTGACAGAGCAAGACCCTGTCTCAAAACCAAAATAAAACAAAAGAACAAGGCCAGTGGGAATCACATTACCCAACTTAAAACTATGTTATAAGGCTACAATAACCAAAACCACATGGTACTAGCATAAAAACAGACACATAGACCGATGAAACAGAAGAGAGAACCCAGAAATAATGATGCACACCTACAACCATCTGATCTTTGACAAAGTTGACCAAAAAAATGGAGAAAGGACCCCTTATCCAATAAATGGGATGAGATAACTGGCTAGTCATATGCAGAAGAATGAAACTGGATACCCCACAAAACACAAAAATTAACTCAGGATAGATTAAAGACTTAAGTATAAGACTTAAAACTATAAAAATCCTAGAAGAAAACCTAGGAAGTACCATTCTAGACATTGACCGTGGTAAAGAATTTATGATTAAATCCCCAAAAGCAATTGCAACAAAAATAAAAAATGGACAAGTGGGACGTAATTAAAATAAAGAACTTTTGCACAGCAAAAGAAACTATCAAGTAAACAGATAACTCACAGAATGGGAGAAAATATTTGCAAACTATGTATCTGACAAAGGTCTAATACCCAGAATCTATAAAGAACTCAACAATTCAACAACAAAAAACAAATAACCCCATTAAAAAGTGGGCAAAGGACATGAACAAACAATTCTCAAAAAAAGACATACAAGTGGCCAACAAACATACGAAAAAATGTTCAACATCACACGTCATCAGAGAAGTGCAATTCAAAACCACAATGAGATACCACCTCACACCAGTAAAAATGGGTGTTATTTAAAAGATTAAAAACAACAGATGCTGGCAAGGTTGCAGAGAAAAAGGAATGCTTATATACTGTTAGTGGGAACGTAAAGTAGTTCAACCACTGTGGAATGCAGTTTGGAGATTTCTCAGGGAATTTAGAACAACTACCATTTGACCCAACAATCCCATTACTGGGTATATACCCAAAGGAAAATAAGTCATTCTACAAAAAAGGCACATGCGCTTGTATGTTCATTGCCATGCTATCCACAACAGCAAAGACATGGAATCAACCTAGATGTCCATCGATGGTGGATTGGATAAAGAAAATGTGGTACATATACACCATGGAATACTAGATGGCCATAAAAAAATGAAATCATGTCCTTCGCAGCAATGTGGATGCAGCTGGTGGCCATAATCCTAAGCAAATTAATGCAGAAATAGAAAACCAAGCATGTTCTCACTTACAAGTGGGAGCTAAACATTGGTATATATGGACATAAAAACAGGAACAATAGACACTGGGGACTCCTAGAGGAAAGAGGGGGACAAAGGCTGAAAAACTACTGTTGGGCACTATGCTCACTACTTGGATGATGGGATCATTCATATCCCAAACCTCAATGTCACACAATATAACCATGTAACACACCTGCACATCTACCCTCTGAATCTAAAATAAATGCTGAAATTATTTTAAAAAATGAAATAAAGTATCCATAATATTCAAAGCAATATACAGATTCAATGTAATCCCTATCAAAATATCAATGACATTTTCACAGAAATAGAAAAAGCGATCCTAAAATTTGCATGTAACCACAGAAGATTCTGAGTAGCCAAAGCAATCTTAAGCATGAAGAACAAAGGTGGAGGCATCACAGTAACTGACATGAAAATATACTTCAAACTTGTAGTAACTAAAACAGTATGCTATTGGCATAAAAACAGACACACAGACCAATAAAACAGCATGAAGCACCCAGAAAAAAAATCCACACATTTACAGCCAGCTGATTTTTGACAAAAATGCCAAGAACATACAATGGGGAAAGTATAGTCTCTTTAATAAATGGTGCTGGGGAAACTGGATATCCACATGCAGAACAATGAAATTAGACCTGTATTTCTCACCATACACAAAAATCGACGCAAAATGAATTGAAAGACTTAAATGGAAGAACCAAAACTATGGAACTACTAGGAGAAAACATAGAGGAAAAGCTCCATGACATAAATCTAGGCAACAATTTCTATACAGCACCTCAAAGCACAGGCAACAAAAGCAAGGAAAAAAAAAAAGACAAATGGGATTACATCAAACTAAAAAGCTTCTGCATGGAAAAAAAAATCAACAGAGTGAAAAGGCAACCTACAGAATGGGAAAATACATTTGCAAATTATACATCTGATATGGGGTTTATATCCAAAATATATAAGAAACTCAAACAACTCAATAGCAAAAAAACAAATATTCTGATGATTAAAAAATAACCTAATGACTTATTTAGGCCAAGGACCTAAATAGACATTTCTCAAAAGAAGACACAGAAATGGCCAAAAGGTAGATGAAAAATGCTAAACCTCACTAATCATTAGGGAAAGGCAAACCAAACTTACAATGAGATATCATCTAACTGTAGTTAGCATGATTATTATTAAAAAGTCGAAAGATAGCAAGTGTTGGTGAGGATATAGAGAAAAGAGAACCCTTATATACTGCTAGAGGGAATACAAATTAGTACAGCCATTAGGGAAAACTGTGTGGTTCCTCAAAAAATTAAAACTGGAACTACCATATGATCTAACAATCCCCCTACTAGATATATATCTGAAGAAAATAAAATCAATATGTCAGAGATATCTGCATTCCCACATTTACTGCAGCATTATTCACAATAGTCAAGATATGAAATCAATGTAAGTGCCCATCAAAGGATGAATGGATAAAGAAAATGTGATAGATACACACACACACACACACACACACACTGGAATACTATTCATCCATAACAAAGAATGAAATCCTGCCATTTGCAACAACATGGACAAACTTAGAAGGACATTGTGTTCAGTGGAATAAACTGGGAGCAGAAAAACAAATACATAATCACACTCGTGGAATTTTAAAAGTTGAGCTCATAGAAGTAGAGAACAGATAGCGATTACAAGAAGCAGGGGAGGAGAGGGAGGAAAGGGGACAGAGAGAAGTTAAAAAGCAGGTATAATGTTACAGTTATTGATAGGGTTTGGCTGTGTCCCCACCCAAAATCTCATCTTGAATTGTAATCCCCATAATCCCTATGTGTCAAAGGAGAGACCAGGTGGAAGTAACTGCATCATGGGGTCAGTTCCCCCAAGCTGTTCTCATGATAGTGAGTGAGTTCTCATGAGATCCGATGGTTTTATAAGTGTGTGGTAGTTCCTCCTGTGTTCATTCTCCTTGCCGCCTTGTGAAGAAGGTGGCTTGCTTCCCCTTCACCTCCTACCATGACTGTAAGTTTCCTGAGGCCTCCCCAGCCATGCTGAACCGTGAGTCAATTAAAGCTCTTTCCTTTATAAATTACCCAGTCTCAGGCAGTTCTTTATAACAGTATGAAAATGGACTAATACATAGTGGACAATGGACACTAATATAGGAGAAATAAATTATGGTTTATTTATAATAAAAATGGACAATATAATAAAAATGGACAATAATATAGGAGAAATAAATTATGGTTTTCTAATGCACAGTAGAGTGATTATAGTTTATAATAATGTATTATATATTTCAAAAAGTTAGAAGAGAGGAATTTGAATGTCCTCACCAAAAAGAACTGATAAATGTTTGAGGTGATAGAAATGCTAATTACTCTGATTTTATCAGTATATAAAGTATCTATGTATTGAAATATCACACTGTACCCTAAAAAATGTAAAATCATTACATGTCAATCAAAAATAAAATAAGTTTATACAATAAATTCTAGTCCATATTATATTTTCTAAAATTTCAGGAAAGAAATACTCCAATGGCCCAAATACAAAATTAAAATGGCTTAATTTCCAAAAACTGTTTTAGTGCTATTTAACTAATTTTGTTTAAAATCTGTTGGCTGATAAGAAATCCAGAACATTAATTAAATTCAAGAGCTAGTCAAAAGAATATTTTCTAAATGAAAACTATTTTATAGACCATAGACTTCCAGAAGAAAATATACCAAAACATGAACAGTAGCTATTTCTAAACAGCCTGGAATTTTAGTTATTTTTTAAACTTTTCTGTATATTCTGTGAAATCTATTACTTTTATAATTAAATATGTTACTTGGAAGCATAAACTTTTATGTTTTCCATTAGTATTTTATGTAGCTTACCTTTTTTTCCCAGTCATTATTTAGAGATTCCGTACTTTGTTCACATATCTTTTTCAGCTCTGCAATCTGGTCTTCTTTAGTCTCTCTGATAACTTGACAGTCACGTATCAGTGTCTGAACTGTCAAAAATTTTGAAAACATAGTTAAACCAATTCTAGGTACATAGAGTTTGATGATATAAAATTTAGTGCACCAGTTAGTAGGTAATTCAATTTTTCACCAAGTCTTCTCAATGCTTTCTTCTAAAATATCTTTTATTCCTTGCTCTTTTTCTCGATTTCTACCACCACAGACAGCCTTGGTTAAATTCATCATTACTGGCTCCCTAGACAATTGTAACAGTGTATTGGTCTCAAGCATCATTCCCCTCCAAGGAGTCCTCTGTTGCTTTGAGGAAATCTTTCACCATTATTCTAAGTGAAGTAACTCAGGAATGGAAAACCAAATACCATATGTTTTTACTTATAAGTGGAAGCTGAGCTATGGGTATGCAAAGGAACACAGAATGGTATAATGGACTTTGGAGATTGAGAAGCAGGGGGTGGAAAAGGGGGTGTGGGCTAAAAACTACATATTGGATACAATGTACATTACTTGGGTGATGGGTACACCAAAGTCTCAGACTTCACCACTGTACAATGAATCCATGTAACCAAAACCACTTGTAACCTAAAAGCTACTGAAATTTTAAAAATTTAAATAAGTAAAGAGGCCTTTCACTGGTGCAAATCTGGTAGTTATGCCCAGGCTTACAAACGTTCTACAGCTCTTCTCATCTAAAAGATAAGTATAGGTCAAAGCCTCTGACATGGACAAGAGTTCCTCATGGTTCTGGCCATATCTCTTCCCACTTGCATGTTTTAAACCACTATTATAAACACACCAACCTATATGCAGATTCCTGAGTTCATATTCTTTCTTATATCACTGCCTAAATATGATCATCTATCTACATAGAATGCCCTTCCCTCCCTTATTGAAAAACTCCTACTCATCCTTAGACTCTCAACTGAAAAATCACACCTTCTTTATGAACCAGTCATAAAGAATCACTAAATCATGATTCACTCAACCAGATTTCTCCCCTTGCAGGGACAGAAAGAAATTCCTCTTTATTCCCATGAAACCTTGAGTATTTCTCAATTAAATCATTTATTAACATTATAGTGATTTACTTGCCTGTTTCCTCTTTAATGAGACTATGTTCACGGAGAAGAAAGAGATTTCAACTTTTTATCCACAGGGCATAACAGTGCCACACAGGCAAGTGCTCAAAAAGACGTGTACTGAATGAATAAATAAAGGAACCCCTCCTTTCAATATATTGTTGCTGCTAGATACTTTTAAATCATTTTTGAAGTTTATGTTACTAAAATGAAATAGGTTTTAAATTATATAAAATATTTGCCTTATAAATCATTTCTCTATCTTCTTTACTAAAATTATTTAAACAGTCACTGATTTAAGTGAAAATGTGTTTAATATATTCATCTCTTCTGGATAGTAAAATAAATTCAGCTCTATTTTTAATTGGATATAATCTTATCATAGCTTACTAAATATGTTTTTATTCATTTACTTCGAGACAGCAAAATTTTTGTAAACATTTCCCTAAAAATTGTTTTCACTCTTATATCTCAACTACACAACAAATAAGGAGAGGAGATGAATCCAAGTTAACCTAATGTGGGTCTTTACCATCTACAATATATTTTACTTTACACTTCCAAAATTAAACTAAGATCTGATTGCAATTCAAAATGCCTTTAGAAACATTATTTTTAAAACCTCATCATTTTTAAACCTTAGGCATGTTTGAATTACCTATTTTGAATCAGGGTAAAGAAGAAGACCTGGAAATAAATTTAAAATATTTTTCTAGACACTGGTAATATTTGGAGAAAAAACCTAAACGAATTTATAATTGCTTTTACCAACATTTAAGGGTGGAAATGAACCTACAAATATTTATTTAATTGGTTAACTTATCTATGTAATGGCTGTCCTAATTTGTCAAAGCCATTATCATTCACTCAGATATACTCAGGTTTGATCTGGGGGAGAGCCAGTAAGTTCCATACAGAAAATCCTAAATGAAAACCTTCCCTTCTCCTTTTCTCTTATTCATTGCCTAGATCTTCTCATTCACTAAATCATGATTCACTCTTAAAAACTTCTTCTTTTCTTCGGTTCCATTCTAACTACTCCCAGCGCCATCATTCAGAAATCCTTCTCACCTTAACATGCAAAATTACAGCAGCACAGAAGCAGAACATCTCTGAGTTGGCAGGGACTTTATATATTATTTATTCTGATCTCACCATTTTATAATGAGTAAACCAAGACCCAGAGACAACTTGCTATCATACATCGGACACTGGTAACAGAGCTGGAATTACAGCCTATGTTTTCTAATAAGTAGAATTCTCTCTCCTTCACTCCATTCTGCCTCTGCCTAACAGACTTGGAATTGGCCTACTCTGTTCAATACACCCTCCATTACCAGGCTACTCCTCCCAAAACATGAGGTCCTAAAACTCACATCTCAAAATCCTTCCCTGGCTCTTTACATCCAGCATCTACAGGACAAAGTTCAAGCTTCTAAATCTAAAATTCAAGGTCATACTTAATCTAGCCCCAAGTCAACTATCTTAATATTTTAAAATCTTTTTTTTTTTTTTTTCTGAGACGGAGTCTTGCTCTGTTGCCCAGGCTGGAGTGCAGTGGCACGGTCTCGGCTCACTGCAAGCTCCACCTCCCAGGTTCATGCCATTCTCCCGCCTCAGCCTCCTGAGTAGCTGTGACTACAGGCGCCCGCCACCACGCCCAGCTAATTTTTTGTATTTTTAGTAGAGACAGGGTTTCACTGTGTTAGCCAGGACGGTCTCGATCTCCTGACCTCATGATCCACCTGCCTCGGCCTCCCAAAGTGCTGGGATTACAGGCGTAAGCCACCGCGCCCGGCCTAAAATCTATCTCTTAATGCATGGGGTATCCATTCTAGCTAAATAGTTGAGAAGTACCCTTCCTACAACTTACCTATTTCAGCATTCCCATCCCAGTACCTGCAACTCTTCTCTCCAACTAACCAAGACTTTAAAATTTCACAAAATTTTACAAAAGTTCCTTTCCCAAAACAATATTTTCAACACTCTCTCTCATGACCACCTATTGATGTAGATGTTTCGACCCATAATCATAGTCAACTACGGTCAGAGTTAGCTCAAGTGGTTACCTCCTCATGCCGGACTTTCCATCTGTCCATAGTCAACTTAATACTTGATTACATGCTTTCTTTTCCTTCTTAATTAAAGTGCAAATAGGAAATACATTTTAATTTTTTTCTGTCAATCACAATACCAGCAAATACTATCAGACATAAAAGTAGATACTTAATGTAATGAATTTTACTAGATAAAGAAGAATAATTTCCTTTGACTTCCTCATGAAGGCCAGTAAGTCCTAATTCTATGACTGCCCTCAATACTCTATGGCAGCTGTATCCCAATGAGGCTAGAGTTAAGAAGAGGGAGTGAAAGCAACATACTCTTCCAACTCTGTATCTAAACCAACCACCAGTACTACTCCATCACTGTCACTACACAAACACACACACAGACACACACACACACACACAAATAAACACAGTTTTTGCCCCTTCATATGGAAGCCTATATAAATATATCCACTGATGAAACCCCACATAAACATTCCTATCTCATACTATAAAAGGTCAGAAATCAAATTTTTTTCTCCACATCACTAAAATAAAATGGAAATGTTATTAAAAGATGTATGTAACAACACAACATCACCTTTCTTTTCAAGCTTTCTAATAGTCTCTTCAGTTTCATGTTGTTTACTCCTGTATAAAGTTTTCAGTTCTTCTATTTCATTATTCTTTCTTTCTAAAATCTGCAAATAAATTTAAAATATTTCAGTATATTGTACTACTTTACATATAGGACACTTTTTTGAATCCTGATATATTTAATTCTAAAACATAAATAGAAAAAGTGATTTTAACAAATATGACTACACTGTGAAATTATAAACACACACACACACACACACACACACACACACACACACACAAAGTAGTATCTCTTATCCACAGCTTTACTGTCTGCTGTTTCAGTTAGATGCGTGTGTTTTTGTGTATGTCCATGTTAATAATTCTAGCCTAGTCAGAAGTTCACGTTTTGCTCTTGCAGCAGCTAGGAGGTAGAATCTATATGATCTGCCACACTTGGAAGCTTCCAAGTTGCCTGAAATCGTGAGACTTTCCTCCTTTTGACTAGTGAATATTGCCGCAAATTGGCATTGTAGTGATTTAAGTGACTTTTTAAATTGATTCTCAAATGTCAGTGTTTTGTAAATTAGGTAGAAGTGTTTTGTCCTGAAAGGGAGTTAGGGATTCTTTTTCTCAGATTAGCATAAAAATAGCTGAAATTGTATGTGTCTAATATTTCTCTTCACATATTTTTCTTATACTTACGATATCTACTGTTGTTTATCTGCTAGCAAATTCCAGCAGATAATAAGTGAATGGTGAATTAGTAGGTATACATTAATAGAAACTCGTAAAGAACCAATCATATAACTTTTCAATGAGCATAATATTTTTGTAAGTCTATCTCAGCTAATCTCATAAATGGTTTCCCCCCAAACTGTAAAAATTATATTATAGTGCATTAAGAAAATTATTAAATATACAAGAATAATTATTATCTGAAAGAAATACGTTATCTGAGATTTTTGTATAATAATTTTTAAGGACAGTATAAATAATAATTTCAGTGATTCCCTAAAATATAATTCAGAAATTAAGCTGTCATAAAGTGGCAGAGAGAAGTCATCAGAAACTTGCCAGGTTGGGAGAGTATAATTCATCACATTGCACTGGGATAGAATATTCTTCAGCTGGGCATGTCCCTGGATCCGCCCACAAGCACCGTTCTATCCTCCTAGTGCACAGTAAAAGAATTCCCAGATACATGAGGAGATGACATGTAATCAGCCTCCTTTATATCTAGCTCTGCTACTGTGAATCAGAAAAATCAGCTCAAAATATGTCAAAAATTGCATTAAAATCTATTGTTAATTTATATTATGTCAGAAGTTTTAAATGTAATCATTTAATAAAATTTGTGATTTTATACTTCAAAATACATCTATACTCACAAAAACTACAGAAATAACCAAAATGTAAAAAAGATAGCAAGTAAGAGAAAATGCTAATCAAGGGGAAAAAGGAATATCTACTTTTCTTATGGCTGGGGTATATTTCCCATACACCCAAAAGTCAGCTTAACAAGAACAACAGAAAAGAACGGGGCACAGTAGCACATGCATATAGTCAGCTACTCAGGAGGCTTACAGATCACTTGAGCCCAAGAATTCGAGGCTGAAGTGAGCCATGATCATGGATCATGCCTGTGAATAGCCACTGTCCTCCTCCAGCTTGAGCAACATAGCAAGATCCCATCTCTGGATAATAATAGCCATAAAGAAGCAAAAAAGAAAAAGAATGTATACTAATAGGTAAAACACTCTAAATTTTACGCCTTGCCAATTCCTGATGCTTAGAAAATGCCAGACAAGAGTAAACTGATGAATATACTTTTCAAATCTAGCATAAAGGATTTTATTTATATTTTACTTGGCACTTCAAACTAGTTGCACTGTCTGCTGCAAATAAATTTCAGGATTTATTTTAAAGAGAAATTGCTGGAAAGAATTTTATTATTAAATATGTTACTTTGAGTAAATCTTTGTAACAGACATACCAAGAAACCTATTTCAAATTCCATCACCGTAATTTTTCCAAATAAATTTTTATATTCATTTATCTTATACATCAATAGACTCTATTTCAATTGTACATGTTATATTGAAATTATATTACTGACTCTCTAACATACTTATGATAGAGAACTATTATCTAAACAATTTAAACTAAAGTAAAACTCTAGTAAGAGCAAAAAAAATTTGCCTGTAATATCTGAATGGGGGAGAGGAAATTGGAAAAGGAGAGTTCAGTTTTTTTTTCTCTAATATCCAGTCAGTGGTTTCCTCCTTATTGCTTTAAAGGACAAGCCAAATACGTATTTTACTAAATATTAATATATATATATTAAGCTTTTAAGAAAGCTTGGATACATAATCCTGATGCTGTAACTACTGCAACTACCTGCCTCTGTCTCTAGTACTCAGTTTTGGGAAGCAGAATCATAGGCTTAGTTTTGAAACATTAAATGCAAAGTTTCCATTTGGATCAACCTCCATGTATTTCAAAAAAACACATACATACATTATTATCACTAAATGTTTTAATCATTACTAAAATATAGTAACAACCCAAATCCCATATAGGATAACCATAATTAACAATTTTTGCTGTGCCAGCTAAGAAAAAAAAATAAGTTTTATTTGAAAATACAGGCTGAAAGATTAGAAAGCATCAATCCCAATGAGCTACTTGAAAAACAAGCCTTTATTGTCAGTGCCAGCACTAAAATGCATACAAGTCCAAGAGCTCCTTTTTAAATTAAAAAAGAAATTTAATTACCAGAAAACCAAAAGAATATTAGAATAAAACAAATTCTAGTATTTACCATTGATGTCTTATTTCAACTTTCATGAAAGGTAATGACAGAATGCAGATAAAAGACTATAAGAAGGTCAGCCTAAATGCAATAGTTAAAGAAGGACTAAAAGGTAATGTAAATATAAGGTTTTAAATAAACACATATGTTTAGCTAATAAAGTTAAAAAATCAACTTTTGCTGGGATATTAGTTTAGCATATTCCACTTATAACAGAATGTCATAAAGTACATAAATAAGTGGATGGATGGTTGGAAGAATGGATGGATAACTGGATGGATCATCATAAAACCTAGAATATTTTTAGTGTTCAATATAATTAAAACACGAGATATATATCCTACCTTCTGAACATCAGCATCATGTTTCTGTTGCAGTTTAAGCTTTTCTTCATGAAATTTAGCTTCCATCATTTTTGTTTTCATGTCCAGCTTCAAGAAAAATATTTCAAGGGTGTTATTAATTTACTTTCCCTTTGGCAAAAAATACACAATTAAACTAAAATAATTCCCTATAAAAAAGACAGTTATCATTTTCCACCTTTACCTTGTAGTCACAGATTCTAGCAATCACATTACATATACCAATATGTTTATTTCAGTCCTCTAATTACTTTCAAACTAGTTAAAAGTCTTTAAAATAAATTTCACCTGGTAGGCAAAACTGACAATATGAAGTACAGATTCACTACTCTCCCCATTCTCTCCCGCACAAAAGAGAAAGGCATTTTAAAGTGATATTTTGCTTTTACATTTAAATCCACACAGTATTTTACTCTTCATTATTTTTCATTTCAGTAAGTCTCTTCCAACCTTTTATTTTTTTTTCTTTGATCTACTTGCTCATTTTAAAATACTCTAATTAACCTACATATGTAAATATGACTTGAGAATGAATATCCATAAAAATGGCAAATTACTGATTAGTGCATATCTTTCGACAGTTTTTCAGTTCTCTCTCCCGGAATCATAGACCCCCGCTCCCTCAAGGGAGTGACTTTATCTCCTTCCAAGCATTCCTTAACTTCTATCCTCTCCAAACCAACACCACATGCAACGGTGCTCTGAGCAAAGCCAAAAATGTAACCAATCTTCTTAATATAAGAAGGGTATCCTAGAATTAAAAGAGCAATAGTGACAGGTTTCAAGAAGAGCAACATAAAATTGATTATCTCAAATGTGAAAGTATTTGGTCACATGATTCCTCACAATTTAAGAGAGTTAAGTGTTATACATTGGAGTCTGGCAGACCTCTTTTCCAACTCTAATTCCAATCCCACCATATATGCACTGTTGTGACTTTGAGCAAGTGACCCTTTGACACTCTAGTTCCTCTTCTGCTAATTAAGGAAAAGTATCCTTACCTCAGTGGATTGTGAAAATCATATTCAATAAAATAATTTAAATGACCATACCCAGGACAATGTGTGGCACAAAGTAAGTATGCAAAAATATCAGTCAACCACATTTAGGAAAAACATTTTAATATTATTAATGTACCTTCAAAATATTTTCTTGAAAATTTTTGAAATACACTTTATATTTTCAATTACTTTTTCAAATACAAAATAAATTTAGCAAGATAAACATATATATCATATTAACATATCAAACTGAGATTTTATGTTTCACAAACAAAAGTTAACATAATACAAATTCATGACTTAAATGTTATGAATGGTGGAGAAAGAGACAGTTAACCATTTGCTATGCAAAAAAAAAATTCAATTCCCTTGCCTCTAAATCACACAATATTTCTTCTTCGTTTTTGCAGAAAGGAGGCTAGACAATCTAATTCCATGTAAAGATCCTTCACAGAAGCATTTTTGGGGTCTATTAAAAGGGAACTAAAGCCAAAAAACAGTATGACAAAGCTGGCCAGGTCTAAGAGACATGATTCATTGCCAGATCTTCCCATAACACCTTCTAGAGAACTTGTCATACCCTCAGCTTTTGAGGGTAAGCCCTAAATACCATGTGAGTGTGCTACCATAACCCCAACCCAACACCTCTCACCGGCCCTACCTCATTATTTATTGACCAAGTTAGGAATAAATACCTGAGATATGCTTAAGCAATCCATTAGCTAGCAAAAAATCATTCAGATTCTCTCTCAAGAATCTGAACTAACACACCAAGTTAGCTATTTTGGGGAGCAAACCCAAGTTCTAAAGTGCAGCAACCAAGAGAAAGCAGGCCAATCCAGTATATAGAAAAAAGTAGAGCAAATACACAAAGATTAGAAATCACATAGCATCTGAAATACGAGGGAAGCAAACTCAGGCTCCAACAATCTCAATGACACTAGGGTTAGTTGAACTCAAAAGGATTTTTGTGTATCTTTTTATTTTATGTAGCTTGATGGATCTCTGTTCTTACAACCAAAGATATTTATCTAAATTCTATTCTTCTGGTTATAACTTTTTGCCTTGGCATAATATTAAACTTAAAGAAAAGTTGCAATAATAGCACAAGGAACTCCCACATGCCCTTTACCCAGATTTACCAATTTTTTATATTTTGCCCTATATGCTTTGTCATTTTATGTCTATATCTACCTCTCTATATATATAAATGCATACATATTACTTCCTCAATTATTTGTAAATTAGAAGCATCCTGCCTCTTTATCCCTAAAAACTTCAATATATATTTCCTTAGAACAAGAACACTGTCTTTGATAACCAAAGCGTGGTTATCAAATTGAGGAAATGTAATATTAACACAATGATATTATCTACTGCACAGTTTATACTCAAGTTTTACAAATTATCACAGTAATGTCATTTATAGCTATTATTTTTCATAATCCAGGATCCAACCAAGAATCACGCATTGCTTTTAGTTGTCACATCAACTATTTATTTCTCCTTTAATCTGGAACAGCCTTTCTTCGTGTTTAGTGACCTTGACATTTTTTAAGAGTACAGACCGTTATTAAATGTCTCTCCATTAGGATTTGTCTGATGTTTCCTCATGACTAGGTTTATGAGATTTTGGCAAGAATGACACTAAAGTGATACTGTGTCCTTTTTCATTGCATCATATTAGAAGGAGGCTAGTTTGTCCCAATATCTCCAATGTACAGCTCAGTAACTTGGTTAAGACAGTGAGCACCAAGTTACTCTAAGGGTAATATTACAAAGAAAGTCTCTCCACTGCCATCCTTTTAAAAAGTTAAGAGTATCTCATCTCTGGAAACTCTTACCTTGATGCTACAGAATACCTCTATATTTCCACCCTGTACTCTAAAGTAGAAATCCTGGATGTATTATGTACAACTAGGGCATGATGCCTGATGAAACATCAGGATTAGAATATAGAAACAATCTTGCTACTATATTATATAAAGACAGTATAAGGATGCAGATTTAGATATAGATGTAGATATAAATATAGATATGTACCTATGTGTTCATCTATATAGTCTGAAATTGAAAAACATTTCTAATTAGTTTGACCTCCAAGGAAGCCTGACTTCAAAAAACATTTAAGTTTTCTTTTTCTGACATCAGAATATACATTATCAATTTCAAATGTAAGATGTAAAAATTAGGCTTGCAGATCTACTTCAGGCTATAATGAAGCAGGGTACCACACTAACCTCCCACTGTTAACCATAAAATGGGATAAAATATATGAGATAACCATTCTCAAGTATTGGACAATAGGTAATGCAGTACTGTGATCCTCAAGAATTGAAGACCACGATAGTCCCAACTTTCCGCCTGGGTACAACAACTGGAGTCCATGTGGAGCACCACAGGCCTACTGAGCTGAGAAAGCAGAGGTCAGAGTTCTGAGCAGTTAAAGAATCTTAAATGCAGGGTACTAAAAGAGGTATAAGCTTCCCAGAAGATTTCCCTGTCACTCCTCAACCACAGGCTGATGGCTGGGATGTGTGCACCCTGGGTGAATAACAAAACATTACTGCTACAAAGTAGAAAATGTAACAGCTGCTACAGGTTAAAGTGCTGGGAAGCACCAAAGACCTGCCCAGCCAGGTGGAGACAGCTTCCTAACAACTTGCAAATACCTGGGAATTCAGCTGAAACAACATAAAGGCCACACCTTAGGACTACTCTAAACCTACCTACAAGGACTGAAAGCAAGCCTCAGAAAGATAGTTTGTAAGACAGGTCCCATGGTGTTGGATAATATCTTTGGCTTTCTATGTATTTGCCTTAACAGAATGTAAAAACCAAGTCTACACAACTTAAAGGTGATTAACTAGTAATTGAACAGCCTATAAGAACAACAACAACAAAAAAATTCTATGGAGAAAAATAACAGAATCCAGAGTCCCTACAAGGTATCAACCACAAGGTCCTTTATCTAGAAAGTAATAAAGATGCACCAAAAAAATAAAAAAGAAAAGAAAATTTTGTCCTTAGGCAAAATCAATATAAATAAATAAGTTAATAAGGCCCAAGATGACTCTACTTCAGCACACCACAGTTTAAAGAAGTTCATATAAATACCTTCAAAGAACTAAAGGAAAACATATTCAAAAATTAAAGGAAAATATTATTTTAATGAAAGAACGGATAAGGGATCTCAGCAGATAGATGGAAATTATAAAAAGGAAACAAATGAAAATTCCAGAATCGAAAAGTGCAATAATTCAAAGGAACAAAAATTCACTAGATGAGCTTAATGGATTAGAGAGAACAGATAAAGGAGTCTGTAAATTTGATGACAGAACAAGAGAAATTATCTGACAGAAAAAAAGATTGAAGAATTGATTTTTAAAAATCAATAACACTTTGGAAACTGTGAAACAAAATCCAAGAGTCTAATATACATGTAATTGGGGTTCCTATAGAAGCAAATAAGAATAGGGAAAGATTATTTAAAGAAATAATGGCCAAAAATTTCCCAAGTTTGATAAAATATAAAAATACTGACTTAGAGAACAAGATGCTCAATGAACTCTATGCAGGATAAATGCAAGAAAACAACGCCTAGAAACATCACAAACTGCTGAAAAACAAAAACAAAAAGAAAAATCTTGGCTGGGCATGGTGGCTCACACCTGTAATCCCAGCACTTTGGGAGGCCAAGGCAGGCAGATCACAAGGTCAAGAGTTCGAGGCCATCCTGGCCAACATGGTGAAACCCCGTCTCTACTAAAAATACAAAAATTAGCTGGGCGTGGTGGCACGTGCCTGTAGTCTCAGGTACTCAGGAGGCTGAGGCAGGAGAATTGCTTGAACCCAGGAGGCAGAGGTTGCAGTGAGCCAAGATCGTGCCACTGCACTCAAGCCTGGTGACAGAGTGAGGCTCTGTCTAAAAAAAAAAAAGAAAAAAAAAAAAAAAGAAAAATCTTAAAAGCAGCCAGAGGAAAACAGGCATTACATTCAGAGAAACAACAGGCTCCCCAACAGAAACAATGGAAACCAGAGGACAAAGGAATAACATCTTAGAAGTGCTAAAAGAAAAATTCAGATGACTTAACTCATCACCAGTAGAACTGCACTAAAACAAATAGTAAAAGGTATTCTTAAAGATGAAAACTTAGAAACTCTGAAATGAAGGAAAGTACTAGAAATAGTATGTGAGCAGAGATACATAAAAGCCATTTTTATCTTCTCACAATTCCCCAAAACACAACTATTTAAAGATAATACAACAACCTCAAAAGTTAGGTTTCATAAGGTATTTAGAACTATGACAATAGCACAAGTGATTGTAGGGTTAAATTAGATTATACTGTTTTAAAGTTATTAGATTTATGAGGTGGAAATTAGAAAATGGGAAAAGTCCAGTGTAAGCGGCACAATATTGACACTAAAAATTGACTTTGATATGGTAAGGATGCATAATTTTAGCCCAAAAGCAACCAATAAAGAAAACATACAAAGGGAAAGTATAGCCAAGAAGTCAATAGAAAAATTAAAATAGAATAACAAAAAAATAACTAAAAATAAGGCAAGAAAGGAGCAACAGAGTAGTGAAAAATAAAAAAAGGGGGTACCAGTGGAAACGAACACCAACAAGGTAGATTAAACCTAACCATATCGATCAGTAACTATATTAAATTTAAATGGACTAAACACTCTAATTATAAGAGACTGTTAAAAAATTAGCAATGGGATCTTGAATGGGAATCATTATGGTGGATGAGAGGCATGAGGACTAGATTGCAGCTCCAACTCGGACAGACAGAGCAGTGTGCAGAGGCTTGCATCATGAATTTTAGCTCAAGAATGACTGCAAGAATGAACCAGGAACCCCGAGGGGACCCCCAGACCCTCTGAAGGAAGAGGACTGCTCCTGCAGGACGCGGGAGACACCCCAAATACTGTGAGTTCCCAAACTGCAGAAGTGGGAAAGGGAGACCCTCCATTCCCAAACACACACCCCCACTGGGAAAACTCAAGGTCTGGTTTGCAGGAGACATTTCCGACCTTACCCACAGCTGGGTCAATTTAGAGGGCTGAGTGAAATACAGGGGTAGAGGAAGTAGTAGGAAAGGCCCTGGGAGCTCGCTGGGTCCCCAAGCAGGCCATTCCTGCCTGGTACCACAGGGACCTTTTGCGAGGGCAGCTAGAGGCATAGGGGGAAATACCACAGAGAGAAGGAAGTCTCCAGCTGAACTTTGTAACAATTTGAACTGGGCGAGAAGGCTCTGGGCCAGAACTCAGAGAAAGGTGCAAACCCAGTGTGCAGACTCCACAGGCGGCGGGGTAAGAACCAAAGCCCTCTTCTTTTGCAGCTGGGAACTAGGTAGCCTGGGGCAAGTTCTCCAGCCCTGCTCACCCACTGCCTGGAAATAGACTCGGGGCTGCTAGGGGGACATGGTGGGGGTGAGACCAGCCCTGAAGACTGTGTGGGAGCTGGGTGAGAGCTGTGACTGCCAGCCTTCCCTCACTTCCCTGACAACCTGCATGACTCAGCAGAGGCAGCCATATTCCTCCTAGGTACACAACTCCATTGACCTGGGAACCTCACCCCTATCCCCCACAGCAGCCACAGTAAGAGCTGCCCAAGGAGAGTCTGAGCTCAGACATGCCTAGCCCTGCCCCCACCTGCTGGGCCTTCCCTATCCACACTGGTAGCTGAAGACAAAGGGCACATACTCTTGGGAGTTCTAGGGCCACGTCCACCACTGGTTCCTCTCCATAGTACCACAGCTGATGCTCTCTGGAAAGTGTCACCCTCTGGCAGGAGGCCAACCAGCACAAAAATAGAACTGTAAACCACTAAAGCTAAGAACCCTCACAGAGTCCATTTCACCCTCATGCCACCTCTACCAGAACAGGTGCTGGTATCCATGGCTGAGCAATTCATAGTTCACATCACAGGACTCTGTGCAGACAACCCCCAGTACCAGCCCGGAGCCAGGTAGACTCGCTGGGTGGCTAGACCCAGAAGAGAGATAACCATCACTTGCAGCTCAGCTCACAGGAAACCACATCCGTAGGAAAAGGGGGAGAATACTACATCAAGGGAATACCCCGTGGGAAAAAAGAATCTGAACAACAGCCTTCAGTCCTAGACTTTTCTCAGAGCCTACCCAAATGAGAAGGAATCAGAAAATCAACTCTGATAATATGACAAAACAAGGCTCTTTAACACCCATCAAAAAAATCACACTAGCTCACCAGCAATGGATCCAAACCAAGAAGAAATCCCTGATTTACCTGAAAAAGAATTCAGGAGGTTACTTATTAAGCCAATCAGGGAGGCATCAGAGAAAGGTGAAGCCCAATTCAAGGAAATCCAAAAAAACGATACAAGAAGTGAAGGGAGAAATATTTAAGGAAATAGATAGCATAAAGAAAAAACAATCAAAACTTCAGGAAAACATTGGACACACTTAGAGAAATGCAAAATGCTCTGCAAAGTCTCAGCAATAGAATAGAATTGAACAAAAAGAAGAAAGAAACTCAGAGCTTGACGACAAGGTCTTCTAATTAACCCAATCCAACAAAGACAAAGAAAAAAGAATAAGAAAATATGAACAAAGGCTCCAAGAAGCCTGGGATTATGTGAAACAACCAAACCTAAGAACAATCGGTATTCCTGAGGAAGAAGAGAAATCTAAAAGTGTGGAAAACATATTTGGGGGAATAATTGAGGAAAACTTCCCTGGCCTTTCTAGAGACCTGGACATCCAAATACAAGAAGCACAAAGAACACTTGGGAAATTAATCACAAAAAGATCATCACCTAGGCACACTGTCATCAAGTTGTATATTCTGGTTATTAGTCCATTGTCAGATGTATAGATTATGAAGATTTTCTCCCACTCTGTGGGTTGTCTGTTTACCCTGCTGACTGTTCCTTTTACCGTGCAAAAGCTCTTTAGTTTAATTAAGTCCCAACCATTTATCTTTGTTTTTGGGGTTCTTGTTCATGAAATCCTTGCCTAAGCCAATGTCTAGAAGGGATTTTCCAATGTTATCTTCTAGAATTTTTATAGTTTCAGTTCTTACATTAAGTCCTTAATCCATCTTCATTGATTTTCATATAAGGTGAGAGAAGAGGTTCCAGTTTCATTCTCCTACATGTGGCTAGCCAATTATCACAGCACCATTTGTTGAAAAGGGTGCCCCTTTCCCCACTTTATGTTTTTGTTTGCTTTGTTGAAGATCAGTGGGCTGTAAGTATTTGGGTTTATTTCTAGGTCCTCTATTCTGCTCTATTCTGTGCTTTTGTATCTTTTTTTTTTCTTTTCTTTTCTTTTTCTTTTTTTTTTTTTTGAGACGGAGTCTCACTCTGTTCCCATGCTGAAGTGCAGTGACACGATCTCAGCTCACTGCAACTCTGCATTCCTGGTTCAAGGGATTCTCCTGCCTCAGCCTCCCAAGTAGCTGGGACTACAGACATGCGCCACCACGCCCGGCTAATTTTTGTATTTTTAGTAGAGACGGGGTTTCATCAGATTGGCCATGATGGTCTTGAACTCCTGACCTCATGATCCACCTGCCTCAGCCTCCCAAAGTGCTGGGATTACAGGCGTGAGCCACTGTGCTCGGGAAGTTTTATATCTTTTATGTGGAGCATTTAGGCCATTTACATGCAATGTTAGTATTGAAATGTGAGGTACCATTGCATTCATCATGCTCTTTGTTGCCTGCATACTTTGGGTTTTTTTTAATTTTTGTTTTTGTTTTTTAACTTGTATTTTTGTTTTACAGGTCCTGTGTGATTTATGCTTTAAAGAGATTCTGTTTTGATATGTTTCTAGGATTTGTTTCAAGATTTAGAGCTCCTTTTAGCACTTCTTGTAGTGGTGGCTTGGTAGTGGCAAATTCTCTCAGCATTTGTTTGTCTGAAAAAGACTGTACTTGTCTTTCATATATGACGCTTAGTTTCACTGGATACAAAATTCTTGGCTGATAATTGTTTTGTTTGAGGAGGCTGAAGATAGGGCCCCAATCCCTTCTAGCTTGTAGGATTTCTGCTGAAACATACGAGGGGCCAACGAACATATGAAACATCACTAATCATCAGAGAAATGCAAATCAAAACCACAATGAGATGCAATTTCACACCAGTAAGAATGGCTATTACTAAAAGGACAAAAATAATAATAATAATACTTAACATACTGGCAAGGCTGCTAAGAAAAAGGAATGCTGCGGGGCACAGTGGCTCATGCCTATAATCCCAACACTTTGGGAGGCTGAAATGGGTGGATCACCTGAGGTCAGTAGTTCGAGACCAGCCTGATCAACATGGTAAAACCCCGTTTCTACTCTTGCATATGTATATCAGGATACACACACAAGGTTATTCATAGAATTATTATTTGTAAAGGCAAAAAATTAGAATAAAGTTTATCAAAAAAGGCAAGAAATATGACATTCATTAAATAGAAAACAGTGCAAACAAACCTATTACAACTATATGGCACAACAATGCCTCTAACATACTATTGAGCAAAAGAAGCAAGACATAAAAGAATATGAAAAGTTTAGTTCTCTTTGAACACAAACAAATGAAAAAACATTCCATGCTCATGGATAGGAAGAATGAATATTGTGAAAATAGCCATACTGCCCAAAGTAATTTATAGATTCAATGCTATCCCCATCAAGCTACCATTGACTTTTTTTTCACAGAATTAGAAAAAACTACTTTAAATTTCATATGCAACCAAAGAAGAGCCCATACAGCCAAGACAATCCTAAGCAAAAAGAACAAGGCTGGAGGCATCATGGCTACCTGACTTCAAACTATGCTACAAGGCTACATAACCAGAACGGCATGTTCCTGGTACCAAAACAGGTATATAGATCAACGGAACAGAACAGAGGCCTCAGAAATAACGCCACACATCTACAACCATCTGATCTTTGACAAACCCGAAAAAAACAAACAATGGGGAAAGGATTCCCTATTTAATAAATGGTGTTGGGAAAACTGGCTAGCCATAGGTAGAAAAATGAAACTGGACTCCTTCCTAACACCTCATATAAAAATTAACTCAAGATGGATTAAAGACTTAAACATAAGATCTAAAACCATAAAAACCCTAGAAGAAAACCTAGGCAATACCATTCAGGATATAGACATGGGCAAAGACCTCATGACTAAAACACCAAAAACAATGGAAACAAAAGCCAAAATTGACAAATGGGATCTAATTAAACTAAAGAGCTTCTGCCCAGCAAAAGAAACTATCATCGGAGTGAACAGGCAACCTACAGAAGGGCAGAAAATTTTTGCAATCTATCCATCTGACAAAGGGCTAATATCCAGAATCTACAAGGAACAACTTTACAAATTTACAAGAAAAAAAACAAACAACCCCATCAAAAAGTGGGTGAAGGATAGAAACAGACACTTCTCAAAAGAAGACGTTTATACGGCCAACAAACATACGAAGAAAAGCTCATCATCACTGGTCATTAGAGAAATGCAAATTAAAACTACAAGGAGATACCACCTCACACCAGTTAGAATGGCCATCATTAAAAAGTCAGGAAACAACAGATGCTGGGAGGATGTGGAGAAATAGGGACACTTTTACGCTGTTGGTGGGAGTGTAAATTAGTTCAACCATTATGGAAGACAGTGTGGAGATTCCTCAAGGATCTAGAACCAGAAATACCATTTGACCCAGCATTCCCATTACTGGGTATATACCCAAAGGATTATAAATCATTCTACTATAAAGACACACGAACATGTATGTTTATTGCAGCACTGTTCACAATAGCAAAGACTTAGAACCAACCCAAATGCCCATCAATGATAGACTGAATAAAGAAAATGTGGCACATATACACCATGGAATACTATGCAGCCATAAAAAAGGATAAGTTCGTGTCCTTTGCAGGGACATGGATGAAGCTAGAAACCATCATTCTCAGCAAACTAACACAAGAACAGAAAACCAAATACTGCATGTTCTTACTCATAAGTGGGAGTTGAACAATGAGAACACATGGACACAGCGAGAGGAACATCACACACTGGGGACTGTCAGGGGGTAGGGGGCTAGGGGAGGGATAGCATTAGGAGAAATACCTCATGTAGATGACAGGTTGATGGGTGCAGCAAATCACCATGGCAAGTGTATACCTATGTAACAAACCTGTACGTTCTGCACATGTATCCCAGAACTTAAAGTATAATAAAAGAAAAAGTAAAATAAAATAAAAAATAAAAATAAATAAAAAGTTTAGTTCTCTTCATATAAAGTTCAAAATCTGGTAAAATAAAAATATTTCAATTTTCAAAGATGCAGGTATTAATGCTAAAATCAATATTAAAACAAATAGGTGAAAATTATCATCAGAAAAATCAGAATAGTGGTTACTTCTAGGAAAGATGGAAGAGAATATGATTACAAATGGTCAGACAGCAGGCTTCTTAGGATATTGGCAATTATCTAATTCTTGCCTGGGTGGCATTTACAATGGCATTTCTTTGTACAATTATTTATCAAATTATGTGACATTATGCATATCTGAATGCTATGTTTCATATGAAATCTATAACAGTTCTGTCATTTATTATGTCAATAACTGTGGCTTTCTTTATCCTAGAGTTATTTAAATTATATATTTGACTAGCAGACTCACAGACAAAAAAAAAAAAAGGCCTAATTCCAAGCGCAGTGGCTCACGCCTGTAATCCCAGCACTCCGGGAGGCCGAGGCAGGTGGATCACAAGGTCAGGAGTTCAAGACCAGCCTGGCCAACATGGTGAAACCCTGTCTCTACTAAAAATACAAAAATTAGCCGGACATGGTGGCACGCATCTGTAGTCCCAGCTACTCGGGAGGCTGAGGCAGGAGAATCGCTTGAACCCAGGAGACAGAGATTATGGTGAGCCGAGATTGCGCCACTGCATTCCAGCCTTGGCAACAGAGCAAGACTCCATCTCAGGGGGAAAAAAAGGCCTACTTGGCATTACACATAATAAAGAAGCAACATCTCTTTTTAGGCAATAGATGGAAACATTCAATATGGGTGAAAAGAAAGGTCAAAGGAAATTTTCTATTTTATTTCACAAAAAGAGTAATTTTTTACTCCGGTTTCTCTTCAGATTGTATAAATCTTTCGCCTTTTACCAAAGGAGCAATTTCTACCATCTGTTCTCTGAAAAATTGACCTCTTCTTGTTGTGTTGTCTGTTCTTTCATTTTCAGTGAGAAAACTTTTCCAAATGTCATAATGTCAAAAAGCCTTTCTTCAGATTACTAAAAAAAGAAAGAAAGAAAGAAAGACCCGTTGCTTGATGATGCTCACTGTCACACAATTCTGTGATGTGGATATCAGAGAAAATGTGTTAGCAATTACAAAGGCAAGCAAGTCCAAGTATGTTTGTGAATGATAGGCTAAAGTTAAAATAAAGGATCACTGTCACTGAACATGTTTTCCCATAACATATGAGAAATATGCCCAAAATAAATTGAAAATTGTTAAGAACATCTTAAAATATTTAATATGTGGGTCAGGTGCGGTGCCTCATGCCTATAATCCTAGCACTTTGGGAGGCAGAAGCAGTGGATCACTTTAGGTCAGGAGTTCGAGACCAGCCTGGCCAACATGGCAAAACCCTGTCTCTACTAAAAACATAAAAATTAGCCAGATGTCATGGCGTGTGCCTGTAATCCCAGCTACTTGGGAGGCTGAGGAACAAGAATTGCTTGAACCCAGGAGACAGAGGTTGCAGTAAGCCAAGACTGCACCATCGTACTCCAGCCTGGGCGACAGAGCGAGACTCTGTCTCAAAAAAAAAAAAAAATTTTTATATGTGTATCTGTAGCCACCAAAACAAACCACTATAATTCTTTAACTCCAATAAAACTAGATATTAATATTAATATTAATATTAATTAGTAAATTAGGTTAAATAACCATTAATTCTATTAGTAATTTTACATATTTTACTCATGTTAACATCTAAGTATCTTCTGAACAATATGAATTTAAAATGGAAGTTGTATTTTATTAAATAGCTCCATTTCTAAAGGCTAAATATTTTAAGACTCACTAAAACTTCAACAAAATTAAATACTTTAATAAATCCTTCATGACTGATATGGTTTGGCTGTGTCCTCACCCAAATATCATCTTGAACTGTAGCTACCATCATTCCAATGTGTTGTGAGAGGGACCCAGTGAGAGGTAATTGAATCATGGGGAAGGATTTTCCTCGTGCTGTTCTCATGATAGTGAATAAGTCTCATGAGATCTGATGGTTTTATAAAGGGCAGTTTCCCTGCACATGCTCTCTTGCCTGCCACCATGTAAGATGTGCTTTTGCTCCTCTTTTGCCTTCTGCCATGATTGTGAGGCCTCCCAGCCATACAGAACTGTGAGTCCATTAAACCTCTTTTTCGTTATAAATTACCCAGTCTTGGGTATGTCTTTATTAGCAGCATGAGAACGGACTAATACAATGACACAGATAAACTCTATAATCTGTAAAAAATTGGTATCAATTAATTATCTCCAGACTTACTGGATCCTTTAATATAAGTATTTCAAACTCCTAAATTTTTATTTTATACCATTAAGAACTGACTAATGAGGTCAGGCGCGGTGGCTCACGCCTGTAATTCTAGCACTTTGGGAGGCCAAGGTGGGCAGACTGCCTGAGCTCAGGAGTTCGAAACCAGCCCGGGCAACACGGTGAAACCCCGTCTCTACTGTAAATACAAAAAAATTAGCCAGGCGTGGTGGTGAGTGCCTGTAGTTCCAGCTACTCGGGAGGCTGAGGCAGGAGAATTGCTCGAACCTGGGAGGCAGAGGTTGCAGTGAGCCAAGATTGTGCCACTGCACTCCACACTCCAGCCTGGGTGACTGAGCGAGACTCCATGTCCAAAGACAAAACAACAAAAAAAGAACTAACATAGATTACTATCAGTATTTACAGCAAAACCTCTGAAAGAGATCTAATATTTAAATAGAAAAATAAAATTTTTAAATAGACAAAAAAGAGGTAATTTTTTGTTATGTTGGAAGGTGAAAGGCTTTTGTAAGCATAATACAAAAACCAGAAGCCTAGAGAAAAGGCTGACAGATGCAACTATTTAAAAGGAAACTTCTCATGCATATCAAAACTACCAGGAGATATCATTTCAGTCCAGTTAAAATGCCTTTTATCCAAAAGATAGGTAATAACAAATGCTGGCAATGATGTGGAAAAAAGAGAACCCTTGTACACTGGGTTGGTGGGAATGTAAATTAATACAACCACAATGGAAAACAGTTTGGAGGTTCCTCAAAAGAAAATAAAAATAGAACTACCAATCCACCAATCCCACTCCAAGGTATATACTCCAAAAAAAGAAAATCAGCATATTGAAGAGATATTTGCACTCCCATGTTTATTGCAGCACTAATAACAATAGTGAAGATTTAGAAGCAAGCTAAGTATCCATCAGCGGATGAATGGATAAGGAAAATGTGGTACACATACACAATGGAGTACTACCCAGCTATTAAAAAGAATGAGATCCTGTCATTTCCAACAACATGGATGGAACTGGAGGTTACTATGTTCAGTGAAATAAGCCAAGCACAGAAAGACAAACTTCATATGTTCTCACTTATTTGTGGGAGCTAAAAATTAAAAACAATTGAACTCATGGAGATAGAGAGTAGAATGATGGTTATTAGGGGCTGGAAAGGGTAGTGGGAAGGCAGGGGGGGAGTTGGGATGGTTAATGGGTATAAAAAGTAGAAAGAACGAAGAAACCTATAATTTGCTGGAACAATAAGGTGACTACAGTCAAAAAAAAAATTTAATTGTACATTTTAAAACAACTAAATGAGTATAGATTGTTTGTAACACAAAGGATAAATGCTTAAGATGATGGATACCCCATTTACCCTGATGTGATTATTATGCATTGCAGGCCTGTATCAAACTATATCATGTAACCCACAAATATATACACCTACTATGTACGCACAAAAATTCAAAATTAATTTTAAAAAGTTAAAAATAGAAGAAACCTTCTCTACACTAAAAAGTAGCACAAATCAAAAGATATTCACAGAGAAAAATATTTGTAAGACATACAAAAAAGAAGTGATACTTTAACATGCAAATTGCTCGAGTGTTAATAACAAAATGGAAAAAGAGGCATTCTCTATACCATTAATGTTAACTTAAATAGACATAACCCTTCTTAAGTTTTACTGAAATATAATTTATATATCATAAAATTCACACATTTACACAATACAAATCAAAGGTTTTTAATATAACAGAGAGTTATACAACCGTTAGCACAATCTAATTTTAGAACATTTTAATCATCCTAAAAAGAAACTCTATATCCACTAGCCAATACTCCATACACTCCCATGCCTGCAGCCCTATGCAGACATAACCTTATTTTAAGGACAACTTGTCAACGTCAATCTAAAATGCAAATGTGCCATCCTGTGACTGAGCCATTCCATTTCACATCATTTATTCTGCAAGAAAAGACACATAATACACAAAGATATGCATAGGGGTATTCTTGAAATACCATTTGTTATAGAAAAATACTCTAAACAGCCTACATGCATCAATAGCAAATTATATTCATAAAACATGATGTATCAGTAAAGTAAAATTTATGTAATTATGAATAAGAATGGGGTGATATTTCTGATATGGAAAAAATCATCAGAATATATATGTCAGTCAAAAAGCAATGAAATGGGCTGAGCACGGTGGCTCACGCCTGTAATCCCAGCACTTTGGGAGGCCGAGGCAGGCGGATCACGAGGTCAGGAGTTTGAGACCAGCCTGACCAACCTGGTGAAACCCCGTCTCTACTAAAGATACAAAAAATAGCCGGGCATGGTGGCGCACACCTGTAATCCCAGCTACTCAGGAGGCTGAGGTAGGAGAATTGCTTAAATCCGGGAGGTGGAGGTTGCGGTGAGCTGAAACTACGCCACTCTACTCCAGCCTGGGTGACGACAGAGCGAGACTCCGTCTCAAAAAAAAAAAAAAAAAAGCAATGAAATGGTCTATATACAGTATATGATCTAATTTTACTTAAAAAGAAATAATCCTAGAGAATTTTAAAGAGAATACCCATTAAATTTTCAGCAATAATTATCTCTGAAGAATGAGTTGAGAAAGGGATGATTAAATACTTGAGAGCTAATATTTAATTTTAAATAAAGTTGACTCACTTAAAAGAATGCTATTTATTGTTTTAAAAATATTACCCAGCAACAATAAAGGCATTTTTAGATGAGAACATGCACAAGAGTTGTTTTATAGGGACATGTAAGGCTCTAACAAACTTCGAAACAGAACAGCATTTATCCTCATGCCAACAATTAAATGTTGAATAAAAGGGATTTAAGCAAGTAGACATAAGATTTTCTTTTCTTTTTTTTTTTTTTTTTTTTTTTTTTTTTTTTTTTTTTTTTGAGAAGGAGTCTTGTGCTGTCACCCAGGCTGGAGTGCAGTGGCGTGATCTCGGCTCACTGCAAGGTCTGCCTCCCGGGGTCATGCCACTCTCCTGCCTCAGCCTCCTGAGTAGCTGGAACTACAGGCACCCGCCACCATGCCCGAGTAATTTTTTGTATTTTTTTTAGCAGAGACGGGGTTTCACCATTTTAGCCAGGATGGTCTCAATTTCCTGACCTCGTGATCTGCCCACCTAAAGTGCTGGGATTACAGGCGTGAGCCACCGTGCCTGGCCATACCAATTTTCTTAAGGAAAACATATGTTTATAGAACACATAGAGAAAAGAAAAAAAAACGTAAATATATTACCAGTATTTTTTATTTCTAGGTGTTGATTCTATAGGTGATTTTATTTCCCTCCTTACATATGTCTCTATTTCCCAAAATGTCTTTAATAAAAATCTACATAATTTATTTTATAATCAGACATGCTACTTTAAAAGATAGATGAAACTAAGATAGTTTTTACACAGGGGCAAATCAGCAGATACTTTTAAATATTGTGCAATGGAGAAAAATATGATAAAAAAACTTCATCAAAATAAGTCAGAAATGACTGTAATTGCACAAAGGATTATTTTAGAAAAATGTACACTGAATATATTTTAATATATGGAATAAGTTTATGATTACATGCAAACTTCTCAATGATGCCTCAAATATTTTTATAGTATGCCCAAAAGAAAAACAGAAACATAAGGATTTAGGAAAAAATAAAGTCAAACACATTTAAAAATGAATTTCTGATGCAATGCATGATAGCTTTAAATGTTTTTTCTTTGAAAACATATGTGGGTGGCATTGGTATGCTGACTCCTGCCCCAAGTTGTCATCAACAAAATTTTTAAGTGATGATTTCCTTTCAATTCATTTAATTATTTATGGTAAGCAGTCTCAACAGTAAGAATTAATACAAAATAAAATTAAAAGAAAAAATAGTTGGGAATGACTCAAAATGATTTTTATAATTCATGAATGACAATTTTTAGAAAAAGAAATTCAAAACAAGAGCTCAAAGGACAAATATGCTTTTTAAAATGTCATTTGTTTTTATTTCAACAGTTTTTGTAACACCAGGATTATACAAGAAAGAAAAGCCTGAGTCTAATGTCAGCAAGATGGCAGACTAGGACTTTCAAGCCCTCGTCCCTCCACAGAAAAATCAATTTGAACATAAACATGCACAAAAATACCTTCATAAGAGCTAAGTAAACAAGGTGAAATATTACAGCACGAAATAGGAAAAGACATAACGCAGAATGTAGAAAGGACAGTTTTACTCAGAAGTCCGAGGCTGCAGGTTTTAAAATACTCACATCACCCCTCCCCCAACTCCAGACAGTAAAGCGTGGAGAGACCCTCCACTTGGGAGGAGGGAAGAAAGGTGAGCACTAGACTTTACCTCAGACCTCAATACCAGGTCAGTCCCAGTAAAACGTAGGATCAGGCAGGACTCCTCAGCCCTAGACTCCCAGCCAGTACCCCAGGACTGACCCTGCAAATCCACCCTGGTACAAGGAAAAATCTCACAGCCCCAGGCTCCAGACTGGCCCAGTAGATTTAGTCCCTGGGTCCACCTCACCCCACCCCATGCTGATACCAGCAGCCACAGCATCCAAACTAACCCTAGTGCTGGACTGACCCCAGCAGCCTAAACTTCAGCTCCACCCCAGAGCCAGACCAGCCCCTACAGACTAAGGTTCCTGGCTAGCCTCTGTAGCCCCAGGCTCCAGGTCAGCTCCCAAGACCCAAGACTCCAGGCCAGTACCCACAGACTGAGCCTCTAGGCCTAATTTGGCACAATGCAAGATCCCACAGCCCCAGGTTCCAAAGCCAGCCCAGCAGACTCAGTCTCTGGACTCACCACATTGCCAGGCGGGCCCAGTGACCTTGGGCTCCAGACTATTCACAGCACGAGGCTGGCCCCGACAACTTCAGGTTTCAGGCCTACCCAGGAACCAGGCCAGCCTCCAGAATCCCTAGTCATCAGGCCAGCACTCACAGACTCAGCCTCCATGCTGGCCCATGTGAATATAGGCTCCAGACATACCCAATGTCAGGCCAGCCCATCTGGCCCCAGGCTCCAAGCATAACGCAGGATTCAGAGCCAGGTCAGCCAACACAACCCCATGCTTTAGACCCACCCAACCTCCCAGTCAACACCTCTGGCCCAGACTCCAGGTCGGCCACTGGGGCCCCAATCTCCATATTAACCCCTGTGGTCCCATACACCAGGAGACTCAGGGTCTAGACCTGACTAACAGACCCAGGGTCCAGGCTCATCCCAATAAACTGTGGTGCCAAGCCAGCCCTCAGAAAATAAGATTCCAGGTCCATCCCTACAGAATCGTGACCCAGGCCCACCCCTGCACACTCAGGCCCCTGGCCTGTCCCAGTGGACCAAAGAACCAGGTCCATCCCAGAACCTGTCTGGCCCCTGCAGATTCAGGCTTAAACCCACCCTAGAACCAGGTCAGCCCTTGCAGACCTAGGCTTCAGGCTAGCCCTGGTGGATACATATTTCAGGCTTACCATGCAGACCCAAACTCCAAGCTCACTCCCATGGACCAAAGCAACACATCTACCCAGTGGATCCAGGCTCCAAGCTCAAACATGAGGACCAAGATACCAGGCCCACCCACTTTCTGACCCTGCCTGGGGACTGTAGGAGAGAGCCCACCAATAGGCCAAACAGCCTGCCCAGAATCTCTGGATAGGCTCAATGATGACTGGCTTTCTCAAATGAAGCCAGTCTACAAAGACTATAATAATTTCCTACTTCTTCAAATGTGCAGACACCAACATAAAGCAACAAGCAACATAAAAAACCAAGGAGACATAACCCCAGCAAAAGAAAATAATCTCCCAATAGCTGACCCCAAAGAAATGAAAATATATAAACTGCCTGACAAATAATTCACACTAATTGTTTTAAGGAAGCTTAGTGAGCTTCAAGAAAATACAGAGAAATAATTTATTGAAATCAGAAAAACAGTAAGTGTATAAAATGAGAAATTTAACAGAGAAATTTTTTAAAAAATCAAATTCTGGAGCTGCAAAATATAACGAATGAAAAGAAAAATATAACAGCATTCACAACTGAATTGATCAAGCAAAAGAAAAAATTCAGTAAACTCAAATATACAGGTTATTAGAAAATATGCAGTCAGAGAAGAAAAAGGAAAAAGACTGGAAAGGAATGACGAAAGTTTACAGGACGTATGGGACAGGATCAAAAGAGAAAATATTCAAGTTATAGGAGCTAAAGAAGAAAAAGAGAGACAAAGGTGTAGAAAGTTTATTTAAACAAATAATAGCTAAAAACTTTCCAAATTGAGGGAAAGATATATATATCCTGGTACAAAAAGGTCAAAAGTCTCCAATCTGATTTAATTCAAGCAAGACTATACCAAGCCATGTTATAATCAAACTGTCAAATATAAAGAACAAATGGAAGATTCTGAAAATATCAAGAGAAAAGCAAATTATATACAAGAGACTTCCAATAAGACTAGCAGCGGATTTCATGGAGGAAATCTTACAGTCCAGAAAAGAGTAGGATGATATATTCCAAGTACTGAAAGACAATAACTGCCAACCAAGAATATTGTGAGTGGCAAAGCAGTCTTTCAGAAATAAAGAAAAGTTAAAAATGTACCAAGACACAAAAAAGCCTTAGGGAGTTCATGACCACTAGACTTGTCTTACAAAAATGCTCAAGTGAAATCTTGATGCTCAAAGAAGAAGACACTAATGAATAACAAAAAATACATATATAAGGATAAAACTCACCAGTAAAAGTAAGGAAACAATCAAACACAGAATAGTCTAATAATATAATGTTGTGGAAATGACTTATATCTTTAGTATGAAGATATTATATTATTTAAATATAATAGCCACAATAATTTCTTTCTATACAATATAAAAAGATGTAAATTGTGTCATCAAAAAATGAAACAGAGTAAAATGTAGTTTTTATATGTGATAAATCAAGGTTATTATCAGTTTAAAATAGCCTGTCATGAAAATAAGATGTTTTATGTAAGCCTCGTAGTAATCACAAAGCAAAAACCTACAATAGTTGCACGAAACATAAAAAGAAAGGATTCAAAGCATACCACTACAGAAATTCATCAAATCACAAAGAAAGATAACAAGACGGAAAGGAACAAATGTTCTATAAAACAACCAGAAAACAAATTACAAAACAGAAGTAGCAAGTCTTTACTTATGAATACTTATGTTGAATACAAATGGATTAAATTCTCTAATCAAAAGACAGAATAACTGAATGGATTAAAACAAAATTCAACTATATGCTTCCTATAAGAAATTCATTTCATGTTTAAGAACCTACATAGACTGAAAGTGAAGGAAGAGGAAAAGATATCTCATGCAAACGGAAATGGAAAGAGCGAGGGTAGAAATACATCAGATAACACTGACTTAAAATCAAAATTATAAAATGAGATACAGGTCATTATACAGTGACAAAGGGCTCAAGTCATCAAAAGGATATACCAATTATAAATATATATGCCCCCAAAGTAACATCACCTAAATATATAAAGCAAATATTCATAGATATAAAAGGAGAGAAGGAGTGTAATACAATAATAGTAGGGGACTTTAAGACCACAATTTCAGCAACGGACGGGTTACCCAGAAAGAAAATTAATAAGGAAACATCAGATTTGGTCTATTCTTTAGTGCAAATAAACCTAAAAGAGATATACAGATATACAAAATGTACCATTCAGTGGCCACAGAATACACATTCTTCTCAACCAAATGTGAAATATTCTTCAGCATAGATCATATGTTAGTTCACAAAAGAAATCTTCACAAATTTAAGAAGACTGAAATCATATCAAGTATCTTTTCTGACCACATGTTTAATACTAGAAATCAGTAACAAGAGGAATTTCAGAAAATTGACAAATACATGGAAATTAAATAACACACTCTTGAACAGCTACTATGTCAAAGAAGAAATTAAAAGAGAAATTTAAAAATATCTACAGACAAATGAAAATAAAAACACAACATACAAAAACTTATGGGATACAGCAAAAGCAGTTCTAAGAAAGAAGTGAATAGCAATAAATGCCTACATCAAAACAGGAGATCTCAAATAAACAAGTTAATGTTACACCTAAATAACTTCTAAAAGAACAATCTAAGTCCAAAGTTCACGGAAGGAAGGAAATCATAAAGATCAGAGCAGAAATAAATGAAATATAGACTAGAAAAACAATAGAAAAGGTCAGTAAAATTAAGAGTTAGTTATTTGAAAAGATAAACAAAATTGACAAAACTTTAGCTAGACTAAGAAAAAAATAAGAGAAGACAAATAAGTAAAATAAGAAATGAAAGAGATGTTAGAATTGATGCCACAGATATACAAAGGATCATGAAAGACTACTATGAGTAATTATACGTCAACAAATTAGATAGCCTACAAGAAAGGAATAAATTCCTGGACACACAGAACGTATGATGACTGAATCATGAAGAAATAAAAAAGCTGAAGAAATCAATAATAAGTAAGGTGACTGAAGCATTAATTTATGTATTTACTTTTTTTTTTTTTTGAGATGGGAGTCTTGCTCTATCACCCAGGCTGGAGTGCAGTAGTGCGATCTTCTCACTGCAACCCCCACCTCCCAGGTTCAAGCGATTCTCCTGCCTCAGCCTCCCAAGTAGCTGGGATTACAGGTGCACACCACCACACCCAACTAATTTTTGTATTTTTCATAGAGATGGGGTTTCACCATGTTGGCAAGGCTAATCTCAAACTGCTGACCTCGGGTTATCTGCCCACCTCAGCCTCCCAAAGTGCTGGGATTACAGGTGTGAGCCACCGAGTCCGGCCTTGAAGCATTAATTTAAACACACACACACACACACACACACACACACACAGATACACACACACACAACATATGCCCAGGACCTGATGGCTTCACTGTTGAATTCTACCAAACATTGAAAGACCTAATACCAATCCTCCTCAAACTCTTCCAAAAAAAACAGAATACTTCCAAACTCATATTATGAGGCCAACTTTACACTGACACCAAAACTACACAAGAAAACAACAAGAAAGGAAAATTATAGGCCAATATTAAGGATGAAGATAGATGCAAAAGTCCTCAACAAAATATTAGCCAACTGAATTCAACAGCACACTCAGAAGAGCATTCACCATGATCAAGTGGAATTCATCCCAAGAATATAAAGATACTTTAACATATGCAAATCTATACATGTTGTACACCAATTAACAGAATGAAGGATAAAAACCATATAATCATCTCAGTAGATGTGGAAAAAGCATTTACAAAATTCAACATATTTTCATAATAAAAACAACAAATTAGGTATAGAAGAAATGTACCTCAATACAATAAAGGCCATACATGAAAAACCCATTGATAACAATATATTCAACAGTGAAAAACTGAAAGCTTTTCCTCTAAGATCAGAAATGAGACAAAGATGTCCACTCTCACTACTTCTTTTCAACATAGTACTGGTGGTCCTAGCCAGAGTATTACACAAGGGAAATAAATAAAAGGGTGGCCAGGCACAGTGGCTCATGCCTGTAATCAATCCCAGCACTTTGGGGCGCTGAGGCAGGCAGATTACTTGAGGTCAGGAATTCAAGACAAGCCTGGACAACATGGTGAAACCTTGTCTCTACCAAAAAAATAAAATTATATATATATATGGCACACAGTGGCAAATGCCTGTAATGCCAGCTACTGGGGAGGCTAAGGCAGGAGAATTGCTTGAACCCGTGAGACGTAGGCTGCAGTGAGCTGAGATTGCACCACTGTACTCCAGCCTAAGCAACAGAGCATGACTGTCTCCTAAATAAATAAATAAATTGTATCCAAATTGGAAAGGAACGAGTGAAATGGTCTCTATTTACAGACGATATGATCTTATATGTAAAAAAAAAATTTTTAAAGACTCCACCAAAATGCTGGAACTAATAAATGAATTCACTAAAGTTGCAGAATACAAAATCAACATACAAAAATCAGTAGCCATTTTATACACTGACAATGAACTATACAAAATCAAGAAAACAATCCCTCTCTTACTAGGTACCAAAAAAAAAAAACCACTTAGAAATAAATTTGATCAAGGAGATTAAAGACCAGTATAATGAAAACTGTAAAACACTGATAAAAGAAATTAAAGAAGATACAAATAAATGGAAAGATATCTCATGTTCATGAACTGGAAGAACTAATAATGGTTAAAATGTCCATGCTATCCAAAGCAATCTATATATTTCATGCAATCCCTATCAAAATTCCAATGGCATTTTTCACAGATATAAAGAAAACCCTAAAATTTATATGAAACTAAAAAGACCCTGAGTATCCAAGGCAATTTTGAGCAAAATGAACAAAGGTGAAGGCATCACACTACCTGACTTCAAAATACACTATAAAGCTACAGCAATCAAAAGAGCACAGTAACTGGCATAAACCAGACACACAGACCTAATGAAACAGAACAGGGAACCCAGAAATAAACCCATACATTTAGTGTCAACTGATTTTCATTATTATTATTTTTATTTATTTATTTATTTTGAGATGGAGTCTTGCTCTGTCACCCAGGCAGGAGTTCGGTGACACAATCTTGGCTCACTGCAACCTCTGCCTCCCAGGTTCAAGCGATTCTCCCGCCTCAGCCTCCTGAGTAGCTGGGATTACAGGCATGCCCTACCACACCCGGCTAATTTTCGTATTTTTAGTAGGGATGGGGTTTCACCATGTTGGCCAGGCTGGTCTCAAACTCCTAATCTCAAGTGATCCGCCCACCTCAGCCTCCCAAAGTGCTCAATTACAGGCGTGAGCCACCATGCTTGGCCAGGTCAACTGATTTTTGACAAAGATGCCAAGAACACACAATGGGGAAAGACAGTGTCTTCAATAAATGATGCTTGGAAAACTGGATATCCAACATGCAGAAGAATGAAATTAGACCCTTATCTCACACCATATACAAAAATCAATTTAAAACAGAGACTTAAATGTGAGACCTGACATTTTAAAACTACTATAAGAGAAATAGGGGAAAAGCTCCATGACATTGCTCTGGGCAATGATGTTTTGGATATGAACCGAAAAGCATAGTCAACAAAAGAAAAAATAGACAAATGAGATTATATCAAACTAAAAAGCTTCTGCATAGCAAAGGAAACAATCAACAGAGTAAAAAGACAGCCTACACAATGAGAAAAATATCTGCAAGCCATATATCTAATAAGGGGTTAACATCCAAAATATATATGGAACTCAAACAACTCAATGGTAAGAACACTGATAACCTGATTTTAAAATGGGCAAAGGATCTGAATAGACATTCCTCAAAAGAAGACACGCAAATAGCCACCAGATATATGAAAAACTGCCCAACAATCCTAATCATCAGAGAAATGCTGACTAAAACAATACTGAGATATCACGTCACACCTATTAGAACGGCTATCAACAAAAAGAAAAAAGATCAGTATTGGAGGGGATGTGGAGAAAAAAGAACCCTTGCCCAGTGTTGGCAGTAATGTAGATTAGTGCAGCCATTATAGAAAAACAGTACGAGGGTTCCTTGAAAAATTAAAAATAGAACTACTACATGATCCAGCAATCTCACTATTAGGTATAAATCCAAAGGAAATGAAATTGCTATATTGAAGAGCTATCTGCACCCCCATGTTCACTGCAGCAATAGCCAAGATATAGAATCAATATAAAGTGTCCATCAACAAATAAATGAAAAAAATGTGATATATATATACACATACACACACACACATACACACACACACACAATGAAATGTTATTCAGTTTTTAAAAAGAAGGAAATCTTGTCATTTAGTACAACATGGATGAACCTAGAGAACACGATGTTAAGTGAAATAAGCCAGGCACAGAAAGGCAAATACCACATGATCTCACTTATATGTGGATTCTAAAAAAGGTGAACTCACAAAAGTAGAGAAATGGTGGTTATGAGGCCAGGCGACAAGGAGTGGAGTTGGGAGATACTGGTCAAAGGATACAAAATTTAAGTTAGATGAGAGAAATAAGTTCTAGAGATCTATTGTACAGCATAGTGACTTTAGTTAATAACAATGGATTGTATTTCAAAAATCACTATGAGAGTACATTTTAAGTATTCTCATTACAAAAAATAATGATAAGTCTGTGAGGTGATTCATATATCAAGCTCAATTTAGCCATTTGACAATGTATACATATTTCAAAACATCATGTTGTACACAATAAACATCTACAATTTTGTCCAGGTGTGGTGGCTCATGCCTATAATCCTAATGCTTTGAGAAGTCAAGGTAGGAGGAGGATCACTTGAGGCCAACAGCTCAAGACCAGCCTGGGAAAAACAGTAAGATCCCATCTCTACCAAAAAAAAAAAATTTTAATTAGCTGGACATGGTGGCACAGCTGTAGTCCTGGCTACTCAGGAGGCTGAGGTGGGAGGACTGCTTGATCCCAGTGAGCTCTGATCACACCACTGCACTCCAGCCGGACAAAAGATAGAGACTCTATCTCTGGAAAAACAAAAACAAAAAACAAAACAGAAAGATGAACCCTGCCTACCATGCATCATGTTTTATATTTGTTTCAAGTGCAACCTCTTCCTAGAATATACCATTATTTTAACTAAAACCTGAAAACCTAGATTACATAAAATATTAAAACTGTATTATCAATGGGTTTATCAGCAATATCTCATTCCTACCTCTTTCTCACGTATTCGAGAGAGAAAATGATCATCATGGAAACTGCTGGATTTTCTCAGGCTGAATTTCGGTGTCATCTGCTAAATGAACAGGAGTTATTTAACATGTTTTCAGATCTGGTTTATCCTTAACCCCAAAGAAAACTTCTAAATTGCCTGAGGCCCGTACCAAAATAGTACTAACACTGCAGGAAAAAATCACTTCCAAGTGATAAAATTCAAAAACTATTATGTTTCCTAATGTAGATCCGCATTATTTTCTATAAATAACTTAGTGATTATTTTATTTTAAAATACCTGCCCCTAGAAAAAGTCCAATGGATTTCTCACATACCAGAGAAACTGGGATAGGCTTCTGTCTCAGGTATCGAGGATTTTCTATCTGAAAATTTAAAAATAAAACAAAATAAGGATTTATTAATTTTGGAGTTTTAATTATTATTTGATAAAATATAGAATTAAGCTGCCATATGAAACATTTTCTAGATTCTTAATATTTAATTCATTTTTAGAATGGGTATTGTATGATATATTTTTAGCGGCTCCCTACAAGTAAAATATAAAACATAAACTCCCTTGCATGCCAAAATGAACCTTCATGATCCTCTCACTGCCTAACTGCCCACTCTCATCTTCCATTACCCTTCACTTCACATTTTATGCTCCCAGGATCCACAATGATTTATATTACCAGAACATGGCAGATGTTCTCATGCCTGTCCACCTCTGAATTTCTCTGCCCAGCCCTCCAAACCCTGTAAGCACACACCTATTTGTTCTTACAGTCGCAATTTAATCACTGCACTCCCAGATGTATTTGGTACATGAATTCTTAAACATACCTTTCTAATAGCAAAGAGAACACAAAATTCCTTTGGGACTCCCCCTAAATCTCCCTTTCAGATTCATCTATCTTCACCATACCCCACATTCCAAGGACACCAGACAATTTGTTTTAACTTAAAAGCACTATACTGTCTCCCATGTCTGAGTCTTTGCAACCTGTAAGATCATTCCCCCAACTTCTACACATGGTTAACTTACTCAAGACTTGTAGTTTAAAAATCATCTCCCCCAGGAAACCTAGTTCCTACTACTCCAGTAGTACCCTGGATGCTAGTTCCCTTTTACAATCTGGCATCTCCCTGTTTCAAAACAGTGTGGACTCTGAAAGCAGAGACCATGACTGCCCTGTTCACCACTCTATCCCTAGCACCCAACTCAGTGCCCAATTAATATTTCTTCAGAAAGAAGGAAGAAACAAGAGGAAAGAAAGGAGTAACCTGTACCTGATTCCACCTTCTTATCAGCTCCTAAAGTATCCTATGTCCACTCTCTCATAGCCCTTATGTAATACTTTGAGTGTTTATCAGTATGTCTCCACATCTGTCTTTGAACAGAAGGAGTACTGGGATGACATCTTCTCAGTTTTGTATCTCTGGGACCTAGCACAATATCTAATGTATAGTAGCCTTTCAATAAAGTATTTATTGCATGAATATACTATATGATAAAGTAGACATATTGATAGTTATCTCTACTATTTCACTCACAAATAAAGTGATAATTAAAAATCTCTACCGTGAAAGTCTAATTTCTTCATATCACAAACCCACAAATTACTACATGGATAATCTCACAAAGTACAAGAACACAAACTATCACTTCAACCTAGGGTAGTGGTTCTTACACTTGTTAAATTAAGATTCATCTAAAGCTGCCTCCTCACATATTTTTAATTCAGCCTAAAGGTTTCTCCATTCATGGTGAACTGTAACCTAACTGGATGTGTAAACAGACTACAGCTTACTCTTGTGCCACTCACTGAGTTTTGGCAATTAAAGGCAATCAATCGTTCAAACCAGATTCAAATAAGGCAAACGCAGAGCTGTAACCAATCCTGCTGTTTCTGTACCTCGCTTCCATTTTGTGTACATCACTATCCTTCTTCTGTCCATAAATCTTCAATCATCCAGTAGTGCTGCAGCCTCTCTGAACCTATTATGATTCAGGGGCTGCCTGATCCATGAATCATTCTTTGCCTACTAAACTCTGTTCAATTTAATTTCTTTAAGGTTTTTCTTTTAACATCCTGGAGTGTACTATGAGGATCAAGTGATAAACATTTCAAATATAAATTATTGGATTCTAGTTCTCCAAAATCCCATTGTGTTTTCAAAAAGTTCCCCAAACGATTTATTACGGTTAATAACTCTTGAAAATGAACAATCCATACCCAATTTGACAATAAAGATAACGGTGAATGAAGAATCAATTAATCAAAAAATGTAGAAGTCATAACATTTATAATAGAATCCAATCAAGTAAAACTTAAAAGGAATATAGCAATAGACAGGATATAAAGTATAATTATTTTAGCATCTAGGTTAAAGGAAATACACAAAACAATTTTCTTTCGTGTGGACGCCAGATCCTATAAAGTAATGGCAACTGTATGAATTTAAATGTCTCTCCCCATCCTCCAAAGACACATACAGATTGATAAAGAGACCAAATAAAAATGCCCATCATCCATGACTACATCATAAAAAGGAGAAAGGGAATACAAATCCCTGGATTAACATGTAGGTGGCCAAATAAAGATACCAAATCAGCAGAATTAGATCCTGAGCCAGAGTGGTAGCATGGGGAAAAAAGGAAGTACCTCAGGGTCCTAGTAGTGGTGGAACTAAATATCATCAAATACTGACCTGTCAAAGAAAAGTGGCCTACCTTAAGTGGGCCACACAAAAAAACTTAATGGCTCAGAGTGCCAGAGATGGGCACAAAACAAGGGGCTTGGAAACTATGAAGAACCAGAAAGGCAGTTCTAGGAAGGAATCACTTCTGAGGTAGAGAGAAGCACCTTTGAAGGAAGGTTGTTCATGATAAAGGGAGATAAAAAAGCAGCTGAAGATAAGGGCCCTGCAGAAACAAGACAGAATCAAAGAATCAAAAGAAGACAAGCCATGGCCAGGAGCTGTGGCTCTTGCCTGTAATCCCAGCATTTTGGGAGGCCAAGGCAGGCAGATCACCTGCAGTCAGGAGTTCAAGACCAGCCTGGCCAACATGGTGAAACCCCGTCTCTACTAAAAATACAAAAATTGGCTGGGCTTAGTGGCAGGTGACTATAATCCCAGCTATTCAGGAGGCTGAGGCAGGAGAACCTCTTGAACCCAAGAGGTGGAGGTTGCAGTGAGCTGAGATCATGCCACTGCACTCCAGCCTGGGTGACAAGAATGAAACTCTGTCTCAAAAAAAAAAAAAAAAAAAAGAATAAAGAAGACAAGCCAGGCTGACAACCACAAAAGGCACCATTTGTTAAAGAAGTTAAACTTCAGTGTAGCAGAGGAGGAGGGCTGTCCAGAACTAAGAAATAAAGTAAGCCACCCACTACCACTTCCCACACAATCACTGGCTATTACTTGTTCAGAAAAATCTAACAGATAATCATGAACAGAAAAAAAGAATCCAATATCCACAAAAACTTACTATATAAAATAGAAGACCAAAATCAAAACCTGCCAGCAGAAGGAAACACTTTTTTAAAAAGCTAAAATACAGGAAAACAGTAATACAGGCTTCCTTTTGATTCCCATATCTCCCCACTCTCATACACCAGGGTTTTTGTGCAACCCACTTAAAATAGGACGCTCTCCTACATGTCAATACTTAATAATATTTTTGTTCCACCACCACTAGGACAACAGGTATTCAAATATAACTTTTAAATAACTTCAGGCATAAAAATACTACAAATCAAAATAAAGACAAAAATACAAAGATGTTAAATAGGAGGTGACTAGATTCAGGAAAAAAAAACATGGAAGAGTAACAAAAATCATCCAAGAAATGAAGACTAAATTAAGAGTTGTACAAGAGAGAGGCTGGACATGGTGGCTCATGCCTGTAACCGAGGTGGGCGGATCACAAGGTCAGGAGATCGAGACCATCCTGGCTAACACAGTGAAACCCCATCTCTACTAAAAATACAAAAAAATTAGATGGGCGTGGTGGTGGCAGCCTGTAGTCCCAGCTACTCGGGAGGCTGAGGCAGGAGAATGGCATGAACCCTGGAGGCGGAGCTTGCAGTGAGCCAAGATCACGCCACTGCACTCCAGCCTGGACAACAGAGTGAGATTCCCGTCTCAAAAAACAGAAAAAAAAAAAAAAAAAGAGTTGTCCAAGAGAGAAAAGATAACTATAGTAACAGCAAGAGATAAAGATAGGACCTGAAGCCAAAAACCAGGAAATAAAACTGACATAAAAACGTGTTTAAAAAGGATCCAAGAGAAATGGATAAAGAAAATGAGAAACAAGAATACAATAAATGTATAATTGGATTCCCTGAAAAAAATAAAATAAATGCAACTAAATATTTTAAATTATTAAGAAAATATTCTTAAATAAAATAATACCTGAATCATATTAAATACTCTCACTCTTTACCTTGGAAAACTGACCTAAGACCATCGACTGAAACATAAACAGATGGCCCTCCATATTCATGGCTTCTACATCTACATATTCAACCAACCAAACTGAAAATATTCAAAGTAATAATTAGAAAACAAGAAAACAGTACAGTATAACAACTATTTCCATATCATTTATATTGTATTAGGTACTATAAGTAATATAGAGATTATTTAATGATTCATAGGTTATGTACAAATACTGCACTACTTTATCTAAGGAACATCAGCATTTGCTGATTTTGGTATCTGTGGGAAGGAAGGAGGATGTTCTGGAATGAATCAACTCTTGATACTGAGAGATGACTGTACAATATATTGAATAAAATCCGATGTGATATGCCGAATATCTTTCAGAGTATAATATAAAAGTCCAAATATTAAACTTTACGAATATTTTTTAAAAATTCTCTGGACCCTCAGTCAAAAAGATTAGACATTTATAACTTTATTTATTTATATATTTATGAAAAATGAAAAGTATGTATCACACTTCTCAACTGTAACATACATCATATAAAACATTGTATTTAAGGAACTCAGGTAAAGAAAATGCAAATCAAATATTTTACATACAATCTAGATTTCCTCCAAGAATCAAGACCATAAGAAACCATTTGAAACATGCAAGAATTCAGAAAATACTGTATCACAAGGTCCATTCAGTAGACTCTATTAGAGCATGAACATTTTATCTTAGTTAAAAGATAATCAAGAGGGAAAAAAAAGATAATCAAGGAACCTTCAGTCAAGAGACTGATGCTTCCTGATTAAGTATTATAACATCTGCAATTTACTTTCAAATAGTTCCAATAAGGCAAAATCACAAAATTTAAAAGGCAGCAGCAATAAGTTACTGTTGTACTATTCTTTTTCTACTTGAATATTTTCATCATAAAAATTGTAAAAAAAAAAACTGGTTTCTTTAACAAGATAGCATAAACCTAATTGATAATTATCTTATATTTTGATTTTGGGAAACCAAATACTATTGATTAGTCCAGTTAAATGGCAGTTTCTGATTACTGTATAGTTTAAATACATGCTGGAAAAAAATGCTTTTTAAATAATGTTAATTCTGAGAAAAAAAAACAATCATGCTGAGTTTTTGTGGAAAGACACTGCAAAAAACTTAGTGGTTATTTCGGACTAGCTAAATGAAATCACCATGGAATTTAAAATAATACAAGCTATTAGATAGAAGCTATAAATGTATTTTAGAAAGAAGAGATGGCTATTTTTTAAGAAAAATGTGAAAATTATTTTGTGTAGATTAAAAAACATCAAGCTGAGAAAAGTTTCACCATCTCAACAGTTATTTTTCCACCTTATATAGATAAAAGCATGGTAGTTTTGAGAAGACAAAAAATCTGAGAGTACATAAGTAACTAGAAAACAATATCAGAGATCCTTCAAAGAAATAATTTCTTGTGTCACACCTGGGGTTATGTCATATTCTTTCAACAATTATTTACTAAACATCTACCATGTGCCAGGTACTTTGAGAGACGTTTATGACAAGCTGTGAGAAAAAGAACTGTAAACACCTGAAAATAACACCTGATGGAAACTCTACATAAAGTAATAAATAGGCCATAAATGGTAAATGGTTGCATAAATAGATAAGGCTTTTAATTTTATATTTTCAATCCATTCAATCAATATATAACTATTTAAAGGAAAATGAACAAAAACATAATATAATGAAAATAATATATTGTGGAGTTTATAACATTAATAGATTAAAGGAAGAAACTATATAATCCTCTCAAAAGATAAAGAAAAATTCAGGCCAGGCATGGTGGCTCACGCCTGTAATCCCAGAACTTTGGGAGGCCGAGGTGGGCAGATCACAAGGTCAGGAGATCAAGACCATCCTGGCTAACATGGTGAAACCCCGTCTCTACCAAAAATACAAAAAAATTAGTCGGGTGTGGTGGCGGGCACCTGTAGTCCTAGCTACTCGGGAGGCTGAGGCAGGAGAATGGCATGAACCTGGGAGGCAGAGCTTGCACTGAGCCGAGATAACCCACTGCACTCCAGCCTGGGTAACAGAGCGAGACTCCATCTCAAAAAAAAAAAAAAAAGAATTAAAAAATTCCACAACCATTCATGATTTTTAAAAATATCCTGACAAAATAGAGACATTTTTAATTTGATAAATGGAATCTACCAAAAAAACTATAAGTAAGAAAAAACTACAAGTATGAAAAACTAGCCAGGTGTGGTGGCTCACGCCTGTAATCCCAGCACTTTGGGAGGCTGAGCTGGGCAGATCACCTGAGGTCAGCAGTTCGAGACCAGACTGGCTAACATGGTGAAACCCTGTTTCTCCTAAAAATACAAAAAATTAGCCAGGCATGGTGGCGTACGCCTGTAATCCCAGCTACTCGGAAGGCTGAGGCAGGAGAACTGCTTGAACCCAGGAGGTGAAGGTTGCAGTGGGCCGAGATAGTGCCATTGCACTGAGTGAATAAGAGCGAAATTCCATCTCAAAAAAAAAAAACAAACCATGAAAAACTGAAAGCATTCCCTTTAAGATTGGGAATGATACAATGAGTACCACCCACTATGAACATGCTCCTATTCAACACTGTAGTGGAATCCTAAACAGCATTTTTTTAAAAAAGATAAGAAAAGGAAAAAGGAGGAGGATAGAAAGAAAGAAGAGGGTACAAGATTAGAAAGTAAAAACTAGAACACCTCATCATTTGCAGATACCTACTTACATAGAACTCTATAAATGAATAAATAAACAAGTAAATAATAGAACTAATAAGAGTTTGGCAAAGTTGCCAGATGCCAAACCAACATATAAAAGTCAACTGCGATCAAAGAGGCAGAGCAAAATGTTCAAATAGAAGCCTTTAGCAATTTTCCCCGCAGCATGAACATCAAATTGAACAACTATTCACATAAAAAAGCACCTTCATAAGAAGAAAAAATCAGGTGAGTGATCACAGTACCTGGTTTTAGCATATTAAGGAATGAGATGCCAAAGAAGGTAGGAAAGACAGTCTTAAATCACCTGCATCACCCTTCTCCTATCCCCCAGCAGTGGCTACATGGCATGAAGAGAGAATCTGTGTATTTGGGGAAGGAAGAGCACAGTGATTGTGGGATTTTGCATTGAAACTCAGTGCTGCCCTGTCACAGCAGAAAGAAACAGCAGGCAGAATTCAGCTTGCACCCACAGAGGAACATTTAGACCAACCCTAGCCAGAGGCAAATCATTCATCCCAGCAGTCGGAACCTTAGTTCTAGCGAACTCCACCACCACCATGGGCTAAAGTGCACTGGAGTCCTAAATAAACTTGAAAGGCAGTCTAGGTCACAAGGACTGCAAGTCCTAGGCAATCTCTGATGCTGTGCTGAGCTCAAAGCCAGTGGGCTTGGGGGTGCATGTGACATAGTGAGACACCAGCCAGGGTAGCCAAGAGAGTGCTGGTGTCACTCCCAGGCAACACAGTTTGCAGCTCTGAGAGAGACTCCTTCACTCTGCCTGAAGAGAGGAGAGGGATGAGTAAAAAGAATTTTGTCTTGCAACTTGGATACCAGCTCAGCCACAGTAGACTATGGCACCAGGCAGAGTCCCAAGGCCCCCAGTCCAGGGCCTAGCTCCCAAACATTTCTAAACACACACTGGGTCAGAGGGGAACCGACTACCTTGAAAGAAAGGACCCACTCCTGGCAGAATTCATCATCTGCTGACTAAAGAGCCCTTGGTCTCTGAATGCTCAGCAGTGACAGCTAGGCAGTACTTGCGTGGGCCTGGGGTAAGACTTAGTGTCATGCTAGCTTCAAGAATGATCCCGCACATTCCCAGATGTGGTGTCTAGGGGAAGAAATCCCCTCAGCTTGAGGAAGGGAGAGGGAAGACAAAAGGGAACATTGTCTTTCACCTTTGGATACCAATTTGGCCATAGTAGGGAAGAGCACCAAGCAGGCTCCTGGGGTCACCAATTCCAGGCCTTGGGTCCTGGTAGGCATTTCTGGCAGCAGACTTCTCAGTGGAAATGTAACAGGCCAAAAGAGAGGGGCATGACATATTTAAAGTGCTGAGGAAGAAATGCTTTTATCCTGGAATAGTATACCCAGCAAAAATAACCTTGAGGGATTTGATCAACACCAGACCTATCCTACAAGAAATGCTAAAGGAATTTCTTTGATCCGAAAGGAAAGGACATTAATGTGCAATAATGAATCATCTAAAGGTATAAAGGTCACTGGTTATAGTAAGTATTATACTTAGTAAAGTAAGTATATTACTATTATAACACTGTAATTGTGGTGTATAAACTACTCATATCTGAAGTAGAAACACTAAAAGATGAACCACTCAAAAATAATAACTGTAACAATTTTTCAAGACATAGTGTAATAAGATAGAAACAACAAAAAGTTAAAAAGTGGGGGGATGAAGCTGAAGTGTAGAGTTTTTATTAGTTTTCTCTTTGCTTGTTTATGCAATCAGTGTTAAATGATCAGCAGTTTAATATAATGCGTTAAATTACATGCACATTTCATGCTAACCTCAAACCAAAAAACCTACAACAAATGCACAAAAAATAAAAACCAAGAAATTAAAACATACCACGTGAGTAAATGGCTTTCACTAAAAGGAAGACAGGAAGGAAGGAAAAAGGAAGAGAAGACCACAAAACAACCGGAAAACAACTAATAAAATGGCAGGAGTAAGTCCTTACTTATCAATAATAACATTCAATTTAAATGAACTAAACTCTCCAATCAAAAGACATACAGTAGCTTAATGAAAACACACCTGGGCCAGGCACAGTGGCTCATGCCTGTAATCCCAGCACTTTGGGAGGCCACGGTGGGCAGATTGCTTGAGCTCAGCAGTTCAAGACCAGCTTGGGTAACATTGTAAAACCCCGTCTTCACAAAAATTCCAAAAATTAGCTGGGCATTGTAGCGTGCACCTGTAGTCTCAGCTACTTGGGAGGCTGAGGTGGGAGGATGGTTTGAATCCAGGAGTCAGAGGTTGCAGTAGCCAAGATCATGCCACTGCACTCCAGCCTGGGTAACAGAGCCAGACCCCATCTCAAAAAAATGAGCCTAATAACTATTTACAGAACATTTCATCCAAAGGATGTAAACATTCTTCTCATCCACATATGGATTATCCACAAGGACAGACTGTATGTTAGGCCACAAAATAAGTCTTTAAAAACTTTTTTGAATTTAAATTGCATCAAGTTTTATTACCTCTGACCACGAGGTAATAAAACTAGAAATCAATAACAGGAAGAATTTTGAAAACTATACAAACACATGGAAATTAAATATGCTCCTGAATGACCCATGGGTCAATAAAGAAATAAAGAAGGAAATAAAGAAGGAAAATTTTCTTGAAACAAATAAAAATGAAAATACAACATACCAAAATCTATGGGATACAGTAAAAGCAGTAGTAAGAGGAAAGTTTATAGCAAGAATTATCAATATGAAAAAGGTAGAAAAACTTCAAATAAACAACCTAATGATACATCTTAAAGAATTAGAAAAGCTAGAGCAAACCAACCCCAAAATTAGTAGAACAGAAATAATAAAGATCAGAGCAGAAATAAATGAAATGAAAATTTAAAAAACACACAAAAAATCAACAAAACAAAAAGTTTCTTCAAGAGATCAAATCAACAAGCCTTCAACCAGATGAAGTAGGAAAAAAAGAGAGAAGATTCAAATAAATAAAATCAGAGATGAAAAAGAGACATTACAACTGATATGGCAGAAATCAAAAAATCATTAGACGCTACTATGAGCAACTATATGCTAATAAATTTGAAAACTGAAAAGAAATGTATAAATTCCTAGACACATACAACCTACCAAGAGTGAATAAGGAAGAAATCTAAAACCTGACCAGAACAAAAACAAGTAATGAGATTGAAGCTGTAATAAAAACATCTCCCAACAAAGAAAAGCCTAGGACCCAATGGCTTCACTGCTGAATTTTATCGAAAATTTAAAAAAGAACTAATATCAATCCTACTCAAACTATTCCAAAAAACAGAGGAGGAAGGAATATTTCCTAACTCATTCTCAAGGCTAGTATTACCCTGATACCAAAACCAGACAAAGACACACCAAAAAAAGAAAACTACAGGCCAATATGACTGATGAACATTGATGCAAAAATCTTCAACAAAATACTAGTATACTGAATTCAACAACACATAAAAAAAAATCATTCATCATGACCAAGTAGGATTTATCCCCAGGATGTAAGGATGGTTCAATATAGGCAAATCAATCCATGTGATAAATCATAACAACACAATGAAGGGCAAAAACTGTATGAACATTTCAATTGATGCTGAAAAAGCATTTAATAAAATTCAGCGTCCCTTCATGATAAAAACCTTGAAAATTCTGGGAAAGAAGAAACATACTTCAGTACAACAAAAGTCATATACAACAGACCCACAGCTCATATCTATATTGAACAGGAAAAACTGAAAGCCTTTCCTATAAGATCTGGAATATGACAAGATGCCCACTTTCATTACTGTTATTCAACATAGTACCGAAAGTCCTAGCTAGAGCAATCAGACAAGAGGAAGAAATACAGGGCATGCAAATTGGAAAGGAAGAAGTCAAATTATGCTTGTCTGCAGATTATATAATCTTATATCTTAAAAAAACTTAAAGACTACAACAAAAAACTATAAGAACTGACAAACAAATTCAGTAAAGTTGCAGAACACAAGATCAACATACAAAAATTAATAGCATTTCTATATGCCAACTGCAAACAACCTGAAAAAGAAATCAACAAATTAATTCCATTTACAATAGATACAAATAAAATAAAACACCTAGAAATTAACTTAAATAAAAGAGTGAAAGATCAGTACAACAAAAACTATAAAACACTAATGCAAGAATTTGAAGAAGACACAAAAAAATGAAAAGATATTCCATGTGCATGGATTGGAAGAATCAAAATTGTTAAAATGTCCATACTACCCAAAGCAATCTACAGAGTCAATGCAATTACTGTAAAAATACCAACAACATTCTTCACAAAAATAGAAAAAAATAATACTAACATTTATATGGAACCAAAAAAAGACTGAGAATAGCCAAAGCTATCCTGAGCAAAAAGAATAAAACTGGAGTAATCACATCACCTGACTTCAAACTATAGTACAAAGCTACAGTAACCAAAACAGCATGGTAGTGGCATAAAAACAGACACACACACCAATGGAGTAGGATAGAGAACCCAGAAGTCAATCCATATATTTACAGTGAACTTATTTTTGACAAAGATCACAAGAATACATATGCTGGGGAAAGGATACTCTCCTCAATAAATGATGCTGGGAAAGCTGGATATCCACATGCAAAACAATGAAATTAGAGCCCTATCCCTTGTCATACATAAAAATCAAATAAAAATGTAGGAAAAACTTAAATCTAAGACCTCAAACTAGGAAACTACTAAAAGAAAACACTGGGGAAACTCTCCAGGACATTGGAGTGGGCAAAGATTTCTTCAGCAATTACCCCACAAGCACAGGCAACCAAAGCAAAAATAAACAAATGGGATCTTGTCATGTCAAAAAGCTTCTGCACAACCAAGGAAACAATCACAAAAAATGAAGAGACAACCCACAGAATGGGAGAAAATATTTGCAAAGGAGCTCAAACAACTCTATAGGAAAAAAACCAATAATCCGACTTGAAAATGGGCAAAAGATCTGAATAGACATGTCTTAAAAGAAGACATATAAATGTCAAACAGACATATGACAAGATGTTTAACATTACTGATCATCAGATAAATGCAAGTCAAAACTACAATGAGATATCATCTCACCCCAGTTAAAATGGCTTCTATCCAAAAGACAGGCAATAATAAATGCTAACAAGGATGTGGAGAAAATGAAACCTTTGTACAGTGTTAATAGGAATGCAAATTAGTACAGCCACTATGGAAAACAGGGTAGAGATTCCTCAAAAAATTAAAAATAGAATTAACATATGATCCAGCAATCCCACTGCTAGGTATATACCCAAAAGAAAGGAAATTAGTGTATCAAAGAGATATCTGCATGCCCATCTTTGTTGTAGCACTGTTCACAATAGTGAAGATCTGGAAGCACGCTAAGTATCCATCAACAGATGAATGGAAAAAGAAAATGTGTTACTTACACGTAATGCAGTACTATTCAGCCATAAAAAAGAATGAGATCCTGTCATTTGCAAAAACCTGGATGGAACTGGAGATCATTAAGTTCTGCAAAATAAGCCAGGAACAGAAAGACAAACTTGACATGTTCTCAATTATTTGTGGGAGTTAAAAATTAAAACAGTTGAACTCTGCAGATCGACAGTAGGATGATGGTTCACAGAGGTTGGGAAGGATAGAGGGGGTTGGGGAAAGTGGGGATGGTTAATGGGTACAAAAATATCGTTAGAGAGAATGAATAAGACCTAGTATTTGATAGCACAATAGGGTGATACAGTCAAGAATAATTTATTGAACATTTTTAAATAACTATAAGAGTGTAATTGGATTGTTTGTAACACAAATGAAGGATCGATGTTTGAGATGACAGATACCCATTTATCCTGATGTCATTATTATGTATCATATGCCTGTTATCAAAATATCTCATTTACCTCATAAATATACATACCTACTATGCTCCCATACAAATTTAAATTTTTTTTACATTTAACATGTACCCTAAAACTTAAAGTATAATAATAAAAAAAAAATCAACTGCATTTCTGAAATGAGTAAAAATCATCTAGGAGAAGAGTTTACAAAGATATAATTTCTAATATACTGCATAATTCCTAGATAAACTGACAAAATGATACCCTAGACCTTTATAGAGCAAATAAGCTTCATCAAAAGATTAGGGCTAAAGACTGAAAAAAAAATAGAGAGTAGAATCCATTTTGGACAGTCTCGATGTTGCAAAAAATGTCAATTCTTAAGTTGATCTAGCAATTAAATGTGATCCAAACCAGAATTTCAACAGGGTTTTTGTAAAACTTATAATGACCTTACAAAATGTATATAAACAAAAACAGGGCAAAAGTAGTCAAGACATGCCTGATGAAAAAAATCAAGGTGGGGCAATTGGCAATTTATAAAGATATAATAAAACCATCCGGGCATGTTGGCTCACGCCTGTAATCCCAGCACTTTGGGAGGCTGAGGCGAGCAGATCATGAGGTCAGGAGATCGTGACCATCCTGGCTAACACGGTAAAACCCCATCTCTACTAAAAATACAAAAAATTTGCCTGGTGTGGTGGCAGACACCTGTAGTCCCATCTACTCAGGAGGCTGAGGCAGGAGAATGGTGTGAACCCAGGAGGCGGAGCTTGCAGTGAGCCAAGATTGTGCCACTGCACTCCAGCCTGGGTGACGAGCAAGACTCCGTCTCAAAACAAAACAAAAAAACAAAAAGTTAGCCAGGCGTGGTTGTACACATCTGTACTCCCAGCTACTCGGGAGGCTAAGGCAGGAGAATCACTTGAACCTGGGAGGCGGAGGATGCAGTGAGCAGAGATTGCGCCACTGCATTCCAGCCTGGCAATGAAATGAGACTCTAGCTCAAAAAAGAAAAAAAAAAGAAAAAAAAAGAAAAGAAAAGATACAATAAAACTATAGTAATGTAGACAAACCAATTGAACCAACTGGAAATTGGCAGAAAGAAACTCAAGTATACTTATTTGATAATGTGATTTGTGAAAGGTCTAGCATTGCCAATTTTTGAGAAAAGAAGGGAATGTTCAATAAATAGAAGAATATAAAATCAGATCACTTCCTCACACCATATATAATAAATTCCCAATGGATTCGATCTTATATTAAAAGCAGAACTACAAAAACTTTCAGAAGACAATTTAGAAGAATGATGTTATGGCCTCAATCTAGAAAAGATTTGCCAAACAAGAAATGAAAAAAAAAAAAGCATAAATACAAAAAATCAACTCAAGATGGATTAAAGACTTAAATGTAAAACCCAAAACTATAAAAACCCTGGAAGAGAACCTAGGCAATACATCCTGGACATAGTCCTAGCAAAGATTTTATGACAAAGACACCAAAAGCAATTGCAACAAAAGCAAAAATTGACAAGTGGGATCTAGTTAAACTTAAGAGCTTCTGCACATCTGCACAGCAAAAGAAACTATCAAGAGAGTAAACAGACAACCTACAGAATGGGAGAAAATGTTTGCATCTGACTAGGGTCTAATATCCCGCATCAATAAGGAACTTAAACAAATTTACAAGATAAAAACAAGCCCATTAAAAAGTGAGCAAAGGACATGAACAGACACTTCTCAAAAGAAGACATACACGTGGCCAACAAGCATACGGAAAAAAAAGCTCAATATCACTGATCATTAGAGAAATGCAAATCAGAACCACAATGAGATAAAATCTCACACCAGTCAGAATGGCTACTATAAACAAAATCAAAAAATAACAGATGCTGGCAAGGTTGTGGAGAAGAGAACACTTATACGCTGTTGATAGGAATGCAAATTAGTTCAACCATTGTGGAAAGCAGTATGGCCATTGCTCAAACAGCTAAAAGCAGAATTACCATTTGACCCAGCAACCCCATTACTGCATATATACCCAGAGGAATATAAATCATTCTACAGTAGAGACACACGCGAATGTTCATTGCAGTACTATTCACAATAGCAAAGACATCGAATCAACCTAAATGCCCACCAATGACGGATTGGATAAAGAAAATACTGTACATATACCCACGGAATACTATGCAGTGATAAAAAAGGATGAGATCATTTCTTTTGCAAGAACATGAATGGAGCTAGAGGCTATTACACTTAGCAAACTATTAAAAACACAGGAACAGAAAACCAAATATTGTATGTTCTCACTTATAAGTGAGAGCTAAATGACAAGAACATAAGAACACTGAGAAAGAAACAACGGACACTGGAGTCTACTTGAGAGGGGAGGGTGGGAGGAGGGAGAAGAGAGAAAAGGGAACTATTGGGTACTGGGCATAATACCTGGGTGATGACATGTGTTTACCTATGTAGCAAACCTTCACAGGTACCCCCAAACCTAAAATAAATGTTTTAAAAAAGCATCAGTAAGAGAGAAATTAATAAACTTGACCATTTTAAGAACTTCTCCAAAAAATACATCATCAAGAAAATGATAAAAACAAGTCATAAACTGAGAGATGTTTGCACAAATGATTAGTCTCCAAAATGTGTAAACAAGGCCTTTAAAAATCAATGAAAAGGCCGGGTGCGGTGGCTCACACCTGTAATCCCAGCACTTTGGGAGGCTGAGGCGGGCAGATCACCTGAGGTCAGGAGCTTGAGACCAGCCTGGCCAACATGGTAAAACCCCATCTCTACCGAAAATACAAAAATTAGCCAGGCATGGTGGCAGGCACCTGTAGTCCCAGCTACTCGGGAGGCTGAGGCAGGAGAATCACTTGAACTCGGGAGGCGGAGGTTGCAGTGAGCCAAGATGGGGCCATCGCACTCCAGCCTGGGGGATGAGAGTGAGACTTTGTCTCAAAAAAATAAAAAAATTAAAAAAACAATGAAAAAAAGATGTCAATACACTTGAGAAAATTGAGGAAAAAAACTTGGGGCACATTTCACTGATGAGGAATTATGAATGGCTCATAAACATATAAAATATGGTCAATATACTTAGAAATATAAAAAATATAAAGTAATATCACAATGCGGTGATATTTTACAATTTTATAGATTGGCATAAATTAAAAATTTACAATAAAAATGTTCAAGATGTGAAACACTACTAGTGGGTACATGAATTGGTACTTTTACTCAGGGAAACAATTATTAAGATAATAATACAATCTACCTCAACATGGTACCAGAGAAATGCGCATATTCTTCAGTAAATAACACAGTGCCAGCCAGGCATGGTGGCTCACGCCTGTAATCTCAGCACTTTGGGAGGCCGAGGCAGGTGGATCACTCGAGGTCAGGCGTTCGAGACCAGCAAGGCCAACATGGCAAAACCCTGTCTCTACTAAAAATATAAAAAAATCAGCAGAGCATGGTGGTGCACACCTGTAATCCTAGCTACTTCAGAGGCTGAGGCAGGAGAATCGCTTGAACCCGAGAAGCGGAGGTTTCAGTGAGCCAAGATCATGTCATTGCACTCCAGCCTGGGTGCCAGAGTGAAACCCTGTCTCATAATCCCAGCTACTCAGGAGGCTGAGGCAGGAGAATCACTTGAACCTGGGAGGTAGACGTTGCAGTGAGCTGAGATCACACCATTGCACTCCAGCCTGGGTAACAAGAGCGAAACTCCGTCTCAAAAAAAAGTAAATAAATAAAATAAAATAAAAATAAGTAGCCCAGTGCCATATACACACTGCAACTTGAAAAATAGAGGCAGCAAATGTCCAGCAGGCAGCAAAGTACATGCAATTAAATATGTACCAGCTGAAGGTATAAATATGCATCGTCATATATACATATACATATGTATACATGTATGTGTATATATACATATATTAGGTAATAATTTATTTTTGGAATGTTGCAGGGTTTTGTATAAAGCAGCATAGGAAGTAAGTTCTTCAAAGATACATGCAATTCTGCAAATATACAAAACCCAACTCATGAAGCAGAATCAAAATATAAAGGAAAAAATAAAGAGGAAACAGGAATTTCCAAAGATGCTCAAGCACTAATTAAGTTTAAAATTTAAAACCAAAAGCCAAGAAAACCATCTGTGATTTATTTTTATTCAGCTCTACATTTACAAGCAGGGTACAAAATATTGGTTCAGCTAATTACAATGCAGCATTTCAACTATGCAGAAGTAACTCCTATTTCAACCTCTTCATCTTTAAAAGCCATTAAATAAAGAAGTTAAAGACTCATTCTAGCATCATAAATTTCCTTTCTCAAGTTGACAAATAAATAGAAAATGTCTATTCTAATTTTTTAAAGCAACAATGAACACTGTAAACAACAGTGAATTATGTTGTTATTCATTTACAATACACTGAGTTTGTCTCATAACCAATTTTAATATGCAATGGGAATTATTCATGGTAAAGCATGTTCTTGAGTCTATTTGGGGGAAATAAGCAATCTATTTTCTGATTTTGTAACAGCAGCCAGATGTGCTTTGAAGTTCAATGTTCCCACTTTGTAATCCACAAGTAACACGGAACTTGAAGCAATCTGTAAACAGTCTTAACATTTTTTATGCTCTTTTAGAAAAGTTCTTCTTCTCTCATACTACCTCAAAAAAAGAATACCACAATAAATGTCCAAAATGGAAAATAAAAAAGTCTTAAATGAAACACTGAAGTCGAAGAAAATATTGTATAGAAAGCAAAGCTGAAAATAATTAAGTTTCAATGGCACGAATAAATAACATGTTTGCACATTTCTTGCTTAACAGGCAAATAGAATCGCAATAATAAAATATGTAATAACTTAGGCTAGACATGAAAACAGACATCTGAATACTTTTTAATGAAAACTGGCTTTTGACTTTTTATTTTGTTTATTTTTTTTAGCAGATTTCTTTGTTGATTGTCAGGGTTTTCTGTCCACTTGTTTTTTAAAATTACTTGGCATTTGGTCAAACTGACATAAGCAAAGAACCTCTTATAAACTAATGGTTATCAAATAGAGAAGTTTTACATTTCCAGAAAAATTAAAAGGCACTTTATCTGATATACTATCTTAGCAAGAAGGACATTGTCAAGCAATATATTACCAGTAACACAACTAAAATAAATGTTTTTAAATCATAGCATCAGTCAGAAGTGCCAAAACTCTCTCCATAGAACAAAATAAATTCACTCTTCAACACCAAATTGAATATGCTCCAAAATTATGCTTTTAAGTAAATATTTTAGAACTTTAAAACCATTTTTCCACAGAAAATTTACAATACTATATTCCAAAAGGACTCTCATGCAGAATAGAGAAAAAGCTCTTATATAGGAATAGGAAAAGGGCAGACAACAGGAAAACTGACAAAGCTTTCAGTAAACACTTTGAGAGGCTATCCAAATTGACAATAAACATATTAAAATGCACCTAACTGTATTAGTCATCAGGAAAACATATATTAAAACCACACAATACTATGTCACTAACTACTCTCAAGAATGGCTTTTTTTAATTAAAAAAAAAAATTGCCTGGCCAGGCGCAGTGGCTCATGCCTGTCATCCCAACACTTTAGGAGGCCGAGGCAGATGGATCACCTGAGGTCAGGAGTTTGAGACCAGCCTGGCCAACATGGTGAAACCCTGTCTCTACTAAAAATATAAAAATTAGCCAGGCATGGTGGCGGACACCTGTAATCCTAGCTACTCAGGAGGCTGAAGCAGGAGAATCACTTAAACCTGGGAGGCAGAGGTTGCAGTGAGCCAAGATCATGCCACTGCACTCCAGCCTGGGTGACAGAGACTGTCTCAAACAAACAAAAAAAAAACCCTGACAATACTAGGTATTGGAGAACAGGCAGAGTAATGGGCTCTAGCACACAGTGCTGCTGAGAAGGTAGATTGGCACAGCCACTTTGGAAAACTGGCAATATCTATCATATCAGTTAGCTTTTTGCTGCATAACAGATCATCCCAAAACTTCATGGCTTGAAACTACAACCATTTTATTTAGCACCCAATTCTGTGAGTCAGCAACTTGGGCAGCTCATCTACTGGGACAGTGCATTCTTGAAATCGACCCAAGAGTCCCATAGACAGTTCTTTCGGATAAACATAGAAATGTGCTCTTCTGGTCTTAAAGTTTGAAACTTGCATTTGTTTTATCTGAGTTCCCTCCTCAGGCATCTCAATAAAATATCAAAGAACTGAAACTGACCAGATCACCACATCCAGACAATGCAATGCTGGACCCCTCATTCACCATGATTGCTCCTTTATTTCTCCCTAGTTCCTGTTTTCTTACACATTGTTACAGTTCTTCCCTGCTATGTAAACCTCTAATTTTAGTCATTCAGAGAGATTAATCTGAGATTGATCTCCCATCTCCTTGGCTGCAGCACCCAATTAAAGCCTTCTTCCTTGGCAATAATTGTTGTCTCAGTGATTGGCTTTCTGTGCAGCAAACAGCAGGGCCTAGACTGAACCCCTGGTGTTTCAGTAACAATCTCAGCTGGACTTCCTTGTCTGTTGGCTATGCCAGTGTGATAGCTGCCCTCAATAAGCCCCGAAATGAAGGTTAAAGCAGGTCTCAATCAGCCCCAAAATGAAGGCCACACTGAGTACAATGGCCAGGTTTCCACATTTCTTACAGGAAGAACAGAGGAAGAAAATTTTGACCCAGCAGAGGGTTAGAAAAAATTTGACCCAGCTACAAGACAAGGGAAGGGTAAGTAATGAAAAAGTATTTACCAACTTTTCCTTGAAATTTGTAACGTTCCTTACACACTGATGCATTTTATATACCAGCAGATACAGTGCTTACCTATAATTGTGAGAGCTCTGTATCTACCATTATGATCTCTTTTCAACAATTAACATTTTTTTTTGTCCTCTTGTTTCTAGATCACATTGAAGACACCATAAAGTTTTCCGTTTTATTGTTCTTTGCAAAGATCCAGCTTCTGTTTCATTGATTAGTTCTAATGCTTTGGGGGAAATTTTGATTGTTTCTTGTAGGTTTTTGTTTATATTTTGGCTTTGTTTTTTTAATTGATTAAATTAAATAAGGGATCTTTGATCCTCAATATCACTTTGGGCACATCACAGAATGTTTTGTCAAATTTTACCATGATTTATTTTAGTCTGCACTTGGTTTTTATTACTGTTTTTACACAAAGCTATTCAGGAGTGTGTTTGTACTTCATTTTAAGCTTTCAGATGAAAACACGGAAAGGGAACTATCTTTTTGATGTTACTGTCTAGCTTTATTCAAATGAACTCATTTAATTAGAATTTCTTTATGCCTCAGTTAAATCAGTTTTATAACTATCCCATGACTATGTGAAAAGTCTATAAATCCATATCCCATTCTTTTAGTTGGTCTTTGTTCTGGAACCATACTTTTTATTCACTTTTAGAAACTGCCATACCATTTTAAAAATTATATATGAAGCATGGTAATTTCTCCAATCTCCTTTTTTTTTTTTTTTTTTTTCTGAGACGGAGTCTCGCTCTGTTGCCAGGCTGGGAAACAGTGGTGCGATCTCGGCTCACTGCAACCTCCGCCTCCTGGGTTCAAGCAATTCTCCTGCCTCAGCCTCCTGAGTAACTGGAACTACAAGCACATGTCACCATGCCTAGCTAATTTTTGTATTTTTACAAAAATTTTTACAAAAATACAAAAATTAGTAGAGACGGGGTTTCACCATGTTGGCCAGGATGGTCTGGATCTCTTGACCTCATGATCCACTCGCCTCAATCTCCCAAAGTGCTTGGATTACAGGTGTGAGCTACCGTACCCAGGCTCAAAATTTTTTTCAGTTCTTTCAAAAAGGTAACTCTAGGTGAATCATGATTTTTAAAAGGAAACATACTACATAGAAAAACAGAAATTATTAGTCACTCTGATAGGCTTCAGCTCTTTTACCCATCGTTAGCTATAGCTATAAATGGAATATATCCTTGCAGGTCAGGAGCACAAATAATTTCTTTCTTTTTCCTTAAAACAATAAATAAAGCACAAGACCAAAAAAAAAATAAAATGTTGCTCATGGCTGACTCCTCATGGAAAACAGCAGAATATATTAACTTTTTGAATTTTTTAAATTTAAATTCCCTCTATGCCTCTGTGAGCTTTGACAAAAGAATACAGTGGTATAACCAGCAAAATACCAAGAAAACAGTTCTGTTGGTGAAACACTCCAGGATATTGGTCTCTGCAAAGATTATTTGAGTAAGACCTCAAAAGCACAAGCAGCCAAAGCAAAAATGGACAGATGGGGCGACATCAAGCTAAAAAGCTTCTGCACAGCAAAGGAAACAATCAACAAAGTGAAGAGACAACCCACAAAATGGGAGATATTTGCAAACTAAGTATCTGACATGAGATTAATGACCAAAATACATAAAGAGTTCACACAACTTAATAGGGGGAAAATCCCTCATTTTTAAATGGGTAGAAGATCTCAATAGACACTTCTCAGAAGAAGACATACAAATGGCCAGCAGGTATATGAAAAAAATACTCAAATCATTAATCATCAAAGAAATGCAAATCAAAACCATAATGAGATACCATCTCACATCAGTTAAAATGGCTTATATCAAAATGACAGGCAATAAAGGATGCTGACGAGGATGTGGAGAAAGGGGAGCCCCTAGACACTGGTGGTGGGAATGTAAATTAGCACAGCCACTATGGAGAACAGTATGGTGGTTTCTTAAAAAATTAAAAATAGAACTACCATAAGATTCATCAATCCCAATGCTGGGTCTACATCCAAAAGAAAGGAAATCAGTATATGGAAGAGATATCTAATAGTGCTGTAGTAAACATGGGACAGATTACTGCATTTATACTAAACTCCCATGATTATTGCAGCACTATTCACAGTAGCCAAGATATGGAATCAATCTTATTGCCCATCAAAGGATAAATGGATAAAGAAAACATGGTATATATACACAATTGAATATTATTTAGCTATAAGAATGAAATACTGTCATTTGCAACAACATGAATAGAACTGGAAGACATTATGTTAAATGAAATAAGGCAAGCACAGAAAGACAAATATCACATGTTCTCACTCATATGTGCTAATGTGCTAGCTATAAAAAAGAAAATGAACTCATGGAGGTATAAAATAGAATGATGGTTACCAGAGGCTGGGAGGGGTAGTGGGGAGTGAGGGTTAAATAGGGACTGGTAAATAGGTATGAAAATATAGCTAGATAGAAGGAATAAAATCTAGTGTTCAGTAGCATGGTAGGGTAACTATAGTTAACAATAACTTACTGTATATTTTAAAATAACTGAAAAATGGGATTGAAATATTCCTAACACAAAGAAATGGTAAATGTTTGAGGTAAATGATATCTCAATTACTCTGATTTGATTATAACACATGGTATGCTTGTATCAAAATATCACATCCCCATAAATATGAACTAATATGTATCCATAATTAAAAATTTTAAAATAACAAAATAGTTCCATCAAACAAAAAAAAATCCCTAGTGCTTATTCACAATAGCAAAGACATGGAATCAACCCAAATGCCCATCAATGATAGACTGGATAAAGAAAATGTGGTACATATACACCAAGGAATACTATGCAGCCATAAAAAGAAAAAAGATTATGTCTTTGCAGGGACATGGATGAAGCTGGAAGCCATGATCCTCAGCAAACTAATGCAGGAACAGAAAACCAACCACCACACGTTCTCATTTATAAGTGGGAGCTGAACAGTGAGAACACATGGACACAGGGAAGGGAACAACACACACTGGGGCCTGTCAGGGGAGGCTAGAGGGTTGTGGGGAGAGCATTAGAAAAAAGAGCTAATGCACGCTGGGCTTAAGTGATGGGTTAATAGGTGCAGCAAACCATCATGGCACACGTATATAACAAACTTGCACATCCTGCACATGTACCCCAGAACTTAAAAAATAATAAAATAAAAATCTCTAGTGCTATTTATACCCTTGTAGCCAAATTCTAGCCCAACACCTGGAAACTACTAATCTGTTCTCCATTCTTATAGTTTTACCATTTCCACAATACCATATAAATGCAATTTAAAAAACAGCCTTTTTAGTCTGGCTTCTTCCATTCAATATAATATATTTGAAATTCATCCACTTTATTGTGTGATTTGATAATTGAGTCCTTTTCATTACTAAAAAGTATTCTATTGTATAGATGTACATATAATTTGTTTATCCAGTCTCCAGTTGAGGGGCATTTAGGACTATTTGCAGTTTTGAACAATTACCAGAAAAGAGGGAGAGAGAGAACTGTTAAAAATACTTGCATATAAAGTTTTTGTGTGAACACAGACTTTCATCACACTTGAGTAAATACTTAGGAGTGAGATTGGTGGGTCATGTGATAAATGTGTTTTAATTTTTTTTAAGTGCCAACTGTTTTCCAAGTAATATTTTGCAGCAAGAGGTGAGGGTTCCAGTTGCTCCTCATCCTCACCAGCATTTTGTATTGTCAGGTCTTTGTTTGTTTTCACCATTATAATAGGTGTGTAGTGGTATCTCATCATAGCATCTTTTGTCCCATCTTTTAATTAGGTTGTTTTCTTATTGTTGAGGTTTCAGAATCTTTATATATTCTGGATAAAGGTATTTGCCAGATATGTGAATATCTCCCTAAGATGAAACTGGCCTCACAACACAAATTGGAAAGTGTTCCCTCTTCCGGTGGAGATGGTATAGAATTGGTATTATTTCTCCCTTAATTGTTTAATTAAATTTGTCAGTGAAACCATGCAGGCCTGAAATTTTCTTTGTTGGGAGGTTTTTGTTTTTGTTTTTGAGATGGAGTCTCACTCCATCGCCCAGGCTGGAGTGCAGTGGCATGATCTCAGCTCACTGCAACCTCCACCTCCTGGGTTCAAGCAATTCTCCTGCTTCGGCCTCCCATGTAGCTAGGACTACAGGCACATGCCACCACACCCAGCTAATTTTTGTATTTTTAGTAGAGACGAGGTTTTACCATGTTGGCCAGGCTGGTCTCGAACTCCTGGCCTCAGGTCATCAGCCCACCTTGGCCTCCCAAAGTGCTAGGATTATAGGTGTGAGCCACTGCGCCCAGCCTGTTGGGAGGTTTTAAAATATAAATTATATTTATTTAATAGCTATAGGACTATGCAGGTTATCTATTTCATCTTAAGTGAATTTTTGGTAGTTTGTGTTGCTCAAGGACTTTTTCCCTTTCATCTACATTGTCAAATGTATGCCCATAGAGTTGCTTGCAGTAATCTCTTATTATACTTTGAGTATCTATAGTGTCTGTAATGATATCTTCTCTTTCATTCTTGATATTAGCAAATCTATTCTTTTCATTCTTTGTCAGTCTGGCTAAAAGTTCATTGATTCCATTCATCACTTAAAAATCCAGCTTTTGGTTTCACTGATTTTCATTATTGCTTGTGTTCAATTTCATTGATTTCTACTTTAATCTTTATTATTTCCTTCATCTGCTTACTTTGGGTTTAACTTGTTCTTTCGCCAGTTTCTTTAGATGGGGGTTTAGATTCATAATTTAGAACTTTCTTTTCTCTCTTGGTGCTTTCAAGATTTTCTCTTTGTTGGCCGGGTGCAGTGGCTCATGCCTGTAATCCCAGCACTTTGGGAGGCCGAGGCGGGCGGATCGCCTGAGGTTGGGAGTTCGAGACCAGTCTGACCAACATGGAGAAACCCCGTCTCTACTAAAAATACAAAAAGTTAGGCGTGGTGGCACATGCCTGTAATCCCAGCTACTTGGGAGGCTGAGGCAGGAGAATCGCTTGAACCTGGGAGGCAGAAGTTGCGGTAAGCTGAGATCGTGCCATTGCACTCTAGCCTGGGCAACATGAGCGACACTTCGTCTCAAAAAAAAAAAAAAGATTTCTCTTTGTTTCTCAGCAATTTTAGTACTGTGGCTAAGTGTGACTCTTTGTATTTAAACTTGAAGTGCATTGAGCTTTTTGGATGCGCAAATTGATGTTTCTCATCAAACTAGAAATTTTGCAGCCAATCATTCTTCAAACGTATTTTCTGCTCCTTTGTCTCCTCTTGTTCTGGTACCCGCATTACACATATGTTGGTGCACTTATGGTATTCCACATTTCCGTGAGGCAATGTTCATTTTTCTGCATTCTTTTTTCACTCTCTTCTTTGGCCTGCATAATCTCTATCAATCTATCTTCAAGTTCACTGAATCTTCTGCCAGTTCAAATCTATTGCTGAGCCCCTATGGTGAATTTTTCACTTCGGTTATACGGTTTAACACTATAATTTCCATCTGTTTTTTTTTTTTGCTTTTTGTTTTTAGAGATGGGGGTCTCACTATGTTGCCCAGGCTGGAGTACAGTGGCTATGCCTCCTGAGGAGCTGGAACTATAGGTGCATGCCACTGTGCCCAGCTCTGGTTCTTTTTCATAATTTAAATCTCTTTATGATATTCTGTATTTGATGTGATATGGTCATCACAGCTTTCTGTTTTTTGCTCTTGTTTTTGTTTTTTTCAGACAGAGTCTCGCTCTGTCGCCCAGGCTGGAGTGCAATGGTGCGATCTCGGCTCTCTGCAACCTCCACTTCCCAGGTTCAAGTGATCCTCCTGCCGCAGCTTCCCAAGTAGCTGGGACTACAGGTGTGCACCACCATGCCCAAATAATTTTTTGTATTTTTAGTAGAGATGGGGTTTCACTATGTTAGCCAGGATGGTCTTGATCTCTTGACCTCGTGATCCGCCCACCTCAGCCTCCCAAAGTGCTGGGATTATAGGCATGAGCCACTGCGCCTGGCCCATCACAGCTTTCTTTACTTCTTTAAACATCGTTTCCTTTAGTTCTTTGAACACATTTATAATGGCTATTTTGAAGTCTTTGTTTGTTAAATCTGGTCTCACAGGCCATTTCTGTTGCATAATTTTTCTCTGTATAAGGGCCATACTTTCCTGTTTCTTTGCATGTCTTATAATTTTTTTTCTTGAAAATTGGACATTTTAGGTAATACAATGTAGCAACTTTGGACACTGATTCCCCTCTCCATGAGTAATTTTAGTTGTTTTCATTTGTTTATTTGATTAGTGGCTTGGCTAGACTATTTCATAAAGTATATTTCTCCCACAGGGTGAAGACTTTGGAATCACCCCTCAGTGTATGCAGCCTTGGGCATGCATACAGTCACCTGTGATGACAGTGGATTTAGCAGGGCTCCTCTGTTTTTTCCCCTTATCTTTTTGTTGAACTCTATATCTAATTTGATATGACACCCAGCTATTATGTCTACTAATTGCTGGCTGTTTGTTCTATTATTTTCAACAACACCCTGGGTCATAAATTGCTCCATAGGCTGATCCAATTAAATTCAGGCAGGGGTAGATGCTGAGGTAGTCTCTGAGGATTGTTCTGACCCCAGGAGGACTCTTCTTAGCTGTCTCTGTCCCTGGTTCTCTCTGGTGAATGTACTAGCCTGTGGTTTAGCTTACTGCTGTTAATTAGTAGGAACTACCAGTCTCCTCTTTAAAAATCTCCATTGTTTTCTACAGCATCCTTAGGTTTGAACTTCCCAACACTGTTTCCATTAGTCCATTTCTTTGAGGAGAGCTTCTGATCTCACTGGTCTTCAGACTGCCTCTCCCCCTGTACAAAAATCTATGAGCTACTACACTGGGCACTGTGCAGAGGGAGTAGCTTTCTTGTTCCCGGCTTGCATCTCTTGGAGTGAAATCTCTATCCTATGAACAAGTCGAGGTAAGGACAATGAAGGCCACAGTATTCTTGACCTACTGTGTCTGGGGTAGAGCTTCTGCCCTATCAGTCTTGGCTGAGTGGAGGAAAAGAGCCCTTTCCCCCAACCACTAAGCTGCACTCACCAGGAATTTAGCCACCTCCACTTAGACTTCAAAGGGATAAGAAATGCTGGCAGCATGCCCCTCCCAATACAATACTGTATCCCTTGATTGGGAGCTCAGGGGAGAGAAACTTCATCTTCTTTGCCACACCCACTGGGAATGGAATTTCTGTGAAGCTGAGCTGGAGAAGGAACAGGGGAAAAGTGAAAGCGAGTCATGGTTGAAGTGCCAAAAACTCTTGCTGTTCTTACCAAGCTGTAGTTGATTTTCTTGAATAAATGTCTTCATTTGCTCTATGCCTTTAGGACAATTTCCAGATTTAATTACCAATTAGCAATTATGCTTGTTTTGCTAGGGAGCACATCTGTGGAGCTCCTCATGCTACCATTCTAGAAATAGAAACCCCCTCTTCTTTTCTAAAATAAGTATTTCATGCTGTAAATTTCCCAATGAAACCTACTTGGGCTACATCCCACACATTTTGATATGTTGTGTTGTCATTTTAAAATATTTTCTCATTTCCCTTGAGATTTTTTCTTTTACCCCTGGATTATTTAGAAGTGTGTTGTTTAATTTCTAAATATTTGTGGATTTCCCAAATAATTTGTTACCAATCTCTAGTTTAATTCTCTATGATCTGAAAAATTATTATCTTAATCATTATAATTATATTGTAAGGTTCTGAAAAATGGCGATGCTTGTTCATTTGTCTCAGTGGACAGTCAACTGCATTCAGATCAGTCTGCGAATTCCATCTCTCCTACGGACAGTAGCTCTGGTGTCAGTTTCAAGTTTGAAGTCTTTACTATGTCATTTGAGTCTGCCTCTCACATGTACCACTCAAGGGGTGGTCTGGGACTAGGGCAATAGTTTACATGACAGTTCAGTTCTCTAAGACTTCTATGAGGCTATGATTTGGGGGCTATGTTCCACACATGTCCACCTTGGGGAAAGACTGGAACTTGTATGGTTCATACACAGACTACCAATCCCCTTCTCCCACTCTTTCCATTCCTGGATTTCCCTGCATACTCTCTGGCTCTGAGAGCTTCTTTTCCAGTCCCACTGGCCAAACTCTGAAGGAACCTCATTGCACTATTGTACAGTTCCAGGTGACTAGGCATACTCTCAGAGGAAAGTATAATAGCAAGCGAAAATACATGGGAAAAAAAAAGTATATAAAATGTTCCTCCCATATTCTTTGCATGAAGAGAGGTTTCTTTTATCTGTTGATCCAGCCAAACAGATGGGCGCTAACTGCTGCCCTTATACCACAATAGCATAGTTTTTCCACTGGGGCTGGTCTAGAGGCAGGGCCAAGAAAGAAAAAAAAAAATCCCCTCACATTCTTCCATTCTCCCACTTCTCTGGCCAAAAAGATGGGCTGCTCTGTAAGTTTCTGCCATCCATGCCTGCTACACAATCCCTCAATTTGGCCCACCCTGGAGTCAAAGCTGGGAGTTAAGGAAGAAAAAAAACACAAACAGAAAACCAGGAAACTTCCTGCCACTATATCAGTGATTCTTCATATTCCAACTTCCCTCTCAATCGGCCTGTTATTATTGACTTTTCAGAGTCCCCAGTTGGTTTGCTTTTTGTATTTTGTCCAGAATTCTTGGTTGTGGGAGAACCTGGCTGTAATAGATTTACTCATGGCCAGAAGTTTACATTCACTTTTAAAAGAAATAAATGTCAACTTCTCAAATAAAACTCTGAATATAGTTACACTCCCCAAAAGCAAGCTTTGGGGAAAATGCTATAAATACTGTTACGGCTTTGTTTGTTTTTTATGAATAATAAATATTTACTATTTAAAAAAACACTTAAAATGTTAAGAAAATAAGTGCTGATATTTTACCATGTGGAATTATCAGCTACCATTTTGAGTAGATACTTCCAGATATTTTTAAACTCTAGAGAAAGACAAAGAGAATTTGTCTTATCAAAGTATTAATTTTTTATGTAAACCACTCTCATAACTCTTCTTCATTTGGGTAACTTTGTCCTAGTCTCAAAATCTGACACTTTCACTCATTTGTGGAAAACTACAGCCAAATGAGAAGCCTAAAATATCAGAATTTTCAGCTCAGTTTCTCTCCCAGACCATTGCGTAGTATGAAATGGACAGGAGTCAGGCATGGTGGTGTGCACCACCAGCTACTCAAGAGGCTGAGGCAAGACGATCACTTGAACCCATGAGTTCAAGGCTGCAGTGAGCACTATGATCATGCCACTGCACTTTAGCCTTGGTGACAGAGCAAGACCCTGTCTCTAAAAAAAAGAAAAAATAAGAAAATGGGCAGGTTTCTAACCTACATGAAAAAAAAAGCATGAAATTGCCTAAAATAAAACTAGATAAGACAGCTGAAATTAGATGCTTACTTAATGAGAATTGTCCCAACTAATCATACCACAAAGTACCCCATTAATGAACACATTTCCCTTCTCTGTAACCTTAAGTAAAATTACAATAAAGACCCATGAAGAAGAGGAAAAGAAAAGAAAAAAAAGAAGAGAAAAAGAAGAGAAAGGAGAAAAAGGAAAAAATAAGAAAAGAGACTACAAATCTCTGTGTAATTAGAATTGCAAAGAAAATATTATCAATTCAATTACCACACAAGAGTAAGGATAACATAATTTTCTTAGGATAAAAGTTGGTCTTTCTATGTATGGCCATTTTTCTTTTAAACCATCAGTCAATAATGACCATGATTTTTAGTGCTAAATTTAAAAGCTTCATTCAATGGAAGATTTCAATTGTGTCAGCAAGCTAATTTTTCCCATCCATTTCTATACCTATAAGGTAGATAAAGGGATTTAAATTCAAAGAGAGACAGGATGCTTAACTTGTTTCATGATTGTGATTTTCATTGAATGTTAATATTATATGCCTCACTTATCAAAGAAAATTCACAAGCACATTCTAGAAACCAGAATGAACATACTTATGACTTTTTCCTACTACCTTAAAACTGTAGCACTTTACAAAGGAAGCTACAAATAATTCCTAGTCAACATCAAAAACTTCCAATATTCCTGACATAGATCTTAAGATATTACATTAATCGCAAAATAAATAGAATCTAAAACTTGAAAAACCAAATAAGACATAATTTTTAAAGTTTTTTTTCAAATGGGTACACATAGAGTGTTTCACAATGATCCACGAGTCACTAAAGGGAGAATGTTCCAAAGCCTCCATCCATGCAAGCACTCAAATGAACTTACAAATAGCGAATACCCACAGCACAAACATTCAGCTTGTGACTTAGAGAGTCAGACACGAAATAGGTAAAAAATATATTGAGAAAGCAAGAAAGCGTCATAAAAACTAAATGTTGAAAAGTTTAAATATTAAGAAAAAATACAAGAGAAAAATATCATTGCTAGTTTTTAATAAATAAATCTCTATTTGAATTATGTATTCCTAGAAAAAATACTAACATACTCCTGGGAAAATAAAGAATACATTTGGGAATTTGATTTCTGGGAAAATAAAGAATATATTTGGGAAAAATTTGATTTTTTAACAAAAGCTAGAAAATTCAAATTCTACAACATCTAAGGCATCAGAATGAAGGTGTTGACAGTAACATCAGTAATATAAAAAATGTATCCGTAGTCCAGAGCACAAAAATTAACTCTGGCTACTAATGGATCACTCAGAGGAAGAAAGAAAACAAGCCAGTCACACATTCTCAGACAAAACTAAAATCAAAGCAAAATCTAAGCTTTCTAATAAATTGAATACTTAAATTATTCTATTTAAAGAGATATTGCTCAGCCTGATTAATGCCTATATGGTACAAATATATAAAAATGCAAGACTTATATTTTACACTGTAAGTGTATTCTTTGAACAATAAAAATGTGAAACAAAACCCTAGACAGACCTACTTTTAAAGTATTACCTCACAATATCTTAAATGTTTTATTTTAATTTTATTATACCAAGGAAAGATTTAATTCTCAGAACAGTTAAACAACCGTGAAAAGTACTCTATGTGCTAAGTAATGTATATCATGTTTCAAGTGGCTAAGGGCAAAGGTGAGTTTAAAAGGATAGCTCCAGAATTTTCTTTTCCACTTTGATGTTGCTCTCTGGCAAAAGGAATTTGTCTTTCTGAAGGATTTCCTGTGCTCTTCTCCCACACTGGTAACAGGACTTGCCTCCAATGGCAACTTCCCCTGCACCTTAAAACATGAAAATGTTTTTCTTTTGATTTATTATCCTCCTCTCATCAATTCTACTTCTCTCCTTCTCTAGAAAACTCCCAAAATTAATAGGAGGCCCACATTACTTTAATTTCCTATCCATTTCCCAACCTTCTAACTGTGCCCATTCCATGAACCAGACATCCTCCCTTACTCTGCTCTCCACCCAGACCTCCTGACTCTCTGAGCTCTCCAAAGATTAGAGCTGTTCTAGTCTCCGGGCGCAGCTGCCTCCTCAAACAGTGTGACTCCAACATATACCTCCAGCTCTTGACTCTCAGGAAGCTCTAGGCCTTGAACTATCCCATTTAACCTTACCAGTTTTCAAACTCCACTATTTAAATTAAAACCTTTAAAATGGATCCGCCCTCATCTGACAGTCAATTAACTGACAAAAGGCCAACATTTCCGTTTCTCAGAACCAAGCCTTTAGGTGCCCTTCAGTTCAGCCTTTCAATCAGTCACTTAGCACATTTTACTCTCTCAAAAGTTTTTCCTTTTTACCTTTCCCTCCTCCCAGCAATCATACTAACATGGAGTCCACTATAAAGACCTAAAACGGCCAGGCGCGGTGGCCCACACTTGTAATCCCAGCACTCTGGGAGGCCAAGGTGGGCAGATCACCTGAGGGTCGGGAGTTCGAGACCAGCCTGACCAACATGGTGAAACCCCCGTCTCTACTAAAAATACAAAAATTAGCCAGGCATGGTGGCACGCACCTGTAATCCCAGCTACTTGGGAGGCTGAGGCAGGAGGATTGCTTGAACCCAGGAGGCAGAGGTTGCAGTGAGCCACAATAGCACCACTGCACTCCAGCCTGTGCGACACAGCAAGATTCTGTCTCAAAAAAAAAAAAAAAAAAAAGACAGAAAGAAAAAGTATAAGAAAAAAAAAGACCTAAAAGATAATCAAGACCTTGTCTGCATTTCTACTCATATCCAATAGAACTTTCATAATCCCACCAAGTCAATTTCCCTAAAGCACTGCTTTCATTAAAGACCATTATTAGTAGGAAGTTTTTAAGTTTTTTGAAATAACAATCCCTAATGTCAGTGAATAGGTGGAAAATGGACAACTGATATACTGCTGGTTGAAGAAAATGGACAACTGATACTGCTGGTTGAAATTGGTATGAACCTTCTGGAAGACAATGTACCAAAGATGTAATGTAAGCTAAGAAAGCAATCAAATATGTATAAAAAGATTCTTATAAGGAATTTTACTGCAAAATTACTTGTGTTAAACAAACTGGGAGCAATTCAGATGTCCAAAAATAGCAGAACACTTAAAAAGTTTATGGAATATCCATCCGAAAGAAAAATAAATGCTACCATTCACAGTCATTTATATAGAATTCTTATAAATTCATATAAAATGTTAAATTGCATATAAGATAGCATTTATAATAAATTTTGTTGAATCTTATAAAAACACACAGAAAAAAGGGAGGAAAAGATATGTTATATAACAAAATGTTAACACAGGTCTCTGTTGATTTTTATTCCTCTGATTTTCTATATTTTTCAAATTACAAATTATTTTTATAATAAAACATATTCTAAAATCATTCTAAGCACTTTTTGTTGTTTCCTCAAAGCATTTAAACAGTTAGCATTTATGTAAAGTGAAATGAGAAAAAAAAAATGCAGGGCTCAATGTTGCCTAAAATTTAAAAGCTAAACTTCTCAATTTAGCATTCAAAGCTCCAATGCAACGCAGCCTGACACAGTGCCCACAGATTCCATACATAAATTCCAAACACCCAATCACGACAGCTCACTTACCCCACTACATCTTTCTTCGTGCCTATTTCTGCCTCCAATTCCCACCTCTCTACCTCTCCAAATACTTTCATGACCCTCAGCCTCTATAAACTGTTTTCCGTAAGAGCTGCTCATCCATGGGGTCCCCTTGAGTGTTTTTAACCCAAATGGCTGTGTTGCTTCAAGTTCTCCCTTCCCTCCCCTCCACCTCGGGCGACTCACATAACTCATCTTGGTATTCTACCATATACTATCTTTAATTATTATTTATTATTATTTAACTATTTTATGTGCATATCTCTTATTTCACACATAACAAAGTTAGCTTGTTGGGGACAGGGACTATTTTATGTTTGTTCAGAATGTTATTTATTTCCTATACTTAAGCCCTTCTCAAGGCCACACAGTAACATATGTCTAACATCCAACGTTCACTGAATAAAATCAAATTAGTTCAGATATTATACACATACAATATGATTTTGACACATCTATATATACATAAAGCAAATACTTTTTTTTACCCCAAGATTCCAACTATTAAGGCGAGCTTCAATGTCACTATCATCCAAAGAAACAGGAGATTTTTTCGAATAAACTTCCTGAAATACAAAAGGGAAAAAGGAAGAGGAGAGGAAGGAAAGATGGAAGAAATAAAAGGAAAAGATGGAAGAGATAAAAGAGGAAAAGATAGAAGAGATAAAGGGAAATAAAGAGGAAGGAAGTAAAAAAGGAAAAAAGGAAGAAAGGAAGGGATGAAAAGAAGGGAAAGAGGGGGAAGGGAGGGAGAAAAAGAAGAGAAAGAAGTGGGACGGGAGGGAGAAAAAAAGAACAAAATACATGTCATTCAGCGCAATGAGAGTTTTGTGTGCTTGTCTGGTAATGCTGTATTGCCCTCAGAGGAAAGGATTAGGTTACAACTGAACTAGGGTTCTCAGTTCTAAGTAATGACTGCTGAGGGCTATGAGCTGCCTTAACAATATATTCACACAGCAACTAAATTTCAAAAAAAAAAAAATTAAAAATTAATCCAGGCTCTTCTCTTTAAGTTCTTTTACAAAAAGTTTTAATTGTGGTATACCACAGTAGCTTTAAAGTGTATTGTCGGGGGCAGGGGCGACGTGAAAAGATGAATTATTCTCATAAAAATTAGTTAACAGGGAAGTTTTGTGATGATGTCCAAGAAGCTCTTTGTTCTTAAATTAATTCTCACTCACACACTGAACATAAAGATAAATAATCTTTGGACTCACATCATAAAAACACAATTATGGTTGGGCACAGTGGCTCACACCTGTAATCCCAGCACTTTGGGAGGCCGAGGCGGGCAGATCACGAGGTCAGGAGATCAAGACCATCCTGGCTAACAGGCTGAAACCCTGTCTCTACTAAAAATACAAAAAAATTAGCCGGGCGTGGTGGTGGGCACCTGTAATCCCAGCTACTCGGGACGCTGAGGCAGGAGAATGGTGTGAACCCGGGAGGTGGAGCTTGCAGTGAGCCAAGATCACGCCACTGCACTCCAGCCTGGGCGACAGAGCGAGACTCCGTCTCAAAAAAAAAAAAAAAAAACACACACAATTATGGTGATTCTTCACTTTTTAAAACATAACAATTCCATGCTTTTTTCCCTCCTGTATAATTTTTGTATTACACATTTATCAGCCCCAGATGAAAACTATAATGAACTAGAGACAACCTAAGATCTGTACCCAGAAATTGACAATGACCAGAAAACCCTAAAAACTAAGAAAGGTAAGTCTGTGGAAAAGAATGGCTACCTGACAGCCCAGAAAGTGTATTTTAAAATTAGATTTGTTGATACAGCATTCTCATGCTTTTAGAAGGCTTAATTGCTAACAAATGTACCTATTTATATCTATGGTCATTTAAATTACTATGAAGTAATTTTTTTAAATGCACTAAAATGTTCTTCATATTTTACTGAGTTTCTACATTTCTTTTCAATACAATACTGCATTATTATTTATAATACTATATTAAAATTCATTATCACTTCTACTAGTGGTCCTCTGCTTTTTGTATGTTTTTCTCATGAACAAGAATTTCTTAAATAAGACAATGTACCTGCCTTGCTTATTCTGAGTAAATATAATGATTGTAGTTTATCACTATTTAAAATATGCTGCCCTTTATATTTTTTTAATTCCAAATTATCATTCGATAAAATGCAATGAGTTATGTATATAGTGCTATGTGCTAAAACAGTCATGTGTTGGCCGGGGGCAGTGGCTCACGCCTGTCATCCCAGCACTTTGGGAGGCTGAGGCGGGCGGATCACGAGGTCAGGAGATCAAGACCATCCTGACTAACACAGTGAAACCCCGTCTCTACTAAAAATACAAAAAATTAGCCAGGTGTGGCGGCAGGCGCCTGTAGTCCCAGCTACTCGGGAGGCTGAGGCAGGAGAACGGCGTGAACCCGGGAGGCGGAGCTTGCAGTGAGCCGAGATCATGCAGGTGCCACTGCACTCCAGCCTGGGCGACAGAGCAAGACTCCATCACAAAAAAACAAAAACAAAAACAGTCATGTGTTACACATGCTTTCTCTTGTAACTAAAAGTCATGTAACTCAAGACAGCCAGAGTTAGGCAATAAAGACTGGAATAAGCAGGCACAGTGTTTCTCTTTTCCAAGCTAACTGGGGCTGGGTGCAGTGGCTCATGCCTGTAATCCCAACACTTTGGGAGGCTGTGGCGGGTGGATCACTTGAGGTCAGGAGTTCAATACCAGCCTGGTCAACATGGTGAAACCCTGTCTCTACTAAAGATACAAAAATTAGCCAGGCATGGTGGTGCATGCCTGTAGTCTCAGCTACTTGGGAGGCTGAGGCAGGAGAATGGCTTGAACCCGGGAGGCGGAGGTTGCAGTGAGCCAAGATTGCACACCACTGCTCTCCAGCCTGGGCAACAGTGAGACTCCATCTCAAAAAAAAAAAAAAAAAAAAAAAAAAAAAAAAAAAAGCTAACTGGAGTGCTCATTAGCACCTTGTCCAAAGCAAATCTATGTTGAACAAATAGATGCAAGACAGACATTCTTATTTCAAAATATACAGTTTACCTTCATTAGAAAAGCAGTGTTCCCTACTTCACTACAAGTTAATTCCAGCTTCTTCTTAATTTTATGATCACTGGGTATATAATCATTTCCACATAAATTCTGAACAAAGGGAAAATGTTATTCTTTGACACACAGGAGAAACAACAGATTGATGAATATAACACCTCAGAATCATTGAGGAAGTAGAAGGGATACTACACTATATACCAAACACCCCACCTTCTTTAACATCAGGATGTTCACCAGAATCATCCAACTTTATTCTGTTTTGAAGCAATCATTGGTACTTCAACAAATGAAATTAAAACTTTGTTCAGCTATTTTAAAACAACAAGCAAAAACCAAACAAAAGTAAAATCTAATCTTACACAAATCTTTGGGGTAATATTTTGTCCATCTTCTCTGTGAGTTGGACTCAAGGAGTGTGATCTCACTCGGAGCTTCCCAGTGTACTGTTCCCTGCTAAGAGACCAAAATAATCGCAATCACAATTTGGAGAATTCAGAGGACACAGAGTATTAGAATCTAGGATTACCATTTCTTTCCCTTGGAACTGAGATGATAGTTTGTATTAACAATGATGTTCCATAGCCGGGCGTGGTGGCGAGTGCCTGTAATCCCAGCTACTTGGGAGGCTGGGGCAAGGAGAATCACTTGAACCTGGGAGGCAGAGGTTGCAGTGAGCTGAGATTGTGCCACTGCACTCCAGCCTGGGAGACAGTGCGAGACTCATCTCAAACAACAACAACAACAACAAAAAACACACAAAAAATGATGTTCCACATCAAAAAAAAAAAAGAAAAGAAATACAAGTAATAACCTTTTTATTTATATTTCATTTCATTTAAATTATAAGAAGTTACATAAATGCCACAGACTTGCTTATGCAAATGCTATTTTTAAGTCAGACTGTAATAAATCACCTGTATTTAAATCTTTTCTCCTCCTTTCCCATTTTTCCCAAGTGTAAAAAGAGAGAAAATGAAGCATATATTCTACGGGAAGAACATTGTTTTAAGGTCAGCAAACTTGGTTGGATTCATGTTCCACATCAACATGAAGCCTTAAAATATATAAAATAACAAAACCTTCATGTAGTTTAAAGTTTCAATTAATTTGAAAGCATGTCAGAAACCACAGATATATCAAAATCTTCTATTTAAAAACACACCATGTTAATTTAGGTAAAATGTGAAATGCAGAGTAAGTAGGAAATGAGTTTAAATGGACTTCATCAAAAAGACTCGTCTCTAATATAAATATCATATAAAATACATTCTTAAATGGCCTCCTTTAGCCTGGAGTCTCTCTTATATGATTTTATTCAAACCACTTCAATGCAAGTCCCATGATTATGAACACCTATTCTCTGAACAACTGCTTCAAGATATATTAAATGGAAAATAACCATTATACAATGAATTAAAGTCACTAACATTCAACCACAAACCATATTAGGATTTCCTTCACAAACTGTGACCTACACGAAGTATTTCTAAAAGACAGAATGTTAATTCAAAAGACAATATTAAAACAAATGTATTTTGTAATTAAAACTCACAGAATAACATTCCTTAGACTAGTTAATAAGTAATGTAAAATGGCTGAAAAAGCTGTTTTAAAGAGAGCTGTTTTTTTTAATACCCCTATTCAGTAGTACAAACATCCAAATAGTTAAAATCAAATGAGAAAAATGGGCAAAGTTAATATTTTGAGTATAATTGTACCAGTCAATGTGCATCAGCTGATACAAGCATTTAAAACTCTATGAGGAGAGGTAACCTGATATGTCATACTAAGCAGTGGCGTATTCTTAAGAATAGATTAAATAATCATAAAAAGATCTATACTTAAAAATTGAAAAATGCTTAAATATTAAAATTCTTCTCATAAAAAAATACTAATTTAAAAATGAGCCTGAAATGTTTATCTATTTATTGCACAGGGTTGCATACATAAAACGACACACCCTCTTGTTTCACTTGTAGCTGTCCTTCTGTACCAACCTCTTTACCCTCACGATAAATTTTCAAAAATGTTATTGGGTCCATGCTCTAACTTGTCATATATTTTTCAATCAACTACAGTATGACTTGCATTCATCCCAAAAGTCCTATAACTAAGGTCATCAACAGTCTCCTAGACACTCAAGAAAATGAGTCATAATCTGTCCTTAATTTAGTTGATCTCACTAAAACATTAGAGATAGTAGTTTAAAGATGCTGCATTCAATGGCTCCATAAAACCATTCTCTGGCCAGGTGCAGTAGCTCACAACTGTAATCCCAGCACTTTGGGAGGCCAAGGTCAGCCTATTGCTTAAACTCAGGAGTTTGAGACCAGCCTGGGCAACATGCGACAAAAAGCAGTCAGTCGGGCATGGTGGTACATGCCTGTGGTCCCAGCTACTTGGGAGGCTGAGGTAGGAGGATCACTTGAGACCAGCGGGAGGTTGAGGCTACAGTGAGCTGTGATTGTTCCACTGCACTCCAGCCTGGGTGACAGAGTGAGACCCTGTCTAAAAACAAACGAACAAACAAAAACCATTTTTCCATGGTTCTCATCCTATCATTCAGAGATCTCCTTCACAATAACCTTCACTAGCTTTCTTTGCCCATCCCATACATGCTGTGATCCCAGAGTTCTGTGTCTAATTTATTTTCATTTTACATGCTTTCTCTGGATGATCCAATGTATTAGTTTTTCAAATAATAAGTTTTGCTTACAAAATCTACATCTATAGTCCAAATTGCTCCCTTGGCCTCCAAACCCATTACAAAACAAAATGAATAGCCCTACTTCCAATTCAACATGTCCATTATTATTAACTAAACTTACTATGTTACCCCTAATACGTGCTCCAATGAAGCCCAAGTAATGGAGAGGCATTGCAGAAGCCAGCTTCTTGTGAAGGCATTTGAGCCAACTGAAGGAGAAGGTTGGTATCATTGTTAAAATCTGGCTGGCACAAGAAAAACAGGACATTAGGTACAGATGTTTCATTTTCTGCCATAAGACTGTCTCCAGCTGGAAACAACTTAAACTCTAAGTAAGTACAAAGGCTGAAATTCAGTGATGGCACTAGTGGTCTGAGTGAACAGTGAAACAGAAAGTGGGAGAAAAGTTCAACCTTAAAAGCCTTTTTATGAATAACAAGTGCCACACGCCACACAGAATAGCAAGTCCTGGTGCTTATAAGCACAACCTACAATTGGTACAGGGGACCTGATCACAGTGAGCTCATAATATGGTACTTGTGCCAAGCAGAAAAGCGGTATTGTGCCTCAATTAATTTCAGGATGCCAAAACCAACATGGAAAGAAAAAATTCAGTACATTTGTAACATTCCCTGACATGCCCTTTACTACTCTTAAGCCATAAAACTAGGAGAATATAAATTTTCCCTTTCACTTTTTCCTAATGAGAAAATATTTCAACAGGAATTCACAAACACTCTCAAAGTATCAATGCTGATTCTTAATACTAGAAAAATATAAACTTATCCCTGTACAGATAAAGAAATAAGGAATGATACTATATATAGATATAGATATAGATATAGATATATAGATATAAAGCCTAAAGGAAGACCAATCAAATGTCCTCCTGTAAAAGAAAATTACTTTAGGGGGTGACGTCAGATGTCAGCAAGACTCTCCTTCTCTCAATGGACACATAAATTCAACAACAATACATAGACCAAAATTTCCTTTGTGAGACATCCAGAGACCAGATGAGAGGCTCCTGTACTCCAGGCAAGCATGAAACCAACCACACTGAAGCCAGTAGGAAAATTTGTGGAATCCTCTTGCGCCATAAGCAAGGTTACTTAAGGGACTTGTTGCTGTCTTGCCTGAATCTTAGCTGTGACAGGAAAGGGTCCCAGGTTGGGAACTGCTGAGAACGAAGCCTCCAGTTTGGACTAGTATGCAGTAACTGACCATAGCCCCTCCCACCAGCTCAGAACTAGCAGGTGGAAACCCCCAGTCCCAACTTCTCCCTGGGGAACGAAAAAGCTGAAGCATCTGTCCAACATTCTGGCTTTTGGAAGGGGCTGCCTAAGGGACCGGATTCTGCAAGTACTCACAGGACTGGTATTCTCTAAATGCCTGGGGACCACTGAGAACAAAGGTGGTGGTTTGGACTAGTAAACACTCACGGCCAGAGCTCCTACCCCTGGCTCAGCACAATTAGAAAAACTCATGGTCCACAGCTTCTCCCTGGGGAGGGAAAGAGAAAACTAAAGCATATATCCAACATTCAGACTCTTGGGGGACTGCCCAAGGAACTTGTTTCTGTCTCATCTGTCTTGAAGCACTGGTGGGACGCAGCATAAACTAAGTGCCTAGGGGCAGCTGAAACTAAAAAAGCAAGTAATAACCAAAAAAGGATTGAGCCAGTGTGCTACTAGCTCCAGAAGGCCCATGGTACAAGACACAGAATAAGAAGGAACAAGAGATTATGATCTCCTAAAAACAGAAACCAGAAAATCCCACTATTTAGAAATTTACACACAGAAGTCCAGAGAAGACATATCCACAGAAAAAGTTTATGAGGACCCCAGAATCTCTACTCAGGCCGATTCTTGAAGGTCTGCCCCTGTACAAAGCCAATCCATAAAGACTGGGAGAAGCGGCTGTTTTTCAAATATGCAGACATTAACACAAAGGGTCAAGGAAAATGAAAAATGGCCCAAAGAAAGGAACAAAATAAATCTCCAGAAACCAACCCTAAAGAAATGAAGGTAAATGGATTAGCTGGTAAGAATTAAAAACAACCATAATCAAAATATTCAATAAGCTTAGGATAAATTATGCATAAACAAAATGAGTATTTTAACAAACAAAATATTTTTAAAAAGAAAAATTTGAGGGCTGAAGAATACAATAACTGAACTAAAAACTTAACTAAAGGGGCTCAACAGCAGCCTTGATCAAGTACAAGAAAGAATCAGTAAACTCAAAGACAGGACATTTGAAATTATACATTCCACAAGAGCAAAAATGTTTTTAAAAGACTGAAGAAAACATAAGAAACTTATGAGACACTATCAAGCAGGCCAATTTACATATTACTAAAGTTAGAGAAAGAGAAGAGAGAGAAAAGCAGTAAGCTTATTTAAAGAACTAATCTGAAGAGAAAAATGGACATCCAGATTTATGAAGCTCAAAGAATCCCAAGTAGGTTGAATGTAAAGAGATCTACACCAGGACACATTATAATCAAATTGCCAAAAGTCAAAGACAAAGAATTTTGAAATCAAAAAGAGAAAAGCAACTCACTACATACAAAGGAGACTCATAAAACTGTAAAAGGATTTTTCAACAGAAACTTTATAGGCCAGGAGAGAATGGGATGATATATGCAAAGTACTGAAAGAGAAAAACTGCCAGTCAAGGATATTATTATATACCATGCAAATCTGTCCTTTAAAAATGAAAGAGAGATACGGTCCCAGATAAACAAAAGTTGAAGGAGTTCATCACCACTACACTTGACTTAAAAGAAATTCTAAAGGGAGTTCTTCAAGTTGAAATGAAAGGACACTAGTTAGTAGCATGAAAACACATGAAAATATGAAACTCACTGATAAAATTATATATAAAATACAGATTACTCTATTGATATAATAGTGGTGCATAAATCATTTTCAACTTCAACATAAAAATGAAAAGATGAAAGTCTTAAAAATAACTATAACAGTTACTGAAACACCAGGAGTCCAGTCTAGGTCCCATTGCTCACCGCACAGAAAGTCAATCAATGAGATCAATGAGACAATGAGTATTGCTAGGGAAGAAGGCTTTATTTGGGCACTGCAGCCAAGCAGATGGGAGATCAGTATCAAATCCATCTCCTCGCCCAACTAAAATTAGTTTATATAGCAGGAAGAACTGTAACTACCTGTGGGAAAACAGGAATTAGGGACTGGTAAGGAAGAGGAGTTCGTCAACAGGAAGCAGGTGGTTGGTCAGGCAATCATGATAGGTGAGGGGTCTGGCATAACATTGTCTAGATGCAGTGATCTGGTAAGTTTCAGTTCCTTGATACTATCTGGGATACCTGATGGTTGGTTTCCAGAGACAGGAACTCAAATAAGACAAACGTTAAGTTTCTCCAGTGTTAAGACTGGGTGGGTTAATTTCTATGTTTATTCAAAAAAACCATAAACATCCATTTTATGGGACAACTTGGATGGTTTCATACCACAAAATAATTTGTTAATGAATACAGAATATTAAAAGGTGAAAATCGGGACATTAATAACAAAGTGTGTGAGTAAAAGTATTGAATTTTTTAATGCAATCGAAGTTATCAGCTTAAAATAGGTTGTTACAACTATAAGATGATTTATGTAAGCCTTATGGTAACACAAATTCTTTAAATATAGTAAGTACACAAAACATAAAAAAAAAGAATCAAAGCAAACCACAGTAACAATAAACACATCATCAAATCACAAAGAAATATAAGGAAGAAATGAACAAAGGAATTATATAACAGTCAGAAAGCAATTAACAAAATGACTTATTAAGTCCACAAATGTGTGAAAATTAAACAACAAATTCTCATCAATCAATGAGTCAAATAAGAAAGCAAAATAAAGGAAATTAGAAAACATCTTGAGACAAATGAAAACAAAAACACAACATACCAAAATGTGTAGGATTCAGTGAAAGCAGTGCTAAGAGGAAAATTTACAACTGTAAAAGCTTATATTAAAAAAGAAAAAAAACTCTAACAACCTAGATGCACACCTTAAGGAACTAAAAAAAGAACAAACTAAACTCAAAGCCAGCAGAAGGAAGTAAATATTAATAGTAAGGATTAGGGCAGGGATAAAACAGAAAATAGAAAAACAACAGAGAAAATGAAACTAAGAGTTGATTTATTGAAATGATCAACAAAATTGAAAAACCTTTGGCTACACAGAATAAGAAAAAAGGAGAGAAGACTAAACAACTAAAATCAGAAATGAAAGATAAGACATTACACTCAATTTAACAGAAATAAAAAGAATGACTGGGTGCAGTGGCTCATGCCTGTAATCCCAACACTTTGGGAGGCTGAGGCAGGAGGACTGCTGGAGCCCAGGAGTACATGACCAGCCTCAGCAACATAGTGAGCCTCATTTCTACAAAAAAATAAAAATAATAAAAATTAGCTGGATGTGGTGGCACACACCTGAGGTCCCAGCTACTTGGGAGGATGAGGTAGGATTGCTTCAGCCCAAGATGTCAAGGCGGCAGTGAGCAGTGATTGCACCACTGTGCTCCAGTCCGGGTGACAGAGTGAGAATCTATCTCAAGAGAAAAAAAAAAGTTATAAAAAGAACTGTAAGAAAGTACTATGAGCAACAGTATGCCAATGTATTGGATAACCCAGATGAGATGACCAAATTACTCGAAATGCAAAACTTACCAAGATTGAATCATGAAGAATAGAAAATATGAACAGACCAATAACTAGTAAGGAAACTGAATCAGTAATTAAAAATCTCCCAACCAAGAAAAGCCCAGAACCAGATGACTTCACTGGTGAATTCTACCAAACATTTGAGAAGTGATGCCAATCCTCCTCAAACCCATTCAAAACACTGAAGAGGGAATACTCCCAAATTCATTTTACAAAGCCAGCATTACCCTGATACCAAAACCAGACAAAGACACTACAATAAAGGAAAATTACAAGCCAATACCTGAATAACATAGATGCAAAAATCCTCAACAAAATACTAGCAAACTGAATTCCATGGCACATTAAAAGAATCATACACCATAATCAAGTGGGATTTATCCCTAAGATGCCAGGATGGTACAATATATGCTAAATAATAAATGCGATACCCCACATTAACAGAATGAAGAATAGAGATTATATGATCATTTGGATCGATGCAGAAAGAGCATGACGAAATTCAATATTTTTTTATGATAAAAACTCAATAAATTCAGTACAGAAGGAATGTACATCAGAATAATAAAATGCATATATGACAAAGCCCATACCTAGCATAATACTCGAACAGTGAAAAGCTAAAAAAAGCTTTTCCTCTAAGATCAAGAACAAGGCAAGAAGGCTCACTGTCACCACCTATTAAATAGTACAGCAGTCCTAGCCAGAGTAGTCAGGCAAGAGAAAGGCATCCAAATCAGAAAGTAAAAAGGAAAATGGTTTCTATTTGCAGATGACATAATTGTATATGCAGAAAACCCTAAAGACTGCATTAAATAACTATTTAAACTAATAAATGAATTCAGTAAAATTTCAGGATACAAAACCAACATACAAAAATCAGTAGCACTTCTTTACACTAACAATGAATTATCCAAAAAGAAATCAAGAGAGCAGTCCCATTTACTGTTATTTTTGCTCTTGTTGCCAAGGCTGGGGTGCAATGGTGCAATCTTGGCTCACTGCAACCTCCACCTCCTGGGTTCAAGCAATTCTCCTGCCTCCCCGAGTGGCTGGGATTACAGGCACACACCACCACGCCTGGCTAATTTTTTTTTTATTTTTATTTTTAGTAGAGTTGGGGTTTTGCCATGTTGGTCAGGCTGGTCTCAAACTCCTGATCTCAAGTGATCTGCCCGCCTCAGCCTCCCAAAGTGCTGGGATTACAGGTGTGAGCCACCGTGCCCAGCCTTAAGTTCATTCTTTCAGGCTCTTTTCAGTATAATCTTGATGAGCATTGTGAGTACTACTTCTTTATTGCTTCTCCAGTTTCTGTTTGTTTCCTCTTGGAATTCATATTATCTCTGTATTGGGGATTTTGAATCTATATTCTTCATCTCTTACACTTCCATTTGTTATAGCCATCTTTTTATTTTTTCCTTTGTTTTCTCAGAAAATTTTTTGAGCTGGTTTTCTAATTCACTGATTTGATTTTCTGTAATATTTAATCTGCTGTTTTCTGTAATATTTAATCTGCTGTTTTCTGTTTCCATTGTGATTTTCAGATTTAGTAATCATGTTTTTCAATTGTAAGCACATTTTTATGATCAGACTGTTCATCCCCTTTTCACATATGAAATGTCTACTTGAATCATATTGAAAAAAATTAAATAAACATTTTAGAAATTTCTCTTTTTAAAATAGTTTTTTTCTTTTATTGTGGTAAAAATACACAACATGAGATCTACTTAAGATTTTAAGTGTACAGCACAGTATTGCAGCTATAATCACAGTGTTGTGCAGCAGACTTCTAGAACGTTTTCATCTTCTGTAGCTGAAATTTTATATGCATTGAACAGCAACTCCCCATTTTCCCCGTCTGTAAGCCCCTGGCAGCTACCATTCTACTCTCCTCTTCTATGGGTTTGACTACTATATAGTATTTATCCTATTGTGATTGGCTATTTAACTCAGCAAAAGTCCTCCAGCTTCATCTATCTTGTCACATATGATAGCATTTCCTTTTATTAATGTTGAAAAATATTCTATTTTATGTATATACCATATTTTGTTAATCCATTCATTTGTAGATGAACATATAGGTTGTTTCCACATCCTGACTATTGTGAATAATGCTGCAGTGAACACAGGAGTACAGACAGCTTTTTGAGATCCTGATTTTTCTTTAGCTTTACACCCAGAAGAGGGATTTGCTGGATCATAAGGTAATTCTATTTTTGATTTTTTGAGGAACTTCCACACTGTTTTCCATAATGGCTATATCAATTTATGTTCCTACCAACAGTGGACAAAGATTCCCTTTTCTCCAAATCCTGGACAACACTTGATATCTTTTGTCTTTTTGATAATAGTCATTCTAACAGGTGTGAGTGATAGCTCATGTGGTTTTGATTTGCATTTTGCTGATGATGCGTGATGTTGAACATTTTATATATTGTATGTCCACTTTGGAGAAACGTGTATTCAAGTTCTTTGCCCATCTTAAAATTGGGTTGTTTTGGGGCAGTTGAGTTGAGTACTTTATATAGATTGAATATTAACCTATTATTACATATGTGGCTTGCAAATATTTTATCTGATTCTGTAGCTTGTCTCTTCACTCTGTTGATTGTTTGCTGTGCAGGAGATTTTTAAGTTGATAAAATCCCATTTGTCTATCTTTGCTTTAGTTGCCTATGTTTTGGGGTTATATCTAAGAAATTACTGCCTAGACCAATGTCAAGAAGCTTTCCCCCTACGTTTTCTTCTAGTCGTTTACAGTTTCAGATCTTATGTTTAAGTCTTTAACGCATTTCTAGTTGATTTTTGTGTATGGTGCAAGATAAGGGCCAAATTTTCTTTTTATGCTTGTGGACTTCCGGTTTTCCTAACACCATTTATTGAAGTGATTATCCATTAACCATTGTGTGTTCTTGGCACCTCTGTCAAAGATCAGTTGACTGTAAATGCGTGGGTTTATTTCTGGGCTCTTTATTTTGTTCCATTGGTCTATATGTCTGTCTTTACGCCAGTATCATACTGTTTCAATTACTATAGATTTGTAATACATTTTGAAATCAGGAAGTATCATTTCTCCGGCTTTGTTCTTCTTGCTCAAGATTGCTTTGGCTATTTGGAGTCTTTTGTGATTCCATGAATTTTCATATTTTTTTTATTGTTGTGAAAAAAGCCGTTGGAGTTTTGATAGGGATTGCATTGAAATTGTAGATTGCTTTGTGTATGGACATTTTAACAATATTAATTCTTCCAATCCATGAGCACAGGATATCTTTCCATTTATCTGTGTCTTCAGTTTCTTTCACTGATGTTTTACAGTTTTCAGTGTATAGATCTTTTCCACCTTTGGTTAAATTTATTCCTAGGTATTTTATTTGATTTTTGTTGCCAAATGGATTATTTTAGCTGTGTATGAAACAGAAGAAATCAAGAGAAATGAAGCAGAGAAGACAAGGCTCAGATTTCAAGCAGGGTCCAGAGATATATTCATATGTCCAACATAGGATATATAAGATGGTAAAAGCAAATTATTTTTCATTCTCAGCTTCTTCCACTAGCAAAAGGCTCTGAAGGAAGAAACAATCCAAGGGCAAAGATCAAATCCAAGGTTTTGCCAGTAAAATATGGACTCAGGATCAAAATTTCAAGGACACATCTTTACACACTTGGTTAAGACCTCAGAAAGATTTGGGCAGTGCCTGAAAAAAGCAAAACAAAAAGGCTTCTAAACGTTTCCATGTTGTACCTCTTAGAAGCTCTCTGACAGATAAGAGGGATTCTAAGAATCATAAGGGTGTTGTACTACAGTATCCTGATTCCTGGACCAAAACAGAGAAAGTCTGTCTCAAAGAAATTCGTGAATACGGTGTTTGTCTAATGGAATGGATTACAATTCGATACACAGAAAGGTGCAAAATTTTTAAAGGAATTATAGCTTCATTTGAAAGAGTTCAAAATGAAAATATGCATTTGGTTCCCCAAATTCATACAAACAGAAAGCAGGCTGAAAAAACTATTCAGCTGAAAGCAAATTATTTCTTGTGGTAACAGAAACATAGCTCAGAGGGAAGAGCCAAGATCATGAAAAACAGAGCAAACAGCCATGAAGAACCACTCCCAAGAAACAGCACTAAGACCTATCATGAAACGGGCAACAAATGCCTGGCTAGATTTCAGAACTGCTATAAACTATCATTGCAATCTGCCTCCTATTTCTCTGCTCTTTGAATGGGAAAGTTTACTGCAGTTCTCCGGTCCCTCTCTCACCATTGTTGGCTGTGTAGGTGAGTGTGTGGGAAAGAATAATGCCTTCCTTTAGTTCACAGGTTCAGGCTGAAAGAAGCCACACCATGGAAGACAGCCACACCTGTACCTGATTTTTATTGTTTACTGAGGTATAGCTTGCATACAGTAAAACCATATCCTTGTAAAATGCAGAGTTTGATGAGTTTTGACAAAAGTACACACCTGTGTAACCACAATAAATATACATATTATTTTCATCACACCCAAAAATTCTTTGAGCCTGAGAGTTAAGAGTCAACTTACCTCTTCCTCCAATTCCAGACAAGCAGTATTTTCAAGAGTCTCATATGTATGAAATTAAACAGTATGTACATGTTTATGTCTCGCTTGGCCTGGCCAAGAATATTTCTGAGATTTCTCCATGTTGTTGCACGTATCAAAAGTTTATTATTGGCCAGGTGCAGTGGCTCATACCTGTAATCCCAGCACTTTGGGAGGCCGAGGCAGGCAGATCACCTGAGGTCAAGAGTTCAGGACCAGCCTGGCCATCATCATGAAACCCCATCTCTACTAAAAATACAAAATTTAGCCGGGTATGGTGCTGCACACTTGCAGTCTCAGCTACTCCAGAGGCTGAGGCAGGAGAATTGCTTGAACCCAGGAGGTGGAGGTTGCAGTGAGCTGAAATCGCACCACTGCACTCCAGTGTGAGCAACAGAGCAAGGCTCCACCTCAAAAACAAAACAAAAAAAAGGTTCATTATTGCTTTGTAGTATTCCATTATATACATAAACCATAATTTGCTTTTCTATTCATGTGTTTATGGACATTTAGATTGTTTACCCCTTTGGGTTATTATGAATAAAGCTGCTATGAACATTCAAGTATTTATGTGGACATATGTTTTCATTTCTCTTTACCAAGTATCTAGGAATAGAATTGCTGGGTCATATGGTAAGTTGTCTTAAAATTTATAAGAAATAGCCAAACTGTTTTCCAGAGTGGTTGTGCAATATTATACTCCCATCAACAGTGTATGAGACTTTCAGCTTCATCACCTCACCACCATACTTGGTTTTCTCAGTCTTTATAATTTTAGCCATTTATAAATTTTAGTCTTTATAATCCTAAGGGGTATGCAGTGGTATCACACTGTGCTTTATAATTTGCATTTCCCTGCTAAAGAATGCTGTTGGCCATCTTTTCATGTATGTATACTAGCCATTTACATATTTTCTCTTGTGAAGTGTCTGTAAACTCTTTTGCACATTAACTGGATTGTGTGCTCCCTTAAGTTGTAAGAATCCTTTATGTATTCTAGCCACAAGTCCTTTATCAGATATATGTGATGAAAATTTTTCTCCCATTCTGTACCCTGCCAGGTAATTTTCCAAATGGTGCCTTTTTTAAAAAAAGGTTTAGATAGTTCAGTTTGTAAATTTTTTCTTCATTGTTTTGTGTTTTTTTATATCTTATTTTAGAAATCTTTGCCTGTTCCAACGTCACAGAGATTTTCTGTTTTCTTCTAGAAACTCTATACTTTTAGCATTTTCATTTAGGCCTATAACTCATTTCAGTTTTTCCCCAGTGGATATTCAGTTCTTACAGCATAATTTGATAAAAAGACCTTCTTTCCCTCAATTCCACTGCCATCTTTGTGGAAAATCAAATGACCATGTATATGAGGGCTCACTTCTGGAATTTCTATTCTATTCTATAAATCCATCTATCCTTTCACCAATACTACTGTCTTCATTACTACAGCTTGATTTTAAGCCTAAAAATCAGGAAAGTGAAGTCCCCTAACTTTCTCTTCTTTTCTATAATTGCTTTCATTCCTCATGGATAATGAATCAGGCTGAGGAAGTTCCCTTCTATTCCTAATTTGCTGAGAGTTTTTAACATGGATGAGTGTTGCATCTTGTTATATGCTTTTTCTGTATCTAGTGAGATGATTACATTATATTTCTAAAACTATGATGAAATACATAAATTTTCAAATGTTAATCTCAAATTATTCAAAATATAATATTATTTCCATATATTAATAGATCTGATTTGATAATTAAGAATTTTAAAATCTATGTTAATAAGGGAATGCTGCTAGGTAGGTTTCTGTTCTTGTAAGGTCTTTGTCTTCTTTTGGAAGCAGAGTAATACTGACCTAACAAAATGACTTGGGAAGCATTCCCTCCTTCTCTATTTCATGTAGGAAAAAAAACTCAGGGAAGATTGATAAAATTTCTTCCATAAAAGCCTTAAAGAATTCACCAGTGATACCATCTGGGCTTAAGAGATTTGTGAGGTGGTTAATTATGAATTCAATTTCTTTGGTATATATAGAGCTATTCAGATTTCCCATTTCTTGAGTCAGTATTTAGTTTTTCTGTCTTTCAAGCAGTGTGTCTATTTCATCAACAATGTCACTGGTATAAAGTGGTTTATAACATTCTCTTATCTTCTTAACATCTGTAGGATCTGTGTCAAGTCCCTTCTTTCATTCCCGATATTATTATATCTTCTTTTTAAAATGTTTTATTATCAATTGTGGTAAAATACATATAACACAAAATTTACAGTCTTAATCATTTTTAAGCATACGGTTCAGTGGTATTAAGTATATTCACATTGTTGTGCAATAATCTCCACCATCTGTCTCCAGATTTCAACCTGAAAAACTGAAACCCTACAGTCATTAAACAATAACTCCCTATTCCCTGCTTCCCACTGCCCCTATAACCACCATTCTACTTTCCGTTTCTATGAATTTGACAACTTTAGAGACCTCATATAAGTTAAACGGTATCTGTCTTTTTGTGACTGGTTTATTCACTTAGCATAATGTCTTCAAGATTTATCCATGTTGTCCCATGTGACAAGACTTTCTTCCTTTTTAGGGCTGAATATTATTCATTCTAAATGTACCACATTTTGCTAATCTATTCATCTGTAGATAGACATTTATGTTGCTTCTACCTCCTGACTATTGCAAATAATGCTGCTATGAAGATGAATATGCAAATATCTCTTCAAGACCCTGCTTTCAATTCTTTTGGATGTAAAAAGAATTCCCAGAAGTGGGAATGTTGGATAATGTAATTCTATTTTTAATTTTTTGAGGACTACCATGTCATTTCCAACAGCAGCTGTACCATTTTACATTCTTACCAACAGTGCACAGGGCTCCAATTTCTCCACATTCTCACCAACACTTTTTTTTTCACAGTAGCCATCCTCATGGATGTAAGGTAACATCTCATCATAGTTTTGATTTTTATTTCCCTAATGGTTAGTGATGTTGAGCAACTTTTCATGTGCTTATTGGCCATTTTTATATCATCTTTGGAGATATGTCTATTCAAGTCCTTTCCCCATCTTTTAATCTAGTTTTTTTTATTGTTGTTGAGATGAGTTCTTTACATATTCGGGATATTAACCCCTTTTCAAATATATGCTTTGCAAATATATTCTTCCATTCCATTGACTGCTTTTTCACTCAGTTGATTATGTCCTTTGATGTACAGTTTTTAATTTTGATGTAGATAGTTTTTAATTTTGATGTAGTTCAATGTATCTTTTTTTTTATTTGTCTGTATATTTGGCCTCATATCCAAAAAAGAAATCACTGCCAAGACCAATGTCATAAAGCTTTTCCCTATGTCTTCCGTATGTTTCCCTATTATAGCTCTTATGTTTAGGTCTTTGATCCATTTTTAGTTAATTTATATATGATGTAAAGTGAGAGTCCAACTTAATTCTATTGCATTTGGATATCCTTTTTTCCCAACACCATTTGTGGAAATGACTGTCCTTTTCCCAATGAATGGTCATAGCACCCTTATCGAAAATTATGTGACCATATATGTCAGGGTTTATTTCTGGGCTATTGTATTCCATTGGTCTATATATTTGTCTTTATACCAGTACCACACTGTTTTGATAACAGTGGCTTTGCAGCAAGTTTCCAAATCAGGAAATGTAAGACCTCCAACTTCGTTTTTTTTCTAAATTTGTTTTAGCTACTCAATGTCCCAAGTGATTCCATGTGAACTTCAGGATACTGTATTAGTCTGTTTTCACACTGCTGATAAAGACATACCCAGATTGGGGAGAAAAATAGGTTTAATGGACTCACAGGTCCACATGGCTGGGGAGGCCGCACAATCATGGCAGAAGGCAAAAGGCACTTCTTACATGGAGGCAGCAAGAGAAAATGAGAATCAAGAGAAAGGGTTTCCCCTTATAAAACCATCAGATCTAGTGAGACTTATTTACTACCACAAGAACAGTATGGAGGAAACAGCCATGATTCAATTATCTCCCACTGAGGCCCTCCCACAACATGTGGGAATTATGGGAGCTATAATTCAAGGTAAGATTTGGGTGGGGATACAGCCTAACCATATCAGATGCATTTTTCTATTTCTGAAAAAAATACACTGTTGGAATTTTGACAGAGATTGTATGGCATCTGTAGATTATCTTGGGTAGTATTAACCGCCTAATAATATTAAGTCTTCCAATCCATGAATACAGGATGTTTTTCATTCATTGGTGTCTTTTTAGATTCTTTCATCAAGGTTTTGTAGTTCTCAGTGTACAAGTCCTTCACCTCCTTAGTTAGGCTTATTCCTAAGTAATTTATTCTTTTTGATGCTATTGTAAATGAGATTATTCTCTTAATTTGCTTTTCAGATTGTTCATTGTTAGCATATAAAAATTTAATTAATTTTTTGCACTGATTTTGTATCCTGCAACTAAGCTAAATCCATTTGTTAGTTCTAACAGCTTTTGTGAAATCCTTAGGGTTTTCTACATATAAGATCATGTCTGTGAACAAAGATAATTTTCCTTCTTCCTTTTCATTTTGGATGACTTTTTCTTTTTCTTTTTCTTGCGAATTGCCTATGTTGAATACACAAGGCAAAAGACAGCATCCTTTCTTTGTTCCTGATCTTAGAGGAAAAGCTTTCAGTCTTTCACTATAAGAATAATGTCTATAGGCTTTAAATAGATGGCGTTTATTTTGCTGAGGTAATTTCCTTATCTTCCCAATTTAAGTTTCTTCTTATCAAAAAAGGGAGTTAAACTTTGTGAAAAGATTTTTCTACCTCAATTAAGATGATTGTGTGAGGGTTTTCTCCTTTGATTCTGTTAATGCTAATGTAGTATATCACATTTACTGATTTTCATATTTGGAACCATTCTTGCAAGTTACGAATAAATCTCATTTGGTCATGATGTGTAAACCTTTAATGTGCTGTTGAATTCAGTTTACAAGTATTTTCCTGAGGCCTTTGCAGCAAATATTTGTCAGGATATTGGCCTATAGTTTTCTTTCCTTGTACCACATTTGTCTAGTTTTAGTATCAACTTAATGCTGGCCTCACGTGATAAATTTAGAAGTGTTTCCTCTTCAATGTTTTTGAAAAGTTTGAAGAGGGATTGGCATTAATTCTTCTTTAAATGTTTGGTAAATTCACCAATGAAGCCACCTGGTCCTGAGTTTTTGTCTGTTGAGAGGTTTTTGATTATTGATTCAATCTGCTTACTAAAGGTCTGTTCAGATATTCTATTCTTCATAATTTAGTCTTGGTAGGTCATGTGTTGTGAGAAATTTGTTCATTTCACCTAGGTTATCAAATATATTGACATATGGTTGCTCATAGTCCTCTCTTACAACCCTTTTTCTTTGTGTTAAATTTCTCTCTGATTTTAGTTAATGAGTCTTGTTTCTTTTTTTCTTACCCATGTAGTTAAAAGTTTGCTCATTTTGCTGATCTTTTCAAAAACCCAACTCTTAGTTTCATTTTCTCTACTGTTTTTCTGTTTCATATTTTATTTCCTTCCTTCTGTTAGCTTTAGGTTTAGTTTGTTCTTTTTCTAGTTCCTTAAGGTGTAAATTTAGGGTTTTTTTTTTTGTTTGTTTGTTTTTTTTTTTTTTTTTTTTTGAGATGGAGTCTCACTCTGTCTCCTAGGCTGGAGTACAGTGGTGTGATCTCTCAGCTCACTGCAACCTCTGCCTCCCAGGTTCAAGTGATTCTCCTGCCTCGGCCTCCCGAGTAGCTGGCACTACGGGCGCATGCTATCATGCCCAGCTAATTTTTTTTTTTTTTTTTTTTAAGTAGAGACAAGGTTTCACCCGGTTAGCCAGGATGGTCTCGATCTCTCGACCTCATGATCCGCCCACCTCGGCCTCCCAAAGTACTGGGATTACAGGCGTGAGCCACCGCGCCCGGCCTTTTTTTTTTTTTTTTAAGATGGAGTCTCACTGTGTCACCCAGGCTGGAGTGCAGTGGCACGATCTTGGCTCACTGTTAGCTCCACCTCCCAAGCTCCAGCAATTCTTGTGACTCAGCCTCCCAAGGAGATGGGACTACAGACATGTGCCACCATGCCCAGCTAATTTTTTTTTGTTATTTTTACAATACAAAATACAGTACAATACCCCTAGTAGAGACGGGGTTTCACCATTTTGGCGAGGCTGGTCTTGAACTCCTGACCTCAAGCGATCTGCCTGCCTCATCCTCCCAAACTGCTGGGATTATAGGCGTGAGCCATCGCACCCAGCCACTGGAGTGTTCTTTATGTCTGTTAGGTTCAACTGGTCTATTGAATTGTTCAAGTCCTCTGTTTAGTAACCTTCTGTCATTTGTTCTATCCGGCGTATTGAAGTTCCCCACACTGGAGTATGTGCATTCTACAGTTATTGGATGGGGTATTTTATAAATGTCAATTAGGCTGTGGTAGTTCAGAGTATTCCTCAAATCTTCTACATCCTTTTTGACTTTTTGGTCAAGTTGCTCCATCAATTCCCAAGAAAAGGAATAATAAATGCAATAATGTTTATGCATTTGTCTGTTTTTCCCTTTGGTACTATTAGTTTTTGCTTCATGTATTTTTGAAGCTCTTTTGTTTGCTAAATACACATTTATAATCATTACATCATGCTTATGAATAGACTCTTTACCATTACAAAATGACTATTTGTCTTATAATTTTTCCTTGTTGTGAAAGTCTATTTTATCTGATATTCAGTATAGCCATTCCAGCTTTTTTATGCTTATTGTTTCCATGATACATCTCTTTGCATCCTTTTACTTTCAAGCTATTTATCTTTGTATTTAAAGTATGTCTCTTATAAATAATATAAAGTTGGCTCTTGCTTTTTTTATCCAATCCAAAAAGCACTGTCTTTGGCTTCCAGTGTTGAGTTCATTTATATTTAATGTAATTATTTATGGTTCTATTTAGTCTGTCATTTTGCTATTGGTTTTGTCACAGCTCTTCTTTGCTCCTCGTTTTTCCTTCCCTGCCTTATTTTATGTTCACTGAATATTTTATAGTATTCCATTTTAATCCTTCTAGTTACACATCCTTCTAGCTATACCTAGCTATATGTCTTTTCATTATATGCTTAGTATTTGTTCTAAGTATGTGCTAGGCAACATCTAAGATGGCTCCCAATTTTCCCCAACTCCTGGTATGCATGCCCATGTGGTATGTCCTTTCCCTTGAGTATAGTCTGGACCTAGAAACTTGCTTTTAATAAACAGAATCCGACAAAAGTGATAAGCTATAATTTCCAAGATTAGCTTACAAAAAGATTCTAGCTTCCATCATGCTTACCTCTCTCTTGCTCTCTTACTTGTCCACTTTGATGGAAGCCAGCTGCCATGCTGTAGGCTATCCTATAGAGAGGCCCAAATAGGAAAAAACTGAGAGAAACTTTTGGATGACAGCCAGCAAAGACTGACGCCCTCAGAGCAATACCCCAGCAAGGACCTGAATCCTATTAACCATATGAGTGAGAATAGAAGTGGATTCTCCCCCAATCTAGACTTCAGCTGGGACCACAACCCCAGTCAATACTTTGTTTGCAACCTTATAGGAGAACCTAAGCCAGAAAACCCAGCTAAGCCATGTCCATGAGAAAAAAATTAAAAAATTTTAAAAAAATTAAAAAATAAATGTTGCTTTAAGCTGCTAAGATTTAGAGTAATTTGTAATGGAATTTCTCTTAGATGTTGCCTAGCACATACTTAGAACAAATACTAAGCATATAATGAAAACACGTATAGCTAGGTATAGCTAGAAAGACATGCAATAGATAACTGCAGATATCTGTATTATAGATAATACAGATTTTGGTATCTGAAAGTAAAGTACAGCCTAAGAATATGGAAACATCTTTGTGTGTAGTGTGCTAAAGACAAAGTTGATTTGAAGAGGTCATTAGTAGGAATCTGGAATTTGAGGATATTGCCAGTGGGGCTCAAGAGGAAGTAAGAAATCTGTTATCGGAAATGAGAAGAAGGGGGATCCTTTTTACATAGAGATAGAAAGCTATACCATCATCTTCAGTAACACAAAAATTAGAAAATATGCTTGAGGAACTAAGTGAGTAATATAGCTAAGAAGATTTACAAAGTATTTGCTATTGCTTTAAGTGCTGTCGCTCTTAGGTGCAAGAGTAGAGTAAAATTGAGTCAAGGAAAGTTAAAGAAAATGGAACTAAGACTTCATGGTTTTAAAAATTCTCAGCCTCTCTAGATGGCAAAATATCCTAAATTAAGAAAGTCCAAGCAAACTTTGGACACTGCATAGACATAAAGCCAAGGGTATAAATGTAAAATATTTTGTGAAGATCGAAAAGATAAAAGATGGTATATCTCAGAGTACTATGCATTCATCCACAGATCCCCTTAAAAAGATTAAGAGTATGCCTGACAGATCCTCTCAATCAAACAAGAGGGCCTCTACAAAACTTAAGAATGACTTAACTAAGAAAATTCCACTACTTGCCTATCTGGATTTCAGAATTGTTATGAACTAGTGACTTTTTAGAAATGTCTGTGGAGGTTATCCTCTGCTTGGCCCATTGTATGTTGGGTGTGTTAGGAGCAGATAACTATTAGAACAGACATTTCTTCAAAGAAGATATACAAATGGCTAATAAGCACATGACAAGATGCTCAGTGTCATTAGTCACTGGGGGAATGCAAATTAAAACCACAATGAGATACCACTGCATACCAACTAAAATGCACAAAATCAAAGCCACTGACAATACCAAGAGTTGATGAGGACGTGAAGAGACGAGAATACTCATGTGAAGAGACTGGAATATTGGTAATGGGGATACAAAATGGAACAGCCAGTTTGGAAAAGAGTTTGATGATTTTTTAAGTTAAAAATAAATTTACCACACAACCCACTCTTAGATATCCATCCAAAAGAAATGAAAAACATATGTCCGAATAAAAATTTGCAATGAACTTCCAAAACAGCAACATTCATAATAGCCAAATACTGAAAACAATCCAAATATCCATTAACTGGTGAATGGATAAACAAAATGTGGTATACTCATCAATGAAATACCACTCAGGAACACGAAGGAATGAACTACTGATACAAGAAACAATATGAACTTCAAAAACAATATTGTAAGTGGAAGAACTAGATACATAGGACTACGTATTACCCATGAAATTTCTAGAAAAGGCCAAAAAAAAAAAAAAAAAAGATAATTGCTTGCCTGGGGCTCTGGGTATAAGTCCATATTATAAAGATATCAATTCTTCTTAATTTATCTATAGATTCAATGCATTCATAATAAAATATCTCAACATGCACGCACACATGCACACATCACATTTATATGCAAGTAAAAACTGGTGAGCTAATCCTGAAATGTATATGGAAATGCAAAGAACCAAGAATAGCCAAGGCAATCTTGAGGAAGAAAAAGAAAGCTGGAGGACCTACACTACACTATAAAATATCAAGATTTATTTTAAAGCTACAGTATTAAGGCAGTGTAGTATTAGCACATAGATAAACAGGCCAATGAAAGAAACTAGAGACCAGAAAAAACCCACACAAACAAGATCTCCTGGTTTACACAAATGGTGCCAAGGGCCGGGTGTGGTGGCTCACACCTGTAATCCCAGTACTTTGGGAGGCAGAGGTGGGTGGACTGCTTGAGGTCAGGAGTTCGAGACCAGCCTGACCAACAGAATGAAACCCTATCTCTACTAAGAAAAAAAAAAAAAAAAAATACAAAAATCAGCCAGGTGTGGTGGCACATGCCTGTAGTCCCACCTATTCAGGAGGCTGAGGCAGGAGAATCTCTTGAACATGGGAGGTGGAGGTTGCAGTGAGCCAAGATCACGCCACTGCACTCCAGCCTAGCAACAGAGTGAGACTCCGTCTCAAAAAAAAGGGGGGGCCAACTACAGCAGTGTGAATGACATTTAAAAATAATGCTAGGCTGGGCACGGTGGCTCATGTCTTTAATCACAGCACTTTGGAAGGCCGAGATGGGCAGATCACTTGAGGTCAAGAGTTCAAGACTAGCCTGGTTAACATGGTGAAACCCCGTCTCTACTAAAAATACAAAAATTAGCTGGGTGTGGGGGGGGGAGCCTGTAATCTCAGCTACTCAGAAGGCTGAGGCAGGAGAATCACTTAAGCCCGGGAGGCAGAGGTTGCAGTGAGCCAAGATCGTGCCACTGCACTCCAGTCTAGGTGACAGAGCGAGACTCTGTGTAGAAAAAATAAATAAAATAAAATAAAAATAATGCTAGATCAAACACATATCCATTGTGATAGACAGAGGGAATTAGCCATGACCCCTACCTCACTTCATACATAAAAATCAATTCCAGATGTACCACATACCTAAATGAGAAAGGTAAAATAAGAAGCTTCTAGAAAATAACATAGATGAGTACTCTCTGATCTTGTAACAGGCGAGGTAAGAAATCTCAAACAGGAAACAAAAAAAAACAACAGAGTCAACTGACAAAACTATATTAAAATTAATAACATTCAACAGAAGATACCAGTTGCTATGGTTTCTCTGCTCCAAAACTCATATTTAAATTTAATTGCCATTATAACAATATTAAGAGGTGTGACCTTTAAGAGGTAGTTAGGCCATGAAGGCTTTGCCCTCATAAACAATTATTGCCAAAGTGGATTAGTTATAGAAGGGCTAGTTAGGCCCACTTCTCTTTCTCCCTCCCTCCCTCTCTCTCTCTCTTCTCACTTTCTGCCATAGGATGATACAACAAGAAGGTCCTCATCAGATGCCAGCACCTTGATTCTGGATTTCTCAGCCTCCAGAACTGTGAGTCAGGGCCAAATAGAAACAGCTCCAGTCAGGAGCTCCCAGTGAAATCAATGCAGAAGGCAGGTGATTTCTGCATTTCCAACTGAGGTACCCGGCTAATCTCACTGGGACTGGTTAGACAGTGGGTGCAGCCCACAGAGGGCGAGCCGAAGCAGGGTGGGGTGATGCCTCACACAGGAAGTACAAGGGGTCAGGGAACTCCCTCCCCTAGCCAACAGAAGCCATGAGGGACTGTGCCGTGAGGGACAGTGCATTCTGACCCAGTTACTAGACTTTTCCCATGGTCTTCACAACCCACAGACCAGGAGATTCCCTTAGGTGCCTACACCACCAGGGCCCTGGGTTTCAAGCACAAAACTGGGTGGCTGTTTGGGCAGACATCGAGATAGCTGTAGGAGGTTTTTTTTTTTTCATACCCCAGTGGCACCTGGAATGCCAGCGAGACAGAACCGTTCACTCCCCTGGAAAGGGGGCTGAAGCCAGGGAGCCAAGTGGTCTAGTTCACTGGATCCCACCCCCACAGAGCCCAACAAGCTAAGATCCAACGGCTTGAAATTCTCACTGCCAGCACAGCAGTCTGAAGTCGACCTGGGATGCTTGAGCTTGGTTGGGGGAGAGGCATCCGCCATTACTGAGGCTTGAGTAGCCGGGTTTCCCCTCACAATGGGCAAGTTCGAACTGGGCAAAGCCCACTGCAGCTCAGCAAAGTCAATGTAACCAGACTGCCTCTCTAGATTCCTCCTCTCTGGGCAGGGCATCTCTGAAAGAAAGGCAGCAGCCCCAGTCAGGGGCTTATAGATAAAACTCCCATCTCCCTGGGACAGAGCACCTGGGGGAAGGGGCGGCTGTGGGCGCAGCTCCAGAAGACTTAAACCTTCCTTCCTGTTGGCTCTGAAGAGAGCAGTGGATCTCCCAGCACAGTGTTTGAGCTCTGCTAAGGGACAGGCTGCCTCCTCAAGTGGGTCCCTGACTCCCATGCCTCCTGACTGGGAGATAACTCCCAGCAGGGGTCGACAGAAACCTCATACAGGAGAGCTCCGGCTGGCATCTGGCGGATGCCCCTCTGGGACAAAGCTTCCAGAGGAAGGAACAGACAGCAATCTTTGCTGTTCTGCAGCCTCCACTGGCGATACCCAGGCAAACAGGGTCTGAAGTGGACCTCCAGAAAACTCCAGCAGACCTGCAGCAGAGGGGCCTATTAGAAGGAAAACTAACAAATAGAAAGGAATAGCATCAACATCAACAAAAAGGGTGTCCACACAGAAACCCCATCTGAAGGTCACCAACATCAAAGACCAAAGGTAGATAAAGCCATGAAGATGAGGAAAAACCAGCACAAAAAGGCTGAAAATTCCAAAAACCAGAACGCCTCTTCTCCTCCAAAGGATCACAACTCCTTGCCAGCAAGGGAACAAAGCTGGACAGAGAATGAGTTTGACGAATTTACAGAAGTAGGCTTCAGAAGGTGGGTAATAACAAACTCCTCTGAGCTAAAGGAGCATGTTCTAACCCAATGCAAGGAAGCTAAGAATCTTGAAAAAGGTTAGAGGAATTGCTGACTAGAATAACCAGTTTAGAGAAGAACATAAATGACCTGATGGAGCTGAAAAACGCAGCACGAGAACTTCGTGAAGCATACGCAAGTATCAATAGCCAAATTGATCAAGCGGAAGAAAGGATATCAGAGATTAAAGATCAACTTAATGAAATTAAGTGTGAAGACAAGATTAGAGAAAAAGAATGAAAAGGAACAAAGTCTCCAAGAAATATGGGACTATGTGAAAAGACCAAATTTACGTCTGATTGGTGTACCTGAAAGTGACGGGGAGAATGGAACCAAGTTGGAAAACACTCTTCAGGATATTATCCAGGCAAACTTCCCCAACCTGGCAAGACAAACCAATATTCAAATTCAGGAAATACAGAGAGCACTACAAAGACACTCCTCAAGAAGAGCAACCCCAAGACACATAATTGTCAGATTCACCAAGGTTGCAATGAAGGAAAAAATGTTAAGGGCAGCCAGAGAGAAAGGTCACGTTACCCACAAAGGGAAGCCCATCAGACTAACATCGGATCTCTTGGCAGAAACCCTACAAGCCAGAAGAGAGTGGGGGCCAATATTCAACATTCTTAAAGAAAAGAATTTTCAATCCAGAATTTCATATCCAGCCAAACTAAGCTTCATAAGTGAAGGAGAAATAAAATCCTTTACAGACGAGCAAATGTTGAGAGATTTTGTCACCACCAGGCCTGCCTTACAAGAGCTCCTGAAGGAAACACTAAATATGGAAACGAAAAACCAGTACCAGCCACTGCAAAAACATACCAAATTATAAAAACCATCGACACTATGAAGAAACTGCATCAACTAACAGGCAAAATAACCAGCTAGCATCATAATGACAGGATCAAATTCACACATAACAATATTAACCTTAAATGTAAATGGACTAAATGCCCCAGTTAAAAGACACGGACTGGGAAATTGGATAAAGAGTCAAGACCCATCAGTGTGCTGTATTCAGGAGACCCATCTCACATGCAAAGACACAAATAGGCTCAAAATAAAGAGATGGAGGAATATTTACCAAGCAAATGGAAAGCAAAAAAAAAAAAAAAAAGCAGGGGTTGCAATCCTAGTCTCTGATAAAACAGACTTTAAAGCAACAAAAATCAAAAAAGACAAAGAAGGGCATTACATAATAGTAAAGGGATCAATGCAATAAGAAGAGCTAAGTATCCTAAGTATATATGCACCCAATACAGGAGCATCCAGGTTCATAAAGCAAGTTTTTAGAGACCTACAAAGAGACTTAGACTCCCACACAAGAATAGTGGGAGACTTTAACAGCCCACTGTCAATATCAGCCAGATCAACAAGACAGAAAATTAACAAGGAGATTCAGGACTTGAACTCAGCTCTGGACCAAATGGACCTAACAGACATCTACAGAACTCTCCACCCCAAATCAACAGAATATACATTCTTCTTAGCACCATATCACACTTATTCTAAAATCGTCCACATAATTGGAAGTAAAACACTCCTCAGCAAATGCAAAAGAACAGAAATCATAATAAACAGTCTCTCAGACCACAGTGTAATCAAATTAGAACTCAGGATTAAGAAACTCACTCAAAACCGCACAACTACATGCAAACTGAACAACCTGCTCCTGAATGACTACTGGGTAAATAACAAAATTAAGGCAGAAATAAAGATATTCTTGGCTGGGCACAGTAGCTCACACCTGTAATCCCAGCACTTTGGGAGGCCGAGGGAGGCGGATCATGAGGTCAGGAGATCGAGATCATCCTGGCTAACACAGTGAAAACCCATCTCTACTAAAAATACAAAAAATGAGCCGGGCGTGGTGGTGGGCGCCTGTAGTCCCAGCTACACAGGAGGCTGAGACAGGAGAATGGCGTGAACCCAGGAGGTGGAGCTTGCAGTCAGCCGAGATCGCGCCACTGCACTCCAGCCTGGATGACAGAGCGAGACTCCATCTCAAAAAAATAAAAAAAGAAATAAAGTTGTTCTTTGAAACCAATGAGAACAAACACACAATGTACCAGATTCTCTGGGACACAGCTAAAGCAGCGTTTAGAGGGAAATTTATAGCACCAAATGCCCACAGGAAAAAGCAGGAAAGATCTAAAATTGACACCCTAACATCACAATTAAAAGAACTAGAGAAGCAAGAGCAAACAAAATCAAAAGCTAGCAGAAGACAAGAAATAACTAAGATCAGAGCAGAACTGAAGGAGATAGAGACATAAAAAACCCTTCAAAAAATCAATGAATCCAGGAGCTGGTTTTTTGAAAAGATTAACAAAATAGATAGATCACTAGCCAGACTAATAAAGAAGAAAAGAGAAGAATCAAATAGACACAATAAAAAATGATAAAGGGGATATCACCACTGATCACACAGAAATACAAACTATCATCAGAGAATACTATAAACACCTCTATGCAAATAAACTAGAAGATCTAGAAGAAATGGATAAATTCCTGGACACATACACCCTCCCAAGACTAAACCAGGAAGAAGTCAAAACCCTGAATAGACCAATAACAAGTTCTGAAATTGAGGCAGTAATTAATAGCCTACCAACCAAAAAAAGCCCAGGTCCAGATGGATTCACAGCCGAATTCTACCATAGGTGCAAAGAGGAGCTGTTACCATTCCTTCTGAAACTATTCCAAACAATAGAAAAAGAGGGACTCCTCCCTAACTCATTTTACGAGGCCAGAGTTATCCTGATACCAAAACCTGGCAGAGACACAACCAAAAAAGAAAATTTCAGACCAATATCCCTGATGAACATCGATGCAAAAATCGTCAATAAAATACTGGCAAACCGAATCCAACAGCACATCAAAAAGTTTATCCACCACAATCAAGTTGGCTTCATCACTGGGATGCAAGGCTGGTTCAACATATGCAAATCAATAAATGTAATCCATCACATAAATAGAACCAATGACAAAAACCACATGATTATCTCAATAGATGCAGAAAAGGCCTTCAATAAAAATTCAACACCCCTTCATGCTAAAAACTCTCAATAAACTAGGTATTGATGGAATGTACCTCAAAATAGTAAGAGCTATTTATGATAAATACATAGCTAATATCATACTGAAAGGGCAAAAGCTGCAAGTATTCCCTTTGAAAACCGGCATAAGACAAGATGACCTCTCTCACCACTCCTATTCAACATAGTATTGTAAGTTCTGGCCAGGGCAATCAGGCAAGAGAAAGAAATAAAGGGTATTCAAATAGGAAGAGAGGAAGTCAAATTGTCTCTGACATGACTGTATATTTAGAAAACCCCATTGTCTCGGCGCAAAAACTACTTAAGGTGATAAGCAACTTCAGCAAAGTCTCAGGATACAAAAATCAGTGTGCAAAAATCACAAGCATTCCTATACACCAATAACAGACAAACAGAGAGCCAAATCATGAGTGAATTCCCATTCACAATTGCTACAAAGAGAATAAAATATCTAGGAATGCAACTTATAAGGAATCTGAGGGACCTCTTCAAGGAGAACTACAAACCACTGCCCAAGGAAATCAGAGAGGACACAAACAAATGGAAAAACAGTCCATGCTCATGGATAGGAGGAATCAATACAGTGAAAATGGCCATACTATCCAAAGTAATTTATGGATTCAATGCTATCCCCATCAAGCCACCACTGACTTTCTTCACAGAATTAGAAAAAACTACTTTAAATTTCATATGGAACCAAAAAAGAGCCCACATAGCCAAGACAATCCTAAGCAAAAAGAACAAAGCTGGAGGCATCATGCTACCTGACTTCAGACTATACTACAAGGCTACAATAACCAAAACAGCATGGTACTGGTACCAAAACAGATATATAAACCAATGGAACAGAACAGAGGCCTCAGAAATAACAGCACACATCTACAACCATCTGATCTTTGACAAACCTGACAAAAACAAGCAATGGGGAAAGGATTTCCTATTAAATGGTGTTGGGAAAACTGGCTAGCCATATGCAGAAAACTGAAACTTGACCCCTTCCTTACATCTTATACAAAAATTAACTCAAGAAGGATTAAAGATTTAAACATAAGACCTAAAACCATAAAAACCCTAGAAGAAAACCTAGGCAATATCATTCAGGACATAGGTATGGGCAAAGGCTTCATGATTAAAACACCAAAAGCAATGGAAACAAAAGCCAAAATTGACAAATGGAATCTAATTAAACTAAAGAGCTTCTGCCTAGCAAAAGAAGCTATCATAAGAGTGAACAGACAACCTACAGAATGGGAGAAAATGTTTGCAATCTATCCATCTGACACAAGACTAATATCCAGAATCCACAAGGAACTTAAAGAAATTTACAAGAAAAAAAAAACATCAAAAAGTGGGCAAAGGATATGAATAGACACTTCTCAAAAGAAGGTATTTATGCCACCAACAAACATACGAAAAAAAGCTCATCATCACTGGTTATTAGAGAAATGCAAATCAAAACCACAATGAGATACCATCTCACACCAGTTAGAATGGCAATCACTAAAAAGTCAAGAAACAACAGATGCTGGAGAGGATGTGAAGAAATAGGAATGCTTTTACACTGTTGGTGGGAGTGTAAATTAGTTCAACCATTGCAGAAGACAGTGTGGAAATTCCTCAAGGATCTAGAACCAGAAATACCATTTGACCTAGTAATCTCATTACTGGGTATATACCCAAAGGATATAAATCATTCTACTATAAAGATACATGCACACGTATGTTTATTTCTGCACTGTTCACAATAGCAAAGAATTGGAACCAACCCAAATGCCCATCAATAATAGACCGGATAAAGAAAATGTGGCACATATACACCATGGAATACTATGCAGCCATAAAAAAAAGGATGAGTTCATGTCCTTTGCAGGGACACGGATGAAGCTGGAAACCATCATTCTTAGCAAACTAACACAAGAACAGAAAACCAAACACCGCATGTTCTCACTCATAAGTGGGAGTTGAACATGAGAACACATGGACACAGGGAGGGGAACATCACACACCGGGTCTGTCAGGGGATTGGGGGCTAGGGGAGGGATAGCACTAGGAGAAATACATAATGTAGATTATGGGTTGATGGGTGCAGCAAACCACCGTGGCATGTGTATACCTATGTAACAAACCTGCACATTCTACACATGTATCCCAGAACTTAAAGTATATTAAAAAAAAGAATAAAAAAACTCTGCACGAATTTAAAAATAAGTAAATACATATCACATTACACTGTAAAAAAAAAACTTAAAGTATAATTTTCTTAAAAATCAGATGCAGAACTGTGAGTCAATAAATTCTGTTCATTATAAATTACCCAATCTCAGGTATTCTCTTACGGCAGCACGAAATGGACCAAGACACAAGTGAAAGTGAAAATGCAAGCCACAGAGTGAAAAAAGATATTTGCAATACATATATTCAACACAGAATTAGTATCCAGAATATACAAAGACAAATCGACAGTGAAAAGACAGACAAACCATTTTTTCCATACTTAAAAAAGATCAAAGACTCAACCAGAAACTTCACATAAGAGGATATCCAAATCATCGATAAACATTAAAAAAGATCTTGATATCATTAGTCATGAAGGAAAATGCAAATTCAAACTATACATCTGCCATACCAGAATTGCTAAAATTATTAAAAACTTACAAACCGAGTTTCAGCAAGGATGGAGAGCCATGGGAACTTTCAATCTTGCTAGTGGAAATGTAAACTGGTACAGCCACTTTGAGAAATTTTATCAGCAGTGCCTACTATGATTACACTTCTAAGTCAACACTCAAAAAAATGTGTATACTTGTGTACTAAGAGACATGTAAAAGAGTATTCACAGTAGAATCACTTGTAATGTCAAAAACCAAAAGTCCAACCATGGTACAATGGATATATAAATTGTGATATATTCATACAATAATTTTAAAAATCCATTGCTAAATGCAACAACATGGATCAATCTCACAACATAATGTTGAGCAAAAGAAGACAGAAACAAAAGGGAACACGCTTTATGAATCAAAAACAATGAAAACGAATCTATGGTAACATAATACAGAATAGTGGTTCCTTCTTCAAGAGGTGATAAATGACTGGGAGAGAGCAAGAAAGAGTTTCTGGGGAGGTAGCTATATTCTCTATCTTGACCTGGAAAGAGATTTCACAGATATATACATTTTGTAAAACTTCATCAAGCTTTACACTTTGATGTGTCTTGTTGTATGTGTGTTGTATTTTGATTTTAACATTTTACCAAAAGACAAAGAATGAACTATAGCTATATTTATTAACATGGATAAATCTGAAAAATATGATGAGTTAAAGGAGCAAGTCTCAAAATAATATATACAGTATGATTCCACTTACATGAAATTCAAAATAGAGAGGTAAATAACTGATTAACACAAAATACAGGACAGTAATTTCCTCTCAAGCAAAGGGAAGAGGCAATCGGAGAAGGGTACCCAGCGGTCTTCTGGAGAACTGTAATATACTATTTATTGGCTAGGTTGAAAGTATAGAAATGCTTATCTTCTAGTGGCTCTTTAAAGTGTACCTATGCACTGTACATGTTTTTTGCATGCATGCTATGTTTCACAGCTGTAAAATATTTTAAGAGTAATACAACTACTGAATTACAAATTATCAGAAAACCAAAATGAGAACTTCTGATTTTCTGTCTTTTCATTTATCTGAGCAGCAGGTAATATTGTTATATACCATCTGCAGAACAGTCTTCTTTGGGTATATTACTAAATATACTTATGAAACATAAAAATAAATAACAATTAATAATCCAGTAAAGTATCAAATAATGCTGAAAATTAAAAAATGAAAATAACTTCCAAAAATCCACAACATACTTATTTTAATTTTTCAAAAAGAACTTTATTAGAAAGAAAAAGAAAACTAAATGAAAAAAAATGAGATGCTTAACAAAACTAGAAAAAGGTGAGCACAGATCCATAAACACTTTAAGACTTCGTATTTCCAACTACTTACTTTAAAATGGCACACTTGATTTTAAAACTTAAAAATAAAAACAAATTTAAAAATCGTACATTTAAATCATTGTTTATTAATATATCTCTGACTTAGAACACTCAATATTTAAATTTCATTAAAATTAAATGTTAAAATATAAGCTGTTATCCATTTTTGTTTATTAAAAAGGACAACCCAAACTGTTCAATATTACCTGACAAACAGAAACTTGTGAAATTAAAAGATGTCATTACAAAGCCTCACTCATTAAAAGAAAGAAAAAGAGAAATGTGACTAAATTGTCAGAAAGCTGACTTACTGGGGGAGAAAAAAGCCTAAATGGCCCAAGGACCATTATTTTCAAAGCTGCTCCATCCCAGTTACAAATAGTTGCCACTTGGCCTCATCTTAGTAAATACCTAAGAGTGACATTTAATTAGCACATTAATGTTGAAAATTAATGAGTAGCTAAGAGGTTTTATATGTGTGAAATGTTGTATTTTATTGTGTACTCTAACAAGCAGTTTTCACTTCTCATTTATGTAGCAGTCCTATTTCTAGAGTACAAGGTTAAGTGTCTATCAGCAAGTGTCCATTGTATAAAAGATTGTCAAATTAGTCAGATTTGGCCAGGCACAGTGGCTCACGCCTGTAATCCCAGCACTTTGGGAGGCCAAGGCGGGAGGACCATTTGAGGTCAAGAGTTGGAGCCCACCCTGGCCAACATAGCAAGACCCCGTCTCTACCAAAAATACAAAAATTAGCCAGGCGTGGTGGCGGGCACCTGTAATCCCAGCTACTCGGGAGGCTGGGGCAGGAGAATCACTGAACCCAGGAGGCAGAGGTTGCAGTGAGGGGAGATCGCGCCACTGCACTCCAGCCTGGGCGACAGTGCGAAACTCTATCTCAAAAAAAAAAAAAAAAAAATGGCCAGCATGGTAGCTCATGCCTGTAATCCCAGCACTTTGGGAGGCCGAGGCATATGGATCACAACGTCAGGCATTCAAGACCAGCCTGGCCAAGATGGTAAAGCCCCGTCTCTACTAAAAATACAAAAATTAGTTGGGCGTGGTGGCAGGCGCCCGTAATCCCAGCTATTCAGGAGGCTGAGGCAGAGAATTGCTTGAACACAGAAGGCAGAGGTTGTGGTGAGCCGAGATCGTGCCATTGCACTCCAGCCTGGGCAACAAAGTGAAACTCCATCTCAAAAAAAATATATATATATATACACACATATATGTGTGTGTGTGTGTGTGTGTGTGTGTGTGTGTGTATATTTATTTATAAACAGTTTCTTTTTTGTTAGTAGGAGCTCCTCTGACAGCAGAAATTGACCAAGAGCAACTAGATGTTGATCATGGGTGATCATCACCAAAAAAGGGAGCTGCCCGTGAAATGCAAGTAAGCACAGAAGAAAGGTCTCCCATGTGGCAGAGCCAGTTTCTATGCACCAGCACCCAAGCCCTAGTCCCCATTCCTACCCCACATCCCCACCGAGACAGAGAACAGGCCACCAGCTCTCCATCTGGTCAGTCAGGTTTTGCAATGGCCAAGCAGAAGATTCGGATCTGGTACTGTTCTGCCCAACACAGTAGCCCCTAATCACATGTGGCTATTTAAGTTAATTAAAATTAGAAATTCAGTTTTTCAATCACACCAGCCACATTTCAAGTGTTCAATAGTCACGTTTACTGGTGGCGACTGTATTGGACAGTGCCGCCTATAGAACATTACCATCAGAAAGTTCTATTGAACAGTACTGCTGTAGAACACATATCTGCCCAAACATCAGGGTTATTCACAAATAAAATGAATGTACTTTTGGCAGGTAATATTTAAGAAGGTTTTACTAAGAAGGAAAGGTATTGATTGGCTCCTTGCTAAATTATCCAACAATTTCAGGAGGAGCAATTTATAATGTTATATAGTATCATTTACATATAAAAGTGGAGTTTAACAAAGTAAAAAGATTCTTTTGCATGCCCAGACTAAAAAATTAAATCAATATTTTTAAAGTGAAAAATGTTTGCTCACATAGATTAACTTCTTCAACCACAAGTGGGTTTTCATTATACTTGATCACCATCTGCTGGCCATGTTATTAAACTGCACACACAAATGAAATGCTAGCTATATTGGGGTAAGACATACAGAATCCCAGCTTTTTGCCACAATGCATTCCTGGAAAACCATATCATAAAGAGGATCATTATAAAGCAAGTCACATTTTCCATAAGGGCAGGACCATAATTAGAATCTTCATTCCAAACTAAAATCTAGCATCAAATAACCCATGGCAAAATCTCATTAAAGCAAAGATGTAAAAACTATAGTCCTCTATAATTATTTAAAATAGGATAATTATTCTCCAAGTTCTTTCTTACAGGTATGAACACATGTATTATTTAGATGACCCAACATGAGTTAAAAGATAAATATAATTTATATAAAATTAGCCTAAATCTGATATGGTAAAAATAGTAGGTAGTTAATAATAATTATTTGCACTCTCCTAGAAATCCTAAGCAATCTGGTGTAGGCTCCTAATAAAATGGCACCTAATTAAATGCCTTCTTTTTCATCAATAAATTCCTCTCAAATAAGCAGAAGCAACGTGTTTCTTCCATTGTAAAGCAGTGTTTAAAGGTCAGGGTTTATTTAACATTACTCCTCTTCACCCTACCCTAACTTTTAATCAAAGTTTTCAGTAAAAATAATAAGTGCTATTAAATCATTTTTTTACATCTTTCCCTATCCCAGAACCTCACTGCACTTTGGTGATAAGCTACCAGACCACGTATACTTCACTGAAAAGACATAAAATTACTACAAGCCATTAACAAGAAGCTTCAAAACATTTTTCACAGAATTGTAAAGCAAGAATACAACCTATTACTTTTGTGTTCTTTGAGATAAAGCATGAAGAATATATAGATGATGTGAACTAAAATCAAAATATTAGTTACCAGCCGAGCACGGTGGCTCACACCTGTAATCCCAGCACTTTGGGAGGCCGAGGGAGGGGGATCACCTGAGGTCAGGAGTTCGAGACCAGCCTGGCCAGCACGATGAAACCTCGTGTCTACTAAAAATAAAAATAAAAAAATTAGCCAGGCGTGGTGGCACACGCCTGTAATCCCAGCTACTCAGGAGGCTGAGGCAGAAGAATCGCTTGAACCCGGGAGGCAGAGGTTGCAGTGAGCCGAGATCGTGCCACTGCACTCCAGCCTGGGTGACAGAGCAAGACTCCATCTCAAAAAAAAAAAAAAAAAAACACACAGTTACTTAGGCAGCTTCAAATATATGGCGTGAAAAAATGTAAACAATGAGGCCAGCCACTGTGTGTTCCTTCTATCCTTGAAAAAGAGGCCTATTACATTGTTTAAAGATTCCTATAAAGCCTCTTTTAAAATAGAATTACCATTCTTTATTTTGATATTGTGCAGGATTCATACTTACAATCATAACCTTTCTGCAGAGTCATAATTTATTTTTCTCAGGGAATACAAAATGACTTTTAGTAACTGAAAATAATTAATGACCAACAGACTTTAAGATAATACCCTTTGGGAGGATTAGTAATTAGGGAAGCAAAAGCATGGTCAAACAATCTAACAAGCAAGGCCCTGATGAACTATTACAATAATGATCACCATACCAGTGATGATGGTGGTAGCCGCAGCTAACACTTAACAGGCCCTCTGTCAAGGGCTCTACACGTCTTATTTCACTTTGTCCTTACAACTCCATTTGCAAATGGAGATAGTGGTAGTACTAACCCCGAAGTTAGTACTACCACTATCTCCATTTACGAGTGATGAAACTGGGGTTTAGAGAAATTAAGTAACTTGCCTGAGGACAGATGGTTGCCAAGTGTCAGAAGTGGAATGTGAACAAAGGCAAACTGCTTTCTTTCAGCTCAACCTAGAAATAACCAAAAACAAAGGTATAGCTGCCCAGGATTGCTGACGCAGCACAAGTGGAAAAAAACAGATAAAACTGAAATTTCCATATTTGCTGCATAAAGTACTTATGCCTATATGATACACTAGAAAGAACATGGGTGTGAAATCATAAGGCCCTGCATTCCAATATTGGATCCATCACTGGAAAAGTCACTGGACTTTCCTGAAGCTGTTATCTTGTCTATAAATACAAAAGGGCAATGATGTCAGCCTCACTGGACTATAGAGAGGATTCAATCTGATGACTTGGAAAAGATTTCTAGAACAGTACCTAGCATGCAGTAGGAGATCCATAAATGGTATGACTTGCCTCACTTGGCCTCTGCTTTCACAAATTAGAAATACAAGTGGAATCCACAAACATTTATTTACTAGAAAATTTTTTATTTTTATGTTTAAATGTATATATATCTGTTATACAAATTTATTAATTTGCAATGTGTATGCACAAACATTTTAACAAGATGATATTTCAGAAGGCAACTGAACAGTATCTATCAAAATAAGAGTGTGATTATTAGAAATACCATAGACACATTTTTTTTACAAGAACGTTTTTAAATGTACACTCCAAACTAGTCCAAATCCCTAAAGCTAACCACCTTTAACAGTTTCATGTGTGGTACCCAGAAAGATTCCCTGCACACGAACACATATGTATCCACAGAGCCTCTAAAACACATATACACAAACACAAACGGAAGCTTCCTATACTTTATGTACTTCTTTTTAACTTTATCCTATTAGATCTTGCCATAATAACCTATATATATGTGTGTGTATATATATGTGTATATGTGTGTGTGTGTGTATATATATGTATATATATGTGTGTGTATATATGTATATGTGTGTGTATATATGTATATATGTGTGTGTGTATATATATGTATATATGTGTGTGTATATATATGTATATATGTGTGTGTGTGTGTATATATATATATATTTTTAACCATTGCACAAGATGTTGAACCAACTAATAACTCCACCAACAAAGCAATTTCTCACCTAGGAGTCCATAATAGCCCAAAACAGATGCAGGCATATAATAATCCTTCTTGATATTCTAACTGATAATTTGGCATCTTGAAATCATGGACCAAACTAACAGCCAAAGTTGTCCACATCCTTACCATTCCTGTCTTTTTGTGGGCACTTGGAAATTATATTACAAACCCTCCAACTACAAACCCCAACATCGGTATTTCACTTTCTGTCCAATAGGGAACATCCCACCACTATATAAAAAGGCTCTCACCCATGCTTCTCCTTGCTACTTCTGCCTCCTGACCAACCCTTGTGCTTCTCCACATGGCCTGCATGGTGTGGCATGCCTCCCTCCTCTTGGAAACTGTGAGAAATAAACTCTTCTTTCAAAGGCAACTTGTCTCTATGTCTGTCATCGTATAATGTCTGATTAAAACAAACCCTGGGTGCATTTTTAAATAAGGTGCCTGATGATGGATTACTAGGATGTAAACTCAGGCATTCTTTATAACAATAAAAAATTAAAAGCAGAAGAGACAGATTAAATTATAGTATATCCACATTATGGATTATCTGTAATTTAGAAGTCCACATGATACAGGTTTAAGACATAGCTGAGTAAAAAAAAGAGCAAGTCTCAGAACAGTATGTACATTATGAGCCAATTTTTAATTTCTTCTTTTTTTTTTTTTTTTTTTGAGACAGAGTCTCACTCTGTCACCCAGGCTGGAATGCAGTGGTGCAATCTCAGCTCACTACATCCTCTGGCTCCTGGGTTCAAGCGATTCTCCTGCCTCGGCCTCCCGAGTAGCTGGGACTACAGGCACCCACCACCATGCCCAGCTAATTTTTTTGTATTTTTAGTAGAGACGGGGTTTCACCATATTGGCCAAGCTGGTATCGAACTCCTGACCTTGTGATCCGCCCGCCCTGGCCTCCCAAAGAGCTGGGATTACAGGCATAAGCCACCGCACCCGGCCTGTAATTTCTTAATTATATAGGTGTGGATGTCTATTGTAAAATGATATGCACAAAATTGTTAATGGTGATTACCACTCCAAAGTGGGATAAAGAGGACACAGAAGGATTGTGACTTTTTACTCTAAATATTTCTATATTGAGGTTTTTATAAACATGTATTATATATATAGATTGCATACTTTTCCAAAATGAGGATAAAGACTGTACTAGTCATCTATTGCTTTATAACAAATTATTACAAATTTAACAGCTTTAAACAACACACATAAATGTTCTCATGTTTCTGCAGGTCAGAAGTCCAGGCACAGCTGAACTGGGTCTTCTGTTTAGGGCCACAAAAGGCTGCAATCATGATTGGACCAGACCTGGGTTCTCATCTAGAGGCTCAACTAGGGAAGGATTCACTTCCCGACTTGTGTGGATGTCAGCAGCATTCCGTTCCTTATGGCTATCTGATTCATGTATGATTTGTGGCAGCTGCATTTTCCAAAACCAGCAAACGGAATGACAGCAAGTCTACTGGCAAGATGAAGTAATGTAATCCTGGGAATAATATCCCATTACCATTGCCATAATCTATTGGTTAGAAGCAAGTCACAGGACCTGCCCACACTCAAGGGGAGGGGATTATATAAGGGTATGAACACCAGAAGGAGGATCATGAAGACCACCAACAAGACAATTAAGGTCTTTATCAGACCTCCATGGTAAGTATCTGAAGGCTGATCAGAAAGATAATATATATTGATATAGCTCATGATTGTAGATCTAAATGAAATTAACCAAACTATACATGCATGAGATCTAAGTCTATGGTCTCCTTAGTAACATTTTCTAAAGTCATGCTCCAAACTCAAATATAACTAAAATATTTCATTGTCAAGAAAATAGGCAGATAGGCCAGGCATGGTGGCTCATGCCTGTAATCCCAGCACTTTGAGAGGCCAAGGTGGGCATATCACTTAAGGTCAGGAATTCGAGACCAGCCTGGCCAACATGGTGAAACCATGTCTCTACCAAACACAAAAATTAGCCAGGCATGGTGGTACGCACCTGTAATCCCAGCTACTCTGGAGGCTGAGGCAGAAGAATCGCTTGAACCTGGGAGGCAGAGGTTGCAGTGAGCCAAGACTGTGCCACTGTACTCTAGCCTGGGTGACAGAGTAAGACTCTATCTCAAAAAGAAAAAAAAAAGAAAAAGAAAATAGGCAGATATTTGACATAAAAATGCAGTAACAGATATATAATAGCAATGCAATGTGGAACAGTAGTTTTTCTTATAGAAAATATGGGCAATAAGATTATCTTAAACCAAGAAATATGAAAAATGAAAGCAAAGAAGAGAACCAGGACAGGACTACTAGCTAAGTGTTGAAGCTGTTTGGTGTGAAATGCTAAGTACACTAGTATATAATGTATACTTGGTGGAAAAAATAAAGCGTGAGAATAAGCCAGATGGAGTATGACCTCACCATACTTCTAACAAGTTTGGAACAAGACTATATACCATATCCTACAGGAAGAATAAAAGTAAAGGAAAGGTGCCATCTCTACTGAATAGAGAGTCCTAACAAAAAGGCTTCAAAAGGACTCTGCATCTTTAATAATATAAAAAGGCTAGGACACAAACAGCATCATCTAAAATGCCATTAGAAATACTTCACATACAAAAAGGTCTAAGTAAAGCAGGATTTTATAAAGTGATCAAAAAAGAAACACTAAGGGGGAAAAATCTTTTAAGATTAAAGAGGTTTTTCAAAGGACAAGTTGAAGTGGCTGTAAAATTTATGAGGCAGCATTAAACTTCAGTTCTAAGTAACAATAAATTATTCACCATAAAAACATACATGTGTCAAATATTATAAGCCTCTTAAACTTTTTAAAACAATTTCTTGCAGAACTGATTAGATATATTAAGTCAAGATTAGCAGATACTAACTTTTTCATTAGCATACTATGATCACTCAGAGTAAAGGAGGAAATTTAGAAAAGAAATAAGACAGAACCATCAATAGTCGATTCACCACCAAATGTGATCTGATGTCACACATGATACATATTTCACCTTAAGATTAGTTTCCTTGGCTTTAGCTAAAGTAAATGTTAGTTTTATTTTTAAATGTCTTCATGTATGTAAAAACTACAAATATCTGTTAACTAATGTAAATCAAATTAAAATTGTAAAAATAATCAAGTTAAAACTATTAAATTAAAAGAAACATAAGATACCCTGAGATATTTTGTTTTGGCAGCCCTAATTGACCTTAGTGATTCTGACATTTGACAGAGGATATTTTAAGCATGTCCTTTCCAGCTCCTTCATTGTCATTCCTCACAGTGTGTGAAGGGAATCGCTATAAACTACATCTAAGCTTCCCTCTATATTTTCTAAAATTTATGCTTCCCTCAACGTTTTCTGAAATGTTAAAAAGAAAAAAAAATCCTTTTAGGCCATTTCCTCTGTCACAATATACCCGTTTCAAAGGGATTTTGTACAGATTAAATTAAATATGTGGCAGTGTCTAACACAATCTACTTGTTCATGAATGCATTCACTGTTGAATATAGATACTTACAGAATTCCTAACACGTTCCTTCCCAGTGCTAGGGGCTGGAAATATAGCAAATACAGCAAACAGCAAAAACACAAGTTCCTACCTCATGAAATTTACAATCTAGCACACAGGACAGATAGTAAGCCTCTACACATGGGATGAAGGCAGCAAAGAAACACAGAGTACTAAAGGAGTAAATGGCGGGGTCGCCTAAACTGCCCTGGGATATCAGATAAGGCTTTTTTCACGTTGCAATCTCTGAAGGATGGGTAGGACTCACCAGAGTGCCTGCTTTTCCCATTACTTATTATATAACTGACAACGAATGCCTCATACTCTAGCAATCCTTTTGCATTAAAACACCTTTAATAATAGGTGACCAACAAAGAGAATTAAGTTATTTTTTACAATTGTGGGGATTTTACTATGGTTCCATTTCTCAAAAAAGTCAATGGCTAATAGTTGAAGGATATTCTCATTGTATTTTCTCAAACTTTATCCTGTATTCCAAAGAAGAAAAAAATCTATTCACCCGGACTCCCTGGAAATCTCAAGTCTATTTCCTACCCTGAACCCTTCTCTTATACACACCTGAATCCTTGCAAATACTTCCATGACTAAGCATAGCCACTGCACTGAAACTATCCATGTGCTCATCTTTCTCCCCCACTCATCTAAAACAATGGTTATAAATCAAAAGTCTGGAGGACTTAACAGATGAGTGATTATACTACCAGATATAAGGATATCCTTCACTTCTACAAAGACATAGTGTCTGTCTCTCCCCTTCTGTTTTTTGTTCACAGATGAGGTCTCACCCTATTGCTCACGCTGGCCTCACACTCCTGGGCCCAAGCTAACCTCCTGCTCCCACCTCTTGAATAGCTAGGACCACAGACGCACAGGCTGTGCCCAATCCTCTCCCCTTCTTAAATCACATGATCCCTCTTTTCTACCTTTCTTCTTTCACTTGATAGAACATAAAAATAGAAAAACAAATACTTCATTTTCCTCTTAACCCTACTTAAAGGGGAAAAAAAACCTCAAGCTCAATAACAGATGCAATAGACATCAAATTTGGTGTCAGGAATTAGAAGGAAATCATGAAGGCATATGCTAAGGGGGGTAACCAAGCACTACTTAGCTCCAACATATGGCTGTCTCTTAGAAAGATTTCTAGGTGTCCAGTTTTAAAGAGAAGCCAGAAAGTTGGGCTTTTATATGAAATTCCCCAAATGTTAATTTTGACAACTCATTTAAAATTGTTAAAGACATTGTTTAAGTCCAACCAAGCAAATCTACCCACACGATTCATTCAGTCCAGGAAGATCACATATTTTTAAACTATGCTCTAAGCTCTAAGATACAGGAAACTACTTTAGTTCACCTTTATACTGTAAACTCCACATTCATTACATCTAGAAAGAAACCCAGAATTTAGCTGGACTCTTAGCAGATATTTTGGCAAACAACTGATGTATTTTGCAGCTAAACTAAGAATCGTATTTTTCTTTGTATACAGACCACAATCTCTTTATACCTCCATATAAAAAGATTGCTTCAAAGGCTACAAAAATTCTACAATTACACCTCTTCTAATTGTAATTCTCCTATGAATGTAAAAATAAGTATTTTAACACCACACTTCCTACAGACTCATCTATTCATTTCTTTTTACTCTTCTGAATATGCCCTTAATTATTTCACCTCTTCCTTTTTGCCTCCCCATTCTGTTTCTCCTTTCTACTGAAATAATTTTATATGGACTGGATCTCTCACTTTTATTTATCTTTTTCTTTTCTTTTTTTTGAGACAGACTCGCCCTATCGCCCAGGCTGGAGTGCAGTAGTGGAATCTCGGCTCACTGCAAGCTCCGCCTCCTGGGTTCATGCCATTCTCCTGCCTCAGCCTCCTGAGTAGCTGGGACTACAGGCACCCGCCACCACGCCTGGCTAATTTTTTGTATTTTTAGTAGAGGTGGGGTTTCACCATGTTAGCCAGGATGGTCTCGATCTCCTGACCTCGTGATCCGCCCGCCTCAGCCTCCCAAAGTGCTGGGATGACAGGCGTGAGCCACCATGCCCGGCCTGTTTATCTTTTTCGACCATAATATCTCAGGTCTGAAAAACATATAAACAGACTACATCAACTGTGGAGACATTTCAAATTACTAATAACATTTCTATATCTGTTTAAGGAATAAACCAAAAAAATTATAGTGGACAAGAAAGATTATACTGTTAACAGAAACAGATTTCTAAAATTAAAATTACCAAGAGAATGGTGAGGAAGGAATTATAAAGTATGGTACATGGTAATTGACACTGTCCTATATTTTACTAAAACATTTCAAGGAATAAGGCCAAACAGAAAAGTAAAAATTTGATAAAAGTCCAAATTTAAATCTATCCCTTCCCTAAAGCCAAAAACTATGCTACCACAATAATGGCCTTTTTGAACATTTCAAAAATTTGGAAATTTATTTTTATTTGCACTAAAAAAACCTATTTAAGTTTAATACTCTAGTAAGAAAGCACAGTCTAATGGGGTTTACGCTTACATTCATTATATCATTAAGTGAAAACAAATATTGTTCAAGGTGGATTTGCAGGATATTTTGTTCAAGTTATTGATAATGCTTTTAATGTATGCTTGTCATAAAGGAAAATACATAATTGTGTCATTTAAAGATGCTCAGGGACCACTTGTCAAGCAATCAAAAATATATATGAAGTTAACAGGTATCTATTAAATGGCTAAAAATATAAAATAATCTTGAATGTGCAGTTAAGGGAAAAGTAAACTACTTCCATTATAAAAAAAAGGAAAAACAGAATGTATAAATCAGTTCCAAAGACAGACTAAATGATGAAACACATTCAAAATCCCATTCTCTTTACATACCTGTAGACATCAGTTGGCGACTGTACTAAAGTGTTATCTTCTCCAGAAGAGAGTTTCCATGATTCATTTAATTTGTGTTCACTTGTCTCCAGCTCACCCAGTACCCAGGCTGGTAATCCCTCTGGGCTTGAACCTTTTGCTCGTGCTGGATTTGGTTCATCAAAATAGATGGACTGATTTTTTAAAATTAGAAAAATTATTCTTTCAAAATGTACTATAATAAACCACTAAAATTTCCATCAAGTTTCAAGTTTGAAAACAGCCTTTCAAATACTCAAATTCAATTACATTCAAACATTTAAAAAATTAAATGTACATTGAATTATGAGATATTAAAATACATTAAGTGATAACATATTTACATTTTAGTTGCACTCTACTGTCTAAGAAATACAATAAACAGAAGTACATAACAGATAAATCTGATAGTAATGTTTATATTACTAAAGGAATATTAGTTAAATATGAAAAGTTAAATACAAAGTTTTTAATTATGTGCCATCCTATCTCTTTCTGTAATCACTAACTACTTTACATACACAAAAAAAGAAATCAGTGGGATGAGAAACACAAACAGTGCAACCCAGGAATTAAAATTAGGAATCCCTTGATAAGGTGGGAACAGCAGAGTGAAAAACCTGGGATTTAGTTCTGGCCACACTGCTAACTAGCTGGGAAACCCAAGAGAGTTCTCTAAACTTTCACATTATTATTATTTGTTAAATAAAGCCCTTCCCTTTGATTCTATGAAATTAAGTGTGAATGGGAAAACATGATACAATGTACTCATATCTTCACATCTAGATGTGCTTCATAAAATGTTCTACCTTTACACGTTTCTAAAGAAAACTCTGCATTGACTGCACACCTCTGCAACAATTCTCCCAATCCTACAGACAGAATCCTCAAGGCACTGTTCTTTAGGGAGGATGACACAAGACCCTCCACTCCATATGGGACATGCACAGAAATTTCTTTTTAAATGACATAGTCATTAAAACTTTTGGCATTGTGCCATGGAAAACAGGAATTATTCTCTAATGTTCAGCGTGCCACTTGACTAAATTGTGCTTTAAGTAAACTAATAAAAGTTTTAAAATACATGACACAAGAATTCTGCAGTTCATTAAAAAAATACATATATATCCTAACAGCAACTATCAAAGCTACCAATACCTAGTACTCCAGATTTCTTAAGTACAGGCACTCAAATACCAAACAAACCAAGGTATATTTTATGGTTACAAGGACCAGGGCAGTGACAATTTATCCACCAAGCATAATAATAACTGCCTTTGCAATAAAGCTGATTTTGACAATGAAATTAATTTAAGTACAGAAAATGACTTTCAAACTCCATTACTGTCATTTTATTAGAGTAAAAAGGAACTTTTACAAATCATGCACTCCAACCTCTCATAAACGTTTAAATAATATATATGAAAGAGTTTAAAAACTAGAATTTACTGAATTACGTAAAAATTACCATTACAATCCAGTGAAAATTAGCAAAAAGTAAAGCTCAATATAAAAAATTTCGTTTTCAGTTTTTTAGAAATACTGTTGAATACTGAGGCATAACTAAATCAATAAGGATACTCCCCTTATAAGCAATACATGTATTTTATTAAAGGTGGAAAAAAATTGAATCAGGAAGAAAAAAAACAATTTTAATATATTATCTAGCACATACAACCTAATAGTATTACCATTCCCCAAAGGGATGATAACTTGACGCTTTTTTTTAAATGAAACTAATATATACCTTTTGTTCATTGATACCTACCATGTATGAAGGTAGAATTTTTAGTGTCCCGGGTTCAGGTCGGTGTGTAAAAGGGCCTTCAAGCGCACCTCGTTTAAGCATATGCAATAACAATTTTGCATACAGGTTCCGATTCTTCCTCCCCATTATTCCTGCACCTGTTCCTGAAGGTTCGCACAGCTTTCTAATCCAAAGAGCACACCTCTGCCGTTCTATAAATACAGAAGAACTATTAGAAATTTTATTTTTTATAAAATGAAACATTCAATTACAAAGACCTATAATAGCACCTGCTTTAGTCTAAAAGAAGGACCAACAAACCTTTTCTGTTAAAGGCCAGAGAGTATATACTTTAGGCTTCACAGGCCATATGATCTCTGGCATAACTACTCTGCCACTGTAGCATGAAAGCACTCAGAGACCATAAGTAAACAAATGGCATGACTATGTTCCAATAAAACCTGGCAAAAAAAGACTGTGGGCAGGAGTTGGCCCATGGGCCATTGTCTGCTAACTCCTGGTCTACAATTTCACTTTATTAGGTAATTGGTAAATGAGAAAGACAAATGCAAAGAAATATTTTCTCAAAAATAAAATCTCTAGATTATCATTAAATAACTTTAATTTTTAATTATTGTGAGTACACAGTAGATATATATATTTAGGCAGTACATGAGATATTTTGATACAGGCATGTAATGTATAATAGTCGCATCAGGATAAATCGGGTATCTATCCATCACTTCAAGCATGTATCCTCTGTGTTACAAACAATCCAATTATACTCTTAGTTATTTTTAAATATGCCATTAAATTATTAGTGACTGTAGTCACTCTGTTGTGCTGTCAAATACTAGGTCGCATTCACTCTATGTTTTTGTACCCATTAACCATCCCTACTTCCTCCCCACCCATCCTTCCCACCCTCTGGAAACCATCCTTCTATCTCCATGAGTTCAGTTGTCTTAATTTTTAGCTCCCACAAATTAGTAAGAATATATGAAGATTGTCTTTCTGTGCCCAGCTTATTTCACTTAACATAATGTCCCCCAGTTCCAGCCATGTTGTTGCAAATGACAGGGTCTCATTATCTTTTATGGCTGAATAGTACTCCATTGTGTACATATATCACATTTTCTTTATCCATTTGTCTGTTGATGGACACTTAGGTTGCTTCCAAATCTTGGCTATTGTGAACAGTGCTGCCACAAACATGGGAGTGCAGATATCTCTTGGATACACTGATTTCCTTTCTTTGGGGTATATAACTAGCAGTGGGATTGCTGGATCACATGGTAGCTCTATTTTCTAGTTTTTCTGAGGAACCTCAAACTCTTCTCCGTAGTCACTCCACTAATTTGCATTAACACCAAAAGTGTAGGAGAGTTACCTTTTCTCCACATCCTTGCCAGTGTTTGTTATTGCCTGTCTTTGGATAAAAGCCATTTTAACTGGGGTGAAATAATATCTCACTGCAGTTTTTATCTGCGTTGCTCTGATGATCAGTGATGTTGAACATCTTGTCACATGCCTGTTTGCCATTTGTATGTCTTCTATTGAGAAATGTCTATTTAGATCTTTTGCCCATTTTTAAATCAGATTATTTGATTTTTTTGTATAGAGTTGTTTGAGCTCCTTATATATTCTGGTTATTCCCTTGTCAGATGAATAGTTTGAAAAGATTTTCTCTCATTCTCTGGATTGTCTCTTCACTTTGTTGATCGTTTCCTTTGCAGAAGCTTTTTAACATGATGAGATCCCATTTGTCCATTGTCGCTTTGGTTGCCTGTGCTTTTGGAGTATTACTCAAGAAATCTCTGCCCAGACCACTACCCTGGAGATTTTCCCCAATGTTTTCTTTTAGCAGTTTCCTTGTTTGAGGTCTTAGATTTCAGTCTTTAATCCATTTTTATTTTTGTATATGGTGGGAGACAAGGGTCTAGTTTCATTCTTCTGTATACGGATATTGAAAACTTGATATCCGTATACAGAAGAATGCCTTTAAAAATGTTTGCATTTTTGCTGTGAAAATTACGTAATCACAGAACAAACTAATGAAATATCAGGATTACTTTGTACAAGAAGATACAAAAGTGAAACTGATAAACTTAAGTAAATGGCACCATTTATTGAAGAGACTGTCATTTCCCCAGTGTAAGTCCTTCACACCTTTGTCAAAAATGAAATTCCTGTAAATGTACGGATTTGTATCTGAGTTTTTAATTCTGCTCCATAGGTCCATGTGATTGTTTTTACGCCAGTACCATGATGGTTTGGTTACAATTGCTCTGTAGTATAATTTGAAGTCAGGTAATGTAATTCCTCCAGTTTTATTATTTTTGCTCAGGATAACTTTGGCTATTCTGGGTCTTTTGTGGTTCCACATAAATTTTAAGGTTGTTTTTTTCTATTTCTGTGAAGAATGTCATTGGTATTTTGATAGGGATTGCACTGAATCTGCAGATTGGTTTGGGTAGTATGGACATTTTAACAATATTGATTATTCCAATCCATGAACATAGGGTATCTTTCTGTTTTTTTGTGTCTTCTTCAATTTCTTTCATTAATGTTTTATAGTTTTCATTATAGAGATCTTTCACTTCTTTGGTTAATTCCTAGGTATTTTATTTTATTTGTAGCAATTGGAAATGAGATTACTTTCTTGATTTCTTTTTCAGATTGTTTGCTGTTGGCATATAGACATGTTACTGATTTTTGTATGTTGATTTTGTACCCTGCATCTTTACTGAATTTGTTTATCTGTTTTAATAGGTTTTTGGGGGAGTCTTTAGGTATTTCCAATATAAGATCATAGCATCTTTAAACAAGCATAATTTGACTTCTTCCTTTCCAATTTCGATGCCCTTTATTTCTTTCTCTTGCCTGACTGCTCTAGCTAGGACTTCCAATACTATGCTGAATAACAGCGGTGAAAGTGGTCAACCTTGTTGTATTCCAGATCTTAAAGGAAAGGCTTTCAGTTTTTCCCCATCCAGTACAATACTAGCTATGGGTCTGTCATATATGAATTTTATTATGTTGAGGACTGTTACTTTGATACCCAGTTTTTTTTAGGGTTTTTATCATAAAGGGATGTTGAATTTTATCAAATGCTTTTCCAGCATTAATTGAAATGATCATACAGTTTTTGTCCACCATTGTGTTATGATTTATCACATGGATTGATTTGCATCTGTTGAACCATCCTTGCATCCCTGGGATAAATCCTAGTTGGTCATGATGAATGATCTTTTTAATATATTGTTGAATTCTGCTTGCAAGTATTTTGCTGAGGATTTTTGCATTAATGTTCATCAGGGATACTGGCCTGTAGTTTTCTTTCTTTGATGTATCTTTGTCTGGTTTTGGTATCAGGGTAATACTGGCCTCGCAGAATGACTTTGAAAATATTCCTCCCTCCTCTATTTTTTTGAATAGTTTGAGTAAGATTGGTATTAGTTATTATTTAAATGTTTAGTAAAATTCATCAGTGAAGCCATCAGGTCCAGGGCTTTCCTTTGCTGGGAGACTTTTTATAAATAAAATTCTGTGATAAAATTTTGTTATAATTTTGCATCTCTAAAATAATTTTAGATATATTGAAAAATCTTTCTATAATTTTAATTATGTAAACCTTGAAAGAGATAAAATGCAATCTCTGATTTATCTAAGCATTTTCAACTTACTCTAAAATTAAATCTTGAATGTTTTATTTATGAAATCCAATAATACCCAGGGATTTGTAGCTGATTGATTGAGGGTTTTAACATCTTTAAAAATAATTGAGCACTACTGACATGTCATTTTGTGAAATAATTATTCTTTTCAAAATCTACCTAAAAATCACAGCACAGTTTAATCTACATATAATGGTCTATATTATCTTGCCATGACACAGGATTGTTTTAGGTCTCAGGAAAACTATTCTGGTATTAATTTTTTATCAGTCTAAGTCAATTTGAGGATTATATATCTAATGCAAATCATAAATCTGCTCTAATCTTTTAGTTTACAAAGGTCATATTCATTTATTGTTTTACCTACAAAAATACACTAAGACCGGATTTACTATGGTGCAAACATCATTTCAGGTTGGAAACTTATGCCTTTAAAATTTTTTGTATTTTTTGATATGAAAATTATATAATCATAAAATAAACTTCATGAAATATTGGGAACACTTTGAACAAGAAGAAAATACAAAAGTGAAACTGATAAACTTAAGTAAATAGTTTTTCAATCTACATACTTTCCACATCCCATAGCAAACTGAAATCTATATAATATTCTAATGTCCAGAATTTAGTACAATTTGGTTAATGAAAGCATTCCTCTATGTAAAATAATGGGAAAACCCATTATCACAAGTTGAATTTAGCAATAAGATGTAATTTATTATGAATTTCTAGTTCTTGTTTAAGATGTGAGTTTCAGATTGCTTATTATAAACTAATTAAATAAAAGAATGCCATAGATGTACCAATACTGACAATGTGTCAAGGAATCAAAGATTATAATTAATGAATTCTATGTACCTAACTTTTTTTTTTCTTTTGAGATGGAGTCTCGCTCTGTCGCCCAGGCTGGAGTGCAGTGGCGTGATCTTGGCTCACTGCAAGCTCTGCCTCCCGAGTTCACGCCATTCTCCTGCCTCAGCCTCCCAAGTAGCTGGGACTGCAGGTGCCCACCAACACGCCCATCTAATTTTGTGTGTGTGTGTGTATTTTTAGTAGAGTCGGGCTTTCACCATGTTAGCCAGGATGGTCTTGATCTCCTGACTTCATGATCCACCCGCCTCAGCCTCCCAAAGTACTCGGATTACAGGCATGAGCCACCGCGCTTGGCCCCTAAAATCTTTTTTTAAAGAAGATAAAATATGGGGATGGTTTGATTTGAAATACATTTACAATGAGAAATTTTAATACAAATGTTTCCTAATCAGCAAATCTAAGACAAAAAGAAAAAATGTAGTGAATATCAGAAGAGGATGCAATATAAAAATATCATTAGATATCATTCAAATAATCATGAACAAGTCATAGGACATGAAATAGTCATTTGAAAAATAGCAGAGGAAGAAAGAAGAGGTTAAAGCCTGACAAGGTCAAGAGCAGAAGGCAGAGGAGGAGGTCTTCAAGGGAAGACCATGGCAACTTACCCAGGACTAGGAAAGGTTGAAGGCCCTAGAACAATAAGTGAACACGGAATGCATAATTTATATATCATACTCCCTTCTCCTAACACAGCTCCCTGGAATAAATGCAACAGTCTCCACTTATCCATGGTTTCGCTTTCCTCTGTTTCAGTTACCTACACTCGAATGCAGTCCAAAAATAGGTGAGCACAATACAATAAGATATTTTGAAAGAAAGAGGGAAATTACTTTCACACAATTTTTGTTACATTATATTGTTATAATTGTTCTATTTTATTATTAGCTATTGCTGTTAATCTCATACTGTACCTAACTGATAAACTAAATTTAATCATCAGTGTGTATGTATAGGAAAAGACAGAGCATATATAGGTTTTAGTACTATCAGCTGTTTCAGGCAGCCTCTGGGGGTCTTGGAATGTATTCCTCAAGATTAAGGGGGATTGCTATATTTAATACTGAGTCAGTTCCTCACTGAATATAGAGTCTACTCAGACACCTTAGGGAAACAGGCAACTTACAGAAAGTAAAAGCCATAGTTTCTTGGTCCCACTCCAAACCTACCACTCAAAAGCTACCAAGTCATATTTACCTTTACAGACAATCTCACACCTACTACGCCTTAGAGAATCTTCCCAGTCCCCAAAATTCTCCCCAATTGTTCTCTAGTGTCTTAAGTTACATGAAAATTCTCTAACTTGAGAAAAAGACTTTCATTCCATAATTAGAAATAACAGGCCAGGAATTGGAGACAAGATAGCAACAAAACTTTATTCACACTGGATTTTGTTCTGCCAACAAATAAGCATAAAAAACCAATAGATTATTTTCTGCTTTGATAGACAGGGCCGGAGAACAGGAGAACACTAGGCTCCTCCTGTCTCTGGCCCTTTCCATAGAAAGAAGAAAAATTTGCAAGAAAAATTTCCATAGAGAAAAGAAAAAGATGCAAGAAAAAAGGTTGTAGCTAACTTTAGAGATCCATGTGCTATAAGTTCATGACATGTGAGACGAGGCATCACAATAAGATCTTTCCACAGTTTGGCAGGACATTATCACTGAATGTCTATCTACCCTTGAACAACTCAGTGTAAACAGTCCTATGTCAATGGCAAAAATTGTTACTAGAGAAATTCAGTTTTTCTTCCATGTTGATAGTTCATTGGTTTGACTAAATAATATAAAGAAAAAAATTAATCTTAAGAATCTAATCTTCAAACATAATCTTACCTGTCCTATGAGGTAATTTTAGAACAAAGGGCTTCATATCAACCACAAAGTGATCAAATTCTGCATCCAGCTTCTCCCATTTTTCTTCTTCACTTCCCACTTCCATAATCCAATCTGTAAAAGATTTTAAATCAAAATATTAAGGATTTGTATGCTGAAAACTACAAAACTCTGATGAGAAAGATAAAAAAAACTCTTAAGTGTTAGATATCAGTTCTCCCCAAATTGACCTGTAGATTTAATGCAACTCCCATCAAAACCCAGCCGTATTATTTGTAGAGATAAGCTTAATTCTAAAATTTACATGAAAAAGTAAAGGAACTAAAGAGCCCAAACAATTTTGAGAAAGTACAAAGTTGGAGAACTCACATTACCAGATTTTAAGATGTACTCCAAAGCCACAGTAGTCAAGACAATTGGTATTGGTGAAAGGATAGACAGATCAGTGGAAAAGATTAGAGAGTCCAGAAACCAGACCAAAACAAACATAAACAACTGATTTTCAACAAAGGTGTGATCCATGAAGAAATGACAGTTATTACAACAAATGATGTCATAACAATTGGATATCCATATACAAAAAAAAAAGAACTTCAACCTAAACTTCATCCTGTATATAAAAATTAACTCAATATGAATCACAGACCTAAGTGTAAAAATGTAAAACTATACAACTCTTACAAGAAAGCATGGGAGGAAATCTTTGCAAACTTGAGTAAGGCTAAGATTTCTTATATACAACATTAAAAGCACTATCCACAAAAGGAAAAACTGACCAGGCATGATAGCTCATGCCTGTAATCCCAGAACTTTGGGAGTCCCAGGCAGGAGGAATGCTTGAGCTCAGGAGTTAAAGACCACCCTGGGCAATTTGGTGAGACCCCATCTCTACAAAACAAAAAAAAAATTAAAAATTAGCCAGGTGTAGTGGCACGTACCTGTAGTCCCAGCTACTTGGGATGCTGAGGTGGGAGAATTGTTTGAAAGTGTGAGAGGTAAAGGCTGCAGTGGGCCATGATCGCACCACTAAACTCTAGCCTCGGTGACAGAGCAAGACCCTATCTCAAAAATAAAAAAGAAAGCTGACATATTGAACTTCACAAAAAAAAACTGTCCTGCAAAGGACGTTGTTAAGGAATTGAGAAGATAAGCCACAGACCAGAACAAAATATTTGCAAATCATACATCTCATACGAGACTTGTATCAAGAATACATAAGGACTCTCAAAATTCAACAATCAGAAAACAAACTACCCCGATAATCAGCAAAAAAAATTAGTCCCTTTACCAAAGAAGAAATACAGATGGCAAGTAAGCACATGACAAGATGCTCAATATCATTACAGAAATGCAAATTAAAACTATACTGAGATACCACTAACATTAAAAATGCAAACAATACCAAGTGCTGGTGAGGATGGACAACAACAGAAACTCTCATGCATTGCTGGTAGAAATACAAAATAGTACAGGCACTCTGGAAAACAGTTTGGCAGTTTCTTACAAAAATAAACATACACTCAGCCTATGACCCAGAAATCCCACTCCCAAGTATTTAGCTAAGTGAAAAGAAAAATCTATATACACAAAAAAATCCAAATGTGATTTTTTTTAAATAACCACCAAACAACTGAAAACAGCCCAAATGTCCCTCAAATGGTGACTAGATAAACTGTGGCATATCCACACAATAACATAGTACTCAGCAACAGAAAGGAATGAACTGCTGATACACACAAAACATGGAAACTTCAAATCCTTATGCTAAGTGAAAGAAGCCCTTCTCAAAAGGCTGCATACTAATTCCATTTGTGTGACATTCTAGAAAAGGCAAACAATATAGGCATAAAGAACAGATCAGCAGCTCATGGGGATAGCAGTGGGGGCAGAGTCTCAACACAAAGGGATGGCACAAAGAAACGATTTGGCATGTTGGAATTTTTCTGTACACTATCTATGTAGGAAGTTATAAGAACCTACAGTGGCAAGAACTATATGCCAAAAAAAGTGCATTTGCTGTATATAAGTTAAAAAAAATTTTTTTTGAGACAGAGTCTTGCTCTGTTCTCCAGGCTATGGAGTGCAATGGCACAATCTTGGCTCACTGCAACCTCCGCCTCCTGGGTTCAAGTGATTCTCCTGCCTCAGACTCCTGAGTAGCTGGGATTACAGGCACACACCACCATGCCCGGCTAACTTTTCTATTTTTAGTAGAGATGGGGTTTCACCATGTTGGTCAGGCTGGTCTCGAACTCCTGACCTCGTGATCCATCCACCTCAGCCTCCCAAAGTGCTGGCATTACAGGCATGAGCCACTGCGCCCCGCCAAATTTAAACTTTTTAATCCTTTTTAAAAACTGTAAAATATTGGTCATCATACTTCCTTCTAATTAACAAGAAAAACACTGAATACAAAGGGGGTGAATCCCAAAAATCAAAAGTGTAGGTTTTGACAAAATTTGTTAAGTTAAAAATACATACACACACTACATGTTCCTTTAAACTGTGAAATGTCCTGATAGGGATGTGCGCTACCTTTACATTATGAATAGTGCCAATTTGTCATTTATTCCATTTACAAATTCTATATTCGGTGAAAAGCTTTGTTCTGCCTCATAAGCTATCTTGCTCCACAAACTGCCCTCTATCTGCTAAACCAGCTTCTAATATTTACCACATTATCAAATGGTTTCCATCATTTCATCATTAACAACCTCTTCATAGAAAGTTCTCTCTACCCTGTCTCTGTAAGTAAATCGTAGCTTTTACTTGCTGACTTTACTTTCCTCAGTCATTAGAGGTAAGCCAAGGTCTCTCATAATCTCTCTCATTCTCTCTCTCTCTCTCTCTCTCCCCACCCGCTCTCTCATGCATCCTCTGTAGTCTTTCACTTTCTCCACTCAACCATGCAATGGAAGGAAAACACTTACCAAGATCCATCCTGCCACTTCCCAACTACTGCTCTTCCTCCCTCAGCCCCAAAATCCCTCATGAGGCTCAACGCTCCAACCATCTGACTACCATGTACTCCCCTTTCTCATCTCTGTCATCTTGCAAAGAAACCCGTCTGAAACTAGCCTCTTGTCCTCTTTTTTCTTTTCGTTTCGTTTATTTCTTTCGTTTTTTGAGACAGAATCTCACTTTGTAACCCAGGCTGGAGTGTAGTGGCACGATCTCGGCTCACTGCAACCTCCACCTCCCGGGTTCAAGGGATTCTCCTGCCTCAGCCTCCCGAGTAGGCACCCGCCACCACGCCCAGATAATTTTTCGTATTTTTAGTAGAGACGGCGTTTCACCGTGTTAGCCAGGCTGGTCTTGATCTCCTGACCTCGTGATCCGCCTGCCTCGGCCTCCCAAAGTGCTGGGATTACAGGCATGAGCCACCATGCCCAGCTGCCTCTTGTCCTCTTAAATGCTCTCTTCTTATTCCACTAGATCTTTCCTTTCTACTTGGCAAGGCTGCAATCCCTTGATGCCCTCCTTCATGCTCTACAGGGTTGCTGGGAAAAAATGGCACTGCCTTATAGTCAGATGGCTTCCAACATTACCTGAACCCTCAGGAGTCTTGCTATTTCCTACTCCACAAAGCAACTTTAAAACTTTTCCCAAATATCCTACAGCCCCTTGAATAACTCCAGCTTCTCCTAACTCTCAATTTAAAAATCATAAATCTTGCTTCAGGGAAAAAATAATAGTCAGGTGGTACCACCCCAAGATGTTATTCCTCCCACCTCTCAACTTACCTCTCAGAGAAAACACTCTTCCACCTCTGCTCCTGTATCAGACGCAGTAACTCTCCCTCTACCTGTCCTCTATCAATTGCCTATTTGCTATGTAAAATTTTCCATCTCCACTCACTCCTTCCCCTCTGATGGCAGCTGAGAAATATCTCAAAATCTGCCTGCTTCTCTATTCTCACTGCCACGATCTCAGATAGAGGCCTGCCCACCACTTAACTTGAACTACTGTGGCAGCCTCATCATCTGTCTCCCTACTGTCAGTTTTCTCTACTTGAGTCCATTTTCCTCACCTGTTCCAGAATGAGTTTCCTAATGACAAAGCTAAGTCTATCACTTCCTGTTTAAAAATCTCCCCTCATTCTAGCATTCCATTCGCCAAATCCACTTACTTTCTCCACTTCATCAACTTCTATCCAGATCTCACCCCCTGTATATTACCTCTTCTATCTCCATCATGGTAGCAAAAATCTTTCAAAGTTCACCAGTGATCCACTAATTGCCAAATCCAAAGGGCTGTCTTCAGTTTGCATCCTATTTGACATCTCCACAGCATCTTCCACTTCTGACAACTCCCTGCTCCTAAGAAACTCTTCTTTGACTTCAGTGGTTCCATTCACTGCTGGCTCCCCTACTGCCTCAGATCATTCCTTCTCGGTCTCTCAATGGCTCTGGCTTCTCCAGTCAATATGGACTCTCCAGTGCTCTTTCCTTAGTCTCCTTTTGATCTGACTTTTCACACTCGCATAGTGATTGTATTCAGTACCATCGCTTCAAGTATTCGTTTCATGCCATTCACCCTTAAATTTTATTTCAAACTCCAGCCTCTCTTTGCAACTCCAGACTCATTTACAATAGCTCCTGGACCTATTCACTAATGTCCTGTTTATTATCTAGATTTATATGTCCAAGAAAACAATCCTTGATGTTTTTCTCCATAAATCTATGATGTACTCTGCTTGATGACATCATCATCTACTTCATCTCCCAAGCTAGAAGTTTCAATGTTCCCATCCTCTGAACCCCCATAAACCAATACATCAATAAATGCTGAGAAATATCTCAAAATCTGCCTGCTTCCCTATTCTCACTGCCACGATCTCAGATAGAGGCCTGCCTACCACTTATTTGAACTACTGCGGCAGCCTCATCATCTGTCTCCCTACTGTCAGTTTTCTCTACTTGAGTCCATTTTCCTCACCTGCTCCAGAATGAGTTTCCTAATGACAAAGCTAAGCCTATAGCTTCCTGTTTAAAAATCTCTCGTGACTGCCTAAAACAGAATACTATCCAAACCCAAAGTTAGGCATACAAGTACCTTTGCATTTAGGCCTGTCTCTCACACCACACACACAAACACACACACACACACACACACACACACACACACACACACTTTGCCTAACTACACCAACCCACAAATGCCCACTTCCCTCTTGCCACAATGAACTCCTCACCATGGTCAAACCCCCCCCCACCCCCGAGCCCTTATCTAATCCCACCCCCTTTTCATAGGCTATTCCCTCCACCTGGAGTCAGGTAAATGCAGCTCAAATGTCACCTGAGTGAAGCTGGCCCCCCCTTGCCCTAGACTGGCTGTTGCTCTGTTCTCAGTGTAAACTGTTCACATCTGTGTACAGCATTTATCATGCTGTTTTTTTTTTTTTTTACACATCTGTGTATTATTATGCATACATCTTCCATTATCTGTGAGAAGCTCCTAGAAGGCAGGGACCATGATTTACACATCTTAGTAAGTACCTAGCTTATTACCTGGTACTCATCATTTTTTGTTTGGTTGGTTTTGTTTTACATGTATACAATATATTCCATCAGTTATGCACGTGGTAACAGAAGGCTATGATACCAGTGCTGGATGTGAGATCATAATGTTGAAAAGCAACAATTCAAATAGATGAACAAACCAATGGAAAATCATAAACCCAGAGTTTTAAAGCACAGCTCTGGCCTAGATGTACTCCGGGGCTTAAAGACTATATACTGCCCACGTACTCAAACATTTGCCTGAGAACATCTATAGCTAAAGCAAAATAAAAAAGATTCCTCCTAATCACTAATTCTCAATAAATCCTTTGACATGGGCAGGAAATGTTAGTGTTTAACATTAGAGGAAACTAAAATTCAACCATTAAATGACTAACTCAAAATCATGAAATCAAGCACAAAGCTCAGATTAAAATTCTGAAACCTCTAGCCCTCAGATTTATTATATTGGCCATTTACATATAAGTGAGCAATATCTCCAACTAATTAAAAAGTATTTTGAAGGCCAGGCGCGTTGGCTCACACCTGTAATCCCAGCACGTTGGGAAGCTGAGGCAGGCGGATAACTTGAGGTCAGGAGTTCAAGACCAGCCTGGCCAACATGGTGAAACCCCGTCTCTACTAAAAATACCAAAAAAATTAGCTGGGCAAAGTGGCACACACCTGTATTCCCAGCTACTAGGGAGGCTGAAGCAGGAGAATCGCTTGAACCCGGGAGGCGGAGTTTGCAGTGAGCTGAGATGGTGCCACTGCACTCAACCTGTGTGACACAGCAAAACTCTGTCTCAAAAAAAAAAAAAAAAGTATTTTGAAAAGTAGAAAGGCAATTGGAATTGCTATATTGACATGCAATATTGAAGTATACATTTAAAAAAAAAACTAAAGAATCAAAGTAACATTTGGTAAAAACTAAAAATCTGCTTCTTCTTATCCCTTAATTTTTCTCCAAAAAAATAAAGAAATGGAAAAAGAAACAAAAAAACTAACATTTCAAACCTTCAAGGAATTATTGCTATACAAATTACATCTTATTGGCCAGGTGTGGTGGCTCACATCTGTAATCCAAACACTTCGGGAGGCCAAGGTGAGTGGATCATTTGATCCCAGGAGTTCAAGACCAGCCTGGGCAACATAGTGAGACCCTGTCTCTACAAAAAAATACAAAAATTAGCCAAGCATGGTAGCATGCATCTGTAGTCCCAGCTACTCGGGAGACTGAGGTGGGAGGATCACTTGAGCCCAAGAGGTCAAGGCTGCAATGAGCCAAGATCACACCACTGCACTCCAGCCTGAGCAATAAAGTGAGACCCTGTCTCAAAAAACCTGAAAATGGAACGGGTGCAGTGGCTCACACCTGTAATCCCAGCACTTTGGGAGGCCGAGGCGGGAGGGTCACCTGAGGTCAGGAGTTCGAGACAAGCCTGGCCAATTAAAAACACAAAAATTAGCCGGGCATGGTGGCAGGCACCTGTAATCCCAGCTACTCAGGAAGCTGAGGCAGGAGAATCGCTTGAACCTGGGAGGCAGAGGTTGCAGTGAGCTGAAATCATGCCACTGCACTCCAGCCTGGGTGACAAGAGCAAAGCTCCGTCTCAAAAAAAAAAAAATTGAAAATGAAAAATAAATAATTTAAAAACAAATTACATCATATTCACAAATTGTATCTAAGTTCCAACTTATCAAAAGTTTCATACCATTTATCAGAATTGAAAATTTAAATTACTGGAATTGAAAAATAAGTAAAGCAACATCTTTGGCTTAGGCTTAGAGTAATTATAGTGTGCCTATCAGTTATATAAATTATTTCAAAGGTAACCCAGGTGACGGACGTTGCAGTGAGCGTGAGCTGAGTTTGCACCACTGCACTCCAGCCTGGGCCACAGAGCAAGACTGTCTCAAAAAAATAAATAATTCCAAAGGTAAAAAAGAAGTAAATTGGGTGACTCTTGCTTATAGCTACAATCTATATTTGGATCATGTCTTTTATTAAACTCACCCATGCTGCCTTTTTTTAAACTTCTTTTTGGACAGCTACAAAATGGGCTTACCTACCCTACAGTCAGCAAACATAACCAAACCACAAGTATTAAAAGGTCTGGGAAAAAAAGGAGTCACAACTGCCAAGCAAAGAATACACTTCATTCATATCACACTCCTTGCCAAACAAAACAAACGTTCTTGGAAGTTGTGTAAAACCCATTTTGTTCAATCAAATCATATTTTAAATATATTGTGGGTCATTAAAGAAAACTGGAAACGTCGACAAATTAAAAAGGATTAGAGGTGCACGTTTTCTCTGGCTTACACGTGTGGATGTTTTGACAAGAGCCTTCCCTGACTCTACCCGTAGCTCAGTGTGTGCTTTAGAAACAAATCTCAGTTTATTCTCTGGCCCGGCCCTACCATTTCCGCACCATTTCCATGGTCATTTCACAGAGGAAGAAGGAAGCTGAGGCTTAAGTGAGGTGAAGTCACTGACCTAGGTTCTTAGTGGACAGTGACAGCTGGGCCTGAACACTGCACAAATTATTAATACCATGCATTCCACTAAGCTGCAGCCTGACCACTGTGGAGAGGCTCATGGAATTTAATGTGCCTTTTCTATCTTATTTTGACTCATCTTAAAATATTAAAAACAAATAAAAGTAGCCGTGCAATGATCAGAAAAGCTGTTCACATTTACTTATGTCGTTCTCTTGAACACTTAAAAATAATTAACTCAGAAACACAGGGTAGCATCCTACATGCGGCGGTGCTGGGCTTGGGCCTCTCCAAGCGGCCTATGACTTTCTGCAAACCAACCAGCGCCCTGGTTCTGTCCCCGCAAATCCAGCTGATTGTTCTGAGACTCTTTTCTGGGACGGAATTGAAAACTCCAGCGGTGCCGTTCCTGGCAGTCCCTTCCTCGGCCCGCCGAGGCCCAGGCCCAGGCCGCGCTCCTACCTTGTCCAGGACACAGATTTCCTCTCCCAGTCGCAAACCCTTGGGTCAGACTCTTGGACCACGTCAGACCGATCAAACCGGCTGATCAAACTTTACTTAGAACTTTCCCAAGTCGTCCCGGCCTGGATCGCGCTCTGCCTGCCGGGGACACCACAGCGGGCAGCGCCGGGACCCCAGGGGCGCGCGCCCCCCAGGCCCGGAGAACGGGCCCAGGGCCTGAGGGCGACGCCCCTTCCCGAACGGGCCCGCAAGGGCGGGGCGGCAGCCACCGGCGCAAAATTCCACTCAAGAACCTGGTGGGAGGGGCGGGGGAAGGAAATTCAGAAAAAAACGAGAACCTGGCACCACCACACGCAAGCTTTCCGCTCGGCCGCTGCCGCCAACGCCGCCGCCACCGCCGCCCCTGCCAAACGGTTTCAAATCCTTGCGGGCCGCTGGGTCGCCGCCGCCCAGCAGCCCGGGGGCGGGGACTTTCGCGCTCGCATTTCCCCGCCCCCTACTCCACCCCTCTAGCCTGCGGTGCGGTTGCCATGGCGACGTTCCCGGCGGCGGCGACCACCGGCGCCCCAGGCTGGGGGCGGAGACTTCCGCGCGGGCATTTCTCCACCCACAGGTGGCGGCGTGCGCGCGGCCCCGTTGCCATGGCGACGCTCCTGCTGGCCCAGCAACCGCCAGACTCGCACCCCAGCTTGTGGGCCCCTTGGCGGGTCCCCAGTCGAAGCTTCCGGGATAACCCGACCACAGTTTGAATGCTGCTGCCCTCCCGCATCCCGCGCAGAGTCGCTTATGATCACCTTAGGGGCCGTGGCGAAAAAATAAGGGCACAGAAAATGGGGCGGCTGGAGGATGTTCACAAAAGGGGTGATCCGTTATGTGGACAGACATCAGAGTTGAATGGGTCTCAAGTGAAAATTTCCTCACTCTCTGATATATCAAAACCCAAGTCAAATTCTTCAAAAGGTTCTTTTTAAAACCTATCTCACTGGAAGTAAACACCAACAGCTAGCTCTTCCTTGTCTCAAAGACAAATCATGCTAAGGAAAATAAAGGGTACAGAATGCTTTTAAGAATGTTTAGTTTTCAAAAGCATACTTGAACATGTTTATAACTAGGGAATGATATATAATCCAGATAATTAGTACTGAGAATCAAGGATGCAAAATCAAGCATGCAATTGCAGGAATTTAACCAGTCAGTTAATACATTCAAGATAGATAAACTGGCCGGGCGGGGTGGCTCACGTCTGTAATCCCAGTACTTTGGGAGGCCAAGGTGGGCGGATCAGGAGGTCAGGAGATCGAGACCATCCGGGCTAACACGGTGAAACCCTGTCTCTCCTAAAAATACAAAAAATTAGCCAGGCGTGGTGGCACACGGCTGTAATCCCAGTTACTCGGGAGGCTGAGGCAGGAGAATTGCTTGAACCCGGGAAGCAAAGGTTGCAGTGAGCCGAGATTGCGCTACTGCACTCTAGCCTGGGCGACAGAGCGAGACTCAAAAAAAAAAAAAAAGATAAACTACCCTACTCCAGCCTCAGGAGGAGGAGGACATTGGTCAAAGGAAACAAAATTTAAGTTAGATTGGAGGAATAAGTCTAAGCGATCTATTTTACAACGTGGTGACCATAGTAAATGATAATGTATTGTGTTCTTGAAAATTGCTAAAAGAGTACATCTTAAGTGTTCTCATCACAAAATTAATAAGTATGTGAAGCAACGCTTATGTTAATTAGCTTGACTTAGTCATTTCACAATGTTGTGCATAATAAATATATGCAATTTTTAGAATCATAAACTGCATTGCTGAAAGAATATGAAATGAATTTGACAAATGGTGTCTAAATAAACATGAAAAGAAAAATAGAAGATAAATAAATAGAAGATAAATCAAAGAAAAAATGTAACAAGCTCAAGCTCATCTCAGAGGAAATAACTATAGCAGAAAAATATAACTGAAAATGAAAAATGTCTTTAAATATTTCCTCTACTTAGGTGAAAATAAGATGAGTAGATCTCCCTTCCCGCTTTTAAGAACAAGCTGATTGTCATTTTTTTCATTTATATATATCATTTTCATTTATATATTTTTCATTCATATATACACACACATGCAAATAAAAATATTAAGATATGCATAGAGAGTTTTATTATTTATGTTATATGTATATAACATGAAAGGGATACCAGCTTGAGCCTGAGCTGTGTTCACCTTAGAACTCAAGCCTACATGTCATGTTTAGACGACTGGTAGGCAAGTTTCACTTGGAAACTCCTTACCTGAGAACCAAGGAACCTCCTAGAAATTAAGTCATCCTGGCTGAGCATGGTGGCTCATGCCTGTAATCCCAGCACTTCGGGAGGCTGAGGCAGGTGGATCATGAGGTCAGGAGTTCAAGACCAGCCTGGCCAATATGGTGAAACCCCGTCTCTACTAAAAATACAAAAATTAGCAGGTGTGGTGGCAGACGCCTGTGATCCCAGCTACTCAGGAGGCTGAGGCAGGAGAACCGCTTGAACCCAGGAGGTGGAGGTTGCAGTGAGCCAAGATCACGCCACTGCACTCTAGCCTGGGTAACAGAGTGAGACTCTATCTCGAAAAAAAAAAGAAAAAGTAAGTCATCCTAAAGAGATCTGGTTCAATGGCAATATGCAAAATTGAAGGGGAAAGTGATGATGCATGAAGCAAAGTGTTGGCCGTGAGTTGCCCTTCATGTAGCATCTTCCTCTTTGTATAAGAGAGTGATTCCTAATCTTACAGTGTAAAGAACTTCCTTTGAGAATTTTCTTTTTTCTTTTTTTAGAGGCAGAGCCTGGCTCTGTCACCTAGGCTGGAGTGCAGTGGCATGATCATAGCTCACTACAGCCTCCAACTCCTGAGCTCAAGCAATCCTCCCACCTCAGCCTCCCAAGTAGCTCAGTCAGAGACAGAGCACTATGATAGGGTAGTTCCATCATACACAGAGCACCCATGTGACTCACCCTGGGGACCTCTACAAATATTTGGGAAGAAATTGCTGAACTCAGAGCCTATTCAGGAACCTCAAGGATGAAGCCAGGTAAATATTCTCTTGTCGGCCAGGCGTGGTGGCTCACGCCTGTAATCCCAGCACTTTGGGAGGCCGAGGCAGGCGGATCACGAGGTCAGGAGATCGAGACCCGCCTGGCTAACACGGTGAAACCCCATCTCTACTAAAAATACAAAAAAGAAAATTAGCAGGCGTGGTGGTGGGCGCCTGTAGTCCCAGCTACTTGGGAGGCTGAGGCAGGAGAATGGCATGAACCCGGGAGGCAGAGCTTGCAGTGAGTCAAGATCGTGCCACTGCACTCCAGCCTGGGCGACATAGCGAGACTCTGTCTCAAAAAAAAAAATATATATATATATATATATATATTCTCTTGTCACTGTTGTAGTGTAGCTCCAGGCTTATGTGGCCTAAAAAATGCAGTGTCTTATAAATGTTTTATGGCCAAACACCTATGGTAATCAATGAATTTTCCTTCTACGTCTAGTTACTGCATAAAGATAATAATCTTCCAACTCAATGTACATTTATTGAACATCAGGTATATGCAGGCATATTAAGGGAATGTTTCCTCCACTGGAAATGCTATGACACTTTGCTCTTCACCTTAGCTTAAATATCAGTACCTCAGAGAGGCCTTCACTGATTCTCAAACCAGCCCTTATTTCCTTTCAAATCCCCTGGTTCTCTTTTCTTCATTGCATTTATCAAAATTTGTCATCAAATATTAATTAGTGGAATCTATTTATTTATTTATTTATTTATTTGAGACGGAGTCTCGCTCTGTCGTCCAGACTGGAGTGCAGTGGTGTGATCTCAGCTCACTGCAACTTCCACCTCCCGGGTTCAAACAATTCTACTGCTTCAGCCTTCAGAGTAGCTGGGATTACAGGCGCGTGCCACCACACCCAGCTAATTTTTTATATTTTTGGTAGAGATGGGGTTTCACCATGTTGGCCAGGCTGATCTTGAACTCCTGACCTCAAGTGATCCACCCACCTCTGCCTCCTAAAGTGTTGGGATTACAGGTGTGAGCCACTGCACCCAACCCAGGTGTAATCTTTTAAAAATGCCTATAGTTTCCAAAAGAATGAAGACGATACCTGTTAGGTTCACCATTGCACAGACAGCACCTTGCAGGGTACCTACCATATAGAAACAATCCATAAATGTTCACTGAATCACCAAATGAATGAACATTAATTTTCGTGCTTTTCTCTGCACATGTGGTAGAATATGACCACCCTATGCATAAAGCTTCCAGTCTAGAAACCCGGAAGACTAACTTTTCTGAATATAAATCTCTTGCTACGGAGAGTGAAACTGAGTGATCTAATTTGAATCAGGTAAGCACAATTAGTCCAATGAGATATGGCCAGGAGATAGGGCATCCTATTGTATAAACATGACTTTCTTAGCTCATCTTTGCACTTTGGGGAGAGGGTTTGGGGTTATTTTCTCAGAGGACTGAACTGATGGGTAAACCCAAATGGTTCTAACTACAACAAAGATTCTGGACTTATGAGAAAAAAGATAAGTCTCTACCCTCCAAAAATTTATGAGATAGTAGGAGGTAATAAGACAAATACCAAATAACCACATTTCAACTCAGATTATGTCACCTGGCTTAAAAGGTATATAAATAATGCAGCTGGGCGCGATGGCTCACGCCTATAATCCCAGCACTTTGGGAGGCCGAGGTGGGCGGATCACAAGCTCAGGAGTTCGAGACCAGACTGACCAACATGGTGAAACCCCCATCTCTACTAAAAATACAAAAATTAGCCAGGCTTGGTGGTGGGCACCTGTAATCCCAGCTACTCAGGAAGCTGAGGCAGGAGAATTGCTTGAACCCAGGAGGCAGACATTGCAGTGAGCCAAGATCGCACCACCGCACTGCAGCCTGGGTGACAGAGTGAGACTCTGTCTCAAAAAAAAAAAAAAAAGATATAAATCACGTTTTGGGATAGAGAGGAAATAAAGAAAACACCGTGCTGTGCTTATAAAGTCAGCATAGGAAAATATATACAGAACCTTGTTTTATCTTTGATAAAAAGAGAGTGACATTGAAACACTATTTCTATTGAAAATATTGTTTCCTAACAGCTACAAATGACTTAAATGAAAGTAGGTTTGTTTCAAAAACAAATGACATCTTATCTCAATTTTTAAAAATCAAATGGTGACATTGTTGATAATGGTAGTACAAAGAGGACCCTAAAAATAATTGTTTTTATTTTCTGTGTGGGAAGATAACTGTGCTATACTTCCCATGTTGAAAGGGATCTGCTTATTTTCAAAATATAAACTTAAGAATTAGTCTAGATGACATTGAACAATGTGAATTCAATTATTCTCTACAGAAAAAATCAATAGGAAAATGTGAGCTTTTATTAATTAGAAAGATAATTATTCGTCTGTAATTTGAACTAATCTGTATCTTGAAGGATTAAATCTGATGATCTGTATAGATATGTATGTGTGTATATATATATATATATATATTTTTTTTTTTTTTTTTTTGAGACAGAGTTTTGCTCTTGTTGCCCAGGCTGGAGTGCAATGGCGTGCTTACTGCAAACTCCGCCTCCCAGCTTCAAGCGATTCTCCTACCTCAGCCTCCCCAGTAGCTGGAATTACAGGCATGTGCCACCACACCCGACTAATTTTTTGTATTTTTAGTAGAGACAGGGTTTCTCCATGTTGGTCGGGCTGGTCTCGAACTCCCGACCTCAGGTGATCCACCCGCCTTGGCCTCCCAAAGTGCTGGGATTACAGGCATGAGCTACCGCACCCGGCCAATCTGTATAATTTAAACTCTTGCTCCATAAAATTAAAGTAACTATAGTGGGAGACCTAGAGATTACCGTTGTTTGTTTAAGCCACTGTTATTTGGGTTTTTTGTTTTGCTGAGGGAAGAAGAGCCTGGGCCTGATGGAGCCCCAGGGAAATCACTACCGCTGCCGGTGTTTGCAGGTAGCAGGGAGCCAGGCCTGGGCGAGGTGTGTCTCGATGCCAGAGCTGGTAGTACAGAAGGTGGTGGGCCATCCCCGGTGCTGCTCAGCGTGGTGGATCATTTCAACCGAATCGGCAAGGTTGGAATCCAGAAATGCGTCATTGGTCTGTTTTGGGGGTCATGGCAAAAGAAAGTACTTGATGTATTGAACAGTTTTGCAGTTCCTTTTGATGAAGATGACAAAGACAATTCTATGTGGTTTTTAGACCATGATTATTTGGAAAACATGTATGGAATGTTTAAGAAAGTCAATGCCAGAGAAAGAATAGTTGGCTGGTACCACACAGGCCTGAAAATACACAAGAATGGCATTACCATCAATGAACTCATGAAAAGATACTATCCTAACTCGGTATTGATCATTATTGACGTGAATCCAAAGGACCTAGGGCTGCCCACAGAAGCATACATTTCAGTGGAAGAAATCCAAGATGATGGAACTCCAACCTTGAAAACATTTGAACATGTGACCAGTGAAATTGGAGCAGAGTAAGCTGAGGAAGTTGGAGTTGAACACTTGTTACGAGACATCAAAGACACAACACAACGGTGGGCACTCTGTCCCAGCGGATCACAAACCGGGTCCATGGTTTGAAGGGACCGAACTCCAAGCTTCTGGATATCAGGAGCTACCTGGAAAAAGTAGCCACAGGCAAGCTGCGCATCAACCACCAGATCATCTACGAGCTGCAGGACGTCTTCAACCTGCTGCCAGATGTTAGCCTGCAGGAGCCTATTAAAGCCTTTTACCTGAGGACCAATGACCAGATGGTGGTAGTGTACTTGGCCTCACTGATCCATTCTGTGGGCCTCACTGATCCATTCTGTGGTCGCCCTGCACAACCTCATCAACAACAAGATTGCCAACCAGGATGGAGACAAGAAAGAAGGGCAGGAGAAAAAAGAGAGCAAAAAGATAGAAAAGCTGACAAGGGGAAAGATAAAGATAAGGAAAAGAGTGATGTAAAGAAAGAGCAGAAAAAGTAAAACGTGTATTAAATAGCTTTTTTATGCCTGTAATCCCAACATTTTAGGAGGCCAGGGCGAGTGGATCACCCAAGGTCGGGAGCTCGAGACCAGCCTGACCAACATGGAGAAACCCCGTCTCCACTAAAAATACAAAATTCGCTGGGCATGGTGGCACATGCCTGTAATCCAGCTACCCAGGAGGCTGAGGCCAGAGAATCGCTTGAACCTGGGAGGCATAGTTTGAAGTGAGCCAAGATCACACCATTGCACTCCAGCCTGGGCAACAAGAGCGAAACTCCGTCTCAAAAAGATAAATAAATAAAATTAAAAATTAAAAGTAAAAAGTTTTCATGGTTTCAAAGTTTCATTTCCCTTATAAGGAAATTGAAAAATACTGGAAAGTTTAAAGAAGAAAAGACTTATGTGCAATCCTGCCATTAAGTAATAACTACTATTAACATTTGTATATATTTACTCAAATTTTTATATCTATATTATCATTTTTAATATCTACTTATTATGTCATCATATGGATATGATAATTTTCTCAATTACTCTCCTGTGTTTACCAATTCTTGCCCTTATAAATAATGTTGCAATGAATGCCTTTGATTATATACATCTTGGTTGAAATTTTAGCTCTCTCCATAAAAGATATTCTTATGGGCATTATAAAAGCATTAAGGCTTTTGATCAGTACTGCCAAATCACTTACTGGAAGTATTTTTCAAATTGCAACTTCACTCAATGGTCTGTGCGAATGACTGTCTCACATTAATGGTTTTTTAGATCTGTGCTAATTGTGTGTAAAAAAAAAAAGCATCCCTTTTTACTTTGCATTTTTCACTATTAGAGAAGTTGAAATATTTAAATATCTCTATTAGTCTTTTATTCTTCTGCAAAGTATCTCTTTTGTCCTTTATCTATTTTTGTGGAACTTTATATATAGTTATATGGATATATTAGACAGATATAAGTATCTTCCATATTTTTAATTTATTGTTTCAAAATTAGCAATATGCATAAGCTAACATTCAAAGCAATCAAATTTCCGTGATTCACCATTTTGCATTATTAAGATACTCCATCATTAGAGTGAAAAATGTAAATGACTTTTAGCTATCTAGATGGAAAACAATTTGTAAATACCAAGAATTGTAATTATTATATAAACACATTAGAGACAAATATGAAAACAATCCTGTACCTGGTAAATTCCTTAAACTGAATGGTAAGTAATGCAGAACTTTCTATTTACAGACCACAGAAGTATAGATTATACCACAAATGAATGCATTATAGGCCAGGCACAGCGGCTCACGCCTGTAATCCTAACACTGTGGGAGGCCGAGGAAGGCAGATTACTTGAGCCCAGGAGTTTCAGACCAGCCTAAGCAACATAGCGAGACCCTGTCTCTATTTTTTTAATAGAATAAATAAATAAATACAGTATAAAGATTGCAGAAACTAAGAATGAGGAGGCATATTTTCTTTTTTTCACTACTAAGAAAAGAGTCACTGCCTTTAGCACAGTGACTTTGGATTTCTTCCTTATGCTAGAACTAAGCAATATTCACCATTTCATTCCTCCTTCTGCTGCTTTTTCTATCTTAGCCTCTTGGGCAATTCATGCTATAGGATATTAACAGAGATAAACTGGCTACTCTTTCTCCCTTCCCTTCAGTGATATACATATTGCCATAATGCCCTAGCCAGTATCCATAAAAACTAGCAACCTAGGATACTTCCAAGCCTTGAATATACAACAATCTTTTCTACCAACTTGTTTCAGGAGTAGGCTGTAAAACTCCAACTTTAGAATGCAAATATTTCCAGGAAGCTACTGGGAAAAATCATAGCTTAACTAGCAGTATAAAAATGGTACGAAAGAAATCATTCTGAAGTTTAGATATCTGGTTCTGTCATTTATTAGCTTTGTGACCTCGGTAAACTAAGTTACATAATCTTCCTGAGCTTCAGTTTATTTATTTTCCTTATGGGATGATTGGGGAGATTGAATTAACAGAGGTGAGATATGTAGAAAAATGTACCCAGTGCCTGACACAGGAAACTTCAATATGAGGGCTTCTTTTCTTTCCCAACTGTTTTGCCAGCACTTTGGAAAGGAATAGATGCCACTAGGAGGCAGCAATGGCACACAAAGAACTAATTATCATGTGCACGTGCATGCGCAGACACACACACACACACACACACACACTCACATGCATACGCATGGGCACATACACAAAGCACACACACTCAAACCACATACACAAATCCACATGCATGCCACACATACCACATATATACTCACACTCACACAAAAGCAACAAATATTTGCACAGCAACCACATACACACCCACACACAGGCATACTGGCACACACATGCACACAGCTCAAGTTGTTTTCTTTCCTTTTCTTTCTTTCTTTTATCTTTTTAATCTTTTATTGAGAGATTAAAGCAGGGAATGATCCTCAGGTTAATAGATAGGAAATGTCACTGAGGAATAGTACTTATTATTAAGTTTGGGGCACAGGAAAGAGATCCTATATATTGAAAGATTGGTCCATGTATTAGAAACGAGAGAATTATGTTATAAACTTCTTGCAGAAATATAGCATAAGAGATACGTGAAAACATTGATTCCTTTGCATTTAGAACGCCGTCCTGCCATAAACCAAGAGAAAAAAGACGGTCATTGAGAAGCACCTTCAGGGACCAACTTGTCTTGGAAGAAGACCTCCCTAGCCATGTGCATTTATAGAGTGTATAGTTATATAGTTATATGCATTTGTAGAGTTACAGTTATATAGTATAGAGTTCATTTAGTCTATGATTGCTAGGTGAGTAATATTACTTTGGGAAGATTCAGTTCAACTGTGCAAAAATAGAGGATGGGCGGGGCGCAGTGGCTCACGCCTGTAATCTCAGCACTTTGGGAGGCCGAGGCGGGCGGATCGTGAGGTCAGGAGATCAAGACCATCCTGGCTAACACGGTGAAACCCCGTCTCTACTAAAAATACAAAAAATTAGCTGGGCGTGGTGGCGGGCACCTGTAGTCCCAGCTACTCGGGAGGCTGAGGCAGGAGAATGGCGTGAACCCGGGAGGCGGAGCTTGCAGTGAGCCGAGATTGCGCCACTGCATTCCAGCCTGGGAGACAGAGCGAGACTCCATCTCAAAAAAAAAAAAAAAAAAGGAGGATGATAACCAGCTCCTTATGGTTGTGGTTCTTTCTTCACTAGGCTACCTGTGGCGGTTAGTACTTCCTGTACCATCTCCAGTAGGGGGAGATCACCGCAAACTATGGCTAGGGAGGGTACGGCACAACTGTGATGACAGGCAACCTGGTGATCAAAGCATTTAAGAAGAAAAACACTTGAAAAAGGGAATCTACTTATGGCACAAAATAGACCACATAATCACTAAATAGAGGGGCTGCAATTGGGCAGTTTCTACCGATGGACTCCTCAAATCCAAATTGCCTCTTCCAATTACAAAAATAGCAGATTTTTATTTCTGTGAAAATACGATTAAATGAGAGGAATCAGGACTATCGTCTAAGCTCTAAAGTCTGCTCTGATTATTTTTCAGTGATCCAAACCTATCCAGCCCCCTAAAATGCCTTCCAGTGAACAAAATGGCACAAAACACAACCTTCAACAAACTTGCCATATCCCAGGAGCTTCTTTGTAGAATAGGCTGGGGAAGGGAGGAGTGTTGGAAAAGTGCTAAGGGTTTAAAACAGAAGTGCTGAGGTGTCAAAGTTAGGCATGCTGACTATCTGGTGCTATCAAAATGCAGACCTAATTATTGTGTATATGAGTAGTGCATGTGTACATAAATATGTGTATGTATTTCCTAGCTCTGTCTGTTGAAGAAGACCTAGAAGCAGTGATGCCTCTGTATCAATGAGCACTACACCCAGACACAATGCAGACCTTGATTTCTTTTTTTTTTTTTAAGACGGAGTCTCACTCTGTCACCCAGGTTGGAGTGCAGTGGTGAAATCTCGGCTCACTGCAAGCTCCGCCTCCCGGTTCACATCATTCTTCTGCCTCGGCCTCCAGAGTAGCTGGGACTACAGGCGCCCGCCACCGCGCCCGCCACCATGCCCGGCTAATTTTTTGTATTTTTAGTAGAGACGGGGTTTCATCGTGTTAGCTAAGATGGTCTCGATCTTCTGACCTCGTGATCTACCCACCTCAGCCTCCCAAAGTGCTAGGATTACAAGCGTGAGCCACCACGCCCGGCCCAGACCTTCATTTCTAAACACCGTTATCTTCAGTTCATTGGGGAAATGGCTGAGGTTTAGAAAGCTGAGGTTTACAAATTATGACAAGCTTGGAGTATTGTGTTTTAACCAAAAGCATGGTGGTGCACACCTGTTGTCCCAGCTACTGGGGAGGCTGAGGCAGGAGAATTGCTTGAAGCCAGGAGGCAGAGGCTGCAGTGAACCGAGATCGTGCCACTGCACTCCAGCCTGGCTACAGAGTGAGACTCCGCCTCAAAAAAAAAAAAAAAAAAAAGAAGTGGTGGAGCAAGATGGCCACATAGAGACCTCCAGTGATCATCCCCCTCACAGGAACACCAAATAGAACAACCATCCATGCAAAAAAGCACCGTCATAACCAAAAATCCCTGTACCTGGCTTTAAAATTATATCAAGGAAAGGGGCATTGAAGAGGCTGGGAAAGACAATCTCGAGTTGTCGACACCACCCCTCGCTCTTCCCCATCAGTGGCCATGTGGTGCAGAGGGAGAATCTGTGTGCTTGGGGGAGGGAGTGTGAACTGTTTGTTGGACTTTGCATTGGAATTCAGTGCTGTCTGTCACAGCAGAAAGCCACACAGGGCAGAATTCACCTAGTAACCACGAGGGAGCATTTAGACCAGCCCTAGCTGGAAAAGAATCATCCATCCCAGCAGCCAGACAGAACTTGAGTTCCAACTAGCCCCACTACCATGGGGTAAAGTGCTCTGGGGTCCTAAATAAACTTGAAAGGTGGTCTAGGCCACAAGGACTGAAATTCCTAGGCAAGTCCTAGTGCTGTGCTGAGCTGGAGCCAGTGGTCTTTTTGTGCACACAACCTGTGAGACACCAGCTGGGGTGGCCAAGGGTGTGCTTGTGTTACCCCTCCCACGACCTCAGGCAGCACAGCTTGCAGCTCCAGGAGAGACTACTTCCTTCTGCCTGGGGAGAGGAGAGAGGAGGGTAAAGAGAACTTTGTCTTGCAACTTGCATTCCAGCTCAGTCACAGTAGAATAGGGCACCAGGCTGAATCCTGAGGCCCCCGTTCCAGGCCCTGTCTGCTGGACAACGTTTCTTGACACACTCTAGCCACTGTCTTAAAGAGAAGTACCGGTTCAGGCAGGATTCATTACCGGATGATCCAAGAGTCCTCGGACTTGAATTAACACCACCAGTTGCCAGGCAGTACTCACCACAAGACTTGAGTGAGATCCCGCGCCATGCCGACTTCAGGTGTGACCCAGCACATTTCCAGCTGTGGTGGTCACAGGGAGAGACTCCTTCTACTTGAGGAAAGGAGAGGAAAGAGTAAAGGGGCTTTGTCTTGCAGCTTGGGTACCAAGTCGGCCATAGTGGGATAGAGCACAAAGCAGGATCCTGGGGTCCCTGATTCCAGGCCTTGGCCCCTGAGTGGCATTTCTGGACTTGCTCTGAGCCAGAGGGGAGCACAGTGCCCAGTGCATGAAGGAAGAGACTGAAGCCTGGCAGCCTTCACCACAAGCTGACTGAAGAGCTCTTGGGCCTTGAGTGAACATCACTGGTAGCCAGGCAGTGATCACTGCAGGCCTGGGATTGTGGTGACTAGGGGGAGAGACTCCTTCTCCTTGAGGGAAGAAGATGGAAGAGTAGGAAGGACTTCATCTTGCGGTTTAGGTGCCAGCTCAGGCGCAGTGGAAAGAGCACCAGGTAGATTCCTAACGTTCCCAAGTCCAGGCCCTGCCCAGACAGCATTTCTGGACCTGCCCTGGGCTTAGGGAGAGCTCACCACCCTGAAGGGAGGGACACAAGCCTGGCTGGATTCGCCACCTGTTGACTAAAGAGCCTTTAGGCCTTGAGTGAACAACAGACGGTAGCCAGGCAAGACCCAGTGCCGTGCTGGCTTCAGGTCTGACCTAGTACAGTCCCAGTTGTTGAGGCCACAAGGCTGCTTGTGTCACCCAGCTCCAAGCAGTTCAGCATGGAGAAAGAGACTCTGTCTGGGTGAAAATAAGAGAAGAGAGCAAGAGTCTTTGCCTGGTAATCCAGGGAATTCTCTTGGATCTTACTTAAGACCACCAAAGTGATACCTTAAGAGCTCTGCAAGAGTCATCATTGCTGGGCTTAGGGTTCTCCTAGTGCACATATTGTTGCAGTGACCAAAGACTTAGATCACAACACTCGATTGCCTTTGAATACTTGGAAAGCCTTCCCAACAAACAAGCCCAGACTGCAAAGACTGCAATAAATACCTAACTCTTTAATGCCCAGACAACAATTAATATCCATAAGCATCAAAACCATGCTGGAAAACATGACCTCACCAAATGAACTAAATAAGGCAACAGTGACCTATCCTAAAGAGAGAGATATGTGACCTTTCCTACAGAGAATTCAAAATAGCTGTTTTGAGCTTCCTCAAAAGTCAGGATAATACAAAGAAGGAATACAAAAGGATAATACAAAATTCAGAAAAGTACAAAGAAGGAATTCAGAGTCCTGGGCCGGGCACGGTGGCTCACACCTGTAATATCAGCACTTTGGAAGGCCGAGGCGGGCGGATCACCTGAGGTCGGGAGTTCAAGACCAGCCTGACCAACATGGAGAAACCCCATCTCTACTGAAAATACAAAATTCACTGGGTGTGGTGGCGCATGCCTATAATCCCAGCTACTCGGGAGGCTGAGGCAGGAGAATTGCTTGAACCCGGGAGGCGGAGGTTGTGGTGAGCCAAGATCGCACCATTGCACTCTAGCCTGGGCAACAAGAGAGAAACGCTGTCTCAAAAAAAAAAATTTGTTTTTTAAATAAAATTAGGAAGTACCCAAAGGATATGGAGACATATCAAAAAGACACATGAGCCACTTGAAGTGGCTCCCACTGATCAATTCTGTGACAACTCAAGCATCAAAATAATTAATTATATTAGTGAATCATAACTCACTGAATAAGGATCCATGTGTTCACACTAATATTAATTAACTAATTAATTTGGGGAAATGGGAAAGTACTCCCTTACAGCAGAATGAGAAATAATAAATGTAGAAGGAGTGATAAATTTAAAAATTACTTGTTGGCAACCATCACAAAAACAATTGATTTAGGTAAAAATCTAAAATTACTGGATGAAAATTTGATGAAAAACAGGATATCCACATAGTTGTGAAGTATCTCCCCATGAGATACTGATTAATTAATTACAAAGGACAATATAGTAAGATTACAATGTAGAAATCTGGCAGACATCAGATTTCTAGCCAAGTAATCATAGTTAACATTACCAATAGTAATGGCATAAATTGATATCATGTACTTCCTGATATGATGCACTAAGAAGATTACAATCTCACTTCTCTTGTAATCCCGGCAACAATACAACTGAAATCGCGTCATAACATAACTTCAGACAAACCCAAATGATTGTCCTCTACTCTTTAAAAATATTAAGATTGTGAGGGGGCACAGTGTCTCACCCCTGTCATCCCAGCACTTTGAGAGGCCAAGGTGGGCAAATCTCTTGAGGTCATGAGTTCAAGACTAGCCTGGCCAACATGGTGAAACCCTGTCTCAACTAAAAAAAAAAAAAAAAATTAAATAGGCATGGTGGTGGGCACCTGTAATCCCAGCTACTTGGGAAGCTGAGGCAGGAGAAGTTGCAGTGAGTGAGATCACACCACTGTACTCCAGCCAGGACAACAGAGCAAGACTCCATCTCAAATATATATAGATTGTAAGAAAGGAGGAAGAAAAATGGAAGAACTCTTCTAGATCTAAGAAGACTAAAAAGCAGGGCCATCTCATCTACAGTGGAGAATTAGATGCCACTTGAGAAACAATTTCTAATATACTAGATGCTTGGCACCAAGTGACCAGGCAGTTACAGCTGCCCATCACCAGCTATATTCTGTCATACCCACCAAGTCATGAGGTCAAGTGTGCCTAGCAACAACTCATGATAAGATGATAATGGATATACCCTGAAGCTACGTGATCAGAAGGTCAAAACTCCACATCATCCATCACTGTTGTACTAATGGCATTCCTAAGTGCACATCTATAGCCATATGACCCCATATGATCCCGTAGGACCAGCTTAGAGCGGAGGAAAAAGCCTGAGCTTGGTTCATGGATATGAAGGTCTGTACATGTGTGTAGGTAAAAAAAAGGATGACAGCTACAATACAGCTTATTCAAAGAGCATCTTGAAAAACAGTGGTGAGAAAAAGTCCTCCCCATGGGAAGAATTTTGGATGGTCATCTTCCTTGTGTGGAAAAAGAAGTGGCTTATGATTAGAATATATATGAACTCATAGGTAGTGGCTTGACAGAGTCTGAGAGGTGAGAAGAAAGATGGGTAGATCAGGTACAAAGAGGACTAGGAGTAGAGGCATGTGAATGAATAAATGGGGTGGGCACAAAGTGTGAAGATCTTTGATGCACATGTTAACTCCCACTAGCAAGGTACTACATAACCAGATAGAGAAAAAGACTCAGCCAGTTGACAGCATCTGGCCTCTAACACTGGCCACCCCAGTGCTGGCATAATGGCCACATGACTGAAATGGCTATGGTAACAAGGATGGAGATAATTCATAGGCCCAACAGCATGGTCTCCTACTTATATAGATTGATCTGGATGCTGCCTTGGTTGAATGTCCAACCTGGCAAGCAACAGAGACCAGAGGCCAATGTTGAGCCTCCAAGATGACACTATCTCACAAGCAGATCCACTGGCACATAAGGTATCAAGTTGACTGCATTGGACCTACTTCTACTGAAGGAGTACAGATCCATTATGCTGGGAATCAATACTTATTTGGATATGCATTTGTTTTTCCTGCATCACTATCTGAGGACTTACGGAGTTCGAATCCACTGATACAGGATCCCACATAACATTGTATCAGACCAGATAACCCATTTTATAGTAAAGGAGGTATGACAATAGGCCCCTGACCACAGGACCAACTGATCACATTACCTACCAAACCATCCAGAAGCTGCCAGCTGATAGAACCTTGAAATGGCCTGTTGAAAGCATAATCAAAGCACCAGCTTTGAGATATGATCCTCTATGATGAAGTATATACTTTAAATCAAACATCTTCATTGTCTCCCCAGTAGGAACAATACATGGGTCTGGGAATCAAGGATTTGAAGCAGCAGTGGCCAAGTTATTATCTCTCCCCTTGACTCACTTGGGGACACTTATGCTTTTGTTCCACATCTGAAATCTATAAATAGTTTAAAAGGCCTTGTTTCCAAAAGGGAAACACTTCCACTAGGGGCACAGCAAGTCCTATTGAACTATAAACTACAGATGGTGCCTGGCAACTTTGGGCTCCTTTTGCCAAGGAACCAGCAAGCAAAGATCTCACCATCTTAGAAAGGGTCATTGACTCTGATCATCAGGAGCAAATAGGGCTGCTGCCTCCTCAGTACTCCTTGATACAATTTTGATTATAAAAATCATAGAAACATCAGAAAGGCATAGAGGCCTTTCAGACCCCTCAAGGATGAAGGTCTTTGTCACACCACCAGAAGAGCCACTGAGACCAACAGAAGAGCCAGCCAAGGATGAGGAGAATACGAAATGGATGGTGGTGGAGGAAGAAGATGAGTATCAGTTGCAGTTCGAAGGCCAACTGCAGCATCAGGTGTTGTAGTTTATCTCACTAACCTTACTCTACTGAGTTTCACCCAAGAAAAGAGGTCTATCAGAATCCTGGAGGAGCTATTCTCAGAAAGCATACAAAGCAGTGGATCAAGCAAAAAAAAAAAAGAGTGTATTGTCATGGGTACTGTACTGTGCCATCCAATTTTCCTTTAAGGACTGAAGGGCAATGAATTGAGGGAAGTCACAGGTAAACAGTAAAAAATTGAGGCTCTCTTCCAATAGCCCAAAGGGAATTGAATCATGCCAACAACCACTGAGTGAGCTTGGAAGTGAATCCTCCTCCACTTGACCCTTCAGATAAGACTGCAGCCCTGGCCAACCCCTGACATTCTGTAGAAAATCAATTGACTATAATGTGTGAGTTTATTTTTGAACTGCCTATTCTCTTACATTGGTCTATGTGTCTGTATTTTTACCAGCTGATTTGATTACTATAGCTTTGTAGTATATTTTGAAGTTAGATAATGTGATGACTGTAGCTTTGTTCTTTTCATTCAAGATCGCTTTGGCTCTTCAGGGGCCTTTGTAGTTTCATACAAATTGTTTTTTCTATTTCTGTGAAAAATGTCATTGGAATTTTGATAGGGATTGCACTAAATCTGTAGATCACTTTGGGTAACATGGACATTTTAACAATATTAATTCTTCCAATCTATGAACATTAATATTATTCCATTTATTTGTGTCTTTTTAAATTCCTTTCATCAATATTTTATATTTTTCAGCATACAAGTCTTTCGCCTCCTTGGCTAAATTTCTTCCTAAGTATATTTATATATTTTTGTAGCTATGTGAATGGGAGTTTTCTTAATTTGTTTTTCAGACGGTTTGCTATTAGTGTATAGAAATGCTATGATTTTTGTATGTTAATTTCATATCCTGGAAATTTACTGAATTTGTTTATTAGTTCCAACATATATTTTAAATTTAAAAACAATAAAATGAATTATGAAGCATTTGCAACAAAAGGTGGGATAATACAAAAATATTCTCTCCCCTTTTTCAGAGCCAATGCAGTGACTATGTGTGGGCAAGAGAAGACATTCTAAATGCTTACTGCCCTCCTTCCATGTCTAGAGCTGTTAGGTAGGATAAGAGAGGTCTATTTTTAAACTGACATGCAACAAATTAAAGAAAACAATGGTTCTAAAGCTTTGTGCTTTGAGAGGAGGAAACCAGAGCAGATGGTTTTTTGTTTGGCAAAAATCCCTAAATAGGGCTTTTGGTTTACAAAGGGGAAATACCACAACCTCTCAAACTCCACCTTCAACACACACACACACACACACACACACACACAACACACACACACACACACGCACACACACACACATACACAGAGTCTGAAGGAAAGAATTGAGGAAGAAAAAGTAAAATTTTGTTGTTGTTGTTATTTGTTTGTTTGTTTGTTTTGAGACAGAGTTTCGCTCTTGTCGCCCAGGCTAAAGTGCAATGGCGCCATCTCGACTCACTGCAACCTCCACCTGCCAGGTTCAAGCGATTCTCCTGCCTCAGCCACCCAAGTAGCTGGGGCTACAGGCACCTGCCACCATGCCCAGCTAATTTTTTGTATTTTTCTAGAGACGGGGTTTCACCATGTTGGCCAGGCTGGTCTCGACCTCCTGACCTCAGATGATCCACTTGCCTTGGCCTCCAAAAGTGCTGGGATTACAGGTGTGAGCCACCACACCTGCCCATAAAATTGTTTTTTAAGGTTAAGTAAAGGGAATTTGGAGCTTTTGAATGAAAGCCTAGAAGGGAGGGGAGCCACTCTGGTTTCTGTAAAAGGAGGAGGAGCAGAGAAGCATCTTGGAGAAAAGATCTGGTCCACATCACACGGAATCGGGTTAAGTTCTGAGAAAGAGGCATGGGTGGGGAAATCCTATGGAGAATGCAGATTGTGGAGAAGTGATGGGTAGTACCTAGTGCAGATGGCAGAGGAAGTAACTCCAGGACTTTTGTAAAAACAGGGACTAAAGAGTTGGAGCAGTAGCTGGAAGAAAGATGTGAAGTAACAGGGCTTCTTTTTTTAATGGGTGATATTACTGTATATCTGTATGCTGATTGAAGTGTTCCAATAGAAAGGAAAAAATAAACATGGATAAGCATTAATTAGAGGAGTAAAATCCTTAAGTAGGAGAGAGAAAATGGGACCTAGCACATAAAGAGAGGGTTTGTCCTTAGATGTTCATCCATTGTAACCTGACAGAAGGCAGATTCTGTGGTTGCCGATGCTGGTAGAATGATGGATTCGGGAGTGGAAAGATTAAAAAAAAATGATCTTTTGATCTTTTCCATTTTCTCAGTGAAATAAGGAGCCAAGTTATCAGCTAAGGGTGAGGAGAAGGAAGGTGGCTTGAGAAAGGTTGAGAAGTGAAATAGCCACTTTAGAGAGTAAGGGAGTGAACAAACTAGAGAAATATAATAGGATTGTCGGGCAGAGCTGGAGGCCCATGTAAAGTTTGTGTTTATGAATTTAAAATGGGACCTATTGGCATGGTTGTGAGTTTCTCTTTTTTTCCAGCCACGTTCAGTTCCTTAGGTGCAGGCATAAGGAAGGCAGATGGTGCCAGGGATGAGTTTGGCCAGCAAACACTACCAAAGGAGAGAAGAGCAAGGGAGTTGAATATATGCAAAGGAACGACGTCAATGATGGGTCATGGAATTGTAGTGGATACAGAAAAAATTTTTTGGCACTATGTAAACCCAGCATCAAGGATGCAAATTCAGTCCTATTGACCTGGAAGTCCATGCTTACTTCTGTATGGCAATGCTTCTCAAACTTGAGGATGCGCAAGAACTATCTGGAAACTTTGTCATAAATGCAGAACTCTGGGCCATTCTTAACAATTCTGGGGCACAACACTTGTTCTTTGAAATAAGCAGATAGGTAATAGTAACGGAAGGAGGGGGTCTGTGGCCCATTCTATGAAAAATATTGTATTGCAGGTGTTTTACGTGAAAGTGCTTGAAAGTAGGATTTGTTTGTTTGTTTGTTTGTTTGTTTATTTATTTATTTATTGAGATGCAGTCTCACTCTATCGCCCAGGCTGGAATGCAGTGGCACCATCTCAGCTCACTGCAACCTCCACCTCCCAGATTCAAGCAATTTTCTTACCTCAGTCTCCCGAGTAGCTGGGATTACAGGCCCACATCACCATGCCCAGCTAATTTTTGTATTTTTAGTACAGACAGGGTTTCACCATGTTGCCCAGGCTGCTCTCGAACTCCTGACCTCAGGTGATCCACCTGCTTCTGCCTCCCAAAGTGCTGGGATTACAGGCGTGAGCCACCGCACCCAGCCGAGATCAGGGTTACGCACAGGAAAAGTGGGACACCCAGACAATTGTTTATACTGCCAACTTCACAGCCATAGAATGATGACGTTCCAAATATTTGCATTTCTTAACCAAATGACATAACTAAAAGTAAGCTACCATGAAGCTAACACTGCAATGGGTGCGGCAATAAATTCAGTAGCTTTATTTTTAAATTTCAATTAGGTTCCTTGGATGAACAAGAAACAAGTGTGACATTTTGTGTGGAATCTGAAAACCACCTTAGCATGGCTTTACATCGGATGCATCAGTTTTCCAAAAAGCCAGAGAACTGTGTTCTGTTGGGGGAGAAAAAGATAAACATTCTAAGAGAAACAATCATTTCTTAAATGTGGTAAATAGCTAAGCCAAACCAAATACATTTTACGAGTATATAGAATACATGTGATTATGTGAATGAAACCATTTAGTGTGAGGTTTAAGTGATGGGAGAAAACATTAGGGAAATGATAAGACCCTCATTTTCTTTTTCTTTTTCTTTTTCCTTTTTTTAAGACAGAGTCTCGCCCTGTTGCCCAGGTTGGAGTGCAGTGGCACAATCTCAGCTCACTGCAACCTCTACCTCCCAGGTTCAAGTGATTCTCCTGTCTCAGCCTCCCGAGTAGCTGGGACTACAGGCACGTGCCACCATGCCTGGCTAATCTTTGTATTTTTAGTAGAGACTGGGTTTCACCATGTTGGCCAGGCTGGCCTCCTGACCTCAAGTGATCCGCCCGCCTTGGCCTCCCAAAGTGCTGGGATTACAAGTGTGAGCCACTGCGCCTGGCCAAGATCCTCATTTTCAAGAGATAAAATTAAAGGTTCTATATACAGTGAAGACTGTTCTATAACAGTCAAGATTAAAGGGGAAAAAACAGTATCGGCCCTTTACAGTACTGCATCTGTCCAAAGACCATAAGGGAGAAGATCCTGAAGAAATATATCAACAAAGCTAAGACTTTTTTCAATTATTCTTTTCTCACATTTTTTCTACTGATTTTTATTTAAGCTTATTGTATTTTGTCATGTTTTGTATTTAACATCTCACCAGGGCTCTGCTGTCTTTTGAATAATGGCAATTTATTCAGTGCATTTGTAACTATTTACAATTAAAATTATATTCCTCCATGTCATGCATATTTCTAATAATCAAACCAACCCCATGAGGTGGGTATTTTTAATCAGTTATCATTCCCTTCTCTCCCACTAGCTGGACACTTCTCAGACTCCTCTCTTCTTAGCTTTGTCTGCTCCCTACTGTCCTCTCCCACCTGCTAAAACAAGATTGTCAATGTTTTTGAAAGATTTCTAAACCTAGAGCCAAGGACAGCTTCAGCCTCTGGCTGGTTCTTACTTTCTGGCATCAGAGACATTTCAACCCTAAATCTGAAACCTTAAAAGGTTAGCAGCTCTAAACGCTGGCCATTACACACTTCTTTATCTCACACAAACCTGGTATCATTCTCCTTAAAATATTTTGCTCTAATGGATACTTTGCTCTAATGGATACTTTTCAAACTCTACGAATTGCTTGAGAAAGGGGAAATGTTAGATCTTTAGACCAATTATCATTGCCATGAGTTGTTTTGTCACTTGGGGTGAGTTCTCTATAATGTGGGACCAAGATGAGGTAGATATTTTATTATTCAATATTTGGTTCATTATTATTCAAGCTCAACTTGGAATTATACAAGATGGCATCATTCACCTCAGCATTCATTGAATATAACCACAACCCTGAGTTTTACAGAAAAGACTTAGAAAAGAGGCTGGGCGCGTAGCTCATGCCTGTAATCCTGGCACTTTGGGAGACTGAGACAGGTGGATTGCTTGAGTCCAAGGGTTCAAAACCAGCCTTGGCAACATGGCATAATCTCTTCTCTAATAAAAATATAAAAAATAGCTGGACATGGTGGTGCGTGCATGTAATCTCAGCTACTCAGAAGGCTGAGGTGAAAGGGTCACTTGAGCCCAGAAAGTAGAGGCTGCAATGAGATGTGATCGCAACACTGCACTTCAGCCTGGGTGACAGTGAGACCTTGTCTCAAAAAAAAAAAAAATTGGAAAGGAAAATGCAAGTGGGGACGCCATCTGCAGCTCACTGCTTCATATCATTGTTTCTCCCTCTCACCCCTCTTTTTAAAAACCCAGTGGCCAAATTCATCTGTGTTTTGTTTGTTTTTGTTTTGAGACGGAGTTTCGCTCTGTTGCCCAGGCTGGAGTGCAATGGCGCGATCTCGGCTCACTGCAACCTCCACCTCCCAGGTTCAAGTGATGCTCCTGCCTCAGCCTCCCAAGTAGCTGCGATTACAGGCACCCGGCACCACAGCAATTAATTTTTGTATTTTTAGTAGAGACAGACTTTCACCTTTTTGGCCAGGCTGCTCTCAAACTCGTGACCTCAGGTGATCCACCCGCCTCAGCCTCCCAAAGTGCTGGGATTACAGGCGTGACCCACCGCACCTGGCCTCATCTGGTTTTTGACAATCATTATAGAACAAAGGCTCTGATTATGATGACGGGCAAGTGGGAGTCCTAGCTAAACGTTCCAATGCAGACTTACCCTTGAAGCATTTGGGGACTTCGATAGTGCCATCTATACACTGAGCATCCTCTGTATAGCTACACTTCTTTTCCTTATTTTTGCAGAAGAAAGAAACTTTATCACCATGTAGCATTCCATTCTTAAATTTTTCCTGAATCTTTACTCTCTCTCCTTGGTACACCACAGTGGCTTTTTTCACAGGTACTTTACAAGATGCTGAAAGAGAGAATACTTGTAATCAGGACTTAAGAGTTCAGGAAGTCTTTCTGAAAGAGAGTATAGCATTTGAAACAGTAGATGAGTACACCTACACAAATTGGTCAAGGCAAGAAAAATCCAAGAATATATATAGTAAGTAATGGTAATATGATTGCTAATTGCAGTTCTCTGTCAATAGAACCATTATTCATAGCTTCCAAGATGGCCTTCTCTTCCCCTACAGTAGCCACAGAAGGTCAGAACAGAAGCATCAGAGCCTCCATTTCAGTGAAAAAAAAAAAAAAAAGCAACTAACAGATATTGACATTTCATGTAAGCCTACTCTGCCCTCTCAGATTGCATTCATTAAGCAGGTGCATCTATCCACCAGCCATTGTGAGTGTTGGCTGATAACAGCTCATAAATACTCTGAAAAATTGCCTTCAGCCATAGGGAAGCCACCTCTCCCAGGAGTTTATGCAAACCACCCCCAGGGTCAGGGAAGGGAGCAGCTCAAAGCCAAAGACTGACTGATGAGGGAATATAAAAAGCAGGTCCCCTTGGCTCTTAGTGGGATTAACTCAAGGGTGGAATTCACACTCCAGAGCTCCCAGTGGGATCAAACTGAACCTCATTTTAGCAGAGACCACATTTCTCCCTGGCTCGGCAGCATTAGCATCACCAGGGAACCTGGCATAAATGCAAATTGTCAGGCCCCATCCCAGATCTACCAAATCAGAAACTCTAAGAGTGGAGCTCAAAAATCCTGTGTTAAAACAAGCCTTCCAGGTGTTGCTGATCCACAGCGAAGTTTGAGAACCGGTGCCTTACCCTCGCAAATCTGCCTCACTCTTTCTTCTCCTGAGACATTCACTAAATCAACTGTACTCGAATCCCCGTCTCAGGCTCTGCTTCTAGGGAACTGTAACCTAAGATGCTAGTTATTTGTCATCTTGCCTGCTGCCCCAGAGTTCCTCTTTCTGCTTAAACTGTCCAGCCCATAGTGACCTGAGCAGAGTTCTAATGCTAGGCTGTTGTTGTTCTTTACTTATGCATGACACTGATGGGATCAAGGGTAGACACCTAACTCAAAAGGAACCAGTGTCTCCAGGAAAGATGCCAGTTGGTGATGAATCCTGTAACTGAGAGGGTCTGGTGTATATCAAGCCATGTTCAAGATGAATAAGCAGAGAGACGGAAATGGGAGAGACCATTGAGATACGGAAAAAGTAGGAATAGTTCCTGCCTTTCAGTTCCAATCTTCAGGAGTATCAGTTGTATTTCATGTCTTCATCTTCAATGCCCACATGATCGACTTGCCTGTTGCCTCCTTATAATATCCCCAATTTCCTTGAACTCACTCGAATGTGTGGTTGGTTTTTGCAATGAGAAGAGCCTTGGCTAGACAGAGCACAAAAAGGGGTGGGCATGGTGGCTCACATCTGTAATCACTCGAACCTGGGAGGTGAAGGTTGCAGGGAACTGAGATTCTACCATTACACTCCAGCTAGGCAACAGAGTGAGACTCCATCTCAAAAAAAAAAAAAAAGACTCCATGTGTCTACAATAATACTAAAAAATGATGGATGGAAGAAAAGCTCTTCTCTACAGAGGCCGAGGCGGGCGGATCACCTGAGGTCAGGAGTTCGAAATTAGCCTGGCCAACGTGGCAAAGCCCCATCTCTATTAAAAATACAAAAATTAGCCAGGTGTGGTGGTGGGGTGCCTGTAATCCCAGCTACTCGGGAGGCTGAGGTAGGAGAATTGCTTGAACCCGGGAGGCAGAGGTGGCAGTGAGCCGAGATCACGCCATTGCACTCCAGCCTGGGCGACAGAGCAAGACTCCATCTCAAAAAAAAAAAAAAAGAGTGCTCAGAGGCAAAGACTTAAAAGCAAATAAAGAAAGCCCACATGATCTCCCACCATATCACCAATGCTTACAAAGGATCTGTTTATTTCATACTGTTTAAGGTCAAGGATACTTCCTAAGCATGAGGCTTCCCCATGCACCTGTGAGTCCTGAAGTCACATGCCAGCAGTTTCCTAGCAAGTCTGAGCAACAAGTGGAAAAGTGTTGGAACAAGAAAATAGCAAGTAAAGGTGATCCACTGTATCAATTCAGAGATCTTACAGGACCTCGCCTATATTTCCATACCTTTACAACTTGGCATGGCAGACCAGTTTCCCAGTTTGGTACATTCTATTTCTTCCGGGCCATCCAGAGAATATCCATCATGGCAGCCAAATGTGGCTTTATCCTTGTAATAAAGTGTTGGTTTTGCAGGATAGTTCACAAATCCATTGTCTGGTCTTGATGGGAATGGGCATTTTACTTCTAAAACATTTATTCAATAAGACATATTAGTAATAAATAGTGCTATCCAATAGTCATGAAATAGTTACATCCTTGTCTCTGTCACACCACTGAATCACTGTGTGTTCCTGTAACTGGAATGCAATTTATAGTTACCTTGTGCTTAATTCTGTCCCCACTCCTCTTATATCTGTGGTACCCTGGATATTAAAAAAGAAACAACCACACTTTGAAAGTAAATTAATGAGACTTCACTAAGTTCTCTGGGTTTTCACATATAATCATAAGGTATTATTTATTGCAAACTTCATCTCTACACAGTCTAAGATGGTGGGTTTGAAAGAAGAAAAGCAAAGTCTATTTCTAACAAACCATAAAATTAAAATGCAAAGACTGAACCCCCCCCCCCATTCACACTTAGTACACCATTATTTGGCTTTAAAATAGTAAATCTTACTGTTATTCAATTCAGACTATGGAAGAAGCCAGCAGGAAATACGTCAAAGAAAAATGGTGCTGCTTCCTGGCCTCCTTAAGATCCTCAACAGTAGAGGCCCAAACCCACGTCCTTATGAGCTGCAGTGCGAGAAAGCAAGGCTGGAGCCAGGAGCACAATATTCTCAGAGGTAGTTTAAGGAGGTAATTAAGGGTACAAACTCCAGAGTCAGACTGCTTGGCTCAATTTTGGTTCTACCACACATTAAATAAAACAGAATTCATGTGGCCAGGCACAGTGGCTCACTTCGGTCATCCTGGCACTTTGGGAGGCTGAGGTGGATGCTGAGGAGGTCAGAAGTTCAAGACCAGCCTGGCCAACATGACAAAACCCCATCTCTACTAACAAAAATTAGCCGGGTGTGGTGGCATGCACCTGTAATCCCAGCCACTCAGGAGGCTAAGGCAGGAGAATCACTCAAACCCAGGAGGTGAAGCTTGCAGTGAGCTGAGATTGCACCATTATGCTCCAGCCTGGGCAACAGAGTGAGACTCCAACTCAAAAAAAAAATAAGAATCCATGTGTCTATAATAATACTAAAAAATGGTGGATGGAGGGAAAGCTCTTCTCTATAGAGGGAAGCCAGTGAATAAATGTAGAAGGAAAAGATAGAATTAGAAAGTCACCATTTTTCAGCCTCCAATGTCATAATTGACAGATTCAAGGATCATCATTGGATTCTACCATGACTGCCCAACAGTGGATATTCACATGGTTTCAAAGTATCACCCACAGGTTGCTTACTATTCCAAAGAAAAAGCAGTGCCTTTACCAAAAGGTGATCTAGCACCCCTCAACTGACTAAGTATCAAACTAAGCATGGCCAGTGATGGAACAGCTGACACTATGTGCTTCCTGATATGACAGAATGTATTTTTTTTTTTTGACACAGAGTCTCACTCTGTTGCCCAGGCTGGAGTGCAGTGGTGCAATCTTGGCTCACTGCAACCTCCCCCTCCTGGTTCAAGCGATTCTCCTGCCTCAACCTCCTGAGCAGCTGAGACTACAGGCGCACGCCACCACACCCAGCTAATTTTTGTATTTTTAGTAGAGACGGGGTTTCACCATATTGGCCAGGCTGGTCTTGAACTCCTGACCCCATGATCCACCTGCCTCGGCCTCCCAAAGTGCAGAATGTATTCTTAACAGTAATATTTAACATGAATCTAATCATGAGTAAATAACCAATCAAGTTCAGATTATGGAACATTCTACAAGACAACTAGCCTGTACTCTTCAAAAATGTCAATGAAAGACAACAAAAGAGGCAAGGACTTATTCTTAATTATAGGAGACTAGGCTCACGCCTGTAATCCCAGCAGTTTGGGAGGCTGAGGCAGGCGGATCATTTTAGTTCGGGAGTTTGAGACCAGCCTGGCCAACACAGTGAAATCCCATCTCTACTAAAATTATAAAAATTAGCTGGGCGTGGTGGCAGGTGCCTATATTCCCAGCTACTTGGGAGGCTGAGGCAGGAGAATTGCTCAAACCTGGGAGGTAGATGTTGCAGTGAGCCAAAATTGCACCACTGCACTCCAGCCTGGGTGACAGAGTGAGACACCATTTCAAAATAATAATAATAATTATTATTATAGGAGACTAGAGAGACATGACAACTAAATTAAAGGTGTGATTCTTGATTAGATCCTGCATAAAACAAAACTCATGTATAAGAGATACTTCTGGGTCAATTGGGAAAATTTGCATCTGAGATAAATGTTGCATGATATCGTTGTTGTTATGTTATTAGAATGGTTTGGATTATTATTGTTAATAATCCAAAACATATGAAGTGATGATATAAAATGTCCTTGTTCTTAGTATATTCAGGCTGAAGGCTTTATGGGCAAGTATCGTAATATATACAACTTATTTTCAGATGATGCAGGAAATAAAAGGGATCTTTCTATGGAGAAACAGAGAGAAAAATGTTACAACATATTAACAGTTGATACGTCTAGGTGAAATTGAAAAAAAAAGGAACCTACTTTTTAGGACTTGGGAGAATGAGGTCAGATGACACATATGTAGCAGGAGACCAGTGCCTGGCCCATAGTTGAGTGCCCAGAAAGGTACAAGTTACTACTGTTATTGGTAGCTCCTCCATGCTGAAAATCACTTATGTTTTGAATCGTTCACTGGATATCTGTAATATCTACCACTGGAGAAGTTAATAGTCACGAGAATAACTCTTGGCCAGGAGCAGTGGCTTACACCTGTAAGCCCAGCACTTTGAGAGACTGAGGCAGGCAGATTACTTGAGGTCAGGCATTTCAGACCAGCCAGATGATCATGGTGAAACTCCGTCTCTACTAAAAATACAAAAATTAGCCAAGTATGGTGACGGGCACCTGTAATCCCGGCTACTTGGGAGGCCAAGGCATGAGAATCGCTTGAACCCAGGTGGCAGTAAGCCAAAATCACCCCACTGCACTCCAGCCTGAGTGACAGAGTGAGACTATCTCAAAAAAAAGAAAAAAACAAACTATTTGTGCACATGATAAACTTTATAATTTGTCTGTTTGTTATGCAGCTGACAAACTTGAAGATAGTAATGACAGGTCAAGTTAGAGACGAAATAATTTTCATAATTTCTTAAAAATCAAATATTTCTGTGATTCTTAAACTTGGGTAAAGATTTTTAAAATGTGTAACAATCAGACAGCAACCCAGTCTTAACCTTCATCTCCTAGGACTCTCCAATTTAACCCAGGAACTTCACCCAGAAGAGAACTTCACCAGCCTCGCTGAAATGTCCAGCTGTCCATGGATACATCCTGCCTTTCATGTCTCCCCCATGTGTGGTATGCCTTCTCCTCATTCTCTACTGCTCCTCCAAGACCCATTTCAAAGGTCACCACCTATGGGAAGCTGTCCCAGGCAGCTCCAGACAGTTAATTGCATTATTTATAATTCCCTTGGGTCAGAAGCCAGGTCTCATTCATCGGGAATCCACAGTGCCCAGCACACTGCCTGGCACATGGTAGATGCTCAATAAACAGCTGTTGAATGAGTTCATTGGAAACACTCCATGATAGTCAGAATTTTCAATACCTTTCACAAATGGGATCTTGCCCTACCATGCGTATTTTGTCTGATCATTGCACTTACCCCTGCATTCTGGTAATTTAGTCCAATTTCCATGTGTCGTGCAGGTAATTGTATCATTTCCAAACATCGCATGTTGTGGCAAACATTCAAAAACTGCTGTGTCCCGATAGAGGGAATTGTTTCCAGCTGATGGCTTATAAACACGAAGTGTTGCAAACGTAGGTATGGATGGTGGAGGGCAGATGATGGCTGGGAAAATAAAGAACTATCATTTCTATGAAAATAGTTAAGGCTTTTAAATATACTCTTTCCAGAAAGAAAAAAAAAACCCTAAGGATAAACTTGAGAAAATGCAAACTGATCAAATTAGCAGGGTAAAAATTGTCAATTGTGGATGCCTAATAGGAAAATATGACCTGCCGGGCACGGTGGCTCACGCCTGTAATCCCAACACTTTGGGAGGCTGAGGTGGGCAGATCACTAGAAGTCAGGAATTTCAGACCAGCCTGGTCAACATGGTGAAACCCCGTCTCTACCAAAAATACAAAAATGAGCCAGGCATGGAGGTGTGTGTCTGTGGTCCCAGCTACTCCAGAGGCTGAGGCAGGAGAATCGCTTGAACCTGGGAGGCGGAGGTTGCAGTGAGCCAAAATCGCACCACTGCACTCCAGCCTGGGCAACAGAGTGAGTCTGTCTCAGAAAAGAGAAAGAAAGAAGGAAGGAAATAAATAAATAAATAAATAAAGACAGAAAGAAAGAGAGAGAGAGAAAGAAAGGAAGGAAGGAAGGAAGGAAGGAAGTCAGAAGGGAGGGAGGGAGGGAAGAAAGGAAGGAAAGAAAGAAAGAAAGGAAAGAAAGAAAGAGGAGGGGAGGGGAGGGGAGGGAGGGAGGAAGGAAGGAAGGAAGGAAGGAAGGAAGGAAGGAAGGAAGGAAGGAAGCCCTCAAGTCAGATGTCCAAACCAGTCAAAACACCAAAAAAATGAAGGAAATTTAAGTCTTGCCACTGCCTTTTGCAACAACACAATGGTTAGGTTTTATAAAATCTTTTATTCATATACTACCTTGGAAGATGCTTCTGGAAGGCAGAATTTGTCCCTCAGTGCTGAGGGACCATCCTGAAATAATGGCTGGTGACAGCAACTTGGTACATAGTAGTTTGGGAATGAGTTCCATTACCAGTTCAGTCTGTTTCTGCTGAATACCTCCCTGCTTTTGGATTCTTGGTATGGATGGAGCTTACCCAAGTAGCTTCAGGAACCCAGAGAGATAGTAGTGGCTTGTCACCCTGACCTGAGTACTATGGAGCTTCAACAAGTTATACTAGCATAAAAGAAGATAGTGCTGACCAAAATGCGATTTACCTTGACTTCCCTAGATCCCTGCTGCTCAAAATGTGGTCCAGGGGCTAGCAGCACGGGCATAGCCTGGGAAAATAGCTTGTTGGAAATGCAGAAGCTCAGACCCCACTGCAGGTGCCTGAATCAGAATCTACATTTTAACAAGGTGCCCAGGAGACTCATATGTGCATTCAAGTATGAGAAATACTCATTTAAATTAGATTAAAGCTCAAGCAGTCTTTCTATTTACAACCCTTTTGGAAAGTGAGTTTATGGCTAGGCACCGTGGTTCACGCCTGTAATCCCAGAGCCCTGAGAGGCTGAGGCAGGTAAGGTTGCTTGAAACCAAGAGTTCAAGACCAGTCTGGGCAACAGAGCAAGACCCTGTCTCCACCAAAATTTTTAAAAACTAGCCAGATCTGGTGGCGCTCATCTATAGTCTCAGCTGCTCAGGAGACTGAGAGGATCACTTGGCCCCAGGAGATCGAAGTTACAGTGAGCTGTGATCACGCCACTGCACTCCGGCCTGGGCAACAGAGCAAGACCCTACCTCTAAATAAAGAAGCAAATTTACATAATCGGTATAAATCTGTTTTAAGTGAAAACTGTAGGAACCATCGTGATTCCTACTGCTGAGTGAAAATTTTACTTAATTTGTCCTTTAAAAACTTTCGTTTTTGCTTGTTCAGGTCTTCTTAAACAATTATTTATTTGAAATTGCTTTACTTTCCACTTGCTTTTTTTTTTTTTTTTTTTTTGAGATGGAGTTTCACTCTTGTTGCCCAGGCTGGAGTGCAATGGTGCGATCTCAGCTCACTGCAACCTCCGCCTCCCGGGTTCAAGTGATTCTCTTGCCTCAGCCTCCCAATTGGCTGGGATTAGAGGCATGCGCCACCATGCCCAGCTGATTTTATATTTTTAGTAGAGACGGAGTTTCTCCATGTTGGTCAGGCTGGTCTCGAACTCCTGACCTCAGGTGAGCCACCCTCCTCGGACTCCCAAAGTGCTGGCATTACAGGCGTGAACCACTGCACCTGCCCTCCTCTTGCTTTTGCTAAAGACAGACTTCACTGACATGTTGAAGAACTATAATTAGTATTGAAATGCCTGGGCCTCCTGGTCAAAGATGTATAAATCACAAGTTGGGGAACATAAGAACGTCCTTCCCTACATAAGCAAAGCCCAGAGATGACTCTGACAGCTTGGCTGAGGATCCTCTGAAAAAACAACAGTGCTTTTTGGAGGAATGCCAATCAGCTCCTAGGATGCAAGCCCCTTTGATGGGCTGTTGGCTTACTGTGAGGGTGACTTTCCTCCTCGTCTGTCCCGTAAGTCACTAGGCTTACTCTCTGAAGGCAAAGCTGCCTCCTTTGGCCTTGCAGCCTCAGTGCTAACAAGAGGATCCAGCATACAGTAGATCCTCAATTCATGTTTATTGAATAAGTTAATAAATGAATGAATGAATTCCAGAGTGGGAGGAAGATGTTTGTTTGATCTCACTGTTTGCAGAAGTTCCTCTAGTTAAGTGGTGACAGTCCCTGATATACCAATGCCACACATATCCAAGCCACTTCCAAAGCACTATGAGAGCATTGGAGTCAACACACCCAGAAATGACTGGCTTAGATAGAGTAATGACCGCGAGGTGGAGAATACAGAATGTGTCCGTGAGTAAAATGCTTCCCTTCTGTCATTCCAAAGTGGTTGTTTCATCTTCTAGAGCAAGATACCAGGATGAATATCCCCCACAAGGGTGACCATTCATCTCATTGAGCTGTGACTGAAGAGATTCCAGATGTGAGACTTTGAGTGCTAAAACCAGAAAGGTTCTGGGCAAACCAGCTGATCACCTTGCCCACAGACTTACGAGCACAGACAGGAAGCTCCGGGCTCCATTTTCCTTCCTCAGTGCACTTGGCAGAATCAGCGCCATTCAGATAAAACCTGCAAAAGGAAAATTCATTCTATCAAGGAGTAAAATAATCCATCACTGACATCTCAAATATCTTCTCCATTGAGCATTGCTTCATGTTAATGCTATTGACTTCTTTTCCATCGTATAATGCTGTCTTCCTGACAAACTTAGTACTCATCTATGGCTCATGGAGCCTCCCAACCAATGATGCAGGTGAATCACTGCAGGGTTCCACAGCTGGTGAGTGGAGAATCCAAACCCTTAAATCCCTCATCTTTAAAGAGTTGGCCAAGATGACTGTTTCTAATATAAAGCAAAGAACCATCTCTTTTTCAGGATGACAAAAGTGAACCAAACTGAGTAATCTTCATTATTCATTTTCTTACAGCCTACTGACACCAATGAATAAAAGCAATGCAGTCTATTTCCAATGAAAATATAGCATTCTGACTGGGTACTTTGGCTCATGCCTGTAATCCCAGCACTTTGGGAGGCCGAGATGGGCGGATCACTTGAGCCCAAGAGTTTGAGCCTGGGCAATGTGGCAAAGGCCCAATTTCTACAAAAAGTCACCAGGCCGTGGTAGTGTGTGCCTATAGTCCAAGCTACTCGAGAGGTAGAGGTGGAAGGAAGGATTCAAAAGGATTTAACCTGGGAGGTCGAGGCTGCAGTGAGCCATGATTGTGCCACTGCACTCTAGACTGAGCAACAGAGGAAGATCCTGTAAAAAAAAAAAAAAAAAAAAAGAAAAGAAAAGAAGGAAAGGAAGGAAAAAGTAAGGAAGGAGAGAGACAGACAAAGAAAGAAAGAAAAGAAAAGAAAGACGGAAGGAAGGGAGGGAGGGAAAGAGAAAGAAAGAAAGAAAAAGAAAGAAAGAAAGAAGAAAGGAAGAGAAGGGAAGGGAAGGGAAGGGAAGGGAAGGGAAGGGAAGGGAAGGGAAGGGAAGGGAAAGGAAAGGAAAGGAAAGGAAAGGAAAGGAAAGGAAAGGAAAGGAAAGGAAAGGAAAGGAAAGGAAAGGAAAGGAAAGGAAAGGAAAGGAGCAGGATGCCATGGTGGCTCACACCTGTAATCCCAGCACTTTGGGAGGCCAAGGAGGGTGGATCACAAGGTCAGGAGTCCAAGACCAGCCTGGCCAAGATGGTGAAACCCCATCTCTACTAAAAATACAAAAATTATCTGGGTGTGGTGGTAGGCGCCTGTAATCCCAGCTACTTGGGAAGCTGAGGCAGGAGAATTGCTTGAACCCAGGAGGTGGAGGTTGCAGTGAGCCAAGATCGCACCACTGCACTCTAGCCTGGGTGACAGAGCAAAAAGAAAGGAAAAAAAAAAAAAGAAAGAAAAATGTAACATTATGTCTTCGAAGCCAATTTTCTTAAGGTCATTTGTTACCAGACCCATTGGTAGATTGGTGTTTCAGATGAAAGGTGTGTATTTCTCTCTCACATGTAGTATTCCTTAACCTCCAATCCCAGTAGAAACTTACCCTAGTGGATAGCCAATGTGCTCTCAATAATGTCACAGGGGTGCCTTTGCTCCTTATGAGTCTATGCCCACCGTTAAGTGACTGCCTCCCTTTGCTCCCAGATGAGCCTGTGCCCACCACAAGTGATTGCTTCCTGGGGATGTGGAACTGCATTGCATTCTCCACTGTCACACTCCCAACCTTCTCCATAGAATTCTCTTCTAGAGACTACCAGGTTGGTCAATCAAATTAGCCTAATAACTAAAGCCCAAGTCTTATTCCTAAAGTATTTTAACCCTATCCAAGATTTGGCCCAGAGATCATATGGAATTATCATCCAGGTTCAATCATTTTAATGTACCTCCTCTGAGATAATTAATCAGGAGCAGAAAAATTAGATACAGTGGTGACTACGTATTGCACTAGTTGTTATATTCTCCAATCCTTACCCCACCCTCAATGCTACAAGACCATCCTGGCTAACACAGTGAAACCCCGTCTCTACTAAAAACACAAAAAATTAGCCGGGCGTGGTGGCGGGCGCCAGTAGTCCCAGCTACTCAGGAGGCTGAGGCAGGAGAATGGTGTGAACCCAGGAGGTGGAGCTTGCAGTGAGCCGAGACTGCACCACTGCGCTCCAGCCTGGGCGACAGAGCGAGACTCCGTCTCAAAAAAAAAAAAAAGCAGGACTAAAATCGATTTGCATTTGAAAGTCCAACCTAAAGGCTGAAAACAAAATATAGACCAGTCTTGATGTTTAGCTTAAGGATACAAAAATGTGCTCAGTCTGTTAACTGCTTAGTTCCATGAAAGTTCTTACCCAGTGTTACAAGAAAAACTGATCGTGTTGGGATATTCAAAAGTCGTATAGCGTACGGCTCCATTTTCTAAGATTCCAGCAAAAGGACATACTCTGGCTGTGATACAAAGATAAAAAATGTTACTTTTCTTTGGGCTAAAAAAAAACATAAACAGGTAAATTTCTATTTATAGAATTTTTCATTAAATGAAACATATAAATTCATTTTCATCCTTTGGTTCAATAACTTTACTGGTAACTATTCTAAGAAAGCAATTCAAAATAAGACAAGTGATATATGTACAAAAGCGTTCATTATACTGTTTCTCCTAATAACAGAATTTGGACAGGCGGGGAGCAGTGGCTCACGCCTGTAATCCCAGCACTTTGGGAGGCAGAGGAGGGTGGATCACTTGAGGTCAGGAATTTGAGACCAGCCTGAACATGGTGAAACCCCATCTCTACTAAAAATACAAAAATTAGCTGGGCATGATGGTGGGTGCCTGTAGTCCCAGCTACTCTGGATGCTGAGGCAGGAGAATAGCTTGAACCCAGGAGGCAGAGGGTGCCAAGATGGCACCACTGCACTGGGCAATAGAGTGAGACTCCGTCTCCAAAAAAAAAAAAAAAATTGGATAGTCTAAGGGTTCATCAGGGGACTGTTTTAATTAATCATGGTAAATCAAAAGTTGAACTATTATGTAGCCAATAAAATATGAATTGTGAAATATGTGGAGATACAATTTTTATGATATGCTGATGAAAACAGAAAAATACAAAATTATACCTGCTCTCTGCAGTAATGCAAAAAGATATGCATGGAAAATAAAAAAATGAAATTTTTAGTGTTCCAGAGTTATAGCTGATTTTTATTTTATTTATTTATTTATTTTTTTTTTTGAGACAGAGTCTCACTCTGCTGCCCAGGCTGGAGTGCAGTGGCACAATCTCAGCTCACTACAACCTCTGCCTCCCAGGTGATTCTCCTGCCTCAGCCTCCTGAGTAGCTGGGACTACAGGCGCATGCCAGCATGCCCGGCTAATTTTTTTTATTTTTAGTAGAGACGAGGTTTCACCATGCTGGCCAGGCTGGTCTTGAACTCCTGACCTCAGGCGATCCACCCACCTTAGGTTCCCAAAGCGCTGGGATTACAGGTGTGAGCCACCGCACCTGGCCCTGATTTAAAGAAAAATTTTCCCTAATGATGTTACATTGGCTTTTTACTAAAAATTATGTTTAGGCTCTTTAAGCAAAAAAGCATAGTAAAATCAACTTGCATGAACATGCATAACTTTGACAAAGGTCCTGTTCATATAACCAAAATCACCAGATCCATACATCTATTTTTACTGCTTAACTTCTACATATAATTAAATGTACCATAAATTCAATCTGGTTGATTGCATAATACTTGACTGTAAAGAATAATGCTAGCATGATATCATAGAACCATGTTCTAAGAAATAAATAAAAGCAACCATTTACAGTAAAGCCATAGTGAGATTGATATATTTTACGTTATATTATTATTTTAATTTGACCTCTTTTCTTGTATTTCATTATAATATAATATATACATAATGTAGATGAAATTTGTATTCATTTCAGTAACTATTAAGTCCGCTTTCATTTTCAGGTGAAGTCCAAAGATATGATGATTCCCCAAATTTTGTTTTTCCAAATGTCTCTTTGGCATCAGTTGACATTTCAAAGCCTCTCCACTGTTCTTTTAACTTCTGTAGTGTTTCTTTCTCCTTTTGCCACACCAGATCTCATTTTTAAACCTACCCTAGTTTCAGGCTATGATCTTCTCCTCTTCTATCAATAGCACCTATTACCCTTACTCTCTTTGCACAGAGAGAACTCCCCAAGACCTTCTCATTTCTCTCCAACCTGGCTTTCTGCAGCATCTACTGGCCCTCTGCACTCTGAGCATGACGAGGTAGCTTATTCCTCCAAAATACCCAGAATCCAAATGAGGGAAGAGAATGTGAGAGAAGGTACTGACTTACGTGTACATTTCAGAGTGTTGATGGGCCACAGTCCTGTGAGAGGGCAGATAAACTTTCTCATCCCTCCTCGGGACACATAGCCCGGCTTGCAGGAATACGTAATCTCTTCTCCTGGCTCATAGAATGTTTTTAACGGGACCACTGTGGAAAATGGTAAATCATCTGGCTTGGGACAGGCTGAAAGAGGGCACAAAGCAGATGGTTAACAAATCTCTATTTGCATTTTAAAGTTCAGCTAAGCCCACAAATGAAAAATGTGTGTACTGTTACCAATTATAAGCATACCAAGTTGCATGCCAAATACCTCATATACACTATCTCATCTAATCCCCTCAACAACCATTTGAAGGAGGTATTATAATTATCCCCATTTTACAGGTCAGTATGCTGAGGCTTAAATTGGCTACGTATCTTACAGAGGAGCTTTACACATGGCAATATTAAAGAATCAGTATCAATCCAGTCCCTCCAGCATCCACTCTAAAGAGAATTTAGTTATCAGCTGGGCGCAGTTGCTCACACCTGTAATCCCAGCACTTTGGGAGGCTGAGGCGGGTGGATCACGAGGTCAGGAGATAGAGACCAACCTGGCTAACACGGTGAAACCCCGTCTCTACTAAAAATACAAAAAATTAGCCGGGTGTGGTGGCGGGCGCCTGTGGTCCCAGCTACTCGGGAAGCTGAAGCAGGAGAATGGAGTGAACCCAGGAGGCGGAGCTTGCAGTGAGCCGAGATCGCACCACTGCACTTCAGCCTGGCGACAGAGCGAGACTCTGTCTCAAAAAAAAAAAAAAAGAATTTAATTATTCTTCTTCTTATTATTATTATTGTTGACTGAGTTTTGCTCTTGTTGCCCAGACTGGAGTGCAATGGGGGGACCTCGGCTCACTGCAACCTCTGCCTCCCAGGTTCAAGCAATTCTCCTGCCTCAGCCTCCCGAGTGGCTGGGATTACAGGCGCCTGCCATCACGCCCGGCTAATTTTTGTGTTTTTAGTAAAGACAGGGTTTCACTATGTTGCCCAGGCTGGGCTCGAATTCCTGACCTCAACTGATTCGCCCACCTCGGCCATGATGCCCAGCTAATTTTTGTATTTTTCATAAAGACGGGGTTTCACCATGTTGGCCAGACTGGTCTCGAACTCCTGACCTCAGGTGATCCACCTGCCTTGGCCTCCCAAAGTGCTGAGATTACAGATGTGAGCAAGCACGCCCGGCCTACTTATCATTATTGATCCCTGACATATACGAAGGGGTTGGATATATTAATTATTTTTTCAAAAGCAAAAAGTACTTACTCCGTCCTGCAATAGCAACATGGCAGAGAAAACTCGAGAACAAGATGAGCACTGGAGAAATCATTGTGGATGAGTCACACTGGCACTACCAAAGTGGTTTTCGTCTGCTAAAAAGACAGAGCCAAATATGAAAGCGCTTAAACATTAACCATTTTCTGGTGTACTTTTATCTTTGTAAATAGAAGATAAAGTATCATGATTTGAATGGAACTCTGAGACCCACATTCTTTAATCATTTACTTTCCACTTATGTGGCTCTGTTATGAAATCTTTGGGAGATGGTTTCTGTCTTCATAACGTTTTTGTTAATGGCACAAAACAGTTCATTATTGCTTTTGACAGAAACTTGTTGTTTCCGGGGTTGCCTGGACTTCTCATTCTCCATCTTTTGTTTTGTGTATGTTGTAGATGGAACACCAAAAGATCGAAGCTCCTGTTTCACTCACAGCCTTGGCATATAAACTTTGGACAAACACCTACTCTCTGTTCTCAGTCTCCACCTCTCTAAAATGATGTTCCAGTTTTCAGATGTATAATTACAAAGAATGTCTTCCAGGAGGCACTTACAACTTTAATTCCCTACAAACTGAGCTCAACATCCTCTCTTGCAAGCTCCTATAGCTCCAGTTAGGACCTTAGAGCTATCCTTGAATTCTCTATCTTCTCTTACGTCAGATCAATACAAAGTCCTCCTCATCCATTCTTAATATGTCTTGGATCTGTCTAGACAGGTTTCTAGATCTGTTTCAGGAATTTGAAAATTGATTTGAAATTAACAACTTGGGACTCGAAGAAGAAAAAAAAACTTGAGTAGGATAAGATAATGGGCCAGTGCTGATGTTGTTGCTTGAGAGGGTTCGGAAGGGGGGTTGTCTTTGATTCCCTAGTTCTCTTCTACATCATTTGCTCTAAAAAAAAAAAAAAGGATATATAAATGGACAATAGCCAGGCCATATGTGAAAACAGAACTCTGACCCACACATCTGTAGCAACAGGTCTAGAAAGCCAAACCTACAACCTCTATAGCAGTTGGCCCAACTTAAGGCCAACCAGAGAAATCCAAACATATTTCTCTAACCAATCACATGGACACCTCACTTCTAGTTAGTTTCCTTCCATCCTCCCCATACCAACAATCCGTTGGAGCACACCTGAAGCCTTTCCTTTTTTCTATTATAAAGCTTTCCCACTCCTCTGTCTGACTTTGACTTTGAGTCTCTGCCAAACACAACTGTTAATGGCTGCCTCCCTTCCTATAGCAAGCTCTGAATAAATAACCTCCGCTTGCTCTCATTTGGGTGATCTTGGTTTATATCCAGAGGTCTAAAATTCCCTGAGACACATCAGCTTGAGAAATCTCCATCTGTCAGGCAGATGATTCTTAAATTACGATCCTAATGAACATTGTGTTCCATGATAAGAAGAGTGTGCTGCCACTAATGTGAAATAACAGTGGTCCTTCCCTATTTGTCCTTCTAAGGGGAAGGAGATTCTTGTTCTCTGGATAATTCCCAGGTTCCGCTTTATTGTGGAGAATCTCCTTGATGAATGAAGAAGAAAGAAAACTAATGAAGTCAGGAGGAGCCAAGTCGTTCTGTATAGTAAGATCTGAAGTAGAAGGGGAAAAGGAGAGAGAAACCAAAGAGGTCGGGCATCAGTTAAAGAAAATTTGAGAAAAGGTTAAAATTGAGACGAGAATATTTTCAGCAACAGCTACAAACTGAGTGCCTGATATTGAGAGAGGACAAGGAGAAGGGTTTTTAATGATGTTTCCTGGTGGCTGGGCTCCCTTGCATTAGGAAACTTGGGGTAGGGGTGTCGAAATAGTTTATATTCTATTTTAGGTGGTTGTTACTTGGCTACATGCAATTTTCAAAAGCCATCAAGCCAAATATTTAAGATCTGTGTGTTTACTTGATTATACTTCAATTGGAAAACTATGCACTCCTTTCCTCCTTCTTCCCTCCCTCCCTTCTTCCTTCCCTCCCTCCCTTCTCCTTCCTTCCCTCCCTTCTCCCCTCCCTTTTTCCCTCCCTTCCTCCCTCCCTCCTTTCTTCCCTTCCTTCCTTCCTTCCTCCCTCCCTTCCTCTCTTTCTCCTTTCCTCCCTTCCTCTCTTCCTCCCTTCCTCCTTCTTTTCATCCTAACTCAGTCTAAAAGTCACAAGGAAGGCCTCAAGGGGAAAGTCATGCTTATCTGTGTAAGGATGGCAGCGTGATGGTGTCACAAGCTTAGCTACATATAGGAGATTGAGCAAACAAGCAAATATATTGAGGATAATGGGGGTCAGGTTTCTCACTAACAAGAGAAGTAACAATGCGGAAAGAAGGAAAGTTAGCATGAACCTTGAGGTGTTGGATTGAAAATGGAGACAGTACAAATTGTGCGTATATATAAACAGATACAGAAATCAATATAGATATAATGGTATGTACATGTGTGTGAATGTATGCCTGAATATACATATAATTCTTAGTTCTGTCCACTAGGATAATAGCAGTAGTACATCCAGTAGCAATGAGCACACACAGTGCCTAAATATTGGTTGTTAAATGCAATTCTTGGCCAGGCCGTGGTGGCTAATGCCTGTAATCCCAGCACTTCAGGAAGAAAGAAAGATCGCTTGAGGTCAGGAGTTCAAGACCAGCCTAGCCAACAGGGTGAAACCCTGTCTTTACAAAAACTACAAAACCTAGCCAGGCATGATGGCAGGTGCCTGTAATCCCAGCTACTTGGGAGGCTGAGGCAAGATAATCATTTGAACCCAGAAGGCAGGGGTTGCAGTGAGCCAATGAGATTGCAACACTGCACTCCAGCCTAGGCAACAGAGCGAGACACTATCTAAATAAATAAATAAATGCAATCCACCATCGAAAGGCACCAAAGCTCCTTAGAAAATTGGCTGATTCTTGAACTGGGTCAAGGAAAAGTACAAGATGAGCCTGGAACACCATCTTGAACAACTTAGGTAATGCTCAGAGAATGATAGGGACATGTCCAAAGGACAGAGAAGCCATTTGAAAGTGGCTTTCTTGACTGGGTGCGGTGGCTCACGCCTGTAATCCCAGCAGTTCAGGAGGCCGAGGTGGGTGGATCACTTGAGGTCAGGAGTTTGAGACCAGCCTGGCCAACATGGTGAAATCCCGTCTCTACTAAAAATACAAAAATTAGCAGGGCATGGTGGCGTGTACCTGTTATGCCAGCTAGGAGGCTGAGGCAGGGGAATCACCTGAACCCGGGAGGCAGAGGTTGCAGTGAGCCAAGATCGTGACACTGCACTCCAGCCTGGGCGACAGAGTGAGATTCCATCTCAAAAAAAAAAAAAAAAAAAAAAAAAAAAAAAAAGCGGGGGGCGGGGGGTGCTTTCTCTGGTCAAATATGTGACAGTTTGTCCAAATAAGTAATAATAGTAATGGATTATACTCCACTGAATAAAATAGGAATCAGTGAGTCCACAGTGATAGTAATAAACACATTAACAATTATGTGAAGAGATAAGAAAGTTATTCCTTAGAGTATAATGCCAAGCAATTAATATAGAGGAATACTGGACTTAGAGAATTGTAATTTGGAAATAATTATGAAACGATTTAATTCTGGCAAAGAAGTATCAATTGATGCTAGAATCAGGGGATACAAGTAGGATGAGAAATGTTCATACAGCCTTAAACATGTCTCCACATAAAATAACTATTTATTATAAAGGAGACAAAGAGAAACTTAGAGGGGAAGAACCTGGCAGACACCATCTTAATTAAGTAATCAAAATTAATGTCACCACTAATGGGATAAATTGGCATGTATGTCCTCCACCAAGAGGATGCAATGAGAAGGACACAGCGTCACTTCTGTGATATTCCTGCCAAAAGCTTAGTAACCTGGATTGTGTCATGAGAAGGCACTGTACACACACAAATTGAAGGACGTTATGCAAAATGACTGCCCTGTCATCTTCAAAAGGGCAAAAGCCATGAAAGGCAAAGAAAGACTTAGGGAACCCAGGTGGACATGAGAACTGGGTGCACAGTGTGGGCCCGAAGGGGCATTTGGTGACACTTGAATGGAAGGGTCTAGGGTCTCTGGGTAAAGAGAACAAGGAAGTTTTTGTTCTATTCTTACAACTTTTCTGTATGTTTGTAATTTGAAATCATTTAAAAAATAACGAAAAAGAAAAAGAAGAAAGAAAGAGAGAGAAAGAAAGAAGGAAAGAAGGAGAGAGAGAGCACAAGAAAGAAAAAGAAAGAAGGAAGGAAGGGGAAGGAAGGAAGGAAGGAAGAAAAGAAGGAAGGAAGGAAGGACGCTTTTTGTGGTTTCCTTGAAAGTCCTTCTATTGAGATGTGATTTTTAAACTGGATCATACGAGGCCTCAAATTTTATTTGCATCGCCCCCTAAAGAGGAATACAAGCTTGGCCCCCACCCCACCGCCATCATTGACACTCAGCTCCTATTTGCCAGCTACTGAGCTTTGAAAAATTATGCAAAATAACAGTGACAGGAAAATGGAGAAACCACTAAATCAAACTTAGTTTGACGGCTTTTGTGGGCTGTTACATGCATTTGTAATTACAACTTTCATGTTTACTCTTCGGCTGGTAAAAATTTCCCTTGTTTGAACAATTAAATACAAAGATAATAAATGGTAATCTGCATAATTAATAAATTATGAGTATAATTATGATTAATTTATTCATAATCATAATTTTGGGATTATGATGATTATCAGCTGGCCACCATGCTCAGCTAATTTTTGTATTTTTAGTAGAGCCAGAGTTTCGCCATGTTGGCCAGGCTGGTCTCGAACTCTTGGACTGAAGTGATCCGCCTGCCTCAGCTTCCCAAAGTGCTGAGATTACAGGTGTGAGCCATTACCTCCGGCTGAACTTGAACATGTCTGAGAACTACAGGGTATTCCTGGCCGGGCGCGGTGGCTCACGCCTGTAATCCCAGCACTTTGGGAGGCCGAGGCGGGCGGATCACGAGGTCAGGAGATCGAGACCACGGTGAAACCCCGTCTCTACTAAAAATACAAAAAAAAAGTTAGCCGGGCGTAGTGGCGGGCGCCTGTAGTCCCAGCCACTCAGGAGGCTGAGGCAGGAGAACGGCGTGAACCCGGGAGGCGGAGCTTGCAGTGAGCCAAGATTGCGCCACTACACTCTAGCCTGGGTGACAGAGCGAGACTCCATCTCCAAAAAAAAAAAAAAAAAAAAAGAGAGAGAACTACAAGGTATTCCTAAAACTCTTCCAGAAACACACATGGCCCTAATGAAGAAGTCTTTGGAGAGATAAGATGCAATTGCACCTTTCAATTATTTTCACCTTCCAGTTTGTGACACATTGGGCCACATAACTTTAGCACCATCTGGTTGATCAGTTAACTGATCTATCTTCCCTCCACGCACTTCGATTCACATTCCCAAAACTAACCTATGATAATAACTGAGGAGCTGGCTGCTTACCAATGTTAAATGACAGTTTTAAAGACACATTTAAACTTACCATTGAAGTTTTATTTGGCAGAGCAAGTGGAAAAACTGTTAAAAAATATGGAATTTTGGCAAATCAAGTGGCTGTCTTGTATTTTCAGGGTTTATACTCATCAGTAAAGATTGGCAACTCTTGGGTTTAATGTTACACTTAACATGCTATTAATATATTTTAACAGGCCGGGTATGGTGGCTCACACCTGTAATCCCAGCACTTTGGGAGGATGAGGCAGGTGGATCACTTGAGGCCAGGAGTTCGAGACCAGCCTGGCCAACATGGTGAAACCCCATCTCTACTAAAAATACAAAAAAGTAGCCGGGTGTAGTGGCGGGCGCCTGTAATCCCAGCTACTTGGGAAGCTAAGACAGGAGAATCATTTGAACCCAGGAGGCAGAGGTTGCAGTGAGCTGAGATCACTCATTGCACTCCAGCCTGGGCAACAAGAGTGAAACTCCATCTGAAAATATATATATAATATATATGTATATATAATATATATAATATATAAAATATACGTATATATATATACAAGCATGATCAAGAATACCTGAGAATTTAAGAATATATAAAATAACAACATTTTTATCACAAGTAACATGGGACCTCGTCTTTTGAAACTGTTAATGACTTTATAGCGTTTCTTACGCTAATTTGTAAATTAAACTATAGAGACCTGGATTCAGAGTCCAAGGTTTTTGTATTCCTGAAACCACATTGCATCACATGTTCAAAAACTTTCTTATTTACTTCCCAAGCAGAGACTTTGACCATGATATTAAACATTTAGCAACAGTTTAGATTATTTGTTTAAAAACCTACTTTCAATGTTGTCTCCTTCTGAGTTGGAATTCTAGTCAATATCTACCAACCACATTTCAGAGAAAAGATTCAAATGCCTTCTCTTTATGATAAAATATGTCAGGAACTAGATATGCATTTATAAGGGGTATAAACATGTCACAGGGCTTAATGGGCATGATTAAATATGTCTAGAAATCAATAATGGGCCTAAGTCAGCACTGGGACATTTTTGTGTGGACACTGGGATCCTCTGAATACAGGTAGCTTTTACCTTGAAAAAACTAATATCCATATGTTGCAATTTCTATTTTTATCTAGAGTAGTTAGTCTTATCCTTGGCTGCATAGTAGATGTTCCCAATTGTTTGTTAAAAATACCAATACTCATAATTTCTGGGTATAGTGCTTTTTTTTTTTTTTTTTTTTTTTGAGACGGAGTCTCGCTCTGTCACCCAGGCTGGAGTGCAGTGGCGCGATCTCTGCTCACTGCAGGCTCCGCCCCTGGGTTTACGCCATTCTCCAGCCTCAGCCTCCCGAGTAGCTGAGACTACAGGCGCCCGCCACCGCGCCCGGCTAATTTTTTGTATTTTTAGTAGAGACGGGGTTTCACCGTGTTAGCCAAGATGGTCTCGATCTCCTGACCTCATGATCCACCCGCCTTGGCCTCCCAAAGTGCTGGGATTACAGGCGTGAGCCACCGCGGCCGGCCGGTATAGTGATTTTTAAAACAATTGTCCAGGTAAGTATGATTGAAGTAAGGATAAAGATCCACTGATCTAGCACGTCAATGTTCACCTAAGACAAGTTCAGCTAATACGGTTCTACCACATACATTTTCTCCCTTGCCAAGTGAGACTATTTTCTGTACTTTGAATATGACACAGCTCTGAGTCTCTTGTGCATTTTCTCCTAAGTGCCATTAATGCTTTTATTTATTTATTTATTTGGGTGTTTTTTGTTTGTTTGTTTGTTTTTGACAGTGTCTCACTCTGTCACCCAGGTTGGAGTGCAGTGGCGTGATCACAAGTCATTGCACCACCATGTCTGGCTAATTTTTTGTATTTTTGGTAGAGACAGCGTTTTGCCATATTGTCCAGGCTGGTCTCGAACTCCTGGCCTCAAGTCATCTGCCCACCTCTGCCTCCCGAAGTGCTGGGATTACAAGCGTGAGCCACCACGCCCAGCCTTATTTCTTATTTCTTTATTTTTTGTAGAGATGGGGGTCTCCCTATGTTGCCCAGGCTGGTCATAAACTCCTGATCTCAAGTGATCTGCCTGCCTCAGCCTCCCAAAGTGCTGGGATTACAAGCATGAGCCACCGTGCCCAGGCTTTCTTTTTTATTTTATTTTATTTTTTTACAAACTGCTACTAAGCCCTTACTAAGCTGTAATTTGTGGTTGATAGCAGAATTTCAGAAATAAACAAGAGTTGACTACTGGCTATAAGGAGTTCGCAGTTTACTAAGACTGAGGTACAATGCTACAATTACAATCATAGAAGAAAGTGTCAGATGCATGTGTATCCCCGCACATAAGGATGTAGTGGCAATGATGAGGATGTTCCAGGTTGTTGCCAAAGAGCAAAGGCATAAAACAGCATCATGCACCCAACAGTTGCAAATTGTTGAGTGTTGCTGGTGCAGAATATTTCAGGTAAGGAATAGCAGCAAACAAAGGTGGAGAGTGGGTAGGAACTAGATGATAAAGGCTCTTTTGTTTTTTTTGTTTGTTTTTTGTTTTGTTTTGTTTTGTTTTGAGACAGTGTCTCACTCTGTTGCCCAGGCTAGAATGCAGTGGTGTGATCTTGGCTCACTGCAACCTCTGCCTTCTGGGTTCAAGCAATTCTCCTGCCTTAGCCTCCTGAGTAGCTGGGACTACAGGCATGCCAGCACACCTGGCTAATTTTTGTATTTTTGTAGAGACAGGGTTTCACCATGTTGGCCAAGCTGGTCTCAAACTTCTGACCTCAAGTGATCTGCCTGCCTTGGCCTCCCAAAGTGCTGGGATTACAGGCATGAGCCACCATACCCAGCCCCAAAAGTCACACAGATATTAACCAGAAAGTACTCATTCTCTAAGCCAGGAATCGAACACGGGCCACCACTGTGAAAGGAGAGAACCTTAGCTACGGAGCTACAACACTGGGCCTAATTTTTGTATTTTTAGTAGAGACGGGGTTTTGCCATCTTGGCCAGGCTGGTCTCGAACTCCTGGCCTCAAGTGATCCACCTGCCTTGGCCTCCCAAAGAGCTGGGATTACAAGCATGAGCCACCGCACCCAGCTGGCAAAGGCTCTTGTAAGCCACGTTTAGGAATTAGAACTTATCTTGAAGGCGGTGAAGGGGAGGAACCGGATCAGGTTTGTATTTTCGAAAGTATATCGATAGCAGTGTAGAAGACACACTGGGATCAGAGAGTAGTGCAGGGAGAAAGAGAGACTGGAAGAAGAAAAACCGTAGTATGTTGCCACATAAACTCATCTTCCATTCATTCCACTCTCCAAACCAATGGCATCTTCTGTGGTGTTCATCTGTGAGATGAACAATATGAAACTGGCCATTCTGATGAACCAGAACATGTGCTGCTCTTGTGAAGCATACATTAGAAGGAAGGAATTTCCTTCCCCTTTTCCCCGAAATCAAGGCCTGAAATGCCAGAGGAACGGAGTCCTAGCTAGGGGCCAAAGTCTTTACTTAGAAACTGGCAGGAATTTTGCTAGGCAAATTCACCAACCCATATGTTACGTGTTAGATTGGATTTGGAGAAAGGTGCTTAGATATAATTGTGATATTGAGTCTGTGGAGGATGGTGTGCACCAAATAGAAAAAGGAGCATAGTCTCTGGCTCTTCATAGAGTGACCCCATCAGAGAATGGGGGCAAGTTCATCACTGTGGCAAGACCATGGTGTCATGGCTAAGGACAGAGGTTTTAATCACCGTATACTTGAGTTGGAGTCCTGGCTCTGCCTCTTAGTAGCTGTGTCATCTTGGGCAAGTAACATTCTCTAGTCAAGTTTTCATGTCTAAAATGGAGATAATAAATAAAACCCCCAGCCAGGTGCAGGTGGCTCATGCCTGTCATCTTGGCACTTTGGGAGACCAACAGGGGTGGCTCACGAGGTCAAGAGATGGAGACCATCCTGGCCAACATGGTGAAACCCCATCTCTACTAAAAATACAAAAATTAGTTGGACATGGTGGCACACACCTGTAGTTTCAGCTACTCAGGAGGTTGAGGCAGGAGAATCGTTTGAACCCAGGAGGCGGAGGTTGCAGTGAGCTGAGATTGCGCCACTGCACTCCAGCCTGACAACAGAGCAAGACTCTGTCTCAAAAAATAAATAATAAATAAATAAACAAATCCCCCTTCAAATGGGTGTAGTCAGGATTCAATTAGAATGCAGGCAGGATACTTAACTGTAGCTTTATTCATAATGGTGAAAGTAAGCACCAAAATATCCCAAAGCAAAGAAATGGTTAAAATAGAGAGCATCTCCAAGATGTAAGATTATGTAGTCATTAAAGAAAAAAAAGCAATCTTTGAAAACACAAATAATGATCTGGGAAATTGCTTATGGCATGAAAATAAAATACATAATTATATACTGAATATGGTTCCAATTTTGATTATGACATATACAAATGCTGAAAGAAATAACCCTAAGTGGTGATATTATAATGAGTGTTTAATGAAAGTTAGTTCTCATTAACATTCTTCTTGTCATTAATATACATGCCTCTGATGTCTTACTCCAAAGAATTTGAAATTCCTACACAAAATCACACAAAGGTAGGCATGTGGTTCATGCAGGTTAAATGAGCGTCCCATAATGATACTGCTTACCCGGTTTTAGTCCCCATGAGTAGCAAAATTGTAAGTCTCCCCAACTTATCTTGGTATAGAAAATAATATAGATGTTTCTGCGACATTCAGTAGGGTCATTATGTCACCCAACTCTCAGCCAATGACCACCACAAATTGCAGCCAGTCCCTCCAGAGTCAGCTGTTCAGCTGGCTGGATCATCTCAGCCCTCTGTCCAGTCCCAGTGTGAGAGTCTGGTATCAGCCCCCCAGCTCACTTCATTTTCCTGCTTCACAAGAAGTTCTGAGTTAGGACAAGTTTGAGACAAAAAGGCCATGATGCTTTGGAATACAAAGAAGAGAACACTGAGGCCGGGCATGGGGGCTCACACCTGTAATCCCAGCATTTTGGGAGGTCGAGGCGGGCAGATCCCATGAGGTCAGGAGATGGAGACCAGCCTGGCCAACAAGGTGAAACTCTGTCTCAACTAAAAATACAAAAACTAGCTGGGCATGATGGTGCGCACCTGTAGTCCTAGCTACTCAGGAGACTGAAGCAGGAGAATCACTTGAACCTGGGAGGTGGAGGTTGCAGTGAGCTGAGATCGCACCACTACATTCCAGCCTGGGTGACAGAGTGAGACTCCATCTCGAAAGAAAGAAGAAGAGAACATTGAGACCTTTCACACAAGTGTCACGGACTATTTAGAAAAACATATTGTGAGAATTAGAAAGAAATTATGGGGATGATCTCATCACCAGAAAACCTAAAAGGGAATGAGGTTTAACAGATGAGAGCTTGATAATAAGATTCTGGAAATGCATTTGCTGACGATCTGGTGCAGAAGATGAGGAGGCAGCCAGAGAAACTAATATGACTTCCCAGGAAGTTTTTCTGATGAGCTCAGGTTGGGAAAGAAAAAAAAAGGATGGAGGAAGGGGAATATTACATGGGATGAATTCGAAGTACAGCATAGAGGCCGGGCACGGTGGCTCATGCCTGTAATCCCAGCACTTTGGGAGGCCGAGGCAGGTGGATCACATGAGACCAGGAGTTCGAAACAAGCCTGGTCAACATGAAGAAACCCCGTCTCTACTAAAAATAAAAAAAAATTAGCCAGGCATGGTGGTGCACGTCTGTAATCCCAGCTACTCAGGAGGCTGAGGCACGAGAATCGCTTGAGCCCAGGAAGTGGAGGTTGCAATGAGCAGCAATAGTGCCATTGCACTCTAGCCTAGGTGACAGAGTAAGACTCTGTCTCAAAAAAAATTAAAAAAAAAAAAACGAAGTACAGTATAAACCAAGTCCATAAAATGTCAGGAGCTCAGCTGACTAAACTAAATCCAAGATGTGATAAAGATCAGAAAAAATGCAAAGACAATAAAGTGTAGAAGTCAGGATGGAAAGAGGAAGGAAGAGTTATTGTATTTCACAAGGAAGATGATTCGTACATATGGAATTATACTTTTCTCATTATGAGAGTAATACAGTATCATTTAAATCAATCTGGAAAACAAACAGGAAATGACTAAAAATCCTATAATATCACCATTTAGGGTTATTTCTTTTCAGCATTTGTATATGTCATAATCAGAATTGGAATCATATTCGGTATATTGTTGTATATTTTATTTTCATATCATGAGCACTTTCCCAGATTATTATTTGTGTCTTCAAAGCTTGCTTTTTTCTTTAATGTCTACACAATCTTACATCATGTAGATGCTCTCTATTTTGACCATTTCTTTACTTTGGGATATTTGGGTGCTATCTTTCACCATTATGAATAAAGGTACAGTTAAGATTCTTTTTTTTTTTAAGTGAAAGTAAGTTTATTAGGAAAGTAAAGGAGTAAAAGAATGGCTTCCCCATAGGCAGAGCAACCAAGATTCTTTTACAAATTTTTTTTCATTGAAACAGAGTCTTGCTCTGTCACCCAGGCTGGAGTGCAGATGCAATGGTGCTATCTTATTCACTGCAACTTCCGCCTCCTGGGTTCAAGCTGTTCTCCTGTCTCAGCCTCCCAAGTAACTGGGATTACAGGTGCCCACCACCCATACCTGGCTAATTTTTTGTATTTTTACAAAAGCAGGGTTTCACCATGTTGGCCAGACTGGTCTCGGATTCCTGGCCTCAAGTGATCCGCCCACGTCAGCCTCCCAAAGTGCTGGGATTATAGGCATAAGCCACCTCACTCGGCCCTTTTATAAAATTTTTGAATAAATTGTTTCCTTAGGATAGAGTCCTAGATGTGGAATTACTTAAGCAAAGGGTAAAACATTTAAGAATCTTCAAACATACTGCCTAGTTGCCTTCCTGAAAGGTTAGCCCAATTTTTGTTCCGATTTACAAGGATGAAGTTTCTAAACCTAAGGTTGAAAGCTGACAAAGAGAGAGACCGATTATTTAATTGTTAGTTTTCTTCTGACTTATTGGTAGAGTTTGAATATTTGTGCCCCCAAATCTCATGCTGAAGTGTAATTCCCAGGGTTGAAGGTGTGACCTGGTGAGAGGTGAATGGATTATGGGCAGATTTCTCAGGAATGGAGTAGCACCATTTCCTTGGCACGTGTGAGTTGAGTCCTCATGAGATCTGGTTGTTTAAGTGTGTGGCACCTCCTCCCAGCTCCTTCTCTTGCTCCCTGCTCCCTCTTCACCTTCTACCATGAATAAAATTTCCTGGAGGCCTCTCCAGAAGCCCAGCAAATGCTGGCTGTGTAAACAGCCTGCAGAACCATAAGCCAATTAAAACTGTTTTCTCTGTAAATTTTCTAGTCTCAGATATTTCTTCACAGCAACCCAAGAACAGACTAAAACACCTATATAGCAAAAAAAAAAAAAAAAAAGAAAGAAAGAAAGAAATTACACTCACACTGAAAAATAAAAATGTATATCAGGAAGATGGAATAAAAGTCCAGCTAGAAAATAATACAAGAAACTAGCTGTCCAAAATGAATTTAGGGGCTAGAAACCCAGGAAAACATATTCCAAGTTGTTAAAACGTGTAATTGTGACCCTGGGAAGTTCACTATCAACAATATTTACAATATAGGATGGTAAGGAGGACAATCTAATAAAATGAAAATTGTATTTTAAAATTCATGTACAATTGGCTGGGTGAGGTGGCTCATGCCTGTAATCTCAGACCTTTGGGAGGCTGAGGCTGACAGATCATTTGAGCTCAAGAGTTTGAAACCATCCCGGGCAACATAGTGAAACCCCATCTCTACCAAAAATACAAAAATTAGCCACGCATGGTGGCACACGCTTGTAGTCCTAGCTACTCAGGAGGCTGAGGCAGGAGGATCACTTGAACTCAGAGGCAGAGGTTGCAGTCAGCTGAGATCACACAACTGCACTCCAGCCTGGGCAACAGAGCTAAAACCTGTCTCAATTAAAAAAAATACATGTACAACACTGTGATACTGTTAAGAATATATACCCACATACACAAACCTGCACATTCTGCACATGTACCCTGGAACTTAACATAAAGATTTTCTTTTTTTTGAGATGGGGTCTCTCTCTCTGTTGCCAGGCTGGAGTGCAGTGGTGCAATCTCGGCTCACTGCAACCTCAGCCTCTCCAGTTCAAGAGATTCTCCTGCCTCAGCCTCCCAAGTAGCTGGGACTACAGGTGTGTGCCACCACACCCAGCTAATTTTTGTATTTTTAGTAGAGATGGGGTTTCACCATGTTGGCCAGATGGTCTCCATCTCTTGACCTTGTGATCCGCTCAACTCAGCCTCCCAAAGTGCTGGGATTACAGGCGTGAGCCACCATGCCCGGCCTAAAAATTTTTTTAAAAAGAATATATCTAGAAAAAATGCTGGAAGTTAGTGTACCAAAATATTGAGTATTTGAGTTAGAAGGAGATTTTTTTTTCTTGTTTTCTCTGCTTCCAAATTTTATGTAATGTGTTTGTATTATTTCATGATGGGAGAAAAAAACATTTTCAAAAACGATGAACACAAAGATGCCTGAAGACACAGAAGGAAAAGCAATAGATTCTGACAGCCAAGCCTCAGTAAGTTTGACATAAATCCACAGCCCAATGGTATGAATTGTTAAACAAATGGTTTATGGGTATGTAGATGAATGTGAAATGATGACTGAAAAATAATATGAACTCTCTTCAAAACATTTGAAGGTTTCAACAAATTAAATCCAATTATGTTTTTTGACATTGTTATTAGGTTAGTAGAAAAGGGCAACACTTTAGCTACAATGTATATCCCTCTTTTAGTAAAGCATTTGATGAGTTATCTACTGGCATCCTTGGGAGTAAGATACCGAACTGTGGCTTGGGATATGGTACTTCTAAGTGATTTGACAGCTGCTTGTACAAACTGTATATGAAAAGTTCTGCTCAATAGCTATAACATGAAACACCCAAACTCCACAGAGGTTTATTAGCTGCCATAGGTCTAGATTATATGAAAGTAAAATGAGGACTTGGGGAATGATTCATTATTTTTTAAGAGAGTAGAGGCATGAATGTCTCCCACAAATATCATCTATTGCTTTTTGTTTTAAGCTTAAATCTTTTTTTTTTTTTTTTTTTCAGATGGAGTCTTGCTCTGTCGCCCAGGCTGGAGTGCAGTGACACGATCTCAGCTCACTGCAAACCTCCGCCTCCCAGATTAAAGCAATTCTCCTACCTCAGCCTCCTGAGTAGCTGGGATTACAGGCATGCCCTACCACACCTGGCTAATTTTTGTATTTTTAGTAGAGATGGGGTTTCACCATGTTGGTCAGGCTGGTCTCAAACTCCTGACCTTGTGATCCACCCACCTCGGCCTCCCAAAGTTCTGGGATTACAGGTGTGAGCCACTGCGCCCGGCCTTAAGCTTAAATCTTTATATATATTTATTTATATTTATTTTTGAAACAGGGTCTCACTCTGTCACCCAGGCTAGAATACAGTGGGATGATCTCCACTCTCTGTATCTTCAACTTCCCAAACTCAAGTGATCCTCAGCCTCTCAAGTAGCTGGGACTACAGGTGTAAGTCACCACACCCAACTAATTTTGGGTTTTGTTTTGTTTTCTTTTGTTTTTTGGTAGAAACTGCGTTTTGCCATGTTGCCCAGGCTGGTCTTGAACTCCTGGCCTCAAGCAATCTGCCGGCCTCAGCCTCCCAAAGTGCTGAGATTACAGGCTTGAGCCACCCCACCTGGCCTAAATCTTTAAGTTTAAAGTGAGTATGAACACCCACCGATGTTGATTCATACTGGCCTCTTCGAGAGGACCATGGATCTTAAGAAGCAGTCTTATGATATTGTGAAAGTAAAATATCTTCAGCCCCCAAAATCACTAAGGAAACCTCAAGCTGGAAACTGCTTAGGGCAAACTTGCCCCCCATTCTATTCAAAGTCACCCCTCTGCTCACTGAGATAGATGCATATCTGATTGCCTCCTTTGGAAAAACTAATCAGAAACTCAAAAGAATGTAACTTCTCTGCTTTGAGTCTTCCTGCCTTTGCTTCAAGTTGTCCCGCCTTTCCAGACCGAACCAATGTACTTCTTACATAAAGCAATTAATGTCTCATGTCTCCCTAAAATGTATAAAGCCAGGCTGTGCCCCGACCACCTTGGGCGCATGTCGTCAGGACTTCCTGAGGCTGTGTCACGGGCGCAGGCACATCCTCAACCTTGGCAAAATAAACTTTCTAAATTAACTGAGACCTGCCTCAGATTTTCTGGGTTCACAATGTCTGGATATGTGAACAAGCAAAAATACGTCAAGGAGCTTGACAGATGACTGCCCTTGTCTCCTAGATCAAAGGAAATTCAACTTATTATTTAACCTGTCAAGAATATCTGTGCTTTCCCCTTTGTTTCTATGTGTTCTCTCATTAATTTTCTTCACCATGGCATGTCCCCTTCATCTACTGGCTCTGTTTGAAAACCTTCACTTTTGTCTGTCTGCCAATATCCCACAGCTAAGGAACCTCACACTACATACACACAAATATACTCCTCTACCCCCCAGTTCATTATTTTAAAAGCTGACAGTTAAGAAAAAATTTCAGGCCAGGCACACTGGCTCACGCCTGTAATCCCAGCACTTTGGGAGGCCGAGGTGGGGGGATCACCTGAGGTCAGGAGTTTGAGACCAGCCTGCCCAACATGGTGAAATCCTGTTTCTACTAAAAATACAAAAATTAGCCCGGTATGGTGGTGGGCACCTATAATCCCAGCTACTCGGGAGGCTGAGGCAGGAGAATTGCTTGAACCTGGGAGGCAGAGGTTGCAGTGAGCAGAGATTGCGCCACTGCATTCCAGCCTGGGCAACAGAGCAAGACTCCATCTTGGAAAAGAAAACGAAGAAGAAAAAATTTCAAGAATAAGACAATAGGCTGGATGCAGCAGCTCACACCTGTAATCCCAGCACTTTGGGAGGCCGAGGCAGGCGGATCACCTGAGGTCAGGAGTTCAAGACCAGCCTGGCCAACATTATGAAACCCCATCTCTCCTAAAAATACAAAAAATTAACTGAGTGTAGTGGCGCATGCCTGTAATGCCAGCTACTTAGGAGGCCGAGGCATAAGAATCTCTTGAACCTGAAAGGTGGAGGTTGCAGTGAGCTAAGATCACACCACTGCACGCTAGCCTGGACAACAGAGTGAGACTGTGTAAAAAAAAAAACAAGACTATAGAATTATTTCCACAGTCCTATTCTGTTCAATATCTTCAACAAATTGGATAAAGAATAAAAACAAGAGCCAGGCGTGGTGGTTCATGCCTGTAATCCCAGGACTTTGGGAGGCCAAGGTGGGTGGATCACGAGGTCAGGAGTTCAAGACCAGCCTGGCCAAGACGGTGAAACCCTGCCTCTACTAAAACTACAAAAATTAGCTGGGCGTGGTGGTAGGCACCTGTAATCCCAGCTATTCGGGAGGCTGAGGCAGAGAATTGCTTGAACCTGGGAGGCAGAGGTTGCAGTGAGCCAAGATGGCGCCATTGCACTCCAGCCTAGGTGACAGAGCAGGACTCCATCTCAAAAAAAAAAAAAAAAAGTATAAGAACAAAACTACAAATTTTCAGATGTTACGCAACTGAGAGAACGCAGAGAGAGTTGATCTCAAAAACCTTACCACTTCAGCCGGAAACCACAGGATACATTTCACAAGATCACTGCAAATCTCAGCATGCAGGTGAAGTGGAGGAGGAAGCAGCATGAGCTTGAAGAAGTTCCAGATGTTTCCATCAACCACAAGTTTAGCCTGACCTGCTAGTGACACAGCTGAAGTGTAATTGAATTAGGCTGTGTTCAGACACAGAAAACTCCAGTCTTGAACACAATTACTGCTTTGCACTGTGTTGGTCAGACCAAAGTTTGGCAGTTCTTCAGGAGCATACTGAAAAGCCAGACCTCTCTGAAGGACAATGAAAACTCTGAAAGTCATGTAACAGGATAATAAGTCAAAGTATCATGAAAGCCTACCCTGGAGAAGACTAAGAAAGTCTCCAAATATTTCAAAAACCATTATGTGGAAGGAGTTTTAAACTTGTTTTCAGTGGATTCTGAGCACAGACTTTGGGTTAATGGGTACCAGTTTTAGAGAAGAAAGAAAGATTCAATGTGTGAAAAAATGGATTTTTTTCTTTTTCTTTTTTTTTTCGAGACAGGGTCTCACTTTGTCCTCCAGGCTGGAGTACAGTGGCACAATCTCAGTTCACTGCAGCCTCGACTTCTGGGGTTCAAACGATCCTCCTGCCTCAGCCCCCACCCCAAGTAGTTGGGACTATAGGTGCTTGCCACCACGCCTGGCTAATTTTTGTATTTTTTTGTAAAGACGGATTTCACCATGTTGCCCAGGCTGATCTTGAACTTCTGAGCTCAAGTAATCTGCCTGTCTCGGCCTTCCAAAGTGCTGGGATTACAGGTGTGAGCCACGGCGCCTGCCCTAATGTTTAATAATTAAAGACTTTCAGCAATGAAGTGGGTTTCTTCAAAAAGTGATGTGCATCCTGTCAATCATAACATCAAGTTCTAGGCCCTGGAAGTTCAACTGAGTGATCATCCTAAAATAACATATTGGGTCACTCTTCTGCTTAGATGCTCCATGGCTTCACATTAAAATTAGAACAAAGGCCAGGCATGGTGGCCCACGCCTGTAATCCCAACACTTTGGGAGGCCAAGGCAGGCAGATCACGAAGTCAGGAGATCGAGACCATCCTGGCTAACATGGTGAAACCCCGTCTCTACTAAAAAAAATACAAAAAATTAGCTGTGCGTGGTGGTAAGCGCCTGTAGTCCCAGCTGCTCAGGAGGCTGAGGCAAGAGAATGGTGTGAACCTGGGAGGCGGAGCTTGCAGTGAGCCGAGATCACGCCATTGCACCCCAGCCTGGGCGACAGAGTGAGACTCTGTCTCCAAAAAAAAAAAAAAAAAAAAATTAGAACAAAATGCAAACTCCCCATCCTGGTCTACTAGGCCCTGTGTGATCTGGCTCTGCTGACCTGTATCAGCAGCTTTCTCCCTTTTCCTACTTTTCATCCAAGTATTCATTTACTCCAGGACTGTTCTTCAAGGTCAGCCATGTGCTGGCACAGTTGTGAACACAGCAGGCAAAATCTCTACCCTGAAGTTGCTGACATCATAGTGGGAGAAGAAAGACAAAAATAAATAAATAATAAACAAATAGATGAAGGGTTAAGGTAAGTGCTATGTAGAAAAATGAGCAGGGCAGGCCAGGCGCGATGGCTCACACCTGTCATCCTAGCACTTTAGGAGGCTGAGGCTGAGGCTGATGGACCACTTGAGCTCAGGAGTTCAAGACTAGCCTGGGCAACATGGCAAAACCCCGTCTCTATAAAAAATACAAAAATTAGCTGGGTGTGGTGGCAGGTCACGGTTCTCCTGTCCAGCTCACTGCCCCTGGACCACTCCATGTAGAAGTCCTCAATAAACCCTATGTCTCGCTCACTGGCTCTGGGTCTCTTTTTCAGCCTCTCAGACATGGTGCCATCCTTATTATGGCCAATAAATGTCCCACACAACACATGCCTCTCAAGGGCTGACTCTGTCTTTACTGGCTGCATCCCCAGCACGTAGACCAGTGCCTGACACAGTCAGTGCTCCAGAAATAGCTATTAACTGACTGATAAGGGAAGCAATGAGGGAAGTAATGTCGTTGCTCAGAGCCATTTCCCTGGCAACACTTGCCAACTGGAAGTTCACTTCCGCTAATAAAATTCTCTTTGGAAAATACAGATACAGCCTGGGCAACATGGCAAACCTCCATCTCCACGAAAAAACTGCAAAAGAAAAAAATTAGCCAGGCATGATGGCATGCACCTGTGGTCCCAACTAACCAGGAGGCTGAGGTGAGAGAATGGCATGATCCCAGTTCAAGGATGCAGTGAGCTGTGATAGTGCCACCATACTCCAGCCTGGGTGACAGAGCAAGACCCTACCTTAAAAAAAAAAAAGGCCAGGTGTAGTGGCTCATGCCTGTAATCCCAGCACTTTGGGAGGCTGAGGCAGGTGGATCACAAGATCAAGAGTCCAAGACCAGCCTGGCCAAGATGGTAAAACCCCATCTCTACTAAAAATACAAAAATTAGCTGGGTGTGGTGGTGGACGCCGGTAATCCCAGCTACTCGGGAGGCTGAGGGAGGCTGAGGCAGGAGAATCAGCTTGAAACCGGGAGGCAGAGGTTGCAGTGAGCAGAGATCATGCCACTGCACTCCAGCCTGGGCAAAAGAGTAAGACTCCGTCTCAAAAAAAAAAAAAGAAAGAAAGAAAAAAAGAAAATACAAATATAAATATGTCCTGGAAAAGTTAAGCCTCATTCATATTGTAATATGAATGAACTAATTTAATCAGATGACCTACATATAGCAGATAGAGTAGCATTCAAAAGGTAAGCATTTTGGTTGAAACAGAAGGGATTTTTTTTTTTTTTTTTTTTTTTTTTTTTTTTGCAGAATCTTGCTCTGTCGCCCAGGCTGGAGGGCAGTGGCGCGATCTCTGCTCACTGCAACCTCCAATTCCTGGTTCAAGCAATTCTCCTGCCTCAGCCTCTCGAGTAGCTGGGATTACAGGCACACGCCACCACGCCCAGCTAACTTTTGTATTTTTAGTAGAGATAGGGTTTCACCATGTTGGCCGGGATGGTCTCAATCTCCTGACTTTGTGATCTGCCTGCCTCCGCCTCCCAAAGTGCTGGGATTACAGGTGTGAGCCACCGTGCCTGGCCGGGATATCTTTTTATTTTTTTGAGATGGAGTCTTGCTCTTGTCACCCAGGCTGAAGTGCAGTGGCGCAATCTCTGCTCACTGCAACCTCCAATTCCTGGTTCAAGCAATTCTCCTGCCTCAGCCTCCCGAGTAGCTGGAATTACAGGTCAACTGATCCGCCTGCCTCAGCCTCCCAAAGTGCTGGGATTACAAGCACAAGCCACCGCACCTGGCCCAGGAGGAATACCTTGAAGGGAGTTCTAGGCCTCAGTGAAGCTGGAACAAAAGAGTCAAAGTATGGAAGGAGAGCCAGTGTGGTGGCCCAAAGAGAGAGAGGGCAGAACTGGAAAAGATTTAGAAAAGGTGACTGATAGGTCTCAGGACACACCACCCCCAAATATGACTGCAGGAGACCAGAATATGCTACCCCAAAATATGTCTCTTTTATGTATGGGTTATTTCGAGCTGGTTATTTTGAGAAACTGCAGACACAGGAGTATTTCAGAAAAGTCGCCCTTTTGTAAGGAAATTTACATCTATAAAGAAAATCACTAGAAACTCCTAAAGGATGGAGAAGGCCTGGACTTAACTCTGCATAACAAACCTGACCCTTGGCCAGGAGCAGTGGTGGCTCACGCCTGTACTCCCAGCACTTTGGGAGGCCAAGGCGGGTGGATCACCTGAGGTCAGGGGTTCAGGACCAGCCTGGCCAACATGGTGAAACCCTGTCTCTACTAAGAATACAAAAATTAGCCTGGTGCTGTGGCGCATCCTTGTAATCCCAGCTACTCGGAAAGCTGAGGCAAGAGAATCCCTTGAACCCAGGAGGCGGAGCTTGCAGTGAGCCAAGATCCCGCCATTGCACTCCAGCCTGGGCGACAGAGTGAGACTCCATCTCAAAAAAACAAAACAAAACAACAAAACTGACCCTTGCTTTTCAGTGCTTTTTCTGGCCATCTTGAAAGACTGTGGGGTCTTTCCCCACACCTTTCTTTCTTTGTTTAATAAAAAGGGCAGCATTTAAACCTGAAGATTAAACTTTTCCTTGGAGATCTACTCTGGAGGTTTATGCATTTCTCCACGGTTTTCTTCCATGCGTACATGAGGTATACACGCTAATAAACTTTTGTTTGTTTTTCTCTTGTTAATCTGCTCAGGGAGTCCCAGTTAAGAACTATGGAGGGTAGAAAGAAAATTATTTTTCTTCCCCTACATAACCAAAGTTAATCTTGTCATCTTATCACATCTCTTGAGGCCCCAGCAGCAGCTGCTTGCAAAGCCTCAGTTAAAAGATAAGATTGCCACTGAATAGTGTTTCTTAACCTTTCTCAAAGTCATTTTTCAAAATAAGCCAATGCAGTTTATTATTTACTGCTTGTCTTCAGCTAGTAGCAAGATAGAGCTTCATGTGGCTGTAAATGGGGGAAGAAATTACTATAACTCCTGACCCTCCTTTTCTTCCACACGTAGATGTTAGTCCCTGAGATGTATTTATCAAAATCAGCATGATAAATATAAAAATCTCAGCTAGGCATGGTGGCTCACGCCTGTAATCCTAGCACTTTGGGAGGCCGAGGCAGGTGGCTCACTTGAGGCCAGGAGTTCGAGACCAGCCTGGCCAACATGACAAAACCCAGTCTCTACTAAAAAGTACAAAAAATTACCCAGGCATGGTGGCACATGCCTGTAATCCCAGCTACTTAGGAGGCTGAGGCATGAGAATCACTTGAACCCAGGAGGTGGAGGTGGTAGTGAGCTGAGATTGTGCCACTGCACTCCGGCCTGGGCGACAGAGTGAGATTGTCTCAAAAAAAAAAAAAAATCTTATGCCCTCATTTCATGTTATTTGAACAAAAGACCATGGCTAACACTAGATCACAGCAATGGACATAAGAGAAAAATTTTTTGTCTTGAATTTTACGTATTTAACATTTGGGCCATATAGTAGTGTGAATTGTCTATTTCTATTTACATGACCTAAATCAGTCAATAGACTGTGATCTGCATCAGCCAACTGGAACTCAGCAAGTGTTGACCAATCAGAACTACATAAATTTGCATCCTTCATTTGCATAAGCAGACCAGAGTGGGAACCTGGGAGGGAACTTTCTCTATAAAAGATAACTTCTCTCTTTATTCTCTCAGAATGCACCTTTGTTTTGTACCAAAGACTGCATCTCCCTGGTTTACAAACTGTTTACTGGGATGAATTCTCTTTTTTTTCTTTAAAAAATATATTTTTCAGTGAATTTGTTGGTAATAGTCATGACAATCTAGAACTACAGCAGGACACTAGTTTTTAAAAGTTATTTGAACTTTTTAACATGTGTTAGGCAATACTGATGAAACATCTCTATCTATAGAGATGTATTAAAGTTCTGGCCGGGTGTTGTGGCTCATACCTGTAATCTCAGCACTTTGGGAGTCTGAGTCAGGTGGATCACCTGAGGTCAGGAGTTCGAGACCAGTCTGGCCAACATGGTGAAACCCCACCTTTACTAAACCTACAAAAATTAGCTGGGCATGGTGGCAGGCACCTGTAACCTCAGATATGTGGGACGCTGAGGCAGGAGAATCGCTTGAACCCGGGAGGCGGAGGTTGCAATGAGCTGAGATCATGCCATTGCACTCCAGCCTGGACAACAAGAGTGAAACTCTGTAAAAGACAAACACACACACACACACAATGTTGTACAATTTATTTAGTCTATAAAACCAAAATGAGGCTTCAAGTCAGCTTAGTTCATTGTCATCCAAGCATACATATTAGGGTTTGGTAATACAAGCACATGTTAAAAAGTATTTCTAGGCTGGGTGCGATGGCTCATGCCTGTAATCCCAGCACTTTGGGAGGCTGAGGCAGGTGGATCACCTGAAGTCACAGGTTTGAGACCAGCCTGGCCAACACGATGAAACCCCATCTCTACTAAGAATACAAAAAAATTAGCCGGGTGTGGTGGCAGGAGCCTGTAATCCCAGCTACTTGGGAGGCTGATGCAGAAGAATCACTTGAACCCAAGAGACGGAGATTGCAGTGAGTAGAGGTCATGCCACTGCACTCCAGACTGGGAAACAAGAGTGAGACTCTGTCTCAAAAAAGAAAAAAAGAAAAAAGAAAAGTATTTCTACAGTACAATATGTAAATAGTGAGAGAGAAGTTACCTTCTCACTGGTGATCACCTTGGTTCTTGCCCTCAAAGTCAATCACGGTTGCCACTCTTTTTTTTTTTTTTTTGAGACGGAGTCTCGCTCTGTCACCCAGGCTGGAGTGCAGTGGCACAATCTCGGCTCACTGCAAGCTCCGCCTCCTGGGTTCACGCCATTCTCCGGCCTCAGCCTCCCGAGTAGCTGGGACTACAGGCACCCGCCACCACGCCTGGCTAATTTTTTTGTATTTTTAGTAGAGAGGGGTTTCACCTTGTTAGCCAGGATGGTCTCGATCTCCTGACCTCATGATCCGCCCACCTCAGCCTCCCAAAGTGCTGGGATGACAGGTGTGAGCCACCACACCCGGCCAACCACTTTCTTGAGTATCCTTGGTAAACCAAAAAGTATCTGAGTCAAATCTCAACAAATTTAGAAAGTTTATTTTTGCCAAGGTTAAGGATGCAACTGACACAGCCTCAGAGGTCCTGATGACATGTGCCCAAGGTGGTCAGCAGGGGATGGGGTTGGGGGTGCAGCTTGCTTTTATACATTTTAGGGAGACACAATACATCAATCAATACATGTAAGATTAACATTGGTTTGATCTGGAAGGGTGGGACAAGTTGAAGCAGTGGCAGATTAGGGGGTGCTTCCAGGTCATAGGTAGATTTAATTATACTGTGATTAAGATAAGGGATTGTGAAGCCGGGCATGATGGCTCGTGCCTGTAATCCCAACACCTTGGGAGGCCGAGGCAGGTGGATCACCTGAGATCAGGAGTTCAAGACCAACATGGCCAACATGGCAAAACCCTGTCTCTACTAAAAGATACAAAAATTAGCCAGGCATGGTGATGGGCGCCTGTAATCCCAGCTACTTCAGAGGCTGAGGCAGCAGAATCGCTTGAACCCAGGAGGCGGAGGTTGCAGTAAGCCGAGATTGCGCCACTACACTCCAGCCTGGGTGACAGAGCAAGATTACGTCTCAAAAAGAAAAAAAAGATAAAGGGTTGTGGAGACCAAAGTTTTATCCTGCAGATGAAGCCTCCAAGTAGCAGTAACAGGCTTCAGTGAGACTAGATTGTAAATGTTTCATATCAGACTTAAAAGTCTGCATTGATGTTAATGCTGGAGGGGTATAATGAGGCATATCTGACCCCCACTTCCCCATCATGGCCTGAACAAGTCTTTCAGGCTAAATTTTAGGTGTCCTGGCCAAGGAGGAAGTCCATTCCTATGGTTGTGGGGAGGCCTTCAAAATTTTATTTTTGATTAAACCTTCTAGAAATATCCTATGCATTATGAACATTTTTATACAAATTTCAGCATATTACACATGTTGTTACTTTTTTTCTCTCTCTCTCTTTGAGATAGTCTTGCTCTGTTGCCGAGGCTGGAGTGCAGTGGCATGATCTTGACTCACTGAAACCTCTGCCTCCTGGGTTCAAGTGATTCTCCTGCATCAACCTCCAGGGTAGTTGAGACTACAGGCGCATGCACCATGACTGGCTAATTTTTGTATTTCTGGTGGAGACGGGGTTTTGCCATGTTGGTGCCAAGCCGGTCTCGAACTCCTGACCTCAGATTATTCGCCCCCCTTGGCCTCCCAAAGTGCTGGAACTACAGGTGTGAGCCACCACACCCTACCGATACACATTGTTCTTGATCATGTTTATTTCACTTAACAATGTTTTGGTGCCAGGTGTGGTGGCTCATGCCTGTAATCCCAGCACTTTGGGAGGCTGAGGCGGGCAGATCACCTGAAGTCAGGAGTTCGAGACCAGCCTAGCCAACATGGCGAAACTCTGTCTCTACCAAAAATACAAAAATTACCCGGGTGTGGTGGCATGCATCTGTAGTCCCAGCTACTTGGGAGGCTGAGCCAGGAGAATCACTTGAACCAGGGTGGCGGAGGATGCAGTGAGCCAAGATCACACCAGTGCACTCCAGCCTGGGTGACAGAGTGAGACTCTATCTAAAACAAAACAAAACAAAACAAAACAAAATATATATATATACACATATATATGTGTGTGTGTGTGTGTGTGTGTGTGTGTGTGTGTGTGTCTTGGTGATCATTTCATATCTGTAAATATAGATTTGACTTTTTTTTCAAACAACAACATGCTATACTATATCCATTGTAGGAATATGTCACAATTTATTTAACTGGTACCCTACTCATGGATGTTTAGCTTGTTTCCAATCTTCTGCTATTACCAACAGTACTGCTAGGAATATTTTTATATACATTTCTTTGTGCACATGTATAAATATATCCAAAAGATGAATTCATAAAAGTGAAATTGGTACTCCAAGGGTATGTATATTTTTCTTCTTAATATATATTCTCAAATTATCTCCTATTGGAATTTGGCAGAGATTCTGGAATTGCTTTTCATCGAGGTTGTAACACCCACCACCAACATAGGCAACACTGGCTATTTATCTCATAATGCCTCTGTGGATGTTTCCTTCAAAGAACACCAGATGGCAGAACAGACCCTAATACGTTTGCCTTGGGTAACAGGGAACTTCCGGACTTGAAGCCTCATTTTGGTTATGTAGACTGAACAAATAAAGTTGTAGAACCAGTTGTACATTAATAAATCTCTATAGATAGAAATGTATCAATTCCTCAGTAATATCATCAGTAATAGCAGATGGTAGCCTTTGCCTTTTTTCCTGTCTACCTGAAAAAAACACTAAAAAGATCCTCATCTTTCGCTCTGTAATTCTTCCCCATTACACAAACATTACTTTTTCTCCAGCTGAATAATATAGAGAACGTGCGTTAGCAATAATAATTCATGGAGTTTCATTTATGTGTGAAAGTGACTTATTTAGTTCATGTTGTTACAACAAGGAAATGTATGAGCATATGTATGTCACATAAGAATATGTCTTTAAGCAAATAGAAATGAATAATTAAAGTTGATGCCTTTACTATAAGGCTTTCATTTGTCAGAACACCAGCAAACCAATTTCACAGCAGGAAAACATTTTTTTTTTCTTTCCTGGAGAGTATGTCATCTGAGCAGAACAAATTCAATTAGCGTTGTACCTGCTTTGCAACTTATGAGAATGCTTTTATGCCTCTGGGTAGCTGCTCTCAACCCACAGCCCACAGCCCACATATACCCAATAGAGAAGGTACTCATGAACTTGTATATGCTCTTCCGTAAAACTCTTTTCAGTCTTCAGGATGTAGTACTTTTTAAATTAATCCTTCATTGCCCCAGAAGATAAACCGGTGGGAAGTTAATGAAATTGGCGTCCTAAGCTACCTGCTCAGGATCAAAATTTGCTACCTACTACAGATCTTATTATTGTCCTTCTTGAGAAATGACAGATGTCTTATTTTAAAGGTTCTAAGATAAGATGTACATAATTTTAGGGGCAGTATCATCTAGTCGCTGTAGTTCCTTGGAACACTACAAGTCCTTAAGCTAAACAGGAAGAGACTCTGCCACAAAGAAGGCAACATTGAGATTAATGAAGATTTATTGGCTAGGCGCGGTGGCTCACGCCTGTAATCCCAGCATTTTTGGAGGCCAAGGTGTGTGGATCACTTGAGACCAGGAGTTTGAGACCAGCCTGGCCAACGTGACTTAATCCCGTCTCTACTAAAAACACACACAAAATTAGCCGGGCATGGTGGCAGGCACCTGTAATCCCAGCTACTCCGGAGGCTGAGGCAGGAGGATTGCTTGAACCTGGGAGGCAGTGGTTGCAGTGAACCAAGATCATGCCACTTCACTCCAGCCTGAGTGACAAAGCGAGACTCCATCTAAAAAAAAAAAGAAAAAGAAAAAAAAAAGATTTATTAAGTACTAGATCTTTCCCAACTGCCATATCACGTTACAACATTTTATCAGGCAAAAGTTATCGTGCCCCTGTTTCAGATTAGGAAACTGTGGCTCAGAAAAGTTAAATAACTTGCCCAAATTAACACAACTGCCAAGGGGCCAAGCAGGAATTTGGATGCAAGTATATCTACCTCCTAGACTGATGGTTCTCGATGTATGGCCCCCAGACCAGCAGCATCACCATCACTAGTATAACCTGGAAATTTTTTATGAAACATTTTTCAGGACCCAACCTGCTCCTCCTAAAGTAGACATTCTGGGGTTGTGGCCCAGCAATCTATATCTATCTATCTATCTATCTATCTATCTATCTATCTATCTATCTATATCTATATATAGATATAGATATAGATATATTTTTTGAGATGGAGTCTTGCTCTGTCACCAGGCTGGAGTGCAGTGACTCGATCTCGGCTCACTGCAACCTCTGCCTGCTGGGTTCAAGAGATTCTCCTGCCTCAGCCTCCCAAGTAGCTGGGACTACAGGCATGCGCCACCATGCCCAGCTAATTTTTGTATTTTTAGTAGCGACGGGGTTTCACCATGTTGGCCAGGATGGTCTCGATCTCTTGAGCTCGTGATCCGCCAGCCTCGGCCTCCCAAAGTGCTGGGATTACAGGCATGAGCCACCACACCCAGCTCAGCAATCTATATTTTAACAAGTCCTCTAGGAGATTCTGATGCAAGTTCAAGTTTGAGAACTATTGTCCTAGACACATTCTGCCACAATATCCTGATACATGGGAGGGATGCATGAGAGAGGAAACTAGTGTTCCTCGAGTCACCATCACGAGCCAAACACTGTCATGAGTGTTTTACATCCTATTCCCTTTAATCCTCACAATAGCCATGCAAGTTAGGTGTTCTGTTTTGTTTTGTTTATTATTTATTTATTTATTTATCTAGAGACAGAGTCTCACTCTGTCACCCAGGCTGGAGTATAGTGGTGTGATCTTGGCTCACCACAACTTCTGCCTCCCGGGTTTAAGCGATTGTTGTGTCTCAGCCTCCCCAGTAGCTGGGATTACAGATGTGCACCACCACGTCTGTCATGTTTGTATTTTTAGTAGAGATGGGGGTTTCGCCTAGTTGGCCAGGCTGGTCTCGAACTCCTGGCCTCAGGTGATCCACCTGCCTCGGCCAAAAGATGCTAGGATTATAGGCATGACCTACTGTGCCCAGCCTTGTTTTTTAAATTTTACATTAAGGAAACTGAAGGTACACCGAGGAAACTGAGGATGATAAGGTCATTTGTTGAAGCTCCCAATACCAATAAGAGGCACTTTACACTTGGGCCTATCTGATTCCACAGTGTAAACTTCATGCCAAATCCACTGGTAAGTTCTATCCTTCTATCCTAACAGTCATATTGGTTGGCTAAGCGTTTGTCTTAAGGGTATTCTTCACACACAATTGTAATTAGCCTGATTGTGCAGTTTTCCAGCCAAAATCTAGATGAATGATTATAAATGAGAGGGATGCTGCTAGAAATACATTAAAGAGAGACAAAAGTGACAACATGCCAGGCGAATAGTCTAGAAGGAGATAGTAAAAACTACACAAAAAAATGCATAACTTAAAAAAAACTTAAGACCGTATCACTTTGTAATTAAAAAAGCAATAAAGATTAGTTATAAAAGTTGAGGGTCTGAGGCTGTTTTGTGTATGGGTCTACACTTCAACAATTCCTGAGCTTGTAACTAGAATAAAGAATATCGTAATGATGATTACAAAATCCATGGAAAATAGATTGAATTTTCCATATTAAAGTGTGTGAAGTGCATTTCAAAAAGATCTGCATGAGAAATGGTTAAAATGAGAAATGTGTTGACTCAAGACACAAGCTATAGGTTACCTGTGCAACTGATCCATCTGGAATATTACATTCATCAGGGCTGCTATTGCCTGAAACCAATTTGGACTCGGACTGCTGAACCTTCCTGATATGGCTGAATGTTTGTGTGCCTCCAAAATGCATGTCAAGGCCCGGTGAGGTGGCTCATGCTTGTAATCCCAGCACTTTGGGAGGCTGAGGCGGGCGGATCACCTGAGGTCAGGTGTCTGAGACCAGACTGGCCAACATGGTGAAACCCCGTCTCTACTAAAAATACAAAAATTAGTCGGTCATGGTGGCGGGTACCAATAATCCCAGCTGCTCAGGAGGCTGAGGCAGGAGAAGTACTTGAACCCCGGAGGTGGAGGTTGCAGTGAGCCAAGACTGCGCCACTGCGTTCCAGCCTGGGTGACAGACCAAGGCTCTGTCTCAAAAAAAAAAAAAAAAAGGCATAGGTCAGGCGCAGTTGTTCACGCCTGTAATCCCAGCACTTTAGGAGGCTGAGGCAGGTGGATCACCTGAGGTCAGGAGTTCTAGACCAGCCTGGCCAACATGGTGAAACCCCATCTCTACTAAAAATACAAAAAAATTAGCTGGCAGTTGCCTGTAATCCCAGCTACTCGGGTGGCTGAAGCAGGAGAATCACTTGAACCTGGGAGGTAGAAGTTGCAGAGAGCAGAGATCGCGCCTCTGCACTCAAGCCTGGGTGACAGAGTGAGGATCTGTCTCAAAAAAAAAAAAAAAAAAGGCATGTCAAAACTTAATCCCCAATTCAACAGTATTAAGAGGCAGGACCTTTATGAAGTGATGAATGCCCTTATAAAAGGGTTTGAGGAAGAAAGTTCAGCCAGTATTAGCCTTTCTGCCATGAAAGGATGTAGTAAGAATTCATGCCTTCTGCCACGTGAGGATTCAGTGACAAGACTCCATGTTGGAATCAGAGACCAGCCGTCACCAGACACTGAATCTGCAGGTGCCTTGATCTTGAACTTCCCAGCCTCCAGAACTGTGAAAAATGAATTCCTGCTGTTTATAAATGAACCTATTCAAGGTATTTGTGTTATAGCAGCAGGAACAGACCAAGACACTTCTTTTTGTCCCATCTTTATTGTGTGTGTGTGTTTTTTGTTTTGTTTTGTGATGGAGTTTTGCTGTGTCGCCCAGGCTGGAGTGCAGTGGCAGTGATCTCGGCTCACTGCAACCTCCACCTCCCAGGTTCAAGAGATTCTCCTGCCTCAGCCTCCTGAGTAGCTAGATCTACAGGCGTGTGCCACCACACCTAGCCACTTTTTGTATTTTTAGTAGAGATGGGATTTTTGCCATGCTGGCCGGGCTGGTCTCGAACTCCTGACCTCAGGTGGTCTGCCCTCCTCAGCTTCCCAAAGTGCTGGGATTACAGGCATGAGCCACTGCACCTGGCCTCTCTTTTTTATTGGTAAAAGGACCTCTTGTTTCATGCAGCCCTAGAGCTTGCTCTCCTAAACTCAAAGGTGGGAAACAGAGACTGAGGTCCTGACTTGGATCCAATTACATGGAAAAGGTCTGAAGCTCAGGTTTAACTGAAGACTCCTGAAATAAAAGATAAGAATCCTGGAGGAGCTGACCCATCTTTCATCCTTCTGATACAATAAAAAAGGCCCCATGAGACTGCTGTAGAAGAGACTTCAAATGCCTTCTAAGCCATTGTGGCTACTGTGGGATTGGTCACATATTAGAGAAGATTTTTTTTGTTTGTTTGCAACATTTCTAACCAGGATTTTTTTTTTCTCACTGAGTTATACCAGGCTTTGATAGTTAGTTACAAATAAAAAATGAGTTAGCCTACTATTAGAGTCTTGAATGTCCAGGAGAAATAAGACTAAGACTAAGAGTTGTACAGACAATTCTCTTGAATTGGCAAAAAAAAAAAAAAAAAAAAAAAAAAAAAATCAGGCCAGTAGACTTTCATGAGTGTTCTGCCCTACCAGCATCCTTCAGCACAAGATGTACCTGCTCCACCAATGGCAAGCCATAGCTGCTAACAAGATCACGGTAATTCAGAGCTCCTGCTGCTTCTTGCCTGGGTAGTCAATGAAGTCTCACCAGGGGAAGAAAAGAATGTTCCTCCCTGAATTGTTCATCAGGATGGACTCATTACTCGCTTCTTTCTGCTTGGACTGAAGCGACAGGATAGCAATTTAGGGATGGCTGATCTAAAGCACATCAAGGCACGGTCGCTGAGCAGGTGCGGTGGCACCAAATTCAAGGAAACCCCATAGGTAGTTCCCACCAGCAATGTGGGTTTCAGCCTTTATACCAGCACCATCTGAACAAGCCCCATAAAAAGTGCAGATTACAAAGCAGAAGCATTTTCCATGTGGGCTAACACATGAGGTGGTTGAACAAAAAAGCAGTAGAAGAGACAGCCATGCCCAGAGGCCAGCTCAGTTCTTGATCTGGAAGTTACTTTCTGCCTTTTTTCCTGTCTCTGTTTCTACTAGAAGCCCGCTTTCTTCAATCTGCTTTATTTTTTATTTTAGAGAGAATGTCTCACTGTGTCACCCAGGCTGGAGTATAATGGCACAGCCATAGCTCACTGCAACCTTAAACTCCTGGGCTCATGCCAATCCTCCCATCTCAACCTCTGGAGTGGCTGGGACTACAGGTATGCACCATCACACCTGGCTAAATTTGTTTTTTTTTAAGAGATGGGGTGTTCCTATATTACCCAGGCTGGACTTGAATTCTTGGCCTCGAGTGATCCTGCCTCCTTGGCTTCCCAAAGTGCTGAGATTACAGGTGTGAGCCACTTCACCAGGCCCAATCTGCTCTTTTTTTTTTTTTTTTTTTGAGATGGAGTCTCACTCTGTCTCCCAGGCTGGAGTGCAGTGGCACAATCTTGGCTCACTGCAACCTCCACCTCCCAAGCTCAAGCGATTATCTTGCCTCAGCCTCCAGAGTAGCTGTGATTACAGGCAACCACTACCACACCTGGCAAATTTTTGTACTTTTAGTAGAGATGGGGTTTCACCATGTTGGCCAGGCTGGTCTCAAACTCCTGACCTCAGGTGATCCACCCACCTTGGCCTCCCATAGTGCTGGGATTACAGCCATGAGCCACCGCACGAGGCCCAATCTGCTTATTAATCTTAGTGTACAGTTCCTACTATGTGCCAGGCATCGTGCTAAGTGCTTTCTATACCTTATCTTATGTGATTCTCACAATTCGCTAAGTCCTATTATTTCCCCCTTTCTCAGATTCAGAAACTGAGGCTCTCAGAGGTTAAGTATTTTGCCCAGGGTCATGCAGTTGTTATGGGGTAGAGCTAGGATTTAGACTCAGGTATTCGGATTCCAGAATCCCCTCACCCTTGCCATTAAAGGTGTGGTCTCTGGAACAGGGACATCAGCAGCAGAAGCAAGTATCATCCATCACCTCAGAGCTGGTAAGAAATGCAGTCTCCAGGCTCGGCGCAGTGACTCACGCCTGTAATCTCAGCACTTTGGGAAGCCGAAGCAGGTGGATCACGAGGTCAGGAGATCGAGACCATCCTGGCTAACACGGTGAAACCCCATCTCTACTAAAAATACAAAAAATTAGCCAGGTGTGGTGGCGGGCACCTGTAGTCCCAGCTACTCCAGAGGCTGAGGTAGGAGACTCACTTGAACCTGGAAGGCAGAGGTTGCAGTGAGCCAAGATTGTGCCACTGCATTCCAGCCTGGGTGACAGAGTGAGACTCTGTCTCAAAAAAAAGAAAAGAAATGCAGTCTCCAGTCCCACCGCCATGCCCGACACTGAAGGAAAATCTGCATGTTCTTTTTCTTTTTTTTTTTTAATTTTTTGAGACAGAGTCTTGCTGTGTTGCGCAGGCTGGAGTGCAATGGTGCCATCTCTGCTCACTGCAACCTCTGCCTCCCGAGTTCAATTGATTCTCTTGCCTCAGCCTCCTGAGTAGCTGTGATTACAGGTTTGTGCCATGACACCAGGCTATTTTTTGTATTTTTAGTAGACAGGGTTTCACTGTGTTGGCCAGGCTAGTCTCAAACTCCTGACCTCAAGCAATCCACCCACCTCACCCTCCCAAAATGCTGGGAGTACAGGCACGAGCCACCGCATCTGGCCAAAATCTACATTTTAACAAGATCCCCAGATGAGTCCTGTGTCATTAATCTGATCTAGTGCCATATGTCTGCTGCCCACTGATGTGCCTCTCCTCTTCTCCTCCCAATCCACCTCCACACCCTGGTAACTAAGTGCTGGGACAGGTAGGGACCAGGGAGTGCTGGGGGCAGGGATGGAGAAGGGGCAGGTGTTCACCTAGAGCTCAAGGCTGGTACACATGCTGGGTGGGACCCAGAGGGGTGCTGAGTGGGACCCATTACTTCCACAGACACGGAAACAATTTTTATTACTACTTCCCAAGCCTGGCAATGTTTCATGATGCAAATGGGCTGGACTGCTCACCATTTAATATTTCTCTTCAGTACTTGAATCATTACCAAGACACAGCCACCTACCACTGACCTCTGTTCCCCAGAGGATTTGGACAGTCATTAGAGCCCATTTTAGTGCAGACCTTGTCCTTTTGATAAATGAGTTGAAACTTAAACTCCTTGGCTGAGAATGATTATCCAGCCCCCGAATGGAATAGATCTGGTGTTGGGGTGGGGGTTGGCTAGCATCTCATCCACTGGCTACTCACCCTGGAGTACATCTCCAGGTCTCCAAGGGCTTTTCTGAAATATATCCCTGGGTCCTCTCCAATATCAATAAATTAGACTCTGCAGGGTCGCCCAGGAATATACATTTGTTGTTGTTGTTGTTTTGTTTTTCTTGAGATGGAATCTCGCTCTGTCACCCAGGCTGGAGTGCAGTGGCGTGATCTCGGCTCACTGCAACCTCCGCCTATCGGGTTCAAGCGATTCTCCTGTCTCAGCCTCCTGAGTAGCTGGGACTACAGGCATGCGCTACCATGCCCAGCTAATTTTTGTATTTTTAGTAGAGACGGGATTTCACCATGTTAGCCAGGATGGTCTCGATCTCTTGACCTCGTGATCCGCCTGCCTCGGCCTCCCAAAGTGTTGGGATTACAGGCATTAGACACTGAGCCCAGCCGAATATACGTTTTAAATGCTTTCCAGTTGAAAACAGTTATTTTGGCTGGGCATGGTGGCTCATCCCTGTAATCCCAGGACTTTGGGAAGCCAAGGTGGGTGGATCACTTGAGGTCAGGAGTTCGAGACCAGTCTGGCCAACATGCTGAAACCCTGTCTCTACTAAAAATACAAAACAAAAACATTATCCAGGCATGGTGGCACACACCTGTAATCCCAGCTGCTAGGGAGGCTGAGGCAAGAGAATCGCTTGAACCCAGGAGGCAGAGGTTGCAGTGAGCCGAGATCATTCCACTGCACTCCAGCCTGGGTGATGGAGTGAGGCTCTGTCTCAAAAAAAAAAAAGAAAGAAAGAAAAGAAAAAGGAAGGAAGGAAAGGAAAGAAAGAAGGAAAGAAGGAAGGAAGGAAGAAAAAGAAAGAAAGAAAGAAAGAAAAAGAAAGAAAGAAAGAAAGAAAGAAAGAAAGAAAGAAAGAAAGAAAAAAGAAAGAAAAGAAAATAGTTATTTCTATTACATCACCTCCCCTCTCCCACCAAAAATCCTGGGGACTAGAATAAATCAGCCTTGGCACCTGGTTATCTGAACGATGCTTGGTCACATCCAGAGGCAGGTAACACTCCCTAATGAGACAGCCCTGTTTCATTTTGAGTCAGCTCCAAATATGAGAAGTTTTTCTCCAGTCTCTGAGGTTGGACTTTGCCTCTCTGAAACCTCCACTGAACATCTCATTTCTAACTCTTTGACCAAACAAAATATGCTTAATTTCTCTTTTACCTCCCAGCCATTCCAATATTTGGAGGCAAATGGGAAGTGGAAGGAGCAAGGATTTAGAAATCTATTAGAAATGGGCTCAAATTGCTGCTCTGTCTGATACATGTTATAGCATGGATGAACTCTGAAGGCATGCTAAATAAAGTAAGACAGACACAAGAGGAAAATATTGTGTCTAAGTCCTCTTACATGAGGTACCTTGAGTAGTCAAATTCATAAAGACAGAAAAAAGAGCAGTGGTTACTATTGGAGGGATGGGAGAATGGGGAGTTAGTGTTTAATGGATACAGAGTTTATGTTCAAGATGATGAAAAGTTTCTAGAATTGGATAGCGGTGATGAATGTTGATATGGTTTGGCTGTGTCCCTGCCCAAATCTCATCTTGAATTGTTGTTCCCATAATCCCCACGTGTCATGGGAGGTAACCAGGGGGAGGTAATTTAATCATTTTGGGGTCCTTACCCTCATGCTGTTCTCATGATAGTGAGTGATTTCTCATGAGATTTGATAGTTTTATAGGGGGCTTTCCCCCACTCATTCTCATTCTTCTCTCTTGTCTGCTGCCATGTAAGACCTGCCTTTGCTCCTCCTTCACCTTCAACCATGATTGTGAGGCTTCCCCAGCCATATGGAACTGTGAGTCCATTTAACCTCTTTCCTTTATAAATTACCCAGTCTCAGGTACGTCTTTATTAGCAGTGTGAGAATGGACTAATACAAACGTACAACATTGTAAATGTGTTTAAGGCCGCTGAATTTGACATTTAAACACGGATAAATTTTATGTTATGTATATTTTACCACAATAAAAAAAATCAAAAAATGCTGCTGTCATTTACTAGCTATGTTGTTTCTCTGAGCTGCAGTTTTCTCATCTGTAAAATGGGTACTGTTTAATTGTAACTACTGTGCATGTTGTTGTGACAGTCAGATAGGTTTAGTTAATTAAAGTACCATCCTTGTATTTTCATGGAAACTTTGAGAGTAGAAAGTTAATACATGATGACTGATGGGAAATCCGGATTTATAATAGCTGGCATTATTAACACTGCCATAAAATCAAAATTAGCCATTAGTCAGAGAGGGCAGAATTCATGCTTTAAGACATCAGAATAAAAATAAGTTTGAAGATGAAACACCAGGCTTCAAAGACATTTCGGCTTTTAGTGGGCAGTGGAGCTATGGACCCAGACCTGCTCCAGGGACTCCTGGCTGATTCTCCTCTGGGGTTAGGAAGTTGGCAGTCTGAGAAGCTCTGCTCGAGACAATGGTTTCCATCCCCTGCTGTGTTTCAGAACTGCCTGAGACAATTATTAAACTAAAGACACCTGGTCCCGTCCCTGGAGCCTACAATTTAGTCAGGCATTAGTTCAGGATCTGGATGTATTTTTAGTTTGCTCCAAGCGAATCTGAGGCATTACCAGGTTTGAGGACCACTGCGCTAGGGACTTCTGGCTGCCCTGACTGCCCAAGAGTAGTTCAAGTAGCTGAGTGAGGAGTTTTGATGGGAGACCTGAGAGATGGTCCTAACATCCCAGAAGTTCCCCACATGGCTAAGAAAGAGAGGGCAGCCCTAACTTGGGAGCAAAAATCAGTTGAAGGTTTGTATTAATCAGGGTTCTCTACACAAACCTAACAGTAACATTCTGCTTATATATAGGATTTATTAGGTTGATGCAAAAATAATTGCCATTACTTTCATGGCAAAAACTGCAATAATTTTCATTTTTTTTTTTTTGAGATGGAGTCTCAGTCTATCACCCAGGCTGGAGGGCAATGGCACAACCTCAGCTCACTGCAACCTCCATCTCCTAGGTTCAAGTGATTCTCCTGCCTCAGCCTCCGGAGTAGCTGGGATTATAGGGATTACAGACAGCTAATGTTTTTTGTATTTTTAGTAGAGACAGGGTTTCACCATGTTGGCCAGGCTGGTCATGAACTCCTGACCTCAAGTGATCTGCCCACCTCAGCCTCCCAGAGTGCTGGGATTCCAGGTGTGAGCCACTGCACCTGGCCTGCAATTACTTTTGCACCAAGCTAATATTATGAGGAATTGGTTCATGCAATTATGGAGAAGTTCACGATCTGCCAACTGCAAGCTGGAGACCCAGCAAAGCCCATGGTATAATTCAGCCTGAGTGTGAAGGCCTGGAACCAGGAGAACTGGTGATGGAAAAGTCGCTCCGAGAGCAGGGGAAGAGGAGAGAAGAGGAGATTCTCTGGCTGACGCAGAGAGACAGGGGAAAAGGAGCATACTCCTCCTCCTTCTGCCTTTTGTTCTATTCAGGCCTTTGGTGGATTGGACAATGCCTACCTACATTGGGGAGAGCAATTTACTTTACTGAGTCCACAGATTCAAATGCTTATCTCCTCTGTAAACACCCTCATAGACCCATCCAGAAATAATGTTGAATCTGGGCCCTACTTGGCCAGTCATGTTGATACGTAAAATTAATAATCACAAAAATCAAAGACGGAAAGTAACCAGAAAGAGATGACAAGGAGACTGCAGCATAGCTTTAGACCTGGGTCAAGTTCAGATTAAACTTCTTTTAATCGAAAACATGTAATGGGGTCAAAAAACTACCTATCGGGTGCTCTGCTCACTATCTGGGTGATGAAATAATTTATACACCAAATACCAGCAACACACAATCTACCCATGTAAAAGACCTGCACATGTACCCCCTGAACCTAAAGTAATAGTTGAAAAAAGACAAAAGCAACACACACAGACACATATGCACACACACACACACAAACAAAAACAAACAAACAAACAAACAAACAAACAAACAAACAAAACAGGGCCGGGCACGGTGGCTCACGCTGTAATCCCGGCACTTTGGGAGGCCGAGGTGGGTGATCACTTGTTAGGAGTTCGAGACCAGCCTGGCCAACATGACGAAAGCTTGTCTCTACTAAAAAATACAAAAATTAGCCAGGAGTGGTGGCACATGCCTGTAGTCCCAGCTACTCGGGAGGCTGAGGCAGAAGAATCACTTGAGCCCAGGAGGCAGAGGTTGCAGTGAGCCAGGATAGTGCCACTGCACTCCAGCCTGGGCGACAGAGCAAGACTCTATCTCAAAACAAAAACAAAAACAAAAAACATGTAACATAGCTCCACTGTACAGCGTTTGCTTACAGAGGTTGCTTCTGCAATGAAGAGAATTAGGCATCTGACTTGAGGTATGATTACAGACTGCAGTGAAAGCTGGAAGTTGAAAAGTGGAAGAGTTATGTGCTGAGTATAAATTCTGGTGCACCAAAGGTTCTATTACTTTCTATCTCAAAATCAAATTTCAATTGCTCTGGGCTCCTACCCAATGACTAGCAGAAAGTTCAATCCTCATAGATTCCTGAGTCTGTCACTCACTCCTCCTCCACTTGGTCAGAAAGTCCCTGGGCTCCTGTGGCCTTAGAAAAGTGGCCCAGCTGTCTATGGCCATGTCACCCTGAACATTCTCCGTCTGTCTGATCTTGGAAGCTAGGCAGGGTCGGGCCTGGTTAGTACTTGGATGGGAGAAAAGTGGGGCAGGGGCTGAGCTAAGGCCTTCGTCCATGATCCCAGCATCTCTCAAGTTGATCCTTGGGTTCCAGGATGCTACGGATAAGCTCTGGTCCCTGCCAAGACATGGTCTCTGTATGTCAGGCTTTGCTGCTCTGGGGGTGACAATGATAGCCCCATAGAGGTTCTCTTCATTGACTGAAAGGACCTCATGCACAGGGTGTGCTCATACATGCTTGAGGGGCAGTCAATTCCCCTCTGGTCAGTTTCTGCCTCCCACACTCCTTCTAACTGCTCCCATTTGGTTATTTCCACAGAACTGCCCCACCTGCCCCTGCAATGAGTCTTCACACATACCATACTGGCCTCTCCTTCTCAGGGATGGGAGCGAGTGGAGAATGGCGAGTATAACTTAGGTTGGCAACTCTTTTTTTTTTTCTCCTTTTAATAAATCTCCCTGATCCTGCTGTGAAGCCCCAGGGTTGGTTTAGGTGGGAGGGTCGGAGGCTGAGATGGCTCCTTTCCTTTTTATTACCATCAGCATATTTGGGTAAAAGACAGAGCTGCCAACCAATGATGGCTATGGTAGCCTTGCAGTCAGAGAGAATGTGTTTATGAAGACGGCAGAAAGAGAGCAAGCGGACCCAACGCCACTCCCACCCCACTAAGAAGCCACTTCACAGCACATACTTTTCCTGAATCATCAGTTGGACCTAATTCCTTTTAGCTGTTAAGAAAAGCTGAATCTTGTCTAAAAACAGTCCCATCTATAATATTAAGTCTGGCCCTAGGGTTTGTGTTAATAAATGGCTATAGTGTAAAACAACCTGAAACTTCTGCTTTGCCAATTCTATTCTAGATGTGGATGAGTCAGGGTTCTGGGTTGCAAGAAACAGCGAGTAATTGGCAAACGTGAGCAGAAAAGGAATGCACTGGAAGGAAATCAGGGAGCTCATGTATTCTTCGAGAAGGCTGGAGAATCAGGCTTGGAAAAGGCAGAGCCAAGGGAGGTGTGGGAGCAGGAAGCCCAGCAAGGGGCTGCACAGACAGCATGACTCTCCCCCTTCTTTTTTAATAGCGTTTTTTTATTTGTGCAGTAAGCCATTGGCTTAAAAAATGTTTTAAGTGGGGAGCGCCTCTGCCCCGCCGCCCCATCTGGGATGTGAGGAGCGCCTCTGCCCGGCCGAGACCCCGTCTGGGAGGTGAGGAGCGTCTCTGCCCGGCCGCCCCGTCTGAGAAGTGAGGAGACCCTCTGCCTGGCAACCACCCCGTCTGAGAAGTGAGGAGCCCCTCCGCCCGGCAGCTGCCCCGTCTGAGAAGTGAGGAGCCTCTCCGCCCGGCAGCCACCCCATCTGGGAAGTGAGGAGCGTCTCCGCCCGGCAGCCACCCCGTCCGGGAGGGAGGTGGGGGGGGGTCGGCCCCCCGCCAGGCCAGCCGCCCCGTCCGGGAGGTGAGGGGCGCCTCTGCCCGGCCGCCCCTACTGGGAAGTGAGGGGCCCCTCTGCCCGGCCAGCCGCCCCGTCCGGGAGGGAGATGGGGGGGTCAGCCCCCCGCCCGGCCAGCCGCCCCGTCCGGGAGGTGAGGGGCGCCTCTGCCCGGCCGCCCCTACTGAGAAGTGAGGAGCCCCTCTGCCCGGCCACCACCCCGTCTGGGAGGTGTGCCCAACAGCTCATTGAGAACGGGTCAGGATGACAATGGCGGCTTTGTGGAATAGAAAGGCGGGAAAGGTGGGGAAAAGATTGAGAAATCGGATGGTTGCCGTGTCTGTGTAGAAGGAAGTAGACATGGGAGACTTTTCATTTTGTTCTGCACTAAGAAAAATTCCTCTGCCTTGGGATCCTGTTGATCTGTGACCTTACCCCCAACCCGGTGCTCTCTGAAACATGTGCTGTGTCCACTCAGGGTTAAATGGATTAAGGGCGGTGCAAGATGTGCTTTGTTAAACAGATGCTTGAAGGCAGCATGCTCCTTAAGAGTCATCACCACTCCCTAATCTCAAGTAATCAGGGACACAAACACTGCGGAAGGCCGCAGGGTCCTCTGCCTAGGAAAACCAGAGACCTTTGTTCACTTGTTTATCTGCTGACCTTCCCTCCACTATTGTCCCATGACCCTGCCAAATCCTCCTCTGTGAGAAACACCCAAGAATTATCAATAAAAAAATAAATTTAAAAAAAAAAAAAAAAAAAATGTTTTAAGCATTTTAAAGTTACAGTTTAGTAGCATTAAGTACATTCACATTGTTATGCAAATATCATCAACCTCTATCTCTGGATTTTTTTCATTTTCCTAAGCTGAAACTCTGTATCCATTAAATTCTAACTCCTAACTCCTCATTTGCCCCTTCTCCCGGCTGCTGGTAACCACCATTCTACTTTCTGTCTCTATGAATTTGACTATTCTAAGTACTGATGCAAGTACTTAGTATAAGTACTAAGTACTGATGTGATGTAAGTACTTAGTATGAGTACTAAGTACTGGTGTAAGTACTTAGTATAAGTATTAAGTACTGGTATAAGTACTTAGTATAAGCATTAAGTACTGGTGTAAGTACTTAGTATAAGTACTAAGTACTGGTGTAAGTACTTATGTAAGTACTTCACATAAGTGGAACCACACAACATTTGTCCTTTCATCACTGGCTTATTTCACTTAGCCTAATGTCTTTAAGGTTTATCCATGTCGTAGGTCAGAATTTCTTTCCTCTTTAAGGCAGAATAATGTTCAATTGTGTGTCTATACCATATTTTGTCTATCCATTCATCAATCTATAACTTGGGTTGCTTTCATCTTTTGGCTATCGGGAATAATGCTGCTATAAACATGGGTGTGCAAATATCTCTTCAAGTCCCTGCTTTCAACTTTTGGGGTGTATATAACCAGAAATGGGATTGCTGGATCATATTGCAATAATCTTCCTCTCATTCCTACATCTTTATGACCCTCTCTTAAGATGCAATGTTCAGGGAGGAGTACAGCCAACATTCATGGTGCCCTTGACCACACTTTCTCAGGCTGCCTCTCATTGTGGCCACAGCTAGGTGCAGGCATGCTGAGTCTTCCACCTAAAGCACCCACTGCTTCTCTGGCTGAACCCCAAGGAATTCACTCAGTTTTCAGTCTGCAGCCCAGAAGTGATGGGAGAGTTAACACACTCCAGAGTCTATCCTCACTCAGTGCCCCAGTCCCCCTCCTTTAAAACAAAAACAAAAACAAAACAAAAATCCTGCTTCATTATATCATATAATTCACTTATTTAAAATGTAAACTTCCATTTTTTTAGTATATTCACAGAAATGTACAACCATCACCACAGTCAATTAATTTTAGAACATTTTTATCATGCCCAAAACAAACCCTTTAAGCTATCACCCTCCTACTCCCCTAATCCTCTCATCCCTAGGCAGCCACTAATCTACTTCATTTCTCTATAAATTTCCCTGTTGTTAACATTTCAAACAAATGGAACCATAGAGTACATGGTCTTGTGTGTCTGGCTTCTTTTGCTTAGCATAATCTTGTCAAGATTCACCCATGTTCTAGCATGTATCAGAACTTCATGTGGCTCATGCCTGTAATCCCAGCACTTTGGGAGGCTGAAGTGGGCAGATCACTTGAGGTCAGGAGTTTGAGACCAGCCTGGCCAAGAGGATGAAGCCCCGTCTCTACCAAAAATACAAAAATTAACCAGGCATGGTGGTGCGTTCCTGTAATCCCAGCTACTTAGGAAGCTGAAGCAGGAGAAACACTTGAACCCTGGAACCCAGAGGTGAATATTGCAGTGAGCCAAGATCACACACTGCACTCCTACATGACAGAGCGAGACTCTGTCTCAAAAAAACAAAACAAAACAAAAAAACCTTCATTCCCTTTTATGGCTGAATAATATTCCACTGTATGGATATACCACATTTTATTTATCCCTTCATCAGTTGATGGACATATTTGGGTTGTTTCCACCTTTAGCTATTATGACTAGCATTACTATAAATATTCATATACAAGTTTTTGTGTGGACATATGTTTTCATTTCTCTTGGGTACATGACCAGGAGTGAAATTGCTCTAGGCTTCCGTTAAGAGTAACTGTGAGATTCATTCTATATTGTTCATCAGATGGTCCCCAACAGGATGGATGGAGCTCCAGTGTCCACACTGAGAAGCTCAGCAAGACAGCCTTCATTGTTGCCACCTCCTTTTACATCTCACTTTCCTCACTCCTACAGCCTTGCTCCCTAGGATGACTCCCAAAATAAACTCCCGACACCCATGCCCTTGCCTGTTGTTCTGCTTTCAGGCAATCCAAATGAAGATATGAAAGTTCGGCCAGGCACGGTGGCTCATGCCTGTAAACCCAGCACTTTGGGAGGCCAAGGGAGGCAGATCACTTGAAGTCAGGAGTTCGAGACCAGCCTGGCCAACATGGTGAAACCCCGTCTCTAATAAAAATACAAAAAAATTAACCAGGCATGGTGGTAGGCACCTATAATCCCAGCTACTCAGGAGGCTGAGGCAGGAGAATTGCTTGCACCCAGGAGGCGGAGGTTGCAGTGAGCCGAGTTTGTGCCACTGTACTCCAGCCTGGATGACGGAGTGAGAACCTGCCTCAAAAAAAAAAAAAAAAAAAAAAAAAACAAAAAGATATGAAAGTGCATAAGAGTTCAGGCCTGTTCGTGTTCCTGTTCTTCACGTGTCAGAGGCAAGAAGCATGAGGCCTCTTCACCTTCCATAAAGGGAGATGGCGCCCACTGCACAAGGTGTCTGATGTAAACTAAGAAAAACCAAATAACAACAGCAACCAAAAAAAGGTGAAAGTCACAAGGTGATCCCAACGGGTGGAGGAAGAGGACTAGCATGTTAGATGCATATGATGCTAACAGGGGCCCTGTATGCATTATTCTGTTTAATTCCCACAACAGCCCGGAGAGGTTGATAATTTGCCTGGGGTTATCCCAGAAGTGAAGGAGCCCAGATCAGCAGCCAGGTTCCTCCGATTCCAGTGGCTGTCCTCTGTCACCTCTCCCCACCCTCTGGTCAGTGCTCTTCACAGCAAACTGGTAATTTCCTAACTGCCTTTAAGTGAAAGTATCTTTTTGGCTCCACATTCTACTGCAAAGGAAGCCAGATGCTATTTTTCAGTCCTGTGAACTTTCCATTTCTGGCAGGTGGCTGGCTCTCCTTTTCCCTGGATAGAATGTAATTTCCATTTGCTTTCCAGCAATCTTATTGATTGAACATGCTTCCAAATTTTTTCATCTTTGACACGTTTCTTACAATGTAATTTTACAGGGCAGGAATCATCCTTGTTGAAGAGGAGAGTCCAAGACGGGGCGGCATTCTTGTGTAATGAGTTGCTTTAGCTTTTTCTTTTTTTCTTTTTCTTTTTTTTTTTTTTTTGGCTAAAACTAAGAATGTGTCAGTGGCAAACACTAAAAATCCACCCCCATTTACTTCTTGTGGCTGTTCCTGAGGGATGTCAGTGATAAAGTCACCCAACTTACAAACTTTACAGTGAGTCACTCATCCCATTAAAGGCCCTTGAGATGTACGATAACAGCAAAAAAAAACCCCACCTTTCCAGAAGGATATCATAACAATTAGAAAATCAGTCATGATGGCAGTGAACCTCAATGTTCTGATCCACAAAATAAGGCTTTGGTGAAGAATAAATGAAATTACATTTGTGAAAATTTTGCAGTGTGAGCTTTTATTACTCGTATCTTTACAAAGAACATAATAGATACTGCTACATTTTTGCAAAGCAAGCTGACATCTGGAGTATGAAACAATCATTAATAATTATCTGTGCTGGTCAGGCATGGTGGATCAAGGTTGTAATCCCAGCACCTTGGGAGGCCAAGGCAGGGGGATTGCTTGAGGCCAGGAGTTTGAGACCAGCCTGGCCAACATAGTGAGACTCCATTTATATAAAAAAATTAAAAATCAGCCAGGTGTTGTGCCACACACCTAAATTCCTAGCTACACTGGAGGTTAAGACAGGAGGGTTGCTTGAGCCCAGTAATTCAAGGCTATAGTGAGCTATGATTATGCCACTGCACTCTAGCCTGGGAGACAGAGATAGAGCCTGTCTCTCAAAACAAAACGAAAACAAAACAACAACAACAAAAAGCTGGGCACAGTGGCTCATGCCTGCAACCCCAGCACCTTGAGAGGCCAAGGCAGAAGGACTGCTTGAGTCCAGGAGTTCTAGACCAGCTGGACAATGTACCAAGACCCCCATCTCTTTAAAAAGTGTAGCTGGGCCTGGGTGGTACATAACTGTAGTCCCAGCTACTCAAGAGGCTGAGGTGGCAGGATCCCTTGTGCCCAGAAGTTGGAGGATGCAGTGAGCTGTGATAGCTACACACTCCAGCCTAGGTGACAGTGACAGAGCAAGATCCTGTGTCTAAACAAGAAAAAGAAACGGTATCTGTGCAAAAAAAAAAAAAGTATTCAAAAGTCTAAACCTTGTGTTAGAGACAGCCATTGCACAAACAAGAAGAAAGGGAATTCATTAGACCATGCATAAGTATCAGAAAGAGCCTGAATGTTTTTTTAAATCATTATTATTTACAATTTTTTTTTTTTTTTTTGAGACGGAGTCTTGCTCTGTCACCCAGGCTGGAGTGCAGTGACGCGATCTCGGCTCATTGCAAGCTCTGCCTCCCGGGTTCACGCCATTCTCCTGCCTCAGCCTCCCAAGCAGCTGGGACTACAGGTGCCCGTCACCGCGCCTGGCTAATTTTTTGTATTTTTAGTAGAGACGGGGTTTCACTGCATTAGCCAGGATGGTCTTGATCTCCTGACCTCGTGATCTGCCCGTCTCGGCCTCCCAAAGTGCTGGGATTACAGGCGTGAGCAACTGCGCCTGGCCTATTTACAAAAATTTTTTAGAGACAGAGTCTTGCTCCATCATCCGGCTGCAGCCTGGACTTCCTGGGCTCTGACAATCCTCCTACCTCAGCCTCCTGAGTAGTTAGTATTACAGGCATAGGCAACCATGCCCAGCTAATTATTTTTAAAGTGTTTTGTAGAGGCAGGGTCTCACTATGTTGCCCAGGCTGGCCTCAAATTCTAGACCTCACCTGGCATGGTGGCTCACGCCTGTAATCCCAACACTTTGGGAGGCCAAGGCAGGATTGCTTAAGCCTAGGAGTTCTCCAACTCCAGCATAGTGAGACCCCATCTCTACCAAAAATACAAAAATTAGCCTGACATGGTGGTGCATGCCTGTAATCCCAGCTACTGGGGAGGCTGAGGTGGGAGGCTTGCTCGAGCCTGGGAGGCAGAAGTTGCAGTGAGCCAAGATCGTACCACTGCACTCCAGCCTGGGTGACAGAGTGAGACTCTGTCTCAAAAATAAAATAAATAAAAACAGGCCAGGCATGGTGGCTCACACCTGTAATCCTAGAACTTTGGGAGGCTGAGGTGGGCGGATTGCCTGAGCTCAGGAGTTCGAGACCAGCCCGGGCAACGTGGTGAAACCCTGTCTCTACTAAAATACAAAAAAAAAAAAAAAAAATTAGCCAGGCATGTTGGCATGTGCCCGTAATCCCAGCTACTTGGGAGGCTGAGGCAGGAGAATTGTGTCAACCCAGGAAGTGGAGGTTGCAGTGAGCTGAGATTGTGCCACTGCACTCCAGTCTGGGCGGCGGAGCAAGACTCCATCTCCAAAAAATAATAATAATAATAGTAAATAAAATAAAAATAATAAAAATAAGAAATAAATATATCACCTCGTTAGTCCTTACAACAAAGCCAATAGCCTTTGTTCACATAAGTGGAATCCCACTCTCATTTCATAGCTAAGAAAACTGAGGCTCAGAAGAGAATAGGATTTACCCAAAGTCTCAGGAATTCATCTGAGCCCTATGGACCACCCCACAGCAGTGCAGATTATCTTTGCAAGGTATTACGTGCCTAAGACAGTCTTTCCAGTAGATGACTCAGTGAGCTGGCACCACTTGCAGACTAGCCAGTAGAGTGACCACAGTGTATCAGGAAGATGTGTCACTGAGAAAACAAAACCAGCAAGGATTGTGTGATGCCACAGTGACTCACTGTGCCCAAGGTCCCCCACTCTAACTAGGAGTATTCCCCAGTGGCCTTTATACAACTTGCTGATCTTTTCCTACTTGGCTCGTCTACTCGCCGCACAATCATTCCCATGCAGCCCCACCCCACCCCAGTCCCACCCGTCCTCCTGATGGGGCCTGCTTCTCATCCTCCGCTGAGGTGTCAGATTGACTTCCAGAGGCTTCTGCAGAGCACTTCTCACTCCAATCTCCTCCAATTCTCTAAGCACAAGCAGGAACCTGGGCATTTCCAGCTGCTCAAGCTAAGAGGTCCCCCTTCCAGCCTGGCTCGTGCTGGTGCTTAGGTGGGGCTCCTGTCCCTATCCCCTACAGCTCTGTTGTCTCTCGATATGTCACTCTTTGCACCAGAAAGAACAACCAAGGATCATTCTCAATGCTTCACACAGAAACCCTCTTCTCCCAAATGAATTTCCCGTTCCCTTTCTCAGGGACCCCCAAAGGTATAGCTGCAGCCTCCCAGAACACTTATTCTACAGGAGGCTGCTTAGACCACAGCTGTATTCGGGAAAAGGAAATTTCATTAGGATGTAATGATCTCAGGCCTCCAAAGCCCTGGCTGGCTGGAAAAAGGAGGCTACAGTCAGGATCCTGTCCAAGCCGCCAGAAGAAGTGGCTGATGGCTTTCTAGGCTGCCTCTCTCTGTGCATAATCCTGCTCATATCTCACTGGTCACAGCTGCAAAGGAGTTTAGGAGTGTAGTATCTTAGATGGGCACATATCCCTAGAAAAGCATTGCAAAGCAGAAGGGGAAAATGGAGTTGGGTAGACAACAAGTATTCTCAGAAGATAAGGGCATAGCTGGCAATCTGAACAGTGAGTGTTAAGGTTAGCCATTCCAATATCACACAGATAAGAAAAGGCCCTATGATTTGGCAACCAAGAGATTACTCATGGCCTTGGAAAAGACAAACCTAGCAGAACACTGGATTGGGAGTGGGGTTAAGCAATGAGTGGGGGTGAGGAAGTGGAGACATGGGACCCAGACTTTTCTACAGAGATGTTTCAGTAAAGAGAAATGAGGGCTGGGCGCAGTGGCTCATGCCTGTAATCCCAGAATTTTGGGAGGCCGAGACGGGCGGATCACAAGGCCAGGAGATCGAGACCATCCTGGCTAACATGGTGAAACCCCGTCTCTACTAAAAATACAAAAAATTAGCCAGGTGTGGTGGCGGGCGCTTGTAGTCCCAGCTACTCAGGAGGTTGAGGCAGGAGAATAGTGTGAACCCGGGAGGTGGAGCTTGCAGTGAGCTGACACAGTGCCACTGCACTCCAGCCTGGGCAACAGAGAAAGACTCCATCTCAAAAAAAAAAAAGAAAAAAAAAGAGAGAAATGAGAGACAGAGAAATAGACAGCTGTATTATAAAAATATACACATAATTCCTAACCTTTATTTTGACTGCTTCTTTTCCTCTCCCCAACTCAATCTTGGCAACAGTTACTAATAGCAAAATTGACTGACCTGAGTTCCAGCTTCTCTCTGTTCTTCTTCCCAGGGAAGGTGCTAATGAGGAATGAAATGGCCAAAGGCTGAACTGCGGGAGGGAGAAGTGAAGCTCTGGAACATGCAGCAGCTGAGCGTGGAGCACTGAGGATTTTCTCCATGACAAAAAGGAGTTTTATCATGGCCAGGTGTGGTGGCTTATGCCTGTAATCCCAGCACTTTGGAAGGCTGAGGTGGTAGGATTGCTTGAGGCCAGGAGTTCAAGATCAGCCTGAGCAACATAGCAAGACCCCGTCTCTAAAAAATTAATAAATAAATAAAAAGATTAGCCGGGCATGGTGGCCTGTGCCTGTAGTCTCAGCTACTTGGGAGGCTGAGGTGAGAAGATGGCTTGAGCCCTGGAGGTTGAAATGCAGTAAGCAGTGATAGCACCACTGCGCTCCAGCCTGGGTGACAGAGTGAGACCTTTTTTTTTTTTCTTTCAGTGAAAGTACAGAGATTTATTGCAAAGGCAGAATTACACACTTAAGAAAGGGAAGTGCAAGTGCAATGGGGTTTGGAGTCCCTACATTTATGGGTTTATTGAATTAAGGGGTGGAATATTCATGAAGATTCCTGGAAAAAGATGGAAATTTATCAGAACTGCGGTGCAAACCTAATGCTAAGAAAAGTTCTAATCATAGAAGAACAAAACCCCTTGAGAATTAAAATGAATGAAAATCCATTTGCCTCTTTCATTACCCCTACAATAATAGGACTGCCCATAGTTATTTTAATTATCTTATTCCCAAATATTCTATTCCCATCATGTAGTCGCCTGATCAATAACTGGCTGGTTTCTGTACAACAGTGACTAATATTAAAACAGATAATAATAATAATGTATAACATCAAAGAATGAATCTATCTCTTTTTTTTTTGAGACAGAAAATCGCTCTGCTGCCAGGCTGGAATGCAATGCCTCTATCTTGGCCCACTACAATCTCCACCTCTCTGGTTCAAGCGATTCCCCTGCCTCAGCCTCCGGAGTAGCTGGGACTACAGGCGTGTGCCACCACATCTGGCTAATTTTTTGTATTTTAGTAGAGAAGGAGTTTCACTATGTTAGCCAGGATGGTCTCAATCTCCTCACCTCGTGATCCACCTGCCTCAGCCTCCTAAAATGCTGGGATTACAGGTGTGAGCCCATGCACACGGCCACTCTCTTAATTCTTGTGGCAAAGCATTTCTGAACAAGTGAGGGCTATCCTTAAAGCCCTGAGGCAGTACTATCCAGGTGTACTGCTGGGTAAAATTAGTTTCAGGATTAGTCCACCCAAAAGCAAACAAAAATTGAGAGTCAGAGTGTAAAAGGATACAAAATAAAGCATTATTGAAATCTAATATCGTGAATCAATTGGTGTCTCTGGTATTTGGGTAAATATGGCATAAGGATTTGACACTATAGGGCTGGGCGCAGTGGCTCACGCCTCTAAACCCAGCACTTTGGGAGGCCGAGGCATGTGGATCGCTTGAGGTCAGGAGTTCGAGATCAGCCTGGCCAACATGATGAAACCTCGTCTCTACTAAAAATACAAAAATTATCCAAGCATGGTGGTGCGTGCCTGTAGTCCCAGCTACTCCAGAGGCTGAGGCAGGAGAATTGCTTGAACCTGGGAGGCAGAGGTTGCAGTGAGCTGAGATTGCGCCACTGCACTCCAGAGCAAGACTCCGTCTCAAAAAAATAAATAAGTAATTAAAAAGGATTTGACACTATAGAATGTAAGGTAATTACAACCTCATTAATAGCTCCTAAGTCTTGAACTAGATGATTATTCTGCATTTGGTTTTTGGACAGGGACGGAAGGAGTATTACAAAGAGACTGACTGACATGGAACCAGGAGGCCCTGTTTTAAAAACTTCTCAATTAAAGGTTGGCGTCCTCACCTGGCTTCCGGTTTGAGGGCATATTGGCTCTTGCATGGGAAATTGTTTTTGTCTTTAAAGCGATGATCACGGCTGGGCGCAGTGGCTCAAGTCTGTAATCCCAGCACTTTGGGAGGCTGAGGCGGGCACATCACAAGATCAGGAGATCGAGACGATCCTGGCTAACATGGTGAAACCCGTCTCTACTAAAAATACAAAAAAAATTAGCCGGGCGTGGTGGCGGGCGCCTGTAGTCCCAGCTACTTGGGAGTCTGAGGCAGGAGAATGGCTTGAACCCGGGAGGCGGAGCTTGCAGTGAGCCGAGATCGCACCACTGCACTCCAGCCTGGGCGACAGAGCGAGACTCCGATCTCAAAAAAAAAAAAAAAAAAAAAAAAAAAGAGATGATCACAGGCTGAGCATGTATTGCTTTGCAAGGGGTTTCTTGGTCCCATACTTATGGGTCTACTTGAGACTTTATTTTATGGAGGATCTCCTGTTTTTCTGAGGCTGGTTTAGAAAATACAAGCATTGCCAAGAAGGAGGGCCTGATAAATGTAAAGTGGCTGCAAAGCTGGCTAGGAAGTCCTGTCTCAATAAAAGAGTAGGACATTCCAGCATAACTAGAAACCAGAGTTACCATATAGTTTTCTAGCCTGTAGCTTAGGGGTAAAGTGTTTTGATTTGGGGGTGCCATTGACACCCATGACAGTGCAGCTTTTGGAGAATAAGGGCCCAGAGTGGCAGTTCAGGACAGAGTGGCCACTGAGTCAATTAAGAAATTAATATTTGCCGGGCACAGTGGCTCACACCTGTAATCCCAGCACTTTGGGAAGCTGAGGCGGATGAATTGCTTGAGCCCAGGAGTTCAAGACCAGCCTGGGCAGCATGGTGAAACTCTGTCTCTACAAAAAAAAAAAAAAAAAAAAAAATACAAAAAACTAGCTAGGCATGATCAGGGCTGCCCATAGTCCCAGTTACTCGGAAGGCTGAGGTGGGAGGATTACTTGAGCCCAGAAGGTCAAGGCTGCAGTGAGCCCTGATCACGCCACTGCTCTCCAGCTTGGGTGACAGAGTGAGAACTTGTCTCAAAAAGAAAAGAAAAAGAAATTAATATTCTTGGCTGGGCGCGGTGGCTCACGCCTGTAAAGAAAAAATTTAATTTTCTTTTTTTTTAGGCAGAGTCTCACTCTGTCACCCAGGCTGGAGTGCAGTGGCTCGATCTCGGCCCATTGCAACCTCCACCTCTCGGGTTCTCCTGCCTCAGCCTCCCGAGTAGCTGGGATTACAGGAGCCCGCCACCACGCCCGGCTAATTTTTGGTATTTTTAGTAGAGATGGGGTTTTGCCATTTTGGCCAGGCTGGTCTCGAACTCCTGACCTCGTGATCCACCCGGCTCGGCCTCCCAAAGTGCTGGGATTACAGGCGTGAGCCACCACGCCTGGCCAAAAATTAATATTCTTACCAGCCACGTGAAGAATCACTGAGGCTCCTCAGTTGTGATGACCATGCCTTTTGTGGGAGCCACCAGGAACCTTGGTCTAGTTACAGCCATGATGGCATCGGGCATTCTCCTTTCCCTTTGGAGCTGAAGGTAATCCCTTTTCCAATGGCCCTCCTGCTTGCAGGACAGGGTCTAGGTGGGGTCCCCTGACTGGGACAGTCTTCACTCCAATGTCCTGGCTTCCCACACTTGAAGCAGCAACCATTGCCTGCAGGTTTGCTGTTAGGCCTGTTTGGTCCATGGGCGAAGCATCCCCCCGGGTGACCCTGAGGTTACAGGGCGCTGCTTACAGCAACTGCTGTCATTGGAGCATGCTGTCTGTTCTGTTGTTTGCCACGCTGGGTCCTTTCAGCCTCTCCAGCCCCGTCCCTATTACTAAATACCCCAAAAGCCACATCAAGCATTTGATTAATAGGCATTTGGGGTCCTCAAGCCAATTTCTGTAATTTTATTCTGATGTCAGGTGCTGACTGGTTAATAAAGTGTGTCCCTAGTAAAATCTGTCCAGCATCAGCATTGGGGGTCAATGTTAGTATATTTTGTTAGGGCTTCCACAAGGCACCCCGACACAAATCTGGGTTGTCATCCTTTCCTTGAGTTATTCCCCTTATTTTATTATAGTTCACAGGCTTAGCAGTACATTTTTTATTTCCTTTTTTTTTTTTCCTTTTTTTGAGATGGGGTCTGGTTCTGTTGCCCAGACTGGAGTGCATTGGCACGATCTTAACCAACTACAACCCCCACCTCCTAGGCCCAAGCCATCCTCCCACCTCAGCCTCCTAAGTACCTGGGACTACAGGCACATGCCAGCATGCCTGGCTGATTTTTGTATTTTCTGTAGAAATGGGGTTTCGCTGTGTTGCTCAGGCTGGTCTCAAATTCCTGAGATGAAGCAATCCACCTACCTCTGCCTCCCAAAGTGCTGAGATTATAGGCGTGAGCCACCATGCCCAGCCTGGTACATTTTTTTATTCCCTCCACTAAACAAGTCACCATATGATTTATTTTTCTTACATCAGCCTGGCTCTGTTGATCGTTCCAATTAGGGTCATTGTAAGGCATAGATGTGGTCCCCACAGTGTATTGCTCATGGTCCTCAGCTGATGAAATGCCAAGTGCAAGAGCTCAGCCCTTACAATTGGTCACCTCCATGGCCATGACAGAAGACAGGCATTCCTAGACCCTTGGCTGACTGCCTTGGCATGTAGGCATCCCTGGAGCCCTAGTGTTGTCCAGGGATCCATGGCCCCTGAGGCTTTGAAAACGGGGAGGCTTTCAAAGAGAAGCCGGACCAGCTGTAGGTTTCATTTGAAAGTCACAAGCCTGCTGATATCCATCTGAACGTTTATCACCAAGTACCACTTGGAAGTAGAGATGATTCAGCACAGCCAATAAACAGGGACCTTGAAGGGACCCATTAAGAATCAGAGGCCTGGATTTGGCATTCCAGAGGGCAGTATCTAGGAGGCCTATCTTACTGTGTCCAAAATGTTCACTAAACCTTTGTGTGAAGTAAGAAGAAGCAGCGTGGGGAGAGAAAATTGCAAAAGCCGGGGTTTTTTTGTTTTGTTTTTGTTTTTGTTTTTGAGATGGAGTCTCACTCTGTTGCCCAGGCTGGAGTGCAGCAATGTGATCTCTGCTCACCGCAACCTCTGCCTCCTGGGTTCAAGTGATTCTCATGCTTCAGCCTCCCAAGTAGCTGAGACTACAGGCGTGCGCCACCACACCTGGCTAATTTTTGTATTTTTGGTAGAGACAGGGTTTCACCATGTTGACCAGACTGGTCTCGACCTCCTGATCTCAAGTGATCCGCCCACCTTGGCTTCCCAAATTGCTGGGATTACAGGTGTGAGCCACCGTGCCCAGCCAAAAAGCCGAGTTTAAAGAGAGACAGGAAAAATGAAACAGCTCCCAACCAGGGTCAGTGTCTTGCCACAGCTGGTCCCTTGGGAAAACAGAAGATCCTTCCCAGAAAAAAGTCACAGTGCTCCTTGGAAGCCATCTAGCCACTGCACGGTGTGGGATTTTACCCTCCACCCTCTTTAGCCTCCAGTCAGGAAGGACGGTAGCTCCTCAGGGCTACTCAGTGTAGGTTGAAACCTTCCCACCTCCCTCTCATCCCATCAGGATGAACTGGGTTTTCCAGCCAGAGGGAGCAGAGGCGCTACAGCTGAGGGGAGTCAGGCTGCAGTTGACGCCAAGGAACGAGGAAGAAATTAGCAGTAACTCCAGAGAGTGAGAAGACTCCGACTAATATTGGAGTAGGATTTATAAACTGCCAGTGGTTCTAGAATTCGGCAACGACACTCCAGCCTGGATGGCCATAAAGATGACACCAGTGGGCTGAGGGAGGTCCCCAAACACCGATGGGACCTCGACCCCAGCTGGTGTCCAGGCTCTTGACATCATCACAAGAAGGCATTCAAAGGTGGGTCAGAAAATAATGAAATTACAGAGATTTATTGCAAAGAGAAAAGCACACACTCAAGAAAGAGGAGTGCAAACAAACACAAGGAGAGTCACATGAGAAAATACGTTTTACTGATTCTTACTCCTGCTGGCCCTGGCTTTCTCCTTCCTTGTCTTCCTTTTTTTCTCCCCTTGTGATCCTTTCTCTCTTCCATCCCCAATATATATGTCTTAGATAGGGAACTTAGATTTATTGAGCATCTACTATGTGCCAGGTACTGGGCTTTGGGCCTCATGGACTCCATCTCACTTAGTTCTTCCAGCAGCTTTTGGAGGGATGTTCATTATTATTCCCACTTTACAGAAGAGGAAATGGAGGTTCAGGGAGGTTAAATGATCCAGGTCACACAGTCAAATGGATTGGCGCTGGGAACTACATCTAGATCTGTTTGACTCTAAAACACTATTCTCTCCTTTATTTTTTGAGGGTCCATGAAGCACTATCAAGGAGCTACAGAATGTCAATTACGTTCCTCTTTGGAGTCTTTGTTGCCCAGGCTAGAATGAAGTGATGCAATCTCGGCTCACTGCAACCTCCCACCTTCCAGGTTCAAGCAATTCTCCTGCTTCAGTCTCCCAAGCAGCTGGGACTGCAGGTGCCTGCCACCACACGTGGCTAATTTTTGTATTTTTAATAGAGATGGGGTTTCACCATGTTGGCCCCGCTGGTCTCAAAATCCTGACCTCAAGTGATCCACCCGCCTCAGCCTCCCAAAGTGCTGGGATTACAGGAGAGAGTCACCACACCCGGCCCTCAATTGCATCCTTGAGTACAAATTCACATAACACACATGGAATTCCTGTTTGCTTATGAATCTTCCTATCAGGTGCCACTGATCTGCTAGTAGAAATCCTCCCAAGGAAAAGCTTGAAGAATGCAAGTGTTTTGCTGTCTGTCTAGGTTTTTTGTTAGCCTAAGGAGACACACAAGACTCCAGCTGCTCAGCCAGCCCCTCCGGGAGCCTCAGCCTGTGAGCAAAGTGATGGTGAGCAGGAGGCAGAGACCACAGGCTTCTGTTTACAGAATCTCTCAGACAATGGACAAAAGAGTAGCAACTTTCATAACAACTTGACATTGATAGAGTTTCCAATATAGCTGCACATTTTCTACTGTTATTGCTCCAATCTTCTTCATGAAAAGTAAAAGGGGGCCGGGCGCGGCGGCTCACACCTGTAATCCCAGCACTTTGGGAGGCCGAGGCAGGCGGATCACCTGGGGTCAGGAGTTCAAGACCAGACTGACCAACATGGAGAAACCCCATCTCTACCAAAAATACAAAATTAGCTGGGTGTGGTGATATATGCCTGTAATCCCAGCTACTCAGGAGGCTGAGGCAGGAGAATCACTTGAACCGGGGAGGCAGAGTTTGCCGTGAGCCAAGATCGCGCCATTGCACTCCAGCCTGGGCAACAAGAGTGAAACTCTGTCTCAAAAGAAGAAGAAGAAAAAAAAAAAGTAAAAGAGGGCAGGGCATGGTGGCTCACACCTGTAATTTTGGGAGGCAGAGGCAGGAAGATCACCCAAGCCCAGGAGTTCGAGACCAGCCTGGGCAACATAGTGAGACCTCATCTCTACAAAATAATACAAAAATAAGATGGATGTGGTGGTGCACACCTGTAGTCCCAGATACTTGGGAGGCTGAGATGGGAGATCATCTGAGCCCTCAGTGGTTGAGACTATAGTGAGCTGTGATCACACCACTACATCCCAGCCTGGGTGACAGAATGAGACCCTGTCTCAAAAATAAGTAAATAAATAAAAAGTAAAAGAAGGTTTTGGTCCTCACTTGGATAATCAGCAGTAATAAAAACATCTGGAATGAATCCACTCAGAGCCTTTCCAATAACCAGTCTCTCTCTCTCTCTCTCTCTCTCTCTCTCTCTCTCTGTCTCTCTCTTTAGCACAGGTTAAATTTCTGATTGTTCCTTGAGGCTTTTTTTGGTGGAAATCTATGTTAAAGCATATTTTATGTGGCAGAGGAGGCCAAAAGTGATGGCTGCATGCTTACTTATTATTTTTCCATGAAATAGCATTTTAGGGATCCAAATACAACCTATTTGATCCACAGACATGTACTGATCACTTCCAAGGCTGCGTAAACATTTAAAGACGTTCTTTGATGTGGTTAGACAAAGATGCCCTAAGCTATGGGTGCCAGTTAACTAGTTAATGCCAAATGTCTGGAGGAGCCAATTTGTTGGTCATTTTTAAAAAAGATCTGTGATGAGCAGTAAGAGGCTATCTGAAGCATTTTGTCTTTCATTTTTTAAAAACCTGGATCAAGATACCATGTGCAATATGAATATTTTTCTTTCAAAGGCAAGTATTATACAGAAGTTATCTCTATGGGGGCTGGGCATGGTGGTTCACGCCTGTAATCCCAGCACTTTAGGAGGCTGAGGCAGGTGGATCACCTGAGGTCAGGAGTTCGAGACCAGCCTGACCAACATGGTGAAACCCTGTCTCTACTAAAAATACAAAAATTAGCTGGGCATGGTGGTGGGCACCTGTAATCCCTGCTACTTGGGAGGCTGAGGCAAGAGGATTGCTTGAACCCAAGAGGCAGAGGTTGCAGTGAGCCAAGATAGTGCCATTGCACTCCAGCCTGGATGACAAGAGCGAAACTCCATCTCAAAAAAAAAAAAAAAAAAATAGAAGTTATCTCTGTGGGATTGGAGAAGTGGGAGCACTAGGGAGAGAAACATTTCTCTAATATTTGTGTTTGTATTTTATTTTATTTTTAACATGCCCTTGAGTTTTCTTTTAAAAGTTTAAAACTAGTTCAAATGCAAAAAGAGCATACCCCCCCCACCCCCAACCCTGCCACTCACAGAAAGGGAACACAGGAACAGGATGTTTTTGAGGAAACACACTCCCTCTGTGTAGATTCACTGAAAATATGTCAATTTTTTTTTTTTTTTTGAGACGGAGTCTTGCTCTGTCACCAGGCTGTAGTGCAGTGGCACAATCTCGGCTCACTGCAACCTCTGCCTCCCGGGTTCAAGCGATTCTCTTGCCTCAGCCTCCCAAGTAGCTGGGACTACAGGTGTGTGCCACCATGCCCAGCTAATTTTCGTATTTTTTGTGAGAAGGGGTTTCACTATGTTGGCCAGGATGGTCTTGATTTCTTGACCTCGTGATCCGCCCGCCTTGGCCTCCCAAAGTGCTGGGATTACAGGCATGAGCCACCCCGCCCGGCCAATGTAATTTCTTTCAAGCTGACGAGCAAAGCACCTTTATCACTAAGATCACTGAAGGAGGAATGGGGAGAGGAGGGTGCCAGGTTTTGCCCCTTGAGTTGTTTGTTTGCTTCTCTCTGTCCCAAACACCCAAGAGGGGTGAAGGAGAACTACGAGGCGGTGTTCCTGAAATTCTAGGGAACACATTTTTGGCTGTAATTGGCCGACTGTTTCAGGCAAAATCACGACGACTTTAGCTCTCTACTTTGTTTTGTTTGAGAAAGTCTGGTCCCAGCACGCTTAGTTGTAAAGTGGAAATGTTTCTGGTTCTGGGATTCATTAATTCGGAGCCCCCTGCCTGTTCTGTACAGATGAATAGGGCTCCAGCATCTCAGATGACCACATCTGAAATCCACCCAGAATCTTTTCCAGTAAATAGAAATCCATTTTGTACATTCCTACAGGAATACAACTGCAGCATGAAGAGATGGTCTCTCCCTATACTTCACATCCTTCCTTAAAAATATACATGTATCTATTTCTCTATGGATCTGTTTCTCCTATGAAGCAACTTGAGACAAACTGTGGTGGTTAAGCTATTTTATATTATCAAAATAATTGGTGATTGATAGTTCAGTCTAATATTTCAACACTTTTTAGATATTGGAGCAGGTAGAAATGGATATAGCTATAGGTGTATTAAGACACTCTAGATCTGAAAATTCAATTGTGTAAAAGGATAAATTAAGAGTTGTGAATGGTTTTCACTAAATCCTTTTTTTCTTCCCCTAGATAATTTATTTGGATGAGAGCTCTTCCTGTTCACCTTAGTATCTGTTGAAAGATGAGTATTTGGTGAAATAAGTTGGAAAATCAGAAGAACTTAAGACTAAAGTGTGGAAAGGTCATTGTGATGGATGATCACTCAGAAATGAAATGAAGTTAGAGCATCTCCCAAAATCATTGATCACTGGACCAAGACAAATAGATCCAGGCCAGGCACAGTGGCTCATGCACTTTGGGAAGCCAAGGTAGGGGGATTGCTTGAGGCTAGGAGTTTGAGACCAGCCTGGACAACATAGCGAGATACTATCTCTACAAAAAAAAAAAAATTAAAAATCACCCATGGCTGGGTGCAGTGGCTCAGGCCTGTAATCCCAGCACTTTGGGATGCTGATGAGGGCAGATCACTTGAGGTCAGGAGTTTGAGGCCAGCCTGGCCAACATGGCAAAACCCATCTCTACTAAAAATACAAAAATTAGCTGGGTGTGGTGGCACATGCCTGTAATCCTGGTTACTGGGGAGGCTGAGGCAGGAGAATCGCTTGAACCCAGGAGGCAGAGGTTGCAGTGAGCTGAGAATGTGCCACTGCACTTCAGCCTGGGCGACAGAGCGAGACTCCATCGAAAAAAAAAAAAAAAATCGCCTGGGCACAGTGATGTGTGCCTGCAGTCCTATTTATTCAGGAGGTTGAGGTAGAAGGATTGCTTGAGACCAAGTGTTGAAGGATGCAGTGAGCTATGATTGTGCCACTGCACTCCAGCCTGGGTGACAGAGTAAGACCCTATCTCCAAAAACAAAAACAAGTAGACTCTGAGCTCTTTAAAGACAGGAACCTTGGCTTTCACCTTTGATTCCAAGGAGTCTGCAATATGTGTGAGTAAGATCACAAGCCAGGAGCTATGGACTTTGCCCACCATGCTTGAGAGGATATGGCACAAGCATGCCTTCCCTGAGGCAGCTGGATGTGTTTGCGGTGCCAGTGACCTGGAGACTGGCAGCAGCAGAGTAGAGGAAGGCAGCAAGGGTTCAGAGAAAGGATGGTGACAGGGCAAGGGGGCAGCAAAGATGTTCTGTTTTTTTCATGAGAGGCACGGCTGGTTCAGAGTCTGGATTCTTGGGCACAAAGAGGGAAAGATTGGATGATATCCTTTAAAAACCAGGCACTCTGAGGCCTGGCATGGTGGCTCATGCCTGCAATCCTAGCACTTTGGGAAGCCAAGGCTGGTGGGTCACTTGAGGTCAGGAGTTCAAGACTAGCCTGACCAACATGGCAAAACCCAGTATCTACTAAAAATACAAAAATTAGCCAGGCGTGACGGCGGGTGCCTGCAATCCCAGCTACTCAGGAGGCTGAGGCAGAAGAATCACTCGAACCCAGGAGGTGGAGGTTGCAGTGAGCTGAGATCCTGCTACTGTACTCCAGCCTGGGCAACAGAGCAAGACTCCATCTCAGAAAAACAACAAAAACAGGCTGGGTGCAGTGGCTCACACCTGTAATCCCAGCACTTTGGGAGGCTGAGGTGGGCAGATCACCTCAGGTCAGGAGACCAGCCTGGCCAACATGGTGAAACCCCATCTCTACTAAAAATAAAAAATTAGCTGGGCATGGTGGCACATGCCTGTAATCCCAGCTGCTCGGGAGGCTGAGGCAGGAGAATCACTTGAACCTGGGAAGTGGAGGTTGCAATGAGCCAAGATCACACCACTGCACTCCAGCCTGGGCAACAAGAGAGAAACTCCGTCTCAAAGCAAAACAAAACAAACAAAAAAATTAAAAAAACAAAAAACAAACAAACAAAAGCCCCAGGCAATCTGAGTATCAGCCTCCAGGCAGAGGCGGGGAAGCAAGGAAACAGAGGTGCTACAGACAATGTTTATATTTCCTCCCAAATTCCTACGCTAAGATCCTAACTCCCAACCTTCGGGCATCAGGTGGGGAGGCCTTTGGGAGGTGATCAGGTCATGAGGGCAAAGCCATCCTGAATGGGATTAGTGCCCTTACAAAAGAGACTCGGGAGAGTCTCGTCCTCAACCTGTGAGGACACAGCAAGAAGGTGTCATCTCTAAGCCAGAAAGTGGCCCTCACCAGATGCCAAATCTGCCAGCACCTTGATCTTGGACTTCCCAGACTCCAGAATTGTGAGAAATAAATGCTCTTTTTTTTTTTTTTTTTTTTTTTGGTCAGAGACTGAGTCTTACTCTGTTGCCCAGGCTAGAGTGCAATGGCTTGATCTCGGCTCACTGCAACCTCTGCCTCCTGGGTTCAAGCGATTCTCCTGCCTCAGCCTCCCAAATAGCTGGGATTACAGGCACGCACCACCATGCCCGGCTAATTTTTATTTTCTTAGTAGAGACAGGGTTTCATCATGTTGGCCAGGCTGGTTTCAAACTCTTGACCTTGTGATCTGCCTGCCTCGCCCTCCCAAAGTGTTGGGATTACAGACATGAGCCACCCAGCCCAGCTAAATGCTCATTGTTTATCAGTCACCCAGTCTGTAGTATTCTGTTATAGCAGTCCCAACAGACCAAGAGAGAGAGAAGAGACTAATTAACACCCCTTTTGACAATCTCCTGTTTCACAGGCATCAAAAGGGGAATTTATTTCCAAATCCCTTTATGTTAATCTGGAATGATGAGGGGACAAGAAGGCCACCTATCCTCTCCGGTATTCCCCTACTTCCCTGCTGATGGTTCAAGCGATTCTCCTGCCTCAGCCTCCCAAGTAGCTGGGATTACAGGTACGCACCACCATGGCTGGCTAATTTTGTATTTTTGGTAGAGACAGGGTTTCACCATGTTGGCCAGGCTAGTCTCAAACTCCTTACCTCAGGTAATCTGCCTGCCTTGGCCTCCCAAAGTGCTAGGATTACAGGAATGAACCACCATACCTGGCAAAAAAAAAAAAAAAAAAAAAAAAAAAAAAAATTAAATGCAAATACATCAGCTGAAGAAGTTAATATTATATGAATGATCTGGTCAATAAAAGGAGGTCTGGCACCAGATTCTCCTTCTGTTCAGCACAGCAAACTAGAATGGAAGCTCCATAGAGGAGGTACTTTATTTCAGTAACTGCTGTGCCCCCACTGTCTGGTATATAGGGGGCACTCAAGTAATATTTATCGGGTGTGGAGTGAATGGACCTGGAATATGCTAGGTGTTGTACCACAAAGTGGGAGAGGTATCAAGAAAGCGTTTTATAACTCTTGTAGTTGGTGAGACAACATAAAAAGATAATTTCCAGACTGTGCTGGAGAAGCGTGGAGTGTTGTGGAAGCAAAGAGAAAGAACCCAGAAAGACAGGAACTGCTTAACAGCGAATAGGAGGTTCTACTACCACTGACTTGGGAAGCAGTATGCTGAGCAAATATGGCCATCCTGTGGTCTTCTAAAGACCATTTATCTTTCCTAAAAGTCATTGGTTTTCCCCTAAGTTGTCTTTCTCTCCCTCTTCTCCATGAAGACAGTATATAAGCCCCAAATTCTAACCAACATTTTGAGTCACATTTTTTTTTTTTTTTTTTGAGATGGAGTTTTGCTCTTGTTGCCCAGGCTGGAGTGTAATGGTGCGATCTTGGCTCACTGCAACCACCGCCTCCCGGGTTCAAGCGATTCTCCTGCCTCAGCCTCCTGAGCAGCTGAGATTACAGGCATGCACCACCACATCCAGCTGAGTCACATTTTTTTCTGTGTTCCTACACACACACACACACACACACACACACACACAAATACAAATTTACACATTTATATATGTATATACACATTTGTATCTTTGCTTCTTGTCTGTCTTTTGTGAGTTTAATTCACAGGACCTAAGTGAGTGGAGGAAAAGTTTTTTTCTCCTTGACACCTATCAACCATACTTAGCCAACATTGTCATCCTTTCCTTTTGCCCATAACATCATTTAGGAGGACATATTTTTAAATTTCATATTTAATTTACTACAGTTACAGATTTTTAAACATATTTAAGTTTTTAAGTGCTGCTTACAAATCTGACTCTTCTGTATACAGATCACTTTACGGGTGTTTAAGGAAAACAATAATAAACTATCAATTGCCTGACAAAGATTTCCTCATTGAGACTTAACACTTGGCCAGGTGCAGTGGCTCATGCCTGTAATCTCAGCACTTTGGGAGGCCAAGGCGGGAGGATCACTTGAGCTCAGGAGTTCAAGACCAGACTGGGCAACATTGTGTGACCCTGTCTCTATAAAAAAAAAACTGTTTTATAAAAAAGACTTAACATTTAAGTAAGGCTGGGTGCTGTGACTTACGCCTGTAATCCCAAAACTTTGGGAGGCTGGGGTGTACAGATCATGTGAGGTCAGGAGTTTGTGACCCGCCTGGCCAACATGGCGAAACACTGTCTCTACCGAAAATACAAAAATTAACTGGGTGTGGTGGCACACACTTGTAATCCCAGCTACTTGGGAGGCTGAGGTAGGAGAATTGCTTGAACCTAGGAGGCAGAGGCTGCAGTGAGCTGAGATTGCACCACTGTACTCCAGCCTGGGCAACAGATGGAGACTCCATCTCAAAACAAACAAACAAACAAGTAAGTTTTTATAAACCTAAGTAATTAAACTTATACAACTGGTGAATATCTTAAAATTCTCTTAAGTGTTTTAAAAATGTTTATAAAATTCATATGATTTCAACTTAAAATCTCAGTCTATAATCATTACTCATACATTTTAAATTTGAAACACAATTAGTCTGTTAAAACCTCTAGTATGCTAACTTCTCTTGAACACAAGTATACACAGTTTGCTTCTAAACTTAAAAAAACAAACATTTCAGAAGAGAATGCAATGTGGGCCTGTGATACCAGGGTGACTTTTCTTATATCTTTCTTATATCTGCCTGCAAGGTAGGGTCCTTTTTTTTTGAGATGGAATTTTGCTCCTGTTGCCCAGGCTGGAGTGCAATGGTGCGATCTCGGCTCACTCCAACCCCCTCCTGTCGGGTTCAAGTGATTCTCTGCCTCAGCCTCCCGAGTAGCTGGGATTACAGGCACCACGACCACGCCTGTCTAATTTTTGTATTTTTAGTAGAGACGGGGTTTCACCATGTTGGCCAGGCTGGTCTGGAACTGCTGACCTCAGGTGATCCACCCACCTCGGCCTCCTAAAGTGCTGGGATTATAGGTGTGACCCGCCGCGCCCAGCCGGGTTCTTTTTTTTTTTTTTTTTTTTTTTAATATTTGCTTTGCCATTGTCTCCAAAACACAGGCTATGCCATGGTGGCATAACAATTATTTTGAGCTGAAGGCATTTGAGAATGAGCAGATGCAGGAAGAAACTTTTGTTTTCTGGATTCCTTTGAAAGTGGAGACTCCCAAAAGATCTCAACTGATATAAATTCTAGCCCTGACAGTTTCATAACCAGGGAAGATTGGCTTTTATCACTGGAGACAAGTCAACACTGGGATCAAGAGATCACCTAAACAGACATTGACACAAAACTACTATATCTTCCATCTGGTCTTCTAAAAGACCATTTATCTTTCCTAAAAGTCATTGGTTTTCCCCTAAGTTGTCTTTCTCTCCCTCTTCTCCATGAAGACAGTATATAAGCCCCAAATTCTAACCAACATTTTGAGTCACATTTTTTTTTTTTTTTTTGAGATGGAGTTTTGCTCTTGTTGCCCAGGCTGGAGTGTAATGGTGCGATCTTGGCTCACTGCAACCACCGCCTCCCGGGTTCAAGCGATTCTCCTGCCTCAGCCTCCTGAGCAGCTGAGATTACAGGCATGCACCACCACATCCAGCTGAGTCACATTTTTTTCTGTGTTCCTACACACACACACACACACACACACACACACAAATACAAATTTACACATTTATATATGTATATACACATTTGTATCTTTGCTTCTTGTCTGTCTTTTGTGAGTTTAATTCACAGGACCTAAGTGAGTGGAGGAAAAGTTTTTTTCTCCTTGACACCTATCAACCATACTTAGCCAACATAGTTATTTGACACATTCGTTTACTGCTTCCTTTCCTCTCTAGGGCCATTCCTATTTTTGTACAAAAATACAGTTATTTTCCCATAAAAATTTACTTAGATCTCATCGGCCACCCTCTTTTTTCACTCTTCTTTGCAACAGCATTCTGTAGCCTCTGACTTCAATTTCTCCCCTTCCCTTCTCTCTGAAACTCCCTCTAAACAAGCTTTGACAACCTCCCTCCCACTGACACTGTTCTGGCTGGGCACAGTGTACATGCCTGTAGTATCAGTTACTCAGGGGGCTGAGATGGAAGGATTGCTTGAGCCCAGAAGTTTGAGGCCAGCCTGAGCAGTGTGGTGAGACCCCCATGTCAAAACAAAAGCAAAACAAACAAACAAAAAGACACTGTTCTATTTATTGTTTATCTCTAGCATCTATAACAGTGCCTGTTATAAGTGCTCAGTTTATGTTTATTAAGTTCTGTTTCTGAATATTTTTTATGTTCTTCCTGTTTGTTAGAATTGCATTTTGTACAGAAATTTGAATGACATCTGAATAGATTCCAAGGCTTTGGGAAGTATCACCATTCTAGTACTAAGGCTGTGATAACCACAGATACAATGGCAGATTATACAGTTTGCCAAATAATATTATGTGTGCCTTCCAAAGACCCAGGCTGTCATCACCACATTGAATCTTGTGAAATAGCTCTAAGAGGAGGTGGTCATTCTCTGTCACTTACTGATTTATCTATATGAACCTTGTTAGACACACGTCCTGAGGCAAGTTTTGCTTAAATCTCTGCCCTATGCCTATTGATGGGAGTTTTTACTCCCACCAATATGGGGGGCCTGCAACTTAAACTGACAAAAGACAGGTAACAGGTGACAAGATAAATTTGTATTCATGCATGTACACAGTCCCACAGTATTTACTCCATTACTGTGTATAGCATAAAGCATCCAAATTATTATTATTATTATTTTTGAGATGGAGTCTCGCTCTGTCTCCTAGGGTGGAGTGCAGTGGTGCAATCTCGGCTCACTGCAACCTCCGCCTCCCGGGTTCAAGCAATTCTCTGCCTTCGCCTCCCGAGTAGCTGGGATTACAGGTGCCTGCCACCATACCTGGCTAATTTTTATGTATTTTCAGTAGAGACGGGTTTCACCATCTTGGCCAGGCTGGTCTTGAACTCCTGACATCGTGATCCACCCGTCTCGGCCTCCCAAAGTGCTGAGATTATAGGCGTGAGCCACCACGCCTGACCAAACCATCCAAATTAAAACAGGATCAATGTTTTGAAGGGAGTTACACATGTGTTTTTTGTTTTGTTTTGTTTTGTTTTGTTTTTTAGACAGGGTCCGCTTCGTTGTCCAAGCTGGAGTGGTGGCACAATCTTGGCTTACTGCAACCTCTGCCTCCCCAGCTTAAGCGATTCTCCTGTCTCAGCCTCCCGAGTAGCTGGGACTACAGGCACATGCCACCATGCCCAGATAATTTTTGTATTTTTAGTGGAGGTGGGGGTTTCACCATGTTGGCCAGGCTGGTCCCAAACTCCTGACCTCAAATGATCTGCCCACCTTGGCCTCCTAAAGTGCTGGGATTACAGGCATGAGCCACTGTGCCCGGCTGCTCATGTGTATTAAATGATGGCTATTGGCCAGGCATGGTGGCTCACGCCTGTAATCCCAGCACTTTGGGAGGCCGAGGCGGGCAGATCACCTGAGGTCAGGAGTTTGAGACCAGCCTGGCCAACATGGTGAAACCTCATCTCTACTAAAAATACACAAATTAGCCGGGCATGGTGGTGGGTGCCTGTAATCCCAGCTACTCGGGAGGCTGAGGCAGGAGAATCACTTGAACCCGGGAGGCGGAGGTTGCAGTGAGCCGAGATCACACAGCTGCACTCCAGCCTGGGTGATGGAGCGAGACTCCATCTCAAAAAAAAAAAAAAAAAGATGGCTATTATATAAATGAATATAAGTGAACAAATGTGATAAGTTAAATTTTGCTAGGATCCCTATCCCATGCCAATCACCAAAGGGAACACAAATTATACAAAGGTAGGGACTATGTTTTGCTCATGACTGTGTCAATATATAATATACAAATAATATCTTGGTATTCTGGGACTTAGCATTCATTGTTGAAAGAGTGGATGAGAATCTTGGTAATGCCAGCATTTTCTTTCTGCTCAGATGCTGATCCCACTCTAACCTATCCTGTTTACAACTAATTCCTAGACTTTTTATGATGCAAAATTATAAAACAAGGATGGAAGGCTTACCTTAAAGAGAGAAGTGGAGGGATTTTTTGTCGAAAGTCATATATAATAAAGAGTACAAAAAATAATAAAAGAGAGGAGAGGGCGTAAACACTGATCTTGCTATGAGTAGAAGAAGGAACCTATTTTGGCGAGGGTAAATAAAGGGACTTATTTATTTAAAGACTCACTATTTTTTATATTTTTGGTAGAGACGGGGCTTACCCATATTGCCCAGGCTGGTCTCGAACTCCTGACCTCAAGGAATCCACCCTCCTTGGCCTCCCAAAGTGCTGGGATTACAGGCATGAGCCACCACAGCCCAGCCATAAGGGGACTTCAGGAAGCCTGCTGAGAATGTGGGAGATGAGAGTGAATGTTAGGAGGAAGAAAGAAGACGAAAGGCGGATCAAAACATCTGGCTGGGGGTTCTAAATTGGATTGGGCATCTAATTGTTTAATGTCTTTCAAGGGATAAGAGAAATAAATGGCATTCTTTTCATTTTAATTTACTTGCTTTTGCCCATTCGATTATGCTTTTTCTTTTCTTTTATTTTTTTGAGATGGAGTCTTGCTCTGTTGCCCAGGCTGGAGTGCAGTGGTGCAATCCTGGCTCACTGCAAGCTCTGCCTCCCGGGTTCATGACATTCTCCTGCCTCAACCTCCCAAGTATCTGGGACTACAGGCGCCTGCCACCACACTCAGCTAATTTTTTTGTATTTTTAGTAGAGACGGGGTTTCACCATGTTAGCCAGGAGGGTCTCAATTACTGACTCGTGATCCGCCCGCCTTGGCCTCCCAATCTATTGTACTTTTTAAAATGAGACTCCCCTCCAGGCTAAACCTTTCTCCTTTTGGGCTATAGCAGAAAGACCTGAGCTCCTCAGTGACAGGGAGCGTATCGTCTTTATTTTGTTTTCCTGGGACTAGCAGAGTGTCTGCTACAGAGCTGAAGGGTCATGTTTCAGTTTTTGGAAAGTAACTCAACTTCAGCCTCACATCTACTGGACAGAGTGAGCTTATCTTGGCCCTCCAGGCAAAGTCAGCTGAAGGCCATGGTAGAGACACAACTGGTTCTTCTACTAGTCTTCTTCTAGTTTGCTTATTCGTTTTGCTGTATTTAGCTCTTTATAACCTTCAACAAATTCAAGGTTTTATTGCGGTATAATTGATTTGCAATAAACTGCACATACTTAAAGTGTACAATTTGATGAGTTTTATATGTGCGTAATTGTGAAACCAACAGACAGGGAACATAGCATCACCTCCAGGAGTCTCCTCACGGTGGTTTTATTTCAAGGTTTTATTATCTAGAGATAAAGAGATAAGGAAGGAGATAGATCAAATAGGATTCTTCACGATTTGATAATTGTTGAAGCTGGGTGACAAGGATTCAATGAGATTCATTGTTTGAAACTTTTTATATATGTTTCAAAAAATTCATTTATAAAAGTTTTTCTTTTTTTCTTTCTTTTTTTTTTTTAGAAAAAACTTCAGGCCAGGTGCAGTGGCTCACGCTTGTAATCCCAGCACTTTGGGAGGCCGAGGCAGGCAGATCACGAGGTCAGGGGATCGAGACCATCCTGGCTAACATGGTGAAACCCCGTCTCTACTAAAAATACAAAAAATTAGCTGGGCGTGGTGGGTGGTGCCTGTGGTCCCAGCTACTCGGGAGGCTGAGGCAGGAGAATGGCATGAACCCGGGAGGCAGAGCTTGCAGTGAGCCGAGATTTCGCCACTGCACTCCAGCCTGGGTGACACAGTGAGATTCCGTCTCAAAAAAAAAAAAAAAGAAAAAACTTCAATATGTTAACTCCTATTGATGATAGAGGCCACTGGCTCCTGTTTAAAAAATTCAGGAAATGTGCATGGCCAGATACTTCTCCCCAGCAAGGTTTGGGGAAGCATTATGAACGATCTTAATACCCTCTCCCATGTCAATTAAACTAGTCACGAATGAAAAGATACGGGGATTATTTGGGTGGGTCCTTTAGATCCGAAATTTTCTTTTTTTTTTTTTGGGAGATGGAGTCTCGCTCTGTTGCCCAGGGTGGAGTGTGGTGGCACAATCTCGGCTCACTGCAACCTCCACCTCCTGGGATTAAGCAATTCTCCTGCCTCAGCCCCCCAAGTAGCTGGGACTACAGGCGCATGCTGCCACGCCCAGCTAGTTTTTTGTATTTTAGTAGAGATAGGGTTTCACCATGTTGCCCAGGCTGGTCTTGAACTCCTGAACTCAGGCAATTCGCCCACTTCGGCCTCCCAAAGTGCTAGGATTATAGGCATGAGCCACCGCGCCCGGCAGATTTGAAATTTTCAAAGAATTCAAGCATTATGGCTTTGGCTAAAAAGCAATTCATTTATTATTTATTTAGATATGAGGTCTCATTCTGTCACCTAGGCTGGAGTGCAGAGGTACAATCTTGGCTCCTGTAGCCTCAATCTCCTAGGCTCAAGGAATTCTCCTGCCTCAGCCCTCCTGAGTAGCTGAGACTACAGGCACATGCTACCATGCCTGGCTAATTTTTTATGTATTTTTTGTAGACACGGATCTCATTATATTGTCCAGCCTAGTCTCAAACTCCTGGGCTCAAATGATCCTCTCACCTTGGCCTCCCAAAATGCTGGGATTATAGGCATGAGCCACTGCATCCAGCCCAGATATTTTAAATGTATATTTATATATAATCTTTTTAAAAACCCATACATGCTAACATTCTATGCACATTTCTGCATTTTGCATTTTCACTCATACATCTGGAAGATATTTCTATATCAGTACATATAATTAAAAAAAAAAAAAATCTCATTTTTTAAACAGCTGCAAATAATTCTAGCAAATGAATGCATAATTGATCTAACTAATCTCCTGTGGATAGACATTTAATAATTGTTTGCTACTGGAGTCAGTGCTGCCTTTATACATATGCCTTCATGTACACGTGCGTTTATATATGCAAGATACATTTATAGAAGTGGAAGTGCTAGGATTACATTTATAAAATGTATCAACCTTTTAAAAGTACATGCATCAAAATGTTTGATACATTTTTAAATGACAATTATTGCCAAATTGCTCTGTATCATGTCTGTGTGCGACAATTTACAATCCCGCTAATGATGTATGAAACCATTTGATTCTGTACACCCTTAATGAAACAGTGTGTTCCTTACACTTTTTATGTGTGCCCAACTCTTAGGTCACAGTGGGGTTTCAATATGATCTTAATTTACATTTATCTTTTTATGAGACATGTTGAGAATTTTATCATAGGAACTATTTGTATTTCCTTTTCTGAGAACTATCTGTTCACGACATTTGCCATTATTTTTTCTTGGGCTTGTTATTCTTTTTGTTCTTGATTAATATCTGGTGGGATATTTATTCCTACTTTTTTTTTCATTTGGACTGTTGAATTAGCTTGTTTACTTCTAAAAAAATTCTACTTTCATTGGGCTAAGTTACATTTATGGTTTAATTAAGAAAAACTGACATTTCAATGTCTCTTCCTGTATGAGAACAGGGCATATCTTTCCATTTATTCAAGACATAAAGTGGGTTTAAACAGGTACATTTTTAAAAGATGGCTACTTGTGGAGTCCAAATTGAGAAGGGCAAGAACGAAAGCAGGAAGACCAATTAAGTGGTCCTGCAGTGGCCCAGGAAAGAGATGATAGTGCTTAGGCTAGGGTTGGGGGTGGATAGATTTGAGATCTGTCCTGGAGGAAGCACCAATTAAACTTTCTCATGGATTGGATATGGGAGTAAGACCAAGGGAAGAATAAGGATGATGCCTAGGTTTTCAACTTGAGCCATTGAGGGACTAGTGATGCTGTGAGATACAGGAGACAGAAAGAGATCCTAGAAGAAGGCTTGCTTAGAAGCAAAGTCCCCAAGCCTCAAACTCCAGGGAGGCTGCCCACAGAAGCTCTTTCAGTGGAGACACAACCAACTGGAATCAATCAACTGTAATCACAACCAACCAGGGCCTTCATTAACCCATGTGGTACCTTGGTGTGAATTTAAAAATGGTGGCTTTTCTGGGAAGACAGAGGCCCAAAGGTACACTTGGCAAGGAGTATGCGAGTTGAGTTTTAGCCCCTACTTAGTCTCTTGACTGGGAGCTCCTGTGCTATGAGCAACCTGCAGGACCAGACCTGGAAGCCTTGGAACTAACCTCTGACTGGGGCATCTGACTCATCCACTCCTATACAGTACTACCCTGCTCCTTAAACTTACCCCAAAATGGCCCCTGACTCTAGTGTTCTGCTACTCAGGTAGATCCTCACCTCTACCTGTTTAGAGATCTGCCAGTTACAGTGAATCTGACTGCTGCCTGCTTACGCATTTCGGCAGTTGCCTTGCCTCTCCTAAACCTTGAATATGGTGCATAGAATAAAATATAAGCCTTAAGTCATCTTGGTTACCATAAATCTCAGAATGATGCTTTTTCGATACTTATGCAATTCCTATTGCCCAATTTGAAAATGTCCTGGTTCATTTGAAAACAGTCCAGTTAGCTGCATAGAGCAGCAAGCTGTAAATTGTATCTGAAAGACCGCTGGCTTCAAACCATTGGGATTCTGAGTCATCTGTTTGGTGGTCTGACTTTGATCCCAGCCTCCAGCCTCTGGGTCCCCCTGGTCTAGGTGACACCTCTCCAAACAGTGTTGAGCTTACTCCTCAAAGGCAGAGGACAGAAGCGGATTCTGAAAAACTCTGCGTTCAGTCTGACATTCCCTGTTCTTTTCCCGCACCTTCCCCATGAAATAGCAGACTCGAAAATAAAATTTACTCATGCCCTCATGACTGACTGACTACCCCCAACCCAGGGGGTTCTCCCGTCCTTAATCTCCTCCATTTTAGTTATACCATGGGGACTTCAGGTAGGCTGCAGGAGTAGATGCTGGCCCACATTTCCATCAGTCCTTGCTAGGGACAGTGTTACACTGCTTGGTAATTGATAAATCCCCACTCTGGGTGCACAGTCCCCTCTCCCCAACTGAGCTAAGATGTGGGCTATTGATGCTTTCATGCCCAGCCCAACCATGAATCAGTTGACTTCCAGTCAATCATTCCTCCTCGTACCCACCAGGAACAACACTAACAACTGAGGCAAGAATGCAAAGCCACAACCTAAAAGAAAACAGACACATTGTTCCATCTGATCTACTGACAGCTAAGACAGTCACTCCATGGAGTACACAGGAGATTCGCAGGCTGCTGCCAGGGCTCATTCTGTTCTTGTCTTTCCTATGACTTTACTCAGGATTCCATTATCAGCAACTTCACCCTCCAGCTCTCTCCATCCTCCTATGAAAGCCTCAGGGACATAGAAATAAGCTTGTCTTTGTAAAATGTGCCAGGATCTCCGTCTTAGATAAAAGACGACTATGAGAAAAGAAATTATTTCATTCCACTATGTTCCATTTGATTTCTGCTTTCAAGCAATAAACCACCATGGCTTGAGATGCTTCTAGTGTTTCATGGAGAATTGGGACTATTTCCCCAACATGCCCTGCTCTTCATTCCTCTTTGCTTCTTCCCTTTTTGACTCCTTGGACCCGAGGGGCGACCATGAGTGGCGAAATTTCTGACCAGCTAGAATACCAGGCAGGTGCAGGCTCTTGAAGCACCAAGACTGGCTCAAGAGATTGTAAATGGATCAGTCAAGTGCATGCACCACTGACGGCCAGTCAGGAGAGCTTCCATTTGTTAAAAATATAAAGGACATTCCTATCATCAAGCATCACAATTAGGCAATCTCAAAGAAAACAATATTAGCTCTACTTGGCCTATGTTACATGCTCTAAGAAAGTATTTTAGAAAAGTTTTTTTTTTCAACATAAATTTATTGAAGGATCAAACGTGTTCTCTTTCTTGGTCTCTTTAGCTCGTAAAGTCGTTTTGGGGATTTCGTGAATCTGGCAAATAAAACAAAACACCAATGAAACGCTGAGAAATGATTATTTCCCTTATGTATTTTAGCGGCCTCCAGGCAGACCTGATAAATATTCAGCGAGTGATTAGCTGGTGCATCCCCACCTGCGTCCTTTGCATAGCCATGCCCGCTACTCTTTCACAGGCAGTTTTACTTGGTAAGTTACAAACGTACTGGCTGCACTCTGCACCTGACAGTATTGCAGTAATTAGCTTGGGATGCAAAATGATTTCTAAATTAAGGTCCTGGACTTGTAAAATCAAGAAAGCCTGATAATCAACATCGTCGCTCTGGTGGCCATTGAATAACGGGATAAATACCTAAGACAAGTCCTTTAACCATCCCACGTGGTGATAAATGCCCGACGTACAAATTAAAAGTCTCTACCACACGCAGGTGAAATAAGGTATAGGTCAAGAAGAGAAGGTAGGGGAAAGGGTCAATGCTTAATTATTTAAAAATCGCTCTCTTCCTCCTGTAGGAAGGTCTAGGGGCTAGGTCTTTTAGTGCACACGTGATGAAAGTGACATTTTGGCCAGGTGAAACCTCAAGCTGGTACAGGCAGCTAAAACACGGGCGTCGTGCCCTGGAGACACCGGGGGTCCTGAGGATGGGGAAGGGGCTCCCTGCTGCGGGTGCTGAGGGGTTAGGAGGTGAGCACCGGGCGGGAGGCTCCGGGGCAGGGGCTGCGCGTGGAGCCCACTCCCGGACGCGGGCTCCTCTCGGCCCGGCACGGGTGGCGCAGGACTCCGAGCCCGTCGACAAGAGAGAGAGCGGGAGTGGGAGAAGGAAGACCGGGAGAGGAGGAGGCCGGGCGGCAAGAGCGGAAGAAGAGGAGGAGAACTGAGGCGGAGGAGGGCGAGAGGGAGGAGAGCCGGGCGCAGGAAGGGGAGGAAAGAAAAAGGCGGCGGAGGAGCGCGGACCCGCCACTCCCGGCCTCCTCCCCCGCATCCCCACTCGGGCCGGCCCTCCCCCGGCCGCCGCCGCCGCCGCCGCCGCCGCCGCCGCCGCCGCCGCCGCCTCCCCTTGCCCAGTGTTCCCAGCACCGCAAGGCACTCGCTGCCTCCTCCGCACTCGGTCCGGTCCGCTCAGCGCCGCCGCCGCCGCACCCTCGCCGCACCCCCGCGCGCGCCCGGCCCGCGCGCCCCCGCCGCTCGTCCTCGCGGCCTCGCGCTCGGGGCATGCGCGGTGGGCGGTGCCGCTCCGGGCCGCCTCTGCCGCCGCGAGTAGGAAGCGCGAGCGCCGGGCACCGGGCTGTCAGTGAGCCTGGGGCCAGCGGGCGAGCCAGCGGCTCCGGCTCCCGCTCCCGCTCCGCGCAGCACCAGCCCGACTCTCCCCGGCCCCCGCCGCGCCCCCTCGCCGCGACCTCGGCCACCGGCCCGCGCCCCGCGCCCGGGGTCGCCCCGAGCCCGCACCTCTCCCCCGCCGCCCCCGCCCACCCGGCCCTCCGCGGCCGCAGCTCCCCGGCGGAGGCAAGAGGTGGTTGGGGGGGACCATGGCTGACGTTTTCCCGGGCAACGACTCCACGGCGTCTCAGGACGTGGCCAACCGCTTCGCCCGCAAAGGGGCGCTGAGGCAGAAGAACGTGCACGAGGTGAAGGACCACAAATTCATCGCGCGCTTCTTCAAGCAGCCCACCTTCTGCAGCCACTGCACCGACTTCATCTGGTAGGTGCCGGGCCGGGCACTCCTGCCCCGCTCCTCCCCGCCTCCGGGTCCCGGCACCCGGCGCTCCGGCGCGTCCGCCCCGGGGCTGGCTCACTCCGATAACTTGGAACCGGCGGGAGTCCGAACTCTTCGCCCGGAGTGACACGCGCGCCCGGCCCTGACACCGGCGGGCAGGACTCCCGGGACGTCGCCGTCCCGCCACACACACCCCCTGGCGCGAGAGGGAGGCTGGCCCCGTACGGTGGCGAAGGGGATCCCTCTCCGGGCCGGGCCCCTCACCTCCCCGGGCGCGCCCACCCGCACGCACCCAGCGGAGCGGCCGCTTGCCGGGGTGTGAGCCCAGGGGACAGGGGAGGAGGAGAGGCCCTAAGGGGGCAAAGGTTCCCGGAGAAACGCGCCCCGGAGTAACGGGGGAGCGGCGGCGATTGCACTGCGCGCGGTCCAAGTTGCTGGCGAGCCAGGCTGGGCGCGTTCGGGGTGGGGGGGTTGTGTTTGTGCTTCCCATCGGGCTGGACTGCGCTGGCATCTTGGGCCCCTGCCTACTGTAGGCTGCATCTACTGGGCACGGAGAGACTGACTTTTCTGAGTGAGCAGAGAGAGAGAGAGCAAACTGTTGAAAGCTTGCAGTGGGGGAGGGGGAGTTCTAGCAGGCAAATGGCACAAGGGCAGAGGGACTCATTTAAAATAGACCCTGTCGGCCAGGCGCGGTGGCTCACGCCTGTAATCCCAGCACTTTGGGAGGCCGAGGCAGGCGGATCACCTAAGGTCAGTAGTTCGAGACCAGCCTGGCAAACATGGTGAAACCCCGTCTACTAAAAATACAAAATTAGCCGGGCGTGGTGGCACACGCCTGTAATCCCAGCTACTCGGGAGGCTGAGACGGGAGACTCGCTTGAACCCGGGAGGCGGAGGCTGCAGTGAGCCGAGATCGGGCCACTGCACTCCAGCCTGGGTGAGACAGAGCGAGATTCCGTCTCAAAAAAAATGAAACAGACCCTGTCAACTCGAGATTAGACCTGTAACCCTGTTGATGAGGGCAGAGGCCTTATTTAAGAAAAATAATATAAGGGCCAGAGGTCAGAGATCAGGTAATCGCCAATGAATTCAGGCATTCTTAACTCGGAGGGTCCCTGGGGGCTTATGGAGAATCGATACATAGAAGGGCTTCAGGGGTCTCTGAACCCTGTAAAACTGAGGGAAATTGTGTTTGTGAATCTTTTTCCTGGTGAGAGAATTACAGCTTTCATCTGATCCTCAAAAGGTGTGTGACCCTTCTTCCCAGATCCCCGTCACCACACAAAAGTTTTGAAAGCTGGAACTAAAGGAGCTCTAGGTCCTCTAGTTAGAGCAGCAGTAGTTTGGTTTTTCTTTTAAGTTGCCCGACGTCCTGACTCTTCTACCTCTTCTTTGTGGTGTAGGAAGTTCCGGGCAAGACAGAGCTATGGCTAGGGCTTCTTAGCTCCCTCTCCTTCTAGGCCAGGGGGAGCTGCACAGGGTGGCAGTCACGGAGTGAATCCTGCCACCAGCCAGCTGTGTGGCACAGGTATCTTGGGCCACTAGGGTGAGCATAGTATGGATGGCTCTGTCGGAATCCATCACACCTGGGGAAAAACATCCCAAAGGGCAGGTCCCATGATCGTGGTGCGAATAAGGTGTTTAATTTTTCCTTTCCTTTTTAGACATCTGCTCCCAAGTACACTTTTATGAAAAGCACAGCCACCTCTATGAGTGATTTCCACTGTCTAGTCGGCATATGAAGCGACTGTGCTCAAAGGAGTAGGTAGTCGTAGATAAGGCTATTTAAAATAAAAATTTCGGAGCATCAGGGCAAAGAGAATATTGCATTTGGTTAAGAGGAGGTCAGCTGTGAGAGTCCATTAAAAGGGAACAGACTGCTGGTGACTTTTGCAGGAAGTAGGAGAGTTAGAAAGGGACTTGCAGCATACTGAGGCTAGCTATTGTCTTTCCACTATCAGTTGCCCTTGAAGGATCAGCCCCTGGTGAGCTGAAGAGGCGCTCAGGTCACCACCAGTATTGTGAAGTGGAAAATGCCCCCCTGAGGATCCCTGCAGCACTCTGCATTTAATTGTAAACCAACCAATTGGAAGTCCCAGGAAACCATCCACGGGGATTGTCTTTTTCAGTTTGCTTTCATTATTGCTTCTACGGGGTCCTTGATTTACACGTTTATTTCAATATTAAATCACTGATATTTTTAAGCGAAATGTTTAGAGTTAGATATGGTTTTTAGTAGGGGGGATGACTCTAAGTTAATTTTAAAAGTATGTGAAATACTTTGTACATGAAACATTCTATGTGAAGCAAGAGATTATGACTCTCAACCTTCCGAAGAAATTTTAATGCAGTTCATTCTGGTAGAACAATACCTGCAATTGAACGTCCACGTCAGGGTTCTCTGCTTACAGAGTAAATTCTCTAAAGTCATGTACAAGAACAAAATAGCCTCCCTATGTGCTTTGAATGCTATTGGTTCTCAGTAGAAATTAGATCGTGGTCATCTCAAATGCAAACAATAGGAATTATATTTTCTAAGATCTGGTTTCTTAAGCCAACATTAAATGTTAAAAGTGATGCCGTTTGGCAGTTTCTAGACATGTGATATTTTAAACAAAAAGAAGCCACTTTGTTATCTTTAGGGAGATAAAAACAATTTTCATTTGGTCTTCAGGAACAAAATAAGCAACTTCCTTTTACAATTTTAACCATAAACTGTTTTGTTACTTGAATATTGTGTTGTAGCCAACAAGTTTGAATATACAGTCATGTTCTTGTCTTGAAATTTTAGTATTGATAACATAGTATAAAAAATTGGAAAAAAGGTTGATACATCGAAATAGTTCAGTGATCCTTTATAGGCAAGATTTTTTTCCCCCCAAGGTTGAATTTACACAGTAATCTGACTAGATATTTAGGTATGTTTTTTTCTATTAAATCATTGGGTTTCACATACAAACCTTTAGTGGTAGAGTACTTGGTCACATAACTTGTTTAAAATATGCTATCCAACAGAAAATATGTTAAGATATTTTGTTCTTGTTTTTGTTTTTCAGGGGGTTTGGGAAACAAGGCTTCCAGTGCCAAGGTAAGCTACCACTTTTGGTTTTATTTTCAAGCACAACATGAAATAAGCATTCCAAACAAGAACATTATTTCCAGTCATATTTTCTTTCCAATAAAAAAATGTTATTTAGATAATTTTGAAATATGAGGGCTGTAAATTTGGGCCTTAAAAAATAATTGGGGCCTACTAATCTGCATATAGAGCTGCCTTTTTCTCATTGGAAAAAAAAAAAAAAAGCCTTTCTGTAATTTTATTTTTTGCCGAGAACATTCTTGTCAGAAACTGCTGTCTTTGTGTGGGTGTTGAGAAAAAAATGGAATCACTTTGTATTCAAGTGGCTTTTCTTCCTTGTTCTTCCTCTTTGTTTTTATTCTTCATCGCTTTTACTTATGTATTGAGTTGGACTCACTGCAACTAATTTTAGGCCGTATTTCATTCTAGTAAGGGTTTGTTTTGTTTAGAATACCAGTTGTCATCGAGAACAAAGTTTGCATGTTTTAAAGTTTTGTTGATGATTTGATGACTGATTTCTATGGTATGACTATGTAGCATGCTTTCCTTTCAGCTTACATATCTGACAAAACGTGATATCAGCCATCACATACAGAAAGAAATCCATTTGCTTCACCCTCTGATCTGTAATTGCATTTCACACACATCGAATATCTAACTTTTTGTACTCTCCATTCTAATTGTTTGACTTTTCCTTTTTGAAGAAACCCACTTTAGAGCTTGTGAAGGCATCACAGGCTCATTAGCTAACTTTTCTGGCTCTCCTGCTCATTGTCTATATTGTGTTTATTTAGTTCTGGTTCCATTTCCCATCTGGGCATAGATTTATTATTAGGGCAAGCAGAAAGTACATTCTAGCCTGGAAAATATTATCCTAACACTGTTTAATATTAAGTGCATTAGAGAGAAAGGCACTGTGTACTTTTTTACAACTTTGAGATTGTGCTAGTAAATTGGTTGCCTTTTAAAAACTAGTTCAAATTTGTGAACTTGTTTCTTGTATACATTTTCTAAACATATTTTAGATGGGAGTATTTTATGGTATGATTATTCATTTAATATTCTACCTTCCTTTCTCCAAGATGTGCTTAAAACCCCTACTGAGTGTATCATTTTCAGAGTTGCATTTGAAAATCAAGGGATATTCCTTTTAAAAAGAGAAGAAAGAGAAAGATGTGTTATACCAGTCTCTACAAAAGATGAAAGGAAAATGTAGCTCTTTCTAGTTCTCAAAGTTGTGGGCCTGAACTTTATGGGTGAGATTTGAGCCTAGGCTTGAACATGACTTTAGGGAGTTTAAAGATGTAAGGTTCTGGGCCAATGTGATTGACATCTGTTATTTTTGGTGATATTTTTCGTTTGGGTGGGGACTTACATAAATCTATAAGAAAATTTTTGTACTGAATCTTCTCCATACTGCTTGTCTGGGAGAAAGTGGTTGTCTTGTTCTAAAACTTTTATCATTTTCTGCATAAATAAAAAATAAGGTTGATTAGAATAAGGTTGGTTCCTCTTAGACCCGCTCATCTGAGCAGATTTTGTGGAAATCACAGTGGCCGTATTACTAGGCTCTAGGGGGTTTTGCATGATTTCCCCCAGAGCATCTCTTGAACTTTTAGTGGATTAGCAGATTAATAGTTTCATGGCAACATAACTCCCTTTTACCTAAATTAAAAAAGTGAAACCCATAAAAATTTTAAACTGTATAAAATAAAAAGTGAAATTGCATATGCTTCTCTTTTCCCTCCTCCAGAGATAACTTCTGTTTGAGACAACCATTCGTTCACTCACTCACACATACTTAGTTTTTAAAAGGAGATCAAAATTTTATACGACTTTGCAACTTGCTCTTTTCACTCAGCAGTAGATGGTGGATATTCTTCCACATCAAAGCATCAGTTCTGCCTTACTCTGCTTAGTGGCTGCATGTGTGGATGTATCCAATTTATTCACCCATTCCTCTATCAAGGGGTATTTTGTAATTCGTTCTTACTAGTACAAATACCTTTGTCAAGAGCATTATTGGACACTAGTATAGGTATTTCTACAATAGATAGCCAGAAGTGTGTATGTGTGCATCTTACATTTTAACGGGTGCTGCTAAATTGCTCTTCAAGAGTTCCAGTGCACATTTTTTTGTATTAATGGGACTTCCTCTTCATTTTTACCAGTGAAGATATCGGGTAATATACATCTTTTACATTTTTTACCAATCTGGTAGGTGAAAAGGGGCCCCTCTTTTAGATTTCCATCTCCTGCATTATGGGTGAGCTTGAACTTTTTTTTTCAAATGTGTTTTAGCCATTTGTGTTGTGTGAATTGCCTTACTCTACCTAATATTTGAAACTCTGGATTTACAAACCAGACAAATTAGAGAAGTGACTATGTGCTTTCTATATAGTTCTTTGCTTTGGTGAAGAATTTAACCTCAGATCTCTTTAAATAATGAATTACCCTAGTGCGTTTACAAATTACAGTTCACAGAGACCTTTTCCAATAGTATACATTTATTTGTAACATGCTGTCTGCTTGTTATATTTTGTTTACTGTGTCTCATCTGTATTTGACTTCTAGTAGGCATATGCTAGTCCATTGTATTTTATTGTTTGTTGTAACTTAAGAAGGATATGTTACCTCAGGGTGATGCTTTTAATCCCACAAATATAGTTACCCAGCATTTTCTGTTTTGGCTCCTACCGCAAAATTAATCTTTCTATTAACATCTGACTATCGTAGAGTGAAGTTTTCTTTTAATGCTCTCTAATTTTGTTTTTTTTTTCCTCGGTTTTGTTTGATAGAACATCATTCTTCTGCAGGAGAATAACTCATTCTCATTCATACCTTTGGCAACACACTCTCTGGAAATGACAGCTGGAGTTTGAAACTGCTTTTTGTATTCCTCATACATCAGATTATTTTTACCCGATGAGGCAGTGCTTTCTGTCCACTAGTATGTAGTATGTTGCTTTGGTTAGTAGGTAAAATATCTGCAGCAAGCATAGTTTTTCTTTTTTTAACTAGAGGGGTGTGTATGCTCCCAGTGACTCACATATTCATGCAGTAAGTAATATAGCTTTAGATCCAAAATATTTATCTTCATTTTACTTAGTAAATGGTGAGTAGGTATTTGAAGACTAAAGAAATAAGTGAGTTTTAGTCCTTAAAACTGGGTTTGTAATTTATGCCATTTAGAGAATGGCATCTTACAAGCATGTGAAGTACTAAAGTTATTTCTACTTTCATTTATGTTGTATCTTGGGGAAGGGAAGGGCGTTTCTCTGGAGAGACTTATTGGCTTATTCTCATGTTCCCTTCATGGACTCTGTGCCATTCTTCTTTATATTGCAATATAGGTATACAATCCTGAAAACTGATATTACCAGGGCAAGTAACACAGGATCCCGTTGTCAGAATTTGCTGCCTGAAACGGTGAAACCAAGGGCCATTCTTCTGGGGAGGAGAAAGATGAGTGTGTAGTAGATTTCCAAGTGGGAAATACTTTTCTTAAGGTCCTCAGAGATAAAGACAAGCGTGTTCCTTCACAGCTCTGAAGTGACCCTTTTTACATGACTTGGAGTTGCCTTCTTATTTTTGGTTGAATGTTTTTTTGCTTGATGTACCCCTAGCACTCATTTCATCTCCATAAAACTAGCAGAGATCTAGTCCTTGCCCACTTTTTTTTTCCCCCGTCAGAGAAAGGAGAAGAAGACAGGAAGTAGATTTGTGTGGTATGGACATTGATGAAGTTGAGTTTCAAGTCTGGAAGGTCTGTTTCCAGTTGGTAGTTTCTGTCTTGCACTGGCTACTTCCAAAGTCAGTCATCAGAGAACAGAGCGATCCACTGTACTGCTCAAATGCACTCTTTCTCTGGGGCAGTGGAGCTGAAACAGTGTTATCCACTGCTTTCAGTACTGGAAAAGGGAAAGAGCCAACTCGATTTTTTTCCCCCTCCTTAGGCGGAGCAACACCCATGCACTTCTCTAATTACAGTGGTAGAAACAGCCTCTCAAAATGTGACCTGCCTATTTCAAATGCCAAACAGTTAACATAGTTTGTTTCATCTGCCTAACCTCCACTTGTTTTCTCTAATTTTTTTTTTTTTTTGCTATTCTTTGTCTTTTAATATCACAAATGAAAATGTGCTACAAACCTAGGCTCTTTGATGAGGTGAAGATACTCAAGAGACAGCGTGAGAATTAAGCTCTGTCAGTAACCATGACCAACAGGAGCCTGTTGTCCCTGAATGATCGTCACTGGATTTTGAGGGGTCTGCTGGGAAAGAATTTACATTTTTGTGCTTTCAATGATGCTACTAAAGTTGTTTTGAATCTTGAGTCATTTCCCTGCTAAGAACATAACACATATTGTACTTCATCTGTGACTTCAACTGAAGCTCTGCATTTTTCAGTGTTAAGGGTTAAAAAATCAGCTACTCTTCCCCTTTGATATTTTGTTTTGAAGGCCTGTTTCAGAGAAGGTATTTGCATTGGCTCATCTGAGCAGGGTGGTGATTTCTATTCCTTCTGTAAGAATGAAAGTTGGTGTTTAAGGGAAGAAAAAAAAGAATGAGTCTCCTCTTGGCTGTGTGAGCTGAGGGATTCCAGAAAACAAGACTACTTAAGGAAGGTGGCCTTTAAACAGAAAGGGGGCAGTAGCGAGTGAGTCACCAGCCTTTCAGAAAAGGGATGCGCCGTTGTCCTCATCCGCCACGGTGTTCTGAGAGCTGAGTTGTATGGACACCAAGTACCAGGAGATAGGAGACTGAGGTACAAGTTGGGTGGAATCATGAGGTAGGCCAGATTGAGCAGAGGATCTGTCTGTCCTCCCTATGGCCAACTTGAGCAGAGGATCTGTCCTCCCTATGTACTGCATTGACCGCTGCTTGCACTGTGTGGCCTCTGGCTGCCCGCTGGTTTTCAAAGTTAGTGCCAGGGTTTTCCATTATTCTGTCTTCAGGAGGGGTTCAGCCCTTGGTACCTCAGTTTTGATTGGTTACCCATCCCCAAATTGTAAGTTATGTTAATTAGAGATAAACTCTTGGAGGTTTAGTTCCAAAAAGATAGAATGCATGGAAGACTGAGTATAATTTGAAACCTAGAGTTTTTGTAGTAATGCCAGGTCAAAGCATTATCTCAGTCTCAAAGATGAAATGGTCAGTAATGCCTGAATTACAGAGAAAAGTGGTGGAGGTGGACAGTTAGAACTGCCTTTCTGTGGTTGGGTGCAGTGGCTCATGCCTGTCATCCCAGCACTTTGGAAGGTTGAGGCGGTCGAATTGCTTGAGCCCAGAACTTTAAGACCAGCCCGGGCAACATGGCAAAACCCCATCGCTACAAAAAATAGAAAAAGTAGCTGGGCATGGTGGTGCAGCACCCGTGGTCTCAGCTACTTGGGAAGCTGAGGTGGGAGGATCACTTGAGCCTGGGAGGTCGAGGATGCAATGAGGTGTGATCGTGCCACTGCATTCCAGCCTGGGCGACAGAGTGAGAGCCTGTCTCAAAAAACAAAACCAAACAATAACAAAAAATGCTATTTTTCTTTTCAACAGTGTTTTTCCTCCGTAAAACTGCATTAATACTTAGAAGTAGGGATGGTTAGATAAAACTAGTGTTGAGTGTTCCCATTTGGTGCTATATACTTGTTATAAAATGATTTCTGATTAATGACTTTCTGAATTGCTACTCTTTTACTTTATACGGTAAGTGAAAGTGTTTCGTTAATTTATTCACACATCAATCCTACCCCCGCCACCAGAAGCTGGGGTTGTAGCATATGGAGAGGCTATTTATCCTCATAGGTCGTGAAAGCCGAATAAATGTTTACTTTTGCAGATAAATCTGATGTTTGAGTTTCCTTTTCTTTATATTATTTTATTTTTTTGAGATGGAGTCTCGCTCTTGTCTCCCAGGCTGCGGTGCAATGGTGCAACTTTGGCTCACTGCAACCTCTGCCTCCTGGGTTCAAGCAATTCTTCTGCCTCAGCCTCCTGAATAGCTGGGATTACAGATGCATGCCACCATGCCCAGCTAATTTTTGTATTTTTAGTAGAGACGGAGTTTCACCATATTGGCCAGGCTGGTCTTGAACTCCAGACCTTAGGTGATCCTCCTGTTTCAGCCTCCCAAAGTGCTGGGATTACAGGCGTGGGCCACTGCACCCAACCAGAGTTTCCTTTTCTTTACATTTTTTGGTGGTTTCCTGCCCTCCGAGTATTTCACTCTCCTGGATGATACTATTGAAATTTAAGTTTTTAGACACATTAACTCCTCACTTGCTCAATTGTTTTTCTTCATGCAGATTCAGAGTATTCCATTTCCAAATAGCATTAGTTTCACAGCTGCCCTATCAGGATAAGTCCAACTCCTTAGCAAGACATTGGAAGACTCTTAAAGTCTCCTGCCTGACCTCTTCAGACTTACCTACAATGCTTTCCTTCTTCCTATCCCTGGGTCATTGTGAATAAGTTGCAGTTTCCCAGAAAGTGCTTGTTTCAATTCTTTCCTCAACCCCGTTTGCCCAGATGATATCTGTTTCACCTGTTAAGTCTTAGTCTAAGGTTTAGCTCTGGTCTTTCCCAATTGTCCTATTCTACATGTTCTTCCTATCGTAGGACCTTTTTTTTTTTTTTTTTTTTGTGAGACAGAGTGTCACTCTGTCACCCAGGCTGGAGTGTGCAGTGGCACAGTCTCACTTCACTGCAACCTTTGCCTCCTGGGCTCAAGAAATTCTCATGCCTTAGCCTCCTGAGTAGCCGGGATTACAGGCACATACCATGACACCCAGCTGATTTTTGTATTTTTAGTAGAGACGGGGTGTCGCCATGTTGGTCAGGCTAGTCTCGAACTCCTGACCTCAAGTGATCTGCCTGCCTCGGCATCCCAAAGTGCTGGGATTACAGGCGTGAGCTCCCGCGCCCCACCCTTCCTATCATAGGACCTTCACACTGTATCACCTCTCTACTTCTGTTTCCTCTGCCAGTTTTGAGTGCGAGGACTGAGTCTTATTTCTTTTTGTGTCTCCAGTGTGTAATGTGGTGCCTGACACTCAGTAGATACTATGTAAATATTTGTTGGGTGTGTGATTATATAAATATTAAGAGATGTGATACAAGCATTCATAACCAGAAAGATCACAGTGACTTCTGCCTGGCTGCCTTTTCTATATTTTTTTAAAGCAAGTTTATAATCCAAAGTTGTGCCAACTAAGATCTTAGGATCATTAAAGAAAAAGTACTTTTAAAGCTAAGCATACTTATTCAAAAGAGGGAGCAGAAAATTCTACCTTTATGTATATAATAAGTTAACATATGTAATGGCTAAACCTAACACATTAACACTGCAGAAATAAACCACTTAATGTGTCTTCTTTCTATCTTTAGAATATTATCCAAGCATCAAGAATAAATCTTATTGCACAAATAAAACAAGAGTGTATCATGGGCTATAGCAGGAGGGGGAAAATGTCTTGGGTATAGGGTGAGAAAGTAAAACCAGCTTTTAGTACTTGTTTGGTACAGTTATTTAAATGCTCTATTTTACTTTGAGATTGGTAATAACTGGAGCTCAATCATCATGCTCCAGAGGGAGTAGTAGCTCAACTTCACTGATTCTGTTATTTTTAAAATTTTTGTACCTGAAAGGTTTTTGTGCGTTAATACATTTTTTGTGCCTTAATACAAATAATAAAGGTTTTTGTGCTTTAATATGCAAGTAAATGTACATGAATGGCAGCGGCAGCTTTGGAGTGAAACAGCTGTGATTATGTTTATCATCACAGATTATAACGGTGATTAGAATCACTTTCAAGATTTTATTCAATTGAAAGGAAAGAAAATGGATATGTATTCAATGCTACATTATGTCAGACATCTAGCTTTCATATTTTATATGCTTTCATTCCAAAAGCACCCCATAACAGGATGTTATCCCCATCTTAGAAATAGAGCTAAAGTACTTAACCAGGCTGGTGGGGCGTGTCATGGGTTCAGATTCTAACGGTTCTGCAGAAAACATTCTTCAGAGCCAAGTGGAAACTTTTGGTATGAATGAAGCCCGGATTTATATTAGGAGAGGAAAGAATGATGCCATTATGAAACATTTCTTGGTGACATAAAATTAAGGTTTCACTGTCCTCATCAGTCTGTCAAAATTTCCACGGCAGACCCTTTATTTCAGGTCTTGTTTTCCACCCAAACTGTGAAATCTCATGCTAAACTTAAGGCATGGCCACTTCAGTGTTGGCTGTGTCTAGTAGAAATTGCTATAACTGCATTAAAAAAACTCTTTATTAAATTATACAAAAGGGAAAATGGTTTCTGGAAATAGATTTCTATCAAGGATGGAATGGAAGGGAATGATTTGATTAATGGCCAGCACGAGATAAGAATTATTTGAGAGCAAGTCCATCAAGTAAGATTAGCGTAAGGGCAGTTCATCTTTAATGCCTTCTCTTGCTGTTCCCCCTCCAGTATCCATGAGCAATAGTAGATCCATCTGTCCCGTCCACGGTGACTGCAGTAGGTAGTTAGGAAATAAACCATAAGGATGTAAATATGAGACATGAGTTTAGCTCTGACTTGGACAAGCTTCCTCAAGTTTGAGGGGATGGGTCAATGAGGGTCCAGTTAACAGTTGAATTGAGAGTAAAATTCTACTGTAGAGATTAACTCATGGTTTTACCGTCAGGAAAACTGGTAGTTTTGAGTTAATCTCTACGATAGAATTTCTTTCTCTCTCTCTCTCTCTAGATATATATATATGTGTGTGTGTGTGTGTGTGTGTGTGTATGTATGTATGTGTATATGTGTGTATATATATGTGTGTGTGTATGTGTATGTATATATGTGTGTATATATGTGTGTATGTATGTGTATATATATGTGTATATATGTGTGTATATATATGTGTGTGTGTATATATATATACACCTAGCTTGTGTGATACACACAAGTTCGTGTGTGGTTGTGCACAAAGTTTATGACGTAGGGGTTTTCTTATACTTGAAACACTACAACTGATAGCCAGCACCCATATAGCACTTACTGTATACACTGTTCTAAGCACTCACTTTTAACTCACTTGATCCTCACACAATTCTGAAGAGATAGGCAGTGTTGTGATTCCCGTTTTACAGATGAGGAAACAGGCACTGAGGCACAGGGAGGTTTAGTAACTTGTCCACAGCCACATAGTTAGAAAATGGTGGGGCTGGGATTCAGACCTGGGCAGTATGAGTCCAGATGCCATGCTGTTAAGCCAGGTGTTCTGCTGCCTCTCACAATTCTCCTTTTCTTGAAGTTTTGTCACACTTAAATCACACCATTAACTTGAATGTCGAGGTATTAAAGAATGAAGTGTTTTTTCTTTTTTTTTTTTTTTCTGAGACGGAGTCTTGCTGTGTTGCCCAGGCTGGAGTGCAGTAGTGTGATCTCAACTCACTGCAACCTCCGTCTCCTGGGTTCAAGCAATTCTCCTGTCTCAGCCTCCCGAGTAGCTGGGATTACAGGCATGTGCCATGATGCCCGGCTAATTTTTGTATTCTTAGTAGAGATGGGGTTTCACTGTGTTGGCCAGGCCGGTGTTGAACTCCTGACCTCAGGTGATCCGCCTGCCTCGGCCTCCCAAAGTGCTGGGATTACAGGCATGAGCCACCACGTCCAGCCGGAAGTGTTTTTTCAATTCAGTAGCACTTAATGTGCTTCCTGCCTGTAGTGGGAGCTTATGGCCTGATACATGGACCTCTGTTTAGTCTATGTCATGCCAGACCCTGCAGGGCGCAGGACAGAAGACATATATGAAAACAACACATTGTAACAATACATCTATCACGTACATTATATTACATCTTAGTCTGAATGAAATAACAGTTTTTGAAGCATGTGGGAAGGAAGGAGATATTTTTTGAGCTCATCAGGAGATGGCTCTTGTTTTGGGCTTTGTAGGTTGCTAGAATTTCCTTTGATTAGGAAAATGGAGGAAGCTCTTCTAAGGTAAGGGAATGGCATGCGTGAGAGAGGGATGAGAGTGACTCACGTTCCAGGAGTAGTAGACTGAGAGAGCCCATCTTATTTGGGATGTTGCCCCCACTGACCTCCAAATGGAAGAACAGATAGGAAAAATATGTAGGGAGCTACTTCATGCTTTGCCACATACTGATTCTTTATTAAATACATGGTTTCCTCTTGTAACTTTTTGTTTTCATGTCATCATTTTCAGAACAAAGTTACAAATACAGAGATTACTGTATCTACATGTAGAAGATACATTGTACTGAAGCTTGGAAAATAACTTCTTGTGTTTAAAATAAGCTTGTTCAACCGGTGGGCCGCATGCAGCCCAGGATGGCTTAGAATGTGGCCCAACACAAACTTGAAAACTTTCTTAAAAAATTATGAATTTTTAAATTTTTATTTATTTATTTGTTTTAAAAGTTTATCAGCTATCATTAGTGTTAGTGTATTTTACATGTGGCCCAAGACAGTTCTTCCAGTGTGGCCCAGGGAAGCCAAAAGATTGGACACCCCTGGTTTAAAAAGTGTGCTACTTTGACACTTCTTTCTGCTGATCTCTCTACTATAAGGAAGCTGGCAATAGTGATTATTGATTATATATAGCATCATGTTGGGAGTCCAGGGTCTTACCGCATGGAAATTATGACTGGAGATGAGATACTCAGTTATACTAGATACATGTATTAATAAGGGAAAAATAAAGAACTAAAATATTTACATATTAAAAATCAGCAGCCGGGCGTGGTGGCTCACGCCTGTAATCCCAGCACTTTGGGAGGCCAAGGCAGGCAGATCATGAGGTCAGGAGATCGAGACCATCCTGGCTAACACGGTGAAACCCCGTCTCTACTAAAAATACAAAAAATTAGCTGGGCGCGGTGGCGGGCGCCTGTAGTCCCAGCTACTCGGGAGGCTGAGGCAGGAGAATGGCGTGAACCCGGAAAGCGGAGCTTGTAGTGAGCGGAGATCACGCCACTGCACTCCAGCCTGGGTGACAGAGTGAGACTCTGTCTCAAAAAAAAAAAAAAAAATCAGTAACACTTTCTATTTTAGAAACTGTCAACTGATGTATTCAGTCAGAATTTCTGGTTCATGATCCGTAGTTTATTCCTTCTCTCTCCATGGGCTAACCTCGGGCTGATGTGTTTTCACCGTGGTCAGAAACCTTGGTAAGGAAAGGAAAGGGGTGCTGCAGTGTACTGGTATCCTAGTTTGGAGTATTAGTTTTCATCTGGGATTGAGATTTGAGAAATACAAGTTTACATGATACTGCTACCATGCTACTGTGAACTTACAGTGTACTACCACCCCATGGGTGGAAAGGATGCTGGAACAGAAGCTAAGTAGGCTGCCCTTGTGTGTGACTGGTGAATTGGGAAGCTGTAATTTGAAATTGGGGAGATTTAGTGAATGTCTTATGTTTCCATTGCAGTCGTTTTTTTAGTTGCTGAAGCTGTACAGATAAGTAGCCAATCCCTTTTTCTCAACTTATCTCTTCATTTTTTTCCTTCTCTTAGGTTTCTAATAAGGAATGATTTGTGGTGCTGTTTGTGATAATTGGAATAAAACTCTCACTGGTTTAGAAAGCTTGGCTCACAGTTGTAAAGACTTCCATTAGCTTCCATTCAGATTTATGTTGAAGTTAAATGGCTGTACACTAGCTTAAATCATTTTCCTCCTTTTGTTGAATTCATGCATGCAACTATACATCCTAAGTGAATGAACTGTCCTAAAATGTGAAAATGGGAGATTACTCATTTTTTAAAAATGTAAAATATTTTAACTTGATTCTTAAGTATTTACAATGTAGAAAATAGCTTAAAACATGACTGTTAAGTTCTAAATATGAAGATGTTTTTCTTAATGCTGTTATAGTTGGGAGAAGTTGTACATGGATGACTTAAAATTTAATAGGTGGGCTTCAAAATAAGATGATCATATTATGAGTAATTTGCCTAACAATACTTCTGAAGTTTTCTTTTTAGTGAACTTAATTTTATCATGTGCCAAATTTGTTTAATACTGAAGTGACTTTTGTTGCTTTAGTTTCACATTAGTTTCTTCAATCTGAATGGCACATTAATATGGAAAACTTCTCTAGAATTCTGTTTTAATTAAAAAATGAGGCTTTGTTTCTGTATATCACATAGATGTGACTTTAAAATGGAAATGATCGTTAATTACAAACAGTTTAGAAACATGGAGGAATGATTTTTTTTTAATTTTTAGGTGCTAATTCAAGTTTAGGGATAATGGCTGATAGGCACCATTATCCTTTTTTTTTTCTTTTTTACTTATTTTGTACAACTAGGCACCATAGCACATGCTGGTATTGAGCTGGATTGATGTCTGTGTGATGCAAATTAACTTTCAAGTCATATTTTATAAAGCTGAGTTGTCGGGCTGGAGCGGGAATAGTTGGTATGCTTAAGACTTGTCATGGTGGGTTGGGCGTGGTGGCTCACGCCTATAATCCCAGCACTTTGGGAGGCCGAGGTGGGCAGATTGCTTGAGGTCGGTAGTTTGAGACTAGCCTGGCCAATGCAGTGAAACCTTGTCTCCACTAAAAATACAAAAATTAGCCAGGCGTGGTGGCGGGTGCCTGTAATCCCAGTTACTTGGGAGGCTGAGGCAGGAGAATTGCTTGAACCCGGGAGGCAGAGGTTGCAGTGAGCCAAGATCACGCCACTGTACTCCAGCCTGGGTAACAGAGCAAGACTCGGTCTCAAAAAAAAAAAGACTTGCCGTGGTGGCTGGCCTAAGTAGGCAGATTGCTTGAATTCATGAATTTTAGACCAGCCTGGGTAACACGGCAAAAACCTGTCTCTACAAAAAAATATTTTTTGTAATAAAATTACAAAATTAGGCTAATTTTTATTAGCCTATAGTCCCAGCTACTTTGGAAGTGGGAAGATTGCTTGAGCCCGGTGGTTGAGGCTGCAGTGAGCCGAGATTGTGCAGCTGCACTTTAGCCTAAGTGACAGAGTGAGACCCTGTCCCCTCCACCCCCACCCAAAAAAAGGCTTGCAATGGTGGTCTGCCATGGTGGTCTGCCATGAATCTAATGAAATGTTGTGGAAGGATAATTTAGAGGCTCTGGGCTTTTTTGTTTAATTTTCTGAGTAATATGACAATTGAAGTATATTGCTAATGCTTTTCTAGATGTTATATGTTTTATTTAAAGTAAACTCTGGAAAATAGAAAGCATTTGTGATTTTAATTTTGACAGTATCGTTTGTGCACAAGTTGTTTTTGGCTGACTTACCCGTTGGTGAAGAATTATTAAAGGTCAAAGTTTTATCTCGAAATTATGAAGCACGTTATTAACTTTGGCTTCTGTTGTATTTCCAGTGTGTTCCTTTTTGTCAGGTTATATTTTATATTCTAGGTATTTTATCCTGATAGCCTGATACTTTTTCTTATATGGAGACTTTTTCTTAGCATGAAAAAAAAATTTTTTTAAGTAGAATATATTTCATGTCAGATGAGCAAAACTTTTTGTCACTAAGAAGTAACTGGGTATCTCTTACATGACATTGGGTTTTAATATTACTAAAATTATATATTCATAGGTGGTAGTCATGCAATAACCTGAATTCATATACTTCTTTTTTTTTTTTAATTTTTTATTTGAGACAGAGTCTTGCTCTGTCGCTCAAGGTGGGGTACAGTGGTGTGATCTTGGCTCACTGTAACCTCCGCCTACTGGGTTCAAGGGATTCTCCTGCCTCAGCCTCCTAAGTAGCTGGGATTACAGGCGCCTGCCACCACACCTGACTAATTTTTTTGTATTTTTAGTAGAGACAGGGTTTCGCCATGTTGGCCAGGCTGGTCTTGAACACCTGACCTCAAGTGATCTGCCACACTTCAGCCTCCCAAAGTGGTGGGATTACAGGTGTGAGCCACTCCACCTGCCTCTTAATTCATATACATTTAAATACTGACCTTTGTTGACCTTCTTGGTGAATCCTGTTGTCATAGGGTCAGGAAAAGCCCTGTTGTTAGAATTTTAGAGTAAGAAAGGACCGTAGAGGCTGTCTAGCCCAGGTTCTTGAATTTATACCTGTAGAACTGGCTATAAGAGTTAAGTGACTTGCTGTAAACCAAACCCCCAGAGAGTGGCCACTTAAGTCTCCAGCCCCTACCTCCTATAGGATGACCCTGTGCTATGAACCTTTGTACTTGTACTCTGTAGTCTTGACTCTCAAATGCCATTCCCAGTGAGTACAAGTGCCCATCCAATACTCTATTTTTTTTTTTTAAAAAAAGAAAGCATGAGGGAATCTGCAAACAAAGCAGACGTGAGATTCCTTTTATTTTCTTTGAAAAACGGCAGTGCCTTTTAGAGTCAAATATGCATCTAAACTCTAGGAGTTTTACCAGGTAAATAAGGATTGTATATTTAGCTTTCATAATTTATAGGTGAACAGTCTAGTAACAACATAAAGAACTCGTATTAAAGAATATTAAAAATGCTTCAGACTTTTGATTTGTATTGGATGAGAATTCATGGGCAAGGAAGATGACCGTTCACGAAATTGTATATTTTTTCTCTCTAATTTTAACTCTGTGATTCTCTGGCAACAGGCTATACAGTTCTGGTGTTACTTAGTCTGCAAAAATCTTACATTGTTTTCATACCAGAGCTGATTTTGCCTTTTTATATATTACCTAAAATACACACATACAAATAAATTACTCATTAGTTAATCTACAAATGTACATATTTTTAGTAGCTCCCTAAACAAGATTTAAAGCTTGACTAAATGTAGTCATGGAGCTTATTATTTGGTAGTTTTGCATTCTGTAGTTTATGTAACTCTATCCTTAAAATTGAAATTATTTCTGAGTGGTACAAGCCAAATACAGAAGTCAAAGCTTTATTTTTGATAGTTTCAGTGTTGTTGATTTGAGGTTCTGACCTTGGAAATAAAGATACAGAAAATAAACACACAAAATATACAAAATAACAATGGACATTTATGTATGCTTTTTTCAATGTTTATTTTCTAGCTAAATCCAAGCACAACCTAAAAGTCTTATAAATATTCCATGGAAAATTTTCCTTCCTATGCTAGGTTTCTGAGTTGCTTTAAAAATTAGTCTGAAACAATGGTTACTTTTTTTCTCCTTGGTAAATTTCCCTGGGGGAGTCTCTTGGACATTCTTTATTGCCCTGAGTCTTTGAACCATATTCAGAATGAGAAACTGAAGACAGTTGGTCTGAAGATACTCGGAGGATGGACAGAAATGACCACAGCTGATTTGATATGTATGAATAATTTTGAAAAATTTTGATAGAACTCAAGTGCCAAGGACAGTTTCCATGTCGCCTTCTTTATTGTTCCTTTGTGCCTGCTATATGGATGTTATTGTCTTTTTTGAATAATGGCCTCCCTTTTCAAATAATTTAGCTCACTTTTTAAAAATTTTTTTTAGACAGCCTTGCTCTGTCGTCTATGCTGGAGTGCAATGGCATGATCTCTGCTCACTACAACCTCTGCCTCCTGGGTTCAAGCGATTCTCCTGCGTCAGCCTCCCAAGTAGCTGGGATTACAGGCATGCACCACTGCACTTGGCTAATTTTTGTATTTTTAGTAGAGACAGGGTTTTGCCATCTTGGCCAGGCTGATCTCGAACTCCTGACCTCGGGTGATCCACCCGCCTCAGCCTCCCAAAGTGCTGGGATTACAGGGTGTTAGCTAACTTGTCTTAAAAAAATCTTTGATAGTTCCCAGAATGAAGGGCTGAGGGGACTTGTATTTGTTCCATGAACTCAGACTCATGCTATCCACATCCTGAAGTGATCAAACCATCCTTGGCTCTAACAACTGGAGTTCTTTCTCATCATTACCCTTCTGAAATCTTTAGAAGAAATAGGTTTCTTTGCTCCAAACTTTTTAAACTTTTAGTTGCTTTGGAGTAATGTCACTCTGGGTGAGGTCAGCCTTGTCAGGGTGGTTGCTGAGTGCATTTATATTGGTTCTCATTGGCAGTAATCTCATTTACAAGCATAGTTAATAGAAATGGAAGGCCAAAGATCTTATGTCATTGCCTGGTCTCTTAGGAGAGATGAAATAGGAATTCATGGAGCCTCAGAGATCTGGAAAAGCATCTTCCTGTAGACTAACACTGTCCTGTAGAATTTTGTGTGATCATGGAGTGTTCCCTAATCTGCACTGTTTAGTATGGTAGCCACTTGCACCATCTGGCTATTAAGCACTTAAAATGTAGAATGAATTTTTAATTTAATTCATTAAAGTTAAATGGCTACATGTAGCTAATGGCTACTGTATTGGAAGATTCAAATTTAGACTATTTTTAAGAAAATAAAATTCTTTAAATTTTTTAAAGAGATGGAGTCTCCCTCTGTCATCCAGGCTAGAGTGCAGTGGTACAATCCTAGCTCACTGCAGCCTCCAACTCCTAGCCTCAAGAAACCCTCCCACCTTAGCCACCCAAGTAGCTAGGACCACAGGCAGCTCTCACCGTGCCCAGCTAATTTTTAATTGTTTTTTTTTTTTTTTGTAGAGATGGGGTCTTGCTATGTTGTCCAGGTTGGCCTCCAGCTCCTGACCTCAAGCAATCCTGTCTCGGCATCCCACAGTAGTGGGATTATAGGCATGAGCCACTGCACCTGGCTAGCTTTGGAGTATTCTTAGGGAGTAACATTGGATCATATTTTTTAAACCTGAATTTCATTGTAAAATAAAACACATACAGAAAACCATGCAAAACAAATGCATAGTTTAATGAATTATATGTCAACATTCCTGTAACCACTGCCCAAGGCTAAGTAGTAAAACTTGACCAGTCCTCCATGTGCCTCATCCCTCCCACCAAAGTAATCACTATTATGACTTTTAGATTCATGGCTTCCTCATGCTTTTTAGTTTTATCACCCAAGTGATAAAACTTATCCTTAGGCACTATAGTTTGATCTTGCATATTTCAAAATAATTGCAAATGTCCTTAAATCTTTTTTAAATGATCACTTCCTCCTCCATCTCCTCCTTTTCCTTATAATTTATCTGGGGGAGTACCTGACTTCTTTTGACCTGTGGAGTTTTCCACAATCAGAATTTTGCTAATTGCATGCTCCCAGTGCACGTTACCACATTCCTTTGTATTTTCTGCAAATTGGCAGCTTGATCCAGAGGTTCAAATGATCAGACTCAGGTTGATCTGGGTTATTTAGTTTTTAAGATGCCTTTATAACTTCACATGCTTGTTAATTATGGGTCTGTTATTGTGGAAAGAACACCAATGGAATGTTTTCTATCAAGGTGTCCAAAATTGAGAGCAGTTAGTATGATAAAATGGTTTATGTTAAATTTTGCTGTATCTAAAATGCAACACTGAGACATCTACTGAGTGCTACTTGTGGAAAATCAGATTGTCAGAGGTTTCTCTAAATGTATTTAATATGTTCATTGGACCTCTATGCAGATTGAGTTTTTATCAACTGCTTCTGTGGGCAAGAAGTGTGTATGGGTATGTCTGCTGGAGTGGTAGAAAGAATTGCTAATCAGATGGGCACGGTGGCTCATGCCTGTAATCCCAGCACTTTGGGAGTCCGAGGCGGGTGGATCACCTGAGGCCAGGAGTTCGAGACCAGCCTGGCCAACATGGTGAAACCCCATCTCTACCCTAAATTCAAAAATTAGCTGGGTGTGGTGGCACATTCCTGTAATCCCAGCTACTGTGGAGGCTGAGACAGAATGGCTTGAATCTGGTAGGTAGGTGGAGGTTGCAGTGAGCTGAGATCACACCACTGCACTCCAGCCTGGGCAACACAGCAAGATTCTGACTCAAAAAAAAATTGCTAATCAAATCGTTATAGCCATTTACTTGTCTAAACTTCACCCACATGACTGTACATACCATCTTTTTTTTTTCCTGGTCTTTTAATTTCCAACACAAGATTAAAATTGGGTTTTAGTTATTTTTGTGCACTGGAACATCTGGTGGCAAAGAAAGCAGGAGGTGAATTGGGTGTGTTCCTGTTTGAAGAAGCAGATGGTCAATAACACTTGGACCTGCTGTGTATAGAACTTCACATAAACATTGATATGGAGAAAGAGTTTTCATAAAAATTAGCCTCTTTACTCTTATCAGGGAGTTTAAAATATAACTAGATAAATATGACTTAGATACACAAAATACTAAGGGTGCTTTTATGAAGAAATATAGGCAGGCATCAGTGGCTCACGCCTGTAATCCCAGCACTTTGGGAGGCTGAGGCAGGCAGATCATCTGAGGTCAGGAGTTCGAGGCCAACCTGGCCAACATGGTGAAACCCTGTCTCTACTAAAAATACAAAAAAAAAAAAAAAAAAAGCTGGGCATGGTGGTGTGTGCCTGTAATCCCAGCTATTTGGGAAGCTGAGGCAAGAGAATTGCTTGAACCTGGGAGGCAGAGGTTGCAGTGAGCTGGGATTGTGCCACTGCACTCTCGCCTGGGCAACAGAGTGGGACTCTGTCTTAACAAAAAAAGTCAACATTTATAAGTTAATATATAAAAAAAATTTGAGAGACTTTCCAATGTGATAAAAAAAGCAGTAGACTGGAAATTAGGTAATCTTGATTTGTCTCCAGTTTAGGCCTTTGTCCTCATCTGTGTAAATGAGGGAATTAGACTCTAGTAGGGATAGCAAACATATGACATTCTTGCCAGATACTATGGCAGATAACACTCATTAGTCACGGTCTTCATTCAGCTTCAGAATTCTTCTCAAATTTAGGGCTCCAGTGGCCATTACATATTGGTTGATTGGAACTGACATGGGAGACAACAATTTGCCATTCCTAGGCTACATCCTTTCCAAGTCCCTTCCTAGCTACAGATCTCCTCTGTGAATAAAGAAAAATCCTTGGAAGCTCTAAATTACCCTGCTAGTCAGTGTTTCTATAACATATTTCCCCCACTTCTTTTAATTCTTCCCTGGAAGTGCAGCATCTCAGAAAAACAACTATGCCAGTAAAAATTTTTCCTAAAAATGTTATCCATTGAAATATTGAACATTTCATCCAAAGCAAACCATTGGTCATTGTGGATTGGCCTTAGGCCAGAATTGAGTTGGTTTAGAATGGGTTGGGGAGTGGGGGAAGCCAACAATCCTTTTTATCCCTTGATGTTATTTTTCTTTATTAGCAGCATGTAAAATGTTAAATTTTTCTAATTTTTGTTGGGCCCAAGCCGATGTTTATTACATTCAATTTATGGGAACTCTTTGCAGTTGAAATTTGGTATTTGAGTCACGTATTGCTTTCATGGTCTTTTACAGAGCTCTGTGACCCAAGTAGTCACTCTGTTGCCTCCCGCCCCACTTTAAAAAAAAATCTGGACAGGAAATAACAAAATACTAGGAGTAGACTTGTGTTTGACCTTATAGGAACCATAATTAAGGGTGAAATAGTGGGATCCTCACCCCAGCAATGCTTGATGATAGTAGGGGTAGAGTGTCCTATTCATAAATCCACAGGAGAGAAAGTCATGTTGGAAACAGCAAGTCAGGAGGCTAATGTTCCTAAAAACCCTTTGAGAACAGGGTGTAGAGAAGAGAGAAAAAGCCCTAAGGGGCGGGTGGTTGTGATTTATTGAAAGCTTACTCCGAATCCTTTGAGCTACCTAGAGAGCCCTAGGATTACTTTGAGTTTATAGGACTGCAAGCTTTTGCATGCACAACTCCTATTTTTGAAAATTTGACCTTTAAAATGATTTCCTTTCCTGTCTCCCATCCCTCTCCACCTTTCCCCCTTTTAAAACTGGACTTTTGTGTAAAGTTTTAGGTTTTAGGGTTGATGTGAAGGCCCTAAGACCTCCATCTATGAGTGGCTACCATCCATTCACACACCTAAAAATTATTTAGCAGGTACCGTACTAGTTACTAGGAATAACCGGAGGACCTACCATTTGTTGAGAACCCCCTTTGTGTATGGCCCACTGTTAGGCACTTTATGTAGATATCTTTTCTCATTTAATCTTCACTAAATGAGGACAGATTATTTTCTGGATGTAACTCAGATTTAAGTGTTGCTCAAATCACACTACGTGACTGGGTTAGTGTTTGAATGTAGAGCTTCATACTCGTTCATTTTGTTTTTTCTCATGACATGGATTTTTGTGACATTTCATAAAAAAAGGTTTTTGAAAGGTAATTTCTCCGTGGGTTTGCATATCTTTAAAAGCAAATGTTGTCTTCCCTGCCCTCTGCCCTCACTCACCCGTAATAAATTGTAAAAATCTGTCTGTAAGAGCATGCTCTTTAATTTCCTGTCTTATATCCTGGTGGTATGTGATGATATAAAACAAGTGTGGCTGAGCCTGGCAAATTTATAAGATTGAGAAGGTTTCAAAGATGCATGAAAATGGGTTTACGTATAATCAAAGGTTAATTCAACTCTAACACTTTACTTTTGAGGAGCATCCTCTTTTTTGTATCCCTACCTGGGGATGAGAGCTGCTAGGAGCGCAGACAACTCAGTAATTGTGTGCCTGCCTCATGCCTAGTCTGTTCATCCTTTTGAGCTGTCAAGATCAATTATGTTGAACATAGCCAGAGTGGGGTGTAGTCTGGGTACAGACTCAGCTTTTCTTGGCATTGGCAGTATGTGACTTCTGTATCTGATGTGTCCATCCAATTCATATTTTGGAATTTACTTAGATATGCCTCTTATTCATCAGTATTTGAAAATTCTTGATAATCTAAAGTTTGATCCAGGGGAGATTTGCTGAAAGTGACATCAAACAGTACCTTTGTTTTACTTTTAATAATGGATTCATGTAAAAATCACCAGGCATGGTGGCAGACACCTATAGTTCCAGCTACTCAGGAGGCCAAGATGGGGGGAATCACTTGAGCCCTGGAGTTGAAGGCTATAGTGAGCTATGATCATACCACTGCACTCCAGCCTGAGTGACCAAGTGATACCCTGTCTCTTAATAATAATTAAATAATAGGCCAGGCGTGGTGGCTCACGCCTGTAATCTCAGCACTTTGGGAGGCAGAGGCGGGCAGATCATGAGGTCAGGAGAGACCATCCTGGCTAACATGGTGAAACCCCGTCTCTACTAAAAAATACAAAAAATTAGCTGAGTGTGGTGGTGGGCGCCTGTAGTCCCAGCTACTTGGGAGGCTGAGGCAGGAGAATGGCGTGAACCCAGGAGGCGGAGCTTGCAGTGAGGTGAGATCGAGCCACTGCACTCCAGCCTGGATGACAGAGTGAAACTCTGTCTCAAAAAAAAAAAAAAAAAAAAATTGCTGGGTGTGGTGGTGTGTGCCTGTAATTCAAGCTACTGGGGAGACTGAGGCACGAGAATCACTGGAACCCGGGAGGTGGAGGTTGCAGTGAGCCGAGATCGCGCCCCTGTACTCCAGCCTGGGCGACACAGTGAGACTGTCTCAAAAATAAAATAAAATTTCTGGATGTTTCTATCGTCATGTGCTCCCGTAACCGCCAGCTATCTGACATCAACTCTGTAAACTTCATGTCCTGTGTCTCCTTCGTCCACATGACTTACATTTTTTTATTTCAATTCATCTTTTCTGCTCTCATCTCTATTTCTCATCTTTTTGAAATTTGTAGTCATCAGATAGCTTTTATTTGAGTATTAATATGACAAGTTTAGAGGAGAATTATTTCACAGAATGAGGTCTGAAATTTTAGGTGACTATTCAACAGATTTTTTTTCCCTAAGCATTCATCGTCATATCTGCCAGCCACGGTGCCTGATGCTGGAGATACAAGTGAGCAAAGCTGAGACTACCTCTGCTGGAATCCCTCTAGTGATGGACCCAGCCACTAATCTGAAAATCATGTGGACAAGTAACAAAAGACTGCATATGGAGTTACCAAGGAAAGCACTACGGGATTTTGGCAGTGTGTAACAGGGGACCTAACTTAGTCTGAAGGATCAGGAACGTCTCTCCTGAGAAGATAACATTTTTCCCTCTGTTGCCCAGGTAAGAGTCAGTGGTGATTGTAGCTCACTGCAATCTCAATCTCCTGGGCTCGGTCCTCCTGCCTCAGCCTCCAGAGTAGCTGGGTGTTAACAGATGCATGCCCCTATGCCTGGCTATTAAAAGACAATTTTTTTTGTTTTGATAGAGACGGGGTCTCGCTATGTTGTCCAGGTCGGTCTTGAACTCCTGGCCGGTCTTGAACTCCTGGCCTCAAGCTATGATCCTCCTACCTTGGCCTCCCAAAGTGTTGGGATTACAGGCATGAGCCACCATACCCAGCTGGAAATAATATTTGAATGAACTCTAAAGGAGGAAAGGAGTTAACTGATTGAAAATGAAAGGAAAACCCTTCTAGGTAAAGCAGCCAGCAACTGCAAAGGCCCTAAAAGGGGAACATTGTGTGTTCTAGAAACTGAAGGCAGAGGCTGGGTGCGGTGGCTCATGCCTGTAATCCCAGCACTTTGGGAGGCTGAAATGGGCAGATCACTTGAGGTCAGGAGTTTGAGACCAGCCTGGCCAACATGGGGAAACCCTGTCTCTACTAAAAATACGAAAATTAGCCAGGCATGGTGGCACGTGCCTGTAATCCCAGCTACTTGGCAGGATGAGGCAGGAGAATCTTTTGAATCTGGGAGGCGGAGGTTGCAATGAGCTGAGATGGTGCCACTGCACTCTAGCCTGGGTGACAGAGCCGGACTCCGTCTCAAAACAAACAAACGAAAACTGAAGGCAGATCTCATTTGCTGGAGTGTTTTGAATGAGGATTATTATGGTGAGAAGAGGCTGGAGAGGTAGGCAGGAGCCACCTTGCAGGTCTTAGTCCATTTAATCCGTGTTAAAAATTCAGTGCTTTAGCCCAAGAACCATGGCAGTCTTTCAAAGGGCTTTAAGCAAGGAGGTGGCCTGATTAGTGTCTCCTTGTGTAGGAGGATCATGCCTACTGTTATGTGAAGAACTAACTAGAAGTGGGCAAGAATGGATGGGGCAGCCTGTTGGGAGGTCTTTCCTCATTCTGGTGAGAGACTTGGTTCCAGAAACCAGAGATGTGGTGGAGGACAAACGTTTGCAAATCCAGGATCCTTTTTAGGAGGAGAGATCAGCTGGACATGATTTGGAGGTAGAAGGGAGAGGAGGGTATCAAAGGTCAGAGGACTGTGGTGCCATTCACTATTACGTAGCATGCTAGAGGAAGACCAGGTTTCGGGGAAGACCATGTGGTTTTAAACTTGCTGAATGAGAAGTGCCTTAGAGGTCTCCAAGTGTATGGTACAGGGACTGGGGCAGAGGGTGATGCCGGGAAGGCAGCTGGATTTAGGTGCTGGAGCTGAGAGAGGCAGCCAGGACTGGAGAGTCATCTGCTTACAAGTTAAGTTGAATGAATGGCAAGGATTTGAGTGCCTGGAAGAAGGCACAGAGAGAAAAGATGAGAGGGCTGATGGAATCAGTATAGTTTAGTCATCTACGGAGATGGGAATGAACAAGAGAGGGCAGGGTTTGCCCAGAGAGGCAGGAACAAAACCAGGAGCTGTGGTGTTAGGAAAGCCAAGAGAAGAGAGAATTTTAAGCAGGAGGTCCCTACTGCCATAGGTAGGACAAGGTTTCAAGACAGGAGCTGCTCTGATGGCCTGTGGAGGTTGGAGCTTCATCGTAATGGGCAGAGTAAAGGAAATACCTCTGCAGCCATCTGAGCAGTAATTCCCTGGAGAGTTACCAAGGATTGTTCAGTCAAACACACCCCGTCATTTATCTGGATAGTTCTATTTTTCCATACATTGTCTTTGATCGAAATGTCGATCTTTTTTCAACCAGCCGGGATGAAAATGGTGTGAATCGTGTTCTCTCTCTTTAGAAAGAAACTGATAAAATTGGGTTTTCTTTGTTCTTCCTTTTATTTTCATCCATTCAATACCTAGTCCTCACTGAGCTGGTCTTACTCAACCCATTCCCTCTGCTGGTCTGTTGGGTACTAATAACAGATGGAAACAACTGGGAAGATAAACTATTTTCCTGGATTTTTTTTTTTTTTTTTTTAAACAGAGTTTCACTCTTGTTTCCCAGGCTGGAGTACAGTGGCACGATCTCGGCTCACTGCAACCTCCACTTCCTGCATTCAAGAGATTCTCCTGCCTTAGCCTCCCAACTAGCTGGGATTACAGGTGCCCGCCACCACACCCAGTTAATTTTTTGTAGTTTTAGTAGAGATGGGGTTTCGCCATCTCGGCTAGGTTGGTCTCGAGCTCCTGACCTCAGGTGATCCCCCTGCCTCTGCCTCCCAAAGTGCTGGGATTACAGGCGTGAGCCATCGCACCTGGCCCCTGGAGATAATATTGATATGTGACTCAGGGAGGTACCAAACCCAACTGTTGCCCCCTTTCCTTTATTTACTTATCCAGGATATTTATCTATATCTGTAAAAGGATTTATTATTTTTTAGAATCGTACAGCTGTAATGTCTATTCATCCTGTCAGAAGAGATAAAGCGGATCAGTAGGCAAGCATTTGTTGCTGCTTGAGAGAGATTTTATTAAGCTAAAATATTCCATTAGACTCAACTCCATTTTCAAATATTTTGTTAAGAGGGTCTCAGGATGACTGTAGGAAAAAGGTATTTGGAAGATTGTGTACACTGACAATAACTAGATTACAAAATTTTATAAATTAGTTAAGATGGACTTTAAAATAGCAACAGGAAAAACAATTTTGGACTTGTCTGCGAGTGCGAGTGAAGCTGATAGTAATGAGATTTATGGGTTCTGGCCCTGCAGGGATCCCAGTAGGGATGAATAAAGCACATGCCTGCTAGTACATTCACTGATTCTGCTCTTGGATATATTATTTACTTCTTTCCTCTTTTAGTAAGACTTTCATCTGTATTAGTAATTGTTCTATACTTTTAATCTCTGGAGCAACTCCATAAATTAACAAGGGGTTGTGTCTAAGATGATGCTGATAGCCCTGAAGATGTTTTATTTAGTGCTTTTGGGATGATGTGCAGAGATGGGATGTCAGAAGGAATAATTTGGAATCTTATCTCCCTGCTCCTTGGACTCATGTTATCAGGGGAAGGGAGCTTGGGGATGTGGCTGTCTTAGCTGTGTCCTCTGATGGCCTCATCTCAGTGGTTTGGGTTGAAAGACTGTATCTCGTGCTTCCTGTCCCATCAACCTCTCCCTTCGTCTGTTTTTCTCTTCTGTGTTTAAGTATAAACAGAACCCCTTTGTACCTCTCATCTCTTTATCTTCTGAAGACTCTGATGTGGCTACTATGCTCTCCCATTTGGTTAATGCTACTTTAGGTATTTAGTATCTTTATACTTTTGTTGTGTTAGTTGTGATCAGCAAAGTTCTATGCTGTAGCAACACATTAATCTGCAGATCTCAGTGGCTTAACACTACAGAGGTCCACTTCTCCCTTGCTGTTCATATTCATTGTGAGTCGGTACCGGGACTCTCCTCTGCACAGACTTGTAGGATCTCAGTACCTAGAACCTAAGGCCGGATCTTTCAGGAGCTGGGGAGGAGGGACTGGAGGATCTCTCATGGGCTTTTCATTGCTTCAGCTCAAAAACACTTCCACTCAAAGTCATTGGGCAGAGAAAACCACACAACTTAATTATCTTAAGAGGTGGGGACAGGGGAAGTGGAGCGACCGAGAGAAGGGTTGGAACATACAGACATAAGAATGAGAAAGTCTTACGAGTGTTCTGGTCTCTGCCCCATCTGTATTATCTTTGTTTCTGGGAAGGAAATTTCTGACAGCTGTGTTGCTAGCATAACCTCTTGGTTGGTAAATGCATTGCTGTAGACTTTTCCTTGATGGAAACTTTCTCCAAGACAATATAAACTACGCATTGTCTCTTTCTTGTTAAACCACTTTTTTTTACAGTTTATTTTTTCGTTTGCTGTTGAAGATTTGATCAGTATTTTCCTTTTGAATCCAATGGTAGCAAACCAATTTTTTTTTTTTAGAATATATTAAGGCAAAAGAAAACAACTTTTACCCCATTCATAATAGGATGTATAAAAGTAATACCTCTTGGAATAGACCATGGGAATTCTGGTGATACCTAGGGCATCTTATTTGATAAAATATTTTTTCTTTCTTTCCTTCTTTCTTCCTTCCTTCCTTCCTTCCTTCTTTTTTTTTTTTTTTTTAAACAGAGTCTTACTCTGTTGCCCAGGCTGGAGTGCAGTGGCACGATCTCAGCTCACTGCAACCTCTGCCTCCTGGGTTCCAGTGATTCTCCTGCCTCAGCCTCCCAAGTAGCTGAGATTACAGGCATGTACCACCATGGCCAGCTAATTTTTGTATTTTTAGTAGAGACAGGGTTTCCCCATGTTGGCCAGGGTGGTCTTGAACTCCTGACGTCAGGTGATCCCCCTGCGTCAGCCTCCCAAAGTGCTAGGGTTACAGGTGTGAGCCATTGCACCTGACTGAAAGTATTTTCAAAGCCTCTGCTATGGAGTATAGTGTGAGATGTGGAGAAGCTGCAGAGGGAGGGGCACGTTAGCATCTAAAGACTCTGTTGACCATCATCCACATTAGGTCCATTCTACCATTTTCTATGAAGTCTAAAATAGGTTCCTGATTATTTTGTTTTTAATTTTTTTTTTTTTTGAGATGGAGTCTCGCTCTGTCACCCAGGCTGGAGTGCAGTGGCATGATCTCGGCTCACTGCAAGCTCCACCTCCCAGGTTCACGCCATTCTCCTGCCTCAGCCTCCTGAGTAGCTGGGACTACAGGTGCCCGCCACCACGCCTGGCTAATTTTTTGTATTTTTAGTAGAGACGGGGTTTCACCATGTTAGCCAGGATGGTCTCAATCTCCTGACCTTGTGATCCACCCGCCTTGGCCTCCCGAAGTGCTGGGATTACAGGCGTAAGCCAACGTGCCTGGCCGGTTCCTGATATTTTTAAGGGATTTGTTTGTGATTTAAGAATCTGGCTATTTTATAGGACGCTTAAGTGTTCTTTGTTTAAATAAAATTAAAACTTCAAATTTTCCTTTACAACCATTTGACCAGTTACCTCTGTTTCATCTGCCATACATGGAAATAGCTTTCCCAGAGAAACTGACATGAAGGCATGCAGTCTACTACATCAATGACATCTACATTACAAATAATTTAAAAATAGTATATGAAGCAGAGACTGGGTTTACCTATTAGAAAATCTAACAAACTATAGCAAATAAGCATAATTTTTAAGGAAAACAGATCCCTCTAAATGGTGCAAATTTTATATTAATGAAAGAACTCAATCTTTAACTCATATTCTTGTTATAGCATGAATGATCAAGCTGTTTTCTGATAAATAGTTCAAGGATAAAGTGGTCTAATTTGAATAATGGGACTTTATTAGGGGCATCTGCATTAACGTGATTTGAAGCACATGTTTGTATGCTCACTCAGTTGCCTTTTATATAATTACATTCTTTATCAGTTGTTGGTAAAGGTTCACTTCATTTTAACTAGTTTTCAAGTTCTGTCAGGGGAGAGAACCTCTTATTCCCCATGCCCTGTGCTTGTGAAGGGGTCTGGGCTACGTAAATGGGAGGGAGTGAGACTGAAGGGGATTAAGTCCTGGCCTTTGCAGTTCTGTTGTCAGCCTCCCCCAGGAACCAGTGCCTGACTCCTTGGGTCCATCTGTTCCGAGCCCTGACAGACAGGACAAGTAGAAGTAGGTCTAGTCTTTCTTCCTACTGGAGGGTAACTTCGGAGAGTCTTTAGGATGATGCTCTTCATTGAAACCTGGGGGTTATACTTTTTAAAAAAATGTGTTTCACTGTCCCCTTACCCTCTGATTATACTAGTCTTGTGTTCTTTTTAGAACACCTAATATAAAGTGTAAAAAAGTGCAAATAAAGTGTAAAAAAGAGGCCGGGCACAGTGGCTCATGCCTGTAATCCCAGCACTTTGGGAGGCCGAGGTGGGTGGATCACCTGAGATCAGGAGTTCAAGACTGGCCTGGCCAGCATGGTGAAACCCCATCTCTACTAAATATACAAAAATTAGCCAGGCGTGGTGGCTCAGCCTGTAGTCCCAGCTACTTGGGAGGCTGAGGCAGGAGAATCGCTTGAACCCGGGAGTTGGAGGTTACAGTGAGCTGAGATTGTGCCACTGCACTACAGCCTGGGCAACAGAGTGAAACTAGGTCAAAAAACAAAACAAAACAAAACACCAAAAAAACTGTAATATAGTATAAAAAAGAAATGAAGTTACACATGATCAAGTCATCTCTGTTAATCTTTTGTTATACTCTTCTGTCTTTTTAAGTGTGTGTGTGCTTATTTTTTTTTCCTCATGTTACAAAAATACATTTTTAGGTCTTTTGTTAAGAATATATTGTGATAACTCAATTTAAAAATGGGCAAAGGACTTGAACAGACATTTCTCTAAAGAAGACATACAAATGGCCAATAAGCACGTGAGGAGATGCTCCACGTTAGGGAAGTGCAAATCAAGACCACAATGAGATACTGTTTCACACCCATTGGATGGCCGTTAAGAGAATAGAAACAAGTGTTGAGAATGAGGATACATTAGAACTCTTGTGCATTGCTGGTGGAAATGTAAAATAGTGCAGCTGCTGTAGAAAATGGTATGAAGGCTTCTCAAAACATTAAACATAGAATTCCTATGTGTCCCAGCAATTCCACTTCTGGGTATCTGCCCATAAGAATTGAGAGCAGAGACTTGACAGACATTTGTACACCCATGTTCATAGCAGTATTCATAATAGCTGAATGGTAGAAGCAACCCTGTGTTTGTCAGTGGATGAATGGATAAACAAAGTATGGGAACACATAGAGTGGAATATTATTGAGCCTTAAACAGGAAGGGAATTCTGATACATGCTGCAATATGGATGAACTTCAAAGACATTATGCCAAGTGAAATGAGCCAATAACAAAAGGACAAATGTATAGTTTCACTTACATGAGTTATACATTTCATGTATAACTTCTCAAACTCATGGAGACAGAAAGTAGAATGGTAGTGGGCTAGGGGTAGGGGGAAATGGGAAGTTCGTTTTTATTTTCATTTTATTTTTTTGAGGCAGGGTCTCACTCTGTCACCCAGGCTGGACTGCAATGGTGTGATCATAGCTCATGACATCCTCCATCTCCTGGCTCAAGCCATCCTCCCGTCTCAGCCTCCGTAATAGCTGAGACTGCAACACATGCACCACCATGCCTGGCTAATTTTTTTGATTTTTTTTTTAGTGGAGACGAGGTGTGACTATGTTGCCCAGGCTGGTCTCAAACTCCTGGCCTCAAGCATTCCTCCCACCTTGGCCTCTCAAAGTGCTGGGATTACAGGTGAGAGCCTCTACACATAGTGGGAAGTTAGTTTTTAATGGTAGTTCCAGTTTGGGAAGAAAACATTCTGCGGATGGATGATGATGATGATTGCAGAATGGTGTGAGCGTAGCTAATGCTGTAGAACTGAGTACACTCCAGCCTGGGCAACAAGAGTGAAACTCCCCCCACTGCCCAAAAAAAAAAAAGAACTGTGTGCTTAAAAATGGTTAAAATATTAAATTGTATGTTATTGCAATTTCAGAGTATATTGCGATCATTTCCCACATTACATATATTTTGAAAATGTGTTTAATATTCCATTTTGTAGAATATCTTTTACCATTTTATTTTTAGCCACTGTCATTTTTCTGTTTTTCACTAATGCGAGGAATACTATGATGAATAACCTCGTTTATCAGGTTTTTCTTTATAGATAATTACTTCAGGTAAATTCCTAGGGGTGAGATTACTGGGCTACATAGTATGAACCTTTTTAAGGCTCTTGATCCATATCATCACATTACCCTCAGAATAGTTACTAAATTTCATTTCAGCCAAGCACACTTCCACCAGCAGTGTATGAGGGTCAGCTTTCATTTTATCTTCCCAGACACCATGTGTTATCTTTAAAAATAAATTGCCTGTTAAGCTAAACAATGATATGTCATCATTGTTTCAATTTAATCCATTTTTATTACTGATGACTTCTGTTTTTTTTCCACTTTCATTAATAGTACCTGAAATATAGGGAGTGCTTCATATTTGTTGAATGAATTTGTCAAGTATCTACTAGGTGCCATATCCTTTTATAGATGTGTGGGACATAATATCAAACAAGACTGAATTATATTATACTTCTCTCACTGTGTTTACAGTCTAGTGGAGGAGTCAATTAAACAATTGATAGGTGCTATCAGTTGAAGTATGCTTGACATGCAAACAAATATTGGTGATCCCTAACCCAACCTGTAAGAGATGGGGCTTCTGTAAGGACGTGATGTTTAAGCCAAAATCTCGTTGAATGGGAGGCATCTCAAGGATTCTCCTTCCAGGGGATGAAATGGAGCTCAAGGAAGAAGGAATGTTTCCAGAAGAAAAACCTCAAGATGTAAACTAAAGTTGGCCATTTGTATTTTTTCTTATAGGATTTGGCTATTCATTGTGCTTTGCTCTTTTTCCCCCTCTCCTATTGGCTTAAGTTTTTTTGGTGGTGGTGGGGGAGTAATTTAAAAGTACCTGTTATATAGTAAATTATTAAACATTTGCCTATATAGTAAATTATTAAACATTTGCTATTCATATATAATGTTTTACCCTTCTCTGGTTAATTCGCCACATCCTGAACCCCTGCAAATAAGTTTGTGTGTGTGTGTGTGTGTGTGTGTGTGTGTGTGTGTGTGTGTGTGTGTTTGAGACGGAGTTTCGCTCTTGTTGCCCAGGCTGGAGTGCAGTGGCGTGATCTCGGCTTACTGCAACCTCTGCCTCCTGGGCTCAAGTGATTGTCCTGCCTCAGCCTCCCAAGTAGCTGGGGTTACAGGCGCCCGCCACCACGTCCAGCTAATTTTTTTGTACTTTTAGTAGAGATGGGGTTTCACCATGTTGACCAGGCTGGTCTGGAACTCCTGACCTTAGGTGATCCGCCCTCCTCGGCCTCCCAAAGTGCTGGGATTACAGGCGTGAGCCACCGTGCCCAGCCAGACGTGCCTTCTTTATTGATGTAGGAATCTGTTTAATTAGATCATTTTTTTCCTCCGCAGAGTCAAACTCATAGTCTTGGGAGGAAGATAGGAAGGGGGCAGGCAGGGAGGTTACATGGGGACTCTGAGATGTCTGAGGGTGAGGAGAGGATGAAGGCGAGGCAAAGGAATAGATATCGTTGGTGATCCGCTAAGGACAGTGACCTTCTCACCTTATCTCAGTCCTCAACATGTAAAGATTTTCCTCCATTTTACAAGCAAGGAAATCAAGTTTCTAAGAGGTAAGTATTGTTTGTGGTAGATCTAAGGTTTTGTTTTGAGACAGTCTCACTCTGTCATGCAGGCTGGAGTACAGTGGCATTATCATGGCACACCACAGCCTCGACCTCTCAGGCTCAAGTGATCCTTGTGCTTCAGCCTCCTCAGTAGCTGAGACTACCGGTGGTTGCCACCATGGCCAGCTATTTTTTTTTTTTAAGAGATGAGGTTTCACTACGTTTCCCAGGCTTGTCTCAAACTCCCGGTCTTAAGCAATCCACCTGCCTTGGCTTCCCAAAATTCTGGGATTACAGGCATGAGCCACTGTACCCAGCATGGATCTAAGTTTTAAACCTGGTTGAGCTAATAGGAAAACCTAACTTTTAAACTTTTAATAATATACCTCAATGGTTTTTTAAAGGGAAGTACTGGAAAACTGGATGCTGGCTTTTTGACTTCTCTTTGAATATTAAATGAGCTTGACTCCATGGAATTCTTGTAATCTTAAATGCCAAAGCTTTAGACCATAAACTAATCACTTTGTGGCTTTCTATAAGTCAAAAAGCCAATTAAAAAAAAAACTTTTATTGCTAAAATTTGTAACCAGTATGGAGATTTGTGTGTGTATGTGTGATTGAACCTGGGAATCTTCCCCCCCCTCCGCCCCCCTTAATTTCCAATTGAGTAGTGATTTTTTGTGGTTGGAGAGGTAGTTTTAACCCGGTGAATTCCTCTAGCGGTTCTTGCTGAATGATTTCCTAAGGCATTTTGAAAATCTCTTGGGTAGTGCTTTTAACCTGGCTTCACATTTCATCTTTCTTTATTCAGGGAGTGTTTGGATTTTACACCATGCTTGAGGCTGCCATGTCTCGGCTGCAATAACCAGAAAACATTGGTTTTCTTTGGTCACTGACCAAGCTTGTCACTACTCATTTCTGCCTGGCTCTAGACTGAAGACTTCAGTCCAATTTTCCGAATGGCCTCTTTTGACTTACTGTGCAAAACCCCCACTTTGGCTCTGAACCATTCTCTGAATATTAGCATAAGCACCTAATGCTGCTTGACTAAATTGTTTCTGTTGAGAGAGGGGGATGAGGAAAGGCTGGCACGGGGAACATCTGTTAGGGCTGTACCTTTTCATTGTATTAATTTTTCTGACTTCTGGGATTATTTTCATTATGCAACTCTTCAATAAAGCAAATTTGGTATGATAAGGACTTAACATTCCCCCCCACTCATTTTAAACATATGGGGTTTCCAGGCTGTTATTCAAAGCTGTCCTACAGACTAAAATTTAAAATACAAGTGAACCAAGATTCTGCAGCTGAATCTGGGCTTTGAGGAGCCTACAGTGGGAGAAGGGGATGAAAAAAAATATTTTGTGGAATGTACTATAACCAACCAATAAGATGTTTTTGCTATTTTAATTGGCTCTTCCTGGCAGGAGTTTCATACAGCGGTGTCTCAGACACTGACCAAATCTGTTTATGGTAAGTCATTTTTGTAGAGAACAACAACATTCAACAGGCTATGGTATCACTCCATTTGGAAGTATGTTTCCTGATCTTGAGGTCGTAGAAGAAAATGACAGGAACATACTTGTGCCCACACAGGCCCTAATCTGTCTTGCTGGCATTCCTTAGACATTTATTTATTGAAGAGTCCTTGTGTCTATATTGAGGGGAGAAACTAGATAGGTTAAGGAATGGATGATAACTTTGATTCTGAGAGCTCTTGCGCTATCAGAAGGAATGTGATTGACGGTGCTTGAATGAAAGGGTAACTGTTACAGTATCAACCAAGAGATAGAGGATGGCTGGTTTTGGAAGCTGACTTGCAACACTGTTATATCTGGAGTTATAACCTTCCAGAGTGTTACAAAGTTTCCAGTCTATTCTTCCTATGTCTGCCCTCAGTGAGCTAGCATTGAGATTCGGCTGTTTATTTGCAGAAATAGTTAATCTATCTTTCTTTTAAAATTAACGCCTTCTGGAAACAGTGGCTCAACGGGGAAATGAACTCTTCACTAAAATCTCACATTTCTTACGCTTCCACTTGGAATAAGATCCCTCTCAACACAAATAATGTTTAATTTTTTTAACCACTCTGAAGCTAACTTAGGTTTAATTTTAGTTTATGCTAAAAGTTTTTCTTATGTGACTCCTACAGTTTTCCTAGAGTTATTGAAAAAACTGCTCCTATAAAGCAAGTTTAGTTTTTATTCTGTTCATTTTAGATCCTTAATATTGTTCTTTCATTACTACTTGAGGGGAATTTAAAAAGAAAGAAATATAACAGCTGTTTTGAAGTACATTTGAAAAATGGTAAACTGCAGAATCTGTTGCTTTTCCTTGACTCTCTTCACTCTCCCCCAAAGACCTTTAAATAGAAGCTGTTTCCTTTTGCTGCATTAACCCCAAACCCTATCTGATTTCTTCCAGTTGCCGAGCAAACAGTGGCAGCTTGCCTCTGAAGGCCACCAAAAAGGACCAAAATGTTTGCATGGAAATGGCAACCAAGAAACCCCTAATATTAAGAACCTACCTTGAAATCTGCCAATTAATGAATGGAAGCTTCATCAGATTTTCAAATGGCTTTTATAAAATTATATAATGGAGGTGAAAGTGAAAGGTCTACACTATAACTCCTATTACATGAGCTAAATGTGTAAGCCTTACCATTTGATGTGCTCTTCTAGGCTTAACAGTAAGGACCATTTTGGAGTTAAAATTGTGTGGATTAGTTCTGTGTTAAACATGTCTTCATCTCATTTATGTATTGTATTAAACTCTTTGGGGAAACAGATAAAAAGGACATTTTAGGCTTTACAAACACGCTACACACCATAAAATGTTTGTTTCAGCCCATTGCTTACTCCAAAGCAATGGCCTTTTGCTTGAAGATAATCTCAATAATAGAAAACAGTTACCAAAGGAACTAGGTTTTGGGTGGACGACTTAGCCCTCCACAAGGGACTGCAGAATCCTGGTATTTGAACTGGCAGGGTGTTTGGTTTCTTTTTTTTTTTTTCTTTTTTTTTTTTGGCTTGTTTGTTTTCGTTTGTCAGAATATGGCCCCAGTTTGGTTTAAGTTTTGAATGTTCAGGAATTTCTCAGAGCAGACAGGGGTCCATAAGGGCTTAGTAGTGCTTCTACTGTGCAAACAGTGATTTCTTTTTTCTCCAAAAATTAATTTGGCGTAAGTGTGATCATGGCTGCTTGACATTTTTTTGTTTTGAGATGGGAGAGCATAAACCACATTCAAAGGAAAAATTAGAGCCTATGTATTAGAATATTTAAACTGCTTAATGTAGAGCAAAGGAAAATGTCACAATTGGATGCTGTTGTGTTCTAAGCAAGCAATGCTTCTCTGGATTTGGATACTTGAGAAATCCTTTATTTAGAAGTCATTCATATTCATCTTTAATACAGCAACTGTGAATATCATTAGCCAGAAGCAATAAATTTTGTGAAAATTATTTGGCAATTGAGAAGGTAGGGTAGCCAGTTGAAGTCCTGTGGGCCCAAGGAGGAACTTGGCAGTGAGTTATTGTCAAAAGCTGCGAGTGCCAGGAGTCAGCCCAAGGAGAGTTCTGTGGGAATCAGAGGAGTGTGGGGCCAGTTGAGTCCTTATATTATTTATTCCTGCAAGCATGACAGATTGATTATTACGGATCTGAAAAATCACTTGCATGGGTCTTCTCATTCTTTTTCACCCCTCTTTTCTTTCTTTTTGGGAGTGGATAAGACTTAAAAACCACATACCTCAGGATACATTGCCGAATCAAAATTTTTCTGATGGTCGCAGACTTCCGTGTCTAGAAAGCTGCTAGCTTTCTACTATTTAAAATACAAATTTTGGGATATGGCAAGCCTCACCATTTCTTCACTGTATGTAGTACTGCTTGCTGGGCAGCAGACAGTAAATATTAAGTAAGCTCTTCAAAATCAGTTTCATTCCATCAGAGCATGGTGACATTTTTTTCCCCTGCTTTTAATCTCTAAGGTGCAAATTTTGAGGGATGTTAAGTAATTTTAAAAATTTATCTACTGTCTTTGTGTTTGCTGTGAGATATCTTTCTGGAGATAGAAAATTAAGTGAGGCGTGTTGTTCTGAAATCTGGGTGCCAGTAATTCTTGCATCGTAGGGAGCTGTGCCTTGCACTGTGTATACATGTCAAATCTGAACATCTCACCTCGAAAGAAGTTTGCCAAAAGGTAAAAAGCACTTCCCAAACAATCCTACGGTTTTGAGTAAGGAGTACTCAAAGAAAGAAAGGGACTGTTTTCAGATGTTTCATAAATGGTAATCAATCACTAATAATTAACTAGGTACTTGACCATGCAGGTATGCTCCCAGCACAGTGCGATAGCAGCTTAGAATTTGAGATTGAACTTTTACCCTGGTTATCTTTAGAATACTGTTTCTCTTTCATTTATGTGAATAAACATGTATTTTGCATGTTACTGTAAACATTTATATATCCTTATACCTTTGCAGTTTACCAAGAAAGGCTTATAAAATTGTGATAAAGATTTCTAGTGAATTATTTTCTTACAGCTCTTATGCAAGGAATTCAAGATTTTTGTATTATCCTGAGTCATAGATATAAGTGGTTTGATAGGTTATAAGCTATCTTGACACTGTTCTGCATTTATAAATTCAGCCATTCTGCAAATGTTTCTGGAGCACCTGCTGCACACAGACACCAAGGACACACCAGCGACTAAGTCAGTTGTGGTCCCTACTTTTGAGGGAGTGTTGAAGTCTATTCAATTAAAAGCCAAATCATGGCGGGGCGCGGTGGCTCATGCCTGTAATCCCAGCACTTTGGGAGGCCGAGGCAGGCAGATCACAAGGTCAGGAGTTTGAAACCATCCTAGCCAACTTGGTGAAACCCCGTCTCTACTAAAAATACAAAAATCAGGTGGACGTGGTGGCGCATGCCTGTCATCCCAGCTACTCAGGAGGCTGAGGCAGGAGAATTGCTTGAATGCAGGAGGCGGAGGTTGCAGTGAGCCGAGATCAGGCCATTGCACTCCAGCCTGAGCAGCAGAGTGAGACTCCATCTCAAAAAAAATAAAATAAAATAAATAATAATAATAATAATAATAATAATAATAATAATAATAATAAATTCAGAGATGGAGAAAACTTTGGGAGGCAGGGTGAGCATCTGAACCTATTTGAATGTAGATATAACTAATGCCAAGCAAGGGAATTATGGGGACAGGACAGAATGTCAAAGTTATACACCTAGAAACTATAAAAATAGTGTAACAGAGCCAAAGTCTGGAGGCAGAGAGAGGAAAAGTAAGAGAAGGTATAAGCATGCTGGTGTCCACATCTTTGATAGTAGATTTAACTGATTCTGTCTAAAACAAAAGCATTGTTCAAAAAAATTGCTTCAGCTTTTTAAATATTTTCACCATCTCTTAATCTGAAATTTCATTAATTTTATTTTGTTAGAGTCAAGAAAAATTATATCAGAAGTGAAAATAGCATGTGGAACATGTTCCCATTTTCATAAAGATTACTTGTCATCCATCCTTGTTCATAGAAAGATGGCTAGAATGGTTTTTGCTTAGTGTTAATGATATTATTTCTGTGTGTTGGCATTTGAGTTGATTTATTTTTACATTTGTCTTTCTACTCTGCATTGCATAAATTCTCTATTTCTTTTTTTAAAAAAGAAGCATAATATGCCAAGATGTTTAAAGTAGATAATTTTGGATGTTGAGAACCTGAATAATTTTTTTTTTTGTAGTTTTAATTTCCAAAATTAGGGGAGAGGGAGCATCTTGTTTGGTTTACCGTGCTGACCATAGGTTATATGTCATTTTATGCATATAAGTTTAAGTAATTTAAGTACCAAGTTACTACTAGTACTTGATTTCCTAAGTTGCTGGGAATATACACTGTGGGCTGTTCATAATTTTTGGTACTTAATCCATTTCCTCTCTGCCATGCTTAGCTTTTTCTCTATCACTTTCTTCCCCCCTTGTCTATTCTGGGGCCATATCACTCTTTGTTATCCATCACTGAATGGCCTAACTTCCTTTCAAACAGAGTTTCCCTCATTTGGTTGGTTTTCGGTTTTCATGGAAAGCTATTGAAGTGGTGTAAGTGAGTATGGGGTAGGGGAAGCTGGTTTTGTTATGATCAGGTTTAGAAGTTCATTTGGCCTGCTGTGCAGAGACCGGATTGGAGGGAGACTGGAGTGAGTGAGACTATACCAGTTGGGTACTGCTGAACAGCCATCCCTGAAAGTGATGGCGACTTGGACGGAGGAGGTGGGGAGGTGGACTTAAGAGGCTGTACTTGAAAAATGGACTAGACTTAGTGGAAGATTAGATATAAAGGGGGGGTTGAAGGACAGGGAGTATCCAGGGTGACTTGTAGGTTCTGAGCTTGCACAATAGGATGGATGGCAATCCATTTGCTGAGATAAGGCATGATGGAAGAGGAACTTGATGTTTGTTTATGTCTGAATCATCTGAATCATGAGGCTGGACCAGGTGACCTTGGGCTTCATTTTAAAATTGATAGCACCATGATGCCTACCATTGTATGTTTTCAGTGAGGGCTCATGAGTGGGTGTCTTGGGCCCCATCCCTCCCTAACTTAGAGGAAAAAAAAAATTGTCAGCAGCATTTTCTGGGGAGAGGTTCCTTCCATATTTTTCATTAGGCTTTCCAGGGGGGCCTTGGCTCAAGAAAAATTAAGAACCACTGACTAAGTATGTTCAGTCACAGTGACCATTCAATAAATAATTGTCATAGGCTCGTAAAGCAGAAGAACAGTATCGATGAATGGAAATTTCCTATTCGGCATTTTAGAAGGGAGTTTGAAGTGCTCCTAGGAGCCATTTTCCCAGCATGGTCTTTTCTGACCACCTAAGACCAAAATGATCATTCAGTCTCTTAATTCCTTTAGCGGTAATTGTGCATGTACTATTTCTTGGCTTTATTTTTATGTTTTTTTGACTATGCTGTTTAGCTTTTCCAATAGAAACAGCTAGCTGTGCCGGGCGCTGTGGCTCACGCCTGTAATCCCAGCACTTTGGGAGGCTGAGGCGGGCAGATAGCTTGAGCTCAGGAGCTTGAGATCAGGCTGGCCAACATGGTGAAACCCATCTGTACCAAAAACAAAAAACAAACAACAACAACAACAACAAAAAAACAGTTAGTTGTTATTAGCCTATCCCCATGCTGGCTAAGTTACATAATCATCCCTGTAAAGTTAGTGTTGGCATCCTTATTTTAGAGATGAGGAAACTGAGGCTTAGAAATGTAAGTAAATGGTAGCTAGTAAGTGGCAGAACTGTGATTTGAATCAAGGCTCTTTGACTCCAGAGCTTTCTTTTTGTCACAGATATTGACAAGTCCTGCTGGTTGGCAGAAGTCATACCTATACTCTACTTTTATTTATTTTGAGATGGAGTCCCACTCTGTCACCCAGGCTGGGGTGCACTTGCGCGATCTCGGCTCACTGCAACTTCCACCTCCTGGGTTCGAGTGATTCTCCTGCCTCAGTCTCCCAAGTAGCTGGGAATGCAGGCACGTGCCGCCACACCTCATGCCTGTACTTTGTATCACACATTGTGCATTCAGATTTTTACTGAAAGAACGAATATACCTATTGCAGTATGATCAAGCCTGTTTTATGTAATGCCCCTGCATATGCTCAGAATCAAGGATTACCCTTTTTATTTTTCTCATTTGTCTCCTATTTCTTTTGCAAACTAAATACCCTTTCCCCCGCACCCTCTATTGCTGGATTTTCTTAGGAACTCTTATACCTTATCTTGCTTTGGAAATAGCAAAATACACAGGATTACAGAATTGTTATCAATTCACACATTTGAGATTTATATGTTACCACCATTACTTCCTACACCAGTTTTCTAGCTACTTTTGTGTGTGTGTGTGTGTATTTAAATTGTGATTGAATTAGAAAACCTTGTTAGGAAGTTGAATTTCTGAAGCAATCATTTATGTTCAGCCTGTGTAACTAATGGACAATTATCTTTCAGTTTCCTCTGGAATCTTGCTTTAATGACTTTCAGAGTAGTGTTTATATATGCCATCACTTGCCTAATTAGTTTTATAAGGAAATCCGTGTCATCCCGGGTCATCCTGCCAATAGAGGCAGCTTCCAGTTCTCTTGAGCCTCCCGAGGGATGCATTCCCTTCACAAAGTGCTGGAAGCTGGCTTTCCTGGAGCTCCAGGGTCAGGGACCATTTTCCTTTTTTTATCATGGAAATGAAAAAGTCAGTGTCAGGGAGGTGGCTGACTGTACGACAGTCCTGATTATTGACTTATTTCTCTTACCTTAAAACTTGAGTTATTTCATCGTAAAATTGCAGGCAGGAAAAATATATAGAAGCAGTAGCCTTCAGATTGAGGATGAAGAAATCTCTCTGAACTTCAAGGAAATTTGGAAATGAGCAAAAATTTTGAAAACATTTGAAAATGGAATTTATAGCCCTAATAAAAAATGCAGTTAGGTGTATCAACATTTTGATTCCTAGACCAAGCACAGTGCCTGGCATATAATAGATGGCTAATTAATTTCATTGAACGAATACCTAAGTAGATGATGGATGAATGCCACTGGAACATAATGTCCATGAGGGCAGTGTTGCTGATATTTCTAGCATCATCTGGAAGGTGCTCAGTAACTACATTCTGAGTGAATGACTGAGTGCCAGTAAAAGATAAGCTATTGCGTTATCTTTTTTTGCTTTTTTTTTTTTTTTGAGATGGAGTTTCACTCTGTCACTCAAGCTGGAGTGCGCACGTGGCACTATCTCAGCTCACTGCAACTTCCACCTCCTGGGTTCAGGCGATTCTCCTGCCTCAACCTCTCGAGTAGCTGGGACTACAGGCACGTGCCACCACGCCTGGCTAATTTTTTTGTGTTTTTAGTAGAGACAGGGTTTCACCGTGTTAGCTAGGATGGTCTCGATCTCCTGACCTAGTGATCTGCCCACCTTGGCCTCCCAAAGTGCTAAGATTACAGGCCTGAGCCACCACGCCCTGCTGAGATATCTTTTTTAAATTAAAAAAAAAAAATTAGAGACAGAGTCTTGCTATATTGCCCGGGATGGACTTTTGAACTCTTGGGCTCAAGCTTCTTGCTTCAGCCTCCCAAGTGGTTGGTTTTACAGGTTTGCGCCACTGTGCCTGGCTGTTGGGTGGATTTTAGTATGAAAACTACAGATCCTAAGAGATGATCCCTGGGCATATCAACAAAGTATATGTTTTAAAAAGCCAAGCTTATTAGAAATATTATGTCCTATGATACTGGAAATCCATTTTTATTTGAAAATATTAAATAGAGTTGACATGTTGAATTTTTTAGTATAGATTAAGGCACTAGTTCTTAGGATGGCTTTTGGTGCAGTGACTCACGCTTGTAATCCCAGCACTTTGGGAGGCCGAGGCAAGCAGATCACTTGAGGTCAGGAGTTCGAGACCAGCCCTGGCCAACATGGTTAAACCCCATCTCTACTAAAAATACAAAAAATTAGCTGGGCGTGGTGGCTCACACCTGTAATCCCAGCTACTCCAGAGGCTGAGGCAGGAGAATCACTTGAACGCGGGAGGCGGAGGTTGCAGGGAGCCAAGATCATGCCACTGCACTCCAGCCTGGGTGACAGAGCAAGACTCCATCTAAAAAAAAAAAAAAAATTATTGGGGACTCTAAAGAGTTTTATTTACATAGATTTTATCTACTGATATTGGTCATATTAGAAATTTAAGATGAGAGATTTTAAAGATTTATTAATTGATTTAAAATAGTAATAGTAATCCCTTTATACAGTTACACAAACTACATAATTTTATGAAAAAGGACATTTTCCCTAACAAAAAAAATTTAGTGGGAAGAGTGGTGTTTTACATCCCTCTTCTGTCTGACTTAAATAAAACATAGTTGGACTCTCAGCTGCTTCTGCTTCAATCTGTTGTGATATGTTTTGGTTGAAGTGTATGTCTAACACATATATGTAATTGAAAAAAGGAGGGAATATTTTAATAGCTTTTTCACGTAACTGGAGATATTCTTTGATACTTTTGATAGTGGTCGTTGGCAAGTAAGTTTCTCAAAGGTTGGTTGCAAGGTAGAGAATGAAACCGTGTCTGTGTTTCATATTGGTCCATCTTATGTGTTGAATGGCTCTTTTATGTGTTGGTGTGACCGCATTCTTTAGTTTGGAAAACACTATTTCATTGAGTTCTGCAGGTTCTTCTAAATGTTGACACATTTCATTATTCAACATCAAAAAAGTCACAATTATTAGTATCACCATCAGTCTCATCAAAGAGCCTTTAAGTATTATTAGGAAGCCGTCAAGCTGACGGTAGATGCACATTTTCTAAGATTGTGTTTTTCACTTGGAAAACTTTATTGTATTTCAAAAAAGTATCTGCCAAATATCCAAGTCTAAGCAACCATATTGTAGTTGTTCTTTTGAGTCAAAGTGGTGTTTCATGGAGAGAGTGGCTGCTCAGCTCAAGACAGCCCTCATCCCTGGAGTGTAGCCAAATGCTTTATGTGTCAGAATATTTACTCAGAATTCTGAACCTTTTTTTTTTTTTTTTTTTGAGACAAAGTCTTGCTCTGTGCCCAGGCTGGAGTGCAGTGGCCCAGTCTTAGCTCACTGCAACCTCCACCTCCTGGGTTCAAGCGATTCTACTGCCTCAGACTTATGAGTAGCTGGGATTACAGGCACACGCCACCACGCCCGGCTAATTTTTATAGTTTTAGTAGAGATGGGGTTTCACCATGTTTGCCAGGCTGGTCTCCAACTCCTGGCCTCATGTGATCCACCTGCCTTGGCCTCGTAAAGTGCTGTGATTATAGGTGTGAGCCACCATGCCTGGCCCAGAATCAATAATTGTTAATGCTTCATCGAGACTTTCTTAAATGAAACTGGCATAAAAGACAACAAAAAGCCCCTGGGATTTCATGGTGGGAAGAACATAATTCCTGCTAGTACCGCCTGGCACTGTCACCTTGACTCAGGCTAAGGTTCCTGCTGTCACACCACCATTGCTCTTGCACCATCAGTGCAAACGTCAACACAAGGAAAAAGGCAAATAGTGGCTCAGTATTATCATTAAAGTGGTTTGATCATGAGGACCCTTAAGGGTTTGTGGAGCATACTTTGAGGCACACTTTGATTTAAGAGGTTAGAAACATCACATTAAAATTCATACTAATAAAGTGAAATTGTGCCAATTGCCCAAAACAGTGCATCAATCCAAAACTCTTATTTGTCTTGGAGAAATGCATTCAAAACATAGTCAACACCACTATCTCATTTTGTCTCTGTGTTGTGTTAAGATGGGTTTGCATACTTTCAGCCTCTTAGAGCAGGCAGTTGGAACATTATCCAGCAGCAGGTTGAACAGCAGAGGGGGAGGGCAGCTGGAAGTTAGGCTAATCTAACAAATGAGTCATCCACATGTGGATAATGGAGTTGTAAAATTACTCTCAGCTTTAGTCAGCAGCAACCAAACTATACGGTTAAAAATTACAGGTCTCCAAAATAGAGACTTCCTGAGAACTTTTAGTATAGCATTTAACTGAGAATGTATCAAGGGTTTGGTTGAGGATTTTTTCATAAAACCTTTCTGTTCTGGAAGGCAAGTTTGTTATTAAGAGCTTCAGTAATTTCTCTTACGAAGTGTTCAAAATGCACCAGAACCTGAACACAATGTGAGCAGCTGAGTGTTCATCTTAGCTGCGTCCATCAAGTGAACGGTTTGCTCTCTTCCTGTCCATAATTTGAGAGTCAGCCTAATGGTGAGTGGACAGTCATCTAATAAAATATTTCATACCTGTGGCAGCAGGTATAAAGCAAATAGTTTATTTTTGCTTTCCATGTAAAGTTTGGCAGTAAAGTTTTTGTCTTGAGATTTTTGTTTTATAAGAGAAATTAAAATTCCTTCTGGGCTTTTGCTGTTCTCCCCTGAGGATGAATATGCTGCCTGCCTACCCTGCTACCCCCCGCATTTGGCAAGGTTGCACATGTCTTAGGGATGGAAAACCAGTAGCCAACACTAAACCAGGCCTGCTGTGTAGACCTGGCTTGGTGAGTATGGAGCTGTTCCGCAGTAGAGGTTTGCAAAGAAACCATCACACCCTTGTTTCCTCTCTCCTTCTGGCTTTTCATTTTTCTTCTGGCCTTTTGCATGGAAGAAATAAGTCATCCCTTTTGAACAGTTTGGGTATGGAGTGTTTGCCCATGCGGTAGACTCTGGCAGGACAGAGAGGGTTTTCCCGGGCCTTTAGTTGTCCAGGTCCTGTATTCTCACATCTCCTCTGGGCTGCTGACTGCGCACAAACACAAAATTCATTCCTCCAATAGAACAGTGTTTGGCCTGGCTCCCAAAAACTGCTCTCCTCACTTGCACGGCTTTGATTGAGTGTTAGGTGTCTCTTTGGCTGCCTCCAGTGTCTCTTATTTTTAGGGCCTTCGTTAATGTCTTCTGTGTGTGAAACATGAAAATGGAGCCATGGCTGCTGGAATTGGAAACTTAGGGTTTTTAGGCCACCATTCCCTTATCACATGGCGTTATCAGGTTATTTAGTTACAGAGGTTAAAAAAAAAGTCCACCCTAGGAGCCGGCGTGTGTGGGGAAAGGAGAGAGGGGGCAGCTGAGCACCTAATGGGCAGTGAAAAAAGATATTGTAACTAAAGCTCGGGCTAGTGTCCTCAGAGCGATGGCCTTTCAGGTGCTGGCAGGGGTCTGCTTACAGCTCAGCCTGGTTACAAATGAGGGGATAAATTGGTGGTAACAGTGCCTTTTTATTTTTTTCCTTTTTCCTTTGGAAACTGGCTTTTCACATGTTGGAAAACGAGCTTGGATGCTCGGTGTAGGTAACAGGCAATTCTGATCTGAGAGGAAGGGCTCAGGAAAGGTGTGACCAAATGAGCCGTCTGAGTGGTCAGTCCTGCCCGGGGCTCACCCAGGCAGGGAGCTGGGGTCTTTCATGTGGGTGTCCGTGGACCCACAGGAGACAGGGAGGGATTGATTACAGGGGAGACCACTTCTGTTTCCCTTTCCTAAAGGAAACAGAAAATGGAAATAAAAATCTAAAATTATGTTATTTTCCATTTTTGGAATTCTGTTCATTTGTGTTTGGGGCCAGTTTTATTATTTTTTTTAATCTTTTTTGAGACAGGATCTTACTCTCTCACCCAGGCTGCAGTGCAGTGGCACCGTCGTGGCTCACTGCACCCTTGACCTCCCAGGCTTAAGCGATCCTCCCACCTCAGCCTCCCAAGTAGCTGGGACTATAGGTGCACACAACCACACCTGGCTAATTTTTTTTTCCCCTTGGTAGAGATGGGGTTTTGCTGTGTTGCCCAGGCTGGCCTTGAACTCCTGGGCTCAAGCAATCTGCTTGCCTTGGCCTCCCAAACTGCTGGGATTACAGACGTGAGGCACCGTGACTAGCCTGGGACCAGTTTTTGACGGTCCCTAGCCTTCCATGAGCATTCGTGTGCAAATGCACAGTCCAGAGGCATGTTTAGTTGACTCTGGTTTCCTCCCTCCCTTTCAATGTGTGGAACTCGCAGCGTTCTTTCTCTGCATTGCTGCGATCTGCCACACTTCTCGTTTTATCATGGACTGCAGTACAATGTAATTGTCTGTGTGCCAGTTTCCTCTGTCTTACTAAAGTGTGAATGTTTGATGGAAGAAACTCTGAGTGGACAGGGTCTGTCATAATCACCCCAGTATTCCCCATCGTGTGGTGCTGAGCTTGGTATGTAGTGGGGAGTGGGTATGCAGTGAATGTGGAATGGGTGGATGCTTGAATGAGTACAGCCGAATTTCCTGGCCAGGAAAACCATGAAGTGTTAGCACTGTTCTGATTTTACTTCCTCCTTCAGGCTATGGGCGCGTGCCAACTGACAGGGCAGGGACTGCCATGGCTAGTGGCTATTACCTAAACTCCAGCCCAGTTTTGGTGCCCCCGTTTCTGAGTCCTGAGCAAGTGTTCCTGGCATTGTGTTGGTTCCTATGGTATGTGTTTTAGTCTGTGAGACTCTTTCCTCAGTTTGAAGATCTGAAAGTAAAATGTTTCACCCAAGGTTTTTAGATTCGAGAGCTCATCCCGTAGGCCAGGGAGAGTGAGTACTAATACCCTATATGTGGCTGTGTTTAGAAAGGGCTATTGGGAAACATAAAAAATAGATTTTGACATTGGAAACAAATACATTTTAGTATGTGCTGCTAAAGAAATGTGTGCTATAAGCTATTCTCCTGGGGTTATAAATCATTAAATATTAACTTTTTAAACGATTAAACATGTGACTATATCTTATTGGTTACAAATAATAAATGCCTACTCAAACCAGCGTAAACCATAAAAGTAGAATTTGTATAAGGATTCACAGGGTGGTTTATGGGGAGAAGGGCAGGAAATGCTGCCAGGCTACAAGGGAGTCTGGAACCAGGACTAGGGCAATACCAGGAGCCAAGGCACTGCTCTTTCACCCCGAGAACCCTGGGACTCACCCGTGCTTCTCTCCCAGTATCAGATTCGTTCTCTGTGGCAGTGGTTGGGCTTCCTCCACTTCCCTGCTCTTAGGGTCTAAACTGGCAGTGTCACGTCGTGAGCATACCTCTGCCTTCAAGTTCAAATGCAGACAGACACAAGTCTCTGTTTAAATTCCTGAGGAAGAATTTGGTTGGCCCAATGTGGTCAGCTGTCTACCCAAGTCCAATGAACTCTGCTCATGGGAATGGGGCTGGGGAATAAATGTGGCTTAGAGGGCTGACGTGAGATCCCAGAGTCTGGAAGCTATTTCAAGGTTCTGGAAATAGTCTAGTAGGGCTACAAAACTCAGAGCAAGCCATAGGGTCCGGACAGTACCCTATTTCCTTTATTTCTAATTATTTTCTGCTCTGCCTTTTGAGGGAACTCATCAGTGTCTTCCTGAGGCCTGGAGGCTTTTCTGTGATCATGAAATGTACTATCTGAGGCCTGGAGGCTTTTCTGTGACCATGAAATGAACTATCAAGAGCAGGGCATGGGCTCTGCAGACAGCCCAGGAGTTCTCTGCTGCAGGGCTAAGTGATAATTCTGCTGAGGCGGTTGACATTCTTCTGGTTAGCTTTAGGGCAGATGAAAGGGAAAGAATATCAGGAGAAAAAAGAGCATCTTGAATTTGTGGTGTTTTTTGAGGTTTTTTTTTTTTTTTTTTTTTTTTGAGATGGAGTCTCTCTCTGTTGCCAGGCTGGAGTGCAGTGGCGCAATCTCAGCTCACTGCAACCTCCGTCTCCTGGGTTCAAGTGATTCTCCTGCCTCAGCCTCCCGAGTAGCTGGGACTACAGGTGCGTGCCACCACACTCAGCTAATTTTTGTATTTTTGGTAGAGACGGGGTTTCACCATGTTGACCAGGCTGGTCTTGAACTCCTGACCTTGTGATCCGCCCGCCTCTACCTTCCAAAGTGCTGGGATTACAGGAATGAGCCACCGTGCCCGGCCTGAGTTGTATTATTTTAGGGTTTGGGGAGGAGGGAAGTGGCGAAGAATGGTATATGAAGGGTGTTCTTGATTTTTCAGAGATGAAATAATTTTATCCAGCCATTTATATTTCTATGTATTTCTTCGGTATCTGTTTTTAATATCCTGTTAGACGTTTTAGTCTGTCAAGAGTTATTGCTAATTGTCAACCAACTACCTGGTTGCAATGAAGATAGGTTCTTTTTATGCCATGCACTCCAGAGATCTACTACACAGCTGGGTGGCTATGATTTGCATTAAACTAATAAAGTCCCCTGGTTAAAGGGGTATGTCCTAGATTTAACATTTGAAATCCTTTCCATTAAGTGCAGCACAAGCAGATCTTTCTGCACATTTTGGTGAAGCTTAACCATTTTTGATGACTCATTTTGATCCTAATCTTTAATTTTTCTGATTGCTTTTGGTAACCTTCTATTTGGGCTGTGTGCCGAATTTTATGATAGGTATCCTTTAGACGGCAGATATAATCAGGTGATTTGATTCAGAAAAGGAGTTTGCTTTCCCTTCCGACTTCTGTTTTGAAAGCACCAAGGCACTGGGCATGGTGACTCATACCTGTAATCCCAGCACTTTGGGAGGCTGAGGCGGGTGGATCACCTGAGGTGAAGAGTTCAAGACCAGCCTGGCCAACATGGTGAAACCCCGTCTCTACTAAGAATACAAAAATTAGCCGGGTGTGGTGGCCTGCTCCTGTAATCCCAGCTATTCAGGAGGCTGAGGCGGGAGAATTGCTTGAACCCGGGAGGCGGAGGTTGCAGTGAGCCAAGATCGGGCCATTGCACTCCAGCCTGGGCGACAGAGCAAGACTCTTTCTCAAAGAAAGCACCAAAGAATTCCCCCAATAGAAACAGTGTGTAGAAAATAATTTGGAAATGAAGGAATTAAGATGGTCTGAGATTTTTGTGGCTTGCTCTGTGTTTTATAGCCCTGGTGGGCTGCAAACAGGTATCTTGCTTCAGCTCTCAGAGCAGCCTCAGTCACTGGGAACTTTTTTTTTTTCACGGATGCTGCTTTCTCAGCTTCTAGAATTGCCTCCTTAGTCCTGAGTTAGAATGTCAGAGACAGGTTTTATGCTACTTTGCTGGCAAGGATCACCATCGCACACGTCATGTAGTTTATCTTGAAATTTTATGATTTGGGAATCAGATTCCTTCAAATAAGTTTGTGTCATCTGTTTTGTTGAGAGAGCTCGTGGCTAGGATCGCAGACGCGAACATTGTTTCTTCCTGAATTGTGTCCTTGAGTTGGTTGGTGTGTATCTCCAGAGTCCATTGTTTCTTTTGCAGAATGAAGGAATTGGTCTGCAGTGATCTCAAAGATAATTCCAACCCAGCACACCAGGACTCAAACTTAAGAAAGAATTATTTTTGTTATGAGTCATGTACATTTAGGGTTCTTACCAGACAGAATAATTAAATACATGCAGCTCTGCTCCATGCAGGCAGGCTCTGGGTCCTCACCTCTGCATACAGGATGCTGAGCATGGTAGTGGTTTAATCAATACTGTTGGTGGTGTAAATGGATGAATGGTGGCCATTCTGAAACGGCTTTGTAGGATCTAAGCTGTGTTGGGAGCCAATGTAAGTCTGGTCTCTGTCATTTGGAGTATATTTTGAAAATAGAAGATTAAAACCCCTCTTCATTTAAGTTGCCGTCTAAGGTCCTGGACCAGCCTTGGTTCACCCAGGTTTTTTCCTCTGCAGGACATTGGCTCACAGAAAACAGGGCTGCCCCCTTTTCCTGCATATTTGGCCTCGGACTGCCTACTTGACTAATCAGTTTAAGCTCTTCCCTCTTAGGCCATTAATCCTATTTCTCCAGCCGAGAAGCAGCAGGATAATAGTAATGTGTCCTGTAGCTATTAAAAGATGATATTGCCTTGCACATAAATAAAGTACTTTTTTTTCCTCTGCAAAAGGATGATCAAACAAATTTAATTTTCATTTATGCTTTTGCCTTTTTGTGATATTTCTTTGTATCTTCTAGTACAATCAGGGGAGAACATCATTTTTACTGTTATTGATGGTTATTTTCTACTTGTTTTCAGCATCCTAACAAGGTATTTGCTTTCCTATACATCGTTACATTTTGTCATCCTATGATGAACTCTCGTTGCTCGAGGGGGCGAAAACAGAGTGAACGTGGAAATGATCTTTGGCATGTGGTATTTTCTGAAAAACTGAATTTCACAATAAGCACATTTCGTGGCATTTGCTAACAATAATCTCCACATTCCTAGAGGTCAGATTTTCTCATTGAACACATTTTTTTTTCTTTTCAGTTTATATATGCAGAAAGGGCTTCATTAAAACTGAGATCATTCTCATTCAATCTTAAGCTGGCAGCCAACCCAGATCCTTTTAATCCCTGCTGTATGTGCTAATGAAAACTCAGGGAAGTGCTGATGAAAGGGAGGTGGTGAGGCTCCTTCCTCTCCTTGCCTGGAGACTTAACCTGTACATTTCTAGGCTTTTCAGAGTTAAGTTTTGCACCTGCTTGTGCAGTGGTGATGGAGCTCCTGAGGTATTTCTGCATTTGCTTCCTGGGTCTTGAATTTCCACCATTAAATTTCAGTCTAGTGGCGGGTGCATGGGTGTGTGTTACATCATTCTGAGTTTTTTTGTACATCCAAAATAATTTTGTCATCACCATGATCGTGGCTGCCATCATCATTTCGACTTTTGAGAGTCAGTTTATCCTCTCACCCAGCAAATCTGCTTTTGAGAATTGGCCCTAAGCAAGTAATCTTGAATATGGAGGAAGATTTTTGCACAATGAACCTGCCCATTGCTGGTTTATTCATAACAGCAAAAACATTGGAAACATCCTTTTCCAGTTTTGGGGGAAATGATTCAGTGATGATTGGTACTGTATATTCAAGTAATAGAATATTAAGTATCCTTTCAAATCATTGCTTAGGATAAATATGGAAAAATGCTCTTGAAAATATACCTTCCCAATTATAGGAAAGATAGTAAATTATATTCACAGTATGATTAAAGTGATGTTTTTTTTGAGATGGAGTTTTGCTCTTGTCGCCCGGGCTGGAGTGCAATGGCATGATCTCCGCTCACTGCAACCTCCGCCTCCTGGGTTCAAGTGATTCTCCTGCCTCAGCCTCCCGAGTAGCTGGGATTTCAGGCACGTGCCACCAAGTCCAGCTAATTTTTGTATTTTTAGTAGAGGTGGGGTTTTGCCATGTTGGCCAAGCTGGTCTCAAACTCCTGATCTCAGGTGACCCACCCACCTCAGCCTCCCAAAGTGCTGGGATTATAGGCATTAGCCACCACGCCCATCGGTGATTTTTTTTAAATCTAGTTTTTAAAATACCTGAACAGTGATGGTGTAAAGGACAAGATGATAGAAGACTTTTTTCTTTTCATTTTCTTGATTTTCTTTATCATCCACTTTTTTAAAAGACACCAACATTATTTGCATAACAAAACACCATATAGGCCGGCACGGTGGCTCACGCCTGTAATCCCAGCACTTTGGGAGGCCAAGGCAGGCAGATCACAAGGTCAGGAGATCGAGGCCATCCTAGCTAACATGGTGAAACCCCATCTCTACTAAAAATACAAAAAATTAGCCGGGCGTGGTGTCGGGTGCCTGTAGTCCCAGCTACTCGGGAGGCTGACGCTTGAACCCAGGAGGCGGAGGTTGCAGTGAGCTGAGATCGTGCCACTGCACTCCAACCTGGGTGACAGAGTGAGACTCCGTCTCAAAAAAACAAAAACAAAAACAAAACAAACAAAACACCATACAGATGGATATCTAAAAGTGAATGAGACTTGAAAATCAGCCAGAAATGTTTGCTGTGGTGATAAACATAACCCTTAAAATGATTTTTTAAATATTTTTTTAAAAAATAGGGTCTTACTCCAATTTCCCAGCCTGGAGTGCTACTGGAGTGGTGTGATTTCAGCTCACTGCAGCCTCCACCTCTTGGGCTCAGGTGATTCTCCCACCTTAGCCTCCTGAGTCGCTGAGACTACAGCCACACCACCATGCCCTGCTATTTATTGATTTTTTACTTTTGGGAGAGACGGAGTTTTGCCATGTTGCCCATGCTGGTCTTGAACTCCTGGGCTCAAGTGATCCACTTGCCTCAGCCTCCCAAAGTGCTGGGGATTATAGGCGTGAGCCACCACGCCCAGCCAAAATGAATTCTTTGGGGTCCAGAAATCTTGTCTTTTGCAAAGATAGTTTGATGGGGCAGGGTTGCTGGGAAATGAGGGTCCCAGGCTAACAGTTCTCTCAAATGTGCTTCATGGCTCCTGAGTGCCAGCTCTGAGTCATGGGTATAGGAACTGGTGGAAGGAGACAGAGAGAGAGGGTGCTGAAGCTGGGTGGTGGGGGAGGGCACTAGAGGCAGCTGTGGTCTAAGTCACACTTGGGTCTTGCATCTGGCTTTCTGCTTTTATTACTATTATACTTTTTAATGGCAATGAGCTGTAGATACAAAGCCAGCTTTGAGTTGTTAAGAATAATGAGGTCTGTCCTGACAGTACAGGCAGCAGAGGCATAAGCAAATAAATCCCAATGTATTATAATATGCAATTTTATATTTAGACTTCGAATGCATTATGATCATTATAAAAAATGTCTATTTCTAATTCTGTTAAGGAAGATGGTATAGCAGTAGGGGCTTTGGAATTACAACAGGGTTGAATACTGGCGCTACTTGTTAGCTGTGGTTTTTGGATAAGTAATTTAACTTTTCCTGGCAGAGTTTTCTCGTTTATAAAATAGAAATAATACTACCTTTCTCATAGGAGTTTGTGCTTATTAAATGAGAGGTAATGTATGTGTGATTCATGGTGTATGTTTGGTAGATGATGATTATCATGAATAACTAGTAAAGTAAGTAATGTGATTTAAGTTATGTTATTAGAAGTCCCACTGAATGCCGTGTCAATAGGAACACAGACTCATACTAGTTTGGAAGGGAAATCTGGCTCGGATTCTAAACGGTACCTTGGAAGTGCAGATGGACAACAGAATGATTGGAGATGAGTGCCTTGGTAAGCCAGTTCTTTCTGGTGAACTTGGAAGCAGAGAAAAGAGTAACAAAAATTATGGAATTTAATTATATTAATTAGAATTATATGATGATTATAATAGAATTGCCTTTTGTTCTGGAGTTAACATTTTATAACTTTATAATTAGATCTCTTGAACATTTGAAAAGTTCAATAAGTACTTGTTTGTGTCATATTAGTCTATTCTAATTGATACACATGCACATAGAGCACAATTTTTTTTTTTTAAGCCCAAAAAGTTTATTAGCGTTGGGATGGGATTTGACGCACTGAGGTTTTCCCTGGACAAGATTCTTACCTTCTTTGAGGGCTGAGTTTAAATAGTTATTCCCAGGAGGGCAGAGGAACTCTTCCGTTGTAATTGAATAATAAGTGTCATTCTTGGGTACCAGATAAACTTAACTGATCACTTAATTGATGCTTTGAATGGCTGCATAATGTGTAAGTCCTTAGAAGCCAGAGATGAGATTTGTTCATATTTTGCCCTTCTAGTACCTAGAAGGTACTTTGCACATGGTAATGAATACATGTGTGAATTAATAGATGGTAATCTATTACACTCTACCCATTTCCTTTCTCAAAGATTCAAGCCTAAGGCTAACATGATATTGAGAAGAAGAAACGTAACTACCTTGCTGTTGACAGTGTAGCAGCAAATGTAATAATGTGTGGAACTTCAGGGTTTCTTGTTCATTCGGTGGTCAGCATACAAAACATGCGTCAGTACCTTTTTTCTTGTCCTCTTAAAATTTTATTTCTTTACCCCCAGAGTGATGTTGGCACATTTGCTCTGCTGAAATGATTTCAAGAGCTCTTCATTGCTGATTCATTTAATGATTACTGTCCAAATGGCCCCACTCCCACAAGGAAAAGTGTCTCCACATTAACAAGCACTTTCTTCTGCTTGATTTCTATGGTTACATACGTTGTGTCACTTTGAGGAGTTGGAAATAAATTTAACAGGATATTAGGATGAGAGTACCTTTAAAAAAAAGTTCTGCTAAGGAAGTGTTTCATCCTGGTGAATAATGAAATCAGGTTAAAATTTGTCTTAAATTAATAATGACTTTCGACGTAGTCCTTGTTCTCACATTTCATGGGCTGATTGCTTTTTTATTTTAGCTGAGGTCATGTTAAAACCAAAATAAAGTTATTTGAAAATCTAGTGCAAAATTTTATTTTTCTATCAATTTGTGATTCCCAGAGCAAATTTGGGGAGAGCCAAGTAAATTAAAAAGTGAATTTAGGTGATGTTAAGTCTAAGATAGCCCTCAATAAAGATCTTCTCAGAAAATTCTTGAGTGGCACCAACTTTTGTCACTAATAGCCCACAGACACGCGTCACTTTAATTCTTTGAAAACCTACACTCAACAGAAATGATAAACTTATAAATGATTTTGCAATCTGCTGCCGGTTTCTTAAAAAAAATTATCAGTTTCTTAGTTTATTCTGAACTGGATTTGATACACAGAAAACTGGTTTTCCTGCCTGCTTAGGAATATATCACATCATGTAATAAGCCTCTCAGAGATGTAGCATTGAGCAGATTAAGGCCTCATTTATAGAAGAATTCCACCCTGGCCATGTGGGCCTGAAACTCTGGAGGGCTTTAACAATGTCTTGAGGTCATTGTCATTTAAAGAGATGACTCAGTGGTTTTATTTAGTAGAAATAAATACTAAATAAATAATCTCCACAGATTATCCAGAGGGGTAAGTTGAAGGATGTTGACAGATAACTCAGTAAATTGCGTCTCAAATATTAATAAGTTTATTCTATGCCAGCACCAAAAATATTTCAGAGATGCTTTTAGGCTTCTCTCAAGTATGTCGGGAACAGAAAAGGATTATAGAAATATTTATAGTAGGCATAAACTTGCACAAAAGCTCAAAGTACCTTAAGCAAGCTTGTTGCAATTATTCTTTTGGAGAACTGGATTAAGTAATTATTTCTTGTTGCCTCTGACTATTTAACCTCCTACTAAACTGCCCATTGTTTAAATGTCTCTTATTTAGCTCTGTTTTTATCACTCCTTAAATTTAATATTCTCAAGGCCAAAATTATAGCAGTGATGGTCAGGACATCTTTGAAGACAATTAGATTCTGAGAGGATAATTTATATGTAGAATTAGGAATATTCATATCACTCAGAAGTATCATAAAAACCATTCTTTCACAATAACTTTTCCACTCAAACATCGCCGAACTTGATTACCAAGACCCTAACTGTATTTCACTTCTTTGCAGTATTTGAAGTTGGAGGGAAGGGCTTCCACAGCTGAAGAGTTTGGCTAAACCATGGGACCCTTTCACATTGGCTGAGGGGGTGACAGTGGGTATTGATCCAAGCCAGCCCGCCCTTACTTGGTTGGAACTCTGTTTTAGTACTTGGGGGTGACAGGGGAAAGGCCTGGAGAGCATCAGTCCTCCATGAGTCTTAGCTGCTCCACGAGAAAAATACTCACTGTTTTCTCATAGGCATTGCCACAGTATTCTCTGACGAGTGTTTAGCAGGCATGGCCTGGTCTGGGAAAGTCCTCTATTCCTTGGCCCTGCCTGGAAGTTGTGGTGCGGGGAGGCCATGGATTGGAAGAAACCCTAAGGTGGATATCCGAAGGGCTCTTAAATGTTGCTTGTGGCAGCTGGGAACAGGGATACTAATGAGGAAGGACAAGCTCTTCGATTTCAGGTGGTTCAGGAGCCTCAGGCAGGAGTCAGATTTAAGGGATAAGTGGTTCCTATTTTCAGTATCTCTCCTCCACAGGTCTTTATGGAAAATCTTAAAACCCACTCTTGTCATCCGAACTGGATAATGCAGGTTCTTGGCCCTTCCAGTGCTACATTGAACCAAGGGTTCAGAAACAATTGAGCGGTGGGTGGTCAGTTCCAAAGTGGCGCTTAGAGGAAGTCTCGAAGTGAAGAGGGAGGTTTAGGGAATGAGTTTGGAGTCGTGTTTTCATTTCTTTTGGTTGAAGGAATTTAAGAGTATCGTCTTTATCTGGTTTTATGTATTGCTTTTCTTTTTGTTTGGGGTAGGTGATTAAAAATAGAAAAGTGGGGAAAGAGACAAATTTAGCCTTCAACAAGCTCTCGGTGATCTGTGACCATATTGTTTTCACTGAAGATTATTTACAACATGATGCGGCCTTGGTTGCTGCTGAGCTGGCTTCAGGGCAGTAGATAGGAAGGATGTTTCCAAGGAAAACTACTCTGAATGAACTTGTCCTTGGGTATGTGAGTAACTGATATCAACCAAACCAAATGTCAATAAGTCATTCATTGTGAATCATCCTTTTTCGGTCTTGACACTGCACGTACCAGATCAGTTGATCTCTCTCCTTTGTAAGTCTTTCAAAAGACGCATACATTAGATTTTTTTTTTTTTTAGGACAGGGTCTCGCTCTGTTGCCCAGGCTGGAGTGCAGTGGTGTGACCCTGGCTCACTGTTACCTCCGCTTCCTGGGTTCAAGCAATTCTCCTGCCTCAGTCTCTCGAGTAGCTGGGATTACAGGCACCCGCCACCACGCCTGGCTAATTTTTGTATTTTAGTAGAGATGAGGTTTCACCATATTGGCCAGGCTGATCTTGAACTCCTGACCTCAAGTGATCCATCCGCCTCGGCCTCCCAAAATGCTAGGATTATAGGTGTGAGCCACTGCGCCAGCCCATACATTGGATTTTATTTTCCTCCAACAGCGTGGACTCTACCCAGTCTTCCTGGTTCTGGTTTTCCAATAGTTTTCTTTTCTTGAAGGTGGTCACTGTTTCTTAAATGTTTATAGATTTACTTTAGCTTTCCATTAAGAAATCAAGTAAATCAGATGTACTTGTCCTAATGTAGTAATATAGATAATAAAATTGTTAGTGGTTAATATTTCCTGAACATGTTCTCTGCGTCAGGCACCAATCTAAGTGGGACTTGGCTCAGTTTCCACAAAGCCCCATGGAATCTGGTTTACAGAGAACAATGTGAGAGTGTCTGTTTCCCCACAGCCTTGCTATAGAGGCCATGGTATCATCTAGTGACAATTTTCATCACCTGCTCTATTAAGCCACTTGCGTGTTCTAGAAGGGGTTGAGCTCTTTCTTTCTTTCTTTCTTTCTTTTTTGATACGGAGTTTCGCTCTTGTTGCCCAGGCCAGAGTGCAGTGGCACCATCTTGTCTCACTGCAACCTCTGCCTCCCGGGTTCAAGCGATTCTCCTGCCTCAGTCTCCTGAGTAGCTGGAATTACAGGCATGCGCCACCACACTGGAGTAACTTTTTGTATTTTTAGTAGAGACTGGGTTTCATCATGTTGGCCAGACTGGTCTTGAACTCCAGACCTCAGGTGATCCACCCACCTTGGCCTCTCAAAGTGCAGGGGATTACAGGCATGAGCCACCACCATGCCCAGCTGGGTTGAGCTCTTTCTCACCTGTACCTTTTAGTGCCACTTCCTCTGAGCAGACTCTCCCACTCTTTAGCCTTCCTGATGCCTCTTGGCTCTCCAGGCTGGGTGTCATCTGTCCTCTGCTCAATTGTCCCACGATTTCCAATGTTCAATGTTATAATTGCCTGGTGGTTGTTGGATGCCTTCACTGGATCCTGAGCTCCTTAAGGTTGAGATAAGTCTCACTTTTGTGTCTCATGGGCCTGGGACACAGGAGATAACAGGTGAAGTCTGTTGATCTTACCTGATGGGGAAATGTATTTTTTCTGTCTCCCTCAACTAGTGAGGTGCCTTGCAGGTTTTTTTTTTTTTTTCCTCTTTGTTTTTTAATTTTTTGAGACAGAGTCTCAGTCTATATAGCCCAGGCTGGAGTGCAGTCGTGCGATCTTGGCTCACTGCGACCTCTGCCTCCCAGGTTCAAGCAATTCTTATGCCTCAGTCAGCCGAGTAGTTGGGATTACAGGCATGTGCCGCCATGCCAGGCTAATTTTTGTATTTTAGTAGAGATGGGATTTTGCCATGTTGTCCAGGCTGGTCTCAAACTCCTGGCCTCAGGGGATCCACCCGCCTCAGCCTCCCGAAGTGTTGAGATTACAGGTGTGAGCCACTGTGCCTGGCTGCCTTGCGGGCTTTTAGGCACCTCAATGTCTAGTTTTGTCAGAATAGCATCCTAGAGGTCTTAGAAATCTTACCTGTTGGAGAAAGTTTTAAAGTGCCCCAAACATCCCAGCAGTTGTACATCCTTTCACTCACACTAAAATTCATCCTGTTTTGCTTTCACAGGTATGTACATTTTGATGAAAAGACACTGCAAAGATGAGCACCAGCTAGCCAAATTGTGTAGTAAACATTGCATGTCTATCTGTGTGTGTTTTATTGTTTTGTTATTTTATTTAGTCAACCCTTTTGTTATTTTACCATAAGTTCATTTACACAGGGTAATCTTCTCCCATTACAGTTGCATGGAAGGAATCTTAGAGGAAACAGTTACTGATTTTCTTAGTGTGAGACCAGAAAAATGAAGCGTTGGTATTGGCCTTGGGGATTTGCTGTCCTTTATCCTCGGTAAAGCAAACCAGCCATCCGAATGTAAAGGCAGCTCCTTTCTTTCCATAAGTAATAAGTCATGATTTCTTAATGAGGCAAATTATCTATCATTTAGTGAATTCATAGTATTTGTTACAAGTAAATTCATTAAGAAAGAGCGCTATTCCAATAAAGCCAATTTAATTACGCAGACAATTAAGGGGCATCTTCCATGTGCTCTGCACTGTGCTAGCCACGGGGTGGATATAGAAATGGACAAACTAGGGATGGGCTTATTTATTTATTTATTTGTTTGTTTTGAGACGGAGTCTCACCCTGTCACCCAGGCTGGAGTGCAGTGGCACGATCTTGGCTCACTGCAACCTCTGCCTCCCGGGTTCAAACGATTCTTCTGCCTCAGCCTCCCGAGTACCTGGGACTACAGGCGCGTGCCACCATGCCTGGCTAATTTTTGTATTTTTAGTAGAGATGGGGTTTCAGCATATTGGCCAGGCTGGTCTGAAACTCCTGACCTTGTGATCTGCCTGCCTTGGCCTCCCAAATTGCTGGGATTACAGGCATGAGTCACCGTGCCTGGCCTGGAATGGGCTTTTTAAAGGAGATTATAGCCAAGGGCAGTGGTGTGCACCTGTAGTCCCAGCTACTCAGGAGGCTGAGGCAGGAGGATCACTTGAGCTCAGGAGCACTGAGCTGTAGTGCACTGTGCCAGTTGAGTGCACTAAGTTTGGCATCAATATGGTGACCTCCCAGGAGTCGGGGACCACCAGGTTGCCTGAGGGAGGTGTGAACCTACCCAGGTCAGAACTGGAGCAGATCAAGACTCCCATGCTGATCAGTAGTGGGATCTCACCTGTGAATAGCCACTGCACTCCAGCCTGACCAACATAGACCCCATCTCAATCAATCAGTAAATTCATTTATTCATTCATAGGAATCACAGACAAGGGAGTCACTTACCATAAAAAATATACAAAATAAATGACTCCAGAGGCATAAAACCAAAGGGGTTTTGTGCCAAAAAATAGGAATCAAGGAAGTAACATTTGAATTTGATCTTAGGGAATGGATGTACCTTAAACAAGTAGCCCTGTATGGAGAAGAGGAGAGAGGGAACGATAATGAAGAACAGAGACGTGGAGGCCGGAAGATGCCAGCTCTACCAGAAAAAGTAGCAAAAGTCAATGTGATTGAAGTAGGGGGAGTGCGGGAGCAGGGAGGGTGTGATTGATGCCTGGCAGCTGCCCGTAACGTATGATGCAGTATGGTTTTCGCCTGATTTGGGGTTTCCAGTTCTCCCTGGCTGCTGACGGGGCTCCCTCAGGCACACATTAATGGATTCACTCAGCCAGTGATTTTTCTGTTTTCTCTTTCATTTCCACTTTTCTATCCCATCATGGTTTTCTGCATAACCCCATCTGATTTTAGACCAATTTTGATGTGATTTTTTTCTTCTACGTGAGTGGCTCAGTGAAGGCTTTCGAATACTATTTTCCCACTTGCATACTGTTTCAGAACTGAAGAAGGTAAAATCTAATTGTACCAGGTTTTTGAAAAGCAGTAGTTTCCATTGTATGTGTTTAAAAAGTCCCCAAAGGTCTATCTGTAAGAATCTTTGAAAAGACACATTGCAGCCCAAACCTTAGGAGAAAAGAAAAAGGGGACTTCACATTGTAAAAGCAGCATTTATCTTTGCATCTTGAAGTTCCTAGAATAGGCTCTCGCCTTTATAAGTGGAGTTTTCTTGTGGCTTTTGTGGGGAGAATTCACTAGAATTAGGGCAGATTTTCTGGAAAGTCCCGAAATTCAGTGTTCTGTTGGATTTCTGGCATCTATTGAGCAAGACAGTTGGGATAATGAGTCTTGGTATTAAATGTATTCTACGGGAGGGAGGAGAGAGAAGTGGGAGGAAGGTGTATCCGTCTTGCTGGCTTCCTGCAGCTTAAGTAGGAGGAAGAAAAGGAGAGGGTGTGAGTAGATGACCCAAGCCCTGGACTAAGCCCTTTAGGTACATGATCTCATTTAATCCCCTTTTCAGAGGAAACTGCCTGAGATATGTTTGACCCAGGCTTTGTGCTCTTAGCCACTAAATGGCTTCCCTTTACTGATGATTTTACTCTGCCTTTATCCTATAGTTACTTATAGGCAGCTATATTTACTTCCTCCAAATAGATTAACTCTTTGTATACTCTTTGGTACCTGGAATAAGTCCTGTGTAATCCTAAACGCTCAATAAATATTTCTTAAAATGAAGATAATTCTCCTTGACAGAAAATTGATCTTACTGAGCATATATCCACTGAGAAAACAGACGTATGAATGTTTAATACTCCCTGATTATCGTATGCTTTCTTATTTAAGCAGAAGTATTAAACGCATGCCAAAGGCTCACATAAATGATTTATTATGCACCAATTAACGTTATCTGAGCCATGGTTTTTCTTTGTTGTTATGAATTGAGCATTGACAGCAAGGCAGCACTCATTTACCTTTTGTTTCTATGCAGAAAACATTTCAAATAGGCAACTGTTGTCTCTCCTGAGTAGTCTGAGAAATGTGAATGGAGACATTTGTATTAGGTGTCCATCTCGTGACCAATATGCTTTGTACTTTTGAAGTTTGCTTTATCCTTAAGATTGTGAGAACTGTAAATCTGCCACTGGAACCATCCCTGCAGATTGTCATAATGTGATCAGCTCTAAAAAGCTTCCTGCTTTTTAGAGTGTGTACCCTTAAGGATAACAATCATATAGATAACCTTTTAGATGTCAACACAGGCGATCTTTTTATGTGTTTTATTCATGATGCAATTTACAGTACTTAAAGGAAAAAAAATCCAGAAGCCTTACAAGGTCTTTAATAAGTACAAATATAGATTGCTATAGGTAGAAAGTATGCTTTAAAGCAAACTTTTTTACACCATTTTCTGAGGCTTTTATTAATTACTCTGTTTTCCAGCGAGGCTTTTTCATAGGGATATGCACCTGACTAACTTATTAAAAGTAAATTGCCTTTGTGGTCTTATTTTCAGGGCGTGGTGCTGAAGTTAGAAGGCGATTGGGCAGTTTTGTTTTCTACAGAGAAAACACAATCTGGGAAGAGATCTTAATTGACCTATTAGCTGAATTGAGGAGATGAATTAGTTGTAGAAAATTTGTCAAAGTTAAATAATAGCAGTGAGTTTGAAGGGGTGAGCTAGCAGAACTAGAAGAGAAAGGAGAATGAGAAGTAACTCACAGGCCAGCTGCATAATGGGTAGAGCGAGCTATAGGTGAACTGTGAGTAGCTGGCTTGCTCTGTTGGCTGAATTCCTTGAAAAGAAAGGATGAGACATTTTTACTCCAGTAAATCTTATGTGTATCTCTTGTGGATTGAAGAAATTATTGACTCAATATGATTTAAGTTAGAGACAAAGCACACTCACAAAATTCCAAAATCAGTCTTTTAAAAAAAGCACTTCATAGTGAGCAAATTTTAAATTAAATCATCATCTAAATTGTGACATGCATTGAGAGGAACAGGTGAGGTTTTTACTCCACGTTGGTCTCCATGTAACAATAATTTTCATGTCAAAATGATCTTTTCAGGTTTTCAGGTTGCCCTCTTCCCCTCTCCTTTCTGTTTTCAGATAATTGGATGAAAGTAAAATCTTTTGAAAACATTGCTTTCAGCGTGCCAAAAGCAAGGCATTTATAACTGGCCTCAATTTGCAAACAATTTAGGAGTTTGATAAGTTTCTAACAGGACCATGGTGAGTTCACAAAATCTGATTTCTTTAATGGAAACAAAAAGTGTGCTTTGTGGAAGTTGATGTTAGGAATTACAAAGAAACCCACTGTTCAGCACAAGTGCGCAGGCCTTTGGCCAAGAATTCCTCAGCTTGGAACCTGAGCTAAGAAAAAGCCCCTGGTCACACCTGTGGATAAAAGACTTAGTGAGAGCTGGGAGGACAGGTGAAAAATGATGGTTTGGAAGCCAGAGACTGTTAAATAGAAGTGACAGAGGTGAGAGAGGTATCCAGGAAAAGCCACTGCTGTACCTAAAACAGTAGTTAAAAGGAATTAAAAATGTAAAGTCTTAGACGTTTGGAACTCTGCTATTTCTGTACCTTTCTAAATGATCTTCTCAGCCCTTCAGAGTCTGTTACACTGTTGCATTCTAAAAGATGGTCTTGATAGTAAATGGGGTAAAATGGTCTCATCAGGTCTATTTTTCTCTCCTGGTTAAATGTCTACTTAGGTTAAATAAAAGCTGTCCTGTTGTAGTCAAAACAATTAGTTCCTGGCCTCATAAGACCAGGTTTGAATCTGAGCTGTGTTTTTGCTGGCTTTATGGTATTGGGCAAGTTGGCAATGTTCAACTTAATTATGTCTTCTCATTTGCTAAATGGATACCAATTTATGAGACTATGCTCACAAACCTAAAGTGAACAGGTGAAAGACCCTCTGCAAAATAGCTGCTCAATAAACTGTTGCATGCTAATCCTAAATAAGCACTTAAGAGGTATCAGTTACAATGAATTCCCTGTGTTTATAAAATAACTTACAGGTGCAGTTCCTCTTCATAGGGAGTAACATGAATGAGTAACATCACATCACCATACTGTTCTGAGAGGTACTTGGCAGATTGGTCAATACTGTGAACTCAGAACTCCAACCGTGGGATCCCAGCCATCCATTCAGTGGCATTTCTACCAGAACATCTGTGTAAGAGATTGAAGGTTAATTTTGGCAATTCTTACCTTGTACAGAATTCTGTGCATTTTAAGTTAAATTACTGTAGGTGATTGGGGATTTTGAAAATCTAGGCTCAATTGTTGACAATTCCAGTGACCTTTGGTCTGGAGCAAATCCCTTAGCCTATATATATACACACATATATGTGTGTGTGTGTGTGTTTATCTATATGTGTGTGTATATATGTGTGTGTGTGTGTGTGTGTATATGTATATATATATATATATATATATTTTTTTTTTTTTTTTTTTTTTTTTGGAGACAGGGTCTCTGTCACCCAGGCTGGAGTGCAGTGGTGCGATCTCGACTCAAGGCAACCTCCATCTCCCAGGCTCAAGTGATCCTCCCACCTCAGCCTCCTGAGTAGCTGGGACTACAGGCATACACCACCACATCCGGCTAATTTTTGTATTTTTTTGTAGAGACGGGATTGCGCTATGTTGTCCAGGCTGGTCTCGAACTCCTGAGCTCAAGTAATCTGCCCACCCCAGCCTCCCAAAGTGCTGAGATTACAGGCATAAGCCACCATGCCTGGTCTCTTAGCCTGCATATTTCATGTTTCTCGTTCATAATATAAAGACAGAAAAGGTGCTTCCTATGGGAAGATAGATGTGGACACAATTTCACAAATTAAGTTTTATACAAATGTAAAGTACTGCAATTCATGTTGACCTCTCAGCTTAGTTGGTTTTAGAGTAAAGGGGTTAGCTAGAGGCCTGAGTCTTGCTCCCTGGCCTGGCCCAAATTACCTGACCCAGGAGACATCTCAACCTCTCTAGCTTTTAGTTTCGTAATCTGTAGATCGTGAGGGGGGTTGACTCCATGATTCCGTGAGCTTTCTTCTCAAGCATCTCATTCTAGAATATTCCATCGGTCCTTTTCTGTCACCTTCTTCCCAAGTGGTTGTGAAAGGGTGGCTTGTAGGCATTAGGCCAGAGCTGTGTGTTAGCCATAATTCAGATAATACAGCTTATAATTCAGCTTGTGTTGATCAGAAACTCTGCCTAAGGGAAGGCCCAGGTAAAACCTGTAAAGTCCTGGAGTTTCATCACAGATGATGCTATTGCAGAGCCTCCAAGATTTTGCCTCTTTTTTATGAGCTTTGGTGACTACCCCAGCCTAATGAGGTCCAAGATATCCCAGTACTTCCACGGGAGGATCATGTGAAGATTGCTGTCTGGTTCCAAAATTCCCTCCTAAAACAGCAAGGGTGGCACCTGGGGAGGAGGAGGGACCTGGGGGAGGAGGAGGGACCTGTGAGAGGGGTATCAGTGATTCTGCAGGTGATTCCTCCTCTTCCTGTCCTCTTATTAAAATTCCCTGAGGCTGACTTCAGCTAGATGTTGATCAGATTAAAGCAGTTGGTGCTGGGATGGATTAATAAGCTTGAAATTTTTTAACTTGGATGCCTTGAGGTACTTATTTCATCCCCAAGCATTTTCCATCTCTATCCCAACTAGTCCAGTAAAACCTGTGGCATTGCTGAGCAATAAGCAATGCACCTGCCCGTTTTCACTATTGGATCTGGCTCTGTCCACTCTTTTCTGGGAGAACAGAGGGGATGGGTGGCGTGATGGCCCACTGAGTGCTGGGCTTCTCCATCCTCCATCTGAGTTGGCTGCATTCCTGTCCCAGGTGTCCTCTGCCTCTGTTGAGCCCCTGCCACTGCTACCTCCAAGTGTCCTTCCTTCCCTCCACATGCAGAATGGAGCTTTCCATCCCCAAAGAACTCGAGCAGCCTGTTTGCATCACTGCCAGGAGACCTGTTTGGTACTGCCAAGCACTGCAGGTATTTCTAGCTCAGTTGTCTTATCATTAGGGTGAACATATTTATCCTCTAAACCAGGACACTTTTGAAAGTGAAGGGAGGAGAGCCATTAATAATTAAGCTGGGACAACAGTCATAAACCAGGATTGTCTGGGCAGACTCAAACATGTGGTCGCCCTACTTGTTCCCTGTACTTGATGGAAGCCTTCCTGACGGTAAGGACAGTCCTTCCACATCCCCTCAACCTCCACAGTGGCACAGACATAATTATATTGAATGAAGCGATAAATAAAGCTATTTTGATACTTTTTTTTTTTTTTTTTTTTTGAGATGGAGTCTTGCTCTGTCGCCCAGGCTGGAGTGCAGTGGCATGATCTCGGCTTACTGCAACCTCTGCCTCCCGGGTTCAAGCAATTTTCCTGCCTCAGCCTCTGGAGTAGCTGGGACTACGGGTGCACACCACCATAGCTGGCTATTTTGATAAGCTTTAATGACAGGGATGGCGAACAGTGGTTAACAGTTAGTGAGGCATTGCCAGGTGCAGTATGTGAGGTCAGCACTTTGTATAATTATTTAATCTTCACAATAGCGCTATAGATTTGATACTATTTTTTTTCTTTTCTTTTCTTTTTTTTTTTTTTTTTTTTGAGACAGGGTCTCACTCTGTCGCCCAAGATGCGTGTAGTGGTGTGATCATAGGTCACTGCAACCTGGAACTCCCAGGCTCAAGCAATCCTTCCACCTCAGACTCCCAAGTAGCTGGGACTACAGGTGCATGCCACCATGCCCGGCTAACATTTTATGTTTTGTAGAGACGGGGTCTCATTATGTTGCCCAGGCTGGTCTTGAACTCCTGGACTCAAGCGATCCACCACTGCCCATCCTATTTTTCTGTTTTTCAGAGAAGAATATTGATGCCTAGAGAAGTTAAGTTGCTTGAGAGCAGAGAGTAAGCAGCAAAGCTAGGGTTCAAACCCAGAGTGTAATCTCATAGGTGCTGTATTATACAGATAAGCTAGATGCAGGGGCAGGCTGGTTTGTAAGAGGGCATGTTGCCTGTAGCATTTCTCCTTAGTGAATCTCCGAAACAAATCACATCCTGTTTATTTCCAACAAAAGAGAACAAATTTGGGATTATATCTGATTATAGCATGCGAGTAGCAAATAAGATATGATGTATGTATTTTTGCAGTTTTTTCTTTCCAAGTTCCCCCATCTTTGGCCAAAATATCACATTTTAAACCAATGAAGAGTTAAATCTAGAGTTAATCACTTAGCATCAGCAGTGCAGCCAGAATTCTCATCTCCTGATTCTAAAACTGCCTGACCCTACCCTGGAGTCACTGATCAGGTTGAGAGGAGTTCAGAATGAAGAGAGAATTGTTTCAACCACCTGTTCTGCATGAGAGCCTTTCACCATTTTCTGTGTGTTTGTGAAATGACCATTCTGAAGTTCAGATCCACATATAAGACTCATTCAAAATGATCTTCCTCAATGGAAACCGGGGGTGAGATTTGAACCTGAGAGAGACAGTCTGCTCTGGTTGATGAACAGCATAGCTCTGGACCCAGACTGCCTGGGTTTACATCTCAGCTCTGCCACTTCTAACTTTGTGATTCAGGCAAATTATTTAACTCCCAGTTTTTTTATCTGTAACATGGGGATAATAACAGCATAAGAGCACTAGCCACACTGGATGGCTATAAGATTGAAATCAATTACTATGTGTAAAAATCTTAGAATAGGGCCTGGCATAAAGCGACACTGTGACTGTTTTATCTGTAATATATATGTTGCTTTTTAAAGGCCACTAGGTGATACATTAGAGCAGGCAGGGTGCCATCGAATGACCCAACCCTTTGTCATCTGGCAATATTGCCTAAAATCCAGACGGTGGATTTTCACCTTCAAAGTGGTTCTTTGGGCACAAGGCAAGTCTTCCGAAACTCCCTACTTGATGCCTGGCGTATTATAGGCGTCTCATATTTTTTGTTAAATTGAACTGAAAAATTGAAGCGCTTTGTATCTAAACAAATGTAGAAAAGTGAGACGCTGTATCCAGGGTCTGAAGTTGAAAAGATTTAAAATGTGGATGGAAACTTCAGGGATGGGGGTTGCATGGGATGTTTGTAATTACTTATGGATGATATGAAGATAGTACCTGCTGTATTTTACCATGTATATGAGTCTCGTGGGGACTTCATTTAAAAATGTGTCTTCTGCATCTGAGATCCTGACTCAGGAGGTCTAGATGGGACCCAGGAATCTGCACTGACACAGGCGGTCTGTGAACCAGACTTGGAGAAACACTATTTTAGTCCAGCGTCTTGGATGCATGAGCTTATAGTTCCTTGACAATGGCAAAATTAGAAGTCTAACTGAAATCACCTACAAGATGTGCATGTATTACATATACCATTGGAGACACCCACTCGGAGTTTTCTTATTGAGAGAACATTTCAGTTTTGATTTCATAGGTAATTGGGCGGTACTGATGAATCACTAGGTTTTTTTTAAATGTAAGCAGTGATACATCCACAAACACTTTCCTGAGAGGTGATAGTCTCACGCAAAATTTAAGAAACTTTTATTCTTGGCTTAATCTTTGTGACTGTATTTTGTGTTATGTGTATTCTTTATTTTGAGACATCCTGAAATCCTTAAATTTTGCTCATTTTCTTAAAAGCCAAATCCCACATAACTATGTAAGTATATTCTTTTTCAGCAGTTTTCTCTGGGGAGTTTCCTAAATAAATGAATTGAATGGGGGAGCCATGATGAATGGGTCAGTATGCTCATTGCAGTGCCATCTCTTAAAGGGATAAACTGGCAGCAATCTAAAAGGGCAACAGGCCAGGCGCAGTGGCTCGCACCTGTAATCCCAGTACTTTGGGAAGCCGAGGCAGGCAGATCACTTGAGGTCAGGAATTCGAGACCAGCCTGCCCAACACGGTGAAAACCCTGCCTCTACTAAAATACAAAAATTAGCCGGGCTTGGTGGCGGGCACCTATAATCCCAGCTACTTGGGAGGCTGAGTTCCAGCAGAATTGCTGGAACCTGGGAGGTGGAGGTTGCAGTGAGTCAAGATTGCGCCACTGCACTCCAGCCTGGGTGACAGAGTGAGACTCCTTCTCAAAAAAGAGGGGAACAAAGGGAGAGAGATTGATTTATGGCTCACATGCATAATAAATATACCTAACAATTAACTATGAAAATGTAGTGTATTTGCTGTCATGAAAAGATGTTTGATAATCATCTTTTATGTAAGTGAACAAGCATGTTAAAGAACACATTGTAAAAAAATATCATAATACAGCCAGTATTTACTGAGTACTTGCTATGTGGTGGACACTTGGAACGCATTATCTCATTTAATCCTCCCGTAAACCTGTGTGTTTAAAGTACTATTATCTGTATTTTCTGATGAGAGACTTGTGGCCCAGAGAGGGTAAGTGACTTGTCCAAGGTCGTACAGCCTGTAAATGTTCCCCAAAAGCCCATGTACTTTCTTCACTGTCATGCATTACTGCACCTGGGGCAGTAGCTACACACTTTGTTTAAAGGGCCTGTATGAATACCCCAAAATATTCATGATATCGATTCAAGTTGTAGGAGTTTGGTGATTTGATTAATTTTTCTTTCTGCTTCCCTGCATTTTCTTTTTTCTTCCAACAGCCAGTTATTAAGTCAACCAACAAATAATTCTAATGGCTTCCTAAATGTAGAAAGTTGGTTAATTTTGGTATTGCTTTTGCCATTCAGGGATTTACATAGGGACAATCACAGAGATGCTAAACCAGTTAACCTTTGTAGGAAAGCGGCCATTAAAACCCTCCCTCCTGTTTTCACGATCACTTTCATCCTAAAATCGGGTAGATTACCTCTGCGTTTGTAACATCTTCAGTATTCAAGGCTTGGATGTAGGAGAGAAGCCAGTTTAAATGGTCCTCACTTGTTTAGCACCTACTTATCACCCCGGGAGCCCTTAGAGTTAATAAGGAGCCCAGTGCACCGGTGATCAGCTACTTTATTTCCAGAAGTGGGATGTGGGGGCCCTGCTGCTGCAGTGGGGGTTTGAGGGCAGCTGTTCACCTGGGTGCATGTCCTGGATCTCATGTTGGGGGCGGCAGTGCTCCCCTGGAAGGGGATGAGCCAGGGAGGAGTCCGCAAGGGAGGATGGGCCAGGGAGGGAGGGCTCTGAAGCACACCCTTGCTCCCTGGGCAGGGTCTGCATCCAGGGCTCCTTCCTTCCGCCTGGAGCTTTCCCATGAATCCTTCCTCCACCACCTCCTCAACTAGCACCTCCAGCTCGCCCCGCCTGACCCAGCTCCCTCAGCCCATGTGTCCCCGCTTTGCCAGCTCTTCTGTGTGCTAAGTGGCACGGACTGCTGTCTGTGGCTTCAGTCCCCGGTGGGGGAGCGCTGGGGTGTTCCGCCTCCTAAGAGACTGTTGGTTGAGGGCCCGCATATCTGTTTCTGGGTTTGGTGCTATCAAGGTCACACGGGTGTCGCCCCAGACTCCTCTGCTGCTTACAGGGCCTCATGCTGGCGTCACCATGGCATCAGCCCAGCCTAGTGGAGACTTGCTATCTGATTTCCATCATCCTCCATTCCCCTTTGCACCGCAGCCCCCTGAATTAATTAAGCAAGCAAGCAAACAATCAAGTCTTGTTCGACACTGTTAAAGGGAGCAGGCTTCCTGGTCTGTGGGGAGCTGCAGGGGAGGGATGTGATGACTTAATTACAACTGCCACTTGACTGAGTGTCTGCTAAGTGCAGGGTGCTGAGTTGCATTCTTTTTTTTTTTTTTTTTTTTCTTTCTGAGACACGGTCTTGCTCTGTCGTCCAGGCTGGAGCACAGTGGCTTGATCTTGGCTCACTGCAACCTCTGCTTCCTGGGTTCAAGCAGTTCTCATGTGTCAGTCTCCCGAGTAGCTGGGACTACAGGCACTTGCCACCATGCCTGGCCAATTTTTTATTTGTATTTTTAGTAGAGATGGGATTTCACCATGCTGCCCAGGGTGGTCTCAAACTCCTGGCCTCAAGAAATCTGCCCGCCTTGGCCTCTCGAAGTGCTGGGATTACAGGCATGAGACACCGCACCCGGCCTTAGTTGCATTCTTTATTCTGTTGAATCTTTATCCTTTCTGCATGGTATGCAGCCTTGAGGGGGGTAATAGCTTAATGGGAGAATTTATAGTTTTACCTGTATATTCGGTGGAAGATTTCAGGTGAGCAGAAGTTCTGGGAGGATTAAGCGTCGAGGGAGATCTTGAGAATGAACACAGTTGAAAATGAAATCAGTCCAGTTGTAAGTAATAAGTGATCGAGGAAAAGGAAGTTCCTTCACCTGGTTAATGAATATTTATTGCCTGTCACCCGGAAAAACCCTGGTCTCAGAAGACTTAAGGGTACCGGGTTTGTACAACAGGCAGCTTTTGCATTGGACTTGCTGGCTGAAGCCAGATACCTACATGGGCTGTATAGTGATGGATGCTTCATTCTTCCTTGGTCTGCTTGGTTGGAAGTGGAGTCGATGGTGCTTCTAGCTGATCCCCTTACCTCTGAATTTTGTCCCGGTAGCTGGTGACTCCTTGGTGAAGTCAGTTTAAGTCTCTGGGAAAAGCATCCCATGCATATCATATTCCAAATGTTCTGTGTAAGCCCCAGGTTTCTTTCACAGGCCTTGTGTTATTAGAGTTCTGGGGGCAGTTCTTGAGGGCATGTGTCTTTTCTGCCAATATTTAAAATAGTTGTTGGCTTTAGGCTTGTTTTACACTTCAGGTCATCTACAAAGGAAATGTTAATTTGGGGGAAAAGAGATGCAATGAAGAGATAAATATATAAAGATACAGAGGCTCATAAACACTCTGGTTCACAGCTCCTGGCCAGCCCTGTCCATAGGAGCCATATGGACCCGGCATGTGGCTTAATCCTCGTAAGCCTGGGTCCCTCAGACAACTGTGAAGGGGGATATTGCTACCTGCTTGCTAACATGCTGAGCTGTGAAGATAACTGAGGTCATGGATAATGAAGTGCTGGGCACTTGCAAAACATGATTTACAATCTCAGCAAAGACTTCATTGTTTATTCAGTATATATTTATTGACTTCCTTCTGTGTGCTGGGTACAGAGCCACATACCAGCTCTCCTTGGAGTGTAGTCCCTGGGCAGGAAGCTTCAGCCTGATGGAAACACTGTTTCCTAGGTTTCCTGGGCCCTGCTGAAGCCGGCTGCATCAGAATCTTCAGGAATCAGTGTTTAACCACCCTCCCCTGACTGATACCTAGTCATGTTTGAGAAGGCCCCCTGGCACAGTAGGAGAGGTTCAGAGACAAGCTAACTGCTATGGGCGAGGCTGGCACAGGCAGTGGAAGGTGGTAGTAAAAGAACAGGTGGTCTGGCCTGGCGCGGTGGCTCACGCCTGTAATCCCAGCACTTTGGGAGACCAAGGCGGGTGGATCACCTGAGGTCAGGAGTTCAAGACCGGGCTGGCCAACATGGTAAAACCCCATCTCTTCTAAAACTACAAAAATTATCTGGGCATGGTGGTGGGCGCCTGTAAGTCCAGCTACTTGGGAGGCTGAGGCAGGAGAATCGCTTGAACCTGGGAGGCAGAGACTGCACAGAGGCTGCAGTGAGCCGAGATCATGCCACTGCACTTCAGCCTGGGTGACAGAGCGAGACTCTGTCTCAAAAAAAAAAAAATTGAATAGGTCGTCTGCTGGGTGAGGACCCCTCCACCCCAGCTCTCATCCCCTGGCCCGAGGGTTGGAGCACTAGACTTCATGTACCAGTTCAGGATATGCATATCTGGGGAGCCGTCCTGGGCATCGGCATCTGGGAGAGGGGGTGAGGATGGGTGGGGGTCCCCATGTAAGTCCTTTCTTCAGGTTGTGGCTTCTGCATAGCTCCTTGTTGTGTGGACCTGTGAGTACACACCCTGGAAAGGCAAGTCAAGGCCTCCTCTCTGCTGGTTTCAAGTGGTGGAGAAGCCCTGCATGACTGAGGCAGAGAAGATGCTGGAAACTGTGGCACCAAACCACCTCAGAGCTTGAGTTCAGTCCCCTGCAAAATCCCAAAGCCTCCGGATTTATTTATTTATTTATTTATTTATTTGAGATGGAGTTTCACTCTTGTCGCCCAGGCTGGAATGCAATGGCATGATCTCAGCTCACTGCAACCTCTGCCTTCCAGGTTCAAGCGATTTTCCTGCCTCAGCCTCCCAAGTAGCTGGAATTACAGGTGTGTGCCACCACGCCCAGCTAATTTTGTATTTTTAGTAGAGATGGGGTTTTGCCATGTTGGCCAGGCTGGGCTCGAACTCTTGACCTCAGGTGATCCTCCTGCCTCAGCCTTCCAAAGTGCTGGGATTACAGGCATGAGTCGCTGTGTCAGGCCCCAAAGCCTCAGGATTTTAGAGCGTTGTCAATCCCCTTACTCTCTTGGCCACCTCAGAAAACCAAGAAACAGGAATTTACTTGTCCCAGGTCTATCTGGGGCTGAGCTAATGCAGAGCCTAGGTACACAGCTGCTTTTATATATATAGATATACGTGTATATATATACATGTATACATGTATATACGTATATATGTATATATATAATGCCTATATTATGTATATATAATGCCTATATTACATATATAATATCTATATTACATATATGTCTATATTTTATATATATAATGTCTATATTATATATATGTCTATATTATATATATAATGTCTATATTATATATATAAAATGTCTATTATATATATATAAAGTCTATGTTTTATATATATATATATATATATTTTTTTTTTTTTTTTTTTTTGAGGCAGGACCTCACTCTGTCTCCCAGGCTGCAGGTTGCTAATTAATTTTTTTCTTTTAATAGAGACAGATTCTCACTACATTGCCCAGGCTGGTCTTGAACTCCTGGCCTCAAGTGATCCTCCCCCTTCAACCTCCCAAAGTACTGGGATTAGGCATGAGCCCCTATCCCTGGCCTGCTGCTTATTATTGTCATTACTGTTCATCATGGTTTACTGTGAATGGATAAAAGGGAAAGTTAAGAACCATTGATGGGCACATTATATTGTACCCCACATGTTAATATAAAGGTTCTTCTAGGCTGGGTGTGGTGGCTTACGCCTGTAATCCCAGCACTTTGGGAGGCCCAAGTGGGTGGATCACCTGAGGTGAGGAGTTCGAGACCAGCCTGGGCAACATGGCAAAACCCTGTCTCTACTAAAAATACAAAAATTAGCTGGCTGTGGTGGCGTGTGCCTGTAGTCTCAGCTACTCAGGAGGCTGAGGCAGGAGAATCGCTTGAACCTGGAAGGCAGTGAGCTGAGATTGGGCCACTACACTCCAGCCTGGGCGACAGAGCGAGACTCTGTATCAAAAAAATGTTCTTCTGATTTTTTTCCCTCTATCACATATGCCATTTAAAATATAAGGGATATATGGAGGTATGATTCATGTATCATAAAATTCACCATTTTGGTGGTTTTTTAGTATTCACGGAATTGAATGACTATTAATACCATCTACTTTGGAACATTTTTGTCACTCCAGAAAGAAACCCCAGACCCCTTAGCAATCACTGTCTATTCTCCCTCTCTGTAGCCCCTGGCAACCATGAATCTACTTTCTGTCTCTTTGAATTTGCCTAGTTTGTACACTTCATATAAATGTAATTGAGCAGGCTGGGCGTAAAGTCTCACGCCTGTAATCCTAGCACTTTGGGAGACCAAGGCGGGCAAATCATTGAGGCCAGGAGTTCAAGACTGTCCTGTCCAACATGGTGTGAAACCCGGTCTCTACTAAAAATACAAAAATTAGCCTGGCGTGGTGGCACATGGCTGTAATCCCAGCTACTTGGGAGGGTGAGGCAGGAGAAATGCTTGAACTCAGGAGGCAGAGGTTGCAGTGAGCCAAGATCACACCACTACACTCCAACCTAAGCGACAGAGCGAGACTCCATCTCAAAAAAAAAAAAAAAGTAATGATATAATATGTGGCTTTTACTGTCTGGCTTCTTTCACTTAGCATTACATTTTTAAGGTTCATTTATACTGCAGAATGAATCAGTACTTCACCCCTTTTTATGGCTTAATAGTAATTGATTTTATTTATCAGTTGGTAGACAGTTGAGTTGTTTATACTTTGACTATTATGAACAGTGCTGCTGTGAACATTCAGTTGTGCATGAGTTTTTTTGTGGACGTGTGTGTTCATTCCTCTCGGGTATATACCTAGGACTGAAATTGCTGGATCATATGTTAATTCTGTGGTTAACATTTTAAGGAATTGCCAAGCTGTTTTCCAAAGAAGCGGCCCCATTTTACAATCCTACCAGCAGTATGGTAGAGTTCATGTTTCTCCACATCTTCACCAACATTTATTGTTCATCCTTTTTATTTAGTCAGCCTGGTAAGACCAATGATGCTGAGCATCTTTTCATGTGCTTATCAGCCATATGTGTTTTGGAGAAATGTTTCTTCATATTCTTTGCCCATTGTTTAATTGGGTTGTCTTTTTATTGTTGAGTTGGAAGAGTTATTTATATATTCTAAACATGAATCCCTTTATCAGGTACAGGATTTGCAGATAATTTTCTCCTATTCTGTGAGTTGTCTTTTAGTGATGCCCTTTGAAGCTTCACTAATTGTAATTTTGTAAGGAACAAATGTAAATTTTATACCAGGCTGCACTTTTTGCCTGTTCGGTTTTGGATTTTCTTATTGTTGGTATCATTCATGAAAGACTTAGCAGCATTTCATTGGTTAAAGCTAACTTCAATTTTGAGGAAGTCCAGTTTGTCTTTTTTTGGGAGGTCGGTCACTTATGCTTTTGGCGTCATAGCCAAGAAACCATTGCCAAATCTAAGGTCATGGATATTCCTTTGTTCCAAGAATTTTAAAGTGTTAGCAACTACACTTAGGTCTGTGATCTTTTCGAGTTAATTTTTGAGGTCTAATTTCTATTAAAAGTGATCTTTAGTCAAGGATATTGAAGTATAAAGCTAAAAAAAAAATAGCCTTGATTTTTCTAAAATGGACTGTGATACTCAGCTCTGTCCTGTCAATTACTAGTCACAGGATGCTAAAATTATAGGTTTAGTTTTTTAAGGGAATAAATAAATGCCTCAATCTCAAATTAATTTTGCTCTGAAATTGAGCTGACTACTAAGACGAGATCCAATTTAGGAAGTGTTTTGACATTACCCCCAGTGAGCAATTTGAGAAGCACATAAGCAAAAATAAGAAAGCATTCATGTGGGCTGCTTCATAGGGTTTTTTTTTTTTTAAGTGTTGTATTCAACCTTATGAGAAACACTTGAAAGTATGCAACTTGATTGTCTGCCCATACATACATATGTTCGGATGTGTAGGTACAATTTCTGTAGTTTTACTCAGGGAGTAAGTGATGTATCTCCTCAGGTTCCTAATAATTCCCTTTTCAAAAATGAATAAAATAATATTAGATACCTCATGGGGTTCTTGTGAGGATTAGAAAAGTTTATTAAAAGGGTTGGAATAAACCTGCCACTTAGTAAATGCTTATAAACTGCTTACTGTTATTAAGTATTCCATTTATTTATCCTGCTATTTCCAGTACATTTTAGCCACCAGCATAATCAGTACTTCTCACTTAATGTTAAATACTGCTATATTTTTGAATTATTGTATAAATATATGCTAATTATGATTTTTGCCTGCAGTAAAGGAATAATAAACAGTTCTCATGAATAACTTAAGTCTAATAATGTTTTTATTGTTTTATAACATATTTTTCATCTAATTGTAATTACTTAAATTCAGAAAAGCAATTGTAGAACTGGGTAGCAGAGTGTTTTGGTGTGTTACTTGTCCTGAATCACGATAGTTTAACCAATGAAATGATGCTAGATCTTCTGTGAATGCACCCAAAATAAAAAGCAAAACCAAATGGGCAAAAATACAGTCTCATATAAGATTTACATTTGTTCCTTATAAAGAATCTAAGGTATTTTTATTTTTTATTTTTCTTTTTTTTTTTTTGGAGACAGGGTCTCTTTCTGTCACTCACGCTAGAGTACAGTGGCACCATCATAGCTCACTGTAGCCTTGAACTCCTGGGCTCAAGAGATCCTCTTGCTTCAGCCTCCAGAATAGCAGGGACTACAGGTGCAAGCCACCACGCCCAGCTAAGTTTTATATTTTTTTTGTAGAGCTGGGGTCTCGCTATGTTGGCTGGGCTGGTCTCAAACTCTTGGCCTCAAGCAGTCCCCCTGCCTCGGCCTCCCAAAGTGCTGGGATTACAAGTGTGAGCCACTGTGCCTGGCCAGGTGTCTACTTTCTCTCCCAGACCAAACAGGAGAAAAGTTCTGAATTTGAAAGGGAAACTCATGGAGCATTTTGAAGATAGCTTTAGGCCAATTATGAGTCAGTTTTTCTAGCTTGGAGTTCAAGGAGCAAAGACGGTTTGTTTGGATGGATGACCTGTGGAAGGACTAAATCCACCTGGTGGAAGGTTCAGGATGACAACCCCATGGACATCCAGGTAGAAATGAAATGACCACTGGGCATCAGCATGAGAGGGAGGGCCATGAAGTTTAAATTTGAGAGGAGGAGAAGGATTGGACAATCAAGGTTGTAAAGGTAGCTTGAGGCCAGTTTGGACTTCATTCCATATCTTGCTCTATTCTACAAGGAGTCAGATTTGCCTATGAATGTACTTATGTAGCATGGAGCAGCAAAATAGATGTGGATTTGCTAACACATAAAGCTAAAATTTAATAGACCATCCCCACTGTCTTCCAGGTTTTCAATTTTACTGCCCTGCTTGCTGGCTTCTAAGAAATAGTTTAGCTTCTTTTACCATCACTTTTTAGACATTCTGTGATTTCTCTCTGACCTGTTGTTTCCAAAGCAACAGCATGTGGCCAGTCAAAATAGGATTTCACTCTTGTTTGTGGAGCTCTGTAGTAATTAGGAAAGGATTCGAAACTCCATTTGAAACGGAGGCTGGTAATACAATGATGTGTTGGATGTTTCTCAGTGGAGAATAAGGTGCTCCAAAACCATGGCAGCAAAATACTAAATGTTGTGAGAGAGATGGTGATGTCTTCCTCTGTTTGTCACCATTATGGGAAACTTTTAGATGTGGATTAACTTTGCACAGATGGAGCGGTGCAAGGCAAGGAAGGTTATCCTGGGGGAGCTGCTTTGGTGGAGAAAACCTGGTGTCCTGCCAAACCTTGGCCTTCAGAGTGACCCTAGGGCTGGTCTTCCACATTGTGGAAGAGACAGACCTGCTAGTCTTGTGATCTCTACTCGGGGGCAATGCACTGAAGAGAAATGCTTTTAGTTTTGAGTAAAGAGATAGTCATTAAATATTGGCTTCAGCTATTATTTATTTATTTAGACAGAGTCTCACTCTGTTGCCCAGGCTGGAGTGCAGTGGCACAATCTCAGCTCACTGCAACTTCACCTCCCAGGCTTAAGCGATTCTCCTGCCTCAGTCTCCCGAGTAGCCGGGACTACAGGCGCGTGCCACCATGCCCGGCTGATATTTGTATTTTTAGTAGAGATGGGGTTTCACCATGTCAGCCAGGCTGGTCTTGAACTCCTGACCTCAAGTGATTTGCCTGCCTCAGCCTCCCAAAGTGCTGGGATTACAGCAGGCCACTGCGCCCAGCTGCCATTTATTTTTATTTTTATAAAAATATGTGTAATAATAAGACAGAAAAAATAGGGAGTAGACAAAAGAAGTAACTTAAACATAGTGGTTCTCAATCAGGGATGATTTTGCTTCCCAGGAGACACCTGACAGTGTCTGGAGACATTTTTTATTGTTATACTGGGGCTGGAGGGCTGCTACTGGCGTCTAGTGGGTAGAGGTTAGGGATGCTGCTCAACATCCTGTATGTACTGGACAGACACCCCCCCATTACCACCAACAAGAAAGAGTGATCCAGCCCAAAATGCCAGTAGTGCCAAGGCTGAGAAATTCTGCAAGAATCCACCCCTAACACATAATAATCCCACCCCTAATTGCGTTATGATGGTGTATTTTCTTTCATTATTTTATTTCCACATTATACGTAACTGTGTACTTAGTTTTTTTGTATCTGGTTCTCTTCATTGAGCATTATATCCTAACAGAGTAATTTTGTAATTTTCAAAATTTTTAAAATTCACACATTTCTCTCCTATACTACATATATTCTAATTTACTGCTGTTGTGAATAACCTGTAATGAATAACTTTGTGTATTTGGCTTTTCTTTTTCTTTTAATTTCTAGTTATTTCTTAAGGGTAGTATTTGTAAGTTGTTCATATTATTTTTCTAAGTGGTGAATTTTTTATGATTCTCGACAGATGTTTCCAAGTTGCTTTCCAAAGGCATGGTACTAATTTCAGTGTCATCAACAATGTATAGACTTTCTGTTTGCTTGTGTTTTTGCCTGCATAAAGCATAAAGTTACTGGGGAAAAGCCTATTTTTTTTTTTGGCTAAGTCAATGGGCAAAAAGTAGTATGTGTTTGATTAGTAATGCTTTTGTGTGGGAGAAACACTGTTCTGATCATTGTCGTCACAACCCTCAGAAGTCATGATAAAACCATCTGTTTCTGTTTAACAAAGGCTCTGAGAGTTATTCTAGGTCAGTGGAATGATGCCTTTCTGTACTTACTGCGAAGAAGTTTATTAAGATAAATTGCGATAGTTTCAACTTTCTTGGAGTACTTTTAAAAGAGCAAGATCCACTCAGATCATCATGGAAAATCCTGTCAAACTCTAAGAAAATTGTCTAGGAGGCCGAAGTGGGTGGATCACTTGAGGTCAGGAGTTCAAAACCAGCTAGGACAACATGGTGAAACCCCATCTCTACTAAAAATACAAAAATTAGCCGGGTGTGGTGATGTACGCCTGTAATCCCAGCCACTTGGGAGGCTGAGGCAGAATAGCTTGAACCTGGGAGGCAGAGGTTGTAGTGAGCCGAGATGGTGCCACTTCATTCCAGCCTGGGTGAAAGAACAAGACTCTGTCTCAAAAAAAAAAAAATTGTTTTTGATGAAGCCATTAATGTTATAGTTAAAATATATTTAGGTATGCTAGGACTCCATTGCACTTTCCTATTTTTTATGAGTTATTTGTGTATTTAATGGGGCACCTAGCACTATGACATTTCATATATGTAGAATATATATATATGCTTGACACACGGAATGCTCAGTGAAAATGTATTAAATATGAACGAACAAACTTCTGCCCGCACTTTAGGGCCAAGAGTATAATTTTCTGCTGTAATGATGACAGAGAGCTATAGTGGAGTGTGACCTTTTGATGTACTGCTGGTCCTGATTATAGTTTACTTGACTTTGAAGGCTTGATCAGGAATAAAACCTCCAATTATATCACTTTTTCAGTGGCAAACCTGTTTTATGGAGTAGTGATTTGTCTTGCAACAGGGCTTTGGAAACTCATTAAAACCAGGGATTTTCTCGCACATTTCCTAAGAGAATTACAAATATGAAAAGCTGTGGATAAAAATTATCTGATTTTTGAAGATTTGCTCATTTTTAGAATAAAACGTTTTCTTATATTTTCATATCATGTTTTCTAAATTTTTATTCTTTCTTGAGGGAACCATTCCAAGTTGTACAAGTACGTTTCTTTAAATATTTGCATTTGACAATGACTCCCTTCTCTGGTTCTTCTAACACCTTAAATGACTTTTTTTTTTTTGAGACGGAGTCTCGCTCTGTCGCCCAGGCTGGAGTGTAGTGGTGCCATCTCGGCTCACTGCAAGCTCCACCTCCCGTGTTTATGCCATTCTCCTGCCTCAGCCTCCCAAGTAGCTGGGACTACAGGTGCCCGTCACCACACCTGGCTAATTTTTTTTATATTTTTAGTAGAGACGGGGTTTCACTGTGTTAGCCAGGATGGTCTCAATCTCCTGACCTCGTGATCCGCCCCCCTCAGCCTCCCAAAGTGCTGGGATTACAGGTGTGAGCCACTGCACCTGGCTGACTGTTTTAATTACTAGTATGTGTCCGTAAATGCCTGAGCAGGGGTTTTGAGAACTGTGCCTTCCTCTTCTTTGACTTTTAAAACTGATTTCTTGTGCAGTATTATCTTTCTGAATTATGTAGCAATTTTGCTTTACCCAGGATTAGGTGTGCTCCTCTGGGTTGGGTGGTTGTGTAGTACATCATGTGATCAGACAGCAGGCATGGACCAGGACGGTCCCTGGCAGGCACTGTGTGGGGCTCAACTCCTTCCTTCCCTTGTCTTACCTTACTCACTGGAGCATTTGTTGCTTTCTCTCCTCTCAGCCCATCAACCTAGAGTTGAGTAGGAAAGAGTGCATTGAATCAAGTATTTAAATTGCTCTGATGGTTTTGTATGTGCTATAGAAGGAATTCGAAGACAGTTTACTTTTTGTCATTTTCATGGGAATCAAGAACCTCATTTAATCAGTAGCCTGGTATTAGTTCTAAATCATCCACACATAGATGTGGGGTGATTTTGGTCATGTTATTTTATAGGGCATTGCCCTTCTCCTCCAGCCAAAATATTTGTAATACAAAGCCCATGATTCTGTCCTCTCTCTGTCTCTGGTTTCATTGATAAACTTGTAATATTTTTTATAAAAACTCTTTTAAAAATTAAAAATAGATCCTGGTATGGTGGCTCACACATGGAATCCCAGCACTTTGAGAGGCCGTGGCCAGAGGATTGCTTGAGCCCAGGAGTTTTAGGCCAGCCTGGCCAACACAGCGAGACTCTTCCTGGGCAACATAGACGCTGCCTCTACAAAATAAAAATAATACTTGATAGAAAATTCAAACAGATGGAAGGGCACAATTATTTTTTTTCCGAGACGGCATCTTGCTGTGTTGCCTAGGCTGCGTGGCGTGATCTCAGCTCACTGCAACTTCTGCCTCCTGGGGTCAAGCAATTCTCCTGCCTCAGCCTCCCAAGTAGCTGGGATTACAGGCACTCACCACCACACCCAGCTAATTTTTTGTGTTTTTTAGTAGAGATGGGGTTTTGCCATGTTGGCCAGACTGGTCTTGAACTCCTGACCTCAGGCGATCCGCCCACCTCGGCCTCCCAAAGTGCTGGGATTACAGGTGAGAGCCACCGCGCCCAGCCAGGCACAGTTATTTTTAAGTTTCTTTTCCCATGCTATAGGTTCATTTTGCAGATGTAACCGCTTTTGAAGTCTCGTTGTGTCGTTTAAGAACTGCTTTTGAGGTATCTCTGCCCTACATTATATCATCCTACAGTTCTGAGACTTGCTTTTTTCATTAACAGTATAGATCTTGGACCTCTTTCACCATCAGCACAGAGACATAACTTATTTTGCAATTGTTCAGTAGTGCTTCGTTGTGTGGATGTGCCAAAATTTATTTAAGCAGAGCCCAGTTGATGGGCATTTAAGTAAAAAACATGCCGTGTTTTGCCTTTTTAAAACAAAGCTGCAGTGAATATCCTTTGACTGCCTGGATTTGAATCTTGGCTCCAGCAGTTGCCAGTTCGTCGACTCTGAGCAAGTTGCTTTATCTCTCATGTCTGCAGGTTTCCCCTCTGTAAAATGGGAATATTAATAATATATGATGGGTATGTAGAATAAAATAGCCAGTGCATATGATACCCAGAATAATGCCTGGGACACAGTGAGTGATCAGTGATCATTAGCTCTGTATGGCTGCCTGTGCCTTTGCACACTTGAGAGTAAGTCAGTCAAATAAATTCCTAAATGCTGAATTGCTGGGCTGCTGGTTCAAAAAATGTACAATTCAAATTTTGGTGGATACTCCCTGTTGCCCTACACACATTATACCAAGTTATTCTTCCACTAGTAATTAAACTTTTAACCTCTAAAAGCCTTTTTTTTTTCTTTTAATGTAAGGCTTGAAAGCAAGAACATTCCTTCATTACTTCCTCCTACTTATCTTTACTCTTGGCCTTACTACGTCATGACACATCTTATGAAATACTGGTGTGATAATAAGCACTTTGTGCAGCCCTACCATGGAAGAATTGGTGAAAATGTAAAGGTTCTCAGTGGTCTTCAGACTTGTGTTTGAGTTTCTCTCTTGCAACAAGGTGCCTGACTAAGAGAGTAAAGGTTACTTCCTGCATGTTTAATGGGGCTTGATATTTGCATATGGGCAGGTACATCCTGCTTAATGAACAGTGTTGGGAGCCATGTGGATGATTGACATCAACTTGTAGTACAACAGGAAAACATTCCTAGATTAATGTTCCTTTTCACTGGGTAGGGCTAGAGGGCAACTGCAACGAGTGAAATGCTAGGCTGCAGGTAGATGGCTTGTCTTGAGCTATGAATAATATGTTTGGCAGCAGCATGGGCAGAAAAGTTGAGATTTCTGGATACAGGACCTGGTGAAGCAGGTTCTGTCACAGGGTCAGATCACCTCTAACACCTGGCCATCCCCAGTGCAAAGGAAAACTAGGAGAGAGAGAAGTGAGTATAAGAGGCAGCTGAGGGACTCTTGACAAAGTTGAGAAGGATCTGGTGTCCTGGGAGAGCTCCTGTCTTCTGGAATTAGTGATGCATCTTTTGTGGAGGCTCCTGATGGCTCAGTAAAAGGAGCCTTTCATCTTGCCCTTCCTACAGGGCTGAGAGGGGAGGGGTTCTTGGGACAAGTGGCTTTTAGCAGAGAACAATAGAAGCCGTAGGCTGGGCTGTCACTTGCTTTGCTACTTCTTAGTTTGTAATCATCCTCTGTGTGTCCCTGAAAGTCCCCTGGTTCTCTCTAAACTGTGGGGCTCCAACTGAATTCCTGTCTGCTCCCCAGGGGTGCCCCGCAGCAGTTAGAGCAGCTTGTTGAGAAGGAGCCGCAGGGGTAGGGCAGAGGTGGACCGGAAGCCGGAGGAGGCCACTTGACATGGCGATTGGAGCCCTCCCAGCCTGTGCTTTAGACCTGCCAGATTCCTACCCACCTCACCTTGGAGTGGGACATTTCTTTTCACAGTGCCCAGGCTTAACTATGCTGTCCCCGGGTCCATTCCCAACTGTTCCTATTCAAGATGTCTAGACCTTTGTTCCCTGCCTTGGCATTTTCCTTTCCTGGTGTGGAGTATCTCTTTTTGAAATAGCTATCTCAGCTTCAACATAGCAGAGCGGAAAACCTATGTCTGGGCTTGAGGCAGGGGGAGGAAACCGTAGATAGATCCAGGAATGGCCAAAGTAAGCAGAGATCCGTGAGCCTGGACGTGTCATGACATAACAAGGATATGTGGGTGGGAGGGGCAGGGATGACATCTTTAGCTTTCTGTGAAATCATAGACATGCTTTCATTATTTTGTAGAATCAAATAATTTTGAAGATAGAGATATCTGAGTCCATCGATACTTACCTCTTTTTTTTTTTCTTTGGGACGGAGTTTTGCTCTTCTTGCCCAGACTGGAGTGTAATGGCGCCATCTCAGCTCACTGCAACCTCCGCCTCCCAGGTTCAAGCGATTCTCTTGCTTCAGCTTCCCAAGTAGCTGGGATTACAGGTGTGCACCACCACATCTGGCTGATTTTGTGTTTTTAGTAGAGACGGGATTTCACCATGTTGATTAGGCTGGTCTCGAACTCTTGACCTCAAGTGATCCACCCGCCTTAGCCTCCCAAAGTGCTTAGGATTACAGGCATGAGCCACTGTGCCCAGCCGATACTTAGCTCTTATTGGCCATAGTTCTCTTGGAGAATTTGGGGAAAAGTATGGGCCTCTCCACACCATAAGTATACATGATGTACTTACCAAACACGTGCATGCAAGTTTAGGGGTTCACAGGCCCTGGAGGTTTGTCTGCACATCTGCACTGTGGGGCAGCTGCACCTTCCTATACACAAAGACCCAGGGTCGTGGAGAGACGGCACTTGTGTGGGTCACAGAGTTGGAGACAGTGTACCAGAAGTCATTGGTCCGCAGAGCCGTGTCTTGCATTTTATACTCCAGTACGTTGCTTCGGTGGGAAGGGTGACCTCATTTTTTGTTTAATTCGAAGACCTCACTGGGAAAGAAACACATAGAGATGTGGAAGGAAAAAGAAAAAGCTGTGGGAAATCGTGAATTCGTGGACATTGATGGTGAAAGGTTCATTTCAACCCTTGATGGGAACATCGTGATTCTGTTTAAGAAACAGCATCATGTATATGCCTTTCTAATAAAACGGCGCGGCACCTTCCCACGCAACTTGCAGCCACGAGGTTAACCAGAGATAAACGTGGCTTTCCTTTTCCTTACATCTTCCTGCAACACCCTTCACAATAGCCCACACCAAGAGAGTTCTTAGGGTAAATATCTGTGGCGTTAAATTTCACTTTAATACAGAAAGGCTGGCCTTGAAGGGGAGGGAAGAGAGGAGCACGACTCACTTGGGCCTCCCAGAGGCAGGCTTGAGGACCTCTCCTGCAGCGTAGTGGATGGGGAGGAACAGCACGCGGGGTTCAGGCTGACCGCAGCTAGACTCCTGGGGGGTCTCTAGCTCTGTGACCAGAGTGGCTCTGCCTCAGTAGCCTCCCCTGCATAAGGACACCTTTGCAGGGATATCGTAAGGAATGGAGAGACTGTATTGAAAAATATGCCGGAAGTATCTGGTTTCTATGGGGCCCTCAGATGATGGCCAGCATCGTCTTCAACAACATCTTTCATTGTCATCATCATTGCTGCCATCGTTGTCCTGGGCCAGGATGGTTGGCAGTGAGGGGGTCTGGCATGCCCATCGTGCTCTGTGGTGCTCTGGTGCTGTTTGAAACATGCGACTGGTTCTTTTAGAGATTGGCTGAGGAGCATCACCTTTTGTGAACCATGCTGATCAAGTTCATCTATTGTTTGATGTTGGTTGAGAAAATCATTGATCCTAACATTTCATTCTTACACATAGCCTTAATGTTCTTTTTAAGAAAGAGATAGAAGGGCTTTGCCCATGCAAAATGCACACGAATAATGGCTTACCCACTTGCAAATAATCCATGTGAAAATAAGTTGCTTGGAATAACATAAAATCATGAAGAGGCCGGGCGCAGTGGCTCACGCCTGTAATCCCAGCACTTTGGGAGGCCAAGGCGGGTGGATCACCTGAGGTTGGGAGTTCCAGACCAGCCTGGCCAACATGGTGAAACCCCGTCTCTACTAAAAATACAAAATTAGCCAGGTGTGATGGCGCATGCCTGTAATCCCAGCTACTCGGAGGCTGAGGCAGGAGAATCGCTTGAACCCAGTAGGTGGAGGGTGCAGTGACCTGAGATTACATCCTTGTACTCTAGCCTGAGCAATAAGAGTGAAACTCAGTCTCAAAAAAGAAAAAAAAAATCATGAAGAGTGGACCTTTTTGCAATTTATATATATGTTTTCCTATATTCTGCGATGCTTATAATCATGATGTAAACTAATCCTTCTTTGGCTGCAATAGTCAAAATATAGTTATAGGAAATAATATTGAGAAGAAAAATATATTCCTGAGCTAACAAAAAGCCATATAGGAAAGAAATGAAGTGTGTACAGTGGGCTCTCGCTCAGCTTTTTGTTTTTTAAGAAACACTCCATTTTAAAGAGAAAGGCCCAGCCATTTCCACAGATGTGTTTCTCTCTCTGAGCTGTCAGTAGCATCTGCGGTTATTTTCTGGAAAATGGAGAGGAGATGCCATGAACTTGGATTTCAGAGTTCCCCTCTGATTATCAAATTGACCCTCTTGGTGATGAATCCCACCATTGGTTCCCAAAAGGTCATACCTTAGTCACTTTTTAATTATGTGACCCCCCTGGGGTGCACAAAAGGAGCTTCATGGGGACTTCATGGGCCTCTCCACTGTCTGCAACTTGAAGCCTGATTTGCAAAGCCATCGGAAGAGAATTCCCTATGGGGTGAGCAGCCATAGTTGGCAAACAGCTCCACCACCACAGCCTTGGAGAGGGAGGGCGGTGCAGACTGACCCATCCAACCAAGCCAGGAGTCAACGCTGGGGCCATCAGCATGCGAAGCAAAGGAACCAAGTAGCAGAGGAAACTCAGCAACCCCAAAGAGCTGCTGAGAAGAAATCAGACCCTCCTGAAGACTTCTGGTGCAGTCCACTGCTGGTGTAAAGAGAGATTTTCCATTTTGACAGATCCCATGGACTCATCTTCAGCAAACCATTGGGCAGGGAATCAAAAGTCATCATAAAGACCTCCGGGTATTTTTCTACATCAGTCCCCTGCGTGCTGCGAGTCCTGAAATGGAGCTTGGAGAGCAGCGGGTGGGAGGAGAAGGTTGTCGTCCCTACTGTTTTTGCTTGGATTGTTTCACCCTGTCCCCACACGTGGACAGATTCAGCCGGGTGCTTCAAGACATCATTCAACTTGCATATACTTTGTTCGTTTATTACACAAATATTTACTGGTTGTGATGTGATCTTTGAGTGCTCCTTGGTTCCCCCTTCCTCCTCCTCCAAGAAAAGATGGATGTTCCTCTCCTTCCTTACACAGCTCCTCCTCACCTCCCATCCAAATGCCTTATGGCATCTCCAGTGGTGTCATCTGCTCCACATTGGCCAAGGGTCGGTAGGGTCAGGACAGAGGCCTGTTCATCACTTCATCTGCAGCACCTACCACAGTGCCTGGAGGTGGAAGCTTAAACACTTATTGGATAAGAAGTTTCCGTAGTCCTCTTACTCAACCACTAGATGGTCACTTAGTAGCCAAAACCAAAACCAAAAAACAACAGTTTTTTACTTTATTGGACAAGCACTGATTGAGCCCCTTCTGTTTGTTTTTTCACTTCAAAATTATTTTCTTTCGGAAACTTTCAAACAGAAAAGTTGAAAGTACAGAGCAATGAACACTTGGGTATTCCTCTGTCTGGATCCAGCAACTGTTAACAACTCGGCACACCCACTCTGTCTATCTCCCTCCCTCCCCTGTGTGCACACACACATGTGCACAGACACAGCCTCCTCTTGCGCTAGATCATCGGAAAGTAGGCACCCCAACCCTAAATATTTCAGTCTTAGGAATAAGATACGCCATTAGAAACTGTGGTTACAGGCCGGGCACAGTGGCTCACGCCTGTAATCCCAGCACTTTGGGAGGCCGAGGCTGGCAGATCACAGGGTCAGGAGATCGAGACCATCCTGGCTGACACGGTGAAACCCCGTGTCTACTAAAAATACAAAAAATTAGCCGGGTGTGATGGCGAGCGCCTGTAGTCCCAGCTACGCAGGAGGCTGAGGCAGGAGAATGGTGTGAACCCGGGAGGCGGAGCTTGCAGTGAGCCGAGGTCATGCCACTGCACTCCAGCCTGGGCGACAGAGCAAGACTGTGTCTCAACAACAACAAAAAAAAAAATGTGGTTACAGAGGACTACGTGCTTTGGGAGTACAGAGTGGGAAAAGTTACTTTCCAAAAAAAATGGAAACAATTAGAAATGGTTTCTTTGAGAAGGTAACACGTATGCTGTGCCATTTGCATAGATACCGGTTTACAGTGTTTGGGTCTAAAACTTTAACAAAAGGGAAAAGATAACAGTCTTTCAAAAAGCTTACTATCTCCTCAAAAAACTCATTCCCCTTTACAGTATTTGGAGGTTTGATTTTTATGATTCCTCTGTGGTTTTGTAATAACCACACTTATTATTTCCTTAGCTTCTCGGGCTGTCATTGAAAAAGTGCCTTTAATTTTGCTTGCATTTACTAGTAAGATTTATTCATGTGCAGAGGGGCCGTGTAGACCAGTGAGGTGGTGTTTAGTCAGCTGCATCCGCCTTGCTGTGCGAAATGCTGGTGAAAGCTCAGTGACTTGGAGCAACACCAAAATTCAATTTTTGCATTTTAATAATAGCTTAATTTTGTGATTATGCTTAACAATTCTATACATCCCTAAATAAAAGAAAGTATAGGCCATTCTAAGCAGTCAGAACTTCAGCTTTTTCTACCATATAATGGAGGGTTTTGCTAAATTTAAAAATGTGTCCTTGAAGCTGAAAGGCCACCTCTGAGGCACTCTGGGGAGAGTGTTCGCTTTCCAACAGTCGGGAAGCAAGCAAATGGCACACACCCTAGACCAGTGAGAGAAAGGCACTTGCAGGCCTGTTAGGCATTTTGTTGGCTAAATAGAGGGGAAATGATGGAAAACAAATACTGAATATTGGTTTGGGGAGGGAATGACAACAGCTTGTGTGAAACGGAGGTGATTTTAAACATAAGCCAGTGGGTTTCAGAGCACAGGCTATGGTGGGAAGTGGTGGGGAGGGGGAAGCTTAGCAAATCTGGGTATTGGTTTTGCCTGTTTTTAAACCCCCTTTGGAGTCTAGTAAGGTTAACCACTCTGGTTAGTTCAGCGTTCTAACAGGTGACTTTACATTGGAGGAAGATGTTCAGAAGGCGTGGAAGACACATCTTCGAGCAGCCCCAGCTTCTGATGATTTTGTTCATCTGGGTTGCAGACCCAATCTGTGTCCCAGGGACTGGGACTGGCCTTCATTACCTTATTGACATGCTTCTCCCGGACACACACACACACATCACATTTGCAGCCATCTCAATTTAGTAGAGGAATTACACATAACCAAAACACTCCCCAAATGTGTGCTGGAGAACAGCTCGGAGGGATGGGACGGCCTGTCGTTTCCTGACGTTGACTGACTTGAGTGCAAGACCCCAGAGCCTGGGTGTGTGCAGAGGGCGGATAGCACATGGGTCCCTGCAGGAGGCCTCTCGGCCTTCTTCCATGTGTGTGCACGTGTGTGTGTGTGTGTGTGTGTGTGCGCCGTCAAATGTTGGAGCTTCTGGGGACCACCCCAGGAACCCTCTGGACAGGGGTGTCTAGCCCAGGCCTGAGTGCAGCGCCCTCCCTGAGGGTGAGGGTTGGCTTTTAAAAGAGGATACCTTTGGCTGGGCGTGGTGGCTCACTTCTGTAATTCCAGCACTTTCGGAAGCCAACGTGGGCAGATTACTTGAGGTCAGGAGTTTGAGACCAGCCTGGCCAACATGGTGAAAGCCCATCTCTACTAAAAATCCAAAAATTGGCCCGGGCATGGTGGCAGACGCCTGTAATCCCACCTACTCGGGAGACTGAGGCACGAGAATCGCTCGAACCTGGGAGGCGGAGGTTGCAGTGAACTGAGATCACACCACCCCATTCCAGTCTGGGTGACAGACTGAGACTGTCTCAAAAAAAAAGAAAGAGTGACACATGAAATAAGGGGCAAGAGGTTCTGAGGGAGAAGCCTTAGAAAAGGCAGCTCTGTTCTTCCTAGAGGAGTCTTAGTTTAGCATTTTACCACAAAGAAATGTCTTTTTTTTGAAAGCAGAGGCCCACAGAAGCTGTGACATGGCTAAGCTTAGCTGTCCCAGGCCAGGATCGGAACTGGGTGCTCATCTCACACCTCCACACCCAGCACTAGCCCAAGGTGGGACCCATGAGGTGTGCTTGGGCACAGTTAGGGAGAAAGTCAGGATGGATTGGCAGGGGAAGATTCACTTCCGAAGTATTGGCTTAGCAGAGGAGCTGGCTCACTGGGGGATGAGACTCACCGATGGCAGTGTGGTTATTTATGTATAATCTTCACTCATCATTTATTCCCTAATCACGACATCGGGCACACCTGCTGGGTTCTAGGTGCTGAGTATTTGACAGTGGATAGGACAGTGAAATCCTGTTGTAAAGGGGCTTTTCTTCTGTAGTATTGGGGCGGATGGGACCCATAATAAGTAAACCCCATGATATATTTAGGCTTTGTGTCCCCACCCAAATCTCATCTTGAATTGTAATCCCCATAATCCCTATGTATCAAGGGAGAGACATAGTGGAGGTAGTTGAATCACTGGGGCAGGTTCCCCCATGCTGTTCTTGTGATAGTGAGTTCTCACGAGATCTGATGGTTCTATATAAGGGGCTCTTTCCCCCTGCTGGGCTCTTCTCCTTCCTGCTGCCTTGTGAAGAAGGTGCCTTGCCTCCCCTTCGCCTTCTGCCATGATTGTAAGTTTCCTGAGGCCTCCCCAGCCATGCTGAACTGTGGGTCGGTTAAACTGCTTTAGTTTATAAATTACCCTGGAAAGTCTCCCACTGGGAAAAATAATTGGAACAGGCAGCATGACTATTTTTAGCATTATTTCAATATGGGTTTAAACTTTTTTTTAAATTGAATATTGTAACTATTAAGTTTAAACCTAAGGATATAGTTGCTAAGTATAGTTCTTCTCTCACTATGATTTAAATTATGTTATAAAGAACTGGCAGTTCTTTATAGCAGTCTGAAAATGGACTAATACACCCCACAAACCAACAGGACCGTTTCAGATGGTGATGTGAACTCTAAAGAAGATAAACAATGTGATGATGGCTTAGAACAGCAGAGTGGAATGGAGATCCAATGCAAGATGTGCAATTTTAAATATTCTAGTAGCCACATTTTGAAAAGTAAAGAGTGAGGGAAACTAACTTAATGTAACTTATAACCGGTATGTTCATAATGTTACCATTATAATATATATAAATAATTGAGATATTTTGCATTTTCTTTGCATTAAGTCTTCTAAATCTGGTGTGTATTTTATACTTAGAGCACACCTCAACTTGGATTAACCACATTTCACATACTCAGTAGGCACACTTGGCTAGTGGCTTTGGCTAGCACAGACTTAGTGCTTGGGGGCGGTGGTACAGGTCCACTTTAGATTGCATGGTTATCTTTAAGAAAAGTCCTGTTAACTAAGCACAAGGAACAGTTCCTACCACTGATCTATGTTGTGTTTTGTTTGCTGCTAATGTGCTCATACATCAAGGTAAATTATTATTTTAATCCAGATTTCAGCTGATTTTTTAACAGCAGTTTTGCTGTGTGCACGCTGAATGGGATTCTCCAAGGACAGGCAATGAGAAATCCTTCAACATTATAGGAGGAGACGGTGGAGAGAGATCCTTATAGTCTTTGAGAGAAGGCTTTGGGGTTTCCAGGGCCTACATTTTGTCAGAGATCTTCTTTCCTGTACAGGAAAGTAGGTGTTGCAGGTTCCTTCTTTTTCACTCTTTCCTTAATTATGGGAAGGAATTCCACCAACATTGATGTTTAACCTGGAAAGTCTCCCACTAGGGAAAATAATTGGCACAGGCAGCATGTCTGTTTTTAGCATTATTTCAATATGGGTTTAACTGTTTTTTTTTTTTAATTGAATATTGTAACTATTAAGTTTAAAGCTAAGGATATGGTTGCTAAGTATGGTTCTTCTCTCACCTACTCAGTCTTTGGGTGGGTGAAATGCTACTTGTTGAATGAAATTAGAATAATTTCCATCTGAGTTTTTCAGGTTCAGCTGCAAATGCAGGAGTTGGTTTAGAGTCAGTTTATGAAGGAAGTTTTGGAAAACATTAGAGTATTTTGTGTGTGTGAAAATTAGACTTGTGGGAAGGAGTGTGGTAAAAACTGCTAGCAAACACTAGGCAAAATTTTTCTAAAAATCATTTGCCTTTTCCTTCACGTGTAAAAGTCATATATGTTCTTTGGAGCCAATTTGAAAGAGAATAAATCATCCATAATGCCATATCTTTACAGTCTTTTTTTTCCTTGTACCTTTAGATGTGTATTTGGTAATGTAGTTTTTACATAGTTTTATGCTGCTTTTTACACTTGTCATGTGTATTTTCACATTTTCTTATTTTTTCAAGAATTTAGCTTTTAAATGGCTGTGTAATATTTTTCCTTGTGAATGTTCTGTCATTCATTCTCTCTCTTTTTTTTTTTTTTCGTGACAGAGTCTCGCTCTGTTGCCCAGACTGGAGTACAGTGGCGCGATCTCCGCTCACTGCAACCTCTGCCTTCTGGGTTCAAGTGATTCTCCTGCCTCAGCCTCCAAAGTAGCTGAGATTACAGGCACCCGCCACCATGCCTCGCCCTGTCATTAATTTAATCTTTAATTCACCCTCTATTGTTGTTTTTTATTTTTCATTATTATAAGTAATGCTGCCATGAATACCTTTCTACATACATATTTATATGAATATCTAATTATTGCAGTAAAAACTAGTAGAAGCAATCATTCAGTCAAACAATCAAGACTTTTTTTTTTTTTTTTTTTTTTTTTTGAGACAGAGTCTGTCTCTGTCACCCGGGCTGGAGTGTGGTGGCACAATCTTGGCTCACTGTAACCTCTGCCTCCCAGGTTCAAGCGATTCTCCTGCCTCAGCCTCCCGAGTAGCTGGGGCTACAGGTGCCTGCCACCATGCCCAGCTAATTTTTGTATTTTTGGTAGAGACAGGGTTTCTCCATGTTGCCAGGCTGGTCTCGAACTCCTGACCTCAGGTGATCCACCTCCCTCAGCCTCCCAAAGTGCTGGGATTACAGGCATGAGCCAGCATGCCCGGCCCCAGTGTAGACTTTTTTTTTTTTTTTTTTTTTAGGGCTTTTGATATTTGTTGCCAAGTTACCCTCTAAAAACCTAGTGCAAGATTACATTTTCACCCCTGGGGTGTGAGTGCCTTTTGCCCCACAGTCTAGACCATGCTGGATTTATAATTTTAAGGGAATTTATTAATTTGTTAGATGGTGGATGTGTCATTTTGATGCAGGACTTTAAGGAAGAAAAGATATATCTTTAAAAACGTTTTCTGTTTTTCTTTTTTAGCTTGTCTTTTGGAGTTCTTGCCTTTGACTTAAGGGCAAATGTCTTACTGAGAGATGCTGGGTGCCTGGGTCACAGGTGGTTTGTCGTTGCCCTTTTTCTTTTTTTTTCCAACTCAGCTAAGTTCAGCACTAGTTTTGTGACTTATTACACAGAAGACTTGAATACATCAAGGGCCTCTAGAGATTTGTGGTAACATCAAGATGTGTAGTCTGTAATGTGTCATGGGGGGTGTGAGCCATTCAAGGGGAGTTACTCTTAATGGTACCATTATTCAGGATACAGTGCTGATGCCTGCATCCTGATGGCACCACTGTCGTCCAACTCTGTTTGTGACATTGTTCATGGCCTCTGCAGAGTCAGGGAGCTCCTCAGGATAAGGCTCTGTGACATCGTCTAAACTCCAAAGAAGTAGAGCCATCATATTTCCTTCCCCAAGGGAGCTGGCATCTACCATCACTGAGGATTTTTTGAGTCTCTGTACCAGGACATGGACCTCAACTCTTTATTTCCATGATTAATCCCTATGTCAATGTACATGGCAAATGCTAGCATTTCCTTCATTTTATTGACGATAGAATCAAAACTCAGAGTGTTTAGGTAATTTCCTTGAAATTACACAGCCAGGAATGGCCAAGGCTGGGAATTGAATGGACTCCAGAACCCATGGTCGAAGTCCAAGCTCAATATCTCTGAGACCTGGAAGGAAATGAAACAGACTAAAATCAGAGTAACGCTTAAAACCATGAAGATTCCAGCCCACAGATTCTATCTGCCACATGCAGACACGATTTATACCCCTAGAGGGAAACTGAAGAAACAAGGTGGTGGTCATACAATAATAGACTCAAAACCCAACCACACTTTTGAAGTGAATAGTGGCTCATGATGGCTTTAAACATCTTAGGAGAAAAATCAAAGTTGGTGATGGGCTAATTTGGAAGATTAGCTGAAAAAGTTAAGTGGCAAAGAACTAAGTGATAGTTGGAGTGAGGAAGGCATTTTGGTGTGGAGAGAGTAAGATTGGGGAAGGAAAGCTCCCTGGGTAACTGTAGGATTAGAAGCTGTGAGGAGTGTGGTTTAATCAGACAATTTGGAAGCAAGACAGAGAGGGAACAGTCCCCATTTGGAGAGTGTTAGTGTTCAGGGTAATCAGAAAGGAAGAGTCGGAAGCATATGTAATTAATGAACGAGAAAGGCAGATGGATGATGGGGAGGTGGGTGGCGTCGCGCTACTCATATGTTCTTTTGATAAGTAAAATTATAGCATAATTTCTCACTCATTGGAAACAAGGTTATGCAATTAGGATCCTGCTGCTGCTAAAAGCTTCCAGAGATTTTAGTGCACTGGGCAGACAGAGTGATGATGTTTACTTTAAAAATCGAACTTCTCGTTTGAGATACTTAATTTTATTTAATGCTCGATTTTTGTATTTACTGGTTCTGCATTTTCTCATGTAGATTAAGATCCAATTTAGAGAAGAAATATATGGGCAGTTTGGCTGTAGAAAGCACAGAGGAATGATGCTGTGGATATTGATGCACCATGTGGTAGACAGCATTTTCTTTTCTTTTCTTTTCTTTTTTTTTTTTTTTTGAGACAGGGCCTTGCTCTGTCTTCCGGGCTGGAGTACAGTGGTGCGATCGCGGCTCGCTGTACCCTCAACCTCCTGGGCTCAGTTGATCCTCCCATCTCAGCCTTCCAAGTAGTGGGACACCATGCCCGGCTAATTTTTGTATTTTTTTGTAGAAGATGGGATTTCGCCCCATTGTCTGGTCTTGAACTCCTGAGCTCAAGTGATCCGCCCACATTGGCTTCTCAGAGTGCTGGGATTACCTGGCTGACAGCATTTGTTTTAAAGCAGTAAATGAAAATTTGGGTATTCCTTTTAAGTTTTTCAAAATTTCAATCTGCAGTTTTTAATCTATACAAAAAACTGTGGTAAAAGACGCCTAACATAAAAATTACAATCTTAACCACTTGCAAGCCTACAGTTTGGTAGTGTTAAGTAGATTCACCTTTTGAAACAGACCTCCAGAACTTTTTCATCTTGCAAAACTGAAACTGTTTGCCTATCAAACAACAGCTCTTGGTTTCCTCTTCCTCCTAGGCTTTGGCAGTTACTATTCTACTTTGTTTCTATGAATTTGACTGCTTTAACTAACTCATAAATGGACTCATACAGTATTTGTCTTTTTGTGATTCGCTTGTTTCACTTAGCGTACTATCCTCCAGGCTCACCCACATTGTAGCATGTGACAGGCTTCCTTTCCTTTTCAGGGCTGAATAATATAACATTATATATATGGATATGTACATTGAATATCCCTTATCTGAAATGCTTGGGATCAGAAATGGTTCAGATTGGGGATTTTTTTAGATTTTGGAATATTTGCATAATTCTTCCAGGTTGAGCATCCCTAATCCAGAAATCTGAAATGCTCTAATGAGCATTTCCTTGAGCATCATGTTGGTACTTAAAAAGTTTCGAATTTTGGAGCATTTCAGATTTCAGATTTTTGTGTTAGGGATCTTCAACATCATTCTATTTTTTTAATCTGTCAATGAATAAAATTACAGTTTTAACCACTTGTACACATACGGTTTGGTAGTAGTGTTAAGTATATTCACCTTTTTTTGTTGTTGTTTGAGATGGAGTCTAGCTCTGTCGCCCAGGCTGGAGTGCAGTGGCACAGTCTCGGCTCACTGCAACCTCCACCTCATGGGTTCAGGCAATTCTCGTGCCTTAGCCACCTGAGTAGCTGGGACTACAGGTGCGTGCCACCACGCTCAGCTAATTTTTGCATTTTTAGTAGAGATGCGGTTTTGCCATGTTGGCCAGGCTGGTCTCAAACTCCTGACCTCAAGTGATCCCCCCGCCTTGGCCTCCCCAAGTGCTGGGATTACAGGTATGAGCAACCATGCCTGGGTTAACTATAGTCACCTTTTGAAACAGACCTCCAGAACTTTTCGTCTTGCAAAACTGAAACTGTCTGCCTATCAAACAACAACTCTTCGTTGCTTCCACCTCTTGGCTACTCTTGAGTAGTGTGGCTATGAACACGGGTGTACAAATATTTCTGAGACCCTGCTTTCAATTCTTTAGGATAGATAGCCAGAATTGAGATTGCTGGATTACATGATGGTTCTATTTAATTTTTTGAGGGGCTTCTGTACAATTTTCCATTGTGGTTACAACCATTTTACAGTCTAAGCAACAGTGCACAAAGGTTCCAATTTCTCTGCATCATTGCCAACACCTTTTAGAAACAGTAGCCATCCTAATGGGCATGAAGACTATCTATAGTTTATTATGTCAAGCTTTTCTTCATGGTTATAAACGAATATTGTGATGAGTGATTTATCTATGTTTGCTGCTTTACTCCCCAGGGGAGGATGAGTATACCATATATGTCCATATTGATACCTATCTCAGAATACTGGTTGTACAAAACTATTCCAGGCATTGTTCTTCTTTAAGTATTTGGGGTGTTTCTTTTTGCTTATAATTTAGTACAAATGTTCTCAGTTCAGTTAATAATGAGTCCTACTGTGTGGCAGTTGAGAACATGAAGATAACCAGAACACAGTTCCCGCCCTCAAGGGACTGATGAGAAGTAGCCACGTTTTGTAGGAACGGGCAAATGAAGTGGCAAAGGAAGGTGGCCATGGGTTGCCATAGGAGCGCAGGTGAGGGATGAGGAAAGGAAGCACTAAACCAGGTCAGCTTGTGACGTGGGATAAAGAAGGCTTCTTGCAGGTAAAGCCAGAGCTGAATTTGGAAGATGGTAGGAGTTCACCTGCTAACCTGGGAGGTGTGAGTGGAGTGCCTGCGGCTGGACCCACTTTGAGCAATTGGAAAGCCTGTATAGGAAACCATAGGTGACATGATGCCAAGTGGACATGACATTCAGGGAGATGATAGGCAGAAGGTGAGGCCAAAGAAGTTGGCTGGATGTATGTCAGAGAACGTGGTTTTTATGCAATCATTGATGGAAAGCTCATGACGCATTCAGTGATGTGGACGGCTTTGTGCTCTCTGCAGACCACTCTGAGGGCAATGTGGAGGTGGAGGCAGAGAGATTAGGTAAGAGGTTTTTGTGAAAGTTCAAGTGAGATAAGGAATGAACTAGGGCAGTGGTAGTAAGAATGAGGAGAAGGGAGAAAACCTGCCAAATACTTAAAAAAATTAGCAGCCATATGCCGGTTAAGTGTATGAGTGGTGAGACAGAGGGAACATTGAAGATAACCCACAGATTTCTGGCAGTGGTTCCGTGATCTGAAATTAGGAATATAAGAATAGACACTGAGGGTGGACAGGATCAATTCCCTTTTGGACATTTTGGGTTTGATGTGTCTGTAGAAGACACAAATGGTGATGTCCAGTTCACCTTGGGTTTGTGAGTCAAATTTGACAGATTCAGATAGAGACACACTCTTGGTTCTTATTAGATGTATGCAGTAGTTAAAACTATGAAAGCAGATCCATCCCCTATGTTGGAGGGGCACAAAGAAAAGGAGCAGCCCACCAAGGAGCTGGAGAATGAGAATCGGGGTGGACCAAGAGGGAGTCGTGTCTCAGGGGCTGGGGAAAGTAGAAAGGTTCCAGAATGAGTGAGTGGTCAGGAACTTCAGATGTAGCAAAAGAGGTCTTAGAATGTAAAGATGGAGTCACTTGGCAGTGTCAAGATACAAAGACTGAATAAGTTTGGCAGCGTGGAGATACCAGGCCGTGTGAAGATCCTTAGGACCTTTGTCCAGGCGGTTTTAGGAGCTTGGTGGTTGTGGGAAACTAATTTCAGGTAAATGTTTATAATGGCAGTAGAGTGACTATGGAGTACTCCTTCAGGAAACTTAGAAGGAAAGAGAGAAAAGTGAAAAAGAGGCCAAGAAATTTTTTTTTTTTTTTTTTTTTAAAGAATATGAGAGACTTGAGCATGTTACAGGGCAAGGGAAGAGGTTGTTGATAATTAAAGTAGCTGACATTTTGGAGGGCTTGCTCCATATCACCTACATCCAACAGCTGTATATCAAAGAGCTCATCAAATCCATCCAACAAGTCTGAGGTGTTGGGACAATTACTGTTCCCAGTGTTATGAATGAGAAACTGAGGTACAAGGATGTCAAGTGGCTCTGGGTGACACCAGCAATAAGAGAGCCCAGTTTCTCATAACCTGTGTAGATGTCACCATTTACCAGAGCACTGAGATGTTTGCTGGTTTTGAGGGAGAAGTTGAAGATTTAGGGTAAAGAAGGAATAATTCATAGAACCAAGTTCTAGAAGACACTGGAAGAGATGGGCTGAAAGCTTTGTGAAATTTGTTTTTTTAAATGAAGATGAAAAGTTTAATCATAAGGGAAAAATAGGGACAGTAAACAGAGTTGGATAGAGAAAGCTCCTAAATATTGGAGCCTGTCCTGGCTCTGCCTCCTGCAAGAACAGTGGTTTTGGTTTCTTTTCTGCACAAGGTGGTCCTTTTAGTCACATTTATTGATTGATTGGTTTCTTTATTATCACGGTTTGAGCTGTCATTGAGTATGTGACATTCTGTTATTTTAACAGTGTTATATTAAGAATCTACTCTATGTTTGGGTTATTTTCAGTCCAGTGACTTAAATGATAGCATGCCCTCCATTCTTGGTGACTTGTGTTGAGAAATCTTATGCTGGGGACATATTGAAATTGTTGCAATGTGGTTTAATATTACATGTTTTAAAAGCTAAGAAGCTCCTATTAGTCTCTGAAATATACCTGGTTTCCAATTTAGTCTACAAAGGAGATATCATTCCTGACCCTGATTTAGTGGGAGAGACAGAGATGCCTATATATTGGATGATGTATTATTCCATACACACCTACATACACAGCTCTGTAATGTTTAGGAGGCTTCAACAATGGGCAGATAGAAACCTGCAGCTCCTATTGCATTATAGCTCCTAAATAAGGTGTTAGCATGATTATTTATGAATTTACCCTGTGAGCTATAATTCAAATCCTTGGCCAATCAAAGGGAAAAATAAATCACTGGGAGTAGTGTTTTACTTAAAACCCATTAAAGCAATTTAAGTGAAAGTTTTTTTCAGGTATGAATACCTAGCTCCCTGCAGGAGGGCAAATGTTGATGTAGGGATATCTTTATTAATAGTCTTGGTGAAACTGAAGGAGAAGGCATACAATACAGTCTTTCACAGAACTCAGCAGTAGCCATAAATCCATTTATGAACAGTTCAAGTAATAGAGCTTTGAAGCATAACATTAGTTTTCAATAATGATGTTATTCTTTTAAAAAATCAGAGGTTTAAATGTAATGCATGGGGAAATGGGGCATAATAAATTTGAATAAGTAAGCATTACTTTTCAGTGGATCCAGCAGATTCCCTTTTTATTTTATTTATTGTTCAGGTTGTTGAATTTTGTTTATTCAAATAGTAAATGAGACATAGTCCAGGGAAGAGCCCTTTGCTTATGCTATATGATTTAAGGCCAGCTGCCGTTTTTCCTGAGCTACATACGCTTCATCATGTTGGAGGAATCAACTTCAAAAGTCAGCTGGCTGTTCTGCAGACAAGCACCAGACTTGTTATTCACCCTGAATCCTCAGCCTTAGCTCCCCAATCTCTGTTGCACAGAAAACTACAATTCCTGGGTGCCTGGAAAGAGAGGGACAAATATTAATTTGCATGACAGTATCCTGTGCAGGACCTCGTGCTAGGAGAAGCCCAGGAAATGTTTGTTGGTAGTTTTCACTTTGTCTTGCTAGAAAAGCCTCTACAGGAAATCTCCTCTGCTTCTAGGAACGTCAAATTTCAAATAATCCTGGCCAAGTAGCTGGTTCCTATTCTTGACTCCTTCATGGGGGCGGCGGAGGGGAAAGCTTCCTATGATAATACATTGCAGCATTACGCTGCCCAAAGTGCCAAGGGCGGTTGGGTACTATTCTTAGTGTTTATGTCTTTAGTTCTTGTTCTTTTACTTACTTATTTTTGGCAGATTACTGTTTACAAGCCTCAGGAAGTTAGCAGCAAGCTTGTCCCTTAGTCCTTAGCAATAACGTTTGAGAATTGCTGGAACCTGTTTGTCTTGTTAGCAACTACCCAAATACGAAGAAGCAAGGCTGCAAGGCAAGCACCAAACTTGTTATTCACCCTGAATCTTCTGCCTTGGCTCCTCAGTCTCTGTTCCACACACTCCCATGCTGGCTGCTGGAAAGGATGGTAGGCCTTTTTTTTTTTTTTTTTTTTTTTTTTTGAGACAGCGTTTCACTCTAGTGCAGGCTGGAGTGCAGTGGCACGATCTCGGCTCACTGCAACCTCTGTCTCCTGGGTTCAAGCATTTCTCCTGCCTCAGCCTCCTGAGTAGCTGAGATTACAGGCGCACGCCACCACGCCCGGCTAATTTTTGTGTTTTTAGTAGAGACGGGGTTTCACCATGTTGGCCAGGCTGATCTCAAACTCCTGACCTCAAGTGATCCACTCACCTCGGCCTCCCAAAGTGCTGGGATTACAGGTGTGAGCCACTGCGCCCGGCCAAGAGAGGGGTAGGCCTTTTTGATGGGATGGAAACTGCTCTTCCTGGGATTTCAGCCCGCCCCTATCTCTCCCATCAGGAGAGAAGGCAGAGCACAGTGATTGTCCATGGGCTGGTCTCTGTTCACTTCCCCAAGGTGCCGACACTGCGTGCACTCCACACGTGAGGCAGGTGTGGGAATGAAGCTGCCTGAAGGCCGTGGGGATTTCACAGCTGGTGAACCTGCTGTCCCTGAAGTGCCATTACTTAAACCCAGAGTTTTCTGCTCACTTCTCATTTTATTGAAAATGGTGCATTGGCAAAGTGATGTTGAACTGGAACTGACAACCAGCATTGTCCCTCTGCTTTCCTCAGACTAATCCACGGGCTGTCCACTCCCCTGTGATGCTCTCTGGATCGGGTCCAGCCCTTGCTTTCCTTGGAAAACACTACCTATATTTAGTGGTACCACTAGATCTTCTAGCATCCGTTTTCTGTTGCTGCATATTCATTAATAATAGGGAGAAAAAAAAAACCAACCCTTGTGTAATTGCTATTTGAATTTCACAGATAGAGTAGACATTTAAAGATTTAGTTGGCTTTAAAATGTAAATTTAGAAGTTCCTGGTAGGCAAAGCATGTTTCTCTAAGGGTTTATAATCCAATCATTCAATCCCTATTCCTTTACACGTAAAATTAATCCTTTCCAATAGGTACAAATGCCTGAATGGAGAAGATGGAAGGTTCTTGGCAGATGGCTATCTGTGCTCTTCATTGGCAATTTTTTTTTTAACTTGAAAAAGTCAAGCATTTTGGTAGGAGAATATGCTTTGCTGGACTCTGCCAAGTTTCTTGTGGCTGTGTTCCTATTAGTGGGCTTCAGGGGCTTCCTGTGGACAATTATTATGGTTGGTGTGGAGGAAAAATGGAATACATTATTTTCATCTTTTCATTAAAAAATGTGGCTTCCTTCCCTTTTCTCCAGCCAGCTGTCAGATTTGAATGCCTGCCCTAGTTTGCTCTGTCATCATCGAGTTAGTGGGTTGAGTGATGGGAGCTGGCAGAAGCCCATTAGAATGATTGCCAGTTTCCAAACACACCCCGAATCCCTTGCTACAGATGTCTAGGAAGACGGGATAACAGAAATTTGCCTCTGGGTTTCAGTACATTGATTTCTTGCTCATTTTAATTACAGGTCTCCCATTAAAGAACGGGGTGGGGGAGGGAAAGCAGCTTTGAATTAAAAATGTGACTTATTTATGGGTTTAGTTGCTTTACTATGAAGACTTGCTCTAAAAAGAAAGTTTCATTGGATGCTCTTAAAGTTCTTTATAAAAAGATCCCCATTGTACAGATGCTGACAACATTCCATGAACAAAAGGCTTATCTGGATCACCTAAAGGTCTGTCTGGAATCCAAAATAAAACTGGTGCCCAGGTGGCTAATTATCACTTTCTGTATCATGCCTGGAAAATACACAGCCTCCTTTGCCAAGAGTCTATGGCAGGGCAGAAAACGCTGCCCAGGCAGCTTCATGTAGCATTGTAGCTTTTCCAGGTTTTTTTTTTTTTTTTTTTTTTTTAAATGTCATAGAAAAGATACCGGTGGATATGAATCCTTTGTGCTGAAGTTGGATGGCAGTTAGAACTTAAAATTTAAAGAATGCATTCGATCAGTTGGGCTAATCCGTTTGGGTGGTTGGAGCCTGATACCAGGTAGGTAAAATTACACAGCCATCTACTTTCATTCTTTTCCACCCATTTGCCATGCCCTGCACTGTCTGCCAGGTGAGAGAGGGATGTCAGCTTAGTGCAGAGTTTTACCACACCTGGAGAAAAGAGCTCCTGTCTGCTTCTAAGGGACTGCGAATTGCTGGCAACTTCTTGATCTGTAGAGGACACTTCCTTTCCAGGAAATCTAATTTTGAGAAAACGATTGCACTTCTAAAGAGGTCTTTCCCGTGTGATCTCTAGACACTCTTCGTTGCTTTAAAATGAAAGCCTGGGTTTTAATATTTTTACATCATTGCATAGATTCAGAGCAACTAATATTTTGCTTGTTCAGTGGACACCTTGTTGAAGTATGAGTAAATTTGTGAATTGTAGTGTTTAGCCAACCTTTTTTTTTTTCCCATTGGTTTTATCCGTCTTAAAAAGGTTTGGATCTGTGCCCCACCCAAATCTCATGTGGAACTGTGATCCGCAGTGTTGGAGGTGGGGCCTGGTGGGAGGTGATCAGATCATGGGGGCGGATCCTTTGTGGATGGTTTAGCACCATCACCTTGGGCTGTTACTGTGATAGTGAGTTCTCGGGGATCTGGTGGTTTAAAAGTGTGTAGAATCTTCCCCTGACACTTGTGCCTGCAAGAAAGCTTGCTCCGGCTTTGCTTTCTGCCATGATTGTAAGTTTTCTGAGGCCTCCCCAGAAGCCAAGCGGAAGCCACTGTGCTTCCTGGACAGCCTGCAGTACCGTGAGCCAGTTAAACCTCTTTTCTTTATAAATTACCTAGTCACAGGTATTTCTTTACAGCAGTGTGAAAATGGACTAATGCACCATCTATGCATTATTTATTTGGACCTAAATATATCCCAGGAATTGTGCTAGACTGAAAATATAGTTTGTATATGCACATTTGAAGTTCATGTGATTCTGCTACTCTGAAAAATGTTTTGCATTTTTTGTTTAAAAAAAAAAAGTAGATTTCCTTTTCTTTACAGTTAAATTAGCATATTAGTTTAAAAAAGTGTTGTATTTTATGGTTCATTAACAGAATTTTACGATTTTCTAACTTGCCAAGGATTATGGTGTTTATTCTTGAACATTGCAAGCCCCATTGAAAGTTTGGATGTAACATAGGTATAGATTTTTATGTGTGTTTCTTAGAAATAACAGATAAGCAGTTTAAAATCATTGCTTCCATAAAAGCTGAAATTCGTCTTTTTGAAATAGGTTGGGTAAGGATTTGAGCATTTATGTAATTTGTTGTTGGAACCACCCATCCTCCATGGAGGTTATGCTCAATTACGTATTATAAAAATTGGCATTGACACTAATTCACTTTCTGTATCTCTTTTGGATAGATGGATGATATACAGCATAAGAAAGATTTACTGGAAAAGATGCTGTAATCAAAATAGGTTGTCCAAGGCAACTATAGGTTGATAGCGTGTTATTTGCAGATAAACTGAAATTTTGAAAGAAAGAATATTTGGAAGGAAAAGAATTTCAATCCGATTATCCAGTGTTTTTAGACCTTCTGGCTATGAGATTGAATTGACTATATTTCATTGACTGTTAATTAATTAGTACCTTTGTAATGGTATAATTTAGAGAACTGCATTTTAGGGCATTACTTTAGTCTCAAGGTTGTCAAATATTGTAACTTGAGCTTTGAAAACTAGTTTGTAAAAATGAGGGAATACATTTAATCCATGTCAACTAATTTGAATCAATGACATAAAATACAGCTTGGGCATTAAAGCACCGTGTATATGTTTGCGTGTGCTTGTCTAACTGGGACTGTCTATGTCAATCTTCTGTTACCTTATGCGTTGTTTGGTTTATCTAGCTTTTTAAAAAATTGGTTATAGTCTTACTTCATGCATTTTTAGCACAAATCTTCATTTCATTTTACCTTCACCAGTAATAAGAGCAGAAAAAGAGGTCAGCAACAAATAATTTGCTGCTCATTAGTTGAGTTGATGTGTGGGAAGTATAGCACTTTTGATTGAAATGGTGGTTGTCGGCCGGGCGCGGTGGCTTGCACCTGTAATCCCAACACTTTGGGAGGCCGAGGTGGGCGGATCACAAGGCTAGGAGTTCAAGACCAGCCTGGCCAACACGATGAAACCCTGTCTCTACTAAAAATACAAAAATTAGCCGGGCGTGGTGGTGTGCGCCTGTAATCCCAGCTACTTAGGAGGCTGAGGCAGGAGAATCGCTTGAACCCGGGAGGCGGAGGTTGCAGTGAGCTGAGATCACGTCATCGCACTCCCTCCCCAGTCTCAAAAAAAAAAAAAAAAAAAAAAGAAGAAGAATAAATAGTGGTTGTCAGTTATCAGAAAACCTTAACTTTTTGGTAAGTTTTTGAGTTACCTCTTGTAAGTAAAGGCTTGAGGGAGTTTAGGAAGCACTGTGACGTCCACTCATGAAAGACAGAATATACCAGGGCTGGGATGGGATGGAGGCAGGGGGTGAATAAGACTTAGGGGTTCGTTCTCCCTTTCTCCTCAGGTTCACTTGTTGAAAGTCTTGGATGCTTCTGTGAGGCCTTAGGGGGTACCATGTCTAACTTGTGCCTTCTCTATTTTTGCATACAAGGCAGGTGACACCTCCTTGTCTTGGACTCCTGTGGACCATGTCTGTTCCATTGATGAATTAGCATTTATGATAGATTATTTTTCTAGGGATGGAAAAACTTAGGAAAGCCAATGCCTGTTGCCTGCATTAGTATACCTGATAGCTCTGTACAATATATGCTGTCACTCTCTCAGATGGATTGGAAGTATTAGAAACTATCAACCTCTCAAAATTCTGTATTTGAAAATAGTCTTGTATTTTAGATAGATAAAATCAGAAGTCTTCAATATTCTGAGAGCTCCACATAGAAATCAGACTCAGGGCTGGGCGCGGTGGCTCACGCCTGTAATCCCAGCACTTTGGGAGGCCGAGGTGGGCGGATCACAAGGTCAGGAGATCGAGACCATCCTGGTTAACACGGTGAAACCCCGTCTCCACTAAAAAGTACAAAAAAATTAGCCAGACGTGGTGGCAGGCGCCTGTGTCCCAGCTGAGACAGGAGAATGTCATGAACCTGGGAGGTGGAGCTTGCAGTGAGCCGAGATCACGCCACTGCACTCCAGCCTGGGCGACAGAGTGAGACTCCGTCTCAAAGAATAAATAAATAAATAAAAGAGAAGAAATCAGACTCAGTTAGTAGATCGTGCTGGTCTGTCATCATCTACTTTGTTCACTCGTTCGTTTGTGTGTTCATTCCTTTGTTCAATAAACAAGTACCAGCTGTTGGCCTCCTAGTGCCAGGTGCTATGCCAGGCTTGGAGTGAAGGTGAGGACTGGTTCAATATCTCCCCAGTCCCTTTCACTAAACTTTATAGCAAATATATTAATGGATTTCTACCTTGGGAATCTCTCTTTAATTTTATAGGTGATACCAACAGAGATTTTTTTTTTTTGATTAATGATTTTTTTGTTTGTGTTTTCATTATTTGGGGATGCTTTTTCCTATTTATATGAGGAATATTTGTACATGATGAATACTGTGAACACTGCAAAAAGATTTCCCATGAATGAACTCACAAATGGAAACTCAGACGTGGCTGGTCTGTGTTGCTTGTCACTGAAAACTGGACTAAGTCATTATAGCTTTTCCTTGTTTGAGGGATCTTTTGCAGTTGCTGAAACTGCTAAATAAACACTTCAATATAAGAAAATTACACCTTAGCTTAAAAAATATTGTTATTTTTGGTTTCTGAGAGCAGTTATATAAATTTCCTTCCAATTCATTGACATTGTTAGGTAGTTGAACTTTTTGTTTGTTTGTTTGTTTGAGACAGAGTCTCACTCTGTTACTCAGGCTGGAGTGTGGTGGCGCGATCTCGGCTCACTGCAACCTCCACCTCCCAGGTTCAAGCGATTCTCCTGCCTCAGCCTCCCGAGTAGCTGGGACTACAGGCATATACCACCACGCCTGGCTAATTTTTGTATTTTTAGTAGAGACAGGGTTTTACCATGTTGGCCAGACTGGTCTCAAACTCCTGACCTCAGGCGATCCGCCCACCTTGGCCTCCCAAAGTGCTGGGATTACAGGCGTGAGCCACCTTGCCCAGCCAGGTAGTTGAACTTTTGAACTTAACCAGTAAATTACTTTTTCATGTGTGCGCTCTACTCTGGACAGGAGTTTGCTTTTGCTTTGCCTTAGAGATGCCCTTACCCACCCACAGAGCCTGAGTGAGCTGATCTGTGCATAGACTTAGTATTTTCCATGTTTGATAATTGTATATATTCTCTGTTAATTCTGTTTTTGTTTTGTTTGTTTTGTTTTGGGGACAGGGTCTTGCCCTGTCGCCCAGGCTGAAGTGCAGTGGTGCAGTCATGGCTCACTGCAGCCTCAACCTCCTGGGCTCAAGCGATCCTCCTACCTTAGCCTCCTAAGTAGTTGAGAGTATAGTTGTGCCCCTGTAGCACCAACATCTGGCTTTTTTTTTTTTTTTTAAGATAGATTCTTTCTATGTTATCCAGGCTGGTCTTGAATTCCTGGGGTCAAAGGATCCTGCCAAAGTGCTGGGATTACAGGCATGAGCCACTGCGCGCAGCCATGCTTGCAAATTCTTAAGTCTTTAAAAACAGCAGTCTTTGGTCTTTTAGACACACTTAGATGTTTTGAGATTATCTGTGTACTTATTGTTTTGTTAAAAAAACAAAAAACCATGAAAACCCATCCTGAAGTTTTAGTTTGCCTGCCCTCTGGGACAGCTATTCTCAAGGCATGGTCTGTGGACTGCCGGGAGTCTACAAGACCAGAGGGTCTTTAAGGCCAAACCACTTTTCATGGTAGTACTTAGATGCTTTTGTTGTTTTCACTGTTGACAGTTGCCCGAATGGTGCAAAAGCAGAGGTGGACGAAACTGCTTGTGTCTTGGTGTGAGTCAAGGCAGTGGCACAGCCACTAGCGGCCGTCCTGATCTTCCCCTCCCACCAAGTGCAGTAATAAAGGAAAAGAGTCAGTTTCACTTGAGAGTGGCCTTGATGAAGCAGTATTAATGTCATTAAACCCTGACTGTGCTGCAGGGATTCTTGTCTGAGCAATGGGCCGCCTACTTTCTGGTAATTTTTGAGAATATTAAAAAAACCTTACTTTTTATTACTTTTTAAAAATATTCTTTGTAATAAAATGAGAAGTATGGATAAAGTGCCTCTGGACACTGAGAGATCATTATTTTTCAGGAAAAAAAATCTTTTTTTTTTTTTTTTGAGTAATGAATGGAACTAGCCACTATTTTCATGGAACATCACTTTTACTTAGTTTAATTAATTAATTTACTTAAGACTGGGTCTTGTTCCATCACCCAGGCTGGAGTGCAGTGGCACGATCACTGCTCACTGCAGCCTTGACTTCCTGAGCTCAGGTGATCCTCCCACCTCAGCCTCCCAAGGCACACACCACCACATCCAGTTGATTTTTGTATTTTTGGGAGAGACAGTGTTTCTCCATATTGGCCAGGCTGGTTTCGAACTCCTGAGCTCAAGTCGTCCACCAGGCTTGGCCTTCTGAAGTGCTGGGATTACAAGCGTGAGCCACTGCACCTGGCCTATTTTTAAAATTTCTATTTATTTATTTACTTTTGCACTTTTACTTAAAAGAGCGACTGACAAATCAGTTTTTCAGACTTGGGCATTTGTCAGACGTTTTCTTTAAAATGAATAAAGTTAAGGTGTCACTTCAAGGGAAATAACCCTGAGTATTTGTCCTGAGCCCCAGGTTTGTGAACATCTGCCCTTGGAAAATGGGAGAGTCCACACTAGGAGCTGCAGGGACCCATTTGCCCCACAAACTTCTGCAGGGGTTTATGTCTGAGCTATGTGCCACCTGCTTTCTGGTGTCCTTCCTTTGTGAATTTCCCAAGCGCTTTTGACTTACTTTAGTAGCGAGATGGCTGTGTTCTGGGTTTGGGTTAGTAGTTTCATGAAGATACACCACCCTTCCTCTTCCTCTGATCTGTAAGAGATAGGAAAAAACCAAAGTGTTTTTCCTATTCTAATCCAGATCACTTCCTCCATGGTCTCTAAAACGTGAGGATTTCTCCACACCAGCAGCCAATCCGTTCCCCAGCAGATACCAGCCATTAGAGATGGGAAGAACCGAGGCGTTCTTCCTACTCTGATGCACCACTCAACACAACACTTCAGATACCAGATATGTGGAGATTCTGCACCCCCCACAACACACACACCAAGCAATTCTCCAGCAGACACCAGCTGTGTAGTTCAGTTCAGTTCTGACGCTGCCCACCTGGCAGTAGTGTCAGATCCCACAAGTTAAGGGCTCAGTCCCAAGAGACTACTGCTTCTCTCCTCAGATGCCAACGTAAATCGCCAGATTGTGACCTGTGCTCCTGACTGACTGTCTCTAACTTTGGCTTCCCATCACCCCTTCTCAGGCTCAGTTCATCTACTAGGGCAGCTCACAGAACTTAGGCAAATACTTATATTTGCTGATTTATTATAAAGGATATTTCAAGGGATACAGATGAACAGCCAGAAGGAAGAGATGCACAGTAGGGCATGTAGGCAGGGGGGTGGAGTATCCATGCCCTTTCCAGATGTGCCAGCCTCCTGGCACCTCAGCAACCAGGAGCTTGTCTGTTATGTAGACATGATTGATTACATCATTGACCATTGGTGATCAATTCAACCCGCAGCCTCTCTCCCTTCCCCAGAGGTCAGAGGGTGGGGTTGAGAGTTTCAGCCTCTAATCAGATGATTTTCCTGGCAACCAGCCACCTACGCATCAGGAGACTATTGAGGAGCCCACCAAGTGTCGCCTCATTAGAACAAAAGAAGCTCCCATTACCCAACAGATTCCAAAAGATTTTGCAGCTCTGTGTCAGACACTCCGGTCTCTCAGGAAATTACAGAGCTCTTATGAGCTCTGTGTTAGGAACTGGGGTCAAAGATTAAGTATCAGGGCTGGGTGTGGTGGTTCACGTCAGTAATCCCAGCATTTTGGGAGGCCAAGGCAGGCAGATCACTAGAGGTCAGGAGTTCGAGGTCAGCCTTGCCAACATGGCAATACCCCGTCTCTACTAAAAATACAAAAATTAGCTGAGCATGGTGGCAGGCACCTGTAATCTCAGCTACTGGGGAGGCTGAGGCAGGAGAATCGCTTGAACCAGGAGGCAGAGGTTGCAGTGAGCCAGGATTGCACCACTGCTCTCCAGTCTGGGTGACAGAGTGAGACTGCATCTCAAAAAAAAAAAAAAAAGATTAAATATGAGAACGAAAGATGCATATAAATAGATAGGGACGTAATTTCCCTATCTATTTATAAGGGTTTCAGGAGCTCTACATCAGGAACTAAATGTATACCAGTGATATGGTTTGGATCTGCATCCCCACCCACATCTCATAGGAATTGTGATCCCCAGTGTTGGAGGTGGGGTTTGGTGAGAGGTGATTAGATCATGGGGGTGGATCCTTCAGGAATGGTTTAGCCCCATCACCTTGGTGCTGTGAGTGAGTTCTCACGAGATCTGGTCGTTTAAAAGTGTGTAGCACCTCCCTGCTCCCTCTTTCTTCCTCCTGCTTCTGCCATGGAAAATGCCTCCCTCCCGCTTTGCCTTCTGCCATGATTGTAAGTTCCCTGAGGCCTCCCCAGAAACGTGTCACCATGCTTCCTGTACGGCCTGTGGAACTGTGAAGCAATTAAACCTCTTTTCTGTATAAATTACCCAGTCTCAGGTATTTCCTTATAGCAATGAGAGAACAGATGAATACAACCAGAGGCCAAATACATATTTCTTATTACACAGCATCATACTTTGCTTCACATGTGTATAACCAAGGATGTTTTTGCTTGTCTTATATGGTATGACCAGCTTGGCAGTGGATCTAACCTTTTAGGACTTTTGCTACTAACTCTGCTTGGTTTCTGTTTGTGTGTGACAATGTGATTCAAGCAGATGTTATAGTCTGGTGAACGCCAGGTGTACTGTACTGGAGAAAATAGAAAAAGTCAGGGGCTGGTTTGATATCTTGTGGTCTTCCTGCATGTACTATATGCCAGGAGACTTACTTCATAGTAAGACATACTATGAAGCCACTAGAAATTGTTTTTAAAGACTAGTTTAGTGACATGATGTTAAGAAGAGTGGCAAGGTACAAATGCCTATAAATAGACCAGAATGAAAATATACTTAAATGTACCTGGAGAAAAAGGCCAGAAGGAAGTGCGCCAACATGATAACGTTTATCTCTCGGTGCTCATAGAATGAGTAGTTTTTTTTTTCTTTATACTCTTCCACATTTTCCAAATTTTCACAAATGGGCTTGGATTACTTTTATAATCAGTAATTTAAATAAACCTTTTAAAAGCACAGCTTGTCTATATTTCATAGTAAAGTCTAGATAATCTCTGCTGACTTTAAATTCAGCAGTATTATATACTTAACTATGATTGAGCTAAAAGATGCTGTCATTGAATTTTTAATTTTGATACGATGTCCATTTAGAAAATAAGTTAGAACCTCCTTTGGACTTTTTCCCTCAGTGAACAGCTTATATCAAATTAGCATGAGGTTGATTCTGAATTGGCTCACACTTGAAGTGAATGTCCTTTGTAATTTTCAAAGTGATCAGTGAGGGATTAGAAGCTTGCTGTAAAGTGGCAGTTTACCTACACTTGCTCAGCTGTAAATTATTAACTTTTGGCCCAAAGGTAGCCCTGGAAGTCCTGAGCTATTCATTCAGGAGCACGGTAGGCAGAGGCCAATGACCTTAAAACCAAACGGCCAGATTTCTAAGCGCAGTCTTAAAGCATTCTTCTTTGTTTCCACAAAGATCAAAGATATCCTTAAATCGATGTTAGAGAAAGCGTTCAAAGAAGTGTTCAGCTTCAAAGAAAAAAAAGTGGTAAGCTTTCTAGCCCTTTCCAGCTCGAAGTGCCCTGGGGTCTGTTGGTTTCTGGGTAGGTTGGGCGATAGGGACTTTGCCTGGTTGCCTTTTTTGCGTCTGCTTCCTCATCTGTGAAATGGGGATAACAACAGTGCCTGCTCAAACTTGTTGGGTGGACTGAATGAATCCGTCCATATAAAATGCCTGGCACATAAGCACTCATCAGCTGTTGTTATAATTAAGGTCAGTCCTTGAAAGGCTTAAAGAAACCTGGGCAGGAGGCTGCTGTAAGTGACAAGCCACCCACACTGTCAGGCTGCATGCATTCCCATTCGTTAGGTGCCTCTTTGGGAATTCTGGATACTGACTGGCACACAGTGGGCATTCTGTAAATGGTGGTTAAATGGATGAATGAACCGGTAAGACCCCCTCCCTCACTATGGGTTTCTCTTACTCATCTGTAACTAATTCCAAAGTCTACCATCATGAAAGAGCCTGCACTGTTGTCACCTGCCTCTACTGAGGTGGCTGATAGACTAGCTGCTGCTGGTGTCTATCACACAGGCTACAGGTCCTGGACCCCTGCAGGATGGGCAACCACCATCCTGACTGGCTGAGAGTGGACACCCAGGAAAAGATGGGTGTGGGCCATGCAGAAAGCTGCAGCGGAATGGCATTAGTGCAACTCCACGTGTGTGCCCGACGTGCTGGAACAGGGAGAGGGAAGCAGAGGCAGCGTAGTGTCAGAAGCGTACACAGGCAGAGGTGGCTAGGGGAGTGGGGAGCATCCATGTGGCCGGCAGCTGGGGACTGACAGGCACAGCTGGATCCTCTCCCACCGTGTAGCCACCTGCCCAAACTCCACTAAGCCTTTTCAAGGACTGACCTTAATTATAACAGCTGATGAAGCTTATTGTGTGCTGGGCATTTTACATAGATGAGTTCAGTCAATCCACCCAATAGTCTCAAGCGGGTGCTGTTGTTATCCCTAGTTTAGAGATATCAAAGAAGTTGAACAAGCCCCATCACAGGAAAAAGGAGGTGCTGGGATTTGATCCCTGGCAGCCTGACTCTGAAGCCTGTGTAACCTTGTGCTTCCTCCTCCTGCTGGAAACATCCTGTTCCTGTGTGTGGACTGCACACCCCGGGTGCCAGAAACCTCACTGTGGATTGTCTGTCTGAGATCTACCCTGTCCATGTGTCACAGTATTGGAAAAGGTTCTGGAACTCTGGCCTTTGTCTCAAAAAAAGTTGGGGGTGGGTGGGCGGTCTCGCTCTGTCACCTAGGCTGGAGTGCAATGGCGCGATCTCGGCTCACTGCAACCTCCGCCTCCTGGGTTCAAGTGATTCTCCTGCCTCAGTCTCCTGAGCAGCTGGGACTACAGGTGCCCCCTACCACGCCCAGCTAATTTTTGTATTTTTGGTAGAGATGGGGGTTTTGCCATGTTGGCCAGGCTGGTCTCAAACTCCTGAGCTCAAGTGATCCATTTGCCTCGGCCTCCCAAAGTGCTGGAATTACAGGTGTGAGCCACCGTGCCCAGCCTGGCCTTTTTTTTTTTTAATACAATAAAAAGATTAATTGAAAATTATTAAATCCATAGCATAGTTTACTGCAGTTTACCGTATTGTTCAATTTAGGTATAATTACAGATACAGGTGCCCTAATACCACAAAACTGTCTGGCTAGTGTGAACTTTGGTCCCTAAAGATCTGGTGAAATCCCTAGCCAGGTGCAGCAGAGGAATTTGTCTTTGCCTGGATTATCATCTTTGGTTCTTACTGTCCTGTGTTGCCTCTGTGGCCCATCCATTCCTAGGCTGCAAGGATGGCTTCAGGCCATTTCTGCTTGTAGAGACTTGCATTCTCTCTCTGGAATTGCTCTAAGCTTAGATTTTCAGTTGAGCAAACACTCATCACATGTACCTGCAGAGAGCTCCTGCTGTCTCTTTTCTCAGTTGCATACCACCCCAGGTAAGGAGGGTCCCTCTGCCTCCAGTGTCACTGCAAAGCGACAGCTACCTGTTGCCCATTGCCCAGGCTCACGTTTGGTCTTTTGTTTGGCTGCCTCTCAGGTAGTGGAAGGTGAAACACAGGACTTTTCCTGATAGAGATAGTTATTCCTCTGTTGAAATCCAATTTAAATATCGTTCTCTTCATGGCAAAAAAGAGTCCTAGAGTTGCTCAGGCCATTCTTTGGTTCACAGTCCCCAGGATGCATGCAACTGGGATTTTTCTTAAACTACTTACCTCTTTTATTTCTATGGTAACTCCCATGCTAGGAATACAAAACACAAATCTGCACAGCAATGTTGCACACTCTCTGTTTTATTTTCCCCAAATTAGCCATGTTTGAGCGTGGACCTCTTCATGGGCAGTGAGGATCACTCAGCACACATTTCTGTAAACTTTTTGGTGCGCGTGGGTTTTACTGTCTTCTGTTGAAGCTGTGTCCCCCATTTGGAAGGACGTGCAGGTGTGAAGGAAGGACAGTTCTTGCTGAAAAAGATGGGAATGGCTTGCAGATGTCTGTGGATTAAGCAGATCTAAAAGCTATGAGAAAACTGCCTACTTGTGTGTGTGCGCGTATGTGTATAGTAAATGTATATATGCATATATTTTATATTGACATTCTGTAGATATGTTTGAATACAGAAACTTGTTTTTACTCCGACTACTGAATCCAGAAGTACCAAATAATATACAGTAAACAGTAAAACCAAGATTTAAGGTTGTGTCAAAAAGGTACAGTGATTCAGTCATATCCATTTGTCATTTGTTTTAGCCTTTTTTTTTTTTTTGAGATGGAGTCTTGCTCTGTCACCAGGCTGGAGTGCAGTGGCGCGATCTCAGCTCACTGCAACCTCTGCCTCCCGGGCTCAAGCAATTCTCCTGCCTCAGCCTCCTAAGTAGCTGGGACTTACAGGTGCATGTCACCACGCCTGGCTAATTTTTGTATTTTTAGTAGAGACGGGGTTTCACCATATTGGCCAGGGTGGCCTCGATCTCCTGACCTCAAGTGATCTTCCAGCCCCAGCCTCCTAAAGTGCGGGATTATAGGCACGAGCCACTGCTCCCAGCCGGTTTCAGCGTTTTTCTTTGTTTGTTTGTTTTTTAAGAGGGAGTCTCACTCTGTTGCCCAGGCTGGAGTGCAGTGGCGCGATCTCGGCTCACTGCAAGCTCCGCCTTCTGTGTTCACGCCATTCTCCTACCTCAGCCTCCTGTGTAGCTGGGACTACAGGCGCCCACCATCACGCCCGGCTAATTTTTTTTTTTTTTTGTATTTTTAGTAGAGAAGGGGTTTCACCGTGTTAGCCAGTATGGTCTTGATCTCCTGACCTCGTGATCGCCCACCTCAGCCTCCCAAAGTGCTGGGATTACAGGCTTGAGCCACTGCACCTGGCCTCAGCATTTTTTGAGTGTTTTTCTTTCTGCAGTTGATCAGTTGGATCCTCCATATCTTGCGTATATACATGGGCTCAATTATTATGTTAGGATAATCAAATAAGAATACTAGTTCAATGATTAGCACTGAGTGGTTGTTAGGCAGTCATGTGCTCAACACTGATGTCACCTCTTTCTGTAAGCATACTGAGTAGAGACATTTTTTAGGTTTAAATTGACTTAAATGAAAGTGAATAAAAAGGCCTTTTCAAAAGAATGGGTTTGAAAAACCTCAGTACCCTTTAATACATGTACATTTCTTTCCTTTCTTCATTTAATATAACATGTGTCTGTTGTAACTGTGTTTCTTAAATGTTATTTTAAGGTTATATGTTCTTTAATTATGGTCAAATATAATTTGGTCACCAAAAACGAAATAATAGTTTAAAACAAGTAGCTGTTACTAAGGGTGCTAAAAATACTCATTTTATAATTAATTTTTAAAGTTTTCTTAGTATATTATAAATTGTGCCCTGGTCAAGTACAAATGTACACATCAAAATGCCCATATTGTATCTGTCTTTAGTCACTTGATGTGAATTATATGTGAATTTTTTTTGGTTCAAAGTTTTACTAACCAGAATTAAACACTCCGCATGAGAAAAACGGCACAACACAATCTTGAGGTCCCTTCTGAATCATCAGATTATATTATGCTTCATATGTTAAAGAAAAAAGAAACCTGCCTACTTTATTAAACTTACAAGTTTAATAGAGTCTTGGAGATTGATGTCTTGGGGCATGATTGGGAAAGTCTCCAAGGCATAGGTCCATCCATGTATTTCTTCATTTATTGACATCTTGTGCCCAGCACTTACTGAGCCACAGCAATGTGTAGTAAACATAATGCGTCCTCAGTCAGTGTTTGTTGAAGGGGTAAACAAACCCCATTCTGGGTTGTGTTCTTTTTTTTTTTTTTTTTTTTTTAAATATGAGACGGAGTCTTGCTCTGTCACCAGGCTGGAATACAGTGGCGCAATCTCGGCTCACTGCAGCCTCCGCCTCCTGAGTTCAAGCGATTCCCCTGCCTCAGCCTCCCAAGTAGCTGGGACTGCAGAAGTATGCCACCACGCCCGGCTAATTTTGTATTTTTAGTAGAGACGGAGTTTCACCATGTTGGCCAGGATGGTCTTGATCTCCTGACCTGGTGATCCACCTGCCTTGGCCTCCCAAAGTGCTAGGATGACAGGCGTGAACCACCACACCTGGCCAGGGGACATGTTCTTAAAGTTTATGAAGCATCAGCTTTGTCTAAGCTTTAGTCAAGAGTCAGAACTAATACAGATGGTCCCAACTTAGCATGGTTTGGCTTAAGATTTTTCAACTTCATGACGGTGTAAAAGTGATAGAAATTCAGTAGAAATTGTACTTCAAGTACCTGTACGACCATTCTGTTTTTCATTTTTCAGCACAGCATTCAGTAAATACACAAGATACTTAACATTTTATTATCAAATAGGCTTTGCATGAGATGATTTTACCCAACTGTAGGCTCATGTAAGTGTTCTGTGGACGGTTAAGGTAGGCTCGGCTACGATATGGTGTTAGGTGTATTAAATGCACGACAATACTTTCAATATATGGTGGTTTTTCGGGATGTAACCCATTCTAGGTTGAGGAGCATGGAGCATTTGTAGTCAGAGGGAAGAAAAGACATTTGGAGGATTTTGACTGGCGATTTTTATCATTTTGAGACCAGTTTTGGACTAAGAAGACAGTCAAATCAATGTTCTCTTTTGGCCTGAAGTTTTGGAATTCAGTGATGTCGTTGTCCCCTGCATTCCCCTCCTTTGTGGAATTTCAAAACCCCCTTCACATAATGAGAGAAATTAACCCTGAAGAAAGAAAGGACTGGAATTTCTACTAGCTTGTTGATAATGCATTATTGTTATGCTGTCATGGGAAACCTGTCTTCCTAGGTTCTAAATTGGTGGATGACTGTCTGGTGACGGAGTCCAAGCGTCATTGCACAATGAAGATGAAAAACGCATGTTGGATGGCTACTCCAGTGAAGTTGAAAAATGCTTGCCTGATAAAATGCTTGCCTGATGGCTACTCCAGTTGGGCACATGCATACTGCCTTCTGCTTTTGCTCAGGAGGAAGATAAGTGAAACTAAAGGATTTTGGTTGAGTAATTTAGAGAGAGAGTAAAAAGATTTTGGTGTTTGTCATGGGAGTTCACAGGCTCTTCTAATGGAACAGAGAACTGCTTTAGGGGCCAGTTTCAGGTTTTTGCCTTTCTGGAAGGAAGGGGCAGTCCCTTTTCCCTTTGACCACTTACCTCTATTGTCAGTTTGTGTAATTATGTCAGAACTCAGCCACAGCCTCTGTTTTTTTTTTTTTTTTTTTTATAGCTCTATCAAGTGATTTTCAGCTTTATAGGGAAAGATAGCTCTGAAATTTTCTTTCTTCTTTCTTCTCTTCTCTTCTCTTCTCTTTTCTTTCTTTTTTTGAGACAGAGTCTTACTCTATTATTCAGGCTGGAGTATAGTGGCACCATCTCAGCTCACTGCAGCCTCCATCTCCCAGGTTCAAGCAATTCTCCTGCCTCAGCCTCCCAGGTAGCTGGGATTACAGGCACCCGCCACCAGGCCTGGCTAATTTTTTTTTTTTTTTTTTCTTTTAGTGGAGACTGGGTTTCATCATGTTGGCCAGGCTTGTCTCCAACTCCTGGCCTCAAGTGATCCACCCGCCTTGGCCTCCCAAAGTGTTGGGATTACAGGTGTGAACCACCATGCCTGGCCTTGAAATTTCTTTTTCTCTACTTTTTCCTTTTTACCCACTGTTTAGTTTGCTAGGGCTGCTGTGACAGAGTACCACAGACTGGGTAGCTTAAACAGCAGAAGTTTATTTTTTCACAATTCTGGTGGCTAGATGTTTAAGATCAAGGTGTCAGCAGGGGGTTGGTTTTGTCTGGAGCTTCTCTCCTTGCCTCGTCGATGCCATCTCCTCCTTGTATCTTTACGTGGTTTTCTCTCTGTCCTTGTTTGTCATAATCTCTTCTCATAAAGATCCCAGTCCTACCAGATTAGGGCCCACCTTAATGACCTCATATAACCCTCTTGCCTTTCTAAAAGGTCCTATTTCCAAATAAGGTCACATTCTGAGATACTGGGGATTGGGACTTTAACATGAGTGATTTGAGGGGAGACTAACATGAATTTTTGGGGGGTGAGGTTCAGCTCATAACACCCACTTCACTTTTTCGTAGTACATTGGCAGTTCTGTTTCAAGAGCTCAGTTAATAATTATTTGATGTGTCATGGATTAGAACATGAAACAGGAATTTTGTTTTATTCATAAAACTGTATCCCTAGCACCTAGAGCATAGCGTAAGCCCTCAATAAATATAGGTTGGATATTATTGGATGAATACATGTCATATCTGGAAGAAGGATAAAGGAATGCCCTGAAGACATGTTAGTTTCAAAATGTTCTAAAGGCCCAGAAGGGCAGTGAGGATTTTCACTGGCTTCAGGGCTCTGTGCAATAATATAGAAATAGAGAATCTCACACTGAAGCCAGTCAACAGGACCAACTTCTTTTAGCCAGTCCTGTCTTTCCAGCAGCATCATGCAATCTAGGACATAAGAGAGCCCGTGTCAAACCATTTTTATATACCGTGACACTCTTATTTTTAACACAGTGGTTGGATTATTTATAAGCAATCTTGGATTCATTCAATAACCACAGGTAGATAGTGCTCTCACCTCATTAAAGCATTATTGCAGGCCGGGCATGGTGGCTCACACCTGTAATCCTAGCGCTTTGGGAGGCTGAGGCAGGTGGATCGCCTGAGGTCAGGAGTTCGAGACCAGCCTGGCCAACATGGTGAAACCCCGTCTCTACTAAAAATAGAAAAATTAGCTGAGCATAGTGGCAGGCACCTGTAATCCTAGCTACTCGGGAGGCTGAGGCAGGAGAATCGCTTGAACCAGGGAGGTGGAGGTTGCAGTGAGCCCAGATCACGCCATTGCACTCCAGCCTGGGTGATAAAAGCGAGACCTTGTCTCAAAAAAAAAAAGTATTATTGCAGAGAAGGAGGTACTCTTAGAACTCTGGACTCTGTTAGCAAAAGCGTTGGGGATTGATAGTGATTTAATTTTATTCATGATGCTGAGAGAGTCTCACCGGAATGCAGCGAGGATTTTGCCCCTCATGTCATCAAGCTGGTAGTACTTTGTTTTATGCCCGGTTTCTTGTCTGATGCAACCTTTTATGCACCATAGTGAAAAGTTGTGCTTAACATGTTTATGATCCCATATTTGGAAATCTTGCCTTATTTGGATTTTGCAGGTTTGATAGTTTGATAATTCAGAGAGGTTGGACTCAAATTTTTATCTATAAACAAGGGATTTACTAACAATAGTTTGGAATGATATGACTAAGAAAGATGTTCATTACTTACAGATCTCTTTAGAAGCATCATTTACATACAATAATTACCTGACTCAGAAGAAAGTCCCCTAGGGAAGTCATCTGACAGTCCTGGTCACTGTCTGTGCTTTAAAGCTGGCTGTTACTGAAGCCTTTAATGCATACTGTTTTTCTTCCCAGGTAATCTGCAATAGTAATTATGGTTTAGTTGAGTGGCCTCCCCCAGTTGAGAAACACAATCATACCATGCAGTAAAAAATATTTAAAGCACACTTATAGTTCTAGAACTTTGCATGGATAACTCTAATTAGTCTGGGAGCGCTTCCCTGGAGCCGAATGTGTTTAAGAATTCAATCTTTTAAGTGCCGGTGATGTCAGTTTGGAGACAGCAGTATGTGGCTCCATTCCACCGTGAATCCTTTGCTAGCTGCAGTGTACTTTAGCTAATAGAATCAAGTGCTTGTCTTCAAGTTTTTTAAGAGCATAAAAACCCTGTTTATTAAAACAATTCTCTTTGGCACTTTGCAGCATTATGATAATGCTGTCTTAGCAGAAGTGTAGAGAGCTGTGAACTCCTAGGGGGAGGCTCTGGAGGAGGACCATTCTTTCCCATTGTATTTCTTCGGGACAAGCATCATTTCTTTCCTTAGTCAAAGGCTTTGTCTCAGCTTGCACTTCACGTTTTGAATATCTTTCTGGAGAAAAGCAACAGCAAGTATTCTGGATATTACGCATGATGATGGTTTTCTTTGATGCCTATCTAATATAAACTCCCATTCTCCTGGAACCTCACATATTTTAAAAAATATTACTTGAGGCTGGGCCCGGTGGCTCACGCCTGTAATCCCAGCACTTTGGGAGGCCGAGGCTGGTGGATCACTTGAGGCCAGGAGTTCAAGACCAGCCTGGGCAACATGTTGAAACTCTACTAAAAATAAAAAAATCAGCCAGGCATGATGGCGGCATCTGTAATCCCAGCTACTTGGGAGGCTGAGGCATGAGAATTGCTTGAACCCAGGAGGCAGAGATTGCACTGACCTGAGATGGCACCACTGCACTATAGCCGAGGCAGCAGAGCACGACCCTGTCTCAAACACACACACACACACACACACACACACACATCTTTGAAGTAAGTTACTGATAGGGATGGAAGTCTTCCAAATCTGGAAAAATCAATGTATGAAAGATCCATAAATATTCTGAATTTGTCTTAATGTGTCTATGCACAATGTAAGGAATGCATTGATAGGTTTCTGTGCTGTTCCCCCCACCCCCACCGCCTTTTTTTTGTGACAGAGTCTTGCTGTGACACCCAGGCTGGAATGCAGTGGCATGATCTGGGCTCATTGCAGCCTCAACCACCCGGGCTCAAGCGATTCTCCCGCCTCAGCCTCCCGAGTAGCTGGGACTACAGTCCTGCACCACCGTGCCTGGCTAATTTTTTTTTGTGTGTGTATTTTTTTAGTAGAGATGGGGTTTTACTGTGTTGCCCAGGCTGGTCTCGAACTCCTGGGCTCCAGCGATCCACCCTCCTTGGCCTCCCAATGTGTTGGGATTACAGGCATGATCCACCGTGCCCAGCCTGTATACTGTTGCTATATAGAAGAGTCTAGTAAAGTCTGGCTCATATTTGAACATTCAAGAAATAGTCGTTGGTCCTGTCGCTCCCAGAAGCTGCACAATTTTTGAGTAAACGTAGCCAAAGTTTTCAGAATCACTGAATGCTGCTAGTTCTTTTCTTTTCGTGATTAATTCAGACAGGCCGCATCCCTGCGAGACCCTTCTTCTCCCACCTCCACCAACATCCACAGACCTCTCCCTCCAAGGCTACAACCACCGAGCCCTCTGACAGATTTGATCGCACTGCTCAGGCTTACTGTCCTCACTTTGTTCTGTGTGTGGTTTGGTATTTTTCTGTCCTGCCCACCCAGGCCAGGCCTTCCCCACGGTGCTGTGATAGAGTATTGTTATTTGTTGCTTATTGTCTGGAGAAAATCTCTCAATTCCATATCAAACTGTTGTTTGAGGCCTTTTGTTTTCATTGTCAAATGTGTCGGGTGGCAGTCTCATGAAAAAAATCACATTTGAAGGTATATTCATAATACCTGGTAGGAAGAGAAAAATAATGGTGTTCCTGTGACCTGTTTACCTGATTCTGAAACTAAACAGTGTTGCATGGAAAGCGATTTTAGCGATCTTAGAAAAGAATGTGTTGTGTCTTTTTTTTGGAAACCCAGCGATTCAGTTAGCATATTATTTGTTTGCGTGTATCTTACCCTTTCAAGAACTCTAAGGTATGTGCGACATGGTAACCCCAATGCAAACGGCATTAAATTGTGGAAGCAGGAATGGTGTTAAAAGGATTCTTAGAGGTGGTGCCGGTTAGGAGGAGGAAGGAAGCCGTTGCATGCCAGGTATGGTGTCACCACACATATTTCGTCCTGGTAGTGATCCTGTGAATTACCCTCCGTGACCATGCTTTGTGGTTGAGCACAGTGAGTCCCTGTCTGGGCAAGGGATGATGTAGCAGCAAATGGCCGAGCTGGCTAGGAGTCACACCCAGGCCTCCTTTGTCTACGTTGGATTACTTTTTCTGTGTCTACCAGCATTAGAAAATGAGAAAAGTGTCATTATTTGCAGGAACATAGGGCATTTCAGGTTAGGAAGGAAGCAAGAGTGAAAGTCTAGGATAGAGGTGAACATGAACCAGGATATTCGGGGAACGATGATCAGACAGTCCAGCTGGAGTGGGGAGTGCTGGTGTAGGGTGGGGAAGGAAAGGTTGGCAAGAAGTCACGCCCTTCTGCCCGACTGAGGAATTGGTTTTCATCATCTATAGGAACTTTTGTAAGTTTTTGAGGAGAAACACTAGTGAGTGACAACTTGGGAGTGGTGTTTGACCATAAAGGTTAGGCAGCCTGTGTTGTGCAAAGTGATTATACAGGAGCAAGATTTCAGGTTGTGTCAATGGTCCAGGGAGGCGGAGTAAACAGACAGGAAGACAGGAAGGAGTAAGTGAAACGTTAAAAGATTTGGGTGGTTGCAGAGGGGAGGTGGTTTGAGGAGGAAGATTATTGTAGCACCATCTGCTGGCACCAGTACTATCTACACCAGAGCCATTCCTCTTCCTGTGCTGCAAGAACCCCCGTTTTGTTCAACTGTCCAACCCTTGCCCTTGTAACTTGGGTAAATCCTGACTGCTTTGAGACAGTCGTGGGAATACCCTTCAAGGGTGGGCATGTGATTCCTGTTAGTGAGCAGGTAACTTCTGAGAAAGGTTTCTTTACCCTAAAAAGGGACACAAAGAAGAGGTTGTTTCAGCTGCTGCTGGATGTTGCCATGCGTGCATGTATCTCCTGGAGCAGTGGCAGCCATCCTGTGACCATGAGGAAAGCTGGCAGAAGGAAACAGGAACTTCGTAGGTGGTTGAGTGGCTAAATTAATTAACCCTGGGGTTTTCCTGCCTCAGACCTTTTTGTAAGATTATTAACCTTTATTGTTTAAGGCAGGGGTTGGCAAACTATGGTCCATGAGACACCAGCCACTTAAAAAAAAATTTTTTTTTTAATTTTTAAGAGACGAGGTCTTGCTCTGTCTTCCAGGAGCATAGTGGTGCAGTCTTGGCTCACTGCAACCTCCACCTCCCGGGCTCAAGTGATCCTCCCACCTCAGCCTCCTAAGTAGCTGGGACTACAGGTGTGTGCCACCATGTCTGGCTAATTTTTGTATTTCTCGTAGAGACGAGGTTTTGCCATGTTACCCAGGCTGGTTTTGAACTCCTAAGCTCAGGCAATCCACCCGCCTTGGCCTCCCAAAGTGCTGGGATCATAGGCATGCACCACCATGCCTGGCCTCACTTGTTTTTTGTAAATAAAGTTTTATTGGCATGCAGCAATGTCATATTGTCTGTGGCTGCTTTTGCATTGCAGTGGTGGAATTGAGTAGTTATGAAAGAGAGACAGTATGGTTCACAAAGCCTTAAATATTTGCTATCTGGTCTTTTAGAGAAAAAGTTTGTTCACTTCTGGTCTAAGCCATTTTGAGTTAGGTTTTCTGTTTATTTGTAGCCAAAGCCTGTTTAAGATGCTGGCCTTGTTTTGTACCTCTTAACTGGAGATTGTCCTGTAGGCAAGGGCTTTCTAGAGCTGTTGTGCTGTCAGGACTGAAGATGTGCATTTGGGATTCACTTTCATATCACAGAAAGCAGTTAAGAAAGAGTTTCTAAGTATGGGGGGATTTATAACATCAAGTGCAGATTTGTTGCAATTTCAATGTGGTGGTGAAAAGCCAAGATGGCAGGTGCTTAAAAAGGGAATGAGTGGGAAGATCAATTTATTGGCATAAATTAAAAGAAATGTTTCAGATATTTCACCTGAGAACCTAGGATGCATCTTGATGGTCCTAGATTATGAAAGTTAATGTTTAATCTGACTTGCTCCAAACGAGGACAAAGTTAGGCAAAAATGCATCCCATGTAACTTGTTTTTGTGGCCTCTGTGATTCCTCCTCCTGACCTCTGCTGTGCTGGTACTGAGCAAAGACTTAAGGTATATATGAGACCCTCATGTATAATGGTTTGACTGATAGCCCCTTACTTGTATGATTTTTTTCTCATCGTAAATGGTGCTTTTACACAGTAATTGCCCGACTCACGTGATTCACTTCGATTCCACTCTCTGTGGCTGATGTTGCATGAAGGTTGTAGGCACTGCTGTGCCAGAGTCAACAGGGATAAAGAAACCTGATAGATTGATTTGATGGCAGGGATGTGTGATTAGAGAAGGTCGAATCCATAGGCCTTTGCAGGAAGCAGGGATTCCAGCACCGATATCGAGCTGTCTTCAAAATACTAATGAACAGGTGAGATGTCAAAGGAAGACAGCATGAACCAAAGATGATTTATTTGATCACTTCAGGGGGAATAAAACCAGTTGAAATCACATTAGAATTCAAGGGAAACTGCACAAGACATTTCAAGAAAGTTGAAAAAGATAGTCCAGAAAAGTTAAGCTGAAAAATTTTTCTTTCTTTTTTTTTTTTTTTGAGATAGAATCTCGCTCTGTCACCCAGGCTAGAGTGCAGTGGCACAATCTTGGCTCACTGCAACCTTCACCTCCTGGGTTTAAGCAATTCTCCTGCTTCAGCCTCCCGAGAAGCTGGGACTACAGTCATGTATCACCATGCCCAGCTAATTTTTATATTTTTGGTAGAGATGGGTTTTCACTATGTTGCTCAGGCTGGTCTCGAACTCCTGACCTCAAGTGATCCGCCCACTCTGGCCTCCCAAATTGCCGGGATTATAGGTGTGAGCCACCGCGCCCAGCCTGAAAATCTTGAAGGAGAAGGCTGCTACTCCTTGCCTGCTGCAGATACTTAATTTTGATGAAATAGAGAGTAAAGGATCATTGAAGGAGTCACTGTAAATTTAAACTCGTACTTAAGCATATACTACCTGAAGACGTTTAAGAGCCATTAATGTACATGAAAGTATTAGGTAAAGTTTGAGATAAATTGTCTTATTTTTAAATGTAGTTGGAAGATCTTTGGGGGTGATAAAGAACACCTTTTTTGTCAGCAGGAGATTTCTTTTTGTGGTAGTTTTTCACGCTCTTCCGCCAGATCCAAACTTCTTGAGAGTGTGGACTGTGTCTGGTTTTGTTCAGCTAAAATCTGACATAGTGCTTGGTATCTAGTAGATGCTTCATAAATATGTGTTAAATAAATGTGCTTTACTCCTAATTTTATAAGACTTGTGTTAAGGCTGCTTCAGTAGTCAAGCTCCGCATAGTAGAAACATCTTCCAAAATGAAGATTGACAACTTAGCTTTAATATCGTTGGGTTTCATGAACGTAATACATGTGTCTGAATGCATACATGGGGTTTTACTTTCTTTTCATGATGGGTTTTGATATATTTAACGTTTGAAATTGATTTTTAGAAACAGAACCTCAGTCTGTACCATTACAGCTCTGGGAAGTGAGAGTTTTCTACTTCACTGTGGTTTGATTTGTGATTATCATTTAATAACCAGTTAGTAGTGAGGGGTTGCATGTACATTGCATGGAATATTAGGGCTGGGAAGAGATTTAGTGATAGTTGCATCTAGTCCATTTTTTTTTCCAAATGAGGAAACTGAGGTAACTTCCTCACCTAAGGTCCAACTGCTGATTCTTTTCATAGAGGGAAGCTACCGCCTATCTGGTTCCTTCTCTCCTCACTGCCCTATCCTCCCTGCCCCCAATCCTGCCTGTACCTCCCTGCAAAATTTAGGCAAAGGTAGAGTCCATCTTCATGAGAGTATACATTGGGTAAGAGAATTAATGTGACGGATAGGAAGAAGTTACTATAGGAATGCTGGGAGTGGTGGTTTATGTAGTTCTCTGATTGCTTTAAGACCTTTTACTGAAGTGAAACCTTTATTCTTAGCAGATTTGGGTTCATGGATGTAAGCATCTGCTTAGGCTTGTGACCAGCATCTCTGTGGTCTGTGTGATAGAATACTGCTTTTCTCTGCACCCTTCAAGGACTCCTGAGCTACACACTCTTTATATGATAGAGAAAATTATAGATGTACTTATCTGTTGGGTGGTTCTGGATGAAAGTTCCGTTTTCTTTGTCTGCACAGCCCCTGATGAGCTCTTCCCTGCTCTGCTGGGAACTGGCCCTCATCCTCCTTTTCCATCAAGGTTCCTCTTCAGGCTTTGAGCGGATCCATGCGGAGAGAGAACAGTCTCCCGCCTTTCCCCATTTCAAGTCCCTGGAGCCTCTAGGCTCTGGGGGGCAACACCGAATACAGGGGGCAGAGTGTGGTGCCCATCCGGCATCATCAGCTTTTGCAGCCTCAGCCCCCAGCTGACTACAGGGACACCTCTGCCATGCCTCCTTTCCCAGGGCCATGGCTCCGGAAGAGCCAGTATCTGGAGTCATGGCCCTGGGACCAGAGGCATGACAGAGGTCTCCCTGTAGTCAAAACCTGTGCTTGGGTTCGTGGTAAGCCATCTGAGGCATCTGCTGTGTTCCTCCCCTATTCTTAAGGGGTGGTCTCTCTCTCTCAGGGTTGAAGCCTAAATCTGGGGCATGGGTCTGATGCAGGTCCTTAGGGGGCCAGCCCTGTGGTGCACTGAGCCACAAAGAGGTTCCAGATTGAAACCCTTACAGATCTTCCTCCATTAGTGCTTGATTTTCATTCATGGTGCAGAGAACTTGCAGGACAAGGTTCATTTGCCCTTCTCTACCATTCCTCCTTTGCCTTTGTCCACATAGATGAGGAGCAAGGTGGCCTTCAGGAGACTTTCTGGGGCACTAGGAAATGGCCAAGTGATAGGATGCAGAGTTGAAGACGGCTGTTTTAGGCCAGGGCTCCCAGCACTGTAGCTTGATTACTGCTGATTACTTCAGTTCCTCCAACCAATCCTTTACCTTCCATGCAGAGAGGAAAAGTCCCACTTACTGACTGGCAGAGGGCTTTCCAAGGAAATCACAGGCCCCAAGGAAAAGTGGAGTGTTAATTTGCTTCATGGGGTGAAACTGCTTTCTGAAAGCATGGTTTGGGCCTCCAGTTTGTAATAAAATCACAGCCAGCCCTTATTGTTCACACTGGAAAATTTATTCTTGTTTGTGTACCACTAATGACTAGCTTTCAGAATGCTTACTTTCTTCTCATAATTGTCCACTAATTTACTGTCCTTCTGATGGGAAGAATAACAATGTATTTGAAGTTCCTTGGGCTACTGGGTTTATTGTTTTTGATACTTTTAGATATTTCAAACATGGACCTTTTACGTGCTTTATGTTGCGCAATATTCATATTTATTAGGGCTATTTAATAGCGATGCAAATGAGTTCAGTGCAGCTGTGCCGGACAATAGTCATGGAAATGAATTCATCTTGTTGCTTTTTTCTTTTCTTGGGTCATTCTGATCTTTTCATACTTTTCTTAATGGAACAAGCACGTTTCTTCAGGAAAGGTGGCCTCATGTTTTCATTTGTCTGCAGGACAAATAATTTGAGTTTCATTTCTTCCTGTGGCTCATGATCCAAATTGGTCAGAATAAAGTTGGTTGCATCAGAAATATTGCAGAAGTTTAGTCTCTGCTCTCCAGAGGTTGGCTGAGAAAGCTTCACTCTGGGTAGCTGTCGCTTCCCCTCTGCGCTCCAGCAAAGTCCATGCTCATCAGTGACACACATGCCCTTCCCCTCCATTGTATTACTCTTAAATTCCTTCTGAAACTAAGAATTTAGCACTAAATGGAATTGATTCCTGAGTTGGACACATTAGTAGTTCAACCCTGGTTGCCAGCTCTGTCCCTCTTCCGCACATCATTTGCAGCTTTTAATCTTCACTGAAAGCCAATAATTAAGTATAGCAGAATTATGTCTGAAGCAAGGCCAAATTGGCACTGGGTAAACCTGAGGACCCGTCCCATGGAAAACCAGTAATAATTTCCCCCCGCATCCTAATTCTTTTTTCATTTCAAATCAGCATTTCCAAAGCACTTTCAAGACCGTTCCCTTTTTTTATCCTTAGGCTGAAACATGCCCTGAAAGGAAGGGGAGAATGTTTTAGTGACTCATATTCAAGAAAGAGAACATTGCCAAAAATTTGCAACAACAAGGTAAATTTATTACTCATGCAAGTAAGAAGCAGAGCTCTCTTCAGTGGCAGCTTTCCTCAGCAAAGCTGGGAGCCGATCTTGTTTAGGATCTTGGGAAGCGTGAAGTTCGAGGCTGGTCAGGCTTTGAGAGGTGGGAGTGAGAGGTCATTAGCAGGGTCCTTGGATGAGTGCCTTGTTGATCAGCTGTTGACAAAAGCATGGGGATGTCAGAAGCCCGTGTACTGGTTCTGAGCTGTCATTGATTCTTAAACTGGTAGTTTCTTGTTACCATGACTACAGATCATTCCCCCACCTTTACTTCCCCCAAGCACACTCTTCCTCCACATACGCTTTTTGATGTTTTCTCAGACAAAGCTTCAGGAGAGACCCTCAGGGAGAATCTTCCCTGTGGTGATTAATCTTCCTCCCTGATAATATTTTATTTTCAGGGGGTCTGATTTTCATTTGCATTAAATATGTGAGAAAACTACGGCTTAGGGAGGTCATGGGGCTTTTCTAAGTTCCTGTATTTGGCCAGTTGGAGAACCTAGGCCTTGTCACTTCTTGAGATCTTAAGAGTCTTGATGCCAGGGACTGGGCCTTATTCTTGTGAGTTTCTTTGGTATTTTGCATGTAGTAGGTCTGTAGTTGCTGTTTGTTGATTGAATAAGTGATACCACCAGTGCACTGAGCAGGTCAGATTTTGTTTCTAAGTCAGCACAGGACCCATCAGTACTGATAAAGCCCCAAAACCCCCACCTTTGCAGTCAGCCTATTGTGTATTTGGTTGGAGCAAAAGTAATTGTGGTTTTTGCTATTTTTTTAATGGGAAAAACTGCAATTACTTTTGTACCAACCTAAGACCTTTCAGTAAGTGAGAGGGCAGCTTGTGAAGCCAGGCTCTTTGTGAGGTGTGAGCTACTGAAGGTTAAGTGTCCAAAACTAGACTCTGATGTGTGCAGTTAGCCGGGGGGAAGGAGGTAGTTCAGAAAACCAGAAGGTGGCAGCTAGAATTAATAATCCCTGCCTCCTAGTTTGGATATACCCTCACTGCCTTTTTTTAAAAGCAAGAACTCTAGAGATTAAGTGTTCCAATAGCTGGGATGCTTTTGGAAGGCCGTGTATACCTCAGTGTATGTGTTCCCAGTAGTGTGTGCCCTGGAGGAAACCCCAGGGCCCAGAGCTTCCCTGCAGCCCCGGCCCCAGCTCTGGCCCCGGCCCTGGCCCTGGTCCTGGCCCTGGAGGCATCTTCTAATGAAATTACCTCCACTGAAGTTTCCTATAAACATAGTCAAGAGCAGCCTCTCTCCCTGCTGAGCTATTGCAGATCCCTCCCACTTCCTCTTCTGCTCTCCTTTCTCTGAAACACCAAGTGAGGATGCGTGTTTGCTTGTTTATGGATGGAGTAGCTAAAGGAGCAGGGATGGAGCTTGAGTTCCTCCAGCTCAGAAGTTGATCTGAGGAGTTTTTTTCATTTTTGTTTTTTATGGAGACAGAGTCTTGCTCTGTCACCCAGGCTGGAGTGCAGTGGTGTTCTCTCAGCTCACTGCAACCTCTGCCTCCCGGGTTCAAGCAATTCTCAGGCCACAGCCTCCCGAGTAGCTGGGACTACAGGCACCCGTCACCACGCCCTGCCCATTTTTTATATTTTAGTAGAGACTGGGTTTCACCATGTTGCCCACGCTGGTCTCGAACTCCTGAGCTCAAATCATCCACCCATCTTGGCCTCCCAAAGTGTTGGGATTATAGGTGTGAGCCACTGCACCCAGTCCACCTGAGGAGTTTCTGAAACATCTCACTCAAACCTCCAGCAGTGAGGCCTGGGCACCTGGTTGTTAACTGAGTTTCCCTGAGGACCCTCAGTCTTCCTCATTAGTAGGCCTTGCCCTGGTCAGGCTTCCTCAGTTTGTGGATGGAGCAGGTAGGGCGCACGGAGGTGAATCTCCTGAGCCAGGAGCAGCAGAGCCAGGATGGACCCTGACTTCTAGCTTCCCTCAGCCTGAGCTCTTTCTCTCCTGCCACACTCTTCTTGGGCCTCTTGCTGTCACCCTGGGCTTGTCAGGTGCCAGCAGGAACTCTTGGGCAAATGGGTCCTATTTCTGCTTGAGTCTTGAGGTTTGGAGCAGCTTAACTGGGAGAGAAGGCAGCATCCTTTAATGGGGGCTGGCAGTTTAATGCCATCAAGGGGTAGGATGGGAGTGTGAATGGAAGACAGCCCGTCTTCATTAGACTTTACAATGTGGCTTATCAAGTGCAGTGTTTGAAGACCTTGTGAAGACATCATGAGCCTCACAGTGCTAAGAGGGACCTGAATGAAAGGAAAACAATGGCTTTCAATGATGATTTGGGAAACATGGATGATGCACTGATCTGAGCTTATAGATCCTGTCCTTGGGTGAACAGGGAGAGGTCAGAAACAGGAGGATGCTTAATTCATTCCAGCCACCGCTGCTGGAGTTGTTTTAGCAAAGCTCCCCATTTCTGTAGTTGGTGCTGGCATTTTGACGATTTCCCCCTTTGCTATGGTGATCTGGAAGCACAGAGCCAGATGTGTAGCTGCTTCTTTGTTCCTAGGCACACGCCTTTTTTCCCCGAATGTGGCCTTGGAGTCAGATTGCCCAGGTTCAAACTTTGGTTCCTCGGCTTGTTAGCTGCATGGCCTAGACAGCTTGCTTAACTTCTCTTGCCTGGGTTAGAATGATAGCACCCCAGCAGTCCTAATAACAATTCCTGGGCTACAGTATTTACTACCTACCTTGTGGGGTTATTATGAGGAACAAGTACAATCATAACATCAAGGGCTGAGAGCCTTCCTAGAACACAGTAACTATCCCATTAATGTTCACAGAACTATCACCACTCATGAAATCCTAGCTTGAATATTTACATTAGTCTTGTTTCTCAAACTTGACTCTTTGGTTTGATCGACATTTTCCCTAATGCTGATTTTCACCTTTATTTCTACTTTGCTGTTTGTATTCTTGGGAGTAACCTTTGATGTATGAATGAAATAAATAAATTCAAATGCCAGGCTTTTACCATGGGGTCTAATGTGCTTGAAATCAGAATGCAATAGACGCTTTTGCTAAGCTTGAGGGCAAAGAGGGGCTAGTGCTGCATCCAGGGGTTTCAGCCTGGGGACTGCGTCCTGGCCCTCTCTGTCCAATGCCTTCCTGATTCTCCCCCACTTAAGTTGCTATCACAGTACCTTGCTAGACCAACTAACTAGCACAGTTTGAGACTTTTCTTTCCTTGCTCTGACTTCTTTGTAAGTGCAGCTTATGTTGTCAGAAAGCTCAAAATGTTGTGACAATAAGGCTGCAGTCCCGTGCAGCCGGCGTTTTGTCGTGTGGGTGTGATGGTGCTTGTGTGCTGTGTTCTTATTGGCAATCGCGAGACGCACTCACGGAATCACAGATGCCGCCTACAAAAGGTATCTATAAGGTATCTATGTTCCATAAAAGCAGGTAGCCTGTTTACTTAGCCCTGGACTAGGCCTCTGGGAGGGAGGAGGGAGAGGTGGGTGTGTGCAAATTTGGTGGGGAGAAAAAGTGTTATATAAAATTGGGAAGATATAAAGCACTGACAAAAAGAAATGTGAAAAGATGTGTTTAAAACAATGCGCATGAAGTGCGAAGTCTATGGGGCGGTTCTGATGAGCAAGCATGGAGGACTTTTTGGGGGAGGGGGGTGGTCTTAAGCTGTGTCTTAAAGCCAAAAAATGTGAAGAGAGGTTTCCAGATAGAGAGGATGCCATGAGTTAAGTGGATGCAGGCATAGCGCTAAGAATAAAGGAGATTGCGTGTTTGACATGACCATCGTGAAGGACCCATGCTCTGTTGAACCTAGTAGTGAGGTTAGGATTGGAGAGGCCAAGTTACAGGATAAGGAAAGTAGCTTTGTCATCATGGGCAAGAGGAAACCACTGCAGCTTCTGAGTGGATCCATGGTGCAAATGGGTGGAAACTGGTGATGGCTGGCAGGGGAAAAGGGGGGTCCCATTTTCAGGCATTATGGAGAAAAGTTACCAGGATTTGTTCAATAATTGGATGGTAAAGAAAAAGAGTGAAGAAAAATAATTCCAAGTCTTCAGTGCTTGAGAATCAAGAGGTTGGATGGCATTGATGTTGAATGAAAATCTTGTGAAAGCTGGAGATGAATGACTTAGCAGGGGGAAGTCTTAGCACTCTTCAAGAGAGGAGAGGCAGTATGTCCCTGAAGTTTGGATTCTGGACTCTGCAATCATCTGGGTCAAACCCCGGTTCTACCAGTCATTAGCTTTTGCAACCTTGACCAAATGAACCTCTGTCTGTTTTCCCCATTTATGAGGGTGAAAATAGCACCTACCTCAGAAGGTGGTGGCGAGGATTAAGTGAGAGAACACACGTGAAATGGTTAGAACAGTGCCTGGCGTGTGGTAAGTACCCACTGAATGCCAGTGCTTTTATTACGGTGAATATTCATTGTATTGAAAGTCAGACATAGGTGTGGAACCAGTTATGGGAGTGAGGATAAGTCTAGATTTGGGAATCAGTCGCAGAGAGGTGGACGATGAAAGTCTGAGAAGAAAGGATCTTGCTAATGGAGTGAACTCAGAGCTTGATAAAGGGAGGATGAGTGGAAATGGAGCTCAACGCTGTGCCTTGGGAAATACCTCTGTGGATTGGTGGGAGCACAGTGAGAAATTCAAGAAAGACACAGACAATGGAATAACCAGAGAATTAGGAGGCAAATCGAGAGACTGTGTTGTCATGGGAACCGAGGAAGGAGAATTTTTTTTAAAGATGTCGTATAAGTCAGATACAATGAGAATTAAGTGAAAATTGAGGCTAACATAATGTACCACTGATTAGGCTTGAATATTATTAAACATGCTAGAGCCGTTCAGCTGTGGGATGATTGAGAAGCCAGAGTTTATGGGATATGGGAACCGTGATGGGAGATTATAGGAAAAAGATGGAGTGGTGCTTAGAAGAGGCAGCAGAGCAAACGAAGCCAGGAGTTAAGAATTTAAAAGCTATACAAAGAGAACTAATAGAGGGCAAGAAATTAGAAATACAAATGCAGGCAGGAATGCATGTGGGAGACCAGGTAGGGAGTTGGCAGCATGGGGAACACAGAGGAGAAAGGCCCTGCTGAGCAGGTGGAGAGGACCTTTTTTGGCAAACAATGGTGGGCAGATGTGTGCAGTGGTGGAGAAATCTGGATCCAGGGGAAGGCACAGGCTGAGAACAGGTTTTCTCCATCATAATAAATATCTGCCTGTGACTGGTATAAATGTCGATGCTTCTCAAACCTTAAGAAACTTCCAGCATTTTGTTTTGTTTTTCAAATGATAAGTTTCTTATTCATACTGCTTCTAAGCATTGGGAAAGAAGTAACTCAGGGAGTTTTAAAAAGCTTTTATTTTAAAGAGGTCTTGTCTCCCAGGAAACATAACTTTTGGAAACAGTTTACAAAGAATTTGCTTTTTCTCACTGACAGATAGGGTGTCTTTTGGTGGGAGCAGAGCCCCAGAGCCAGAGGACCTGCCTGCTTGCTTGGCAGTCCCCCGAGCAGACACAATTTAGGAACAGGAAACCCTAGAGAAACCTGAGTCAGGATGCTGTGGGTCCCAGAAGCAACTGGGTAGTTGTTTCAAGTTTCCTTTTTTTTTTTGAGCGGGGGGTGGGTGGGGCGGGGGCGGCTTCAAACTGGAGATTAGCAAAAATGAGTTGGATATTTCCTTAGACAGTTCAAACCCTCATAGGTGAACTCATCTCCGTCTCTGTTTCTGCTTAGTTTTCTGCACATCCTTTCTAAGAACTCACTTATGTCTATAAATACCTTTTAACAGGTTCTCTTCATATTTGGATACCAGGAGTAAATAAGTGATTTTGCAAGTATACTCAAGGATTCTGGACTAGGTGCTACTGTGCCCTTTATACAGTCTGGTGGGGTTTGGGGGGTGGGTGTGTGTGGAAAAGAGAAACTCCCAAACCCTCAAAGAGGATGGGGAACAATGTCCTGAAAGAACAGGGCTCAGGCAGCAGAAGAGCTGAGGGGTCTCTGTTCTGAACGGGTCCCCCTTCTCCCTGCCCTTCATCTTGTGTGACTGCGGTTGAGAAAGACCTGCAGGATTAAAGGATCTGGTGACCTTGGGACCCCGCACTTGCTTGGCAGTGACAGTCCTGAGGAACTGTATTCTTTCAGTTCCTCTATCAGCAAAGCAGCTCAGTAGGTAAAGGGCGAATTCCGGCATTTCAGTGTCTCTTGCCATGGGTAGCTCTCATATTTCCAGTTGATGATGTCTGGACACGTGCCCTTGTGAAATGAGTTGAGTGGTGTGAGATTGGGAGCCCAAACCTGTGAACACCCAACTGGGCTTTTTCCTGGCCATAAAAAGCTCGAATAATGGAGAGCTTTAGGAAACAAGTTGTTTGAAAACTCTGTTGAGTTGGCTTTGAGCATTCGTGGAACATTATTTTTAAGAACCGGTTATTTCATTTAAAACAGAGTAAAAAGAGAAGATGATTGTATTAGTCTGTTCTCATATTGCTGCAAAGATACTACCTGAGACCAGGTACTTTATAAAGGAAAGAGGTTTAATTGATTCATGGTTCTGCATGGCTGGGGAGGCCTCAGGAAACTCACAATCATGGTGGAAGGGGAAGCAAACATGTCCTTCTTTACAGCGCAGCAGGAAGGAGAATGAACGAGTGCTCAGTGAAGGGGGAAGCCCCTTATAAAACCATCAGCTCTTGTGAGAAACTAACTCTCACGAGAACAGGATGGGGGATACTGCCCCCCATGATTCAATTATCTCTGCCTAGTCCCTCCTACGACATGTGGGGATTATGGGAACTACAATTCAAGATGAAATTTGGGTGGGGACACAGCCAAACCATATCAGTGATTGAGGGGAGAACAGGGAATGAAACATCCCCTCTCAACAGTGGTAGGAATAATGGCCTGTCATCATTATTGTCAGCAGTAACTGACATTTCTTGAAGACCTCAGTGCATAAGGCACTGTACTGAGCGCTTTATATTCTGTGTCTTGTTTAATTTCATTCAACCCTCCCAACAGCCTGTACTACATTAAATACTACTGTTACCCACTTTTCTTTTCTTTCTTTTTTTTATTGAGACAGAGTCTTGCTTTGTTGTCCAGGCTGGAGTGCAGTGGCACAATCTCAGCTCACTGCAACCTCCGCCTCCCAGGTTCAAGTGACTCTTCTGCCTCAGCCTCCCGAGTAGCTGGGACTACAGGTGTGCACCACCATACCTGGCTAATTTTTGTATTTTTTAGTAGAGACAGGGTTTCAGCATATTGGCCAGGCTGGTCTCGAACTCCTGACCTTGTGATCTGCCTGCCTTGCCCTCCCGAAGTGCTGGGATTACAGGCATGAGCCATCGTGCCCGGCCTTTTACCCACATTATACAGGTGAAAAAAATTATGTTGCTCTACCATTTCCACAAATGGCATAGGCTGGCCTATTACTGTCCTTTTCCAAAATACGTGTCTCTCAAATAGCTCTGCAGCTCTTACAGGGCTCCTCGTTGTCCTCTGTGCTTTACAGTTTGAGATCCTTCACGTTGGAGGTTTGTAGAGGACCACAGTTGCAAAATAGGGTGCCTGGGGTCTCTGCTTATCTGCATTTTGTCAAAGGATACTATAGGTCATGGCGCATGGTCTTTTGCTGATGTTCGTTTTGGCAAGAAGCACTATTTTTCATCATTTGCCAAGAAAACCTTTTGTGCATTTTACCTTAAGGACCTGGATAGCATAAGCAGAGAAAGGGAATCAGCATTTCCATGTTTTGAAAAGTAAAACAAGACTCTTTTTGGTCTTTGCGCCCCCATGCCCTAGAAATCCCATAATAAGTGCAACTGTCTCCTTCTGCTGATGGATTTCCTAAGTCATTCCCAGAAAGAAGTTGGGTGCTTTGTATTGTATTAATATATTCATCCTAAATAAGGGTCTTGGGGTTTTCCCCCCTTCCAAGATGTATTAAGAAGGTTGCTTACTGTAGGCTTTGATTTATTTATTTCCTATGAAATGCCAGAAACACCAAGTCCTAAAATCCTAGATCCAAGTCATTGACTTCTCAGTGATTATGACCACATTGAATTGATTAAACTCAAGTGACTGACAAGGCGAATAAAAATAGCCCAAAATGAGTCCAGACCCCATGGTTTTAAGAGCCCCCCACCAGTTCCCTAAAGCTACAGGACGGAAAGGACTCCTGATCCTTTGTACCTGAAGAGTGTGGTGCCTAACGTATAGCCAATGTTCATTTGTTTCTTCTCTCTGTATTTTATAAACATAATTACTTTGAATGAATTGGGTTATTCGGGAAGTCAGCACATGTCTCCATCTCCTGCTTTCTATTTCTAGAGTCCTAAGATAGACTTTGCTGACAAGAAGAGGCCCCTGCCCCTTCAGAGCTTAGAGTGTAGCAGAGAGATGGGTATTCAGGAAATCCTCAAATAGTGACAGAGCCACAGCGGCAGTGAGTGACAGGCAGGAGAACTATAGGATGCTGGAAGTGCATACAACCGGGGTGTTACCTAGTCTGGGACTGGTGGTCAAGGGGGCTTTTTTGAGGCCTGGACAACCCACAGACCGAGGGTGGGCTAGTGAGAGCCAGTGAGGGACACTCTTCAAGATCCCAGCACTTAAAAGATTGGTTGGGCATGATGACTCAGGCCGGGAACCCCAGCACTTTGGGAGGCTGAGATGGGAGGATTGCTTGAGCCCAGGAGTTTGAGACCAGCCCTGGCAACACCGTAAGACCCCATCTCAATGAAAAGTAAATTAGTCAGGGCCGGGTATGGTGGCTCATGCCTGTAATCCCAGCATTTTGGGAGGCTGAGGCGGGTGGATTGCCTGAGCTTAGGAGTTTGAGATCAGCCTGGCAACATGGTGAACCCTGTCTCTACTAAAAATACAAAAAATTAGCCGGGCGTGGTAGCAGGCACCTGTAATCCCAGCTACTCAAGAGGCTGAGGCATGAGAATTCCTTGGACCCGGGAGACGGATGTTGCATTGAGCCCAGATCGCGGCACTGCACTCCAGCCTGGGAGACAAAGCGAAACTCTGTCTCCAAAAAAAAAAAAAAAAAAAAAAAAAAGTAAATTAGCTAGGCATGATGGTACGTGCCTGTGGTGCCAAGCTCCTCAGGAGGCTGAGGCAGAAGGATGGCCTGAGGCCAGGAGTTCGAGATTGCAGTGAGCTGTGATCACACCTCTGCATTCCAGCTTGGACGACAGAACAACGCCCTGTTTCCAAAAAAAAAAAAAGATTGGGGTGCTCTTAAGCTCACAGTTCTGGCCATCTCCTCTTTCCTAAGTGGAGGGAGATCGTGGATCCCTGAGGGGGAACCTACTTCCCCTTTCACTTCAAAGTCTGCTTCTGTTTCTAAAAATGAACTGAAACCCCATCTGTTTGCTCATGTATTTGAAAACCCTTGAAAATGTTTATTTTTGTACATCTTCATACGACTCTCGTCTCAGAGCTGCTTCTCCTCTTCAGGTGGTTTCTGGGCACACTGGGGACGTCTGTGCACCTCCTCTGAGTGGAAGTCAATGCCTGTGATCCCCTTTCTAAAGGAGGCACGGATAGCTGCTGTGCGGTTTTTTCAACCTGTAGCCAGTTTTCATGTTTTTGTTCTCAAAATAATACTTTTTTTTTCAGGTGAAGACAAGGAACATTTAATTTACACTGAAATGATTTTTCCTCTTAGACCTTCTGAAAGCTATGACGTATGTATATTTATACCATAATAGATGCTAATGGTGTCCTCTCTGGGTGATGGTCCCAGAGATGTTTATACCACGGCATTTCACTCCACTAATAAATGTGGGTGGATGGATGGACGGGCGGACAGATGGAAATATCACACAGGACTGTGCCCAGGTTCCAGACAGTTTGGCTTTAGGGCCCCAACTCTGCCAAGGGATATTTTTTATATAGCATCATGTTTTTCATCATGATGTTAGTCTCTCTCTCTTTTTTTTTTCTTTGAGATGGAGTCTCGCTCTGTTGCCAGGTGTGAGTGCAGTGGCACGATCTTAACTGACTGTGACCTCTGCCTCCTGGATTCAAGCGATTCTCCTGCCTCAGCCTCCCAAGTAGCTGGGGCTACAGGTGCCTGCCATGCCTGGCTGATTTTTTTTTTTTTTAGTTGAGACAGGGTTTCATACTGGCCAGGCTGGTCTTGAACTCCTGACCTCAAGTGATCCACCCACCCAGGCCTCCCAAAGTGCTGGGATTACAGGCGTGAGCCACTGCACCTGCCTGTAACATCATGATGTTACAGTCCCCCAGCTCCTCACCTGGCCTCCCTGTACCCATTCCTGGCCCCCTCCCTCCTTCAATCTCTTTTCCACTTCAGAGAGTGATCTTTAGCATTCCCAGCTCCACCCCACGCTTTCTGCCTGTAATCATTTAAAGGCTTCCCATTGCTTCTAGGATGAAGTCCAGGATCCTTAAACTGGCCTACAAGGCCCTGTATCATCAGCTGCCCTGCGTCTCCAGCCGCCTCTCCTCATCACCCACACTTTTTCTTCATAGCCTCCATCCCAGCTGTAATGCAGAATTTTGTTTGATAATTATTTAATTCATGTTCACCTCTCCCATTAGACTGCAAGCTTAGCGAGGCCAGGGGCTGTTTTGTTGTTTACCCTTGAACCCCAACCCATAGCACATGTAAGTACTCATTTGTCAGGTGTTTGTGTTTCATATCCATTTTTTGCCTTTTCTTACATACATGGACACACTTTTCTCTCTTTTGAGATAACTTCCAGAATTGAGTGGTTATGAGCAATTCCTGGATCCCTGTTTGCCTCAGAGCCGGTAACTGTTCTCACCTTTTGGGAACCATAAACGCTGCCATTGTTGACCTGAACACGAGGTGACTCTGGCAGGAGCCCTGGCCATCGTCCCTTTTTTGGTTATCATCTGACGTTTGTGCAGCTACACACATCATATCTCATTTGATCTCTTGGACTCCCGTTGGTTAGTAGAAACCTTATTTTATAGACAAACAGCTGAAGCTCAGAGGTGTTCAGAAACTTTTGCCCCATTTGCTGCAAGTGGTCCATGAGGGTCTGGAATCAAGACCTTCTGGTTCTGGTTTGATGCTGGGACTGCTCTTTCTGAATTGTTTCTATGCCTGTCTGTTCAATGTTATAATGATGAGGGGGCCAGTCCCTCACCAGCTGCATTCTAACTGGAGGCTAGAAAATAATGAATGGGAAGTAACTTAGGGGAAAACTATGATGAGGTTGTTGGCATTTGTTACTCTTGGAAAGAAGTGTAGCCTTGGAAACTAGAGGCTAAGAAATAAAGTGAGGCTTCTTAGATGTCGTTGTGTATTAAACAGGAAGCCCGTTTGCTCTGGCTGTAGAGTGTGCCCATGAGAGTTTATGGAAGAATGAACTTGACTCAATAAATAACCCACTCAGTGCATGATACCCTTTTCTTCAGCTGCAGGTAAATGTCTGTTATGGTGAGTGACATGGTGGCATGTTGGGCTCTATGAAACTGAGTCCACACACAGCCTGCTGTGCTGCCTGCCCTGAAACGGGACAGGCCCTTGGTAAATGACTTGCTACTGAATGGTAGTCCTCACGATGACATGTGTGGCCCATTTAATGAGAGAAGTAAAGACCGCAGAGGATGGAGGAAAGGGCAGGGGGAGAAGTTAGCTAATATTAAATTCCTGACCACCCACACCTAATGAAAAAGAATGTTCTCTGCTTGCAGAGGCAGTGAATTAGGCTGGCAAGGTACCAAGGGAGGAGGAAAAGTGTGTGAATGGATACCCGCTACATCTGAGCACAGACTTAACCCAGAAACGCAGGCGGTCAGGAAATCTAATGATGGCTTCGGACCTGGGCAGACTTGAGTTGAGACCTGTGCCCTCCGCCTCACGAGCCTCAGAAGGCTGTTGAGTCTTTTTCTGAGTCTCAGTTTCTCATTCTGTAATTGGGGGATGATAAGGATAAAACCTGACAAGATAATTGTGACTCAAATGCCAGTTCCTAGTACTGGTGTTAGCACAAAGCTGAGTAAATACTCATGGATTCAAAGGCGCGAGATGTCATACCATCCAAGTTATCAGGAATGTGTTTGCTGAGGGCTCCCTGGGTGCTGACCTGGCTCTACAGGTTCTGAATAAAGAGTTGAACAGGGTCTAGTTCCTGTAGTCAAGGCACTTCAGATAGAGAGAAACTGGCTTGCCACCAACTCTCATGGAATCCCAGATGTGTGTGCTTTCATAGTTCAACGTTCTGGAATCCAGAGGTGTCTTACATGATGGCCTGTCATAGTTTAATGGGCCGCCTTTTATTTCTTGGAGGTACATCTATGATGGCTGGGGGTGTGGATTCTCAGAGACCTATCGTCAGATAGTTCCTTGGAGCAATTCTCAGAGCTAGGCTGCTTAAGGCATATGAGGGCTCAGGACTCAGAGCCCTCCTTCTTTATGACCTTCCAGGGAACATCCCTTTTCCTGGAGTGTAAAATACTGCATGTTATCAGGTTTGCAGTTTCCTTGAGTTAGGGTGGGGGTGTCACAAGGCTTATCTTTGAGGCTGAGGTTCAGTGGATTTGGAGAAGTGTGTTGGCAATGAATTTCGGGGAGAATCTTCCCCTCGTTGTCTGCCTGTGTAAGAGTTAATTTTAGCAGTTGTGATTGTGAATTATTTGTCAAAAGATACTCCCACTTCTGAAGCCCTTGTTTGCACCTGGTGGAGACAATAAAGCTTCTAAGAGCAAAATATAATTTTCTTCCCTGCTTGTTTCTTTTCTTAGCATTTTAGAAAATCCCACTCAGTTTCTAGAGTTAACACCTTTCCCCACTAATCAGAACACAACACACAACACACACACACTCTCACACATACAGACTCCCTCACTGACCTTATGGGCCCTTTGCTCTGCTAAACACATAGGTACTGGATGGAGTTTGTAGCAACATGTCCCTGCCCCGAATTTGTCATCCAGATGTCGCCTTTGGATGTCATGTCCTTGACATTGACCCAGGGTGGGACTTCTGCAGTCAAATGCTCTACCCCTGAGCTATCCCCCCTACGGTGGGACTTCTGAATAAAGCCTGTGTCACTGTCTCTCTGGTTCCCTTCAGCGGGAGCTCTCTGTGGTTTAATGGAGTCTCCACTTGACCAGGAGTGTTTCCAGATGAGAAACCCAGGGAGGGCTGCAAGCAAATGAGAGTGAAAACTGAGCTCTGTCCCACTCCAAATGGCATCCGGGATTCACATACCAAGGCTGGCTGGGAACAGCTGATCCAGGCTGATCCTGACACTGGAGAGTCCAAGCATTGGAGGCCAGAGGCCATTCAGAAGAATTACCTCGGAGTAGAAGGCTTCCTAATGAGCAATAAGGAGGAACTCCCCCATTCTTAGGGCACAGGCCTAATTGAAACCATCCTGGGAAGAGAACATCTAATTAAGTCTGACTCCTCAGAGGACTCAAATAGTTATATATGAAGAAATGCTAATCTCGTGGCCTTACTTGTGGCTAGGGAACCTGAGGTGATGCTCAGGACAGCAATACCAGCCCTTACGGCCTTGCTGTGTGTCCTGGGCTGTGAACAGTGCAGAAGTCCCTGTCTGTTCCCGTGATTTTGACAGAGGATGCCAGAGGCAGAAGTGCTGCTCTTTGGTGGTGTCCTTGGTGGTGTTTTCATCTGTCTACATTAGGGTTGGGTTCACTTTTTTTTTTTTTCTTCTTTTTTTTCTTGAGACAGGGTCTGGCTCTGGCTCAGGCTCTGTCCAGGCTGGAGTGCAGTGGCATGATCTTGGCTCACTGCAACCTCTGCCTCCCAGGCTCAAGCCATCCTCCCACCTCAGCCTTCCAGGTAGCTGGGACTACAGGTGCGTGCCACTACACCTGGCTAATTTTTGTATTTTCTGTAGAGACAGGGTTTTGCCGTGTTGCCCAGGCTGGTCTCAAACTCCTGAGCTCAAGTGATCCGTGCACCTCGGCCTCCCTAAGTGCTGGGATTACAGGCTTGATTCCAGCCAAAGTGCCTGGCTGACTCTTTGAATTAGAAGTTAAGGTGAGTTTTAGAACTCTGGTCTTTTCTGTGATTTGAAATGTTGCCTCTGGGGAAGGTGCTGTTTTCTAGTTTTATGAAATGATAGACTCTCTTCCCAACACACACACACACACACACTCACACATTCACACTCACACTCCCACCTCTTGAGAAGACCACAGGAGCTGTGGAGACAGTTGTCCTTGGTGTGGCCAGCCTGGTTGTGGGACATGGGCCTTAAGGTGCAGCACCCCCATTCACCTTCTCCAGGATGGAAACAATTTTCTTCTTCCTCATTGGCCTTGCTCAAGAAATATGCCAGGCATTTTCAATGTCTTCTGTCCAGACCCAGAAGGATACTCAGACTACTTCTGTTTAAATGGGGCTTGTTTTTCATAAGCAGTTGCATTGTTGATGTGGCTAAATTTAGACAGAACCCCATCTAGATTGTGGTCAAGGGCTATGAATGCTGCCTCCACTGAGCACCAGGTGGGCTTGTACATTTTGGTGACTCATTGCTGCTTGTGATGAGAGGGGCCTGCACACTTAAACCCCTCCAAGGCAGCACTGCCCTGTTCAGTCTTACCTATGACTCAACGTCAGGAAGCTGAGGACCCCGGTAGCCTCTAGAACTGAGGTGTACCCCTGGGCTGCAGTGGAAGAGGATCTTGGGGCCCTAGTGATCCCCTAGATCTAAAAAGCAAAGAGACAGCTTAGAGGAATAGAGGATTTGGTCAGGGTATGTGTGTGTTGGAGGGGTCAGGGCAGTTATTTTCTTGCACTGAATTCTGAGCATAAAAACTTCTAGCTTGCTTTGCTTTTTGTCACCCAGCGATTTCTAAAGACAGTACACTTGTGTGTTCAAATCCCTTTTCACACCTGGAGAAATTCACTCTTGACTCCCTTCCAGTGTAAGAAGTAGTTTAGCATAGTTCCGGAAACGCTTCGATATCAAGCCATCAAAAGACAGACTGCGAAGTCACTCCGAGTGTAAGAGCTCTCTGTATGTAGAGGACCAGCTTTCTGAGAATGTTTTGGCAGGGACTTGAAAATGTCAGTCATGTGTAGACAGGGAAGTGTCATACCATTAAGATGTATACGGGATGGTGACAGAGTGAGAGAGGCCTTGGGGTTTTGAAAGAAGGGAGTGATTTTTGTAGTCCCAATTCATTGTCCTCTGAGTAGCTCTTCCCTCAGCCTCTTGCATGCGACTTTGGCTGGTCGGGGATGCCAGGCGAGTTCTGAGCCGGAGACTCATGGGGAGTCCTCTTGTGCAGCTGACACCTTCTGGAGACACCTTCCTCACTCCCAAAGGCACGGGGCCTTAGTGCTTTCTGAGTAGCCACCTTGGACCATCGGTTCAGTAATTTGAATAGTAAAATGTGGGATGGCGTTTTCTTGCTAAAGTGCAGCTTAACTGGGGGAGTGAGTTGTTAAAAGAGCAGGGTGGTAGCATAGATGACAGGCGTTCATAAAGCACTGAATTTAGAGATCTGGACCTGGACTGTGCTGCTGAATGTGGAAACCTAGACTCAGTGTGACCATCTCTAAGCTCCTTTGAGCTTCTAGGAGTCTGTCATCAAAGGTGGTTTCCAACAGCCTCCAGGGCCCCCTGGCCCTTTGTGCTCCATCCCCACCTCCGCTCATTCCAGTTTCACCTGGGGCTATGTGGCTACCTCCTCACGTCTAGGCTCTCCTCCTTCTGAGATGCTCTTTCTCTTTCTTGTTTACTGGAGGGCTTGGCTAAGACCAAACTTGGGTACCCTGGGCAGAACTAGGGACTCCTGTGCCTCCTTTCCAGAGCATCGTGTGTGGACCCTTTTTGTCGTGTAGTTATTTGGTTATTTTTCTGCTTCTGTCGGGCAGTGGGTATCGACAGGTAAGACTGCCTTATTTGCCTTGGTATCTAGGAGCACTCAAAAGTGAATAGATTGAATGGAATTAAATCCTTGAAATTACAGTAGAAAGCTTAGGTTCTTTAGAATAGAATCGTGGTGAAAGATGGCCTTTGTGTTCTGTGTATTCTGTGCCCTTTTTCCGCTAACAAGTTGATATCGTGCTGTTATTTTGTTTTGTTGATAACATAGTGTGGACTTTGTACTTCTAAACCTTAGGAAAACGTGGATCATTAGTCATTTTTGTCACATTGCAGTCTGCCCTAATAAACATAGTATTGGAAAAACGAGATCTGTTAAAGGGAATGATGAATTTTGCTGCCTTGGAGCTTGTTGATACCTGAAAATTGGTTTCGGAAATCGAGACGCCTGATGGAAGTTTGTGTGTCGTTTTGGCTGCGTTAGGCTCTTCTTGAGCCCTATTAGGCTCGATGCCATTAAACTGCTATGCGTAATGAGGGTGACACGTTGCAGTGAACTCCCATCCTCCAAAGGCTTTTAAACTTTAGAAACCTGTGTATATGCTGTGCCTACCCTTTATAGTATATATTAAAATAAAGTCACACAAAAATCCAAGTTTAGTGATTAAAATAACATTAGAAGTGCATAATTCACGTTATAAGGAAAGTCTCTCCTTTCAGAAGAATTCACTGTGGCTTTCCCTGACTCTTGACATATGATTTGATTTACACCAAACCAAAAAAAATTCAGCAACATCACACATCCCTTTAAGCAATCAATGAAAATGCTCATTCAGTTTTACCCCTCAAAATGTGCTTTAGATAAGTGAGTCTAATGGTATCAAATAATGCCTCTGTGGACAGGCATAAGTGAGATTCTGGCAAAAAAAAAAAAATCTAAAAGTTTTTTAAACTTATTGAATCTGTCAGTCTTGCTCAACTTTTTTTTGTAGTATTCATAGTATTTTGAAGAGAGTAGGTCCAGCTTTGAAAAACTCTAAACTTAAAAAAAAAAAAAAAAAAAGGTGGCCAGGTGAGGTGGCTCATGCCTGTAATCCTAGCACTTTGGAATGCTGAGGTGGGAGGATTGCTTGAGCCCACAATTTCCAGATCAGCCTGGGCAACATAGTGAGTCCCTGTCTGTACAAAAAATGAATTAAAAAAATAGCTGGGTGTGGTGGCATGTGCCTGTAGGCCTAGCTACTTGGGAGGCTGAGCTGGGAGGATTGCTTGAGCCCAGGAGATGGAAGTGGTAGTGAGCAGCGATAGCACCACTGCACTCCAGCCTGGGCAACAGCAAGACCCTATTTCAAAAAAACAAAACAAAACAAAACAAAAGCAAAAAAAGCATGAGCTTTAAAGTGAATGGATAGGTAGAGAGATTGAGGAATTTTTTGGTAACTCCTTAGCTATATTGCCTTTAAAAAAAAAAGTGTGTATATTACTTTCAGCAAAATTATTTCAGCAAATAAGTATAACACTGCTCTTGTTTATATTCTTTCAATTGAACCTCGCTGCCCAACCAGTAGTACATCCTCAGCCTTTTTTCCTCTCCCCAGATAGCTCATCTTCACGATCCCTAGCACAGCACTAAATGCAAACAAAATGTCCTTACATGTGAGTCAAGTACAGTTTAGTCTGGAGAAAAGGCCCCTGTGTCTGAAGCTGTTCCTTCTATGAGCCAAACATCAAGTGTTCAAGTCAGAGGGACTACACAGACCAGGACAGGGGGCTGGCTTCCAGGGCTGAGGTTGTTGCTGTAATTGTTTTTGGGTGTGCACCTGCAGCGCCTGTGTAAAGGTGGAGACAGTGGTGGGAGGAGTGAAATCTCCCACCGTGGTTGGATGCTGGACGAACGGCCTCAGGTGTAGGCAGCTTTTTTGTTGTTGTTTTTTTGTTTGTTTTGTTTTGTTCTGCCATGCGCTTCAGTTTGGAAGCAGCCTATATTGTACACGTTGATTACTTTGAAGAAGTGATTTCTTATTTTGCTTCATGTTCATTTTCAAGGAGGTATACCTTGGGGAGTGGGAGTGTTTTTTGTTTTTGTTTTTTTTTTAAGCATTGTTTATAGCCACAATAGAATGTCATTGGAAAGAGTGGAGGCTTTGGAATTACATTTTTATCCCATACTAACTGGGTGACCTTTGACAAGATCGTTAACTCATACTGAGTGGAGTTCCTGTTTCATGCTGGGAATCATGCTGGGACCTCAAAGACCTCCTGTTCTGGAGAGAGAGATGCTCATCGGGGGCCAGCAGAGCCAAGTTCACAGGACAGAGCAGGGATGCCCCAGCCAGTCTGCAAGAATTGGAACAGCTTGGTGGAAGAGAGACACAGTCCCTCTTAGTCACAGTCTCCTTGTCTGGAAGTAGGGGCAATGGTACCGCAGAGGGGTGGTACTGAGTGCTAAGTAAAACGAGTTAGAAATGCCTTTCACAGAGTCTGATGAATGAACGTGGGTCCCCATCTTTGGTACCTGAAGACGGCCATGTCCCACAGGTGTGTGGTCAGAGGGTGCACAGTTCACAGAAGGCCTCCACAGTGAGGTGGGATGCAGGTGGAAAGAGAAGTCCCAGGAAAAGGGAGGCAGGGGAGGAAACAGAAAGCTGCGGTTGGAAGAAGACCTCAGCACAGGTGCACTTTTTCTCTTGTGGATTAGTTATTACCGGATGACTTTCATCCACACACTTAACACTCTCTTTGCAGGGACAGTTTTGGGGAAGGGTAGGCGTCTGCTTTCACAGAAGGTAATTACCGCAAAAGCTGGTACCAGCTCATGCTGTTCTGATGTTTTGGTTACGCAATCATGGGCCCCTGTACTAGTACATTTGTCTTCATAAGCTGTGCTGAATTATTTTTTAAAACCGCTAACTGATGCGATTAGTAAAACATTTTGGTTTTTAACTTTTGATGAAAATAGCACTGTTTGGAACTGTGATGCAGGGGTTTACTGCTGAGTGAAGTTCTAGAATTTTGCTGAAAGTAACATGACCTGCTCTGTGGGTCTCACTCTGTCTCTCTGTTAAGATTGTTGAGTGAATGGAAGAAAAGGAAGACTTGGTGTGTTTCCAGTGATCTATAAAGAAATGATGAAGTGAATATGTTCTGTGGATCTCTGTTCTCTCTTTGACTCTATTAACCAAGTAATATCTTAATTTAAAATGATGAAATTTAGGAAATTAGACATTGCTATTCATCTTAGAAGGGAACAAAGTATCCATGCTGGTCTAGTGAAGCCACATATTAAATCCTCTTAAAACTTAAACTGTGCCTTTTTTCCAGATTTGATCTACGTGTGGATATTCTAATGATTGAATATAATAGGATTCCATTCTTTAATTTCAAAACTTTTAGAATACGGAGTTAGAATTTATTTATTTATTTATTTATTTATTTATTTATTTATTTATTACCTAAAACAAGTTCAGTGGAAGATGCTTTTTGATTATTATCACATTTTGGGCTTTTGTTTTTGGTAACATGCAGGCCATATATGAATGAAATTTTGCTCTTTCACAGAATGATATGAGCATCTGTTTCTTCTAATTAGAATACATCTACAGGAGAAGAGGGATTTTAATTTTCATGTTGTAGCGAATGTCTAAGGGTTGACCGGGTATTTTGGAGGAGTAGTTGTACTTTGATCATATTTGTATTTGCTTTTCTGGTCAGGAGCCTGGATAAGGAAGCGCCCCCTAACGGGTGGGTGGAGCAGAGGGAGTGGGGCGAGAGATGGAGAGGAGGGGCCGGGGCAAGGAAGGATCCCTAGGTCTGCCTTCCTGTCCACAGCACTGCCCGCCAGCCACAGCTCCTGAGTCAAAGGCTCTGAAGCAAAGTTGTATGATGAACCTTGGATTTCCTGTACAATTTGGCTAACTCTAGGGTGATCTCTAATAAAGACAAAGGCCAGGGGACAGAAATATCTTTCTTTTGCTCCTGGCAAATCCCATTTTGATTCTATCTCAATCTAACTGTCCAGAAAATTGGATTGAAAGCAGGACACCGCCGGGAGGTAAATCAGATTAGGGCTTCCTCTACCACAGCCTCCAGCAGACATTTCATTTTGCAGTGTGCGTCCCTCATTTATATGAAGCCGTGTATGGCCCCTCCATGCAGCAGGGTGCGTCCAAGCTGACCCAGCGAACCAAGACATCAGGTGACCCTCCAATTTGATTCACTGAAAATACTGCCGGTGGCTTCATTTTCTCCAGAGAACTGTCTGCACCTCTGTTCCTTTCTTTTTATTTGGGTGCCTATGATGACCTCATTGAAGTCTTCATCTTTTTCTTAGCCAATGTAGCGTTTGCTAAGGAGCCAGACCTCAGATAGGAATGGAGAGCCCCAGAATCCAGGTGCAGCACAGGTGCTTCCAGAACCTTCTATGTGGTCCCTTCGGGAAAGGATCATCTGTTTTTGTGAGGCTTAACAGGAAGACAGAACTAGGGAAGAAGCAGGGTGAGGAGGGAGAAGTGCAGCTGTGTATAGCGAGAATAAGGATCTGCCGAAATTTATCTTGGGGTTTTTATTTCCTCTTGAAATGTTGTGCGTTCTGAGAACCTCGAGGAGTGTTTTTGTTGCCTGATAGGAACTGGCCCGGCTTGTTCCTATTGCACTGAAGCCTTCAGGAATGCGGCCTCTGCACCTGTGATGAAAACAACATCCAAGAAACCCACCAGTGGGTTCCAGAACTTCCTTTCTACAGTGACTGTTTGGGTCACAAAACATAACTAGACAAAAAATTAGCTGGGCGTGGTGGCGGGTGCCTGTAGTCCCAGCTACTCAGGAGGCTGAGGCAGGAGAATGGCATGAACCTGGGAGGCGGAGCATGCAGTGAGCCGAGATGGCACCACTGCACTCCAGCCTGGATGACAGAGCGAGACTCCGTCTCAAAAACAAACAAACAAAAAAACAAACAAAACACATAACTAGAAATTATGAGGTTTATAAGGGCTGGTGTCTTAACCGCAAGTGCCTGTTTGAACCCCCATTGAGCTTGTAGCATCGAGATGTGCTGTGTGTCACATTCAGCCACATTTGTACAGTTGGTGGCATTTAGGAGTCCTGCCTGGAAGGCCAAGAATATTTTTCCCCACAGTGGCTTAGGAAATGGAACTGGAGCCCTCATTCCCCTCACTTCCCACTGGCTAGGTGGTCACGGATGTGGAAATATCCCAAGCTTGAAACCACTGAAGATGGAGCTCCTGACTTGGAACAGAGGCTCTGGGGTAAGGCAGGCATTGGGGACTTGAGGGAATCCCAGGAAAAGACTGGGAACTAGAACCCATGTGCCCTCGTACAGATCCACAGTCCCCTTGCCTTGGGTCCCGTGATCCTTTTTTTCTTTTTTTTTTTCTTTTTTTGAGATAGAGTCTTGCTTTGTCACCCAGACTGGAGCGCAGTGGCTTGATCTCAGCTCACTGCAACCTCCACCTCCTGGGTTCAAGCGATTCTCCTGCCTCAGCCTCCTAAGTAGCTGAGATTACAGGCGCCCGCCACCATGCCCAGCTAATTTTTTGTGTTTTCAGTAGAAACGTGTTTCGCCATGTTGACCAGGCTGGTCTCGAACTCCTGACCTCAGGTGATCCGCCCACCTCAGCCTCCCAAAGTGCTGGGATTATAGACGTGAGCCACTGCGCCCAGCCCCCCTGATCTTTAGAACTGCCCTGCTTGCCTCCCTTTGCGCCGCCCTCGTCTGCTGTAGGTCGAATTGGTTTAAGAGCTGGGCATCCACTGGGGAGAAAAATCAGAGTAGGGCTTCCTGGGACTCTTCTGGGTTGTTCTGACTAACATTGGGTTTTACTCAAATTTTCTCTCCCTGATGTAAACACGCAGATATTTTTTAAGGTTTTAAGTGTGACCATTTAGCTTACATGCAAGTCAGAATACTTTGGGTTTTTTCAGATCCAATAGCAGGAGCATCCAGGCTTTTAAAGCTGTGGGATATGATTTCTGTGTATTTGGGCTAAATTAATTTGTTTATTGATAACCTCAGTTGTTATCATGCTAAACTGTCAGAATTGGATGTGAAGCCAGTGCTTATGTAGACTTTATTTATGTCTGGCTTCTTTCTGAAAACAATTCCTCCTCATGCCCTAGTTTCATGTTGTGATTTTAGCAGAATTAATCTGAAATGACTCAAAATTATACAATTAATTGCATTCAGCTTCAATTACAGTCTGCTGGATGAACCAAGCCCACTGCCCTCTCTGGGCAGTCACTTGCATGTGGCAGCTTTGTAGGTGCTAAGGCCCTGTGGACTCCCTGGTCAGTGTGCTGGCTTCCTGGGGAAAGCATTTTGGGGTTGACAGTCCCAGGGGCCTAATGCCTCAGTTGCAGACAAATGCAGGCTGGACCTGGGGCTGCAAAAATGCCAGGTAACAGCAAAGACCATGGAGGTGAGTGTCATGGAATTTGGGATAAATGATAAAACATTCTTTTCTTTTTTAGTAGAAAACCCAGATTTGGGTGTTTAGGGTTGGAGAAGGCAGGATCTGGGTAGGTGTATTAGTCTGTTTTCATGCTACTGATAAAGACATACCCGAAACTGGGCAATTTACAAAAGAAAGAGGTTTAATGGACTCACAGTTCCATGTGTCTGGGGAGGCCTCACAATCATGGCGGAAGGTGAAAGGCACATCCACATGGCAGCAGACAAGAGTAAGAGCCAAGCGAAACAAGTTTCCCTTTCTAAAACCATCAGATCTCATGAGACTTCTTCACTACTACGAGAACAGTCCACCATGATTCAATTAATAACTCCCACTGGCTCCCTCCCCCAATGTGTAGGAATTTACGGGAGGTACAATTCGAGATGAGATTTGGGTGGAGACACAGCTAAACCGTATCAGTAGGTTTAAGGTTTGGAAGGTGGCCAGCCCCAGGGCAGAGAAGCTTCTACTGGAGATTCCTTCCTTTCTCCTTTTTACTCTGTGCAATTGTGGGCCCTGGGGTGAGCCAGGTGAGGGCAGGTGCCTGACCACAGGATGGAAGGGCCGGCAGATGGCGGACCCAGGCAGCAGTGGAGGGAAGGTGGGGGTTGAGGGGATGCAGAGGGCTGAGAGAAACTGGGGATGGAGGGAACTGTGGTCGACGCAGCTATAGGTCTGGACTTATTTTTCCCAGATGAGGAATATCTTTAAGTCCACATAAGTGAGTCAGGGACTGCTTGTATTCAACTTGTGCTCCTTTGAAATGTTCTTATTCTCCCCACGAACTGACTTTCATTCACACCGTCTATTTGGCAATACATGACCGAATTTGGAGCCTAGTTCTTTTTGGCAAGAAAAGTTCATTAATTTTAGTCGGCTCCCCACACACTTCACAAATGTGCTTGAAAAAATAAAGGGCCTCTTATCGCCACACAGCTGCCACGAAATTGCCAGGAGTGCTGAGTGCTCACATATAGAAGACGGCCATTTATGTTGATGCTGTGAGAAGAAAAGGTCCCCCGAAGCACTTTGAACTGGAGCTGCCAGGAAAATGATGGTAAATGCAGAAGCATCAGCGAAGCCATAGGCTTTATGATCATTTATCATTCCAAATTTCTAAGGATTATCTTCATCTCTTTTATTCTGTAAACACTGATTAACTTTTAAAGGTGATGGAAGTCTGGCTGAGTCAAACTTACTCATCCATCAACTTAGTGGACTTGGAGAAAAGGCCCTGCTGTGACATTTTGATTAACTGGGATCTTACCTGTGTGGGGTTTTCTTTCCACTTAATATCTAAGAACACAAGGGTGGGAAGAAACTTCAGTGCCTGCCTGCCTTCTGCTCTTTTCCTCATCTGTAAATGAACATCTGAGAAGGGAGTGAGACGTTCATATCAGCCTGTGCAGTAGGCCTAGCTACACTCATTTATTTGCTCTCTCTTTTCTGATTTCTCTCTGTACTGGGCTGAACAATGTTCCCTCAAAATTCATGCTCGTCCAGAACCTCACAATGTCACCTTATTTGCAAATAGGGTCTCTGCAGATGTAAATAGTTAAGGTGGTGGTAGATTAGGGTAGACACTAAATCCATTGACTGTTGTTCTCGTAAGAAGGCCAGGTGAAGACACAGAGACACACAGGAGGAAGGCCACGAGATACTGGAGGCAGAGATTGGAACGATGCATCTACAAACCGAGGAATGCCAAGATTTGCCAGGAGCCACCAGGAACTAGGAGTGAAAGATGAGGAACAGATTCTTTCTCAGAGCTTCCAGAAGGAACCAGCCCCATCAATGCCTTGATTCCAGACTTTTGTCCTCCAGTAGCAATTCTGAGAATAGATTCCTGTTCTGAGTTACCCAGCTTGTGGTACTTTGCTGGGGCAACCCTAGGAAATGAATAAACTCATTGTACTTCTGAGGTGTCTTTGTTCTCTTTTTAATACCAGGTATATACTGCTGCTCATTCTAAATTTCCTCTTGTCCAACCCAAGTTTAAGAGCCGTAAGTGGCCTATTCTAAGTTTTCTTCCCATCCAAGGCTCTATAAGAGGCCATTGCCCCAAACCAAGGGTTTGGAATAGTCAAAGATCCTGCCCAGATGTGATGCCCAGGTGTTCTCAGCCGTGGGTTTGGGGATGATAGATCTCTAAAACTCTCGAACATCTAGACTTTAAAATTGTCATCCCCTGTGCTGGCTTCCAACCACAGGTTCTGTGCTGCTTCCAGCTCCCTTCTCTGCTGTTGGAGATTATTTGGGGACTGACTGCGAGGCAAGTGAATGAAATAGATGGCAGAAAAGACAAAGGCCAAAAAATCCGCTGCACCTACTGGCTTCCCAGATGGTGTCCAAGGGATGAAATAGCTTGAGCCCTGGGCCACACCATATTTCTGTCCTGACTGTAGCTGTTTTGCTAAGGAGCCCGTACTAGCCTTGGAGGAACAGCTTTCGATGCTGCAAGGAAAGCACAGAGTGGGGATAGCTGATGGGAGTTGTTTCAGTGGTTTAGGCTGACTTGGTGATTCTAGGTATGCCTTAGGCCAGTGGCTGCTGCTTCTTCTGTACATGAATGTCATGAATGTCTGAGTAGGGAGTGAGAGGTTCATGTAAACCTTTTATGTTGTAGGCCCAGCTGTGTGGCCATGGGAGGGTGCTTGGCATGATTAGGATGGAAAACTTTTTTGCCTACACTGATCATGCCAGAGCGATTTAATATTTCAATAAGAATTTAAGGGATAGACTCATCTTGGAGTCGTCGTCTTGGCCTGTTTTCTCACCAGTGTTTTGGGTGTTTGTCCAAGAGAACTTAAGAGTTCTTAACTGAGTATTTTGGGCCTGTGGGGGTCAGGAGAACAGCATGTTTTACCTCTACTGAAGGTAGGAGCTACCTTGGCATTTGGGGTGAAGAGATGTGTGGGGTTTCTTAGTGTAGGGGATGGTCGTGGAGCCTGGGAGACCTAGATGGCTCAGTTCTTCTAATTTGTTGAGCCTTGGTGCATCCCTCTCTTGGGGTGATGATAATGGTGCCACCTCAGAGGGCTGTTGAAGATGTGAGATGCATATAGAACACAGCATCTGGCTCGCTGTGAGCTCTCTGGAGAGGTTAGCCATTGAGATGGTTTGGCTGTGTCCCCACCCAAATCTCATCTTGAACTGTAGTTCCCATAATCCCCATGTGGAAGGGACCTGGTGGGAGGTAGTTGAATCATGGGGGTAGTTACCTCCATGCTGTTCTCGTGATAGTGAGTTCTCATGAGATTTGATGGTTCTATAAGGGGCCTTTCCCACCCTTTGCTCTGCACTTCTCCTTGCTGCCAGCATGTGAAGAAGGACATGTTTGCTTCTCCTTCCATCATGATTGTAAGTTTCCTGAGGCCTCCTCAGCCCTGCGGAACTGTGAGTCAATTAAACCTCTTCTTTTATAAATGACCCAGTCTTAGGTATGTCTTTTTTAGCAGCATGAGAACGGACTACTACAGCCATGATCACTAGCTGAGTGTGCTGCTGGGGTCACCTGCTGTACTCCTGCAGACCTCAATCTTTACAGAGTAGAAAAATGAAGCCTGATATCCTCATGGGCTCTTTTTGTATATCAGAATCTCCGTCATCTCCCACCCACCAAATTGGTTTGGAGCAAGCAACCTGACATAAGGAGTATGACCTTCACAAAGTCATGTTGTGTAAGTAGCAGTTTCCCAAACTAGGCAGTGTAAGTGAGAGCTCTAAACCACTTAGTGGATGAGGGTATACTGATTTTAATTTTTAAAAGTTGAGTTATTATTGGAACATGAAAGAAAGCCTATTTCGCAGAATCAGCCAGTGAGGCATTCCTTCTTTTGTCAGGATCTTGTAGTTGCTATGTCAATTAATCTGCTTTCTATTTAGGCCATTGAAATAAAGTTATATCTAAAACCTTGAAGTAAGGTACAAAAAGTCTACAGCTTCCTGGAACACAGCCTAGACGCTGGAGTTAAACAAAAATGGACACAGGGGTCTTAAGACCCCCCAGTAGAATATGCAACACTGCTAGGGTGCCTTGAAGATCCTTTCAGGTTTGTCTTCTTTTTTATCTCTTTATTTTCCTTTTTTTTTTTGAGACGGGGTTTCTATTCTGTCGCCCAGGCTGGAGTGTAGTGGTGCACTCTCAGCTCACTACAACCTCCACTTCCTGGGCTCAAGCAATCCTCTTGCTTCAGCCTCCCAAGTAGCTGAGACTACAGGCATGCACCACCACGCCCAGCTAATTTTTGTATTTTTAGTAGAGGTGGGGTTTCACCATGTTGGCCAGGTTGGTCTCAAACTCCTGAGCTCAGGTGGTCCGCCCACCTCAGCCTCCTAAACTGCTGGGATTACAGGCGTGAGCCACCGTGCCCTGCCCCTTTCAGAATCTTCTGAGAATTGTCTTACTGTAATATTCCTTACACATTTGGTTACCGACCTTCCCAGTACGTCATTGGAGAAAGCAAAGGCAAAAGGGGGAAGGAGAGAAGTAACATTTGTTAAATGCTAACTGTGTGCCAACCACTTGACATGGTGCATGTTATCCCCATTTTACAGATGGGAACGTAGAGGCTGAGGGAGGTAAAGTAACTTGATTAAGTTTACCCTGCTATGAAGTAATGGAGTTGGGATTTGAACCACTAAGGAACACACTCAGGTATTGTTAAGTAAAAAAAAAAGGGATAATGATTGAGCACACTGGCTTACGCCTGTAATCCTAACACTTTGGGAGATTGAGGTGGGTGGATTGCTTCAGCCCAGGAGTTCAAGTCCAGCCTGGGCCATCTGGCAAATCCCTGTCTCAAAAAAAAAAAAAAAAATACAAAAATTAGCTGGAGGTGGTGGTACACACCTGTAGTCCCAGCTACTCAGGAGGCTGAGGCAGGAGGATCAATTGAGCCTGGGAAGTTGAGGCTGCACGGAGCCATGATCATGTTATTGCACTCCAGCCTGGATGACGGAACTACGATAACAACAACAAAACAAAACACATGATGAATACGCACTGAAAGATCAAATTAGATTCTCTACCTCCGTTGAAGAAGGTAAAAAAGTATATAGTAGAATCCCTCAGAAATATGAATGGTTAGAATTATTTTTAAAGTTTTGTAAATGTGGGGCAAATTTCTATTTTCTGGAAAATTCTTCTGGTGGAACACCTTGCTCTCTAAAAGTGCCAGATAAATGAGATTCCGCTTGATTTGAGAGCTAAGTTCTATGTCCAGTTCTTCCTTGCTGTTATTAAGCAGCAAAGAGAGACCCATGGTTGCACACTGGGAGGCTTTTCTCTTTATCGTTACTGTGTTTATAGACCCGACTCCATCGGGGGTGCTTTTAAGTAAGTAATTATTTTGGGGCATTGTTGCTCTTTTTCGTTCAGTGCGTAAGTATCACTCTCTACTGCTTTCTGATCTTTTTACTTTTATTTTTATTTTTATTTTTTAGTACTTCCAAGTGAGAAGGGATGTGGCCTCCCAGCTGGTGTTTGTCAGGGTTACATGGTACATGTGCAGGAAGGGCCACATCAGCAGGCCTTGAGTAATCCATCCGCAGTCTCGAAGGATGAATCATTCATGAAAGCAGTTTTCCATCCCGCTCACTGGATGCAAGCCTTTCTTGCAAAGTTGATTTCTTTTGCAAAATTAACCTTTGCTTTCTGCTCCTTGCCCACACAGCTTTTGAAATAGGAAGCCCACAGAGTTGTGTTGTTTTTTTCTAAGTAAGTCTAACGGACTGGGCATTTGTAACTTCAATTATTACGCAAGGTATTGAATTCCGCCTATGAAATCTATGAAGGTCATTGCCCGTGGACTTAGAAGTGCCTAGCAGAGTTGAATGGTATGTGGGCTGTGTGTGTATGATCCATATGGCTGAAGTCGTGGTTCTTACTATTACTATATGATTATGTATATTTTAAAAATAGCTCCTTCAGATTTTAACTAGTTTTAAAACTCAAAGTATGTGAAAGGGTTTGCATTTGATAGAGGGGGGAAAAGGCATACTTAATATCCAGGGTTGATAAGCGAAGGCGTGCCACCTCCTGTAAGTCCACCCCTTTCATCCTTTACCCCCATTTCTCACACTACTTTTTTGGTGTTTTGTGCGTTTTTATTTTTTCCGAATTGCAGCAGTGCAGACAGGGAGAAGAACTAAAATCACTCTATAGCTGGCCTCTGCTGCTCATTACGTTTTAGTGGGATAAAACCTTGTCTTGCCCTCCTAGTTGGAGAACCAGCTGAATTGCACCTTTGAATGTTGCTGGGTTTTGTGCCAACCTGCCAGCTGATGGGGCAGACCAGCAGCTTAGTGTCTCCTTTGCTGTGGAAGCAGAACTGCGTCCCCATTATTTGACAGGCAGGAAACGGTAAGGCTAGCAAAGCGGGGACTGAAGACTTCAGGTGTCCCAGCTCCTACCCCAGAGGTTGGTCGCAGACACAGGTTTATAAAACATCAGTATGTGGAGCCACCTTCTCTGAGGTTGTCTTGTTGTGTCTGTTTCTTCCTTAGAAAAGCACATCCCAGATGGGCATGATGGCTCACGCCTGTAATCCCAGCACTTTGGGAGGTTGAGGCGGGTGGATCATTTGAGCCCAGGAGTTGGAGACCAGCCTGGGCGACAAGGCAAAACCCCATCTCTACAAAAAATACAAAGATTAGCCGGGTGTGATAGTACACGCCTGTAGTTCCAGCTACTCAGGGGAATGAGGCAGGAGAATTGCTTGAGCCCAGGAATTCGAGGCTGCGGTACGCTATGTTCACGTCACTGCACTCCAGGCTGGGTGAAAAAATGAGACCCCATCTCAAAAAAAAAAAAAAAAAAGAAAAGAAAATCACATCCCAATCCTAATACTTTTAAAAGTTCATGTGCCAAATTTAATATTCAAGTTGCTAACATGTTATCTGTATGTAAAAAAACCTGTTCTTCTAACCAGACTTCTTCCAGACTTGTTTTGATCAGTCTCAACCAGCATATGTCATTGGCACATTTAAGCACAGGTATGTAATTTTTAGCAATAGTGAGATGTTCTATAGTGGAGTGCCCGTGTCACCTGAGTTGTGGTGAACAGTTTCAAATATCCTTCATTTTCCAGTATTCAAAAATGAGGAAATGACCTCAGATTTCAGTGCTATGATAATTCCCCTAGTTATCTCCTAATTCTGTGCTTATTTTGTGTTGCAGCAAGTGAAGCTCAGAGAGCTCGCGTGCTAGGTAGGCACTAAGTGGTAAAAATGATGTAACATTTTCTGGGGAAATGTATCCAAAGATCAATTTGTAATAGAAAAACAGTATTCACTGGGCACTTAGGTTTATATTATGATAGCAGATACTTGAGAACCTTCTTGGCATAGAGGCATTCTGTGGGTTTCATGGTGGCCCATGAGTTAATTGGCAGCTGGAGTGTGAAGTAATTGAAATAATTGACCCCTGAGATAATGGGTGTATAGGCACTGGGGTTCCTAACTATCGAGGAGGAGACTGGGGTTCCTAACTACCGAGGAGGAGACTGGGGTTCCTAACTACCGAGGAGGAGACTGGGGTTCCTAACTACCGAGCATGCTTCTATGGGATGTCATTGAGGTGTTTCCTGTTTCCGTGAACAGTGTCTAGTTTTTTCTTTTTTGACCCTCTATTTTCATCACTTCTAAGATGAGACCTTGGTTGTGGGCAGAGGGTGTGTGATATATTCTTTTAAACGTCGGGTCTGCTTCCCTCTGTTTGAACTCAAGTTGGACAGACAAATCCCTTCATGGATGGAAGCTGGCTGGTGCTCTGCGGTTTCTGAGATCAGTGCACAAGGCCAAACCCAGTTTGTCAATAACAGCTTCTTCCTCATTGTTTTATGTTTCTAATGAAACAGCTCCTATTTTGTAGTACACAAAGGGGAAATGTGAGGCTGGAAAGCAACATAGGATTCTTCATTCCAGACAGCAGCCAGTGGGCCCGCTCATGAAAAGTTGATGGTTGTGCTTAATGAGAGAAGAAAAAAGGCATCTAATAGCTAAAGTTTGCCTTAACATAATAATTACTTCCCATGTAGCAGTTCCATTTTTCTAATACTTGAATGTCTTATTGTATAAGAAAGCAAGGTACTTATTTATTTTTACAACCTTACATCTAGTTTCTGTGAACGTTTTCATTGTATAAATTTGTTTCTTTCTCAAAATAGATAAAAGACACCAACCATCTTTTTTAATCTACTGAAGCACATGAATAGTGCTTATGTCCATTTTAGGATACTTTTTTGTAAGCCATGATATAGGTCTTCCCCACCAATGGTGGCAGCTTCTTTAGAGGCAATTTACAAAAACACGAACACCCCTACCTCCCACCTATGGTTTTTGCTTTCTATAAAAATGTTGAATATGTCATAGCTAAGAGGAATGAAATGTCCTCCTGCAGAGAATAAGAATCTCTTATTAAAAGTAGCCCAGAAGTTTACTGTTGGTGCTTAGAAAATAATTGAAGGATGTGGAAGAAGAATTACAAAGACATGCACACACATGCACGTGCACACATGCAAACACACACACACACACACACACACACACACACACACACACATTTATGAGTCACTGACTGGCAATCATAATAAATTATTTCCCCAGAATCAATTGTAAGCCTGCAGACTCCAGAGAGGTTGGCTTACCCGGCCTGGAGCAGTGCTGGGTGGAGTTGTTTACTCTCCTGTGGCAGCCTTAGGGCTCTTGAGGTATATGTGCGCTCTTAGTCCTCTGTTATCTTCTGTCACCGGGAGACAGGCAACATGTGCACCAGAAACTGCTGCCATGCCTGTCGCCCTGTATAATGTGCAGTTTTTGCTGACTTTTCTCTGAAACCGTAAGAAAAGATCTAGTGACTAGCTGAGTCACTTGAACTATGTGAGTTAAGTCACTTGAACTACACGAGTTAACTGAGCAAACTTGCAGCTACCCAGGAATTTGATTTTGTATGGTGAAATTCTTAGCCTTGATTCTGTGTTTTTTTTTTTTTAAATTTTTTTATTTTTTTGAGACGAAGTTTTGCTCTGTCGCCCAAGCTGGAGTGCAGTGGCATGATCTCGGCTCACTGCAACCTCCGCCTCCCAAGCTCAAGCGATTCTCCTGCCTCAGCCTCCCAAGTAGCTGAGATTACAGGCATGTGCCACCATGCCCAGCTAATTTTTTGTATTTTTAGTAGAGATGGGGTTTCACCATGTTAGCCAGGTTGGTCTCGATCTCCTGACCTCATGATCTGCCTGCCTTGGCCTCCCAAAGTGCTGGGATTGCAGGCATGAGCCACTGTGCCCAGCTAGTTTGTTTGTTTTGTTTTTTTAATTTATTTTTTAGAGCAGTTTTAGGTTCCCAGCAAAACTGAGCAGAAGATACAGAGATTTCCCATGTACCTCATTTCTCTGTGCCTGCACAGCATCCCCACTGTCATCATCCCTCACCAGAGTGGTCCATTCATTGCAGTTGATTAAGCTGCATTGACATTATTATCACCCAAAGTCCACAGTTTATGGAAGAGTTCATTCTTGGTGTATCTTCTGTGAGTTGTGACAAATGTATCATCATATACAGCTACTATTCTAGTATCATGCAAGGTATATTTTCACTGCCCTAAAGATCTTCTATGCTCCACCAATAGAAGATCCCTTTTTCTTCCAACCCTTAGCATCCATTGATCCTTCTATTGTCTCCATGGTTTTGCCTTTTTCAGGATGTCATGTATTTGGAATCCTGCAGCATGTAACCTTTTCAGATTGGCTTCTTACACTTAGCAATATGCATTTATGTTTTTTCTATGTCTTTTCGTGGCTGGATGGCTCATTTCTGTTTAGTGCTAAATAAGATTCTATCATCTGGATGCACCGCAGTTTATCCATTCACCTACTGAAGGGCGTCTGGGTTGCTTTCAAGTTTGGGGCAATTATGAAGAAGGCTGCCATAAACATCCGTGTGCAGGTTTTCATACATTTTAAACTCATTTGGGTAAATATATGACCCACTGCAATTGTGGGGTAAAATGGAAAGAATATGTTTAGTTTTTTAAGAAACTGCCAAACTGTCTTCCAAAGTGGCTGTACCATTTTGCTTGCCCTCCAGCAATGAATGAGAGATCTCATTGGTCCACATCCTTGTCAGCGTTTGGTGTTGTCAGTGTTTTGGATTTTGGCCATTCTAATAGGTGTGTAGTGGTATCTCATTGCTTTAATTTGCAGATCCCTAATGACATATTATATTGAGCATCTTTTCACATGCATATTTGCCATCTGTACATCTTCTTTGGTGAGATATCTGGTCTTGTGCCCATTTTTAATTGGGCTGTTTGTTTTCCTATTGCTGAATTTTAAGAGTTATTTGTATATTTTGTATAATACTTCTTTATCAGATTTATTTTTTGCAATATTTTCTCCCAGCCTATAATATCTTCTGATTCTTTTGACAGTGTCTTTTGCAGAGCAGAAGTTTTTAATTATAATGAAATCCAGCTTACCAATTATTTTTTCATGGATTGCTCCTTTGGCCTTTGGTATTGTATCTAAAACGTTATTGCCAAACCCAAGGTCATCTAGATCTTTCTCCTTTGTTATTTTGTAGAGTTTTACAATTTTGTGTTTTGGTTTTTTTAATTAAATACAAAGGGATTGGTGGTTTTTGTTTCTTGGTAGAAACATAGTTTGTTTCTTTACCAGTGACATAAGCAATAACTTAAGTAAATAAATGAATGACTAGGAAACTCTTTGACTAGGCCAACCCCCATAGCCTTAATAACCACAACTTAACATTTGCAGAATAGGAAGGACTAATCCTTTAATTTATCTTTTATGTCTATCCAGAACTTTAGTCCTATGAGCTGTTTTGTAAACGAGATTTGTTTTGTGGGAAAGGGAATTTTGTTTCAAGACTTCCCTAAGAAACTGATAGCATCGGGTAATTCTTAAATTTGACTTATCATAATGGTATATCTGGAAGGAATTTGTCAACTGATATGTTATAATTATTTTTTAATTTTTTTTAATTTTTGAGATAGGTCTTACTCTCTTGCCCAGACTGGAGTGCAGTGGTGTGATCATGGTTCACAGCAGCCTCAAACTCCTGGGCTCAAGAGATCCTCCCACCTCAGTCTCCTGAGTAGCTGGGACTAAAGGCATGTGCCACCATGCCTGGCTAGTTAATTTTTTTTTTTTTTTAAGTAGAGATGAAGTCTTGCTGTGTTGTCCAAGCTGGTCTCACACTCCTGAGCTTGAGCAGTCCTCCCACCTTGGCCCCTCAAAAGTGTTGAGATTACAGAGGGGAGCCACTGTGCCTGGCCTGATATGTTTTAATTCTAACAGTAGATCTGCATAGAGAGAAAAGTTGGTATTATGAACAAAGGTAGCTTTAATTCGAAGAGACAACCATCCCCATTCCACAACCTCTTTCCACCCAAGCAAGGAAATTTATTGAGGCCAGTAACATTTTAAATGCTTTTTGGAGTTGTTTATTTGCATGTACTTTCTTTCTTATTGTGTAAGATTTGACTTTTTTTTTTAAAGGAGTTTCTTCACATGGATAACTCAGTTTGTATAGCCTAATGTAATCTCAGCAATAAGTCAAAAGCTGTTCTTCTGTAGGGCTATATAGTTCTCTGACATAGGAAATCATTCTTAGTTCCATTATATTGAGAAGAAACAGAGAAGCATTTTACATCCAAGTGCACCAGCAGCTGTTTTGTTACATAGCTGCTGTGTGCAGAGCCCAATACTGAGAATTTTAAGAAGTCACTGAAATATGTCGAAGCACGAGGATGGGTCTGGATCTCCTCACTCTAGACGCCTGTACCTTTTTTCTGTAGTCGGTGAATGAAATTTTGGAACATGAACTGCACGTGTGGAAAGAATTTGTGTGTGGGTGGAGGAAGCATCTAATGGGAACTGAGCTGGGGGAAGTAGAGCTTGGTCCCAGGTGTCCCAGCTGGAAGAGTTTGAAGCCAGACCCAGGGAGCCCTGCGTTTGAGGCCACCTGCACTGCTCACAAGCCACGGGCCTTGGGAAGCCCTTTCTGGGAACTTGCTTGTGGAGCTGAGATGGGGGTCAGAATTATTCTGCAAAGTGGTTCCCACTGAGCAACAAGTGACTTTCTCTTCCTCCACGTTTTCTTCTCCTTACCTCAAAATGGAAGAAACTTCTTGGCAAAATACCATTTAACATAATTTGGCCACACTGAACATTTAAAAATAATCAAAGATGGAGTCTGTGCTGTTAAGAATTGATAAGTATTCCACATAAAATCTAAACATCGTTCTTTTCTTTATTAAATTTTTGGTGTAATGCACAAAAACTTGAAACTTCAGCTTTTAATAAAATTGACTTTATTTCTAAAGAGAAGTGGGAATAACAGTGGTGCTAAGATTAGCAGTAAAAGCCTTTAACCTGCGAATTCCTTCACGCTGGGGTCAAAGAAGGGAAGTCCACGTGGATGTTTGACTTGTGACCTCTTCCTTCATTTAAAAAAAAAAAAGACTTAAATTACTCATGCCCTCAGTTTAAATTTGTGACTGGCATTTGAAACTATGGAATGATTCACTTTTCCTTGTAGCAAGAAAATTTGAAAATGAAAGCAAAATGATGCTCATATTCAAACTGAACCTACTATGAAAAGATGTTTGCTGATGGCTTCGTTGCCCTGCAAACACACACGACAGAGATGGCTGTTGTTCAACACATTATTTTCCTCTTCCTCTGAGCATCTTAGAGAGGGATGACTGTGCATGTTGCCTCATGCGCAGGAGGTGGTGTGCAAAGATCTTTTGGTTTGTATCGTGGCTTACAGGCTCTCATTTAGGCCATGGCATGGTACATTCCAATACCATGAGTGGTTAAATCTCAGGAATTCCAAAGTGTATGAACGGAGTGATGTCAGCTGTACTCTCATTTCATGCTATGTAGCCAGATGTCGTGTAGCTAACCTCAGCAGTTACTATACATAATGTGCTATAACTGGCTGATTTAAGGTAAACTGCCTCAGTTTCCTCATCTGTAAATGATGGCTTTTGACTAAATAATAGCTTAGTTTTCATTGTGAACAAAATGCTTGTTTAGCTGGGCAAACACATTTTTTTTTGCAGAAAAACAGCCCTATCACCAATAGTACCTGCTCTAGTGCTTTTAAAAATTAGAATGAAATTTTGTTTGTACATTTTTGTTTGTTTTTGACAGTCTCACTGTGTCACCCAGGCTGGAGTGCAGTGGCACCATCTTGGCTCACCACAGCCTCAAACTCCTGGGCTCAAGCGATCCTCCTGCTTCAACCTCCTGAGTAGCTGGGACCACAGGTGCATGCTAGTATGCCTAGCTAATTTTTTAATTTTTTGTGGAGATGGGGTCTCACTATGTTGCTCAGGCTTGTCTTGAACTTCTGGGCTCAAGCGATCCCCACGCCTTGGCCTTCCAAAGTGCTAGGATTACAGGTATGAGCCACTGCGTCTGGCCTTGGTTGTACTTAAAAAACAAAAACAAAAAATTAAAAAAAAAAACAACAGAAAACTTTTCATGGCTCCCAGGAGCATTTATATGACTAACAAGTTATCTTTCCTTGCTGATAGTTCCACTTTCCTCGTGTTTGACAGAAATGACTCTTAGTTTAGGAACTCCTCATTAGCTGTTTCCAGGAGCAGTGGGGTATCATTTTGATGCTTCTTTATTTCTTCTATGCAACTAAAATACAAAGTGAAGATACGATGTCTCTGAAATGATAAAGCTACATTTGTCAAAAAGCACATATTTTCCATTCGACATTTTGGCTTAAAGAAATGAAAACTACAGAATGACTTTTTCCTTTATCTGGGTCTGTGCTGTGTATTTACCTATTTAAAAAGATATACAGGTGAAAAATATTTTTTGAAATGAACTTGTCTGAATCAAGATGCACACTCTTGCAGCAACATCACAGGGTGTCTCTGTCACTGAGGACTCTGTCCTCATTTGTGTGGGCTGACTGGGTCGCTGGCTGTGGGAGGCACACATTTGCTATCTTGGTGCAGCAGTTTGTAGTCAGCTGACTGACTTGTTCCTGCACATGCATTTTTTTTCCTGGCAAGTCATAATTCATGTTTTTCCTAAGGTCCAACCCTATTATAACTGACAGATCCTATCTGGCTGAGAAACATGGGCACCCTTCTGTTTTTGCCTCTTGTTCCCAACATATTTGTATGCTTTTCAATAGGAAGCTGACCTGGAGTAAATGCCCAGGGTTGTCTGAGGTCTCTAAATGGAAGGTGTGGTCTGAAACCAGCTAACTATGGCAGCATTAGGGCAAGAGCGCACAGGTAAAGGACTTCTGAAGGAGGGTGGAGGGTGGGAAAGTGGGAGGGGCGAGAGCTAACATGAATGAAACTGAAGAGAAACAGAAGTTGTGGCTGGCATGCAGGAGAAACCCAGATTCCCATTCACCACTTCCTCTCACCTCCAGAAATTACCCATCATTCCTCTCTATTTTGCAATCCTCTCTATTTCCCCTGAAGGTTCTGCTTTGAATGCTGTCTTCCCAGCAGAAATGTTGAAGGGAAGTAGCTCAGCCCAGTTCCCTTCTGGGCCACCACTTTCAACTGTAGACTTTCTAGTCAGAGCCAAGAAGGCCATGGACTCTGAGAATGGCATTTAAAGTCTCTGCCGGGCTCCACTTAGTTCCCCTTCCCCTACAGATGCCTTATTCCCTCGAAATGCAAACGAGGCTCCATGGCCACAGTTTCCTTCCTCTTTCTGTCCACATTCCAGTCGTTCACCATCTCGAGAACACTGGGGCACCCTCCTCTACCCCCAGCCAGAGCTGTCATTTAGTTGTGATCCACAAATCTGCTAAAGAGAAAGGTGCCCTGCTATCATTTTGCAAAGGCTTGCTTGGAACACATTCCTGCCATTCTTTTTTGCTGCTCTGTAGCCTGAGTGATTATTTGTTTAGTGTAGGAGTAAATATGAGGGGTGCTGTGTTTCTTAAAAACAAAACAAAACAAAACTTTTAGTGACATATGCTCATTGGGGGAAATAAGATAGAAATAAATAATATTGAAAACAAACACCCGTCAATCACGTGACAACCACAATATAGCACTTTGGTGAAAATGGTCTTAATTTAAAAAAGAAAGTCCATCTTTCTAGGTATCTGAGCAATTCATTACTATTCTATGTAATTTTTGTGGGTTTATAATTAATTTTGTAGATTGGGATTTACTAGCATGTGATACCTTGTAAAGGACATTTTACATTAAATTATCTTCCTCCCTAGCACATTGCCTAATTCTGTCACTTGTATTATTGAGGAAACATTTGCAAGTAGGACAAAAAGCTGTCTGCAAATACTTAAGCTTTGAGTTGTTTTTTTCTGAAGTGCGAACACAATCAATTGGGTTAAGTCTCCCAGCCCCTAAGTGGGGGTATTTATGTTTTTTTTAGGAGAGAAACTTTGGAAGTAAATCAGAAGTACCCAGGGCCAATGGCCAGAGTCTTAGAGGAAACATAAACCTCTAGGATCCAGTGAGTATCCACAAACTTAGAGCACTGCGAAGGAAACAGTTGGGTTAGCGTTTTATTAGGAAGGTCAGAGATGATTTAGAAAGTTAACCCTTCCAAGGGGTAATTACCCCCAATATGTGTCCGTTGTGGCATGCTGTGTACATTCACTACTTTTTTTTTTAGTGGGAAAATAACAACATGACTTGGCTGCATGTCCCAGGAAGAGGCCACAGAAATGAAACCTCAGGGTCACATGAAGGAGATTCCCCTGACATATTTCAGAGCTGATGCTTAATGGACCTGAACCAGTTTGCTTTTTTTTTTTTTTTTTTTTTTAAAAGACAGAGTTTTGCTCTTTGGCCCAGGCTGGAGTCAAGTGGCACAATCTCGGTTCACTGTAACCTCTGCCACCCCCCCTCCCCAACCCCCACCCCCGCCAACCTGGTTCAAGCGATTCTCCTGCCTCAGCCTCTCACGTAGCTGGGATTACAGGCACCCCCCGCCACCATGCCCGTCTATTTTTGTATTTTTAGTAGAAACGGGGTTTCACCATGTTGGCCAGGCTGGTCTCGAACTCCTGACCTCAGGTGATCCACCCGCCTCGGCCTCCCAAAGTGCTGGGATTACAGGCTTGAGTCACCGCGCCCGGCCCCAGTTTGCATTTTTTACAGGGCAGAGACTGAAGGGCACTTAGAGCTACCTGGCCCGGCCTGGCTTTAGGGACCTGATCTGTGCAGATATGGTAATTCCCCACGTGTCAATGCAGTTCAGACTTAAAGGGCACAGTCAGCCCTTCGTTTCAATACCAAGAATTGCCCTTTTGAAAGGGTCTTGAAGGACTTGACATTCTAGGATTTAATTATTAGGGGGACGAGCAGAGGCAATGAGATGCAACTCTGAAACAAATGTTTAACCACTTGAGTCAAAGAGGAAACAGAGTGAATTAAAACTTGAAAAGTGATCTTCAAATCGGCTTCCGCCCTTGTAGGCTGATTAGACGACAACTAGCATCTCCAACTAAGAGTGTGTATAATTAGAAAGCCCTCTAGGTTATATCTCAAGTGAGAAAAGAAATATGCCCTTTTCTTAGCCTTTCCTTATTTTTGGCCTGTATTTGGGAACTTTTTTTTTTTTTTAGTTTAGTTTTTTTTTTAATTGTACTTCTACAAAGTGCTCTGCAAGTTGCATGAGAATACATACAAGAGCTTTAGCTTCATTTAGGACATATTCTCTCATTCCTGAAACTTCAGATTAATTTAGCATTTGATGACCTAATATTGCATTTCCTCAATTTTGTTCTATAAGTAGCATTCATCAGAGCAAAGTTTATTTTATGTTGGTGGCATTCAGTAAGTGATACATCACAAAGAAAGATTGGATACTCTTGCATATCAAATATACTTTGAACTGTGTTCTCTGGCAATGCCATAGATTTTAACTGCAACTGACAACTTGTACTTCTAAGAGAGCATTTATCATTGTTGGATGTGCGTTGTGTCTGTCTGCTAATTAGCTTGTGAAGTCCCTCAGGTTATTCATCTCATAGAGGCCAGTGTCTGGCACAGAATAGGTAACCACTGAAGGTATCCTGAGTGGAATTGAGTTGCAACAGTGTGTTATAGACAGTATAGTCCACAAGGAAAAGTAGTCATCACTGAGCAGAACTGCATTTTGCAGCCCTCCATGATTTTAGGGGAGAGCAAATGTAAAACACATTTTCAAACAGGTGAGTCTGACTAATTTGGAAAATTGAATGGACTGTTTTCTAATTTTTTTTTTTTTTTTTTGCATCTGGGATATAAAGCAACAGTGAAAGTTACTTTTTAAAAATGGGCTGAAGAGTGAGAAATGAATCTGACTTATCAAATCCGCAGAGGGTTACCTTTATTACTGTGCTGCCCTTCATCCCATGCCTGCCTGCTTTCATGACAAGTTGCAGTGAAGTCGTATTTGGCTGTGAGAAGTGACTTGCCTTCAGGGTCACTGTGAACCATGTGGGTGGGGCCGGGCAAATGCATATTTAAGTACTATAAAATATTTAGAAGCAGAAGATTCAAAATTTGACCAATCAGTTTGATCAAGTTTAATTTCTTTTTGTTTTTAAGGACATGGTTTCGCTGTGTTGCCCGGGCAGGAATGCAGTGGCTCCATCATAGATCACTGCAGCCTGGAACTCCTGGGCTCAAGCAGTCCTTTCCTGCCTCAGCCTTCAGAGTAGCTAGGATTACAGGCTTGCACCACTGCACCTGGCTAATTTTTTAAATTTCTGCAAAGATGAAGTCTTGCTATGTTGCCCAGGAGTGGTCCTCTGGCTTCAGCCTCCCAAAGTGCTGGGATTACAGGCGTGGACCATCACACATAGCCTAAGTTTTACTATAACCAATGAGGCAACCTCCATGGAGACCAAGAAGAGGGAGTGGTACCTTCTAGACATCTTGACCTTTGTCTTCTGGTTCCAGGAGCTGCTATCGCTAGGAAAAGGAAGTCCTGTCTGCTCACAGCCCACCCGCCTCTGCACAGGTGTCCCTGGGTTGGCTCGTTGATGGTAGTGGTGGAAATTGTCTCAGTCATTACTTACAGCCTGTGAATCCTATTAGCATTTCTCCAATTTTCTCTGTTTTTATCAAGGGAACAGAAATCCATCATCAGGTATTTCCACAAAATTGACCTCATAGTTCCTTCCTGGGTTTAATGCTCAGTTGCCAAAATAGAAGTGAAGAGTCAGCAGAGTTGATGTGAAGTCACTTGGAGTGAATATCTTCAAATTAACAAGACGTAACATCCCTTTCCTGCCTTTAGCCCACAAATGCCCACCTCTGCTGAGCCACCTTCTTGCAAAGGAGGCTTTTGGAAAAGATCTTTTGGGATTATGTGAGGATCCCACATATAAAGTAGCAGGAGAATCTCGAGTTCCATGGGAAATGACTATAGGTCATTTTTCCATTTTCAGAGAAATCAGTGCCTTTGAAAGAGACCATAGCTTTTTTTGCCTCCGACCGAACTTGCCTAATTTGTGGAGGTGAATGAGGCAGCCTTTGTTCTCTGCCAGACTTTAGTCAGAGCCCTTAAGCATGGCTTGTTGTCCAGAGCATGGTAGAGAAATTTAGAGCATCATCGTAACTGTAGCACCACCAAAAATAATAACCACAGGAGCTACCATTATGGAGGAATTGCCCCATGCCCTGCAGCCACCTCTCCTCCTCCACTCCCCCACTCCCCCATTCCCCCATTCCTCCTTCTTCTCCTGCTCCAGTATTGCATATTTTTACCTGACTCTGCAGCGGGCTGCCTCCCCCGGTAGCTCACTCCTTTGACCTAGACTTTGGGTCTTTGTAGCTCTGGTGCTTGTACCTGCTCCCTCTGCCCTGGGCCAGGATTCTCAGTCTCTGGGATTGGCCTCAATCTCTGTGTTTCCCCAGTACCTTGCTTACCCCTTCACATGCATGTGGATTGCACGGACTCGCCCTGGCTTGCTCACATGAAACACTCTCCTACCCATCTCTTCCTTTCAGCTGGAGCCGCTGTGCCCATTTCAGACTCTGCCTTCACACCTGGACTCCAGCCCTTCCCTTGTAACAGCCTCCCTTCAGGAAGAGGGTGTCTTGCAGCCTAGACCCTCAGTTACCAGAGTCCCTCAGAACAGCCTTTCCCATTCTACTGTTGTTCAAGTGTGTTGGTAGAGAAAATGAGAGCATCATGATAACTGCGGCACCATCCAAAATGATAACTGCAGTAGCTACTATTAAGGAGTATAGTGTCTAGCAGCTAGTGTTTTGGTAGAAACTCAAGCCAACACCCCTGTAATCCCAGCACTTTGGGAGGCCGAGGTGGGTGAATCACCTGAGGTCAGGAGTTCAAGACCAGCCTGACCAACATGGTGAAACCCCGTCTCTACTAAAAATACAAAATCAGCTGGGCATGGTGGCACATGCCTGTAATCCTAGCTACTCGGGAGGCTGAGGCAGGAGAATCGCTTGAACCAGGAAGGCAGAGGTTGCGGTGAGCCGAGATCACGCCATTGCACTCCAGTCTGGTTCTGGGCAACAAGAGTGAAACTCCATCTCAAAAAAAAACAAAAAAGCTCAAGCCAGACCGTCAGGATTCAAGCTCAGTCTCACACATATGAACTGTGTGACTTTGCAATTTACTACTTCTTGCCACATCACTCTTTCTCATCCTTAATAAATAAAATCATTTATGAAGAAGATTATTAATACCATCAGTATTATGAAGACTATTACTCTTATCGTTGATCCTTATTTTCTCATGGGACCTATCAAGTTCAAGTGACCTAACATTATACAATTTAACCTATTCTTCTGCAGCAACACACCCAGATGGGGAGGAACCCAATAACACCGATGGTGCTATTGACATGCTCAGAACTTTCCAGTGACATTGTCTCTGTTTTCTTGTATATGTGCATGCATGAACAAGAGCTTTAAAAATTGATGGGGACCCTGGGCTGCTGGCTAAGGAGCTCTCCTGCCTGATGCCCAGACAATGTTGTATCTATATACATTTGCTGGGAAGAGGAGTCAGCCTAGCTGGAAGGCTGCTATTGTTATGCAAATTGGAAAAGCACACTTTTAAGCTACACTCTTGCAAAATGGCTGAGGGTGGCAGTGTGCTTAGGGCTCCAGAAGAGTTTAATCATTGTAATGAATCCAATGGAAAAGGACCAAGTTTGCTGCTTCAAGATCCATATTCCACCTTCAGCTGTAAAATGTGCTGCAGATATTGCACTTGCCTGAAATAAAGCGCTCTCTGTCTTTTCTTCTTCTGAAGAATCCTTTGGCTGTGTTTTATTATACCGGAAGCCCATTTCCTCAACTTAAAGTAATTATTAACAACAACTAAAGCTTTTTCTCAATGTGGTTGAATTCGGTAGTTTTAGGATTCAGGATGGATGTAGAAAAAGGTTTGTGTGTTGCGCGTAACCTCGGTCGTGTAGAGTATGTGGATGCTTTCACCAGTATTCACATGGAGCAGTTATGCAGGATCTGCAGCAGCAACAGCTCTGGTGACCACTCAGTCCTCTCTTCTCCATTTCCAGGTAGACCTTACATCTTTCTCTCTGAAAGTGAGCTGAAATCTGATACCCTGTAACCTCCACCCTTTGTTTCTGCAGGATTTCCATCCTTCAGGGACAAACAGAACAAGCTTAATCCTTCTGGCAAATATCAGGTCTTCAGGTATTTGCAGACAGCTAAGTTGCAAGCTGTCTTCCCTTTCAGGTGAATCCCCTACTCCTCTTAGGAAGTGGTTTCCAGTTTCATTCTCTTGTTGGAAAACTTATGCCAGAGAGAGGCTGCAACCACAACAGTGAGGGCTTGGAACCCTGAACCGTGTCTCAGGAGGAGTGAATAAAGATTTGTTGTATGGAACTCTCACCTCCTCCATCCTAGATAATATACCTCTGTTAATGCAGTCTCTTCTCCTAGTAGCTCTTTTGGCAGCCATGGCACCTCATTAATGTGTTTGTTAAAATGCCTCAGTCTTTTCATCTGTGGTGCTGTCGATCTGCATTTCTGTAGTTTTGAAGCTAGGTATGGGGATTTTCGAATGATCCTTATTACTCAGTGGAGTCTTGATCGCTATTAGCTTGGTCCAGTTTTGGATTTTCCTGTTGGTTTCTAATTTAGCCATGCAGGATGTGTACTGTCTTTCCCAGCTTCCCATTTCCCATTTGAGACATTTGCCTTGTGTGAGTTCGGCATCGAGGTATGGAAAATGAAGCCTCATAGCAGCCTGTTACCTCTCCTAAACCAATCCCCCTGTCAGCTCACATTTAATGCGGATACCTTTTATCTTGGGTACTTGTCAGAAGGTCTTCTTGATACCTGTGTCTTACAGATACAGCTAATTGCACATTGTAGGAACTGATTAATGCCCAGGGGACTGAGTGCCATCACACATAATTGTGGAACGAGAGATTTTGATTGCAGTCAATGAAGATTTTCCTCCCTAATTGTGAGGGGTCCTTTTTAAATACTATTATACCTGATTTTCTTCTTATTTTTTAGTTTTTATTTTTTGAGATGGAGTCTTGCTCTGTCGCCCAGGCTGGAACACAGTGGTGCGATCTCTGCTCACTTGCAACCTCTGCCTCCCAGGTTCAAGTGATTCTCATGCTTCAGCCTCCCAAGTAGTTGGGATTACACGTGCCTGCCACCAGGCCTGGCTAATTTTTTTGTATTTTTAGTAGAGGCAGAGTTTTGCTATGTTGGCTAGGCTGGTCTTGAACTCCTGACCTCAAGTGATTCGCCTGCCTCGGCCTCCCACAGTGCTGGGATTACAGGTGTGAGTCACCATGCCCAGCCAATTTTCTTCTACTCTTGGACTGGAAGGGGCTCTGGTTTCTGCTACCTTTTCTACCTTTAGATGTACGTGGTCACACTTTGAGGGCCTTCAGTTGGTGTTGAAGAGGAGATGGCGGGCCCAAGCTCTGCAAGCCTGGTGCTTGGGGGCATGTTGCCTCCCTGCTGCACAGCACTTCCTGCCACTGTCCTGGTCAAGCTGGGTTTCCCGATTTACGGAAGAGCTTGGGCTCAGAGGGAGGCCGTGAGGAGCCCCGAGAGAATGCCAGCCAAGGCCCTGTCTGGTCTAATCCTGCCAGAGCCTGGCCTTTGGGTGGAACTGGGAGGGCCGGGGAAGAAGGTTATGAGAGGCACAAGCTCTGGTTCTCTGCCATTACCTCTCAGCCTAGAAGTGGCCATTGGATTTCTTTGTATGTTTTCTCTTTATAGTAAATAAAGAGGAAACTTCTCCCCTCACTGGCCTGTGTAGGCTACAGTTGCCTGAGGCTCAGGCTTGCCTGTTCTTCTAATCATTGACCTTCTTGTTAGTTGGATTCTCTTTTTCTTCATTTAAAAATACGCCACATTTCCTTTCCCTCAGTCTTGTTGCAAGTTCCCAATAATTTTGGAGTCCTGTTAAAAGACCTGTACTTTTTATAAATTTGCTTTCCCTTCAATCTGGAGAAAGAGAAGAGGAATTACTTGTAGAGTGGGTACTGTGTCTCAGAGCTAGGCTGAAGCTTCACGTACATCATCCTGTCTGTCCTTAACAATCCTGCAAGGCTGGTGATGCTAATTTCCATTTTAGAGTCGGAAACAGTTGAGAATGAGAGCTTCACATACCCAAGGTCATGCAGCTGGAGAATAGGGGTGTGCAGATGAGGACACAGGGCACTGTCCCACCCACCCTACCAGGACGAGGGGCTTCATGCTAAACTCTGGCCCATTAGAAACCACTTGGGAAACATAAATGCCCACGGATACAGCCATTTCAAAGATCCATGCTTAGACCAGAACATTTAGCACAAAGCGAAACCCACAGAAACTTCAAAAGGAATAAAAATATCATGTTAATGTTAAGAAAAATTATTTAAAATTTGGAAATAAGGCATAAACGTAACAGCAGCATGTAGTTCTTCAAATGTTAGCCAGGGGCGTTGCTTAACAAGCCTACCCAAGGGTTATTTGTTTAGGGTGTCATACCTGGCTTTGTTTTTAACTTTTAAAAAATAACAACTTTGTGGCCGAGCGCGGTGGCTCATACCTGTAATCCCAGCACTTTGGGAGACTGAGGCGGGCGGACCACCTGAAGTCAGGAGTTTGAGACAAGCCTGGCCAACACGGTGAAACCCCGTCTCTACTAAAAATACAAAAATTAGCCGAGCGTGGTGGCGGGCACCTGTAGTCCTAGCTACTTGGGAGGCTGAGGCAGGAGAATTGCTTGAACCTGGGAGACGGAGGTTGTGGTGAGCTGAGATTGCACCACTGCACTCCAGCCTGGGCAACAGAGTGAGACTCCGTCTCAAAACAAAAAACAAACACAGCTTTGTAATATAATTCACGTAATGTACAATTCACCCATTTAAAGTGTACACTTCAGGGGTTTCTAGTAATTTCAGAGTTGTGTAACCATCGGCACAGTCCTTTTTAGAACATTCTCATTGCCCCAGAAAGAAACCTGTTAGCAGTTACTCCCCATTCTCTAACTGGGCAGACTTCTTTCGGATGTATTTATTGGTGGACTCTAATTCTTGTTTGACCTAGCTTTACCAACTTAGTTGTTCCCTCTCTAAACCAAAAAGTACCCGAAACGTGTCTCAATCAATTTAGAAGTTTATTTTGCCAAGGTTAAGGACGTGCGCCCAGGAGACAGGTCTGTGCTTTTCGCCAAAGATGATTTTGAGTGCTTCAATGTTTAAAGGGGAAGGAGGAAGAAATTGTAAAAGGTGTTGGTAGATAAGAGGCAGAGAGTTGCATTCTTTTCAGTTTTTCATCAGCTGTTCACATGTGAGAGGGAGTAGAGGAATAGTCACTTGTGCATTCCTCTAGCTCCGTGAATCTGCTTTTTTTGTTTGTTTATTTTATTTTATTTTTTTGAGATGGAGTTTCACTCTTGTTGCCCAGACTGGAGTGCAGTGGCACAATCGCAGCTCACCGCAATCTCCGCCTTCTGGGTTCAAGTGATTCTCCTGCCTCAGCCTCCCGAGTTGCTGAGATTACAGCCATGTGCCACCACACCTGGCTAATTTTGTATTTTTAGTAGAGACGGGGTTTCACCATGTTGGTCAGGCTGGTCTTGAACTCCTGACCTCAGGTGATCCACCCACCTTGGCCTTCTGAAGTGTTGGGATTACAGGCATGGACCACCGCGCCCAGCCCATATTCAACTTATTTTTTAAATGATAATTCATAAAACACTTTAGGATCTTGCATTGCAATAGCATTGTTATGAACATTGCTCTAAAGTTAAGATTTTTAGTTTCTTAAGTAATACATTAATGGTTGAAAAAATTAGAGAATATAGATGAACAAAAATAAAAGTAAAATTAAATTTTCCCAAACACTGCCCTAGAGACAGCCCCGTATCACGTTGGTCTGTGTCCTTATAGACTTTTTCTCTTGCAACAACTTACAGTATTTTTAAAACAGTAAATAGCCCCACATCATGATTATTGTTAAATATAAGTTTTTTGAAGCACTGTGTATAAGTGTAGATTAAAAACCATTTTGGTTTACTGTAAAAACTCTGGAAGACAACCTAGGCAACACCATTGAGGACATAGGCATGGGCAAAGATTTCATGACGAAGACGCCAAAAGCAATTGCGACAAAAGCAAAAATTGACAAATGGCATCTAATTAAACTTAACAGCTTCTTCACAGCAAAAGAAACTATCAACCGAGTAAACAACCTACAGAATGGGAGAAAATTTTTGCAAGCTATGCATTCAGCAAAGATCTAATATCCAACATCTATAAGGAACTTAAATTTACAAGAAAAAAACAACCCCCCAAAAAAGTGGGCAAAGACATGAAAAGACACTTTTCAAAAGAAGATATACATACAACCAACAATCATGAAAAAACACTCAACATCACTGATCATTAGAGAAATGCAAATCAAACAAAATACCATCTCACACCAGTCAGAATAGCTATTACTAAAAAGTCAAAAAATATTAGATGCTGGTGAGGTTGTGGAGAAAAAGGAACACTTTTACACTTATGGTGGAAATGTAAATTAGTTCAACCATTGTGCAAGACAGTATGGCCATTCTTCAAAGAGCTAAAAGCAGAACTGCCATTTGACCCAGCAATCCCATGGCTAGGTATATACCCAAAGGAATATAAATTGTTCTGTTATAAAGACACATGCACACATATGTTCATTGCAACACTATTCACAATAGGAAAGACATGGAATTAACCTAAATTCCCATCAATGATAGACTGGATAAAGAAAATGTGGTACATATACACCATGGAATACTATGCAGCCATAAAAAGGAACGAGATCATGTCCTTTGCAGGGAAATGGATGGAGCTGGAGGCAATTATCCTTACCAAACTAACACAGGAACAGAAAACCAAATACTGCACGTTCTCACTTATAAGTGACAGCTAAACAATGAGAACACATGGACACACAGAGGGGAACAACACACAGTGAGGCCTGTCAGAAGGTGGAGGGTGAGAAGAGGGAGAGGATCAGGAAAAATAACTCAAGGGTACATGGCTTCATATCTGGGTGTTGAAACAATCTGTACAGCAAACCCCCATGACACAAGTTTACCCATATAACCTGCATAGATACCCCTGAACTTAAAAAAAAAAAAAAACATTTTGGTTTTAGAATTCTGAATAACAATTCATCATATTTATTTTTAAATTCATTTTGTCTTATATTTTCTGGCATGCAGTTTGGAAAGGTAATATATTTGTTTTGTAAGATTTTTCTTTAGTTTTTAAAATTTGTGGGTGCTTCTATGCCTTCATATCCTTCTTTGTATGGAGACTTTCCTAGTTCCTTTGTCTCGTGTTTTTCCCCAGTTGCTCTCCACTGTTACCCATGGGCATTAGAATCCCTTGGACGCCTTCAGATTTCCTTTTTGGAGGCTCCTGGCCCCATTCCTTTGTAATTATGTGGTGTTCCACGTCCCTGATGTTTTATTAGTTCCCAACATACTTGATATAAGAGAGGTAATTAGTGTATTATGGCTTCTTTTTGAATTGTTCCCCAAGATAAGCAGAGGGAAATGTTACATGGGTAAAAATTTACATAATAATGTGACCAGGCTTTGTCGCAAAAGCTCACTGTAATCATGAGAAAATGAAAGCATTTTATTTATGGAAAGTTTCCGCATGTATTTGTCTCTAAGAATTAAAAATTGCCACTGCATTATGGTGGCCTCAGATTTCAGAAGAAACATTGTACTGTGTTTACTTGTACCGTGCCCTGCCTTTCTAACCAAACTTGAATACCCTCTTTTCTGTTCTGAGACTGTTCTATGGCCATTCCACCATTGATTGAAACCAAAGCCAAACCAGAACATTAAATATGAAATGCTTTTTCCCTCACCCACAGGAGCTTTGTAATTATATGGCTTAAAAAAAAAAAAGCACTGAATTCTTAAATGAGAGTGTTTAGTAAAATATTTGGAACAGCTTCAGCTTCCTACTTTCCTTCAGTGAACCATGGCTGAAGGTAACGTTTTCTTGGTCAATGTGAATTGCGTTCCTTCCCCCGGTGCTTGATTTTCCTTTGACCTACTCCGTCTCCATAGTTTGCATGAGGTGGCCCAAGCCTCTTTCCATAATTTTACATAGGTGTTACCGCAGAACGCTGCCAGATGGCTGCCTGTCTTGGTGGGGAGAAGTCCCTGGATCTGCTGTCCTTTTTCATTCTCAGCACTAGCGTCATTTCTGCCACAAGTCTTCCCTGAACTCAAGGCTGGGCTGAGGGCTATTCCCCAGGCACTCACACCTTACATTGGCAAGACCTTCCTCCACTTGTATGATCCTGAAATGTTCTCTTAGTGACTCTTTTCCAAACTAAAAGCTCCAGGGGGGCCCCTGAGCGAAGTTGATCTTTACAACCACCAGGGCCCAGCACCATATCTGGGATGTAGCTATTGCTCGATAAATATTTGTTGACCAGAAGGTAAGTGAACCGAGTACTCCCTATCCACTGTGTGTCTACATTCCTGCCAACCCCTGTATATATATGACAACGACTCTTCAGTCCCAGGCCTAATAGACTTGCCCCAGTCAGCTCCTTCCTGATTTCATGTAAGAGTGACACGATTGAATACTTCCTCCTTCCTGAAACGTTTCCCCCTGTTGGATGTCGGGGCTCCTGCTCTCTGCTCGCCTCTCTCCTAGGCCTGTCTCTGAGGTTTGGCCAACTCCTCTTGTCACCCCTCCAGCACTATGAGCAAGGAATTCTGGTTCTCCCCACACCATCTTTTTTGAAATTGCATTCGAGGTCTCCAGCATCTCTTCTAGGCAGATACCTGAAGGGACTGGGCTTCATGTAGTCCTCCCAGGCCTGCCAGACTTTCTGGCCTTCAACTAGGAGCTTCATGCGTGTCTGTGGAAGGAGTGACCAATGGACAAACATACAACTCTATTTTGAAAGTGGGTTGGGGCTGGGTGTGGTGGCTCATGCCTATAATCCCAGCACTTTGGGAGGCAGAGGTGGGTGGATCACAAGGTCGGGAGTTCAAGACTAGCCTGGCCAACATGGTGAAACCCCATCTCTACTAAAAATACAAAAATTAGCTGGGTGCGGTGGTGGGCACCTGTAATCCCAGCTGTGTGGGAGGCTGAGGCAGGAGAATCACTTGAACCTGGGAGGCGGAGGTTGCAGTGAGCCAAAATCGCGCCATTGTACTCCAGCCTGGGCGACAGAGCAAGACTGTCTCAAAAAAAAAAAAAAAAAAAGAAAAAAAGAAAAAAAAGAAAGTGGATCGAGTATGAATTATGAAATTGCAAAGACTAGAAGGATACATGTGGGTCTTGCAAGGCCTTGCCCTTGAGTTTGCAATCAACTGGCTTGTTTAATAAACAAATATGTGCTAAGGATGATGGCTCCTCATGGAACTTAGGGCATGCAATCATTGACTTCAGAATAAAACTGTAGCTTAGGACCCAAAGAGAAGAACAGAGGTAAGGAAGAATCATGAGCTCACTCGCTGCTCACCCCTTCCAGTGCCCACCTAGAGTCCTTCAGGGATCATAGCTTCAAAACCCTTCCAGTGGATTCTTTCTGAAGTTCATTCTCAGACTCTCAGTGATCTTTACTACCTTTTAAATTAGGAATGTTCTTCACAAAAAGGAATGCTACAGGTTACTTCACTGAGTACGAGGTGAAGATTCCAAGTGTTCATTTTCTGTGTGGCTGTATATTATTTGTGTGGGAACCCACATTCTTATCTCACCACTAAAGATCAAGAAAGTACTTTCACCAGCCAGCAAGCATCACTTGTATGTGGTCATTGTATGATTACAACGGCAGGTACCAGCAGGTGTATTAAGCAGAACACACACATACAAAGGCAATGATTTTAAATTGGACTTTGGATTAAAGTAATATATTTAACCCCTCAAGAGTTCTGACTGTGTTAAACTCATTTATAATCATGAGCAAATGAGTCTATACTAATGCCTCAGATGTTTTTGAATTTGGCAACTTCTATTTCCTAATTGTGATTTAGGTTTAAATAACTTTTTCACTTATGCTCACCTGTAATCTTTGTATGCCTTTATTTCTCCCCGTGGAAGTATTCACAGGACCCTAATTCATTAGTTTGGTAATAGCTCTTTACTGCTTTGGACTTAAAGGTACCCTCGGTATTTTTAACAGACACAGATGTGCTGTCCCGTAGAGCTGTCGGGGAAGAATGCCTTGAATCCCGAACCACTTGCTCTTGTTCATAGTACTTAATTTTCACTTACTGAATCATTTGCTTTCCAAAAACCACCTTGTTGCATGTATTAGTTTGTTAGGGCTGTCATAACAAATTACCACAAACCGGGCAGCTTAAACAACGAAAGTGTGTTGCCTCAGTTCCAAAGGCTGGATGCTGGCAGGGTGGGTTCCCTCAGAGAGCTGCAAGAGAGAATCTGTTCCATGACTCCCCCTGGCTTCTGGTGGTTTCCCGGCAATCTTTGGCATTCCTTGGCTTGCAGAAGCAGAAGCATCACCCCAGTCTTTCTCCATCTTCACATGAGTTCTCCCAGGGTGTGTTTATGTCCAAATTTCCCCTTGCCTTTATTTTTATTTTATTTTATTTTATTTTATTTTTTCGAGACAGAGTCTCTGTCGCCCAGGCTGTGGAGTGTGGTGGTGCAGTCTCAGCTCCCTGCAAGCTCCACCTCCCAGTTAACACCATTCTCCTGCCTCAGCCTCCCAAATAGCTGGGACTACAGGTGCTCACCACCTCTCCCAGCTAATTTTTGTATTTTTAGTAGAGACAGGGTTTCACTGTGTTATCCAGGATGTTCTCAATCTCCTGACCTCGTGATCCACCCGCCTTGGCCTCCAAAGTGCTGGGATTACAGGAGTGAGCCACCGCACCCAGCCCAAATTTCCCTTTTTTGTAAGGATGCCAGTCATATTGGATTAGAGGCCTTACCTTATGCCAGTGTGACCCCATCTTCTCTAATTATATCTGCAGCAGCCCTTTTTCCAAGTCAGATCACATTCTGAGGTACTAGAAGCTAGAACATCAACATGAATTTTATGGGGATAGTTTGTATTAGTCCGTTTTCATGCTGCTGATAAAGAGATACCCGAGACTAGGTAATTTATTAAGAAAAAAAAAGTTTAATGGGCTCACAGTTAGTTCTGCATGGCTGGGGAGGCCTCACAATCATGGCAGAAGGTGAAAGTCTCGCCTTACATGGTGTCAGGCAAGAAAGAGAAGGAGAGCCAAGCGAAAGGGGAAACCCCTTGTAAAACTGTTGAATCTCGTGAGACTTACTCACTACGACGAGAACAGTATGGGGGAAAGCACTCCCATGATTCAGTTGTCTCCCACTGGGCCCCTCCCACAACACGTGGGAATTATTTGAGCTACAATTCAAGATGAGATTTGGGTGGAGACACAGCCAAACCATATCACAGTTCAACCCCTAAGAGTGTAGCTAATACCTGAAATAATCAGATGACATTTTTATTTGCCAATTCTGTGTAGGAGAGATGGGTAGAAATAATAGTAAATTGCATTGAGTGTATGATCAGAGACTATTGAGAAAGGTGATTGTTGTCAGATCCTAAATTATATGAAATAATTTGGGGGATTGTTTTTGACATATGTCATATAAAAGTAACTTATTTCCCAGGTTTCTTATTTTTTCTGACCAGCTCTTTGTCCATACTGATTCAATAATTTCCCAATGTTCTTCAGCTAATGGAGAAAAAGAGTTTGACCACATTTGTAAAATCCAATCTAACTAATGTATTTATGTTTTAGCTTTTTATTATGTACATTTTCATATATCTGGAAAAGCAGAGAGAATAGTATAATAAAAACCATATACTCTTCTTGCAACTTTAATAATTGTCAACTATTACCAATCTTGTTTCATCCATCTTCTCTCCACATATTTTTCTTGCTGGAGTCTTATTAAGGAATTGCAGATATCCTGTTATTTCACTTGTATAATTTTTTTTAAGTTAGAGAAATGTAATGTCATACTTTCTCACTGTTGAAATTGAGGAGAAAGGTAAAACTACTTAATGATAAGTATTAGGACATACACCTTGGCTTTTACATTGTAATGAATTTAAAGAAGGAAAAGCAGGAGATAAAGGAGGAGTGGGGAGGGTGGGGTTGGGAAGAGAGAGGATGTGAGAGACACCAGCTCCTTTACATGTTTCCCTCCCTACCACGTTTCCCTCCCTAACTAAACTCTGAGCTCCTTGAGGGCAGAAACTGTGTCTTGGTCCCCCAGTTACCTTCATACCTTATAGGGAATTGGTGTATAGTAAGTGTACATCAGTAAACATTTGCTGAATAATTGAATGAATAAAAGAATGAACGATGCTCCCCCAAAACCTTGCATAGAAAGATACAGAGACATGCTCAGAAAAATACACCACATTTAGCTCTAGAGGTAAGACAAAAGAAATAAAAAGATCCTGAAAGGTACATTGCTTCTCGCAGTTTTCAGGATATTTTCTCTCACATTTAGATCCCGTGTAGCATTTCTGCAACCCTGCCAAGAAGCAGGACTGTCCTAACGTGCTGAGTGCTTATGCCCTTAGCGAGGGAGAGAGGTTTCATCCATGCTGTGAGAGCTCATTCTTCATTTGCATTACGTGAGAATCGAAGCCTGAGTTCTGAGTATTTTGACTACCTTCCATCCTCTCAGAATTCTGGAGCCACACTTTGTTTTGCCTGCCATTTGGGAGAAGATTGGGGTTGCTGTGAAGCTTAAAGTGCTACACATTTTGCTGAAGAAAGAGATTGCAGTCTCAGATGTCCATACTGCCGGCAGACCTACATGCTTATAGATGTGAGTGACATTGAAGCAGGGGAAACAAGTCCTGTTCCACTACACTGAGGAGGCCTTGGACTGAAGGCAAGAGAGAGGAGAGAAGGCAGAGCATACAGTCCCAAAGCCGAGTCCAGCCTCCTTAGCTCCTTGCAACTCACACTCAAACCCCAGTTTAAGTAATTCCAGACTGAAAAATAAAAACCTTAAAAATATTGCAGAGAGAAGTTTGGTATTAGAGTCATGATAAACCCTTGTATAGAACGTGTTGCAATGATTATTTTTTAGGGTCAAAATGAGGAAACCTGACATGCACACTGGGTTTTGGATGTTCAGACATGAAGCTTGTACTGCCAAGTGAGGAAGGCTTTATGCCCTTAAGAGATTAAAGGAAAGTTGGACTCATCAGTTGATTCTGAAATCAACCCCCAAACACTGCTTGATCTGAGTTTTCAAAAGCTAACCTTTGGGTTTCTCTTTAAATATTTTTGCGTGATTTGTCATATACTTATCTTTAAGAGTTTTGTTGTTGTTGTTGTTTACATAAAGCAGTTACCATTTAATGCTACAGGTACTCAAGATTTCATTCATGCATATTCTTAGTCAATATGAGAAAAATCTATTTCATTGTAGTTCTGAGTTGAATATGGGAATAAGTTGAAATAATAAAAGAAGGAGACTGTTTATCTGTTGGCAAACGTGTCGCTGTCATCATCTGCATCCTTCTAAGTGTGTGGCTTCTGGGCCATCATGGGCGAGTAATGACCACATCCCATTCTTATCTTTTCTCCTTGGCTCTGGAAGGAGTCTTTTATACTGGTGATTGCCGGACTGTTCTTGAGATTTTTCTTCCCTCAACCCTCTCCAGCCCCCAGGCTCTCTTCTGACTCTTCCCACCCCTCAGACAGCCTCGTCCTTTCTACCATCAACCACAACACTTGGGTGTTTCCAGGACTCGCCTTGCAGTTCTCCCTCACCATGAAGACATCTCTCATGGCTTGGTCCACAGTCCCCCGTTGTCTTTTGGCCTCTAACCTTGAATCTCCACCTGCTTGTCTGACACATCTATCTGGGTGGCCTAACAGTATATTATACTTTTCTCAAATTGAGACCCCTGTTTATTGTTTCATTATGTTTTATTGATATATAATAGTTGTACATATTTTGGGGGTACATCTGATATTTTGATGCAGATATCAAAATACCATCCAAAGAGTTCTTTGGCAGCGTGTGCACAGGTATCAGAATATCAGATGCACCCCCAAAATATGTACAACTATTATGTATCTACATACAATGTGTAATGATAAAATCAGGGCAACTGAAATATTCATCATCTCAAACATTTATCTTTTGTGTTGGGAACATTACAGATCTTTTCTTCTAGCTATTTTGAAATATACAGTAAGTTATTAACTATAATTTCCCTGCTGTGCTATCGATTACTAGAACTTATTCCTTCTGTCTAACTGCATTTTTGAGCCTGTTAACTAACTGGTCTTCATCCCTTTCTCCTCTTTTTTCTTCCCAGCCTCTACTCGTTACCTCTGTGAGATCTACTTTTTTAGCTCCCACATATGAGTGAGAGCATATGATGTTTGTCTTCCTGTGCCTGGCTTATGTCATGTCACATAATGACCTCCAGTTCTTTTCATGTTGCTGCAAATGATAGGATTTCATTCTTTTTTATGGTTGAATAATACTCCATTTTGTAGACATACTACGTCTTCCTTATCCATTCATCTGTTGATGGGCATTAGGTTGATTCTGTATCTTGGTTATTGTGAGTGGTGCTGCAGTGAATATGGGATTACAGATGTCTCATCGGTAGACTGATTTCCCTTCTTTCTGATGTATACGCAGCAGTGGGATTGGCGGATCTTATGGTAGCTCTGTGTTTAGTTGTTTGGGAGAGTCCATAGTGCTTTCTGTAGTGGCTCTACCACTTTACATTCCCACCAGCAGCATCCCTGCCTTCCCTTTTCTCTGCATCCCCACCAGTATCTGTTCTTTTTTGTCCTTTTGATAATAGCCATTCTAACTGTGGTGGGATGTTACTGTGATTTTCGTTTGCATTTCCTTCATAATTAGTGGTGATGAACATTTTTTCTCCTACCTGTTGGCCATTTGTTTGTCATCTTTTGAGAAATGTCTATTCAGGTCTTTTGCCCATTTTAAAATTGTTGAGTGAAGAGTTTGAGAATATTTTTTCCAATTCTGTAGGTTGTTTCTTCACTTTGTTTCCTTTGCTGCACAGAAGCTTCTTAGCTTGATATAATCCCATTTGTCTGTTTTTGCTTTTGTTGTCTGTGCTTTTGAGGTCTTACCCCAAAATTTTGTCCAGACCATAATGCCCTGTAGCATAAAACCCCTGTTTAAACAACATGAAGAGTAGTTTCTCCTCTTTGAGCTCGTATAATACTCAGATTGCAAGTCCCCAAGTCCAAGTTAATTCTTAACTTGCCCCTTGGTCTTCTCTGTTCATTTTCTACAACCTGCCAATTTACCCTTTAGTATTTAGAATTCTTTCTGTGGAAAGTACAGAAAACTCATTCAAACTGGCGTGAACAATAAAAGCGTGTATGATATGACTTTGTGGATTCAAGTGTATTAAATTATATGGTATGTAAATGAAGAAAATGACATTTTTAAAGGGTATTTAATGGTTCGTGTGACTGAACAGTCTGAAGGTGATAGCCTTGCTGACGCCAAGATCTGGTTTCTTTCTTTCTCCTCTGAGTCTTCTGTACTCTCAGTTTCATCATAAGGCTCACCTCTTGGTTGCAGAGTGCTAACACCATTTACTCAGTTGCTCTGGCCGGGAGCTTGGGGCCGTTCTTGACTCGCCTTTCCTTCACATCCCACATTCAATCTCAGCCCTGTCTTCAAAGTATATCTCAGGTCCAACCAGGAAGGAATGCACAAAAGATGCTCAGTAGTCTTTGTTGAAATTAGAGAAAAAGAAGGCAAGGGAAGAATTAAAGATGAATCTCCTAAAGAAGGGGGAAAGAGGCTTGCCTGCTTAGAATTGGGAATACTGGATTTTTGAAAGAGTTCATTGGGAGCACGTGCACAGATGCTGAAAGGAAGAATCAAGGTGCTGTCTGAAGAATGACATTCTTTATAATATGTGATAGAGTGCATTTATTTGATTTGTTTTCATACAACTTTTAATGTGTATCCCAGGAGAAGACTGTTTTCATTGTTACAAATCTGAAACCAATAATTTTCTTTTAACATGCAGATATAATATAAGCTCACTTTTTCATTACTTTCCCTACAAAGCTGAAAGCGGTTGACTTGCCTTAGAGATTTTCCTTTCATTATATTCTGCTGTGACGTTGCCTTTCATTAATCCCTTCCAGCTAAGCAAAATTTAATTAGAACCATATCACGTGATGGCAACCATTTTTGTATTTAAAAAAAAGAATTCAAGGAAGCTCAGCTACCAGTCTTCTCTTCTAAGCAAAGTCTATTATATTTAGTAGGTTCTTTCCAGAATTCAGAATATGTTACATAATGGCTTTTTCTTCATTAATTTTGGATAATAGGGAATTTCTATGCCTGTGTTCCGTTTTACATGACTGTGACCTGAATTTAAAATGACATGGACTTGAGGGTGAAAGGAAAGGAAATTATTTTTTAAAGGAGAAATGGAAAATGACCCTTAGCAGTGCATATATATATATATATATATATATATATATATATATATATATATTTCCCCCCTCAATGAATATAGCAATCCGTGTTAGATGTAAATAGGGATGAACCCATTTTGCATATAGATTAAGTGACCAAATATCTCAGTAGTTTGGCAGGAAAGCCAAGCCTGCAGCCTGAGGGGCCTCACTTCCACCATCATTATTGACAACTATGTGCTCAAGCGAGCAGGGAGGGTGCAAGGAACACGTCTCCAATCCTTAAAGATTATATGAGTCCTTTGCTCTCAAATCTGAATTTTCCCTTTGTCTCCACTTTATGCCAGCACTGATTTTATTTAGAATTTTATAGAATGGAAGCAAATTCATTCTTTCTTTCATCCTTTCTTTTCTTTCTTTCTTTTCCTTCCTTCCTTTCCCTTTCCCTTTAATTCCTTTCTTTCCTTTTTTTTTTCTTTCTTGAGACAGGGTCTCACTCTGTCACCCAGGCTGGGGTACAGTGGCGTGATCTCAGCTCACTGCAACCTCCACCTCCTGAGTTCAAGCCGTCCTCCTGCCTCAGCCACCCAAGTAGCTGGGATTACAGGCATGCAACACCACACCCAGCTAATTTTTGTAATTTTAGTAGAGACAGGGTTTCACCATGTTGGCCAGGCTGGTCTCAAACTCTTGACCTCAAGTGATCTGCCTGTCTTGGCCTCCCAAAGTGCTAGGATTACAGGTGTGAGCAACCACACCCAGCCCAAATACTCTTTCTTGATGTCATAATGAACTCAATTATGAACACAAGTAATCATAAAAAGTCTATATAAGCAAGGTTCTTACTGCCTCTTCCTATTCCTCTTATTTATAATTTCATAAATATTGCTCTAGGTTGATAAGTTAAAAATTTTTATAGTAGGTTATGTATAAGATTTACCATTTTAACCATTTTAAATGTACATGTCAGTGGCATTAAGTACCTTCCCAGTGTTAGACGACCATCACTACCATCCATTTCCAGAACTCTTTTTTTTTTTTTTTGAGATGGAGTTTTGCTCTTGCTACCCATGCTGGAGTGCAATGGCAGGATCTCAGCTCACTGCAACCTCCGCCTCCTGGGTTCAAGCGATTTTTCTGCCTCAGCCTCCCAAGTAGTTGGGATTACAGGTGCCCACCACCATGCCCGGCTAATTTTTTGTATTTTTTAGTAGAGACGGGGTTTCACCGTGTTAGCCAGGATGATCTCGATCTCCTGTTTTCTTTTTGTTTTTTTTGAGACGGAGTCTTGCTCTGTCACCCAGGCTGGACTGGAGTGCAGTGGTGTGATCTCAGCTCACTGCAACCTCTGCCTCCCAGATTCAAGCAATTCTCCTGCCTCAGCCTCCCAGGTAGCTGGGATTACAGGCACAAGCCACTATGCCTTGCTAATTTTTGTATTTTTAGTAGAGACGTGGTTTTGCCATATTGGCCAGGGTGGTTTTGAACTCCTGACCTCAAGTGATCTGCCCACCTCAGACTCCCAAAGTGCAGGGATTACAGGTGTGACCCACCGCTCCTGGCTGTATGAATTCTTGAGCCAAACACAGGTGACTGTTATTTGTTCTGTTTCTGAAATATACTTTCGACAAGTGGTGAAAACTCTCCTTAATTTCCATCTAGTTTACTTCCATAAGCAAGATTAGCAAGGAATATGGATCACAAGATTGGGTGTTCTCAGTTTTAAAGCCAGGCAATGTCAAGATTTGTTATTTGGCCAAGTCTGTGGTCTTTATTATTTTTTTGTCCCACCATGTCATTTGCTCAGTGTGATTTGTGCATTTCCAGTGTCGTCCGTCACTGCTGGGGAGCAGACAAATATCACATAGAGGATTAGAGAAAGTGATTTTGTGCTTAGAAAATAATTGAATGAAGATTTACTTTGTGACTGGAAGCTGCAGGATAGCATCCTGTTTTAAAACCTCTCATTGGGTTATATAACCAGAGGTGACCAAAGTCTTTGAAGATGAGGCACCATCTCTGAGTGAGTTTTTGTTGGATAGCCTATGCTTGCTTGAGCAAAGACTTGTTTAAGGGCCAAGGGGGGCCCCCACGACAATCATCAGATGGAATCTTCCATGACACGTCTCCACTTCCTTCCAGCTGAGTGGCTGTTGTCTTTAAGTTGCCTTCCTTCTACCAAGGTCAGGCAGATGTTTGTTGAAGGTTTGCTATGTAACAGGTACCACCTTATTACCTCTTTACTCCAATTTCCTTTGCTTCATATACCATGGTGAGATGAATTCCTTTAGAGCCCCAAATTAAAAAAAGACAAAAAACAATAGCTCCTGATTTTTAGCCAGGGGAAACCCTATGATGTCCATCTCCAGGCAAACCTAATGCATCCTTTTGTTTTATTGAGCCAGTCTTTTCCTCTTTCAACAATGCTAGCAAGACTTCTCAAATGTCTTCATTAGATTATCTTACAAAATATGCATTACCCAATTTAGTTTGGAACTTGGACCCAAAGATCAAGGCCAGCCATCTCTGATTTTTGGAACCTCTGGCTGTTGCTCAGTTTTCTGGGGCAGCCTTTCCCAGGCACATGCTGCATGCAGCCAGCGTCGGCCAACCTCCAAGCTCCTCTTTCCTGTTCCCCTCACGGTAAGTGGGGGTGTTGGGGAGGAGAGGGGGCATCTACACTTTTTCTCCTTAGTCACCCAGGATTGGGCACATTCTGTTTCTTCTTCCTTTGGAGATCATCCATTCTGAATTTCGAATCTTCAAGTAGGCTTAGAGGGCTCTTTATCCCTCAGATAACGTGTCTATGAGTGGCTGTCTGGAAACACATGGCCTTTCTGTCTGCCTCTCATAGGGTGAATCCAGTCCTTCAAATGGGAAGCTTTCGTGTAAGGTAGGTGGGGAGGGGGTAGTTAAGGCAGGTTGGGAGGAAATTATTTTGGGATAGGTAAAGCTTTTTGCTGCCTCTGCAAATTGTGCTGGATAATGAGGGCCCGGGTCTTCTTAGGATAACATTCGGCATGAGTTTTTTTGAGGTGTGCAATAGAAATACTTCCAGCTGTAGATACATAATTGCATTGACCTGCAAATCATAGACAGAAAGAACAGGTACAAAAAGCAAACTATTCTTCCATGGGATTTGATAAGTGTGAGTTTTCTTAACAGTGTTCACTGAATGTGGAGATGGTTTTTTTTAAAAAGAGATGAAAGGCCCAAATGTTTGAACGATTAAGTAGGGAATAGGAATGCTTATTTTCCAACCAAAACACTACATCTGTAATAAACCGTGATGAGGAAGTAATGCCCCTGTAACCTTTTTCCTTTGGTAATTTATCTTTCTTATTCCAGTGGATGAAAGATGACTGTGTGCCTGGGGAGAGAGAGCAGATCAGATTAATTTGTGCCATCACAGCACGGCTTTATTATCCGTCCTTCGAGAGTTTTGCAATCAAGATGCTTTTAGCAGAAACACAGTGGAGAAAGGCCACTTCTCTCAGGGCTTGTAGGAGCTAAGCACTGCCCTTTGAGTGTCTCTGTGCTGCCTGGGCAGCCAAGAGGGCTGTTTTCTTCGATTCACACTCACCTCCTCCTGCCCCTGACTGTGCAGGGCAGACAGGTGTGGCCAGCGTGCTGGGCAGCCAGCAGGATCCCTCACCCAGGGCACCTCCCCCTCTAAAGGGATGCTTGCTTTAAGAGCTCTCCACTTGTCACCTTTCTGTGGATGGTTCCTGTTTGGTTATCTGGCTCTTTGTCTGCTCAATGCCAGGCATGCATTTTCTTTTTTAAAATGTATATTTTTACAGTGACATGGTATCATGAGTACCTTTAAAATGTGTATTTTTACAATCACATTATATTATGATTACCTTAAAAGAAAACCCTTTAAAAAGAATTATCCATGATTCTATTTCCCTAATATACTGTATCTTCATCCTCTGAGTTGTATATATGTGTATATGTGTATGTCTATGTAGGTATATTTGTGTGTGTGTGTGTGTGTGTGTGTGTGTATGTCTATTTTGTCATATACCCATTTTCCTGTTACCCATGTAAAAAATCTTGGCATCAGCTCTTTACCCTTTCTGCTCTGGAAATCCTGCCAGTGCATATGACATGATGAAAGGACGGGGGGCTGTGGTGTCCAGCAACTCTTAGCATGAATCCTGATTCCATCACATGGTGACTCAGCCTTGGGAAAGACCATCCTTTGTTTGTTGGTTCATTCATCTATCCATCTGTCTGTCCTCCCTGCCTCCCTTCCTGTCTCCCGTTCACAAGCATTCACTGTACAGCATGCTAGATTTGGGGGATCTGGGCAGCATTTTCCCATCCATAAAATATAGATATTGCAGCATATTAAGGAGCATTGTTAGGAGGATTCAATTTGCTAATAATGCATGTGAAGGGACCCAGTACAACAACAGCAACAGCCTGGCACGTGATAAGATGCTCAGTAAATGGTGCTGTGTGGTCAGTCAGCAAGTCTCATCGTTCTTGTGTAATTTCCCTGGCCTCTGTTACTTCCATTTCTTAGCAGCCTGCATGATGATGGCCAATTACTTTCATACCTAGACTATGCAAGAGGCTTCTAATGAGGCATTATAGGCCTCAATCTATTCTATTAAATTCTTCCTATTACCACCATTTGCACTTCTAAAGCATTGTTTTTGTCTGTGTTACTCTTTGTTCAGAACCTTTCAGTGATTTCCTAGGCTATTCTGAATTTCTTACTGGCCACTCACAGCCCTCTCAGTACTCTGGGCTCCTCTTGGGATTTCAGCTCTGAGCCATCCTGCCACCCTCTTCCACCTACGGAAATGACTCACCCTCTTTGGTCTTCTGTATCTACTGCCATATGTGCAGGGAACTGTATTATCATTGGTGAGAGGAGAAAATAGCGTATGAGCCACACATTTGGGAAACTCTAACCTTCCTTGTGCAGAGTCTTAGTTCATTTTTGCTGCTATAACAGAATACCTGAGACTAGGTAATTTGTAAAGAACATAAATTTGTTTTCTTACAGTTCTAGAGGCCAGGAAGTCGAAGATCAAGGTGCCAGCATTGAGCAAGGGCCTGTTTACTGCATGCTCCCAGGGGGAGGAAGACCTTGTCCTCGTGTGGCAGAAGGCAGAAGGGCAAAGAGACAAAAGGGGGCTCTACTCACCTTTTTGTAATGACATTAATTCTACCCCTGAGGGCAAAGCCCTCATGGTGGAGTGACCCCCCAAGGGTCCCATCTCCCAAAACTGCCACCATGGCAACCAAATTTCAACATGGGTTTCACAGCTGACATGAAATCAAACCACAGCATGCAGTAAAGACTTATGACTAACCTAGTATTCCTGAGGGTATACTGTTTTTTAACATGTTGTTATTATTCAACAAATGATAAGAGTAGTAGATGATGCCTTTTTGGAGCTAGACTTCAAGCTTTCAAGGAGAGACTAGGTCATTTATTTTTTGCGTCCTCTATCTTATTACCATCAATACAAACCTTTCAGGGGGACATGTGCAGTAGCTCAACGCCTACAATCCCAGCACTTTGGGAAGCCAAGGTGGACAGATTGCTTGAGCTTAGGAGTTCGAGACTAGCCTGGCCAACATGGTGAAACCGTGTCTCTACAAAAATGTAAAAATGAGCAGGGTGTGGTGGCACTTGCCTGTATTCCCAGCTACTTGGGAGTCTGAGGCAGGAGGATTTCTTGAACCCAGGAGGTTGAGGCTGCAGTGAGCCAAGATCACCCCACTGCACTCCAGCCTCGGTGACAAAGTGAGACCCGGTCTCAAAAAAAAAAAAAAAACTCTTAGGGGATTACTTTCTATAACAGTTATTTTGTTGATTCATCCTTAGGACTATTTATCAAAACCATGTTAAGCTTTGAAAATATTTACTGGGTAGTAGATTTTGCTGAATTTGCAGGAACTCTCCCAACTGGTGACAGAATCTGTAGCAAAAAGACAGATATAGGAAGGTGTTAAGGTGTTTGCTAAGATTGTTTTGATTCATTTCAAAGGTCTGTTTTCTGTAGATTGCATTTGTGTCTGAATGAGTTTATTAAGTTGCTGAGGAAGTCCTGCAACCCACATTTAGGGATACTCACATTATTTATAATCAGTTATTCTCTTTATATTTTATTTCAACCACGGAATACAATGTTTATATACATTTATATGTGTGTGTTAGTGTGTTGCTATAGGATGGTGCAAAGTATTTTATTTTATTTTATTTTATTTTATTTTATTTTATTTTTTGAGACGGAGTTTCACTCTTGTTGCCCAGTCTGGAGTGCAGTGGCATGGATCTTGGCTCACTGCAACCTCCACCTCCCACGTTCAAGCGATTATCCTGCCTCAACCTCCTGAGTAGCTGGGATTACAGGCGCCCATCACTATGGCCAGCTAATTTGTGTATGTGTGTGTGTGTGTATTTTTAGTAGAGATGGGGTTTTACCATGTTGGCCAGGCTGCTCTTGAACTCCTGACATCAAGTGATCTACCTGCCTCGGCCTCCCAAAGTGCTTGGATTACAGGCATGAACCGCTGTGCCCGGCTAGGATGGTGCAAAATGTTCTAAATTTTGTTTCCCGGTTTCTACTTTGGGAAACTGTCTTACAATCTGATTCTCCTCTCCCTCAACTTCAGAGAGTAAGAGCCACAGTTTGTGGCCCTGTCAGTGCTGGCATTTTGGGACTCTGTTATCTATGAGTCTAATCAATACCAAATGTTGCTGATTCTAGAATGAAATGCCTTCTGATTGCTGTTTATAAGATTCTGTCTGTAGTGAAATTAAATTGACTTCTAACAGCAAGTATCTCTGTTTGGAAAATAAAGCTCGTATGTTAAATCATGTCTATTCTAATTTTAGTTTCCTTTTTCTCTACCAGTTTGCTGTTTTGTGGTCCACAAGAGGTGCCATGAATTTGTTACTTTTTCTTGTCCGGGTGCGGATAAGGGACCCGACACTGATGTAAGTAGTCCTGAAATCATGATTTGATGTCAATGTGGATTTCTGAGCTTTAATTTTTTTAACGCCTGTGCAACTGTTAGTTTTGGCACTTACTGTTAATGGGAAGACTCAATTCTCATAGAGCGTTGGCTTGTAGTAATGAGCAGATTTATAGCCCATATGAGCTCTGGACTACATCTTAGAGAATTTCTCAGAGGAGAATTTCTTGGTAGCATGTACTGTTCCACTTTGGGCAGCTGCATTGACTAAATCCACCAAATTTATTGTAATAGCTTTCACAAACACAATGCAGTTGTTGACAGATTTTACAATGAACATTTATCACCCTTCAGTTTATTTCCGTTCCCTCCCCTCCCCTCCCCACCCCTCCCGTCCTCTTCGATGGAGTCTCACTCTGTTGCCCAGGCTGGAGTGCAGTGGCACGATCTCAGCTCACTGCAACCTCCGCCTTCCAGGTTCAAGCGATTTTCCTGCCTCAGCCTCCTGAGTAGCTGGCACTATAGATGTGCACCACCACGCACAGCTAATTTTTGTATTTTTAGTAGAGATGGGGTTTCATCATGTTGGCAGGCTGTTCTTGAACTCCTGACCTCAAGCAATCCACTCGTCTTGGCCTCCCAAAGTGCTGGGATTACAGGTGTGAGCCACTGGGCCCTGCCACCCTTCAGTTTACTTCTAAGCTGAAATAAACCAATAGGAGCATCATTGCTTTGGGCCAATGTAACAAACTGCTCCTGGTTTACTCCAGGGGATTCTTGCTGCCTTTTCGGTGTATGTTAAAAATGCTGCTGCTGATTGAAATAATTTAGCATCTGTTTCACTGAACAGTGATCTCTGAAGTTGCCCATGTGTGAACACATAATTTCCTCTCTTTGTGGACAATTCTGATGGTCTCTGTTGCATCTCTTGTGTACTTAAAAATGGGATCCACAGGCCGGGCACGGTGGCTCACGCCTGTAATCCCAGCACTTTGGAAGGCTGAGGCGGGCGGATCACCTGAGGTCGAGAGTTCAAGACCAGCCTGACCAACATGGAGAAACCCTGTCTCTACTAAAAATACAAAATTAGCTGGGCGTGGTGGCGCATCCTGAGATCCTAGCTCCTCAGGAGGCTAAGGCAGGAGACTCATTTGAACCCGCGAGGCAGAGGTTGTGGTGAGCTGATATCGCACCACTGCACTCCAACCTGGGCAACAAGAGCAAAACTCCGTCTCAAAAAAAAAAAAAGGATCCACAAAGGAGTCACGGAAAATACCAATGTCTAAAATATGTTGGATAGAGAGAAACTTCAGCTGTTATATGAAAAGTAATATTTTAACTGAATAAAAAAAATTGTCAGGCAGGCTTAGAAGGGTAGACATTTCTGTTCTGAATTGCTTTTGCTTGATCAGTTTAGTCACTCAAATTGTGTGCTTGAAGCGATTCCCATCTTTAATGCCTGTTCCCATCAGGAAACTTTAATTTGAAAGTGGCTATCTCAGTGCAGGCAAGACTAAATTCTTCCCTTTGCGAAAGATGACATTTTTGCAGTGTGCTCTGAGGGATTCCGATTTGCGTTGTTGTAACACAAGTAAGAAGGAAGTTACTGTTTGGTGTTCAGTGCACGGGAACATGCACAATGGGGTTAGGGTGCTTGTGGAGGCAAGATAGAGTGCCTGTTGTGGGCTCTGAGCCCACATACACATACACACGGGTTCCACAAAGGCTCACAGGACATGGGAGCCAGAGGAAGCTCAGGCGTCACCTTGTTTTATAACTTCATGGACAAGGAAGCCCAAGTCCATGAACGTTGAGTGACTTGCCTGCATACAAACAAAACTAGTTAGTGTCATTCCCCTGCCCTCCCCCCTGCTCCCCGCCTCCTGCCCCCTGCCCCGGCCACTTTCCATACTTCTCTTCTGGCATATTCTGGAATATTGTCTTCCTTTGGGGCATTTTAGAGATAAAAATAGCTGGAACGTAAAGTACTAACTTTTCCAAAAAGCCAAGTCCCATTGCACTTGTTTGGAGTTGTCTAAAACCTCATGTCATAGCCTTTCACTTCCTTGCTCATCATTCCCATCTTTATCTTGCTGTATTTTTCTTTCCTCTCTTCTCTTCTCTCTCCTCCCATTTCTGCCCCATCAAGAATGGGAAGGGAGGATGGGCAGGCTTCAGGATGTGAGTAGTTTGTCTGACTCCCTTCTCTTCCTTTTTCTTCCCCCTCCTACTTTTTCATTCTTTTGGTTGAGTATTCTTTATTGAGAACCCATAATGGGCCAAAGTCTGTGCTTAGTCCTGGGGTATAACACTAAGTACAGAGATATGCTCCTTGCCTTCCTGGACATTCTGCTGTGGGAAGGCAGACATTAAAATATCACTAATTCAAATAGGATACAGGTACACTGAGCAGGTTTCTCTAAGGGACATACTGCATTTAAACTGAGCTTGACGAATGGGTAGGAGATAGGCAGACAAAAGGAAGGGTGTGTGTGTGCGTGCGTACGCGCATGTGTGCACACATGCATGCTGGGCTGTATGGGGCCCTGGAAAAGGCTGTTTCAGACAAAGGGAAGAGCAAGTGAGAATGCCAAGATATGGGAAGGAGTTTAATCAATAACAAACAGAAAGCTGGGAGTTGGGTGTCTGGCAAGGATTTTGGGCACAGGCTTAGGAGCATTGGGGGCCCAGGAAAGAGTTTAACCTTAAGGGCTCATCTCTTAATACAGTCACATTGGCGGTTAAGTTTCAGCATATGAATTTTCAGGACATGGACCATTAGCAGACACATTCAGTGTGAGATGCCTGACGCTGGGAGTCAGTTGAGTATGGAGGCAGGTGTGGCAGTCAGAAGTGGGGTATGTCCTAAAGATAAAGATTCCTATGATTTTTTTTTAATGCCTTGGATGTGGATCATTTTTGCCTAGGGAGAGGGTATAGAGTGGGGAGAGAAGGGATTAGGTCTCAGGAGAGAGCTCTAAGGAACTCCAACATGTTGCATGGGAGAGGAAGATCAGGGTAGGGAAACCAAGAAGGGGCAGCCAGAAAAGTAGGAAGAAAACCAGGGGAGTGTGATGCTGATTGAATGATTTCCTAAGGGGCTATAGGCCAATACTGTGATCGTATCTCTGTGTTTGTTATGAATTCTCTACGTTGCTGAAACTGCGTATAAGTAGGTAACATACAGTTTGTAAAGGACAATCTTATTTACATGGGAAAGTCTTTGTTTATGCCCACCATGGATCAATTGATGCCTGTTAATTATTTTTGGTAACTCATTTCATGCTCAGATTTTTTATCTTGTTTGGCTGATCATTATGGGGTCATCCTACTCATAGGGCCTGGAGCCAGGTAAAAAGCTTTAGAAAAGATATGCTTGGTGCGAAATATAACGGAAACACACCCGTGAGCTGATGCCCAGCCATGTCCTGCTCCTAATCTTGTGTTGACTTTCTGTAGATGCTGAGTCTTACACTTAAAATATCCTTGAAAGTAATGATGATTAGATGAATTTTTTTTAATGTGAAAGAGAAAGAGGTATATTAGATATTCAATGCAGTCCTGCCTGCCTGGTTCACAAAAGATCATGCATTCACCCAAAAGATCATGCATTCACACCTGCATCCATACTCAACTGACTCCCAGTGTCAGACATCTCATGCCGAATGTGTCTGCTAATGGTCCATGTCCCCGAAAATTCATATGCTGAAACTTAACTGCCAACGTGATTGTATTAAGAGGTGGGCCCTTTAGGAGGTGATTCAGCCATGAGGTGGAGCCTTCCTGAATGGGACCAGCTCCCTTATTAGAGAGGTACAAGGGAGCTGTTACCTCCATTTCCCCTTTTAGCCCTTCTGTCATGTGAGTACACAGCAAAAAGGCACCATCCAGGAAGCAGAGCCCAGCTGGTGCCAGATACAGAATCTGCTGGCACCTTGATCTTGGAAGAGAAAGGAGAAAATTTGATTTTTGGTCTTTGGAGCAAGAGACCTATGACTAGGGCTTTCTGCAGCCAAGGCCTGAGAAGTGTTGACTGGCTGTATGCAGGATGATTTTACTTACTGTGCAAATCTGCAAGCAAATCTTATGAAGGTACAAGGTGGCCAAACTGTGCTGCACCAGGGAGATAGTTGGAAAATCATGAAGGCATTGGGAGGTAGAACTGAGCTGAGATGCTAGAATTTTCTTATTTTATCCTTTTCTGAATACCATTTTTCTGCAAATCCCAGAAGTATTGAGCCAGAAGGGGTGTTAAGGATTTATCTGGGTTAACCTTACTTTGTGGATGAGGAGACAACTAAGGCAAAAATGATCTGGGGTACTGTCATATGTTATCTCTTGAGTATCCAGTGGGCTTGTGGTTGATTCTTTCAAGGCAATTGGCCATGAAGAGAAACAAGATGTTGGTGGCTTGACTGGATTGTGCTGCCAGTGGAGCACATTGACAGCTATTCCTTGGTGCATTTGTTGAAAATTCTGGTCAGGTGTTTGGAAAACTAGCAGACTTATTTTACCATCTTGAGAATTAACTTATCCTCCAGTCCTTTTCAGTGTCTTAGAAATCAATCCAATAAAAAATGCCTGCTGGCAGGCTCAGTGAGGAAGACCAGTGAAAAGAATGGGAAGTATCAGAATTTAAGAGAAAAAAAACTGCCCTAAGCATTTTTCCCCTGAAAAATTTAAAAATTTTAAATTAGGATTTTTTTTTTCGTACCATGGAGAATGGTTAAGATGTCCTGTTCATGTGCTGCTTAATAGTACCTTCGTTGAGCTTGGCAGACTCTAACACATTCACAGACGGGGAAAAAGAAGGTACAATCCTTGTGAAATCCTCAAATATTGTACCTGCTCTGCCATCTTCAAGATGAAAGGATGGGAAAAGTACTGAGAAATAAAATAGCGGTACCCAGGTTACAGTAGCCAGATGGGAAGACATTACAAAGTTCTTTTGAACAGAGATGCTCTTCAAGACTCAAGGAGCAGTCGTAGTTGAGAGTATGCATTAGTGCAGGGAATCTTGGCAGAGAAAAGGCTCCTGGGTTCACAGAAGGACCCTCCCTGGAGATCCTCAGGCCAATTTCTCAAGGGTCCTCTGCCCCTTCTGGATGAGATGGCATTCTGTACCAGCAAATCTAGAGCAAAAAGCTGAGCAATTCCTAGACTTTAAGTCCGTCCCCATACACGCTGAGTAGAGAAGGAATGAAAGCAGAAGACTTAAGAGAACCAACGTTAGCGGTGAGCTCATTCCCTGGTACTGCCTGTGTTTGCACCCGGGGCTCAGGCTTGGATGCTGAAGTATGTGGCTCATGGAATGAGCAGCAGCTGTCTTCTTACCTGGTGTTGGGAAGGCACTTTGAATTGGTGCAGGATTTATGTTTCCAGGTGTGTGGCCCTAGAATGCAGCTTGGGGCTCTGCCCAGTACCCCATTCCAGCATCCGAGGTTTCATCAGACAACATAAAATAAGACAAAAGTGCTCTGTGTTTAGAAATGGCTTCTCCCCCTTCTCCACCAAATTAAGATGCAGACTCGGACATGGGCAGGTAGAAGTCGAGAGTAGAGCCGTGGTTTTTGGGGCAGTGGGAGTAGTGAGCCTGGCTTTGCTCTGCTGAAGGGCAGCAAGTGCCCATGCTTCTTTGGCTGCCATTGATTGCCTGCCTCCGTGGGCTGCTCTGGCCATGATGGGGTGGGGCAGATTCAGGAAGGGCTAGTGGTGTGGGGTCTGCAGGGCTGGCTCTTTCCAGACTTCTTCCTCTCACTTCTTAAAACCTTAGCTCACCAGTGTCTTCTTGATCAGTGCGGAGCTCCCTGTTCTTAGAAGAGTTTCTATTCATTTTCGATTATGTCTGTTCATGAAGCCCACCCTGCTATGAAGAGGAAGAATGGGGTCTGGGGGCCTCCCATTATGCATCTGTGCATGGATGTATTGATATGTATTTGTGTGTGTATGTTTATTAGCACATTAAGCCCTTTTTAATTTTTTTTTTTTCTTGAGACAGAGTCTCGCTCTGTTTCCCAGGCTGGAGTGCAGTGGCGCGATCTTGGCTCACTGCAGCCTCCACCTCCCGGATTCAAGCGATTCTCTTGTCTCAGTCTCCTGAGTAGCTGGGACTACGGGCATGCACCACCACACTCGGCTAATTTTTGTATTTTTAGTAGAGACGGAGTTTCACCGTGTTGGCCAGGCTGGTCTCGAACTCCTGACCTTAGGTGATCCACTCACCTAGGCCTCCCAAAGTGCTGGGATTACAGGTGTGAGCCACTGTGTCTGGCCCTTTTTAAAATTCATTTTCTCTGTGTGTCTTAAGTGAGAAAGCTACAAAGCAGCACTTTGACAGAATAATACCAAGCTCAGTCCTGCTCTTAGGGCCACAATGTACAACTCCCCCTGCCCTGCAGCTTTCTTTTTTTTTGAGACGAGTCTCGCTCTGTTGCCCAGGTTGGAGTGCAGTGGTGCGATCTCGGCTCACTGCAAGCTCCGCCTCCTGGGTTCACGCCATTCTCCTGCCTTAGCCTCCCAAGTAGCTGGGATTACAGTTGCATTCCACCACACCTGGCTAATTTTTTTTTTTGTATTTTTAGTAGAGACAGGGTTTCACCATGTTAGCCAGGATGGCCTCGATCTCTGGACCTCGTGATCCGCCTGCCTTGGCCTCCCAAAGTGCTGGGATTACAGGCATGAGCCACCGCGCCCAGCGTGCCCCCCAGCTTTCTCGTCAAAAGTTGTAAGAAGAGAAGCTGTTTTTATGTGTCATCCATAAAATAACACACATGCTAAGCAACTGTTTACACATAATCTTTAGAGTGTTTACTCTGTGCATTGGATATGTGGACATTTGAGAAAGTAAGGGGTGGTGGGGGAGAGAGTGGGAGAGGGATTTGTTAAAAGGCTTCAAGCGTCTGGAGGTAGTAAGCTTTCCTCGCGTTTTTGTTGAGCCATTATGTTTTTATTTGCCCCATGTGTTTTTACCAGTGACTCTGGCTTCTCTGGGGAGAAACTTTTCCCACAGTATTTTGCACGTTTTATGTTTGAACCGTCCCGTTGAACAGAATTCAGGTGACTTCGCAGGTTATTGCTCTATCTCACCTGGCAGACAACCAACATGTATACCGGTGACGTCACAGGTTCACTGAAGCCTGCCAGAATGTTTGGAAGGGGACCAAATGAATACATTAATTAACTTGTTAAAAGATAGGGAGGCTTGCTTCAGACCTGGGTACACCTTCAAGTCAGTGAAGATCATAAAACTGATCTATTTGAAGAAGCTGAGCGCACTGACTGTAAACATTTAAAGCTAAAAACGGAACCTATTGCACAAATTGCTACAAACCAAAAGTGATATCCCCTGTGAGACTGGACTCCGTGGAGGACTATATGTCTAGAAAGCAAAATTGCTTTCTTTTCTTTACTACAATCTTGAGAATTCTCTCTTTCTCCAGTCCTTTTCAGTGTCTTAGAAACCGATCAGATAAAAAAGGCTGCTGAAATGTTGAAAATTCAGCATTTCAAAGATTCATTTATAATAAAATTTAAAGCATTTAAAATAAACCTAGAAATAAATTTAACAGTGAATCTTCTGTTTTTTCGAAGTGTACTTTTAAACATTGAATTTAGAAAAAGATGATTTTGTGAGCAAAGCCAGTTCTACCCCCAAAACATTTTTATATTCCTGAACTGACACGGTAAAGTTAGATTTGCATGAGGTACAGAAGCTAAAAAGTTGCATTTAAAATTCAGCAGAGTATATCGTGCAGAGAGTCCTGGAGTGGGAATTGGGAGTCCTGCCAGGCCACATTACTGAAGCCCTTTCTAGACCTTTGTTTTCTTACGTATAAATATGGAGGTTGAATTTAGAGATCTTTAAAGTTGCCTTCAGCCCCAAGTTTCATTATAGTCCCTCTGTTATTAAACATTGATTGATAGCCCTGTACTGTGAAGGTTACAAAGGTAAAGAGAGTTCCTGCCCTCCCAAGGCAGGGATTATCCTCTAATTGCAAGGGTAAACCAATTAGGCAAAGAGTTGTACTATAAGATTGCACAGGGTGGGCCACTAGCAGTGGCCCACGCCTGTAATCCCAGCACTTTGGGAGGCCGAGGCAGGTGGATCACCTGAGGTCAGGAGCTCAAGACCAGCCAGGCTGACCAACATGGTGAAACCCCATCTCTACTAAAAATACAAAATTATCTGGACGTGGTGGCACACACCTGTAATCCCAGCTACTTGGGAGACTGAGGCAGGAGAATTGCCTGAACCTGGGAGGCAGAGGTTGCAGTGAGCCAAGATTGCACCATTGCACTCCAGCCTGGGCAACAAGAGTGAAACTCTGCCTCAAAAAAGAAAAAAAAAAAAAGATTGCACAGGGTAGGTGCCATAAGTGGGGAAGAAATAAAATGCTGCTGAGTTTAGCAGGGAGAGAGCCAGCCTGCATCTAATGGGAGAATGCAGGAAGAGCTTCATAAAGATGGTGACATTTCAAGATGTATTTCAATTCTTTTCATCATTTTCCTTTGAAAATAAGTCCATCAGTGTTTTTCTGTTGCTCATGTTGGCCCATGGGAGTTACGTCTCTTGCCTAATGCTGCCATCCAGCAGTGCCTACACTCAGGTGACATATTTGCCAGTGGACCTGTCATAAGAGTGCAAGGAGGGAAGCCTGTAATGTTCTGCATGTCCTGTCGGGACCCCCCTCCCATGAGCCTCTGAGGAAGCCCGAGTCCATTTCTGAAACCACCCTCGGCACTTGCCCGCAGATACCCTTCTTCACTTGCTGTGATGCCACAGGAAACCTTAAAAAGAAGTTATTTCGGGGAAACACACCCAACAAAAAAACTCCAGTGCTAATTCTGCTCTTCAGTGGGTGGATTATTTTATGTACCAGATTCACAGTAACAGAAGTATTTCCTACAAGGGAAGGGACTCCTGCTGCACTTGGACCAAATTAATTTAGCCGGGAGTTAAAAATAGCCTCCGAGACTTCTATCCTCATCCGTAGTTCTGATGAGCAAAAGGAGACAGTGGGGGAGTGGGTGGCATGGCCATTCTCTTGACCCACCAACCTCTGGCCACAGGGAAGAGGGAGGGATGAGTATTTGCCCCGTTGTCTGCACCTGATTAGCTGGGAAAAAATGCGCGACGTAATTACAAAGAAAATGCTCCCATTTTCACCAGTGTTTGGAAGGCATGTTTTCAAGGGAGTCACCTGGGGGCTTGTCAGCTGAATCCCTAGGTTGTAGTTCCTACCTCCCATCTTTGGAACTCCACTTTTGAATGGCCTGGACGGGCAGTAGTACATCCTTTTCAAAATCCTTACCCTTGCCGAGTTGTCAGCCTCTGAGAGGGTGGTGAGATTGTCTCGGGAGGCAGACAACAGGCCAGTGGAACCCAGTCAGAATAAGGGAGCCTTTTGAGGTGGGTAGAATTGTTTTTGGTCAAAAAAGAGGTGAGATGATCAATTAGAGTGATTTTGTTGTGAAACTTATAAAATGCCTCTGACATCAAGTCTGGGAACAGATCTTTGTGTATTAACCATAGAGAGTGTGTTTGAATCATTGTATAATGTCTCCGGGGCACTTTTATTTAATATGCTTATTTATTTATTTACTTATTTTGAATTTTAGAGGTGAGACTTGCTATGTTGCCCAGGCTGGACTTGAACTCCTGGACATAAGTGATCCTCCTGCGTAGCTGGGGAGACAGGCGTGAGCAGCTTCACCTGGGGCATGTTTGGTTTTTTAAAAATTATTTACTTGGAGGCCAGGCGCTGTGGCTCATGCCTATAATCCCAGCACTTTGGGAGGTCAAGGCAGGTGGATCACCTGAGGTCAGGGGTTTGAGACCAGCCTGGCCAACATGGTGAAACTCCATCTCTACTAAAATTACAAAATTTAGCCAGGCATGGTGGTGTGTGCCTGTTCTCCCGGTTACTTGGGAGGCTGAGGCAGGAGAATTGCTCAAACCCTGGAGGCGGAGGTTGCAGTGAGCCGACATCGTGCCACTGCATTGCAGTCTGGGCGACACGGTGAGACCCCGTCTAAAAAAAAAAAAAATTATTTACTTGGGATCTGGCCTAGGCAACATAGCGAGACCCTATTTCTTAAATTAAAAAAAAAGGTCATATTACTTAATGATCATATTTACACAGTGAATTCTTTGTGAGAGGGTCCTGTGTGTTTTCTCTTTGAAAGCCGAGTGCCTGATACAGGGCCTGGCACAAATTAGATACTCAAAAAGTATTCGTTGAACCAAAGAGAATGAGTTGGTGAAGGTCTGATAACCTAACTTGATCACCAGTCGTATTTATCCGGTCTTGAATTACTTGAATATTTACAGCTGTGCGTGAGACTTTTACTGAACTCCCTTAATACCCAAGAGTAGCCGTCTCATCAGCATCATTATTACGGCTGATGCTGGGGGTGTGGGGGAACACACCTGATGGGCTTTTCTGTTTTTCCCAGTAACTGTTTCAAAGTGTAGTCTTCACTATTTGGAATTTAGTTTAAGAAGTAGTGGGTGAGGCAATAGCTTTTGACTGGTTGGGATCAACAATTGGTATGATGGATTCCTTGTTTATTTTTTCTGACCGATCCAAGTGACTCAGTGATACTAGACATTTCGTGATGTACAAACAGCCAAATTACCTGACCCTGAGAACTGTTGTTGGAAATGGTGTCTGGAGAGCCTGCTGTAGGAGTGCAAATTCTCGGAAGCCCAGAGTTGGAAGATCCACGGCACAGGATGTGACATCTTTGTGATACCATGTATTTAGCGTCTCTTATGTGTCTGGTGTTTTTCTTGCATTTATTCATTGTATGTAAACATTAAATGTTTCTTGAGCATTTATTGTGTGTGAGGTATTATGGGAGGCAAAGGTTAAAAAACACAGTTCTTGTCTTCAAACAACTTATCCTTAGTGGGAAGTCATGTATATGAATAAATATTACTATTCAAATAGTCACTTCAGCGGATAACATACATAAATGCACTAGGTATGCATTATTGTTCCCATTGTACAGATGTGCAAATTGAGGCTTGAGGTAGTTAAGTGATTCTCCCGAGTGCAGTAGTAAGTGGAGCACTAAGCTTTGAACTGGACCTCTCAACTTCCAAACCTGTTCTTTTTCCACAGTACCACGTGACTGAACAGCAAAGCTAACTTAGGGGCAGTTTTCTGTCAGTGAAGGTTCCATTTTTGTGGGTGGAGTCTGGGGTCATTGTGACTATGAGAAATCTTAAAATGGTAAAAGAAATTTGGAATCATACAATCCTGAGACATTAACAGTAAAAACCTTCACAAGGCAGATTAGCAACGTGAACTAGTAAAGACAGGAGCATGTAGGGCTGATGGGACCGGGTGGGAGCTGGCAGCAGTTTGGAGACTTGGTTTAGGTCCTTCTGAAGAGGGTACAGAGTGGGACTTTTCAGGACATTGGGTTTCTGGAAAGATCCGTTTCAAGTGTCTACACCCTAAGCTGAAAGCCAGCCCAGAGAGCTTTTTGGCTCATGCTGGGGCTTATTCCTGGATTCTGATGAGTCATGTTTTTTAGAAGCTGAACTTCTAAACTTCTAAGCCGAGTCCCATTCAGTTAGCTGGTACCTTCCTCACCTTGGCTTTGTTTTCTGTTTTTGCTGCTTAATACATTTCCAGCAGGAGATTTAGGAAGGGTCTGTGGACAGAGAAGTAGATTTCCCAGGATCTAAGAAAAGAAGGTTGGTTTACTGTGGGTATTCTAGCTGTCATTATAACTGTGTTATTTTATTTATTTACAAAGGGATCATGAGCCAGAACCAATCATAACAATCAAATGAACCCACTCACTGTTTCAGCCTCTGATGGTGGCTAAGAGAAAACAGCAAGTGGGGAGCACCCCCCCTCACAGTCGCCTCTATTATGTTGTACCAGAAGCTGGGATCCAGCACCCTCAAACGTAGAGGCTTGTACTAGCAAGAGTCACATGGACAGTGGGAAGGTCCATTCTAATTATTTTGTTAGTAATTCAGTCTGTTCTATTTATTCTTATAATCTAGCACATTCCAAAACATATTTGTTTTGAGAATGATAAACCAAGGGGAAAAGTCAGGTTTTAAGAAGAATGTCATGGCCACGAAGATAACACTGCCGTTGGGCGTTGCCGTGGTTCTGACTGGGTGAAGGTTTCCCAGTGACCATCTTTGTGTGGAAAGAGCACTCTGCTCCTGATGTTGGGGATGTCATGCCACCCACGTACATCACTGTCCTCAGCATTCCAGCACTCTTGCCTATTCTCCGTGCATCTCTTCCACCCTGCAAGCCATTGCTTATGTCACCCTGATTGATCATGGTGTAACACCCAGCTGTCCTCTGCACACAGGATCCCAAGCCAGAAGTCTCAGGATTTTCTTGGTTGTCTCCATCTTTTTTTTGTTTCACGCACCTAATAGGTTTCCAAGTGCTACGAGTTCTGCTTTCAACTCTCTTTCCTCTCCATCTCCATAGCCACTGTCTTTGTGAAGGCCTTGTTGTGTGCTGTGAGTTGGTCTTACTGACTCTGGACTGTTTCTCCTCTATGAACTGTCTTTCATATTGCCACCCCGTGGTACTCCAGTTGTTGTTGTTTTTGTTTTTTAATGTGATTATGCACTCTCTTGCTTATCATCTTCCAAGGTTGGTACAGAGTCACTCACAGCGGCCTCACTGGCTGTTAGCTGTGGCTGCTGGCCAGGGAGTCCTAAGGTCTGCCCCACATTAGCTTGGGAGGGTAGTGCAGGTTTTTTACAAGGGAGTGGCAGTTTTCCAAGAAGGAACACCTCAGTGTACACACACTTAATAGGCTTCCCCTGGCGCTGTGTTTCCCAGTGTTTCATTGGCCAAAGCCCAGAGTCACTGTGAAGGTTTATGAATCAGGGTTCTCCAGAGAAAAGGAACGTGTGTGTGTGTGTATGTGTGTGTGTGTGTGTGTGTGTGTGTGTGTAAAGAGATTTAATATAAGATGTTGACTCAATGCAATTATGGAGGCCGGCAAGTCCCAAGATTTGCAGGGTGAGCTGGCAAGTTGGAGACCCAGGAGAGCCAATGGGATAGCACCAGTCTGATTCTGAAGGTCTGGGAGCCAGGAGAGCTGATGATGTAAGTTCCAGTCCAAGCTCAAAGGCAGGCAAGCTTAAGACATCAGCTCTGAAGTAAGAGCTGATGTTTTAGATTGAGTCCAAGAGCAAGAAAAAGCTGGTGACCAAATCTCAAGGCCTTCAGGCAAGAAGAATCCTCTCTTACTTGGAGGGAGAGGCAGTCTTTTTGTTCCATTCAGGCCTTCAACAGATTGGATGAGATCCACCTGCACTAGGAAGGACAGTCTGCTTTGCTCAACCTCCCGATCTAAATGTTAGTATCATACAAAAACACCATTGTGTAAACACCCAGAATAACGTATGACCAAATGTCTGGGCACCTGGGGCCCAGTCAAGTCGGCACATAAAATTAACTATCACAGAAGGGTGTGGAACCTGGGGGTATGAGTCACTGGGGCCGTTAGTGTAACCATTTGCCACAGGCAGACTTGTTTGGGTTATAATTCTTTCCTGTAAATCTTATTCATCTCTGTATCCCCAATGCCTAGTATGATCTCTGACTTATAGTAGGTGATCATTAATGTTTGTTGAAAGAGCGAATGAATGGAAAAAAAAAATGAAGTCTTTGATTCCCTAAAGAAAATGAAAATAATTTCATAGACTTGAGTCAAGCTTGTCCAACCCACCTTATTTTGTTGTCGTGGTGGTTCTGTTTTGTTTTGTTTGAGACTTTTGGCAACCTGAAGCCATGTTTTTTAGTTTCTATCTCTAGTGATAAGCAGAAAAGAGGGATGAGGAAGGGGCTTTACTGGCCCAACAAGAAACAGAAACTAAGAACCCATGACTGTATTCTCTCCCTTGGACACTCCTAGGAGTGGAATATCTGTGAAATGTTTCCTGCGATTCTCTCAGAATCAATACCAGCCACTTCCTGATTACAAGTTACCATCTTTAGAAAGAGAATTTTGTTTTCGGGGGGAAAAGGTTTTTTGTGTTGAGGGACTCTTCAGTGCTTGAAGTTTAAGCCTAACGAAATTATGCAAGATGCCCACTGAACTGTGCCTGCTGTGTGACCAGAATCTCTTAACCTCATGAGCATTTTTTGGTTAAATGTTGGTAGGAAAAACTGCTTATTGAAAGGCAAAACTTGTTTTGTCACCTGCGTATTTTAGGGTGATCATCCTTGAAGTGATGGCTTATCATGTAGAGAGGTTTGTAACCAATTGCAATTCAAAAGGGAGAAATGGAGAGAGCTAACAGCTTAAGGAATCAATAGCCTTTGATTTCTTTCCCATTTGATCACTGCCTTTCTGGGTATATTCCTGACTTTACATAGCCTGCCTTTGCCAGGACAGAGACTGTCTTCAGAAATCTTAGAGTTTACTATTCTTGTTCATGAGAAATTGTTATGAGATTGCTGTAGGAAAGTATGTATTTTACTAATTTTATTATTTTTTTTTGAGATGGGGTCTCACTCTGTCGCCCAAGCTGGAGTGCAGTGGCCCAATCATGGCTCACTGCAACATCAACCTCCCTGGGCTCAGGTAATTCTCCTACCTCAGCTTCCCTAGTAGCTGGGACTACAGGCGTGCACCACCATGCCCGGCTAATTTTCGTGTTTTTTGTAGAGACGGGATTTTGCCTTGTTGCCCAGGCTGGTCTCGAACTCCGGTACTCCGGTGATCTGCCCACCCCTGCTCCCCAAATAACGTATTTTAAAACATACAGATTATAACTGCTTTACAATAGGTGAGGCATTTTTTTTCGTGTCATAAAACATGCCTGTGATGAATGCCTTTAGGAAAGCAGTACGCCTATTGCTAGCTTTCTGCACTTCCAAGTCCCAAGCCTATTCCTCCTCATCCCTTTTTCAAGGCAGGAAGCTTTGTAGAATGAGCATGGGATATCAGTGTTTAAAACATAAGAATTTCATACTCGAAAATGATCTTCTCTGTGGAGGTGGGTGATTTTAGGTTTCTAGATATTAAGCTTGTATTATGACTCATTTGTTCTTAAACAGGTTGTTCTCCAGTTACTAAAATTAATCACAAAAGACCAAGGAAGCTTGAAAAAGAAGGGGAGTTCATACAGCAGGTCTTAAAATTAGAAAGGCAGGGCTGCTCTCTTTTGCATTTGCTCAGTTTGAATGATGCACCAGGATTTAGGTAATTCATCGTAATCGTTGTTTTTTCCCCATTAAGAATTGGTAACTGGGAATAACTTAATGTGTAAAACTAGACGGGGAAGAAAAATGGTAGGCTGAATATTTAAGAAGGAATCACATTCCTAGGTATTAAAGGGGCTTGGGCTTGCGGATTTGCTGCTCGCTGTCAGTTTGGACACGTGTGCTCAAATCAGGTCATTCTCTCATATAGTGAACTTTTTTTTTTTTTTTGAGATGGAGTCTCGCTCTGTCACCCAGGCTGGAGTGCAGTGGTGTGATCTTGGCTCACTGCAACCTCTGCCTCCCAGGCTCAAGAAATTCTCCTGCCTCAGCCTCCTGAGTAGCTGGGATTACAGGTGCACACCACCACACTCGGCTTATTTTTGTATTTTTAGTGGAGACAGGGTTTCACCATATTGGCCAGGGTGGTCTTGAACTCCTGATCTCGGGTGTTCTACCCCCCTCAGCCTTCCAAAGTGCTGGGATTACAGGCATGAGCTACTGTACCCAGCTGTCAGATAGTGAACTTCTGTCCATCCGGCAGCCAGACAATGAGAGAGTCCAGCACAGTAGCGCCTCTGAAGAAATACACTGCTTGCCAAATAGCTTCCTAGCTTGGCTCCTGGTTTCCATTCCCATCCCCTACAGTTTACCCTCCACAGTAGCTAGTCTGATGTTTTGCAAGTGTTAATATCAGGCAGATCAAATCATTGTGTCACTCCATCTGAACCCTTCAGTGCCCTCCTCTTAACCACTGGAATAAAAAATATGTATACCCAGCCTGGCCAACATGGTGAAACCCCGTCTCTACTAAAAATATAAAAATTAACTGGGCTTGTTGGCAGCCACCTGTAATCTCAGCTACTCAGGTGGCTGAGGCAGGAGAATTGCTTGAACCTGGGAGGCGGATGTTGCAGTGAGCCAAGATCACACCACTGCACTCAGCCTTGATGACAGAGTGAGACCCTGTCTCCAACAACAACAAAAAAAGTGTGTGTGTGTGTGTGTGTGTGTGTGTGTGTGTATTTCTTTCTTTCCCTTGGTCCACAAGGCCCATCATGATTGTGATCTGGCTCCTGCACACCTCACTGACCAGAACATCCCAAGCTCATTGGCACCCCAGGGCTGCTGCCCTGGGCGGTTCCTCTTTGTAGAACTAATCTTCATGATGCTCATTCGTACGATTTCAGACTCCGCTGAAATACTGCCTCCTTCGAGAGCCTTTTTAGATCATACCCCCCTTGTTATTATTATTTTTGAGCTGGCCCAGGCTGGAGTGCAGTGTCATGAACTTGGCTCACTGCAACTTCCACCTCCCAGGTTCGAGCAATTCTCCTGCCTCAGCCTCTTGAGTGGCTGGGATTATAGGCGTGCACCACCATGCCCGGCTAATTTTTGTATTTTTAGTACAGACAGGGTTTCACCATGTTGGCCAGGCTGATCTAGAACTCCTGGCCTCAGTTGACCTGCCTGCCTCTGCCTCCCAAAGTTCTGGGATTGCAGGCGTGAGCCGCCGCACCTGGTCCCCCTCATTATTTTCTATTACTTTATGCACTTCAAACCCCCTGTCATCATCTAAAACCATACAATTTATTTGTTACTTGATTATTGGGTATCTTTCCACCAACTTGAAAGCACCGTGAGAGCAGGATGTTATCTTACTCTTCTGTTTAACCTAAAATGGTGCCTGATGTGTGGTAGGTGCTCAGTGAATATTTGTTGGCTGGATGAGTGAATGCATTTTAGTTGCACAAGGGAGATGAAAGATCTTATAGGGTTTTTTGTTTCCTTCTAACAATAAAACTAAAGGGAAATGTCCTAAGATCAATAGAGACTTTTTCCTTTCTATGACTGTGATGCCATGCCAGTGAAGCCTGAGACCTGCCGTGTGATCGGACATCTTCCAAATAAAAGGTGTGTTCTTCTTAATCTTAATGTTTAGAATATGCAGCCTATAAAATTAATTTTAAAATAAAATGCATACAGTCAATCTTATTTAACTAGAATACTTAACCACTTGATTCTGAATGTTGCCCATTCTGGATAAGTGAAGTAGATGTTGAATTTAAAACCTTGAGAATAATTTGTATCTAATAGGATCCTAACCTTGAATATTATGGCTGCATATCGACTTGGGATCAGTGTCCTCTCTTAGATTGTCCTCTGCAGTCATTAATTTTTTTCTGCTAATATTCTTGGTGAGCAGTAGGGTGTTGTTAAGTAAATTGATGCATCAGTGTGATAAAATACATGCAGCCATTAAGAATGATGCTTATAAAGACATAGAAAAATGCTTATATGATGCTAGGTGCAAAAGCTTAATATAAAGTTATTGCCATGATTGTCACTACAGCAGAGTTAGTGTAGGGGAACAGGAAGTAGAAGGGAACCTAAAAGATGGAAATCATTTAATTGATTTTTAAGGTGATTTGACATAGGGAGATTTTCTTTTTGGATTTAATCTTGTTAGAACAATACAATTTTCAACAGTTATAAAATTCTGTTTACAGTAGTCCCCACTTATGTGTGGTTTCAGTTACTTTTAGTATAGTACACTAAGATATTTTGAGAGACCACATTCACATAACTTTTATTACATACAGTATATTAGTATAATTGTTCTATTTTACAATTAGTTATTGTTATTAATCTCTTACTGTGCCTGATTTATAAATTAATCTTTAACATGGGTATGTACATATAGGAAAAACATAGTATATATAGGGTTTGGTACTAGCCACGGTTTCAGGCATTTACTGGGGTTTCTTGGGATGTAGGCCCTACAGATAAAAGGGCGACTGTACTTGTACCTTTCTCTAGTCTAAGCCATGTAATTCTCTTGAAATATGACAGAGCACTGTCACCTCCCAGAATGCTACATGAATGAAACATACCCACCCATCTGAGAACTCTCCTTCGCCCAACAGTGTGATGAGAAAGTTGTCTGTTGCAGATATCTACACTGCTGCATGCTAAGTGTGTCATCCTGGGATTCAAACGTGAGTAATAGAAAACCTGACTAAGCAGCGACTTGAACTGAATAGGAGGCTCGCTCTCCTCATTTAACAAAATGTCCAGAACAGGGCAGTCCAAAGCTGATACAGCAGCTCCATGTTTCTGTGCGGGACCCGGCCTCCTCCAGCGTTTAGTTTAGCTGTCTTGTCTTGTAGGCTTCTTTCTTTCATTCTCATCTTTGTTACCCGGTAGGTGTGAGATGCCTGCTTCATTAGCATCCTACCCGTGCTCCAAGCAGGAGGTGAGCCAAAGGTGAACTCAAATCACAGATGCTTGTTAAGGCCGTTCCCATTCAAAGAACTCCTCCAGAAACAATTCCATTCCAGCAGTTTCCATTTACATCATCTTGGCCAGAACCATATCATGTAGCCACTCCGATTTGGAAAATGTTAGGTTTCTGGTTTATCTGGATGGTTTTGTTTGCTTGCTTTTGTTGAGCATGTTTCTACCTGGAACAAAGTTAACTTAGTTTTGTGATAAAGAAGGGATGTGGCCGGGTGCGGTGGCTCACATGCATAATCCCAGCACTTTGGGAGGCCGAGGCGAGTGGATCACTAGGTCAGGAGATCAAGACCATCCTGGCTAACATGGTGAAACCCCATCTCTACTAAAAATGCAAAAAAATTAGCTGGGCATGGTGGCCTGCGCCTCTAGTCCCAGCTACTCGGGAGGCTGAAGCAGGAGAATCACTTGAACCTGGGAGGCGGAGGTTGCAGTGAGCCGAGGTTGCAGTGAGCCAAGATTGCGCCGCTGCACTCCAGCCTAGGTGACAGAGCAAGACTCTGTCTCAAAAAAAAAAAAAAAAAAGAAGGGAATGAATGTTGGATAGGTAACTAACAGTGAACTCTGTCGTAAAGTTGCTGAGGATTGCCTTACCATGTGTGCACACGTGTGTGTAAGTCTTTTCAATGCTCCTATTGCTGTGACTTCATCTCTAGTACAGGAAGGATTCTGTCACATGACGTCATGACAGGTTTTGAGATACAGTGGAATTAACTGAGTTTCTTGATCTGCTGATGACAGAAAAAGGAGACAAGGATGAGGAAGTCTTGTGTGAGTTTTTCTTTTTTTGCGGGGGGTAGGGTGTCTCACTCCTTTTGCCCAGGCTTGAGTGCAGTGGGGTGGTCACAGCTCACTGCGGCCTCAATTCTCTGGGCTCAGGTGATCCTCCCCCCATCAGTCTCCCAAGTAGCTGGGACTGCAGGAGTGCATCACCATACCCAGCTAATTTTTTATATTTTTAGTAGAGATGGGGCCTCGCTATGTTGCCCTGGCTGGTCTTGAACTCCTGGGCTGAAGCAATCCGCCCACCTCGGCTTTGCAGAGTGTTGGGATTACAGGTGTGAGTCACCATGCCCAGCAATGAGTTTTTGTTTTTGTTTTTTGTTTTTCTTAAACAAGGCTTTTCTTTTATCTTTAAACACTTTGTTGGTTCTCTCTGTTTGGTAGTTGTACTATGTCTAAGTTGTTTATTTTGTTAGGAGCATTTTGTTGTAATCATGAAATATTTTGAGATTCAATACTTGTGTTTATTCAGTCATAATATTCTTATTATATAATACTTCCTGATAGTAGATATTAGGATTGATTGAAGCAAAGCATGTGTATTAATAAACTCAGTATTCATTAAAGCAGCTTGGGTTGCCTGTAGAAACGGCAGAGCATCCCCAAGGCTGAGGGAGGCGGGGCTCCTCTGTGGGTAGCAGACTTCATCTGCAGGACAATGTGCAGCACAGGCTGCGGGTATTAAAGGAGGGATCAAGAAACTGGTATTACCAGGGGCACTTGGGAGGATAGGGGATCAGGTAAGCCATAGCATAGAGACCCAGAAAATGAGCCAGGAATGTTCAGTGTGAAAAAAAGAATAAGGCTGGGCGTGGTGGCTCACCCCTGCAATCCCAGCACTTTGGAAAGCCGAGGCGGGTGAATCACTTGAGGTCAGGGGTTCGAGACGAGCCTGGCCAGCATGGTGAGACCCCGTCTCTACTAAAAATACAAAAATTAGCCAGGCGTGATGGTGGGTGCCTGTAATCCCAGCTACTTGGGAGGTTGAGGCTGCAGAATCACTTGAACCTGGGAGGCAGAGGTTGCAGTGAGCTGAGATCATACCACTGCACTCCAGCCTGGGCAACAGAGCAAGACTCTGTCTAAAAAAAAAAAGAATAAGTTGCAGGACTTGATATGAGAGCTGCCTTTCTAGGAAGAAGGGTGGACTCACCTTGGGAACTCCATGTGCTGACCCAGACCACTGACAAGGCGTTATCAGGGGACAGCATTTTATACAACCCTGAGAACAACCTCCAGTGAGTAGATGTTTCCAGCAACAGAACAAGGACTGCAGAACAGGGAGGCTGAGGTGGCTTAACAAGAAATGCTAGCTCTGATCTGGGCCGAAGCAGCAGTGATGGTTCCCCTAGGCCGGAATTTGATGCGAGGCTAGGATGGATATTGGGTTTTCTCTCTGGAATAGCTCAGCTCCTCCTGTGCCACCTGGCTAATTTGTACTCTTTCTTCAAGAATCGGAATTGGCCGGTGGTTCACGCCTGTAATCCCAGCACTTTGGGAAGCCGAGGCGGGCGGATCACGAGGTCAAGAAATCGAGACCATCCTGGCCAACATGGTGAAACCCTGTCTCTGCTAAAAATACAAAAATTAGCTGGGCGTGGTGGTGCGCACCTGTAGTCCCAGCTACTTGGGAGGCTGAGGCAGGAGAATCACTTGAACCTGGGAGGTAGAGGTTGCAGTGAGCTGAGATTGGGCCACTACACTCCAGCCTGGCGACAGAGTGAGAGTCCATCTCAAAAAATAAAAAATTTTCAGAATTAGTATCTCAGGAGATTTTCCTGACTACTCCCTGTCCCCCAATGGACTCCTTTCTTCCCCTCCTCGCCCCCAATTCAGTTGTTTCTCTTCCACCTCCTGCGTGCCTCTTTGAAGACTTTCATACCACTTGTTGTAATTGTTCCTCTGTGTCTGCCCATGCACTGTGGCCCTTGAGGGCAAAACCTATCTTTCATCTCCCCGTCCCTGTCCTCAGTGCTTACACAGAATCTGGCATGTATCTGGCTCTCAACAAATATTTATTGAATTAGCAAGTAAATGAATAGAGATCAGATTCTGCTTGAGTTAACCTTGACGTTAGACAGAATTTCTGTTCTAACTTTTTTCACGCCAAAACCATTCTTACAGGTTTTTCTGAGCCAATCTGTTGTGGCCTCTTAGCATAATGGATAGTTACTGAGAAAAAAGAATTAACACCAAGTTCTTGGCGCAAGTGCCATCCAGTTGAGGTGTGCAACTTCCATGCTTGTGACAAGGTTGAAAATTACTCATCAAGCTGTTTTTGCAAAGCAGTTTCTGCTTATCAGTTTACGCATGAAAAGTCCACTCTGTGTCTGTGTTGATGACCATAACGTGGACCATCTAACAGCTAGGATATTTAGGATGGTTGTGAGTACGGCTGCAGGTTCCCTTTTGCTTATTGAAATAGAATAACCAGAGAAGAACAAGGCAAGTTTTAAAAATAACTTGGTACACATGTAGGTGAAATAACCTTACCTCCCAGTAGCTGAGAGAAAAAAAAAAGATCTCAATGCTGGCTGTTGTTCCAGGATATTTTTAGTAAGATGGCCCTGTCGTCTTTGATGGTCAATGAAGGAATAATGGCAGAAAAAAATATTAGGCGAGGAGAAGGCTACGGGCATTGTTTGGTGTTTCATTTAATTTCCACCTCATCCACCAGAGAAAAGCAAACATAAGCAGAGGTTGATGATGAGCACAGTAGAAAGGAAAATGTGATGTGTCTTTTCCTTGTAGTTGGTTGATAATATGTGATTTGCTTATACCACATTCTGATGGGAGGTATTTTCAGTCTGTGGCTTTGTAAGTTGAAGGGCCTCCTAAGAAACTCCTGTTTCGTAAGATATTCTCTGTCTTAACTTTTTTCAGGAAAAAATATGATTTTTTGGAGTTGCTTAATAGTTTTTAGCTTTTAAATAAGTATAGTTTATTTACCACAGCATTTGAACTGTCAGGATTTTACTGTGAATGCTACCAGAAAGGTTTGTTCTATTTTTACGAGAATCTTCTTAGGGAAATTGATGAACCTGGTAACCTAATTTTAGACCTCCTGAAATTTGACAGATGGATGGTATTTATAGTGTTCTGAATCGGTCCCTATTAGACATTTAAAAATAGTCACATCATTAGAGAATACATTCAAAAAAGAAAAGATTTTTAACCCAAAATCTAATGCCCAGAAAATTTTTAGTCTCCTAAACTGGGTGTGCATTTTGGTAACAGTTTCTAAAAAGCCTTTTTGTACTCTCCTCATTCTCTTTCCTGTGTGATGCTGCTGTTGTCATGGAAACAGATCTTGGAGTTGCTTTGTTAATACCGTGTAAGGGACTCCCTGAAATGGAGAGTTACTGCAGGTCATTATCATCAACACAGAGCTTTAATATCAAGTGTTGTGCTATGATGCGTACACTACAAAGCACAGAAATCTGTGTTTGGAGGTTACACTAAAGACATTTAACCTTGACACCCATAAACACTACACAAACATCAGGGTCTTCAGTCATAGAACCTGGAAAAGTGGAGGCAATGGGCTCATGCTATTTCTATTGCAGATAGTGAGCTATGTCCTGGTTTGGGGCCGTCCGTTGTTAGGTGCTCCATTAGGGCTGGCTTATTGAGAAAGGAGGATTTGGAAGATTGTTGAGTGAATCCAGGAAAGGAGCAAGCCGAAAGTTCACAGGGATTGTTGGAAATTTCCAACAACAGTTTAGATGGAAATTGGCTCCTGGGATGAAAAATGGCTGTGCATATTGTGTTTGAGTGCTTGGAGGCCTCTAGCTAGAATGTTTTTATTAGCAAGTTTATAGCTTGTAAGATGGTCCAGTCAGATATTCATGCAAGGCATTTTATGATGTACGTGATTTTGTTGACTGGGGCCTTAAGGTGGGAAACAGTTGGAAGGTATAGTGGACTCTTGCTGCCCTGGGACTATCTCTTGCCTCCCCACTTATCAGCAAATTCCATAACCTTCCTGGCCCTCGGTTTCCTCACCTTTCAATTGGTGATTCTTTTACAAGTTATACTGGGAATTAAATGGGGTGGATGATGATACAGGATCTTGAAGCGCCTGGTGCTTGGTAAGCACTAATTCCTCCAGCCCACACTTTCTTTAACATTTCCTATGCCAGCAGTTCTCAAAGGGGCTTGCCAGACCTCAGCATCAGTATCACCTGGGAGCTCATTAGCAGATATTCACACACCACAGATCTTCTGAAGCAGCAAGGCAGCGGCTGGGGCCTGGCATTCTGCATTTCCCAAGCTCTCCAAGTAATGCCTATGTTTGAGAATCACAACCCTAGACTATGTTTCTGGGGCCAAGATTACCTTGGATATGGTTGAGTGCAGTTCTCCTTACCATGTAAGATTCCTGGCAATTCCCAGAGCTCATACACTTCACTGTTAAAATAAGGTATTGGAGAAGGTGGCTTTTGGATTCCTAAGCTATTGGAAGGCCAGGATAACTGGTTTGTTTTGTTTGTTTGTTTGTTTGTCTGTTTTGGCTGAAATGCAGTGATCTGATCATAGCTCATTATAGCCTCAGGTACATGCCATCCACACTAATAATTTTTTTTTTTTTTTTTTTTAGACAGAGTCTTGCTCTGTCACCCAGGCTGGAGTGCAATAGTGTGATCTCAGCTCGCCGCAACCTCCTGGGTTCAAGCAATTCTCCTGCCTCAGTCTTCCAAGTAGCTGGGATTACGGGTGCCTACCACCATGCCCGGCTAATTTTTGTACTTTTAGTAGAGATGAGGTTTCGCCATGTTGGCCAGGCTGGTCTCAAACTCCTGACCTCAGGTGATCCACCCGCCTCGGCCTCCCAAAGTGCTGTGATTACAGGTGTGAGCCACCATGCCCAGCCCACCGTGCTAATTTTTAAATCTTTTATAGAGTCAGGGTCTTGCTATGTTGCCCAGGCTGGTCTCAAAACTCCTGGCCTCAAGCAATCCTGCCTCAGCCTCCCAGAGTGCTGGGATTACAGGTGTGAGCCACTTCAAAGAACAGAATAACTTTGAATGCACAGTTTGTATTTGTCTTGCTATCAAAAGGCACGTTAAGTTCAACTTATCAAAGGTAATGCAGTTAGCAACCATTTTTCCCCTAAATTTCAGGTATCCAGATTTATTATTTAGAATTATACTTTCTCCTTGGGCTAAGGAAACAGTTGGCCACACTTTTCTACTCTATATTCTTCATTCCTATTCCAATGTGACTGCTGATTTCTGACTTTTAAAACCTAAAAGATTTCTTCCTAAACTTATCAGGAAAAGTAAAATGACTCCAGTACCACTTGCCACTGCTATTTTAGAGACAGTGAAATTCTCTGAGGTCTGTCATTCCTGATTTTATTGCTTTATAAAAGCCTGCTATAGAATGTTTTTTAAAAATACAATGATTTAAAAGTCTCCATGCCAGGGCAGCACTGGCAAATGAGGAGGCAGGAGGTCTTCATGTAGGAGATGCTTCGGGGACAGTGTGGCTTGTGGCAGCCTCAGGACTCTGGGCATCTGTCCACTCAGTACAAACCAAACTGCAGCTCCAACTAATTTTGATTTGGAAATTGCCCCCTTAAAAAAAAAAAGTACTAAAAATGTTTGACATTTACCAGATTTCTGCAGCAGTCTGCAGTTTCTCTTGCAAGTATATTCACAGACAGTGAAAGGAAGTATTTGGCAATTGCTAACTCATGTTTTTATATAGTGTAGAAGTCCAAAGATGGTAATAATGTCATATTATAGTGATGGCGATCTATAGTGTAAAGTATAATGACCATAAAAGAGTTCTCATTTTTATAGTTTTTAAACATGATTTCAGCATCCAGAGGCAAACTCCTATGTAAGGATAATGGTCGTGCATGGCCACAGAGATTTTTTTTCTTTAATTCTCAATTGCTTTTCACGCTTAACTTTTTCTAATAAGTACTATCTCCCAAGATTCCAGAAGATGGTACAAATGAGAAAATAAGGTTTATCTTTTCTCTAAGAAAGACTAAACTGTGACTTTTTTTTTCCTTTCTGGCTAATTAGGACAACAAAAGTAAACATCCAATTATGCAGTGATGAATCAAGTCATCTGGCTGGAGCTGGATTCTTTAGTGTGTTAAGTTACAGTAAATATTGAAAAGAAGGACTTTATGCAGTAGGACTGTTTTCAAGAAAAAGAAGACCAGTCTCAGCCAAATTCAAATATCTTGTAGAGAATAAATGCCTCTTGGGTTTATGGATTTATGCCATATGTGTGAGAAGAGAAAATACGGTCAAGAATTGTTGTATTTCTTGACTCCTTGAAAGGCAAGAACACTGGCTTGGGAAATAGGGACACCTGGTTTCTAGTGTTAGATAAATCTTCAGAATACAGAATGCTCTTTGAAATAACAAAATACTTGAGTGAAGGAAAGAATTGAGGAATGAACTTAAATTTAGCTCTGAAAGAATTCTTTCTTCAGTCTGTGGTTCCCTTAGCTACTATTCAATCTCTCATTTCCATCTTAGCCATATTTTAGCTTCCACCCTGTATGACAGAGACAGGGGTCTTTCTCTTGGTTTGGAGCACACATCCCTCAACATGTCCAGTAGGGAGCTCCTGGGCGACGGGTCCTGCAGGTGGATGTGGACCAGGAGCCCCGTGGGAGGAACGTGCCCCTGGGGAGAGCTGGTGGATACCCCGAATGGCAGGCCACCTGGGGCAAAGCCAGTGGAACCTGACTATGGCAGGATGAGAACACCAGTGTTTTATAATGCCCACTTTTTTTTCACTTCTTGCAGTTTCTATGTTTATTTCCTGTTAGCATTTAGTAGTATCTTTATGAGTTTATCTCAGTTATGCTAGGCAGAAAGGAGCTCTTGTCAGTTGGCAGGACCGAAAGGAGAGAATAGGCAGGGGGAAGAGGGGACAGTAATCGAAGTAGGAGCACCTTGAGCGAAGTGAAATGTGGGATGGAAATGGAAGCTCCTGTTTGTGATCTCCCAGAGAGGCTCAGTCCAGCGCCAGGTGCCGTGTGCTTGTGGAATAAAGAGACCGAATTCCTTCTGTACTGGGGGTTCATGCTGAACCCCACCTTTGTTGAAGGGGAGGAACCAGCTGCCCAAGGCAAACTAGAAGCATGCTTGCAGGAGGGAAGGTTAAGACACACAGTTTATGTGCATAGCAGTGAAAACCATAGTGTCTGTTCTGAAGTTTGGGAAAATAGTGTGAGACTGTCTAGCTGGGTCTGTCATTGGCTGATGTGTAGTATGTGTGGGTCGCTCACTAAAAAAAAAAAAAAGAAGAAGCCAGGCCCCAAAGGAAGAGGGCATTATTCATAATGAAACCTACTATGAATCCAGTGGGGTCTTGATTTCTGCTTCTTCCTGGGCTGTGCCACCAGGACTTCCTTGATAGACCTTTGGTGTCATCATGAATTCTGTTACTGATCCCGGAATAAAGATTTGGTGCCCTCCGGTTTCCAACAGTATCCAGAGATGGCCAGGGAGGATTTGGATGGGAAGGATTAAAGTTTGTATACAGGAGAGAAGACAGTACTCTCTGAAGTGTGTGTGGCCTGAGTCACCTGGTAGAGGTGGGCTTGGGTCAGGTTCTGGTCACACTGTCATTCTGGCTGCAGAAGAAGAAGCAAGATGAGTCAATCAGTGTAGGATTTCAGAGTGTGGGGCACTGACTTCCCAAATTTGGCTGCACATCTGAATCACCTGGGATACTTTCCAAAATGCATTCCCCCAGTTCCTCCCCGAAATTCAGGCAGGTCATTCTTAGGAAAAACTGGGAGTTAAAAAGCACAAACTTTGGAGTCAAATAGCACTTGGGTTGAATCTCAGCATCAACATCTTTTATTGGTTGTATGACCTTGAGCAGGGCATTTAACCTCTCCAGACCACAGTTTGTCTGTGGGCAGAAGACAAACAATCCTACTTATTTATAGAGTTTTGGGATGAATTAGATGAAATAATGCATTTAAAATGCCTAGCTCTTTGCCCAGCATATAGTAATCATTCAGTAAATATTAGCTTATGTTTAACCAAAATGTGTATGTCAGATCCCTGCTTAGTACTGTGGGAACATGCAAAAGAATTAGAAAAATCATGCTCCCTTCCCTGAATATGGCTGAGAAAAAGCGAATGCACCTGACTATTTGGTGAGTTCCGGCAGGAGGAGGGGACATTGTAATGAAGCTCAGATTGCCGGAAGATGCTGGAAGGATGCACTTTGGACCTAAGGCAGGTCCAGGGTGGTGCCTGGTGGACATGAAGAAGGCAGCAACTTTCAGAGCGAGCGTCAGAGGGGCTTGTAATGAACAGAATTGCCTTCTGATGATGTCAACATATCTAATACAAGACTCTGACTAATTACTATTTATAGTTGCTTATATTCAAAAGCTTGTTTATGCTGCAAGTAAGGCTGAAAACTGTCAGCAGGGTGTAGTGGAAAGAGCTCAGAGCTGAGTCTGAACTCCTCAATTTTTATCCCATCTGTGCTGCTGACTAGCTGGGTGACATCAGACAAGCCTCGCAACTCCCAGGCCTCAGCCTCTGCAACATATACAGGGTGTGTGTGAGTGGGAGGAGATGGGGGATTAGACAACTGCTAGGGTCTTCTGGCTCCAACATTCAACAAAAACATTTACTGCACTTCTTTCCCAAAACTTACTGTGTGCCCTGATTTTCAATTCCTGATACTCTGTAAGGGGCATTGTTCAGTGGAAGACTGTGTGTTTTGCTAATTTGTTGCTTGCGATTCAGATTCCTTTAAAGTTAGCAAAGAGCATTTTTGTTACATTGGAACAATATAGGAAGTATCCTTCATTATGCTTTCATTTGTTTTTGAGTCACAAGAAACTGTTACTGTTGTTTTGGGAGACTGATGTGGGAATGTCTTAGCACATCATTTCTCTACTCTAATTTTAAATACGGGTAGTCCCTGACTTATAAACAGTTGACTTGAGATGACCCATATGTACAGTTAGTACTATCTTAGATGTGAGAATCCAGTTCTCATCTCCTACTGCAGAGCTCTTCTGTAATTTTTCAATCAGAACACCTAGGAGATGTCTATTCTTCTCATTTCACAGATCTTCACTGCTTGCCTTTTATGGGCCAGGTTCTCTTCTGTGCCCTGGGTATCCAGCAGTGAACTAAGCAGACAAATCTCTGTGCTCACAGAGCTTAGGTTACAGTGCCATTGGCCTGGAAGGTACGCTTGCCTATTGCCCCAGGTGAGGAGGAGTCTGTGACAGGTATCTGGGTCTGTCTTCCTCTATCCAAGATCACTTCCCCCACCTCTTCCCTGCAAGGAGACTAAATCATAAAACCACAATGCCTTTTTATGTAGAAACAATAGAATATGTGACTGCTAGGTATATGTAGTATATTGCAAAGAATAGCCACAGATCCTCCCATCCTGGTTACATGTTCTCTTATAACGTGTCTTTGCCATGCTTTCAGTCAGATGTCTATTTCTCTACTCCTGTGAGTCAAGTGGCTTTGTGACTTCCTTTGACCAGCAGAATGCAGTGCAGTTGACATCATGGGAGTTCTGAGCTGAGGTATTAAGAGACCTCACATATCCCACTCCTGCTTCTTCACTCAGAACTTCTGCAGCCACAGAAGTTCTGATTACCCTCCTGGAGGATGAGAGACCACGTGGAGCAGAAATGAGTGTAAAACAAACCAGCACCATTGAGTTAGGCCATCAGGCACCTGCAGCTGCATGAGCTTTCACCAGCTTAAAGTCTCAAGATGCTCACCATCAGCATCATATTTTTTTGTTACTAATAATTGAAAGATGTAAATATTTATGAACTTAATATAGATATTAATATATTTCCTATTTGTCATGAATGAAATAGGCCCTGGAAGGTTGGCATTGGAAAATGCCTTTCACATTTTGGACCATCCACTTAGAGACACATTTTTGGAAAAGAACCACTTGAAATCTGGTGCCCAGCTGTACACGTGTTTTGTGGAGAGAGACAGATTAGCGCTGGCACGTGTGAGACAGTGGTTAGTGAAGGGTGGAAGATCGCCAGGGCTCATGGACCTGCTTCAGATGGATGTAAATAGTTGGAGTGTACTGGAAAGGTATGGGACTAACATGACCCTGACCAGAGTTTGGACAAGTGTGGTTTCATTCTGGGGGACTGACACTTATTTCTTTCCTAGAAGTGTTGATGAAAGTCATGACTCAGTAATATCAGAAGTGTGGGACCAAAGTGGAAAATAAACTCCTGACTTCATGAATTAAACAGAAACATGTCAGGGCCACTCCATACTCTTCTTCCTGTCTTCCAAAAGTCTCTTTTTTTTTCAATTCAGAAGAAGGTCTGGGAACATTCTGTGCACATAATTATTTTATAAACAATATTTTATTTAATGCCCTTGCTAATAATACTTCCTATAAATAAACAATAAGAGTCGTCATGGTTCCAGATTGCCTTTATGATAATGATATACCATATGTTTAAAGAAATGGTCTAAAAGACATACTGCTGTGATTGAAACATTTTTGGAAATTGTGTATGCTAACTGTATATTGCTCTACAGAAATCTGTTTTGATCAGTGGATAAAAGCAGCTACACATAACTATGAGGAAATCTTGAGAACATTTATTAGTAATTAAATATATAGCTGAAATATGTGCCTATATGTATATCCGAAAATTATTATAGGAGATGGTTTTCAGTGAAGATGATTGGGTGGCTTTGAAATAAATAAGTGGTTTGGTTTATGATTAATGGATTTATTAATTTGCTATGGTCACCTAACAATCCACCCCACAAGTTGGTGGCTTTACAACAACAATCATGTTATCGCTTCCAGTCATGTTATCACTTGCAGACATAATCTGCATGTCACCTGAGGGTTGGCTGATTTCACCTGTGCTCAGCTAGGCATCTCGGCCTCTCATTGTGAGGCTGTGAATGGACTCTGCGCCGTACCTCTTCTCCAATTCTGACCTGGGGCAGCTAGCTTGGGTGTGCTCTTCCCAGGGCTAAGGGGGCAAGGCAAACCCAGGAGGATGGGCAGAAACACTAAGTCTGGTTCATTCTAGGCTTGGTAGGGGCATGTCGTTACTTCTGTCTCATTATGTTGGCCAAAGTGAGTCACATGGCTAAGCTCAAAGTTAGGAAGCAGGGAAATAGACTGTATCTTTAGGGGAGGAATTTCAAAGTCATATGAAAAAAAAGGTATGGATACTACAGCCAGGGATGAACATTTGGAGCCAGTAATGATATTCACCCCTGTGTCTGTGTGACTCCTAAGAAGAGCCAAGACTTGTTAAAGATGAGCAGAGAGGTAAATTAGTTTGGAGATGGTGAAGAAGCAGTTTGGGGATACTTTGGTCTGCGTATAACATTGAAGACACCTGTCTTTCCTTGTATACCAGGGGTTGCAAACTATAGCTTATTGGGCCACATCCTGCCCAAGGCTTGTTTTATTGGAACACAGCCATGTCCAGTGGTTTGTGTGTGTCTTGTGTGCAGCTGCTCAGCCCTGCCACAGACAGTTGAATACTTGAGGCAGAGACTGAGTGGCCTGCAGAGTTGAAAACATTGACTACCGGGTTCTTTGCAGGTAAAGTTAGCTGACTCCTGTTTGATATGATGCAACTGGATAGAATCCATTTGGCTATAATCTCCGCCTCTCTACCTGCCCACCCCATACCCGCCCCAGTTCCTTTTAGGATTTTCCTACTGTGCTTTGCATTCTCATTATTCTGTGTTTTTATAAAATAGGTAAAATAGGAGGTAAAGTTATCCTGGTGCCTGGCTGTTGGCACTGATGACCAATGCAATTTGCATCCACAGGTCATAATCCTTAAAGTTTATAAGGCGACAAATTGCAGATTAGAGGACATACAAATGAGGGAGCCAGTTGCTACTTTTGCCTTTATTATTAATGTTTTGTGGCTCTGCGGGTCATTCATGATGTTAGACAATAGGGTGATTATTTCTGTTCTGCTGAAAGACAATCTGATTGTGTTTTGTGTAGAATGAGGCACTGATCCGCTCTGCCTGCCTCCCATGAGAAATGCCGCAGACCTTTGTCTGCTCAAACCTCCTCCCGTCAGCTCTGGTATTGTGATGGAAGTAATTGACCAGGCCTCATGGGTCAGCATATATCTGTACTGCTGTTTATTCTTCTTTCTACTTTTTAAGGACTAAAATCACTTTCTTGTAAAATATTACAAAGACATTTTAAAAGAAAAGACTGTCCATTGTATTTTTCCACCCCCTTAAAATATATTCATAATGATCTTTTTAACTGGGTGGGACTTGATTTGGTTTAAAAACAATAATCTTGGTGACTGTATGGAAATACGGAAAATGTTTAATACAGTATTCCATTAAAAACATGATACAGGTTGGGCGCGGTAGCTCACGCCTGAAATCCCAGCACTTTGGGAGGTCAAGGCGGGCGGATCACTTGAGGTCTGGAGTTCGAGACTAGCCTGGCCAACATGGTGAGATGGTGAGACCCCGTCTCTACTAAAAATACAAGAATTAGCCAGGCGTGGTGGCTACTGTAAGCCCAGGCATCTGTAAGCCCAGCTACTCAGGAGGCTGAGGCAGGAGAATTGCTTGAACCCGGGAGGCAGAGGTTGCAGTGAGCTGACATGGCACCACTGCACTCCAGCCTGGGTGACAGAGCAAACGAAACTCTGTCTCAAAAAAAAAAAAAAAAAAAAAAAGATGCATAATTGCTGCAGGTATGTGATTGTAACCATAGAATAAGTAGGTATGTACATGTGGTAGATAGAATGATGTGCCTTCCCCCTGAAGATATCCATGTCCTAATATCCAGACCCTGTGAGTGTTTTTCCTACATGGAAAAGAGCATAATGCAGATGTGATTAAGTTAAGGGTCTCGTGAGAGATTACCCTGGGTTATCTGGGTAGGCCCAGTGTAATCACAAAGGACCTTCTAAGAGTGAGGGATGAACTCACAAAAGGATGCAGAAGCAGAGTTGGGAGGGTTGCCCTTCAAACATGGAGGAAGGGGCCATGAACCAAGGAATACAGGTGACCTCTTAATACTGGAAAAGGCAAGGAAGCAGGGGCCCCCGGAACTCTGCGAGCACCTCCATTGTAGCCTTATGAGACTCATTTTGGAAGTCTGACCCCAAAACTGTGAGATAATAAATTTGTGTTGCTTTAAGTCACTAAGTTTGTGGTATTATGTTACAGCAGCAATGAAAAACTAATATGGCACATAAGACTGGAAGGGAAGATATTTTAAAATGATAGTTGGAAGTACAGTGTATTTTAGTTTGTGTATTTTGATTGGGTGCTTGTGAGTTTACTTTGGTTGGTTAAGACTAAGAGGCAACAGATGACTTTTAAATGTTAGAGGAGGGAAAAATGGTAGAGTTTCAAGTTCACATTCAAGTACAAATGATGAATAAGCCCAGCCAAATTGTTCTCCAGTTTGGGTTTTGATGTATTGGGTTCAAATGGTTCCAGCCTTAATGGAGAAGCCAGTTTCTTTTTTCTTGTTGTTTTATTGTTTTTAAGCCTCTCTCTGGTTTTCAGTAGAGTTTGACCTTAAATATCATCTTTGATTACTATTGGTGTCCTTGTAGTTAAGGTCTTTGCAAAAGTTTGAGTGCAAGTTTTAAGCTAAAAACACGTTTTTAAACTTTCACAAATTTTGTAAGATGACAATAGCATTCTGTAACATAGACATTATGGTAATAGTGATTTTCTCTCCATCCCTATTTTGTCCAGCGATTTCCAAGTTATAAGACGTGAATAAGACTAACCGCTCACTTCCACCAGCAGCTGACCTGGTGGGCTTTTGAGTTCAAAGAGTCATTTCTTCATCTTACCTCCAGCACTGCAGGGCCGTGTGACCTTGCAGAGCCTTGTTTCTCATTGATGAAAGGAGCTCATGCCTCATGAAGCCACTGGTAAGGGCCATGGAGCTCACGGGCCATCAAGCTTCCTTCCCATCACTTGTGGGTGGAATTGACATTACCCGATGAGCTCTTCCTGGGGTCACCTGGGAGGGAGTGGCCCATGGGTGGTATGACAAAATCTCATAGTCAGTCTTTGCAGTTTTCTCCACAGGTAAAATGAGATTTTGGAAAATTTTCATTTGTTTGTATTTGTCCCAAGGTGAGTCTTACATATTTTGAGCAACAAAACGAAGATCATTATGAAAATGTCCTTATGGAAGCACTCTAGGGCCATTGCTCATTTTTATGAGTCCTCGTGCTAAGTCCCTGAGTACTGTGGCTCATGTCTTAGCTGGCTAAATCACAGTCAAAATTCTCTTCTTAAGCCTCAAAATAAGCTGCTGATTATACTGCCTGTTGGCCAGACTAATCAAATACATTTGATGTTTCAGCTGACTCCAGATACTTTTCCTTCCTCCTCCTTGGTTCTTTAACTGTCATCCCAGATCTGCGACATGCAATAAGGAAAACTGAGTCAGGGAGGAAGTAGGATTCCTTTTGCTGCTAGGAACCACGTTAGCTTTGGATTGTCCATAGAATGCACCCTTAACAGTTCTTGGAAAATGGATGATATTTGGTTCCTGCCCCATGTTCAGTGTTCTTTGGCAGCTGCAAAGCATATCCTAGCTAGAATCCTTATCGTCTTGAAGTTCATCAAAGATTTTGAACAGTCATGGTGGAGATACAACCTAAGTACATTCATGCCCATTGAGACAATCCTTTGGTTTGAGCGACGGAAGGAGGAATAAACACATGAATGTATTTTATTGAATCCCAGAGACCCTGAAACACCAAGACTCATTAATATATGCATACATGGATGGCAGAATAATAAACCTCACCTGACCTGTCAGTGTACTCTCAGTTTTTAAGGTTCTCCCAAAACAGGGAAACTGAAAAATACTTGGGCAGAAAGAAAATATCATCAAATAACACCTATTTCTTTTCAGCTATAGAGATGGCTGGATATCAAAAGCACCACGGGAGCTTTGCAATTTGCTGCCTCTTTTCAGCCCTCAGCTTGACTCTCAGTTTTCAAGAGGGAGAAAATGAATGTTTCCCAGCATTCTCTGTCCTTTGCTCCAAAGAAGAGAGCAGGTGTTGGCTTCCAAACCTTCCGTATTTTCTTATTGCTGTTAGGGGGATCAACTGCATGTTTCCTGAGGGAAAAGGGTGGCTCACTGACCTACTTGAAGGCATTCTCTCAGTGGAAGCTGGGCAAGAGAATCCAGGGATTTCTTTTGCAGGTTTCTGCGCAGTGCCCCTGCCATCAAGCTGCCTAAAATGTGAATATTGCTTCCCTGCGTTTCAGAGGTGGTAATATTGGGGCAAGTGGTGGAGGATCTAAAAAAAAAATCATCTTTGTGCTCCCTACCTTGCCCCTGGTATGGATTAAACAGCCACCACCCTCCTTCTCTTATACCCTGGGGGCCTCCTGACAATACTTCCAATTGCTCCATTGATTACTTAGATTTTTTGGGACACAAGGGCCCACGTTGTGTCTTCCTGACAACACTTTTAGTTGCTCTATTGATTACTTAGATTTTTGTTGGCAATTAGGAGCTTTTCAGTAACATTCTTTGCTCCATCGGTAGTCTCTGCTGGCTCTTGTTCACTCAGGAAACACCTGAGCACAGGGCTTCAGGAAAGCCTTCTATTAAATGGGCAGAGGCCCCAGCAGGACTCCTGCATGTTCATCTGCACAGCCAGAGACAGCTGGAGGGCAGGAGGAGCCGCGTTCACATAGGGTTCTGCAGCCTTGGAGCCGCCGTTTCTTCCAAGTACTCTTCAGATCAGTGGTTCTTAGCCCTGCCTGAACTGCAGAGTCCTCCGAGGAGCTTTCAAATGAAGCATGGCAGCCTGGGCAGGTTGCAGGTCCATTAAATCCACATCTCCGGGGTGGGAGCCGGTGGCATCCTTGCTTTGCCAGAACTCCCCCATTGACCCTAATGTGAAACCTGGGCTGAGAGGCCCTGCCTAAAGCTCGATTATTTTCACCTGTGGATGTAGGCGATCGCTTCCTTTTGTGGCTGTTGTCAGGAGGCAGAAAATCCCCTGGGTTGTTGGCTCCCTGGAGTCTTATTTTTACAGAGTGCCCTGTTTCAGGTGCAGCAACCTGACTGATGTTTTTACAAATCACCTTTTGGTGGCCTCCTGTCACTGCTGTCTCCCTTCAAGGGTTAAATAAGCCTCTCTCACCCATTCCTTTTCACACCTGTGTCGTGTATTATTGGCAGGCCTCAGTCCTCAGGGTGTCAAATGGAACTGATGGATGCCAGACATTGTGGATATCTGCAAGTCCTGGTTGGTGACCAGGGACTTGAAGAGTAGACTTTCTTCTCAAACTTATCTTTGTGCTGTTTTCCTTCCCCAGACCTCATAGTCTGGAGCCCATGTTTCCAGGGGTGGAATTTGATTTTCCCAGAGAGGAGCTGTGTTCGGCTTCTAGGCTGAGGAGCTAAGCTGCCGAGCCTCTGCCAGCCCTCTGTGGATTCGCTCCTGCATTATTCAGCGCCTTTGCTGACAGAGCACCATGTTCCACTGCTGAGCAGATCAGGGTGAATTTCCAAGAGGGAACATTGCAGATGGTTTTGCCTTTAGGGATGGATTTTCTTACTCCCAAGTGACTCACTTCTGGTAAAATTAAAAAAAAAAAAAAGAACAACCTTGAGTCCCTTGAGTCTGTCCCCACCATCTTTGCTCAGAGGGAATTAAGGAGCCAATTCAGAGCTTTAAAAAAGTCACGTGATGATTCATTATCTTTTTGCTGGTTGTTTCCTGCCCCCTCCCCCCCCACCCCCACCCACTGACTTGTAGTTTTTCATAAGCATTTATTCATCCTTGAATTTTATTTTATTTTTTTATTTTTTTTTGAGACAGAGTCTTGCTCTGTCACCCAGGGTGGAGTGCAGTGGTGCGATCTTGGCTCACTGCAGCTTCCGCCTCCCGGGTTTGAGCAATTCTTGTGCTTCCACCTCCTGAGGAGCTGGGATTACAAGCATGCACCACCATGCCCGACTAATTTTTGTATTTTTAGTAGATACAGAGTTCATAGCCAGGCTGGTCTTGAACTCCTGACCTCAGGTGATCCGCCCACCTCGGCCTCCCAGAATGCTAGGATTACAGGTGTGAGCCACTGCGCCCGGCCCATCCTTGAAGTTTAACTGCAACCCCATCTCCTTCCCTCTTTGCATGGGGTAAAACCCTACTGCAAGGACTCACTAGAATTCCTTCCACTCACATCCCCTCTGATGATCTGGCCTTGCTGTCAATTGCTGTGACCATGGACAAGTTGCCTTGCTGCCTCTCCTGAACATGGGAGGTACACAAGGCCTTTCTTCAGGGGTTTATTCCCAGCAGCTGATCTGCTGCTGTCGGTGGAATTAGTTTGCACACACAGCATCCCGGGGAGTGGAACAGTGCTTTCTTAGCACAAAACAGACACGTTTGCTTCCCTTCTTTCAGTGAAGGGGAACCCACGGCTGGAAAATACTGGAAGGCAATTGTAACCTTAGGCAGCCAACAACACTTCAGTCCTTTGGAAGTGGATTTTAAGGAAGAGGAGACTTCAAACGGTAGAGCTCTTTGTGATGTACCTCTTAGAGAATACCTTTTTGATTCCTACACTTATTCTCCTCTCACCAAGTGATACTTAAAGGGATGCCCTAAAACAGCAGTAAAGTCATAGGCCCCTTTTTATAAATTTCATGAATTCACTACTTTTTTCCCATCACGTCTTCTCTTAACCAATGTATCTGCATTTGGTTTGCGTAAAAGAAGAAATGTTTCCTCTGCTCCTGGGCTCACCATTAATTCTGATGAGATAGGCCTTTCTCCTCTAAAGGCAACAGGGCATTGGCCAAATCCCCTGTTTTACTGCATCCCTTTTTGGAGCTCAGTATTGGCCTGTCCTGACCCCCCTGGTTTGCCTCAGAATAATTATTAAGGGCATGTGTCTTGAAACAAGTCGCACCCAAGGCTGCTAGCCTGTGTATTGACTGCTTGATTTATAACGAATGCTGAATTTGGCTAGGCAAATGAGAAACGTGGTAGGGTCAGCCTTCTGCCTCCTCCTGGTTTACAGACTCATCTTGCCCATTCATTTTTCCCATCTAAGGCTTTAATTTGATACCCAGTGGGTTGGTCTTAAGCAACCAGGCAAGATCCAGAGGAGACTGTCCAGGCTGCCGCCCCCACTGGCCAGGCAGACCCCGTTCCTTTTGCGAGTTTCCTGCAAGGCTGTTGTTGACTCGGGGGAGCGGCTTTTAGTTGCTCAGGCTTCTTTCTGCTGCTGCAGAGGAATGTGTTCCCCTGTAGAGGCTGTTGGAAAGGGCAGTGCAGACAAGCCGGCTTCTCAGGCATTTAAACAAGTTGTCTGGAGGTTGTCAGACTCTGCAGCGCATCAGCCCCTCCTTTTGTTCGTTCGTAATGCCACAGTGTTTATGGAGCCCTGCCTTTTGGAGGAGTGGGAAGTGGAGCTTCCAACTGTTAGCCTATGTGTTTCTGTCATTTAGAGGCAATAAGAAGAACATGACCTTTTCTGGAACTGCTGCCCCCCGCACCCCCCCCAAAAAAATTAGAAAATGGTTAGTTTTGATTACATTCACCTTGACCACTTTCTTCCCAAGTGAAGCTGACCACGATTCTTTGTTGGAGCCAAGTTTTTGTATTTGCATATTCCCCTCGGGTAGGAACTGGGTCAGTTATTATTGTTCTAACTAGCAGGCGGAATTGGGGTCTCTGAGGCATGAGGGAGATTCCATTGTCTTCTGTGTATTCTGCTGGTATTTCATATCTGATGAAGGTCGATTCTTATCCCTAATTGACTTCCTCTTGGGTTTTGTAGTCTGAGTATTTGAAATCACATGTTGATTGGGCTGGGTGTGGTAGCACAAGCTTGTAATCCCAGCACTTTGGGAGGCCGAGGTGGGCGGATCACGAGGTCAAGAGATCAAGACCATCCTGGCTAACATGGTGAAACCCCATCTCTACTAAAAATACAAAAAATTAGCCGGGCGTGGTGGCGGGCGCCTGTAGTCCCAGCTACTCGGGAGGCTGAGGCAGGAGAATGGCGTGAACCCGGGAGGCGGAGCTTGCAGTGAGCCGAGATCACGCCACTGCACTCCAGCCTGGGTGACAGAGCAAGACTCTGTCTCAAAAAAGAAAAGAAAAAGAAATCACAAGTTGATCTTTCTGAATGTTGGGGCCCAATGTATTTGAGTAATAAACTTGTAACATGAGGGAAATGGACAAGTGAACCTTCTTAAGGACTCATGGTAATTTGACTCTCTCCTGTATGATTCTTTACTGACAGTGACATGAAGGGGAATTGCCTGGGGTAGACTTAGGCTGTCTAGTGTCATATGCTGCTTTTATTAATCCGGAGATTTCTGATTGGAATATATTTCCATTTCAATGGGATTAGAGTATAAAGAATGCTTTGTTACAATTATTTACTTACACCGCCACCACCGTAAGTAATAATAGTAGTTAGCATTTACCCTGTGTGTGTTACCTATAAGGTGCTGTTCTCAGCACTTCATGTGAATTATTCCTCAAATTATCCCCAAACTCTCTGAGACTGCGCTGTTACCATTTTGCTTTGTAGCTAAAGAAACAGCTTAGAGAGGTTGAGTAACTCCTCCAAGGCATACTCAGCAGTAGGCAGGACTTGAACCTGCGTTGTGATTTGTGAATTCCCACTTTTAACCACCCTTCACTGCCCATCTACACTGCCTCTTGCACATCTCATATTTTGCCAGATGGGAAAACTCACCAAGGATGAAGCTTCCTTAAGATCTTTTTGAGTATAAATAGGCCATCTGTTGATCTGTGTGTCCATCAGGTTAGGGGCTCTTACCTCAAGCCAACATATGGCAGAAAAGATATGTATTGATGTCTTGTGGGATAGTTAATAAAACACAAATGTGCAGTGCAGCTTCTTTAACCTGCTCCATCTTGGACCCAAATTCCCCCACCCCTGCTGCCAAACAGGCCTCTAACTGATGGGGTGGGTGTCCCCATCAGCTCTGTGCTGGCCCAGCTTCCTTGGGGTTGGCCCTCACCAGAGTAAGGGCACAAAACACAGCTCTCGAGGGGTTCTGCAGACGACCAGAGCCTGAGACCTTTTCTTGGCAGCTGGTGTCAGTTCCCTGTTGGATCTGTCCTTCCCTTCTGAATCCTAGTGGGATCTCCTCACTACCTGGTCACTATCTCTGTTCTCACAACAAGATTTAAACAATTATAGGATATCAGTGCACTGTGAGACCACAAACTCTTCTAGTCCATTCCCCTCCTTCTAATGAGGGGCCCCCACAGCTGTGGGGTTGTATCATCTAAGCCAGACCTCCAGTTTCCTTTTCACTAAAATACCTACCTTTGAAATAAAAGTGAAAACTTACATCAAAACAGCATCATGCCTGGAACATACTGAATGGACAGCATTTCCTTTCTTTCCCCTCCTTATTCTCCTGATTATTAATTATTTGCCTGACTTTGGATAGCTATTGGCTTCTGTCCTCTGATATTAATGTACTCATAATTTCTGTTTCTTACCTGGTTTTGGACTAATTGCTCTATTTTTATTTTTATTTTTTGGCACATGCTCTGCCTCTCCAATTCTGACATTTCTTGCAGTCCTCTCAGCATATTTCTGATCACAGTCCCAAATGACATTGAGAAGCCCTGATAGGAAAATGCTGTGTAAGAAATATGAGTTATTTGTCTGTGTGACTAGAACTTTCCTGGTGTAAGTTCAGAACTTTCCAGAACTTCCCTGAACTTTACTCTGTCCGGTTCAGACCATCTGAATGCAGATGTCTGACTTGGGGATAGATCCTCCACTGATCAATCATTCAGAGAAAAGCCACAGAAAACACACAAGATTAGAAAAATAAAACCCACATGGAAAGGCTTTAGTGAGGTTACAGCATAGATTATGCAGTCTGGGAAAAGAAGGATAATGCAGATTAAAATATCTGAAATATTAGAATAGCATAAATGTAGTTAACTTCGGAGCCGGAAGACCAGGGTTGAATCTTGGCTTCTTCCCTTACTGGCCATGTAACCTTGGGCTTCTTGCTTAACCCCTCTGAGCTGCAGAAGGGGGGATGCTGCTGTTGATGTCATCATCACCAATGGCAGCAGTAGAAGCTATCAATGATGGTGGTTATCACTTTTATTACCATTGTTTTTAGTAAGGAGAGCTAACGAGACAGGCTCCAACTGCTCTTCTCCCGTGGGAATTGCAGTTTTCTGCAGTGGATCCTGTGACAGATTCCTGTGGATTCCTGGGACAGACTTAGCCACCTGTCCTTTCTTCTATCCTCCTGTACTCATCAGATTGAGCACCATGTGGGTCCAGTCCCTGAGATGAGTGCTTGATAGATAGAGGTGAACGATGGGGGCTTGGTCTTACAGAGCTGACCTGTAAAATCCTCTCCACCATATCCAGTGCATACAGCTGGGCATTCTTTGTGTAGATCACCCCAGTTATTAGAACCTCTATTTCAGTAATTCACTCTCTGGGCTCTAGTTCTTCCTTGTGAATTTTACTCTCAGGGAAGCCCCGACTGTGCTCCTGAAGCTGTTTTTATTTGTAGTAATTTAGCATGCGTCCAGGAATTGAGGACTCTTGCCTACCCAAAATCAGAGGTGGGGAGGAAAACCACGGTATTTCAGTCCTTTTGTTCTTTTTGAGGTCTGTAATTCACCAAAGCCAGGTCCACCAAAGTAAATTATTACCATAATTTATGGTGAGAATTATTTGGGGCCACAGATGTCAAGTGGAAGCTTGCAGGTAAGTATGATTGAGAAAGTACAAAATTTTGAAATGAACTCTAACCTTATGAGTCTGTTGCTCTAAGGATCTAAGGATATTAGGAGGTAGTGTTAAGAATCACAACTGCATTGTTAAACGCCAAGTGTTCTTTGTGATTTGATTGAAACTGTAGTTGGGATTCTTCAGGTTCCATATGTGGGGCAACATTTAAATATTAACATTCTTGGGAAGATTTTGTATAGACAGCTTTCTCTGTCATCCGAATGCCGTGTGGTCTTCAGAGCATGTCATAAGAAAAGTCATGAGACACAAATCTGATGGAACTTTCTTTAGCATATGTTTAAGACTTGTCATCTTCCCATCTCATCTTTGCAGTAGAAAAATACCAACGTTTCCCTGAACAAAATAGAAGTATTTTCCACTTCCCCATTTCTGAAGCTCCTAGACGTTTTATATTTCTTTTGAGTAAGAGATTGCTTTGTATCCAGGAGCCTTTGCATGGTGCCTTTTCTTTTACTGGTTTGTTTATTTGGGAGATGGAGTCTTGCTCTGTCACCCAGGCTGGAGTGCATTGGCATGATCTCGGCTCACTGCAATCTCCACCTCCTGGGTTTAAGGGGTTCTCGTGCCTCAGCTTCCCGAGTGGCTGGGATTACAGGTTCACGCCACCATGCCCAGCTAATTTTTTGTATTTTTAGTAGAGACAGGGTTTTACCATGTTGCCTAAGCTGGTCTCCTGAGCTCAGGCAATCTGCCCGCCTCTGCCTCCCAAACTGCTAGAATTACAGGCGTGAGCCACCACCACGCCTGACTCCTTTTCTTTTTCTTGATGTTACTGAAGACTTTATTTTGGAAGTAGTGAGGGCCCAGAGCTGATCCCTTCTGGAGATGTGTCACAGGGTAAAGAATGTGGCTTTGAAACTCCAACTCTGTCACTTAAAGCTGTGCCTCTTTCAGAGTTACTTAACCACTCTGAACCTTAGTTTCCTCTTCTGCAAAATGGGAGACTAGCAACCTGCCACCCAACTGACTGCTCTGGGCTATTTATGAGACAGTCTCTGCTCTCGGGAGACATCCCTCTTTGGCTTATTCATCCTCACTCATCTGCGTTGGAGAGATGCACTTGGTGCCTCTCCTGCAGAAGGGGTGTTAGGAGGCTGTTGCGTTTGTCACCAGGGAGGTGATGTTTTCCCCATTGGGAACCCTAGGCCAGCAAACTTCGAGAAGTGTCTGTGGCAGCTTGAATGCTGCTATTTAAGAGTTGATAAAGAGGCAGCTTGGAGAAAACCTCAAGCTTATTTGGTTGAGTGGGGTGGCTGTGTGAGAATTAAGTAATGAGTAGACCTGAAGCATCTGGTGGGATCTCCAGCAGTTAGTAAATGGCAGCTGTTTTTATTCTCATCCCTTGTGGGCAGTACTGTCCAGTTCCAGTGATGGGCATTAGTGGCATTTGGGATTTGAGGATAACCTTCATAGGTTGGAATGAGTACCGTAGCAAAACAGAATTCTGCTCTTAGCCAGAAAGCATTCCAGTTAGCAAACTACCTGACAGTGTAATGTGCCCAGAGGACCCAGGAGGGCCATCCCAGGGAGAACAGCATCGCCATTTCTGCTGACCACATGCTGTCTCCTGAGCCCCGGTATCTGAGGCCCTCATCGAAGGCATAGGCATATTAACAGTTATGCTGCCAGACTTTTATCAGCAGTCTGTACTTCTCCTTTTATCTTCGGAACTGTGATGAAAAGAACAGTCCACTCCCTTCTGATCTCAACACTTACCAAAGCTCATCTGTTCACAGGCAAATGTACTAAAACATTTTTTATTGGAGACTGAGTTTCATGTGTAGACATCATTGTATTTCTGTGTGGTGTCCTCAGATTTTCACTCTTGTTTTTTCCCCAGCTGCCTTTTTTAAAAACTCCTTTGCACTCTTAAACGTCAGGCTGAGTGTATGTGTGTAAATAAACGCTTTGGGTGGAGGATATTGTTCTGCTGTGACAAGCCATCAAGCAGCACAGCAAGAAACAATACTTTTCTAATTTGTGAGTTATTCTTACGTTTCCCTTTTGCAAGGCTAGTTATTTCATTAAATTCATTTAATTTAAGCTTTGAAATCTTTTTTTTTTTTTTGAGATGGAGTCTTGCTCTGTCCTCCAGGCTGGATTGCAGTGGCGTGATCTCGGCTCACTGCAAGCTCCGCCTCTCAGGTTCACGCCATTCTCCTGCCTCAGCCTCCTGAGTAGCTGGGACTACAGGCGCCCGCCACCACATCCAGCTAATTTTTTTTTATTTTTAGTAGAGATGGGGTTTCACTGTGTTAGCCAGGATAGTCTCGATCACCTGATTTGTGATCTGCCCGCCTTGGCCTCCCAAAGTTCTGGGATTACAGGCGTAAGCACCGCGCCCGGCCTAAGGTTTCAATCTTAATAAGAATGGCTAACTTTTAGATGAGAGTTTTACATCAGAAAACCTCATCGTACCCAGAGAGATGCTTCTTTAATTCAGATTTGAAGGGATGAGTTTCCTTGTTCTGGATTAAACAGCTCACTCAGACACACCAAATGAATGCAGTGTGCAGTCCTAGGTGGCACCAATCACAGAAGAGTGAAAAGCATAAAACAGTTTTAGAAAAGGTCACCACACTTAGAAATAGAAATCCACCCTTGCTCACGCAACCCGAGGGATTTGAAAATAATTTCGAAAATCAATTTAAACATGTAGGCCACCCGTCTTTTGGAGAGATGCAGTTGGTGCCTCTCCTGCAGAAGGGGTGTTAGGAGGCTGTTGTGTTTGTTGCCAGGGAGGTGATGTTTTCCCCATTGGGAACCCTAGGCCAGCAAACTTCGGGAAGTGTCTGTGGCAGCTTGAATGCTGCTATTTCAGAGCTGATGAAGAGGCAGCTTGGAGAAAACCTCAAAAATAAATACTCTGATTCATCATTGTTGTTCAGGCTTTCCAGCCGTCAGAGCCAGCCCAGGGTTCTGAGACAAAGGGTAACATTCAGCACAGAGCCCAGCGGAGAGTCTGGAGCCCTGACTGTCTCTAAAAGAGGGGGCGGAGAGGGAGGCAGCTGCCTGCAAACCCTGGAGTGGGGCTTGACGCTGGGGGGACGGCGTGTGCTGGTTTTGCTGCTTTGGGGGTGAGGAGAGGATGAATAATCCAAAGAGGGACGTCTCCCGAGAGCAGGGACCATCTCATAAATAGCCCAGAGCAGTCAGTTGGGTGGCGGGCTGCCGTGCGGGGGCTGCAGTTAGAAGCAGCACTCGGAGTGGAGTGGGGCCTCCCAGCGGGGCCCTGCTGCACTTTGTGAGTGCTCTGTGGTCGAAGGCCAGCTGGGCCTGAAGGCAAAACATCTGGATTTTGCAGAGGGTTCCTAGGCTGAGACGGAATTCAGGCTGTAGGCTCTGTGAGACCTTGTGTGAAACCCCCGGTTCTGTCTCTGTCACTTGTTTGAGTCTCCCATTTCTCTGTCTATCAAAAGATTGAATATGGTGGCTTACAACAGAGGCAGTCGAGGGTAATTATTAGTATCATGGTTTGACCTCGAGATCTGGCACTTCCTGGACCTATTCCGTTGTATATTTCTCTGTGCACTCCCTGAGCCTCCCTTTTCTCAGCTGAGAAAATGGTCACACCTATGGTATCCCACACTGTGGAAAATGACCAAATAAGACAAGGTATGTGCAAGTATTTGGTAGAACCCTACAGAGGTAGGAAGTGGCTGTTACTAGCTGTTTCCACTGGTATTCTCTGGCCATCTCAGAGCTGTTTAGGGACCATTCCAGCTACAGGGGAGGGCAAGATTTAGAGTAGACTCTCAAATGAGTCTATCTGATTCTTTGGAAGCACGAGCTCTAGTAAGATAGTTTGAACAAAGATGTGACCATGAGGGGTTTTGTTTTATTTTTTAACTAGATTTTGATATGTTGTGTGCCGCTTCTCCACTGCACAGATTGACCAAGAGTTAGCTGCAGATTGTGGCTCAGTAAGAAGGTCTTGTGGTACGTGCTCCTGCGGCCCCCACCTCAAACTCTTGCCTCTGGTGTTCTTGAAAGAAATGAGGGGACCTTTGCCCGAGCCAAGGGAAAATGCAAGATTTTGGAGGCTTAGCCCCTTTATTGTTTTTTTCCTCTGTTGCTTATATTGATTTCTGCGGCAAAGAGCAGTTGACTGGGATTGAAAGCTACTCTGCTGGTCTTGGATGTGGAAGAAAAAATAATTCCCACTTTCCAAATAGAGGCTCATCCAGAGGCAGCAGATGCCAGAGGCAGCAGATGCTAGCTGCAGTTCTGCAGGCAGGAATTGCACGTGCAAAGCAGAGCTGACGTCCAGTCCACGCCTCATGGCACTTTGGAAGTGCATCTGACACCGTTTGCCTGCCATACACAAGCCACAAAGACTTTTTGAGGCGACAGGTTATGCCAAAAATTAAGTAAAAATGACACAGCTTCAGATGACATTTACATATCTATTTTTGAGGTTTCAGAACATGTGCCCTATAAAAATGTACAACTGCATTGTTTAAAACTCTTCTGAGTCTCTGAGGATTTTCTATCAGTGCATGCCTCTCAGTTATCACTTAAATGTCAAGGCCCTAAGCTTGTATGAGCCCCTAAAATGTTTTTGAGCCCCACAGTAAATTTTTGGCTGACCACATTTGTTCTATGTAAGGCTGATAACAAGCCACCACGTGGAATCTCACAGTGGGACTTTAGTATCAGGCAATTGCAGAGTCCTGAAGCTCGTGTTGCGGTTATTATGGTTCTATATAAAGCCCCAGGGGAGAAAGTCATTTCATGCTTTTAAAATTACTAGTTAATGTTTAAGGAGTTTATACGGAGTGGACTGAGCCAAGCATTTTCCCCTTAACTTTAAAATTATTACAGAGAGGCCTTAAGAAACTGTTCTGTATTAGATGGTGATTAAAATATGACCTTTTTCTTTCTTTATGCTTAGGATTTTCACGATGTGGTTTGCAATTAATTTGTATGTGCACAGTCTTTGTGCTAGTTTCTGTGGACATACAGTGGTGCTACTTGGCCTTAAGAGCTTCCTGTGTGTGGTTGGGAGATAGGCAGTTAGTAAGCCATGTGTGCTGTGAGAAAACCCAGAGCATAGAAGTCGCACATGAGAGTACCAGGTGCTGAGTACCATGGGGGTGAGAGCAAGGAGGGATTATTTCTGCCCCAAGAAGGCTTCTTGGGAAATAGAGCAGTTATGAAGGACCTGGAAAGATGTTCCAATAAGACTTGGGTGAGGAGACACAATAGTCCCAAGTAGGGAGGGCAGAGCACCCTGAGTAGAGGTGTGGTGTCAGGAAGTGTGAGAATTCTTCAGAGACTGATAGTCGGAAGGGATTCCTCTGCAAAGGCCTGTGGAAGGATATGAAGGTTGGAAAGACAAGTGGGAGCCATTGGGGAGTCTCAACAAATGTGTATTGTATTGTGTGTGTTTCACTTGGAAAATTATCTTGCTATTAATGAGAAAGTACAGATTAATGCTTTTTTTGTTTTACTGGATTCAAATTATATTTGACAAGTCATTTCATTCTAGTGTATGCATGTGATTTTCTTGGAACGAGGGTAACATTTTAAAGATAGGATTTGATGAGTCAATGAGGTATTTTTCAAGTAGATTACTTAGAAAATGTTATAGTCATAAAATATCTTGGAGTTACAGTTAAGAGTCAATTATTGTTTCATCTATAGGCATCCAATTAAAGTTGAATTATGCTGTTATTTTCACTCAATTTCCAAAGCTATGCACTTCCGTAATTTCTATCCTTGTTTATAGTCAGTATAATGTTTAATGCAATGTGCCTGATTTAGCACTTTGTGTTATAAATTTTGCCTGATAAATAATCAACTTATTTTCTTCCGTATGACGACAGTTTTCTTCACAGTGAATGGAGCTTAGTGTATTTATATAAAATGTAAGTCTGGGAGAGTTTCCATTATAGTTCAAGTATATTTAATGTTCAAAAGAATGCAGTATTTGTGGTTTCCTGGCATTCTTTGAATACCATGTGGCTCTTCTCTCTTCCTTCTCACCAAAACCCTAGTCATTTTATTATTTATATAATGAGATACTGTAAGATACTAAAACATAAGTTATTGTGAGGTCTGGCTTTTGATGCTATGAAGTACCCTTTGTTATTTGAGACTAATGAAATGAAATCAGTGAGTTCCAGCTTGTCTACTAGTATGTTGCTTGAAACAATTACATTCTTTTGAACATTAAATTTATATATTTGAACTATAAGGAAACTCTCCCAGACTTGTATTTTATATACTCTAAGCTCCATTGACCATGCAGAAATCTGTCAGCATATGAGAGGAACAAGCGGATTATTTATCAGGCAGATTTTATAATGCAGAAATACGAAGCAACATAGTGCTGTGGTGAAGACAGAATTGAACATTGTTAGACACTTAGCAATCCCAAGAGGCATCATGAAGTCCATGTACCCTACACCATAGAAAAGGCTACACCCCAAAGTTCTGGAACAAGCCTGGTTTGCTGGCTTTCTGGTGTCAAATGTCAGAAGCAGAAAATGGGAGGATGGTAAAACAGTAGACTCAGTGAGAGCAGGACTGAACTTCAGCAGGCCCCATAATTGTACAGAAACAAGATTGCTAGGCTGGGTGCTGTGGCTCACGCCTGTAATCCCAGCACTTTGGGAGGCCAAGGCAGGCAGATCACTTGAGGTCAGGAGTTCGAGACCAGCCTGGCCGACTTGGTGAAACCCTGACTGTACTAAAAAAAATACAAAAATTAGCCACGTGTGGTGGTGCACACCTGTAGTCCCTGCTACTGGGGTGGTGGGGGGAGCTGAGGCAGGAGAATCGCTGGAACCCGGGAGGTGGAGACTGCAGTGAGCCAAGATCAGACCACTGCACTGCAGCCTGGGCGACACAGCGAGACCCCATCTCAAACAACAACTACAAAAGATTTCTCATGGCCACTTAGTTTAGGAAGAAGACCCCCATGTAGTTCATGAACCCAATGCTGTGAACCAAAATACTATAAACACTAGTATTCTAGGTCACCACTGTGATCATTGAGAAAATGTTGAAGTATATTGACATATTTTGTTTAACAAAACAAGGGACTTAAAGTGCGTTTTAGAAATATTTGTATACATGCTGGTTTAAAAAAGAAAAGACTAAAAACAAGCCTTAGTACATAAAAAGAAAATATTCAGTTTTCCAGAAAATGAGGTTACTCCCTTACATTGAGAGTTACATGAAGCCTTGTTACAGTACTTTTAGTCTTCTTTATTCAAAGAAAGAATTACCAATATCATTTTTTTTTTAAGATGGAGTGAGTCTTGCTTTGTCACCCAGGCTGGAGTACTGTGGCATGATCTCAGCTCACTGCAACCTCCACCTCCCAGGTTCAAGCCATTCTACTGTCTCACCCTCCCAAGTAGCTGGGATTACAGGCATGCGCCACCATGCCCAGCTAATTTTTGTATTTTTAGTAGAGATGGGATTTCACCATGTTGGTCAGGCAGGTTTCAAACTCTTGACCTCAGGTGATCCACCCGCCTCGGCCTCCCAAAGTGCTGGGATTACAGGCATGAGCCACCATGTCCGACCACCAATATCATTTTTTAAAAGTAAATTATTACGATTTCCTTAGGTGGTTAATAAATTACCATTATTTTCTCTATTTTACAGATCACGAAATGATAAGTAACTTACCGAAAGTTACATTATTTAAGTTAATCAAATGTTTATTGATTGCCAGACTTTTTTCTAGGCTTAAGCAAATGTTGGAAAATACTTCTCTGAGCTTTCAAAAATGTTATTTCTACTTGTCAGTGCTGCAGGAGTTTAATACAGATAATTTAGGCTGGGCGCAGTGAATCACGCCTGTAATCCCAGCACTTTGGGAGGCCAAGGCGGGCAGATCACGAGGTCAGGAGATCGAGACCATCCTGGCTAACACGGTGAAACCCCGCCTCTACTAAAAAATACAAAAAATTAGCCAGGCGTGGTGGCGGGTGCCTGTAGTCCCAGCTACTCAGGAGGCTGAGGTAGGAGAATGGCGTGAACCCAAAAGGCGGAGCTTGCAGTGAGCCAAGATTGTGCCACTGCACTCCAGCCTGGGCGACAGAGCGAGACTCTGTCTCAAAAAAACAGATAATTTATCTACATACTGTATGACTTTACTTTAAAAAATGTTTGTATCCTTGTAGTAAGACTGTTATTTTTTTTAATCCTACATCACATCATGCATTCCTGAGTGTGAGCTACCAGTGTTTTTGTCTAGGGCTAGATTACTAGAGCTAAAATATCGGGAGAATTAATGAGAAAAAAAGGCTTAACCACTGAGGCTCTGTCAATATCAGTTTTTGTGGCAGGCTATGTTTACTTTCTTCAAGGAAAAATGTCAGGCAAAATTTTATCACTACAAATACAAAAGAGAAGAACATTAAAAAAATCTGATCATTATAGAAATCATAGTCAGTGCAGAATGTTTCCTGCAGAATCCAAGTGTTTAGTGAATGTTGGTGGAAAATATGAAGTGTGTCATGTGATTGGAAAGTCATTTACCATATTCATTTTTCTTTTAGGAAAAAAAGTAAATTAGATTTTGTATGAGAATAAACCTTACTGAGACTTGTTAATTTTGCTCTGAAATTTACTGTTTGATATTAATCTGGCCAGTCTAGCTTTCTTTTAGATTAATGTTACCATGATACTTCGTTTTTTATCCTTTTACTTTTCATATATCTGTGTCTTTAAGTCTAAAACGAGTTTCATATAGACAGTATCAGTATGTAGTCTGGTCCTTTTTTATCTGCTGTGACAATCTTTGCCATTTAATTGCAGTCTTTACACCATTTATATGTAATGGAATTATCATTAATTTACATGGGATTATAATTTACATTTAATGACCACTATCCTTTTATTTGCATTCAGTTCATCCTCTTGTTCCCTTTTTCCTTCTGTTGGGATGAGTATTTTTAATTACTTCATTTTATTATGTTTGGTTGTATTAGTTTCTAATATGATTAGCTGTATTAGTTTCTAAGGCTGCCATAACAGATTAACATAGAGTGTCTCAAAACAACAGAAATGTATTCATACACAGTTCTGAAAGCTAGAAGTCCACAATTAAGGCCTTGGCAGGGTCATGCTTCCTTTGAAGGCTCTTGGCAAGAATCTTTCCTTGCATTTTCCTACGTTGTGTTAGTTGCCGCTAATCCTCTATGTTCATTGGCTTGTGGCTGCATCTCTCCAGTTTCCGCCTCTGTGTTCACATGGCCATCTTCCCTCTGTGTGTGCCTGCCATTTCCAAATCTTTCTTTCCTTATAAAAATAGCAATCATTGGATTTAGGGGCTACCCTAATCCAATATTGGCCTCATGTTACTTCATTACATTTGCAAAGACCTTATTTCCAAATAACGTCACATTCACGTAGACCTGGAGTAAAGGCTTCGAGATATTGTTTTGGGGAACACAATACGACCCGCAGCATTAGTTTTACCTCTTCGTGTTTTGTTTTGTTTTGTTTGTGGTTGATCTAGGGCTTGTAATGTAAATCTTTAATCAATCAGTCTACTTTCCAACAATATTATACCACATCACATATGGTGTAAGAACCTTACAACAGTTTACTTGTATTTCCCCTCATTTTGCCAAGCATAAAATACTATTGCTTTAAGCTACTGTAGCATCTCCCATATCTGTCCCCTCCTCTGTATTCCTACTACTACTGACTAAGGTGAGCTCCTTGTTATTTCTTGCCTTTTGTCTTGAGTAGTCTGGAGTTTCACCAGTTTACCTTAGCGATCTTGCCCTTACCTATCTACCTTCCTTTCTCACTTAGGTATCGTGTTTATGTCTCCAGATATGCCTGTGTATGTTACATCTCTGTACTTTGCTCACACTGAACTTGAACACCCTCCCCTCCACTTATCTTTCAAACAGTTATTTCCCTTTCAAAACCAAGACAAGTCTTGCCTTCTTTGAATCACTCAATGCAGTCAGCTGTGGTCTCCCTCTGTGCCCTGCTATGGATGACACACAATCTCAGTCCCAATCCCAGGTCCTGTTACGTTTTACTGGATAATTTGTCTATCCTCTTCCTCCCAAGGGGATAGGAACCTTGTGAGAGTCATCTCCTAGCATCTAGGATGTCACCAGACTGATAATCACTGTTCCATGAATGTACACTAAATGAAGTTATCAATGAATCAGTAAGTTGAGTGCTGGTTTCACTAGTCCTTACTGTTTACTGAGAGTTGTTTATAAATGACTAAATGTTCCCTTGGTAGGTGTTGTGATGAATCCTACCTACCCTGGGTAAGTTCCTTGACTATTCATTGTTAACTTCATCGAAAGTTACTTGAGAATCAAGAGTCATTTTGACAGCTTCAAATATTGACAGAAGGCTGTGGACATATTTTCCAGATGCCTTAAAAAAATAGGATGATTTCCTCATTGAAGTAGAAAATAACCCTTGATACCACCAGTTCAACTCAAATATTTACTTGGGCAAATAATTATTTGCAAGCAAAGAAACCATCTTACGGCTTTTTATTCTGACACATTAAAGCACTTACCATGAGAAAACCATACAAACATCTTTTAGATAATTTTGACCAGAAACATTGGAAGGACATTCATGACATATCCTGGCTGCTTAGAGGTTTGCAAAACATGCTGCTCCACTCTTTTTTTCTTAGGCCTGTACACAGATCCCAAGTCATTTTTTAAATGTGGAAATGTTTAAAGGGTTGTAGTGTTTTCTGATTACAGAAACCATACGAATTGTAGCTGTAATTGTGGGGCTAGAGCCTGAGGGAGCTTTTCGCTGATTCTTGTTCGGGGGGATTTCCTTGAAGTCGACAGTGGAAGAACATTATAAAGCAAAAACTACAGCTCCTTACACTTCTCCTTAGCTGTGAAAATAAAGACCAAAAAATTTACTGAGATGATGGTGAAGGCCACCAAACCTCACAGGGCTGAGTCAGCTGGTGCCTATGAGGGCGCCCCTCCTTGACACTTCCTTCCTTTTGGCAGGAAGGAGAGGGGCAGAAAGTCATCTCCTGCCGCCTCCCTCCCCTCAGAAAATGATTTATAATGTTTGAGAGATCTACTGTGAGCAAAGTTCAACACACATGCCTAAAGGACACGTCCTCTAACAAATGAGGACTTAGCAAGCTGCCTACCAGGCACCAAGCTGTGTGTACCACACAGGTATTTCTCACTTAATCTTTACAACAACCCATTAAGATAGGTGATCTGGTGTCCTGAGTGGTGGCCCTCTCTCATGCATATCTGTATCCCAATCCCTGGAACCTGTAAATATTGCCTTATTTGGAAAAAAAGGGTCTTGAGGTGACCCTATCCTGGACTATCTGCATGGGCCCTAAATGCCATCTCATGGACTTTCGAAAAGGTGAGGTTGAGATGGGAGTGATGCTGACAAGGCAGGGCGGCTGGAGGAGGTGGGAGCTGGATTCCCTCCTAGCGCCTACCGAATACGTTTCGGCAAGTTTTTTTTTTTTTGAAGCAGGCTCTCTCTCTGTTGCCCAGGCTGGAGTGTAGTGGCGCAATCACAGCTCAGTCACTGCAGCCTCCGCCTCCCGGGCTCAAGCAATCTTCCTGCCTCAGCCTCCTGAGTAGCTGGGACCACAAGTGCACTACCACACCCAGCTAATTTTTGTATTTTTTGGTAGAGATGGGGTTTTGCCATGTTGACAGGCTGGTTTCAAACTCCTGGGCTCAAGTGACCCGCCTGTCTTGACCTCCCAGAGTGCTGGGATTACAGGCATGAGCCACCGTGCCGGGCCACTTTCTGTAATTTTAAGCTACCAAGTTTATGGCAGTTTTTTTTTTTTTTTTTTACAATAACCACAGGAAGTCCATGCAGGTGCCATTATTGCCTCATTTTACAGAGGGGGAAACTGAGGCTTAGAGAGATGGATTAAGGTGCTCAAGTTTGTAAATTGGGTGTGGGTGGAGCTCGGATGCATGCTCAGTCCTTCGTCCAGAGCCTGGGCTCTCAACTTCTTTCCAGTGAGGAAATGCAAATTTGCTTCTGTGACTGATAACAGGGTGGGTGGATACCAGCCAGGGTCTGGTGTAGCTCAGCAGGTTGCTCCCTTCTGCCATGCAATAATAAGAATCACCTGTGGCCCAGGCCTCTCTAAAGAGATTGAAGTCTTAGAGGAGGTTGGTACCTCTCCAGGCCACGGGACGGGAATGACAGTGCATTTGCCTGTGTCGTAGCCACCTGCTTTTAATCAGCACTTTAAAGGGGGCAGAAACCACAGATTTCACATAAATTGATATTGAGCAGTTGTGTGAATTCCATTTGGACCTCCTCTGGTGGTGGTTCTAACCCAAATTATTTAAAGTATTTGGTAGGAACACAAGCCACTTGCTGATGAGAGAGAGGAGTAAAAAAAGACACTGATTTTTCCATTCTAGAAATTTTATTTCTTAAAGCAAGAAATCCTTAATTGCCTCCTATGTTGCTGTTCTTATTTGCCCCTTTTTAGTGGTCAGTGGGGTGTGTTTCTTAATTGTGATGGCACAGAATTCACCTTGGTCCCAAACAAGAAGTGAAGGGGGTTAAGAAATCTAAAAGGAATGAAGTTTATGGAAATGTGAGTCACCTCTCGTCACACACCACTACCTCCTCCCCCAGTCAAGGAATTCCTCTGAAATTCCCTGCATGTTTCTCTTTAGACTCTTAAGACCCCTGGGTACTTGCATCTCCATTTAGAACAACTTGAGAGAATCCCTGGCCTGTTGTATTTCATATACTTCCCAGTGTCTCACACACACGCAGACTTGCTTTTCTGACACGTGCAGAGTTTTACTCTTTTTTCTCGGGTGAAGAGACGTAACCATGATGGAAAATGAGATCCCAAGACTAAAACCAGTTAGATGATGTTCATCTGCTTCTAAGCCAGCATTCTCTCACAAAGGCTTCCCTTTGAGGTCTTCCTGGGTGTAGGTCCTTGGGGAAAACGTGCCAAGTTTCTGCACAGACTGTCCCTTGTCTCTTGACAATTGAAAGTTCCACGGCAGGTTAAAGAAGGCTCTGGGTCCGGGTGCAGTGGTCCATGTCTGTAATCCCAACACTTTGGGAGGCCGAGGCAGGTAGATCACCTGAGTTCAGGAGCTCAAGACCAGCCTGGCCAACATAGTGAAACCATGTCTACTAAAAATACAAAAATTAGCTGGGTGTGGTGGCGGACATCTGTAGTCTCAGCTACTCGGGAGGCTGAGGCAGGAGAATGGCTTGAACCCGGGAGGCAGAGGTAGCAGTGAACCGAGATCGTGCCACTGCACTCCAGCCTGGGTGACAGAGTGAGACTCTGTCTCAAAATCAATCAATCAATCAATAAGGCTCTGGGAATAGAAATGGGAAAGATTCTCCAGTGCGGGCAAAGGAAAGCACAGTCCTGATTAAAGCTTCCTGCCAGCATTAAATGTCCGTTCATTCACTGCCTCCTCCATGGTGCGATGCGGGTGGAAAGGAAGCGACACATTCGTCTTTCTTGCAAAGAGCTTGCAATGCTGTATTCTGTTGAGCATGTAAGAGTGGGGAGCTGTGTGTGTTTTATGAAAATGTCTTTTGTTACCAAGCATAGCTCTTATTAAACGGCTTCTTTTCTTTTAAAGCCTATATAACATGAGTTACATGGGCGTTTACATCAATTTTGTGTTGGTATATAGTAAATTACCCCAAAACACAGTGGCTTAAAACAATTGATGTTTATTATTTCACAGCATCTTTTTTAATTGTTGTTTTTTGAGACAAGGTCTCACTCTGTCACCCAGGCTGGAGTGCAGTGGCACAGTCATGACTCACTGTAGCCTTGATCTCCTGGCCTCAAGTGATCCTCCCACCTTAGCCCTGTGAGTAGCTGGGACCACAGGCATGCACTGCCACACCTGGCTAATTTTTTATACTTTTCCGTAGAGACAGGGTTTTGCCATGTTGCCTTGGCTTCATAGCATCTTTGGGTCAGAAATTGGTACCCAGCTGAGCAAGGTGTCTGCCTCAGGGACTCACATAAGGCTGCAATCAAGGTATGGGCTGGGGCTGCGGCCATCTCAAGACTTGAGTAGGGGAGGACCCATTCCCAAGCCTGCTTTTCGCAGGGTTTAGTTCCTTGCAAGCTGTTGGCGGAAGCCTGCCTTGATTCTCGCCATAGGGCAGCTCGCAGCATGGTAGCTGGCTTCCATCAGAGTGAGTAAGAGAGGGCGAGCCAGACGAAATCAGTCTTATAACCTAATCCAGGAGTGACACCCCATCACTTTTGCTATATTCCATATACTTGAAGTGAGTCACTAGGTCCAGCCCATACTCAAGGGGGGGATATTGTTTGAACACTTAAGTACCAGGACAGGGGACAGGGGCAAATTAGAGGGGAACTCAGAGGCTGCCTACCATAGCAGAACAGTAAGTTTCACTTGAAGCAAACATATTTATGAGAATCCTAATTTATATATATATATGAGAGAGAGAGGGGGGAATTATCTTTCTCTTCTTTCCTTTAATGAAGTATAATTCACATATTACAAAATGCATAGATCTGAAGTGCATAGTTTAATGAATTCTGAAAAATGTGTAGGATTTTGTTATTTTATAAAACCCTGGGCCATGAGGTTTCTTTAAATGCCAAATACTATAGATTTATTTACAGTGTATATATTTATGTACAGTGTAAACAATAGGTGTATTTGGCCAGGCACAATGACTCATGCCCGTAATCCCAGCACTTGTGGAGGCCAAGGTGGGCAGATCACTTGAGCCCAGGAGTTTGAGACCAGTCTGGGCAACATGACAAAATCCCATCTCTAGGAAAAAATACAAAATTAGCTGGGCATGGTGGTACATGCCTATACTCCCAATGAGTCGGGAGGTTGAGGCAGGAGAATCAACAGAGCCTGGGAGTTAGAGGGTGCAGTGAGCCATGATTGCACCACTGCACTCCAGTCTGGGTAATAGCTAAGACCCTGTCTCCAAAACAAAACAAAAAGATGTATTTGTTATGTATTGCATATAACAAATGTCCCTAAAATGTCGTGGCTTAAAGCAACACCATTTATTTTCTCGCAGTTTCTGTGGGTCACAGTTCAGCTGCGTGCTTGTGATTGAGGGTTTCTCCCGGGCTGCAGCCCAGAAGTCTAATCATCTGAGGCTCGACTGGGGAAGGATCTGCTTCTAAGCCTGCTCATGTGATGGCAGGATTCAGTTCCTCGTTGACGTTAGACTGGACCCTTAGTTCCTTATGGCTGTTGGCTGGACTTTGCCCTCAGTTCCTTGCCCCATGGGCTCCTTGCTTCCTAAAAGCACCCAAGCCAAGATTGCACTGTCAGGAGAGAACTACCAGCAAGATCGCAGTCATGGTCTTTTATACTCTAATCACATAAGTGACAACCTGACATTTTCACCATAGTCTGTTCATTTGAAGTGAGCCACTAGGTCCAGCCCACACTCAAGGAGAGACTACACAAGGGCATGAGCACCAGGAGGCAGGGACGCACTGAGAGCCATGTCAGATGCCGCCTCCCGCCATGTATGATGAAATACACTATAGACACAACTGTTTTAAGAGCCTACCAGTTTTATGAACCCAAGTATGTCTTTTTAGTAGAACATCTAAATCTAGACAGCTAGAAGAACTACATTTTATAAAAATCTGAATATTTTCTTTTTTTTTTTTGAGACAGAGTCTCACTCTGTTGCTGGTGCCAGAGTGCAGTGGTGTGATCTTGGCTCACTGCAACCTCTGCCCCCTGGGTTCAAGCGATTCTTCTGCCTCAGCCTCCCAGGTAGCTGGGACTACAGGCTTGTACCAGCATGCCTGGCTAATTTTTGCATTTTTAGTAGAGGTGGGGTTTTGCCGTGTTGCCCAGGCTGGTCTCAAACTCCTGAGCTCAAGCGATCCACCCGCCTCAGCCTCCCAAAGTTCTGGGATTATAGCGTGAGCCACCCTGCACCTGGCCTGATGAATGATTTTTAAATTGTGACTCCCCTATGCTCAAATGAGATTGGATCAAATGTCTTCTCTAGCAAATAAATAATTCCATAGCTAGAAAGATCTTTGGTAGGTAGTTTCCTTCCTCTTGTGTGTTCCCTGAGCTCTCCTACTGACGTTTTGGAATATTTTCACAGATTCTTGAATACTCCTCCCTGCCAGAGGTAAAGAGCTTAACTCTTATCCTCTTAAGTGTGGACTAGATTTCGCGACTTGCTTCTAATGGATAGAATATGGTAGCAGTGACAGTGTGTGACTTCTGAGAATAGCTGTAAAAGGCATCGTAGCTTCCTCATTGCTGTTTTTCTTGGATCACTTGCTCTGGGGAAGCCCAGCAGCCATGCCGTGAGGACACTCAAGCAGCCTTTGAAGGAGCTGCTGGTGAGGAACTGAGTCTTCCTGCTGACATTGACATGAGCGAAGCATCTTGGAAGTGGATCCTTTCATTTTTCAGGTACCGTGCCAGGGCCTGTGAGGGAACCAAGACGTGTAAGACATGGCCTCTCATTAGTGTTTAAGCAGTAGAGAAAGCTGGTGCCATCTCATTGTTCAGGAGATGAAGTGTGTGGCCGGGGTGATCCAGAGAGTCTCCTTGAAAGTACAGTGTTGAACCTTGGACTTTGGGGTAGAATTCAGACAGGGTGATGGACAGCTAAAGTGGTTCAGAGGCTGGGGTACAGCATGAGGTTATTAAAATGATGGGGCTGAGAAGTACAAGACCTGTAAGTGAAGAACTGGGCACCAGACATTGGCATGAAGAGAAAGAAGACACCTGTGTTCAGAAGTGAGCCTGCCAGGGCAGAGTTAAGACTTTTTGCTGGCCAGGTATGGTGGCTCACGCCTGTCATCCCAACACTTTGGGAGGCCAAGGTGGGAGAATTGCTCTAGACCAGCTTGGGCAACATCGTGTGACCCCGTCTCTATGAAAAAAAAAAAAAACGAGAGAAAAAAAGTTATTTCTCAAAAAATAGCCTTGGACTTGTTCAAATTTGGATCAGGTGTGAACTTGTCCCAGTGGAGCCATGGAGCCCAGGCTGTGTGTCAGAAAGCCTGCAATAGGCTTCCTTGACCCAGAAGATTTTTAGAGCCTCCATTACCAATCACGCTATGACACGTTTCTTGTTCCCATTGGGGCCTGTGTTTCAAACTTTGGGCTGGAAGAGAACATTCCCGTGACTACTCACATCATTTCTATTACCTACAGCTCTTCTCCCCTGTATTGCTAGTCTGCCTCTACCTTTTGAGATCCTACTCACTCTCCGAAGGTAAGGTGGGTGACCTGTTAATTTTAAAGGACTTTTTTTTGGTGGGGGGCACTAGCAAATAAATTAAATCTATGGATGTGAAGGGAGTTTGGTTATGACATCCACTGCCCCATTAACAGCCTTGTCCTTCCTCTTGGCTTCCCAAGCTGTGTGTTCTGTTGAAGAGGAGGCCTCTCCTTGCCCCAGGAATGGATCAGCCAGTTGGGATTATCTGTTGCCTCTAAACACTTGTAGTACTGTGTTGATGCCATCCCATTGTACTTGTGATTCCACGTTGTCACCTTAAGTAGATTGTAAATTCTTTTTTTTTTTTTTTTAAAGACAGGGTCTCACTCTGTCGCCCAGGCTGGAGAGCAGTGGCACGATCTCAGCTCACTGCAACCTCTGCCTCAGGTTCTGGCAATTCTCCTGCCTCAACCTCCCGAGTAGCTGAGACTACAGGCGCACGCTGCCATGCCCGGCCAAGTTTTTGTATTTTAGTAGAGATGGGGTTTCACCCTGTTGCCCAGGCTCGTCTCGAACTCCTGAGCTCAGGCAATCCACCTGCCTCGGCCTCCCAAAGTGGTGGGATTACAGGCGTGAGCCACCACGCCCAGCCAGTAGATTGTAAATTCTTTGAAGGCAGGTATCGTATCTTTCTGTGCAGTCAGCACAGCATTTTAAATGCAATGCTTGCTTATGAAGGGCTGTTTTTCTTTCTGGATTGTTGCGTGTGGCAGATGGAGTGCCACGCAACCAGACTTCTTGGCTACAACACACATGTGGCTTCTTTTATGGAAGTTGCCACCTGCAGATCCTTCACCACCAAGAACATGCTTTTCTGTCATATTGCAGAATCTTTGTGGAGGATCCTCGTTCTTCCTTAACTTCCTTTGTGCCACACGCTTCCCCACTTCACTTGGGCACCTTTGAACAGAGAAGCAGGATTGCTGCCTCCCCACCAGTGTAATAAATGCTCTTTACAAATGTCCCTCCTTGGAAGTATATCTTGTAGAAATCCTAGTTTCTAACTTCATCCAAGAAATTTCTAGACAACTTGTAGCCTAGATTATCCTTTAAGAGCCACTTACACTACTGGAAAACAACTCCACCCAGGTTCTTATTTGAGTTACAGGGACAAGAAGCCTTTGGATTGCAGGTTTAAAAAAAAATTTTTTTTTTATTGCTGAGACTTCTATTATGAACTACCACAGTTGACAAACTGTTAGTTTCCATAGCAATTTTAGACTGTCCTTAGGTGAAGGGTTTCCCTTCCAGTTGCTATTTAAGATGTGTGGAATCCAAGAAGTCACAAAAGGTATTTCATGTGTCATACCTTGGCAATGCGTGCTACTAATTATTTTTTTGTTCCTGTCGTTAAATATAGAGCCTTCTCATTTATTTTGTCAAATGCATTTTCCTCTACTACTTTTTTTTTTCTTTTTAAAGAAAGATGCTCTGTGAAAAGGAAGCCATTCATCCATCCAGGTGAGCTCTGGATGGGCGAGCCAGCCATGGGGACTCCTCCCTGGGACTGGAGCTCTTTTTGACTGAGCTGCACCTTTGAGCATCGAGTTTCTGTTTACCACCTGGATGCTTTCCATTTTGAACACATTTGGGCCTTTCACTGAAAGGCACTTTAAAAATTCAAGGTTTTAGCATCATCACCAAAAACATCTACTAAAATATGCATTTGTACCTGGAGTCATTTAAAACAAATGAGTTAACCTCCTGTGCTCTGAGAATAATCTTTTCTTTCTTCTTCTTTTTTTTTTTTTTTTTTGGTCAAGACAATAGTCTTCATGGGCATTAGGTGACAACAGCTATGCAATTTCATTTTAGTCCATAATACATTATTTAAAGAGGTTATTGAAAATGTTGATTCCTGGAGCTAAAGAAATGGAAATATTTAACCAAAAGAAGAGAACATTTGAAGACCTCAAAGCTTTCATGAGATGTTTGAAAGGCAGTTGAATGTGGAGAGGGTATGCTATCTGCTATGGTCTGGCTCTGTTTCCCCACCCAAATCTCACCTTGATTTGTATCAAGAGCAAGAACAGTTGGAGACAACTAAATCATGGGGGGCAGTGTTTTTCCCATGCTGTTCTCATGATAGTGAGTTCTCAGAGATCTGACAGTTTTATAAGGGGCTTCCCCCTTTGCTCAGCTCTCATTCTTCTCTCTCCTGCCGCCTTGTGAAGGACATGTTTGCATCCCCTTCCACCATGATTTTAAGTTTCCTGAGGCCTCCCCAGGCCTGTGGATCTGTGAGTCAATTAAATCTCTTTCCCTTATAAATTACCCCATCTCGGGTATGTCCTTATAACAGCATGAGAATGGACTAATACACTACTACCTGATACTCCCCGGGGAAGAACCCCACAGCATCAGGATAGGGGATAAGGAAAGCAATTTGGGTCAATGGAGGAGCAAATTTGCCAGCAGTTTGGAGCTGTTGATAGTTGGATTAGATGGTTTCATGAAGTTTTGAGCCTCTAGATTCAGAGACCAAGTGACCACCTTCCCCTTGCGCTGAGAGGGAATTTCTTCAACTGGTTGGAAATGGAATGATAGGTAGGATCCAGAAGGGCTATCTAACTTGATAATTTATGTGATTGTTTTCTCATTTAAGGGAGAGAATATTATCTACAGTGTTTCTGATTTTTTTAAGGGCCTTGGGGAAGGACATAATGAATTATTCAGAGACTTCTCTCTGTGAAGCAAGTTGCACAGAGACAGACAACTTGATACAAATTACGATTCTAAATTTGTTAGTAATATATTTTATTCATGCACTCTACTTACAATAGATTTCCTGCTTGACATTTCTTAGACATATCACTCATGATCCCACAGTTGCTCTTTGAATGGGTGCGAAACCTGTGCAAAAAAAAAAAAAGATGTACACAGTCTAATGAATTATGCAAGTCTTAAAATGTCTCAAGAAAAAGATTACTCATTAGGATTTTCGAATGAATAAATTCAACATAATTGTTGGTGCAACTGCTCTCTCATGTAATAGGTACCAAAATCTGATTCATGTTTTATATTGGAGGGACGGGTACTTTTCTGAAGAATTTTAATAAAGGCAAATAAATGCCTTTTCTAGGATGCTTTATAGTAGAGCCCACAAAGGTTTTCTTCAGCAATACTATCAGTGCTGCTTTTCTCTCCATACTTCCAAAACCTAGAATTTTTTGCCAGTACTTTTTCCCTGTTTTCTTCTGAGTGGTAAAATCCATCTGGGCAGATTTTCTACAGGCCTGTGAGGGGGTGTTAGCCAGAGAGCAGTGTTTTGAGCTCATATACAGAATAGGTGCCTCTGGATAGAAGTTCCGATCCCAGTATCCTCTCCCAGGCCCCAGTTCTGCACAGGCAGAGGACACCATCCCCATGCAGTCCAGACACCTGCCAGCAAATGTACTCGTTTGCTGACATCTAGGGAGCCTTGTGATGCTTCTGAATACTGCCCACCGTTCCCAATTGCTGAAATGTTTAAGAACTTTATAGCTCTAGCCAATACGGGAATAGCTGTACATTCAGGAATGCTCGTGAAATGTGGCAGGGCCTTGCCCTCCTAGGCTTGAGGCCCAGGCTCCTGATGGTCGGTTTGATTGGTGGCTTATCCATGCACCTGATAGTTATTTATGGCTACGTGCTAGGTACTGTGCAGACACCGAAGCATAAACATTTCCCCTCCTGGGGCTTCTGGTCTTGTTGAAGAGACGGACAGTCAACATGTATGCCAATAAATACATTATTTGTTTAAAGTCACAGTAGGTGCTATGTAGGCGAAAAACAAGGAGTACTGGTAAGGAATAGGAGAAGAGGGCTTTGCTGGGATGGGACCTTTAGCAGAGACTTGGGGGATGTGTGGGATCAGTGTAGGGAGAGGAGAGGGGAGCAAGCCAGGGAGAAAGGAGCTTGGCCGAGGGCCTAGAGCACCCGGGGCAAAGGGGGACCTGGTGCAGGCTGAGGCAGGTGAGCTGAGCAGAGGCAGACAGGGCCCAGTGCAGTGAGGAATCTGATTCTCATCCAGCTGCAAAGGTAAGAGTTATAAGGTTTTAGGCTAAGAGTGAGATCATCATAAAGATGGCCCTGACTACTGCCTAGGAGGAGTGGAGAGTAAGGGGGGGAGGGAGGACAGACTGTAAGTGGAAAAGAGAGAATGTGAGAAGAGTAGTGGTTGGCAATTGCAGTTGTTTTAGTCCAAGATGATGATACCCGCAGCTGGGGTGGTGGCAGCGAAAGCAGCCGACGGTGAAGGTCTGCATGGAGGTTCGGCCATGGACCTGAGGGGTAATCTGCCATGCAGTTCAGAATGATGACCCTCGGACCGGGCATGCTTCTCAGTTAACATCTGATGCTGCCCTACTAAAGGCAAAACGGATGGTCTAATGCAGGCAAACTGGAAATAGTGCTGGTAAGAACTGAGAGCACCTGTGCTTGCCATCCCCATGCATTCGAACAGGCTGTGGCTTCCCTCTGGGCTCAAGTGGAACTGTTTGGACAGTACACATTTGAATCTGTGACAGCTCTTGCACTGGACTGGGAAAGTTTTGGGCAAAAGGAGTCCTTGAATCAGAGACTCTTAATGCAGGGACAGACCTTAAAAGCCCTCCAAGCCCTCCAGGCCGGGCACGGTGGCTCATGCCTGTAATCCTAGCACTTTGGGAGGTTGAGGTGGATGGGTCACGAGGTCAGGAGTTCAAGACCAGCCTGGCCAAGATGGTGAAACCCTGTCTCTCCTAAAAATACAAAAAAAAAATGAGCTGGGCGTGGTGGTGGGCGCCTGTAATCCCAGCTACTCAGGAGGCTGAGGCAGAGAATTGCTTGAACTCAGGAGGTGGAGGTTGCAGTGAGCCAAGATCACGCCACTGCACTCCAGCCTGGGCGCAACAGAGTGAGTCTCTGTCTCACCAAAAAAAAAAAAAAAAAAAAAAAAAAAGCTCTCCAGTACCCTCATCTTAGAGTTTAGGGAACTCAGGCTCAGAGAGGTTTGAGTTATTCATACAAAGACACGCAGCCGGTGAGTGACAGAGAGAAACTGTCCAATAAGGCAAATTTTTTTTTTAAGAATTTTGAATGATGGACTTATAAGTCTTCATTAAGTCCTTATAGGATCTAATTTTTATAAATCCTTTCAGAACTAATTTATTTAAGGATTAAGCCAGTCAAAATCCCAGAACGGTTTCAAGTCAACAGCTTAAAAGTGGAATCTGAATGTTAACCAAGATGATTTTCCTTGTATGTGGACGGCTGTAATTGGGCCCCAGTCTCTCATGTGAAAAGCCAAACAGATTCAGATCTAATGAGTTCTGGCCGCTGGGGCAGATGGATTTTGGAATTTGCTATTTATAGTGTTTTCAAGTGTCACCTTCCCCTTTTAATAAGCACTGAGCTGTGATCTGGCCCCAGGAGCCTGGAGCACATTGGTAGGTGTGCTGAGGGCCTCACAGCCGAATGACTTCTGGTCCAGGTTTGGAATTGAAGGTTTAAGTTGGGATGTTGGCTATTCCTCAGAAGTGAGGATGTGTTCTTCCAAATAAATGGTGATCAATCCCTGTGCATTGGAGAGCTGATGGGGGTGTGCTTGGCGGAGAGAGGCATACCCCCAGAGGCTTGAGGAGGGCAGTTGTATTTCACGTGCTGAGGAGAGTAGTGGTGTGGTTAAATCAGGAATAAAAAAAAAATATGAAGAAATTGTCAGGGAGAGCTTCAGCTGGGCCCAAAGGAAATCAAGAAAAGAGCAAATGAGAATGCAATTTAAAATGTAAATACAAACTGAAATCAAAGCCATTTCTATGAAACATTTAAGAACATTCTGTAAGTATTGCTGGTCAGGAAAGCACAAAAAATTGTCTGTGTTTTGAGCCCATTGTCAGTGTATTATTTAGAGGGAAGTTCTGATTTTTGCTAAGGGGTTATTCCGAGTTGCGAAGTGGTGTGGTGTTGGGGGAAGAATACCACCAACTCCAGGCCAGCTGCTGCATCTCCTGGAATCTCTGTTTTCTCTTCTGTAAGATGGGAGTCAGGGTGGCCTCCATCTGATCACACTGAATTGTTGAGTGACTCAAAGGAGATAATGTACCAAACACTTTGTAAGCCCTATGACACCGTTCAAAGTCTATTTCCTCCCAGCTCTGTTTTCTAAAATCAGGCTGTATGTTCGAATCACCTGAGGAACTTAAGACTATTACCAGCGCCACCACTGGCATTTTTCATTCTCTTGGACAGCAGAGGTTTTCCAAAGCCCTGGATGTCATTCTGCTGGGCAAGTCTGGCTGACGGGGCTCTGAGGAGTTGGAGGGCCTGTCCACCCTTGCCTTTGGGAAACCAGCCAGCCAGTGGTCCAAGGAGATTGTCGGCTGTCTTCCCAAGTCAGCGCCATCTTCCTTCCTGCTCATTTCCTGTCTCCCAGTTTTTCCCTGGAACCTTTCCATTTAAATATGAATTCAGCTGCAGCCTGCGGGGATCTGAAGTACTAGCGAGTTGACTGCCTGAGGAGGTGGGCCTGTGGAGAACCAGAGCTACAGTTTTCCACAAAACATATCATTTTAAATGATTCTGAAGCCTGTTAAATTACACTGATGGGATTAATCTGATAAAGTGGTAACAGGGTAGATGCACCGAAATGATCGCTTTCACATGCTTTTTAATTCAGTCAAAATTAATGAAAGATCTTGTGTTTACGGATGGAACTGGAGTTTAAAATTCTGAATTCATTAGCCTGTTTTAATGCATAAATCTAACTTCCTTGTCCGTGTGTGAAACTCAACTAGAGTGCAGCTCGATGCTACTCTGCCAAGAGAACAGGCAGAAGGAAGCCACATTTTACCCTTGAAGCCGGGTTAGCCCCGTGCCTTGATCATGCCACTGAGAATGTATGTTTCTAGTCTGAATCCTTTTGGCTTTATGTTGTCATTCAGCGTGTGTCATGTCCACACCCAGGGATAATTCCTGTCTTAGAAATAAGGTGTATGATCCAGCAATTACACTTCTGGATATAGACCCAGAAGAGGGTCTCGAAGAGATACTTGTATGCCCATGTTCGTAGCAGCAGCAACATTCACAATAGATAAGAGGTAGAAGCAACCCAAGTGCCTATTGAACAGATGAATGGATAAACAAAATGTGGTAACTACATATGATAGAGTGTTGTTCAGTCTTCAAGAAGAAAGAAATGCTGACACCTGCTACAGTGTGGATGAACCCTGAAGACTTTCTGCTAAATGAAAAAGCCATTCAAAAAAGGACAGATATTAAACGATTATATGAGGTACTTGGAATAGTCAGAAATCATGGCAAGTATAATGATGGCTGCTAGAGGCTACAGGGAAGGAGGAATGTTAATGGGTATAGAGTTTCAGTTGTGGAAGATGAAAGAGTTGTTGAGGTGGATGGTGGTGATGGTTGCAGAATAGTGTGAATGTACTTACTGCCATACAACTGTACACTTAAAAATGGTTAAAGTGGTCAATTTAATTATATATATAATTAAATATATATAATTAAATTATATATATAATTAAATATATATAATTAAATTATATATATAATTAAATATATATAATTAAATTATATATATAATTAAATTATATATATAATTAAATATATATAATTAAGTTATATATAAAATTAAATATATATAATTAAATTATATATAATTATATATATATATATCTCACCACAATAAAAAAAAAAGTAAAACATAACAAAAGAATAGAGGTATCTGTAGGAGCTCTCTGCCCTAATTCAGATGAGTACCACCCTATAAATGCTGGTGAAGTCTACAGGATTTTTGCCAGCATGGCAACCACTGTGCTGTCCATTCTTGGTCAGACCTGTAGAAGGGAAACAGCAGTTGTGGAAGTATGTCTCAGGCACCCTGGAGGACACCTAAGGGGAAACTCATCTGACAAGGACACAGACATTTTTCTAGGTTCCCTGAGTCTTCTGTGTGGTCCATCCTACCAGCTGGGGTTATCTGATATTCCAGTGTATGTGAAAATAATAGCTAAGTTTTGTTTTTTTTTGTTGTTGTTGTTGTTGTTTTTTGGCAGAGTCTCACTGAGTCACCCAGGCTGGAGTGCACTGGCACTATCTTGGCTCACTGCAACCTCCATCTCCTGGGTTCAAGCGATTCTTCTGCCTCAGCCTTCTGAGTAGCTGGGATTACAGGTGCGCGCCACCACGCCCAGCTAATTTTTGTATTTTTAGTAGAGACAGGGTTTCACCATGTTGGCCAGGCTAGTCTCAAACTCCTGACCTCAGATTATCTGCCCACCTCGGCCTCCCGAAGTGCTGGGATTACAGGCATGAACACTGTGCCTGGCCAGCTTGATAAATTTTTATGCAGAATGGTTTTATTTTATTATTATTTGGAAGGGAATAGTGGCCCTTCTCTCTGATTTCTGGTTATATACCTATAACTGTAGCAGCTATTTCATCCTGTTAGCTTTTTTTTTAAAAAGATATTTTTTAGAGCCATTGTTTTAGGGTTATAGGAAAATGGAGTGGAAAGTACAGTGTTCCCTTATACCTGCCCCTCTCCTCAACAGTCTCCCCTCTTATTAACATCTTGCATTAATTAGTGTGGTACATTTCTTACAACTGATGCAATATTATTAACAAAAGTCCATGGTCTACATTAGGGTTCGGTCTTGGTAGTGTATAGTCTGTGGGTTTGGACAAATGTGTCATGGCCCGTATCCACCTTTATAGTATCATACAGAGGATCTTCACTGCCCTAAAAATCCTCTGTGCTCCATCTTGTTCTTCCCTCCCTCCCATCAGCCCCTGATCCTTCTATTGCCTCCATAGTTTTTCCTTTTCTGGAATGTCATATAGTTGAAGTCATGCAGTATGTAGCCTGTTCAGATTGGCTTCTTTCACTTAGTAATATGCACTTTAGTTTCCTCCATGCCTTTTCTTGACTTGATAGTTCATTTCTTTTTAGTGCTAAATCATATTCCATCATCTGGGTATACCATGGTTTATCCATTCACCTATTCAAGGGTATCTTGGTTGCTTCCAAGTCCTGTGCTCTTTTAAGATTTCAGTTTTTGACCCTTGATGTGACAAGATGGGAAGGGCCACAAAATATCTCATTCTTTTTCTCCTGTTGACTTAGTCTGAATACTCCAGACTGTGCTGACCTGTGTGGTTCAGTCTAGGAGCCATAGGCTCTGTGAGGCTGTTGAACAGTTGAAATGCGGCTGGTCCAAATGGAGATGTTTGTACTGTCTGTGCAGAGGTACGTTGGATTTCAGACTTAGTATAAACAAAAGAGTTTAAAGTATCATTAATTTCTTACATCAGTTATGTATAGAAATGATAATTTATATCTTGGATTATATAAAACATTTAAAAATTGTTGTACTTGTTTCTTCTTTCCTTCCTTCCTTCCTTCCTTCCTTCCTTCCTTCCTTCCTTCCTTCCTTCCTCCTTTCTTTCTCTCTCTCTTTCTTTCTTCCTCTCTTCCTTCCTTTCTTCCTTTTCTTCCTTTCTTCCTTCTTTCTTTCTCTTTCTTTCTTTCGAGACAGAGTCTCGCTCTGTTGCCCAGGTTGGAGTGCAGTGGGGCCATCTCGGCTCTGTGCAGGCTCTGCCTCCCGGGTTCAAGGGATTCTCCTGCCTCAGCCTCCCGAGTAGCTAGAATTACATTTGCCCACCACTACACCTGGCTAATTTCTGTATTTTTAGTAAAGATGAGGTTTCACCATGTTGGTCAGGCTGGTCTCAAACTCCTGACCTCAGGTGATCCACCTGCCTCGAACTCCCAGAGTGCTGGGATTATAGGTATGAGCCACTGTGCCCAGCCTCTTTTTAATTGTTTAATGAGACTACTAGAAAACTGTAAATTACCTACAGCTCACATAATGTTTCTGTTGGGTGGTGCTTCTGGGAAAAAGAGGAATGCGTGGCTTTTGTCCATGGTGCCTCTTTAAGGATGTTATTCAGCTGATGTTTCTCAGGTACCTGCTATGTGCCAAGCACTGTTGAAGCACTTCAGATAATTCAGTGATTGAAAGAAACAAAACCCATGACTTTGTGGGTTTTAGTACATTAGATTTGGATATTATCAAATTATTTTGGCACTTTTTCTCCACAGTAGCACTACTGTTTTTAAAAGACCAGTGCCAGCCGGGTGCAGTGGCTCATGCCTGTAATCCCAGCATTTTGGGAGGCTGAGGTGGGTGGATCACGAGGTCGGGAGTTCAAGACCAGCCTGGCCAAGATGGTGAAACCCCATCTCTACTAAAAATACAAAAATTAGCCGGACGCAGTGGCAGGCACCTGTAGTCCCAGCTACTCAGGAGGCTGAGGCAGGAGAATCGCTTGAACCCGGTTGGCAGAGGTTGCACTGAGCCAAGATCACGCCACTGCACTCCAGCCTGGGTGATAGAGTAAGACTCCGTGTCAAAACAACAATCACCACCACCACCACCACAACAAGAAACACACACCAGTGGCCCAGGAAAGACAAAGGAGGCTTTAGGATATGTCCCGGTTCTCATTCTGGTCCCAACACTTATTATGGATGTAACTTTTGGCAGTTCCTTACCCGTTAAGCCTTGGTTTCCTAACCGTAAAATGGGACTAAGTAATTCCTCTCATAGAGTGCTGCTTGTGCAACATGGGGTCAGAATGAGTACTCAGGAAGTGATTCCCACTCAGCCCGCATCCCTTCCTGGAGCACTGCAGTTTTGGGATTCTTGTCTCCAGCCCAGCTCTTACAGCCCCTGAGAGCATGCTGAGCAGGGGAAAGCTGCTCTAAAGTTCAATTTGCATTGTACCTTCTCCATTTACATTTCTTGACCTTTTGCTTTCTCATCCAGCAATCCCCAGCAGGGTGTCTGTGTTCTAAGGCACCCACCTAGCCTCTTTCTGAATTTTAATCCCAGCTCTGGCTAAAAGCCTGAAAGCAAAATATGAATCGTAGCTCCACAATTATAACGTGGGACTTTCTTTATAAAATGAAGTTGCTCTAGCAGAAAGCCAGGGCTACAAATCAGTAGCGGCTTCAGGATGCATGGCCTCTTTCTGGCATAGGAGGCCCCTTTTTCTTCTCAGTCGCGGTGTTTCTTCCAACATCTATGCATGTTGAAGTCTGGAGAAGGCTGATGCTGAGAGATATGTACTAATGAAATGCACAGGTGTTATCTTTTTCTGTTCCAAGTCCCTGTGTGCCCTCCTGTCTTGGTGGGTGGCATGGCAGGACATAGAAACACTTGGAACCTGTTTACTATTTTCCAAAAAGGCCTTGCCTGTAGCCCATTGATCTACCCACTATGTATATTCATTTTAATGCTGTTTTTGAGTCCGTTGACTACCCCGGGAAATCAAAGTTGACTACCACAGCCCTAGTCCTCAAGTGTCTTGCCTGCAATGAGGTTACCTGGCCTATTAGAATTAAGGACTAAAATGCAGGAGCTGGGGTCACACCTGCCAGCTGTTTGTGAGCCCTGAAGATGTTGGGGATTTAAATTTTAGATAGATCATTGTAGCTGCAAGGGGTAGGACGGATAGGTGGGGTATCCAGAGTCCTTGGATACCTTGTCTTCCTGGACCCTCTCTCAGCACCCTTGGGCTAAGATGCACTCTTGAACACATTTCCTCTATGGCCCCTTTCAGATCTGCTGATGATACCTGGATTCCTTCTTTCAGAGTGACCCAGCCCCATCCCAGGGAACGGGCAGATGGGCTCTGTTGCCCATCTCAAAGTTCCCTTACTTTTTTTCTTTTGAGGTTTTATCAGTCCAGAAGTGGAAAGAAGATGGATGCCATTAGCTTTAGAAATATTTTTTATGTTTTAGGGAGAAAGAAGCAGAGAATATACTTTTAGATGAGCACACTTTAAAATACCAGTAAGACAGACTTGTTGGAAGACAGGCATTGTGAAGAACTGTTGTTGTTTTTTGGTTTTTTTTTTTTTTTTTTTTTTGCAACAGCTTTCCCCACTTTGGGAAATGAGAACTTATGCCCTCCTGAATGTTGTATTTGATGGGACTTAGATCCATGGGGGAATTTTATTTTATTTTTTAGGAAAAGGTAACCTACTAAGTATAGTTATATCCTTCTAGCATGAAATATAATCATTTATTAGACCAGAACTGTTTGTTAATTCAGCAGTGTGTCTTGAAAAAGAGCCACCCTCAAATTTAAAGTAGAAATAGATTCTTCATTCTACACCTTTTTGACATCAGATTTGCTTTCCTGGTCTCAGTGCAGGTGCCCCTACTGTTTGGTGTTTGGGACACAGCCTCCGAGTAAGTCCAAGGAGAGCTTGGGGTTAGGCAGTATAGGCCATGAGCCCCTTGCCAGCCTCCCAGGGACTTTGAGAGGAGCTGTTTGGGGCAAGATGCTTAATGAAAGGATGTTTTGTAATTTAGAGAGAAAAAAGAAATTTATCCCATAGATAACTAAACCCTCAATGGGAATATTAGAAAATACAATTGTCACATTATGTAATATTTGTACATTTTCCACTGCAAGTAAGAATGCGTCCTTTCCTTAATTTTAAAATATGGAAAAGGTCGACCTTTCTGCTACCGTAAGGAAAATCAAGGGAAAGGGAGGTTTTATACATGATATGGGGAACTTGGTATAATTATTTAGCTCAGTATGAAATTCTGCCACAGGAATATAAGGTAATTAATTTCTCTAAGTATGAAATGCAATCTTGAAAAACTAGGAAACAGGTGCCGAGGTGACAAGATAGGAAGAGAAGCTGAGTGTTGTGCAGTGGCACCGAACAACTTCTGGAACATTCCAGAGCGTGGCTTTGTAGCTGGAGAGAGCCTCCTGGCTTCTGTGTGGCGACCGAGACTGACCCCTGCTGGCAGATTGTTGCTAAGCCGTGGCTGTTAATGAAGCAGGGCAATAAGGCCCTTAAGCAGGAGATCCTGCCAGGCCACAGGCAGGTCTGTCTCCGAGGCTATGCCTTGTACCAGCCCTTGATGCTGTTGCCTGAATTCCCAGTGGGAAGAAAAATGGACCCAGCAGTTTTTAGTGTTTTGGTCTCAGTTTCCACCATCTCTCCCCTTTCCCAGTCTGGGATGTCAGTGTTTGCTCTCTCCTCCCTACCCTCTGTTACCTCAAGATTTCATGGAAATAAAAAGCCCTGCTAACATCACAAAGAGGCTGAAAATTCCAGATCCACCTCGGAGCCAGACACTTGAGAAATTTGATGCCAAGGTAACCTGCGTTTGGGAAAACATCCTTATTAGGTTTATTTAAGAACGATTTGAAAAATTCCTATAAGTGAAAATCAGATGGGAAGAAGTCCAAAAATCTGATTCATGCCATGACTGTGATACAACCAAGATCTTCGTGAGCCAGTGGATGGGGAAGAGAGATAATGTACAATATTTCTATGTGTTTCCTGGAAAAATTCTTAAACGGATTATAAAAAGCACTAAGTGTAAAGGAAAATGTTAATACATTGGACTGCATTAAATAATAGACCAGCAGAGGTCTGGCGTGGTGACTCATGCCTGTAATCCCAGAACTTTGGGAGGCTGAGGCAGGCAGATCACTTGAGGTCAGTAGTTCGAGACTGGCCTGGCCAACACGATGAAACCCCATCTCTAGTAAAATTATAAAATTAGCTGGGCATGGTGGCACACACCTGTAATCCCAGCTGCTAGGGAGGCTGAAGCATGAGAATCACTTGAACCCCAAAGGCAGAGGTTGCAGTGAGCTGAGATGGCACCACTGCACTCCAGCCTAGACGACAGAATAAGACTCTGTCTCAAAAAACCCCCAAAAAATAGATGTGCAGAGTCTTTATTTGTGGTAGAGGTTAGTGTTTTCCCCACTACATTTTCCACCAGCTTGTTCTGGGAGCTGCTTTTGGGTGCTGGTGAGGAGTAATTCGTGGTTTAGGAAGCTTGAGTGCGGGTGCTGGGTCCTCTGCTTGTTGCTCAGCAGGGTACTGGAGGCCAGGAAGGCTGGCGCTGCAGAAATCTGTCTTCAGTGCACTTACTGCTGTTGCCATGGACAGCTCATTCGTATAGCTGGTGTGGAGCTAATGAAGTAGGGATGTTTTTAAAATGAAATTTTAAAAATGGGGTTTGAGAAGTACATAAACAGTTCATTGTGGCATAAAATGACATTATAATCATTTAATTTTGAGATGATTTAAAAATCATTTCCTCATGTTCCATGTTCTACAGCTTACCAGTCAGGAAAAAGGATAATTTTGTGGGACTCAATGAAGTGATGAAATTGAGAACAAAGCCTTTCATCTTTGGACTTACACTTCCATGTTCCTAAAAGAGTTAGGCAGGGATATGTAGGTAAATCAAAGACTGGAAACGTAGGGTCTTTGGAAACTTTTTTCTGGGTCATCTTTTTAGTCTTAAAGCTAAGCCTTCAGTTGCCAAGCAGTGGTTTTTTTAATGAATGAGGCTGGTCAATAGGATATCTATATTTTAAAAACCTCAACCACAAGTAACACCCTACACAAAAACCAATTACAGATAGATAGTAGACCTAATTGTAAAACAATAAATGTTCTAGAAAATGACAGAGAACATGTTTATGAAGTTGAGGTACAAAATAATTTTGTAAACAGGATCTAAATAGAACTAACCCTAAAGGAAAAGATTAATCAGGCATTTTTGTTAATTGAAACATCAAAGAATGAAAGGTAGACTGGTATTGGGGGAAGATATTTGCTACACTTATACCTGTTAAAGGGCTTGTGTCCTGAATTTAAAAAAAAGGTCAGGTGCGGTGGCTCACACCTGTAATCCCAGCACTTTGGAGGCCGAGGCAGGCGGGGATCGCCTGAGGTCAGGCGTTCAAGACAGCCTGGCCAACATGGTGAAACTCTGTCTCTACTAAAAATACAAAAATTAGCCAGGCATGGTGGCAGGCACCTGTAATCCCAGCTACCTGGGAGGCTGAGACAGGAGAATCGCTTGAACCCAGGAGGTGGAGGTTGCAGTGAGCTGAGACCATGCCACTGCACTCCAGCCTGAGCAAGAAGAGTGAAACTCCATCTCAAAAAAAAAGAAAACCTCCTCCTACAGATCAGTAAGAAAGACAATCCAGTAGAAAAATGGGGAGGAGATTTGTAAACTTCATGAAAGAGGATATAAAAATGGACAATAAACATAAAGTGTTCAACCTGGGTCATCAGGGGAATGCAAATTAAAACTGCAATGGGATGTCACCAGCAGTCGTAAGAAAGAATAAAATGAAAAAGACCACAGTACTAAGTGTTGGTGAGGACATGCTCCTGGTATGCAAATTGCTATAACCACTTTAGAAAACTGTCAGTATTGACTAAAGCTGAATACACACTCCTGTCAGACAGCAATTCTTCTCGTAGGTGGATCCCCAAAAGAAACATGCATGTGTACCCCAAAAGTCATGCCCAAAATGTTCACAGAAGTATTATTCATAATTGCCTTAACCTGGAAACAACTCAGATGTTCCTCACATGTAGAATGGATTTTTTTGTATAATCCTATCATGGGGTACTGTGCAGCCCTGAATGAAAAACCTGTTATGTGCAACAAAAGTGTGATGTCTTGCAGACATAACACTGAGAGAAAGAACCCAGGCACAGAATTGTTTTCTGTATATAAAACTCAAAAAGAGGCAACACTCATCTCTAGTGCCTAGGGGTCAAGGTAACCACATCTTGCTGGGGAGAAGAGTGACTAGAACAGGCACAAGGGGACTTCTGGGGCTCTCGTTCCATTCTGACGATGGACGGGTTTGTGGATACACAGGCGAGATTATGTTGTGAGAATCCATCAGGCTGCATATTATGACTTGTGCATGTAAAACATGTATGCTACACCTATTAAAACGTGTTTGTTTTAGAAATGCCTTCAGTATGTACAGCTATGATAGATCAACAGAAAAAATAAAACACTTTAAAATTTCTTTAAAAATTTTTAAAAAGCAGTGCCTTCAAACACCCAGGCTATTGTGCAGCGTGTTGCTACTGTCTGTGATGCCTGCGAGGCATGGGTGAGAGGAGGAGGCGGTGCCAGTGAGTAGAGTGAGATCGTGATATTGCTAAATCACTTTCTTAGGGTGTGAAAGACTCTGCTTTAGCTCTTTTTCGGGCTTTTCTGCCATGCCTTACTAGTTTTGGCAGTTTTCCTATTAAAATTATATGTAATGTCTTGATATAACTGTGCTCGTCTGGAGCTGTGTATTTAAATAGCTGTAAACTTCTCAACCCAAATTGTGGGAATTAAATTTCCATTAGCAGATTGGCAGCATAATCTGGTGGGATGTTCTCTGGGCCCAAAGCCAAGAGCCCTGGGTTCTAGTTACAGCTTCTAGTCCTGACCTGGAGCATGTCACTCAGCCATCCTCCGTGGGTACCTCCTCCTGAAAATAATATTAAATCTACATATGGAAATCACATCCACCCACCTCTAAGGTTGCTGTGAAGGTAAGGGAAGGTAATATCTGTGAGCACTGTTTGCAAATTGCAACTGCAGAGTCATAAATCTGTTTGCATAAACCACACATTCCAGAGGGGTTCTAATCGTGTTTACATATACTTCTTAAATTTCGTACTAAATGTCTGTAGATATGAAGATGTGAAAACAAAAGCTCAGTGAGAAAGTAACCAACAGAATGGAGGAATTCTGGAGAAGTCCTAACATGTAGTGTTTTCCCATTCCTAATCCCTATCATCTTGTGGCATTGCGTGTACTTATTTCTGTGTTTTCACATTATTAACTGACCATTTTGGATGGTTGAATATACAGGAGAGGTGCTGGTTCAGGAAATAATTGTTTTTTTTTAATCCATATTTCAAAAGTAATTCTTGTCGGTATATACAAATATGTTTAAGTTTTATTATTTGCCTTTTAACAAATTACAACATGCCACATTAGGAATAAGTTTGACACACCTTAATCATTTTAAGTCTTATTATCACTAAAATTTGCAGCATTCTCCTTCATGGAAGAAAAAGTTAATTTGGTGGAACCTTTAGTCAAATTAATTGGTCAGAAGAAATACTGTATACTTAACTGAAAGAGGGAAAAAAACCCCATGTTTTAATGAACTTAAATTTAATTGAACAACCTTCCTCAATCAATGTTTTAGAAATTGTTTTTCTCAGGAAACAAACTATTGACCTAGGCAAGTGGTTTAAAAACTTTTGTTTGACGGTAGACATATACTTTTGCAAATAAAACCTTCCACGGAACCTGAGTCCGTAGAGCAGATAAAAGACCACTCTGAAGCAGGGGTAGGAGTGGAGAAGGTAGAAAAATGGGTGGTAGATCTTACCACTGAGTGTTTTGCTTTTGAAATACGAAGCCTGTTGGATGCCATGGAAAGCCAGATAACTATTACTCTGTATGATAGTGCAGGGAACGTTCTGTGTGTGGTTGTGTTATGTTGACATTCCATCCAGTGTGCCACTCCGTATAATTCCGTCTGACGTGCCACTCCATATAATTGGGATGCTGTCTGTTCACTTAGCTGATAGAGGTGGGATTCAGAGACTGTGGTGTCTGTGATGCTGTGATCCTAGACATGGTAAGTGCGTAATACCTCTAGATGCTGATAGATTAAGCTATGATTGAATTTATAGTTTCCAGAATGAATATTGTACTTTGAGAGGCTATAAAGAATATCAGGCTGGGCATGGTGGCGCACGCCTGTAATCCCAGCACTTTGGGAGACAGAGGTGGGCGGATCACCTGAGGTCAGGAGTTCGAGACCAGCCTGCCCAACATGGCAAAACCCCATCTCTACTAAAAGTACAAAAATTAGCCAGGCGTGGTGGTGGGCACCTGTAATCCCAGCTACTCAGGAGGCTGAGGCAGGAGAATAGCTTGAACCCGGGAGCAAGAGGTTACAGTGAACCAAGATTGCACCATGACACTCCAGTCTGGGCCACAGAGCAAGGCTCCATCTCAGGGGGAGGAAAAAAAAAAGAATATCAGTAACTGAGAAAATACGCAAGATGAACCACCTTTCCAGAAATGTTCCAGTTAGTCAAATTATCCTGGTAACCCACAGCTCACTGCAGCCTTAATCTCCTGGGCTCAAAAGATCCTCCCACCTCAGCCTCCCAACTAACTGGGACCATAGGTGCACAACACCATGCCTGGCTTTTTGATTTTTTTGTAGAGATGGGCTCTTGCCACATTACCCAGGCTGGTCTCAAACTTCTGGGCTCAAGCAGTCCTCCTGCCTTGGCCTCCTAAAGTCCTGGGTCATGAGCCACCCCACCTGGCCCTGAGGCTTTTCTGACTAAAATATTTTAAAATGTTATATATTTTTAAAACTAGTTTTTGCTATAGTATGAGATGAATATCTGTCCCCTTTTGAGTAAATTTCAATTAAAAAATACAGAGTCCTGTAATTCAGTGATAAGGGAGCTGGGGAGGCCCTTACTTTCAAACCTGAAGAATTACATCTGCTTCCCAAGAACTGCTTTCTTGGGAACTTTTAAAAGTATGTATTTGTTTTTGTGAGTTTGTAAGAGCTGCGTTCTGTCTACAGAGGAACTTGTTAATGAATCCCTCCTCTTATGATATTTTATATAGAAATGCTTGGTTTGTGGGTTGCGCCCATGACATACACTCTGGGAAATAAGAAAATTATAGACAAACCAAAATAGAAAGCAGCTCCTCTCTCAAGGTGAGTTCAGCAGTTGTCAGTGGATAAAAGGACCTTGTAATGAGCAGCTAAGCCCACACTCCTGAAATGCCTTTTCATTGCAAGAGTGAAAACGAGAGATAAAGGAGGTTTTTTCCTGAGTAATTCTAGCTTGCCTAGCACGCTATGAGCAACAGATAGAGGCCAACTTTAAAATCTCCATGACTGAATTATACCACCAAAACTTGTGATCAGTTCGTTTTCTGCTGAAATCAGGAATACATGGGTCATTAATATCAAGTAGAATAGAAAAGAGAAAAGCAGTACCTAAACGCAACCATCTTTTTTATCCTCAGTTGGAAAAGTGTCTGTTTTCTTCTAATTATAAAGATGCTGCATGCTCATTACAGGAAGTTCTAAGAGTATCAAAAAGTGTGAAGAATTAAAGATTAACCAAAATTCTGGGAAAAGATTGTTATAACAATGTTGACAGGCATTTACAACAAAGCATAACATTATTCTTTGACATTATGCTTTGTTGTTGTTTTTAACAAGCTATATCTAGCTTCCTATTATTTTCATTTTGAAGTGCGACATTCACCCATCAGAATATACACTGAACTCATAAAAATATTCCATGTTTCAAAAGATGAAATACAACCTTTAAATAAACACCTAGAAAAATGGCCTCCCTGGGCACAGGGGTGCATGCCTGTAGTCCCAGCTCCTCGGGAGGCTGAGACTGGAGGATCACTTGAGGCCAAAGAGTTTGAAACCAGCCTGGGTTTAACACAGACCCCCATCTCTAAAAAATGAATTTATTTTAAAATTTTTTATATGGCCCGAAGGGTATTAAAGACAACAATGTAAAACAAGATCCTGCTTATTAAGTTAATGAAATCACAACACCCAGGGTTGACAAGGGAGCCAAAAATGGCAGTCTTTTTCTGTCTTATGGCCTATACGTTGATATGGTATATTTGGAAATGAATTTGGTGATATGTATCAATAAGCTTTACTGTTTATAATCTTGATCTGAGAACTTCATTTTTATATTTATTTGCCTAAAGAAAGACTATATTTATAAGGGTGTTTGTGTTGAAATGGTCATTCCAGTGGAAATGGCCTACATGGAATGGGCTGTACCTCAGCTGGACTTCAATTCAAATGGCTGTCTGCCAGCTCCGAGCCTTGGACAAGTCACTTAACCTCTAACCCTCAGTCAGTCTCTATATTTTTAAATGGGGACGACAATAATCCCTGTCTCAGAGTGTTTTTATGAAGATTACAATGTAATTTAATATGCAAAGCACTTAGAACCCTGTCTAGCACGGAGAAACAGCGCAGTTGTCACCCCTTCTCTGCAGGGGATACATTCCAGGGACCCCCGTGGAAGCCTAAAACTCCAATAGTGTCAACTCTGTATAAGCAGGTTGATTATCCCTAATCTGAAAATTTGAAATGTTCTAAAAACCAAAACTCAGCGGTGAAAGGAAATCCCCACTGGAGCATTTCGGATTTTCAGATTGAGGCATTTAACCAGTTAGCATGAAACAGATATTCCAAAATCAAAAAAAAAAAAAAAATCCTAAATTCCAAGCACTTCTGGTCCCAAGCATTTTGGCTAAGGGATACCCAACCTGTACTATGTTTCTTATGCATTAATATGTCTGATCCATTTATAAATTAGGCACAGTAAGAGATTAACAACAATAATAAAATAGAACAATTCTAACAATATACTGTAGTAAAAGTTATGTGAATGGGGTCTCTCCCTCTCTGAAAATATCATACTGTTGATGTTAGCAATCTGGGCATATGAAATTTCACTTATCGGGAATTTTCACCTTTTCACTTAAAGTAATTTCCAGCTTCTCTTTGACATATCTGAATTGCCGGTGTCACCACTCTGGTACTTTAGGGCCATTATGAAGTAAAATAAGGATTCCTTCAGTTCAAGCCCTGTGATACCTCAACAGTTTATCTATAACCGATGGCTACGAAGAGACTAAGAGGCGGTAGCAGCATCTACAGAAGGGGTCTGCTGGACAAAGGGATGATTCGCATCCCAGATGATATAGTGGGATGGTATGAGATTTCATCACACTATTCAGGATTGTGTGTAATTTAAAACTTACAAATTGGGCCAGGTGTGGTAGCTCATGCCTGTGATCCCAGCATTTTGGGAGGCCGCGGTGGGCGGATCACCTGAGGTCAAGAGTTCTAGACCAGCATGGCCAACATGGGTGAAACCCCATCTCTACTAAAAATACAAAAATTAGCTGAGCATGGTGGCGCACACCTGTAATCCCAGCTACTCGGGAGGCTGAGGCAGGAGAATCACTTGAACCCGGGAGGCGGAGGTTGCAGTGAGCCGAGATCGCATCCTTGCACTCCAGCCTGGGTGACAAGAGCGAAACTGTCTTAAAAAAATAAAGTTGTTTATTTCTGGAATTTTCCTTTTAATATATTCAGACTGAGGCTGACCACAGGTAATTGAAACTGGAAAACAAAACCACACATACAGGGATTACTTGGAAACATTGCCTGTTACCACCTTATGCATTGGTGTGAGGCTTGAATGGAGTAACACCTGAGGGCAGTGTCTGGATAGAGTAAACCAGCATTCCATGTTAGATGATATTCTTAGTGTTAGTATTAGTACATAAAACTTAGAAACAGGACCGGGCACGTGGCTCATGCCTGTAATCCCAGCACTTTGGGAGGCCAAGGTGGGTGGATCATGAGGTCAGGAGTTTGAGACCAGCCTAACCAACATGGTGAAACCCCATCTCTACTAAAAATACAAAAATTAGCCAGGTGTGGTGATGCATGCCTGTAATCCCAGCTACTCCGGAGGCTGAGGCAGGAGAAGTGCTTGAACCTGGGAGGTGGAGGTTGCAGTGAGCCGAGATTGTGCCACTGCACTCCAGCCTGGGCGACACACCCAGACTCCATCTCAAACAAAAACTTAGAAACAAATATTCATCTAATAACTGGAGGAAAAGCAAAATAAATTTCAGATGGAGGCTGTGCTATGAAGACTGTCACAGTTGGTTACAACACAGTGTTCATTGTAAGGATACCAAATTTCATGTGCGCGGTTGCTCTACCAAAGGATATGTGCATGGGAAGATGAAGTAAAAGGAGATGTATTCCACAGGTATAGTACCAGCTTCCATGGTGCCTGGCAAAGCATAAAGAAGCTTGGGTTTTGGCCTCTTGAAATTAATTTAAAGCATGAGATGGGCTTAAGCCCATACTATAGAGACCATTAAGATGCAGGAAGAGCTTGATAATTCTGGACCAGTCTATAATTTGAAATAAATGTATTTTGAAGGGCCAAAGCCAGTGGCTCTTTACTGCAGCATGTAATTTGATTCCTATTGGTTTTTGCAAGGTGCTTGAGGACTTTTTTCATGCTGAAATTTCATTTCTGCTGTTCGCAGGACAAGAGAAATTTGATACCCATGTACGACTTGACCAGGCTTGAAATTTCACTTTATTTGATGGTTCGGCTAGTCATATATAAATTAGTGGGTTCAGGCTTCAGTAGGGAACACACACAGAGCCAGCAGCTGTGGCCTGTTCCTGTCTCCTGAGTGAGGAGCATTCACGATGTTCTTTTCACTTAGAGAGGGCTTAGGGAAGATTTATGTGTTCGCTGTCTCTCATTTCTGTTCTCAAACCCTTGTTTTCTCCGTGGAAAATGGTGATGTACTTTTTTTTTTTTTTTTTTTGAGACAGGGTCTTGCTCTTTAACCCAGGCTGGAGTCCAGTGGTGCGATCTTGGCTCACTGCAGCCTCCACCTCCCGGGCTCAGGTGATCCTCCCACCCCAGCCTCCCAAGTAGCTGGCACTGCAGACGATGCACCACCAGCTAAGTTTTGTATTTTTGGTAGAGACGGGGTTTGGCCATGTTGCCCAGGCTGGTCTTGAACTTCTGGGCTGAAGCGATCTGCCTGCCTCTGCCTCTCAGAGTGCTGGGATTACAGGTATGAGCCACCGTGCCTGGCCCTGTGATGCACTTTTAATCACAGCGGTATTTGGTCAAAGGATGGCAGAATAACTAGGCTTGTGGGCTAGGGAGCATCCAGGAGGGACACCTGGTCTTCCGTGAGAGTCCGGCGATGGGGATCTTTGCATCCCTCTCTCACATTGGTCAAGGCCTCATTTCTACTCCTGATGTCTACTCCTGATTTGGGCCTGAGAGGTGCGAGCTCCCTTTCCAGAGTAGAATAAGCAGATGGTGATTCTGAGCAATGTGGGATGTGGACTGCAGCCTGGGCAAGGGAGTCCCTTGAGATGAGTCCTCCATAGCAGCCAGGATGCCACCCTGACTTCTGGCTCTCCTGACTCAGTCCACTTTTAGTCTCTTTTTCTGCAGGCCATGAAATAGCTCAGCCCCTGGCCTGCTTCAGACCTAGAGCTCAGCCAGCCTGCACTTCGGCTCTGGTTACGTCTTGGAGATCTGCTCTGTTTCTAGCCCAGGGAGGTGCGTAGTTTATATGGAAGTGAACTATATCTTTTTAAAAATACATTTCCTTCTTTTCTTTTTTATTGCGTCCATGTATTTAGAGCTAAAGGAGAGGTCCACAGCATGAGTTTATACTTCACCTTAGCCAGAAGTCCCTGCCACATTTATCCTTAGATCAGAGAATGACACTGGAGTGAGGACGGGGTAGTGGGGGGTAGGGAGTGGGGTGCTGCCCTAGCCTGTTCCCAGATGCTGCATAAGTCATCGTTTTCAATCCTGCATGCTTAGCTTCCGACCCCTGTCACCCTGCCACCCCCTCAGAAGCTGCCGCACACCTGCTCTGTGCCATGGACCAGCCAGAGTGCAGGGTTTGTGTCATGCGCCCCCTCCACCCCGTGAGCTCTTTCTTTAACCTTTCTCCTGCAACTCCTCCTCAGCCCCCTTTGAAATGCCAAATTCAGAAGCTGTGTTTCCCTTCCTCAGCCAGCTAACGAGAGACTGAATTTAAAACAAAACAAAACAAAACAAAACAGCCCTCATTGTCTCCCTTTGATATTTGCCTTTCATCTCGTCTGTCCCAGGGTCGGGGCATCCACCTAGGCCAGCACTCTGGAAAGACGCCTCACCTGCAGCAGGTAGAGCCCAGCAAGTCGGTCCAGGCTTCCGCACATGGTCATGTCCCCATGGGTTTGTCCACATGGGTTTGTTTGTCCTTGGAAACCCTTCAGCTCCAGGGAGCCTGAAGTCCTTGGCGAAGGATAAAGTGGAAGGGGAATGCAGCATGAGGGAGTCTTTCTGTTCATATTCACCACCTGAAAATTACAATGGTTCAAGCAGTGCACCTTCTAGACGAGGTGGTCTCAGCAAGCCTTAAAACCATCTGGTCAACAAGAGCAAAACATGTATAAGGCCATGAATGTACCTGGGGCTGGTTTGGTTTGGTTTGCACAAACCACCCCCTCCTCTGAGTGATGTATAAATAAGAAAGTAAACCCATCTCCCTGCCAAGTCATTCTAAAGAAGTAGCCCTGTCTTGGATGCCCATGTTTGTCTTCCACACCCTTTAGTGTAGAAGACATCAGGGCCCACCTCTGCATCCTGGGCCTGTGGTTCCTGTCCTCTTCATCCAGATCTGTGACTGTCGTGATAGTGTCCTAACTGACCGCCTGTCTCTCTGGTCTTGTGCCTCCTCCCAGCCGTCCTCGGGCCCCCTTGCACTGTGGATCACGTCCCCATGCCGACACTCATCTGTTTCGACCTGTGGGTGGCTCCCCGCGCAGCTCGCCAGGCAGGCCTCTGTGAACTGACTCTGAGAGTGCTCTCTGGCCCCACCGTTGCTTCTCACCTCTGCACTTGCAAGAGGCTACTTGTGCTTCTGTGCAGGCTGTGGCCTCTTGGGGCTCCCTGCATCTGTGGTGGCTGCTGCTTTCTGCTCGGAGCATGTGCACATGTGCGTTCCCTAGTCAGTACACAGTCAGCCCCTGCTGTGGCGCTGGCACACAGCAGAGAGCAAGAGAAGTGGCTTTGCCCCCCATTGAACAGACAGAGTAGTAGGGAAGACAGACATCAAGCTAGTCATCACGACCATAATTACGTAATTACCCTTTGTGACAAGAGCTGTGAAGTGGCAGGAAGGAAGCAGACCAGGGTCAAGGATGGCCTTCCTGTGGTGTGATGTGTAAGCTGGAATTTGGGTAGGAAATAGGTGGAGAAAGAGCCTGAAGAAAGATGTTTCCGGAACCTGCGATCAAGATGTGTGAAAGTCGTGATGGGAAAATGAGGATGACGGTAGCAGTGGGTAGGGGTCAGAGGTCACGCTTACCAAGGGTTTACCGTGTCAGGCACGGGTCTGTGTTACCTCATCACGTCCTCATACGACACTGCAAGAAAGGTGCTTTTACCATCCCCACTGCACACATGTGAAAACTGAGGCACAGAGAGGCCAGTGGGCATGCCTGAGCTCACGTGGCTGGTAGGGTGGTGGGATTTGGACCCAGGTAGTCTGGGTCCCGGGATCAAGCTGCAGTCACTGCAGCATCTTGCTGGGACCTTGAAAGAGGCCTTTGTGACTGGAACTGAAACCAGGGAGCTAAGGCTGGAAGGCAGAGGCAGGGCCATGGAGATGGTTTAGGAAGTGAGTGATGAAATTTGGATTTTTATGTGATCAGACTTGGTTGGGAGGACAGTGGATTGAAGGAGAGGCAAGGGAAGGAGGCAGAGAGAGGAATTATACACCGAAGGTTAAAAAAAAAATCGGGGGTTGGACTTCCCTCCTTCTTTCACTTGGTGCTTTCTCCTTGCCCTTCAAGACCTGGTGCAGGTGTCACTCTCTCTCCTCGGCTCACTCTCTTTCTCTGCGCCGGAGATCCTCAAGATCAGGGGAGATGTCTCGGCATCTCTCAGGGTTCCTCATGCACAGGCGGCTTTCCACAAATAAATGAAAGGAATGGAGGGAAAATAGTTACAAAGCTAAGAAGCAAGATGTTTCATTGGGTAATTTAACTTTTCAAGTTCATAACTCTGATGTGACTTTCACAGTGTAAGCTGCCTGTGGCTGATACTTTACTCATGGAGTACTAGTGGTCTGTTATTCAAGCTAAAATTTCCATTTCCTTATTAGCCTGAGTGACCAGCATTACTCCCCTAGCTCCACATTCTTAGGGAGTCAAGAGGTCGCTTTCAGCAGGCCAATCTGTGCACGACCTGCTGGTGCTGCAGCATTCCTTACTCAGATCTCAGAGACCCTGGGATTTTGCAGTGCTTTGGAAAGCTGACAGGGCTGGCACTGGGGGCTGGCTGGGATGGGAACAGGCTGCCCCTCTTGGCTCTCCATATAGGCCTGAGAGCCACGTGGTCCCACATGAGACACTGAGCCATGTTTGGGCTCCGCCTCCAGGGTTCCACGCATTCTTAGCATCTCAGCAATCCAAGGACAAACACATCAGCTTCCCCGTAGCTAAACATAAGAAAGTTGTCCGTGTTTTTATATAAACTTTACTGACATTTAAACATGCATACTTCATGAAAAGTGCAATATTGTCAGTGTGCGGTAAAGTGGGTTTTCGCCAACTAAACACACTTATGATCAAAACATGCCCGGATTTGCACCCAGATCAGGAAACAGAACATGACGCCACCCTGCGCCCTTCTTGCTTCCCTTCTGTTTACTGCACTCCTCGTGAAGGTAACCTTTGTCATCGCTTCTAACAGCCTGGATTAATTTTGCCTGTTTTTTGGGCTTTCTACCAATGGGATCATACAATGTGTAGAGAGGATGTAGGTTTAAGATGAGATTTGTTGCCCCCCCCCATGCTCGATTTATCCCATGTTCCTAGAAATTATAGAGATAACACAAGTGGAAAGACAGTCTCACAGTCTCATGACAGGAAGGTTACCCATCCGGGGTCAAACCATGCTTGGCACAGAGCCACTTGTTAGGATTCAGCAGTAATTAAAATGACTGTGTTGTTTATAAATTGTTTTATGAGTGCATTAGTGCCTTGTTTATTTTTTATCACCAGAGAAAGAGTGATCCTCCTAAGTAAATGTTCTAGATCAGTTGAGAAAGCAAACTTTCTCAGCCAAGGGCCAGCTAGTAAATATTTTTGGCTTTGCAGGCGCATATGGTCTTCGTTGCAACCACTCAATTCTGCTCTTGGGATGCAAAAGCTGTCTTGGACAATATATGCACAAATGAGGCTGGCTGTGCTCCAAAAAAGCTCCATTTGTGGACATTCAAATAGGAAGTTCACATAATTTTCACTTGTCACAAAATATTATTCTTCCAACTTTTTAAACTTGAACCATATTTGAGAGGGAATCTTTCTGAAGTGTTTTGTTTTTTCTTTTTTGTTTTTTGTTTTTGAGACAGAGTCTCTCTCTGTCCCCCAGGCTGGAGTGCAGTGGCACAATCTTGGCTCACTGCACCCTCTGCCTCCTGGGTTCATGCCATTCTCCTGCCTCAGCCTCCCATGTAGCTGGGACTACAGGCACCCGCCACCACGCCTGGCTAATTTTTTGTATTTTTAATAGAGATAGGGTTTCACCGTTTTAGCCAGGATGGTCTCAATCTCCTAACCTCGTGATCTGCCCGCCTCAGCCTCCCAAAGTGCTGGGATTACAGGCATGAGCCACCGTGCCCGGCCATCTTTCTGAAGTTTTTAAACACTGATCTAAATTCTCAGGATGAGCTGAGAACATTTTCTTAGTAAATATGGGCAACATGGTTTAATAAAACATGGAAACCCTGGCACTGTCCTTTTGCCGTGTCTCTTTGGGCAAGTTTTAACTTCTCTGGGTCTGTTTCATCTTCTATGGGATGGGGATAAAAGGAAGGACATTTAGCCATTAGCCCCAGGAGAGCCATGCTAGTTATTTGTGAACAGAACCCCATCTGAAGAGTCACGGAGGATCCTAGTTGGTCAGTGTCCAGGCTGTGGCAGTTGTTAAATATTTTGAATATCACTCTTTGTCATGACATCCTCTCTACTGAGGTCTTGTATACACTATGGCCAGCATTTGCGTCGTGTATAGTAATTGCTGTTTCTCCTCTTCCCATGGAAATGGCTGTAGGCATTCTTGGCTAAGAGGGATACTTCTGTATTAACTACCGCAACTCAAGGACTTCTGTGCTACAGGTGGAATATCCTTATCCAAAATGCCTGGAACCAGATGTGTTTTAGATTCAGATTTTTGGATTTGGGATTTGATATAGTGTGGCTGTGTCCCCACCCAAATCTCACCTTGAATTGTAATAATCCCCATGTGTCAAGGGTGGTGCCAGGTGGAGATAATGGAATCATGGGGGCGGTTCCCCCCATGCTGTTCTCATGGTAGTGGATAAGTCTCATGAGAACTGATGGTTTTATAAATGGGAGTTCCCCTGCACAAGCTCTCTTGCCTGCCGCCATGTAAGATGTGACTTTGCTCCTCATTTGCCTTCCACCATGATTGTGAGGCCTCCCCAGCCTTGTGGAACTGTGAGTCCATTAAACCTCTTTCCTTTATACATTGCCCCATCTTGGGTATGTCTTTATTAGCAGCGTGAGAGCAGACTAACACAGGATTCTAGGCCTGTAGTTTGTGTAGTTTTCCATTCCCCTAGTGGCCACCAGGATGTGAGCTGTACCTTCACCTAGCCTGCCCTTAAGTCAGCTCCTCTACCAACTCTACCTTGCTGTTTCAGATTGGTAGGCTGATTAAAACTCTCTAAAGCCAGAGGAGGCCTGCATTCCACCCTCAGCTGAGTGTGAGCCCCGTGTGACCTAGGAAGTCAGCAGCACAGACTTTGGGGCCAGATAGTCTGGTGGAACCCCAGCCCCTGCCATTGATGTTATGTACATCCTGGGACGTGTTACTTACCCTCTCTGTTCTTCAGTTTTCTCCTCTGTGAAATGGGGAGAAATAGCACCTACTGCATAGTGGCTGTGAGGATTAGGTGAATTAGTATGTGAGAACATTTCAAACAGTCCAGGAAGCACTATGTAAATATTAGCTGTCATTATTTTTTTTGTTTTCACTCAAAACACATTACTTGGTTCTGATGCTTGCTAGAGATAGTTGAGGTTCCCGGGTATATGATCTCCAGATTAGAGAAGTTACATATTAAGTGACAGATTTGGTGTTGGGAGGAATCTCATGGGCATTTTTTTAGGATTTGATTATTTTCTGTTGTATCTCATTGTCGTCTTTTTAATAGCTGTAGACATCTAATCCTGAGCTAGTGTTTTACTGTTCTGTTACTCATAAAAATTCTGAAATGCAGGGGTTAAGAATAGACAATCAAGTCTTAAGTGCTTTGCAAAATGAATTTATTCCTTTGAGAATTAAAGTGATGTCCTGAAGGAAGTCACAGTTAATGGTCAGTTTCCTTTAGGGAAATATTCTTGAAGAATTAGAGTGCTGCTCTCACATATCTTTGATGGAAACCAAACAACTCCTGGGTTAATGTTTAGTTAAATGAACCAAAAAAAAAAAAAGTATCACTTTGCTTAGTTAGAAGCAAAGGAAAATATTAATTATTCGAATGGAGAAATGTTTGAAAATGAGAAATAATTATGTTACGGTGGTGGGATTACAGATGATAAGTATTTTTCTTTTTTTGAAGTTGGGTAAGTATTTTTCTTTTTTTGAAGATGGATTTGCCTTTTAAAAGGAAAGGGGGAAAAAGCCTGAAGCTGTTACAGTCTGTCTCTAAACTAAATTATCTTCACTGCAATCCAACATTGTGCAGCTAAGTATCATAAAATTAAGACTCACAGCCTAAACCCTCTAATAGGTAAGACTATTCTAAGACACTGGTAACACGTCTCTGAAAAGTGCTGGCGTTTTGTGCTGTTAGTTTCCTGGGTTGATTTTGGTTTGAGTTCACAGCAGAAGTCTGTTGGGTAGCCAGAAAGGAAGAATCATCACGTTGGGACACAAATCCGAGTCCTGTCTGTCCTTTGCATTCTTCCTTCCCCCACGTCGTCCTGGCTTGGCTTCAAGCAAGTCTGTGAGGTAAAGGTTGGTGGCTTAGCTTCCTAGGGCTTCTGTAACAAATTATCACCATCTGGTAGTTTTTATTGTTTTGGTTTTTGTTTGTTTGTTTTTGGCTTTTGTTTTTGTTTTTTCGATGGAATCTCGCTCTGTCGCCCAGGCTGGAGTGCAGTGGCTTGATCTCGGCTCACTGCAACCTCCGCCTCCTGGTTTCAAGCAGTTCTCCTGCCTCAGCCTCCCAAGTAGCTGGGACTAGAGGTGCCCGCCACCATGCCCAGCTGATTTTTGTATTTTTTTTTAGTAGAGACAGGGTTTCACCGTATTGATCAGGCTGGTTTTGACCTCCAGACCTCAGGTGATCTGCCTGCCTTGGCCTCCCAAAGTGCTGGGATTACAGGCATGAGCCACCGTGCCCGGCCAATCTGGTAGTTTTAAAACAAAAGAAATTTATTATATTACAGTTCAGGAGCCCAGAAGTCCCAAATCAACATGTCAGGAGGGCCACACTCCCTCCAAAGTCTCAGGGGAAGATCCTTCCTGGCCTCTTCCCACTCCTGGTGGCTTCTGTTGTTCCTCACCCTGTGACTGCATTACTCCATTCTCTGCCAATGTCTTCACACGGCCTTCTTCCCTTTGGCTCTGTCAAATCCCCTTCGTCTTTCTGAGGACACCAGTCATTGGACTTGAGGCCTACCCTAAATCCAGGATGATCTTATCTCGAGGTCTTTATTTAATTACACCTGCAAAAACCTTACTTCTACATGAAGTGGCATTGTTCGTCTGGGTTAATACCTGAGGTTCATTGCCTCATGCCAAGGAAATCAAGGACACTGACACACAAGGAGTGAGTTTAAGAGCAGGAGTTTAATAGGCAAGAGAAAGAGGAAAGCTCTCTCTCTCCTTCAGAGAGAGAGGGGCTCCTGAGTGAGTCTTCCAGTTCCATGGTGAAATGCATGGGGAGGGGGGGGTGGTGGTTAATAGATGAGCGTGGAGAGGCGGTGTCTGATTTACATAGGGCCCAAATGATTGGTTAGATAGGTGTGCCATTTACATAGTGTAGGAAGAAGATGGCTGCCCCACCCTAATCTTTTGTTAGGCAGGTGGGTTCTCTACCTGGCCAGCGCCATGTTGCCTGCTTCTTTATTGCACACCTGGTTGACAGAAGGGAAGATGGACCCTCCATGTTGAACACGCCTGACCCCCAGGTAGCCATTTCCTATCCGCAGAGCTGCCGGCATTCACCCGTGCAAGCTTCCAGCTTGCTTATCTATGTCTGCAGCTCGATTTTACAGGCTGCTCTGCTAGAAAAGAAATGATCTGGGGGCTGCTTTTTGTTAAAACAGAAACCTTGCTGAGGACTCTCTTACCCTCGCTAACTGCCTAAATAATTTCTTTCTAGTTCCTGTAGCACAAATAAGATTACATTCTCAGGTATTGGGGATTAAGACTTGGGACCACTCCTTAAGCCACTGTAGCTGACCTCACAGATGTCTCAGCTGACCACCAGGCAGGTGTTTCCACCCAAGGACGCACTTCCCCATTCCCCATGGCACCAGCAATGTGGAGTGGGGAGCCGCGGAGCAGGGAGCCAGCAGCTTAAGTTTGAAATCCAGCTCACTGTTCTTGAGACTGGAACCTGGAGGGCATTATTAAATGTCTCCCAGCCTTGGTTCCTGTCTTGTGTAAAGTGAAGGTGACGGTGTCTACCCCTCTGGGTCACAAGAAGCATGTGGGAGAATATGGGAAAGTAGCTGACAGGGTGCACAAGTTACAGCAGGAACTCAATATGTGTCCTTGAGTCTGAATGCAGTCATTTAGGGTCCTCAGTATTAACTGCCTTGCTCTCAGGTGGATGATGTTTGAGGATTAACAAATCTGTTGGGTGAATCCAGATAAATGGGGAGTTGACCTTTCTGGATGACACAGGTTGTTGACCATGGTTTAACATATTCAATAAGTTAATATAAAGAGTCTTGGCAGTGCCTGGTGCGGCAAAGGGACCTATATCTGTGGTTGTCATTGTCGTTGCTATGGTTGCCATTGCTATGGCACCATAACCTTGTTGATCTGAACCAGTAGAGATGAGGCTTTGAGGTGGCCCCTGGAGATCACAGCTGAGGAGCCCTAAGCCCACCCCCAGAAATGTTGTGAAAGTGGCTGCCTTCTTTCCTTTACCTAACTTGTGACATCCTTCAGCCCAGGACTCAGTACACAGTGGGCCCTCAAAAAATAGGATTAACTATTAACTGAAAGATCTTATTCCAGGTGTTCAGGGAATCAGCAGAATTAGCGTGACTTTCTGCTAATAATATCTTCAACTGATGTGATAAGAGTAGAGTTCTACCAGTGGCCACTGCAAAAGACACAGAGCATGCAAAATCCTCTCTCCTTTTATCAGAAGGAAGAGCTTCTCCATCCTTTCAACCTTGGACCAGTAATTGGTCCCTTTAGGAGTTAGTTTAAGAAAAGCTATGCATGCCTTAGCCAGCCTGAAGTCAGACCCTTAATGGGAAGCTGGTGCTTTATTGATGCTCAGTAACAGAACACTGCTTTGAGCTCAAAATAACTTCTACTAAGCTCCTTCAACAGCTTGCTCCCTAGGTGGCTCAGTGTTTTGCTGCTGTCTGAAGTTGTATATACTCCAGTGAAGCTTGAGTTTCTTCATGGTCATCATCCACTATCACCAGTTAATATGGGCTGAATATCCATAACATGTCAGACTCAGTCGGGATACATAAAGAAGACCCTGTACCTGCACTGGGGTTGTGGGTCTGAGGGCCATTAGAACTCTAGATGGCTGCACAGACACAGGTGAGGCTGTGGAGCAAAGGCAGAGTTGGTGGTGAAGGGCCTATTTTTAACTTTTATTGCCGCCATGTTGCTCCTACGATGCCATTATGAATGGTCTCTGTGAGTCCAGGCAGTGGTTAGTGTCTACTCAGAAACCTCACAATGTCTGTCCTCCTGGGATAGAATATGAACAGAATCCAGGTCTGGGGCCATGGATGTTGAACGTGATAGTATGTTTCCTGGTATCACTAAGGTCTGATCTCTTCCCGTTTTCCTACAGTTCTATGAACATTTCTTTCTAACACAATGTTTTCTTAGGGCTAATTTTAAGTTATTTTTTGGGGACTATCATCCCTTATATCCTTCTCCTTCCAAGGTATCCCAAAGTTGATGTGCAGTGTTACTGTACACTTTTTCAGCATGTGCAAATCTGTCTAGCTTATAATCTAGCATCATTTTGTGTTGTTTTACATTTTATATAAATTGTATTACACTCTACAGATTCGTTTGAAACTTGTTTTCTGTCCAACCTGATAGATTTGAGATTTATCCATATTGATTTATGTAGATCTAGTTCATTCATTTTACTTGTTATATATGATGACAGTAATTGGTTCGTTTTCCTAATGGAGGACAGCTAGATTGCTTCCACATTTCTGCTCTTTTAAACAGATATATATATAGATAGATAGACAGATAGATAGATAGATTGATTGATTAGATAGATATAGATATATAGATATATATAACATATATGTGTGTGTATATATACATATATACGTATATGTGTGTGTATATGTATACATATATACGTATATGTGTGTATATGTATACATATATACGTATATGTGTGTATATGTATACATATATACGTATATGTGTGTATATGTATACATATATACGTATATGTGTGTGTATATGTATACATATATACGTATATGTGTGTATCTACATATACATATATACATATGTATGTGTGTGTGTGTGTGTGTGTGTGTGTATATATATATATATATATATATATATATATATATATCCTGCAGTAGCTCTTCTTGTGAGATTCTCCTATGTGAGAATTCCCCTAGGTCTGGGGTGTACTCAGAAGGGGAACTGCCAGTCATATGTATCTTTAACTTTACTAGCTTTGGCAACTTGCTCTGCAAAGTGTCTGAACCAATTTACATTCCACCAGCAGTGTTGGAGGATTCTACTTCCTCAAATTCTTACCAATAAATGCTTTTATCAGGTTGACCAAAAAGATTCCATGTGGCTGGGGTGAAAGAGCAGGTGTTTGCCTCTCTGTGATTGCTGGGAAGGTTAAACACCTTTTCATAGGTTGATTAGCCATCAGTGTTGCTTCTTCTGTGAATTGTTTGTTTATATCTCTAGCACCTTTTTCCTCCTTCCTGTTTTGGGGCATGAGGAAGAGAGGTGATGCTTTACTCACTGATTGGTAGAAATTCCTTACATATTCTGGATACTAATTTTTTGTTGATATAAGTTGCAAATTATCTTCTGCTGGGATTTGACATTTTCATAAAATATTTTGATGAAAGAAAAATGAGAAATAGGGAAGAGCATTCAACCTTTAATAGAAGCATCTGTAAAAGGGTCTATTTGTTCTGCTCCTGAGACAAGTTGGTGGTGTGTTAAACTAATGAATCATTACAGTTCCCATATATGCAGTTATCATTACATGAGCCTTTTTTATTTCTTTCTGAGGTTTTATTTTGCTTTGCTTTTTTTTTTTTTTTTTTTTTTTTTTTGAGAGTTTCGCTTTGTTGCCCAGGCTGGAGTGCAGTGGCACCATGTCAGCTCACTGCAACCTCTGCCTCCCAGGTTCAAGCAATTCTAGTGCCCTAGCCTCCTGAGTAACTGGGATTACAGGCACCCACCACCATGCTCGGCTGATTTTTTGCATTTTTGTAGAGACAGGGTATCACCATGTTGCCCAGGCTGATCTCGAACTACTGATCTCAGGTAATCCACCTGTCTCAGTCTCCCAAAGTGCTAGGATTACAGACATGAGCCACTGCACTGGTCTTGCTTTGCCTTTTTAAGGCATCACCTTTAGGGACTTGCCTTTGTTCTTGATGGTTCTCCAGGGTCACTTGTTTGAGACTTTAGTAACAAGTTGCTGATACCTTAGGTAATGATACTTACAATTACCTAAGTCCCAGATGAACGTGAAGTCTGCCCACTTCCAGGTCATGGGATCTTAAGTTCTTATGACCCATAAAAGACTTAGACTAGCTTCTTGACACCTACCAGCTCATGGGTGAGTAGCTCCCATCCTCCCAAACTAGAAGCAATTCATTTCATTACAAACCCACCAAAAAGCACAATTCTGTCCACCAAGAGATAACGGCTGTTAGTACCCTGAAATATATCCTGTTAAACTTTTTCTAATACATATGAGTATGTGAATATCATATAACTAAAGTGATCATAAAATACTTATTTTAGATTGTAGGTTTTTTTACACAATACGTGTCTCAGAAGTCTTCCTAGGTTAATGCATACACTCCTACAGTGGCAGCTTTAATGGCTGTGTAGTATTCCATTGTTATCTTGAAGATTTTAAAACATCTTTTTTGTTGGATATGTGGCTGATTTCCATTTTTTTACTATAAGGAGCAATCTTTAAGTGAACCTTCTTGTACATGGATGTTTGTGAACATCCAAAATCTAAGACCTGGAATTGCAGGGTGAAAGTTACACTGATCTCTGCGACTTTTGTTGTATACCCTACAGGTGTTTAGCATAATGGGGAGGGGCAGTTGTCTGGGGCTCTCATTTGGAGGAAACTTACTGAGCATGAATTGGGGATACGAAGATGATAAGATGATCTCACTCCCTTGTGTCAGGGGCTCATGGTCTAGGGCAGCAGTCTTCAACCTTTTTGGTGCAGGGACTGGTTTCATGGAAGACAATTTTTCCATGGACCCGGTTGTGGTGTGGTTTCAGGATGAAACTTTCCACCTCAGATCATTAGGCATTAGATTCTCAGAAGGAGGGCATAGCCTAGATCTCTCAATGTGCAGTTCACAATAGGGTTTGTGCTCCTATGAGAATCTCATGCCGCCGGTGATCTGACGGTAGGCAGAGCTCAGGCGGTAATGCTTGCTTGCCCGCCGCTCACCTCCTGCTGTGCACCCCAGTTCCTAACAGGCCATGGACAGGCACCGGTCCATGGCCTGGGGGTTGGGGGCCATACACTGGCAGCTGGGCAGGAGGCAGCAGGCTCAGGACATGAGGAAACTGACCCTAGGAGGGAGGAGGTTGGTCTCCAGTTTCAGGAGGTAGATGTCAACTGCCTGAAATTCTCTGGAGACAATACCCCTGGCTCCCCTCTCCACACATCAGCCCTCTGTCTGAATGATATAACATGATTCCCTTGACTAAAAGCACAGCCCTTGCTGTATCTGAGGTGAGCCACAAAACCTCTTGCACTTCAGTCTCCACCCCTGTTAGTTGTGGAGAATAATACCTGTAGCTTGCTCTGCTTCACAGCCATGAGATGCAAGGCACATAATGGATGGAAGAGTGCTCGGCCACTGTGAAGCTCTGTGTAAATGTTATATACACAGTACTCCCAATGCCGTCCTCAGAGCGTGCACGAGGGCGTCTGATGAATACCAGCTCTCAGAAGATGTTAAAGAGGATGCTGGTCTGGACGTAGTGGCTCACGCCTGTAATCCCAGCACTTTGGGAGGCCAAGGTGTGTGGATCACCTGAGGTCTGGAGTTCTGAGACCAGACTGGCCAATGTGGTGAAACTCCATCTCTACTAAAAATACAAAAATTAGCTGGACATGATGGCGGGTGCCTATAATCCCAGCTACGTGGGAGGCTGAGGCAGGAGAATCACTTGAACCCGGGAGGCGGAGATTGCAGTGAGCCGAGATCACGCTACTGCACTCCAGCCTGGGCAACGGAGCAAGACTCCGTCTCAAAAAAAAAAAAGTGGATGCCGGTCCTGAAATGAGACCTCCCTTCTGAACCGGAGTGTGGACAGCCCAGGAACCCACCGCCGCAGCTTAAAATCCTCAGCTGAACATCACTGGGGGAGCACATGGGCTCTGCTTGCTTATGGCCTGGGTTCAAATCCCAGGCCTGCCATTTCCAGCTCTGTAACCTCAGACAAGTGACTCAACCCCCTGTACCGCATTTTCCACATCTGTGACATCTGTGACTTGGTGTGGTCAATGCTCAATACATGTAAGCTTTTATTATTGTTGTTGTTGTTTACAACTTTTTGTTGTTGTTGTTTTAAAGACAGGGTCTTGCCCTGTTACCCAGGCTGGAATGTAGCGGCATGATCAGGGCTCGCTGTAGCCTTGACTTCCCAGCCTCAAGCAATTGTCCTTCCTCAGCCCCACAAGTACCTAGGACTACAGGCGTGCACCACCATGCCCAGCTAATTTTTTTTTTTTTTATTTTAGTAGGGATGAGGTCTTGCCGTGTTGCCCAGGCTGGTCTTGAACTCCCGGGCTCAAATGATCCTCCCACTTTGGTCTCCCAGGGTGTTAGGATTACAGGTGTGAGCCACTGTGCCTGGCCATATTTGCAGCTTGTTAATACTTACAAGGAAACTGTTAGAACAGAAAAAGAATCATTCCCTCAGCCATTTAAAAGCATCCTAAAATCAAGTTCTTGTTTTAAGATAGTTTTCATTCATTGTTCTGGTACTTCCTAAATAGTTTCTTCCCAGTAAAAGTGCCCCCACTTTGGTGGTTTAATTATAGGCCATGAGGATTTGCTTTTTCCGTGTAAGGTTGGAAGAAAAAGTTGGTTTGCTGCTATAGGAAATGAGTAGAAGCTCTGTTGCCCTCGACAGCCTTGTGGAGTTGTCCTGGAAGCCTATGTCCAGAGCTGTCTCCCAGGTCATCCTATTGCTGCACTATGGCCGACTCCCATGCAGAGAGGGTCCTTTTATAAAAACCTAAACATAACCATGTTGAGAGAGCAGTCATCCCTGCCGAACCTTTGCTGAAGCCAGTTGCCTTTGCTCTTAGATGATCTTTGTGCATCCAGGGGTTCTAGAACGTTAGACCCAAGAGTGTCTGGTCCTAGCTTTGGGGGTTTCTTGGCCTAGGATGCAATATTTTAATGGATAGGATCAACATCAGAGTAAATTTTAATTTTTCTAAATAAAGACATTATTAAAAGTTACCAGCTGAGCTCTGTGGTTCATGCCTGTAATTCCAGTACTTTGAGAGGCCGAGGCAGGCAGATCACCTGAGGTCAGGAGTTTGAGACCAGCCTGGTTAACATGGCAAAACCCCGTCTCTACTACAAATACAAAAATTAGCCGGGCATGGTGCTACATGCCTGTAGTCCCAGCTACTTGGGAGGCTGAGGCAGGAGAATCGCTTGAACCCAAGAGGTAGAGGTTGCCATGAGCCAAGATTGCACCACTGCACTCCAGTCTGGGTGATCCGTCTCAAAAAAAAAAAAAAAAAAGTTACCATTGGCCAAATCACCATTTTATCAAAGAAAAGTTTATTTTTACACCCACCCTCCTCAAAAAATAGAAAAAGAAAGGAAGCAAAGACATAAGCCTGGTACATTTCCAAAGACTATATAAATTAATTTCATGTAAAACTTCCTCCTTTGTTCTTGTTTTTCGCCGGTGCGTCCAAGGAATCACAGACTTCATGTACACAAAGAAAAGGAGATAAGATGACTTGGTCTGAGTGGCGTGGTAGATCACACTCAGGCAAGACTGGAGCATGAACGGTTCTCCTGAAAATTCCTTCTAGGCTGCTAGTCAGTGAGTTGTTTAAACTGACTCCAATCCTTTTGTTGTGCAGATGCAAACTGTGATGCAGTTGAATTATGTGATTTGTTTTCTAAATTGTTCATAACCAAAAAACATCGATTCATTTTTATTTATTTATTTTTTATTTTTTGAGACAAAGTCTCGCTCTGTCGCCCAGGCTGGAGTGCAGTGGCGCAATCTCGGCTCACTGCAACTTCCATCTCCTGGGTTCAAGCGATTCTCCTGCCTCAGCCTCCCGAGTAGCTGGGATTACAGGCATGTGCCACCACACTCAGATAATTTTGTATTTTTAGTAGAGACAGGGTTTCACCACATTGGTCAGGCTGGTCTCGAACTCCCGACCTCATGATCCACCCGCCTCAGCCTACCAAAGTGCTGGGATTATAGGCATGAGCCACCGTGCCCGGCCCAATTCATTTTATTAAATAAAGAAACATTTATTTAGAGTTTAAATGTCTGATCTTGAGGTTGCGTCAGGGTGAAGACTAAGCTGCTGTAATAAAGACATATGAAATTAGTGGCTAAGGAAAGAGAGAAGTCGGTGTTTCCTCCCATGTAGCAGTCCTTGGTGGGGTGGCATGGCTCCATGTGGTCATTCAGGGACCTGAGCTGCTTCCATCCTGATGCTCTGTTGTTTTTCCTGAGTGCTTTCCTGGTTTGCTTGGTGGAAGCTGGATTGCTACTGTGTGTGCATGGAAGTGGAGGAAGAGGATGAGGCACCAAAGCTCTGTGTCTTGAGGCCAAGACCCATAAGCATCACAGCACTCTGTGCACAGCCCACTAGCCCAAGCCCAGTAAAGCAGTTGCATATAACTGCAAGAGAGGCAGGCAAATGGAGTCCCCAGCTGGAGGCCACATGCACAGCTGAAACTTGGGGGTGGAGGGAGGAGGGGTTCCTATCACTAAAAGAAGAGGAGAATGACTACTTGGGGACAAAGAGCAGATTCTTTGTCATGGACATGAAGATGTTTTTAATCCATTCTTTCTGTCTAGCAGAATGGGAAAAGGAAACCCCTGCTTCTAGAACTGTTCCAATGTTCTGCCCATCTTGCCAGACTCTCCCTATATTTGGAGGGCAAAGATTCAGGCAGACATCTCTTGGTGTAAAAGTAAATTTATCTGGCTGGGTGTGGGGGCCCACGCCTGTAATCCCAGCACTTTGGGAGGCCGAGGCAGATGGATCACCTGAGGTCAGGAGTTCATGACCAGCCTGGCCAACATGGAAAAACCCCGTCTCTACTAAAAATACAAAAAATTAGCCAGGCATGGTGGCGGCTGCCTGTAATCCCAGCTGCTCGGGAGGCTGAGGTAGGAGAATCACTTGAACCTGGGAAGCAGAGGTTGCAGTGAGCTGAGATCGCACCATTGCACTCCAGCCTAGGCAACAAGAATGAAACTCCGTCTCAGAAAAAAAGAGTAAATCTATCCCACATTGGTGGTTTCCCTGAAGGTCTGGTACAATGGAGGATTCCAAGCCTTTCTCTTTTTCCCAACCATGGCTCTTCCACTGGAGTATTTCACAGGGAGATCCAAGGACACTGTGGGAAGAAGATCTTGGATCCCCAAAGCCCAAATCTGATCGCGTTGCCCAGTGTTAGTGATGACAGCTCTTCCTGGCATATGTTGGTTGGGTGGGGTGGTCTAAGGACTGCAGGATGTTTTAGAGCCTAAATTTACCAACTTTCGGCCCCTGCTTGATGATGCTCAACAGAACGAACAAAGCTGTAGATTACTTGTCCAGATGGCCTCTTTATTTTTAGATTGGTGATCAGTTTCCAGCGTCTCTTTATTTCTTCACCATGATGGTCTGAATGATGACTTCAATGAAGGGCAAACTCAGGCACTCTAGGAAAGATACATTACTCAGCGTGTTATTGCCTGACACGTTCTGGGAAATCACAGGACAATCATCTTCATGTGCAACATGTGGGTTTTTTTTTAATTTATTTGTTTGTTTTTGGCACATTTACAGTTAAATTCCCCAGATCCAAGAAAATGACTTCCCAGTTCCTGGGGAAAATAAATTACGAATGGAGATGGAACCCAGCTCCTCTCTACCACACGGGGCCCAGAACATCGTGTTCTCTGCTGCAAAACTGCATAGATCAGGTTGGCCACAGAACTGCAGGTGCCTCACTGATCCACATTCCTCAGTTAAGGACCAAGATAGAAACCTTTATATATACTCTCACTGAGGGAATTAATTAATGTCTGTGTTAGTTTCCTAGGGCTGCCATAACAAATTGCCACATTTCGGTGGCTGAAAACAATAGACATGTATTCTCTCACAGTTCAGGGAACCAGAAGTCCAAAATCAAGAGACTGGCAGAAAACAAGGTGGTTCCTTCCATCCCATGACTCCCTCCTAGTTTCTGCTGGTGTTCAGCAGTCTTTGCCAGTCTTTGCTTTGACGATGCATTATTCTAATGTCTGCCCCTGTCTTCACATGACCCTCTTCCCTGTTCCTCCAATTTTCAAATCTCCTTCTTCTTTTTTAAAAAATTATAGATAAGATCTCACTCTGTTGCCCAGGCTGGAGTATGGTGGTGTGATCTTAGCTCGCTGTATCCTCAAACTCCTGGGCTCAAGCAAGCCTTTCACCTTGGCCCCCCAAAATGCTAGGATTACAGGTGTGAGCCACTGCACCTGGCCTTCCCTCACTTTTCTTTCGCAAGTACATCAGTCGTTGAATTTAGGGCCCATCCTAAATTCTAGATCACCTTATCTCAAGATCCTCAACTTAGGTATATTTGCAAAAACTCTATTTTATTTTCTTTTCCTTCTTTTTTTTTTTTTTTTGAGACAGTCTTGCTCTGTCACCCAGGCTGGAGTGCAGTGGCGCAATCTCGGCTCACTGCAAGCTCCGCCTCCCAGGTTCACGCTATTCTCCTGCCTCAGCCTCCCAAGTAGCTGGGACTACAGGTGCCCGCCATCAAGCCCAGCCAATTTTTTTTGTATCTTTGGTAGAGACAGGGTTTCACCATGTTAGCTAGGATGGTTTCAATCTCCTGACCTCGTGATCCGCCCGCCTCGGCCTCCTGGATTATAGGCGTGAGCCACCACGCCCTGCCAAATTTATTTATTTTCAAATAAAGTCACATTCACAGATACCAGGGATTAGGACTTGGGCATGTCTTTTCAAGGGATGCAATTCCACCCACTACAATATCATAGCAAACGTGCATCAAAAAGGTTAAATCTATTACCACCGATCCCATGTTGTGTTGACTGCAAAGGCGTACGGCATCAAGCCTTGGAAATGTAACAGGCCCATTTTTCGCAGTTGGAAAATCAGAAGTGCTAGAAAGAGAGCTGGCTCATCCTGTAGGGATGGGTGGTGGGTCGCCTCAGGCCCTCCTTTCATTCCCAGGGACCCCGTTTGCACAGCTGCGTGTGGAGCCGGCTAGCACGTTGTCAGCAACACTTCTTTCCGTGTGCTTGCTCCCTTAGTCTCTGTAACTAGCAGGTGGTTGTGGTGCCTGTCATTCATCTCCCAGGGCTGGCTTGATAAACGTTATTATACTTCTTGATGGGTACCTTCTGGCGTATTTACCGCTTTGTAACTTTGCTGTTTATTGTGGTTCCTTGGAGCCCAATAAAAGCAAGATAAGAAAAAGCAAGCAAGAACAGGGCAGGAAAAGTCAGAACTGTAATTTAGTCATGTAAGGTTCAATTGGATGCGTTTTTCCTTTGCCCCCCTGCCTTCACCGCTGGGCTGTTCAGAGCCAGGCTCTGCTCCACTTCATCCCCATCCCAGTGACATTACACCCTCCACATCCCCATCCTTTCTGGAGTGATCAGTATCTTCTTCAGTGCATGATGGAAAGGGGAAGATTTTAGTTCATATCAGATGTTCAGAATCTTTGTAGGAAATTGAAAAAATATTAAACCTTTTTTTTTTTTTTTTTTTTTATTATACTCTAAGTTTTAGGGTACATGTGCACATTGTGCAGGTTAGTTACATATGTATACATGTGCCATGCTGGTGCGCTGCACCCACTAACGTGTCATCTAGCATTAGGTATATCTCCCAATGCTATCCCTCCCCCCTCCCCCGACCCCACCACAGTCCCCAGAGTGTGATATTCCCCTTCCTGTGTCCATGTGATCTCATTGTTCAATTCCCACCTATGAGTGAGAATATGCGGTGTTTGGTTTTTTGTTCTTGCGATAGTTTACTGAGAATGATGGTTTCCAATTTCATCCATGTCCCTACAAAGGACATGAACTCATCATTTTTTATGGCTGTATAGTATTCCATGGTGTATATGTGCCACATTTTCTTAATCCAGTCTATCATTGTTGGACATTTGGGTTGGTTCCAAGTCTTTGCTATTGTGAATAGTGCCGCAATAAACATACGTGTGCATGTGTCTTTATAGCAGCATGATTTATAGTCCTTTGGGTATATACCCAGTAATGGGATGGCTGGGTCAAATGGTATTTCTAGTTCTAGATCCCTGAGGAATCGCCACACTGACTTCCACAATGGTTGAACTAGTTTACAGTCCCACCAACAGTGTAAAAGTGTTCCTATTTCTCCACATCCTCTCCAGCACCTGTTGTTTCCTGACTTTTTAATGATTGCCATTCTAACTGGTGTGAGATGATATCTCATAGTGGTTTTGATTTGCATTTCTCTGATGGCCAGTGATGATGAGCATTTCTTCATGTGTTTTTTGGCTGCATAAATGTCTTCTTTTGAGAAGTGTCTGTTCATGTCCTTCGCCCACTTTTTGATGGGGTTGTTTGTTTTTTTCTTGTAAATTTGTTTGAGTTCATTGTAGATTCTGGATATTAGCCCTTTGTCAGATGAGTAGGTTGCGAAAAGTTTCTCCCATTTTGTAGGTTGCCTGTTCACTCTGATGGTAGTTTCTTTTGCTGTGCAGAAGCTCTTTAGTTTAATTAGATCCCATTTGTCAATTTTGGCTTTTGTTGCCATTGCTTTTGGTGTTTTGGACATGAAGTCCTTGCCCACGCCTATGTCCTGAATGGTAATGCCTAGGTTTTCTTCTAGGGTTTTTATGGTTTTAGGTCTAACGTTTAAATCTTTAATCCATCTTGAATTGATTTTTGTATAAGGTGTAGGGAAGGGATCCAGTTTCAGCTTTCTACATATGGCTAGCCAGTTTTCCCAGCACCATTTATTAAATAGGGAATCCTTTCCCCATTGCTTGTTTTTCTCAGGTTTGTCAAAGATCAGATAGTTGTAGATACGCAGCATTATTTCTGAGGGCTCTGTTCTGTTCCATTGATCTATATCTCTGTTTTGGTACCAGTACCATGCTGTTTTGGTTACTGTAGCCTTGTAGTATAGTTTGAAGTCAGGTAGTGTGATGCCTCCAGCTTTGTTCTTTTGGCTTAGGATTGACTTGGCGATGCGGGCTCTTTTTTGGTTCCATATGAACTTTAAAGTAGTTTTTTCCAATTCTGTGAAGAAAGTCATTGGTAGCTTGATGGGGATGGCATTGAATCTGTAAATTACCTTGGGCAGTATGGCCATTTTCACAATATTGATTCTTCCTACCCATGAGCATGGAATGTTCTTCCATTTGTTTGTGTCCTCTTTTATTTCCTTGAGCAGTGGTTTGTAGTTCTCCTTGAAGAGGTCCTTCACATCCCTTGTAAGTTGGATTCCTAGGTATTTTATTCTCTTTGAAGCAATTGTGAATGGGAGTTCACTCATGATTTGGCTCTCTGTTTGTCTGTTGTTGGTGTATAAGAATGCTTGTGATTTTTGTACATTGATTTTGTATCCTGAGACTTTGCTGAAGTTGCTTATCAGCTTAAGGAGATTTTGGGCTGAGACAATGGGGTTTTCTAGATAAACAATCATGTCGTCTGCAAACAGGGACAATTTGACTTCCTCTTTTCCTAATTGAATACCCTTTATTTCCTTCTCCTGCCTGATTGCCCTGGCCAGAACTTCCAACACTATGTTGAATAGGAGCGGTGAGAGAGGGCATCCCTGTCTTGTGCCAGTTTTCAAAGGGAATGCTTCCAGTTTTTGCCCATTCAGTATGATATTGGCTGTGGGTTTGTCATAGATAGCTCTTATTATTTTGAAATACGTCCCATCAATACCTAATTTATTGAGAGTTTTTAGCATGAAGGGTTGTTGAATTTTGTCAAAGGCTTTTTCTGCATCTATTGAGATAATCATGTGGTTTTTGTCTTTGGCTCTGTTTATATGCTGGATTACATTTATTGATTTGCGTATATTGAACCAGCCTTGCATCCCAGGGATGAAGCCCACTTGATCATGGTGGATAAGCTTTTTGATGTGCTGCTGGATTCGGTTTGCCAGTATTTTATTGAGGATTTTTGCATCAATGTTCATCAAGGATATTGGTCTAAAATTCTCTTTTTTGGTTGTGTCTCTGCCCGGCTTTGGTATCAGAATGATGCTGGCCTCATAAAATGAGTTAGGGAGGATTCCCTCTTTTTCTATTGATTGGAATAGTTTCAGAAGGAATGGTACCAGTTCCTCCTTGTACCTCTGGTAGAATTCGGCTGTGAATCCATCTGGTCCTGGACTCTTTTTGGTTGGTAAACTATTGATTATTGCCACAATTTCAGAGCCTGTTATTGGTCTATTCAGAGATTCAACTTCTTCCTGGTTTAGTCTTGGGAGAGTGTATGTGTCGAGGAATGTATCCATTTCTTCTAGATTTTCTAGTTTATTTGCGTAGAGGTGTTTGTAGTATTCTCTGATGGTAGTTTGTATTTCTGTGGGATCGGTGGTGATATCCCCTTTATCATTTTTTATTGTGTCTATTTGATTCTTCTCTCTTTTTTTCTTTATTAGTCTTGCTAGCGGTCTATCAATTTTGTTGATCCTTTCAAAAAACCAGCTCCTGGATTCATTGATTTTTTGAAGGGCTTTTTGTGTCTCTATTTCCTTCAGTTCTGCTCTGATTTTAGTTATTTCTTGCCTTCTGCTAGCTTTTGAATGTGTTTGCTCTTGCTTTTCTAGTTCTTTTAATTGTGATGTTAGGGTGTCAATTTTGGATCTTTCCTGCTTTCTCTTGTAGGCATTTAGTGCTATAAATTTCCCTCTACACACTGCTTTGAATGCGTCCCAGAGATTTTGGTATGTGGTGTCTTTGTTCTCGTTGGTTTCAAAGAACATCTTTATTTCTGTCTTCATTTCGTTATGTACCCAGTAGTCATTCAGGAGCAGGTTGTTCAGTTTCCATGTAGTTGAGCGGCTTTGAGTGAGATTCTTAATCCTGAGTTCTAGTTTGATTGCACTGTGGTCTGAGAGATAGTTTGTTATAATTTCTGTTCTTTTACATTTGCTGAGGAGAGCTTTACTTCCAACTATGTGGTCAATTTTGGAATAGGTGTGGTGTGGTGCTGAAAAAAATGTATATTCTGTTGATTTGGGGTGGAGAGTTCTGTAGATGTCTATTAAGTCTGCTTGGTGCAGAGCTGAGTTCAATTCCTGGGTATCCTTGTTGACTTTCTGTCTCGTTGATCTGTCTAATGTTGACAGTGGGGTGTTAAAGTCTCCCATTATTAATGTGTGGGAGTCTAAGTCTCTTTGTAGGTCACTCAGGACTTGCTTTATGAACCTGGGTGCTCCTGTATTGGGTGCATAAATATTTAGGATAGTTAGCTCCTCTTGTTGAATTGATCCCTTTACCATTATGTAATGGCCTTCTTTGTCTCTTTTGATCTTTGTTGGTTTAAAGTCTGTTTTATCAGAGACTAGGATTGCAACCCCTGCCTTTTTTTGTTTTCCATTGGCTTGGTAGATCTTCCTCCATCCTTTTATTTTGAGCCTATGTGTGTCTCTGCACGTGAGATGGGTTTCCTGAATACAGCACACTGATGGGTCTTGACTCTTTATCCAACTTGCCAGTCTGTGTCTTTTAATTGCAGAATTTAGTCCATTTATATTTAAAGTTAATATTGTTATGTGTGAATTTGATCCTGTCATTATGATGTTAGCTGGTGATTTTGCTCATTAGTTGATGCAGTTTCTTCCTAGTCTCGATGGTCTTTACATTTTGGCATGATTTTGCAGTGGCTGGTACCGGTTGTTCCTTTCCAGGTTTAGCGCTTCCTTCAGGAGCTCTTTTAGGGCAGGCCTGGTGGTGACAAAATCTCTCAGCATTTGCTTGTCTATAAAGTATTTTATTTCTCCTTCACTTATGAAGCTTAGTTTGGCTGGATATGAAATTCTGGGTTGAAAATTCTTTTCTTTAAGAATGTTGAATATTGGCCCTCACTCTCTTCTGGCTTGTAGGGTTTCTGCCGAGAGATCCACTGTTAGTCTGATGGGCTTTCCTTTGAGGGTAACCCGACCTTTCTCTCTGGCTGCCCTTAACATTTTTTCCTTCATTTCAACTTTGGTGAATCTGACAATTATGTGTCTTGGAGTTGCTCTTCTCGAGGAGTATCTTTGTGGCGTTCTCTGTATTTCCTGAATCTGAACGTTGGCCTGCCTTGCTAGATTGGGGAAGTTCTCCTGGATAATATCCTGCAGAGTGTTTTCCAACTTGGTTCCATTCTCCACATCACTTTCAGGTACACCAATCAGACGTAGATTTGGTCTTTTCACATAGTCCCATATTTCTTGGAGGCTTTGCTCATTTCTTTTTATTCTTTTTTCTCTAAACTTCCCTTCTCGCTTCATTTCATTCATTTCATCTTCCATTGCTGATACCCTTTCTTCCAGTTGATCGCATCGGCTCCTGAGGCTTCTGCATTCTTCACGTAGTTCTCGAGCCTTGGTTTTCAGCTCCATCAGCTCCTTTAAGCACTTCTCTGTATTGGTTATTCTAGTTATACATTCTTCTAAATTTTTTTCAAAGTTTTCAACTTCTTTGCCTTTGGTTTGAATGTCCTCCCGTAGCTCAGAGTAATTTGATCGTCTGAAGCCTTCTTCTCTCAGCTCGTCAAAATCATTCTCCATCCAGCTTTGTTCTGTTGCTGGTGAGGAACTGCATTCCTTTGGAGGAGGAGAGGCGCTCTGCGTTTTAGAGTTTCCAGTTTTTCTGTTCTGTTTTTTCCCCATCTTTGTGGTTTTATCTACTTTTGGTCTTTGATGATGGTGATGTACAGATGGGTTTTCGGTGTAGATGTCCTTTCTGGTTGTTAGTTTTCCTTCTAACAGACAGGACCCTCAGCTGCAGGTCTGTTGGAATACCCTGCCGTGTGAGGTGTCAGTGTGCCTCCCAGTTAGGCTGCTCGGGGGTCAGGGGTCAGGGACCCACTTGAGGAGGCAGTCTGCCCGTTCTCAGATCTCCAGCTGCGTGCTGGGAGAACCACTGCTCTCTTCAAAGCTGTCAGACAGGGACACTTAAGTCTGCAGAGGTTACTGCTGTCTTTTTGTTTGTCTGTGCCCTGCCCCCAGAGGTGGAGCCTACAGAGGCAGGCAGGCCTCCTTGAGCTGTGGTGGGCTCCACCCAGTTCGAGCTTCCCGGCTGCTTTGTTTACCTAAGCAAGCCTGGGCAATGGCGGGCGCCCCTCCCCCAGCCTCGTTGCCGCCTTGCAGTTTGATCTCAGACTGCTGTGCTAGCAATCAGCGAGATTCCGTGGGCGTAGGACCCTCTGAGCCAGGTGTGGGATATAGTCTCGTGGTGCGCCGTTTCTTAAGCCGGTCTGAAAAGCGCAATATTCGGGTGGGAGTGACCCGATTTTCCAGGTGCGTCCGTCACCCCTTTCTTTGACTCGGAAAGGGAACTCCCTGACCCCTTGCGCTTCCCAGGTGAGGCAATGCCTCGCCCTGCTTCGGCTCGCGCACGGTGCGCACACCCACTGACCTGCGCCCACTGTCTGGCACTCCCTAGTGAGATGAACCCGGTACCTCAGATGGAAATGCAGAAATCACCCGTCTTCTGCGTCGCTCACGCTGGGAGCTGTAGACCGGAGCTGTTCCTATTCGGCCATCTTGGCTCCTCCTCCAAAAATATTAAACTTAAAACAATTTCTTCTTTTAAAATATGTATTATGAGGGATGTTGTAGTATAGCCACTGTAGAATGAGAGAAAATATTATACAGATCTGAACATGTAGCAGGCGTGGAGCGCTCAGGTTTCACGGGTGGCCTTGGAGGTTCTGGCTCTGATGCTACAGAGACAGCCAAGTATAAAGGGGTCCCTGAGAACCTCCAACCTGGCCTGTGCACTGGGAGGAGTGTGCGCTGTGGGGGAGCCATGGAATTTTGTGCTGTCTGCAGTGGGAAGGAGCTTGGCCTCTCCTCTTCCGGGGCGGTAACCGGGGATTCAGTCTGTGAGGCGGGAAGCCCACTAGGAGGACTCTCACTTTGCTGAGTCTCTCTTTCCCTTCTTTCTTCTTCACCCAATAAACCCTGTCCTTCTCACCCTTCAAAGTGTCTGTGAGCCTAATCTTTCATGGTCATGTGACAAGAGCCCGGCTTTTAGCTGAACTAAAGAGAAAGCCTTACAGCACTACCATCCAGCGTCCTCCTCCTTCCTGCCCTGGATTCTTTAGAAATGACTGGAAACTCTCTCCAGAAGGTGTTTTCTGTGATGGCATAAATGGATCACTGGAGGCCCAGGGCCAGTGCTCTCTCTCTGCTGTGCTTCCTTGGAATTCTGGCCCCCAGCCCTTTCCTGAACGCGTCATCTCCTTGAGGGTAAAAGGAGCCAGAGAACACTATCATCGCAGATGCTTCATGTGAATTGTTCCATTTTTAAGACAAAGGACGACAGTTGGCCTTAAAAATAAATCTCATTTGTGTTTCTTTTGGTTGTGGAGAAGTAAAGAATTTTCAAAACGGGTCCTTTTTATATACAAACGTTTGTCTAAATAGAGCATCTTTAGATCTTAAAATGAACAGCAAAGCGAGCACTCGGAGATGCTTCTGTTGTGGGCTTTGGTAGACAGAGAGAGAGGTGAAGGTCCCTTCTATGCCTTTTTCTCTTTCAAATAGTTGTTTTTATTGTGGTGAAATATCCATAGCATAAAATTTACCACTTTTAACTGTGGAATGTACAGTGTAGTCAGGTTTAGCACCTTCATAATGTCATGTGCTCATCACCACCATCCATCTCCAGAGCTTCCTTGTCCTCCCTGAATGAAGCTCTGTACTCATGAAACACCAGCTCCTCATTTTCCCTCCCCTCCAGCCCCTGGTAACCACCATTCTACCTTCTGTCTCTATGAATCTGACTGCTCCAGACACCTCACATAAGCAGAATCATTCAGTATTTGTCATTTTGTGACTGGCTTATTATTTCACTTAGTATGAAGTCCTCAGGGTTCATTCATGTAGTCACATGTGTCAGAATTTTATTCAGTTTTAAGACTGAATAGTATCTCGCTGTATGGATATACCGCCCTTTGTCGATTCACTCATCAATGGACACTTGAGTTGTTTGCACCTTCCCCCGCTTCCCACTGAAGCCTTCCTCTCCATCAGTTCCCGGCTGTCGCTCCCTGCCTCTCCTTGGTGATCGCCTCTGGAACAGAATTTTGCTGTTAGGAGCCACTCCTGTCAACAGGATTTCCCAGAGTGTGTTAAAAGAAAAAGCAAATGGATAATAGCTCTAAATAAGAACTTGCTTTGGGTAAGCTTTGGTGACATCTGCAAGAAAAAAAAAAGTGGCCTGGGAAACAGGGAGGGTTCCTGGCATAATAAACATTTTCTTAAACCTTTATGCAAATCCCAGATTAGTAGATATTGCGGGAGTCAGTTTCTAAAAGAAAACTTGATTTCCGAAGGCCATGCACAGTTATTCTGTTTCTCCATGTGTTTTGTTTGTAAGAGGAAAACAGTGGAATAGAGAATGTTTGCCACAGCCAAGGTTTTCTCTAGTCCCTTTGGTAGGTGGAAACCAAGTGCTGGATGAAATTGTGTCTGGATGCTGAATAAAGACATGGTTTGCTGAATTCATTTTGGCAGCATACACTGAGGACAAAGCACCAGTGTACAACCACACTACTTAATTAGGATTCTCTGAAGACATGCCAATAGCATCTGCTCAGAAGTAGTGCTGCAAAAAGATTAGTCTTGATTTTGAGTATGACTTGATTTAGCCAGATGCATAGGCCCACTTCTTTAAAAGAAAGTCCAAATTTATCTTCTGTGTTCTTTGAGGGAGTGACAACCTAGAATCAGCTTGAAACATAAAATGTGCAAAGTAAAATTTTTACAATTATGATTGCACTTCTAGGATTTAGTAAACCTTTAACCACCAAGAGACTGGACTTGGGGGTGCGTTGCCTGTGATAGGATGCCAAGTTGTTTCTTGGCAGAAACATGGAGATTGTTAAACCAGGATGGTAAAGAGTGACTTTGTCTGTGTCAGCTACTCTGAAGCTATCCCTGAGTCCCCTGGAAGACATAAGCATCCCTTCCTCCATGACCCCAAGGCTCCTTGTGAATAATACCACATTAGAGCACTTGTCACGTCATGGTGGAATTTTCATGTGTACATGGGGTTTCATGTACACACGTGTGTATGTAAAGGGCACAGACTGCATTGTTTTATTCCAAGCATGGGGCCAATGTATTGCAGTAACAAGGACAACCTTTTATTAGATGGCTACTGATCACAGTGAGAAAGGCATTAGCACCATTTCACAACTGAGGACCAAGTAGTTTAGAATTCCCTCTGGTCACTCAACTCATAAGTGGACCCATGAGACCTGTGGGACTCCAAAGCTGGTGCTTTTCTCATTAGAACATGATTTCCATGTTGGTGGGAATACACCATATGTCTCATAAAAGAGTTAATTATCAAAATCACAATGACATTCTTCACACTCACTGGGATGGCCATGATCAAAAAAGATAATAGTAAGTGTTGATGAGGATGTGGAAAAATTGAAAACCTTGTAACTTCTGGAATGTACATTGGTACAGCTCCTTTGGAAGAGTATTTGGCAGTCACTCAAAAAGTTAAAGTTGCCATAAGACCCAACAATTCCTCTTCTAGGTATATACCGAAGAGAATGAAAACATATGTTCTTACAAAAATTAATACAAGAAGGGTCATAGCAGCATCATTCATAGTAGCCAAATGTCCATCAGCTGATGAATGGCTAAGTAAGTGTGATATATTCGTGCAGTTGAACATGATTAGGCAACAAAAAGGAATGAAATACAACACATGCTGCAACATAGATGGACCTCAGAGACATCCTGCTCCGTAAAAGAAGCCAGACGCAGAAAGTCACATATTGTATGATTCCATTTATGTGAAACATCCAGAATAAGCAAATCTGTATAGACAGAAAGTAGGTTAGTGGTTACCTAGGGCTGGGGATGGGGAGCATTTGAAGGGGATTGAGGAGGAACTGCTAATGACTTTGAGGTTCCTTTTTGAGATGACAAATTGTGATAATGGGAGCACACTGTATTAAAAACCATCGAACTGTATACTTTAAGTAGATGAATTGTCTGGTATGTGAATTGTATCTCAAAGCTGTATATAAAAAATAATTAATGAGGCCAGATGTGGCTGCTCATGCCTGTAATCCCAGCACTTTGGGAGGCTGAGGTGGGCGGATCACGAGGTCAGGAGATCCAGACCATCCTGGCCAACATGGTGAAACCCCGTCTTTACTAAAAATACAAAAATTAGCTGGGTGTGGTGGCACGTGCCTGTAATCCCAGCTACTCGGGAGGCTGAGGCAGGAGAATCGCTTGAACCCGTGAAGCAGAGATTGCATGCAGTGAGCTAAAATTGCACCACTGCACTTCAGTCTGGTAACAGAGTGAGACTCCGTCTCAAAAAAAATAATAAAATGAAGTTAAACCAAAGAAATACCAGGAGACAGTAACATTAAAGAAGTCTGAAAGAGCTCATACGAATGTATAAGGACCCCAGTAGATAAACTGGCAAAATAATTCTAAAAGAGAGCTTACAGTAGAGGGAATATAATTACCACACAGACAAATGGAAAACATTCTGGTTCTTTAACAAAGATATTAAAATTAGAAAAATAAAGTACTGTAATATTTCTCACATATTTAATTAGCAAAGCATTTTAAAAATGATTATCAATTGCTGGGAAAGAGAGCAATATTTTTCTATGTTTCAGGTTATATCGTAAATTGATACTACTCTTAGAAATCAGTGGCCATATATATCAAGAGTTGTAAAACATTTGTGGCTATTCTATTTTTAGAAATCTCTTCTAAAACATACAAAAATATAAAAATGAAAGACTAATGATGCAAATTATGACTCATTTATGTGGTCATTTAAAAATTAGAAAAATAAAAATTCAGTTACTAAGATTTTAAAGTTATATGTACTGTAAGTATAACTTACAGTAAAAAACAGGCAAGTTTAAAATTACTGAAAGGAAATAATTAAAATGACCCAGCGATGGAGTTGTGGTGGAGTTCTGGGAAATTTTTTCATTTCTTATTTTGTAATGCAATTACTTTTAAGTTTTAAAACATTTTTATAAATAGACCTTATATTTCTAAGAGTTATGCTTCCTAGAATATTAAGTTTTTGCAGATTATTTCAATCGGTAAAAATCAAAAGATGCCGGCTCTCTTGGCTGACCTTTAAATTAAAATACTAATGAAGCATTTATTACCATAAGAGAAAAATATGCTTAAAACACCTTTCATTAATTGTACTTTTGCCAAACCACTCTAGAGTTGAATGATTCTCTTTCTTTCCCAATTTACATAGTTCTGTGGGAAAAAATCGGACATACAGTGAGTTAAGTGGAGAATTGTTGCAAGCAAGCCATGAACTGCCTTTTAAAAGCTTGTCCTTTTGAGGGGAAGAGACATGGATTCTCCACTTCATCCCCTCAGTTAAACAAAAATCTGAGCCTTGCATATTTAAAGATAAAAATATACTTAATTTTTAAAGTTATTGTTTTGGTCCAGTTTAGAAAATACCACCTCATTTTCTCCTCCCTTATGTCTTGATATTGATCCCAAAGAATGTGCGTCAAACTAAGAAAGTTAATTTTCATGTAGCAACATCTGGTTCCTTAGCCAATTCAGGGAACTCTTGAGTGCTTATGCTCAGAGCTTTTGCTGCTGTTTCTAGATTCCACCCTCTGTTAGCTTCTCACAAGCAGTCCGGTATTTGGTAGAGTGTGGGGGGCCGGGGGCTCATGAAGTCAGATTCCAACGTGCAGGGTTTGTTTGAGATGCCTGTAGGATCAACCAGGTTTCACCTCTGGATGTATGTTTAATTCAGTGGACGTTGTCATTTTGATGGCACATACCCTTCAGTAAAAAGAGGTTAAAAGTATTCTAAAATGAGGTGGTGGATTATCTGTTTGGGTAGCTACATGGTCTCTGAAGTCTCTTCCATTTTAAGATAAAATTGCCAAAGACAGTTTTTACAAGTTTGGAACTTTCTGAGTGGGTGATACGCATTAGGGTTTTGGTGGTGCTGATTATTGCATCCAGAGGTTGGCCCTGACTTCTGTCGTCTGCTGGTCTTGGAATACATTGAAGCACACCGATTGGAGCACACCGACTGAAGCACACCGATTGGAGCACACCGATTGGAGCACACTGACTGAAGCACACTGATTGGAGCACACCGATTGGAGCACACCAATTGGCTTTTGCTTTTGGAGCTTGGTTATTGTGCAGTGTTCCCACTTACCTAATCATCACTTTGTTGGTGGTGGAGTGGAGGGCCTCACTCTGGTTCCAAGCAAGTCATTAGAATGATCTACAATTTGCAGTTCTAAAATCAGGAAAACTTGGGGTTTCTCCAAAGCCTGCATTAAACAGAACTTTTTCTTTCTTGAAGGTCCAGATCCATACTTAAATTTTACTTAAATTTTAATGAGTAATATTTTCCCATCAGTGGCCTAACGCACTATAAATTATGTATGCTGCACATTAAATTCATTTTTATTTTTTCACAAACTGGACTTAATGGCATTTGTTGTTTTGTATACCCTATACGATAGAAATTTGTTGCTGAAAAGGAATTCAGGGGTCCTCCAGATCACTGGTTTCCAAACCTGACTCTTTAGGAAGAAAACAAACAAAAATCCTCCAGTTTCGTTATGGACGTGATGAATGAGACACCCACGGAGTATGGCCCAGGAATCTGTTCTCATAAAGGTCTCCAGGAAGGTTGGGAAGGAGGAGGGAAGAGCGTAGAGCTATTCTCCCTGAAAAGAAATAGGCCAAGAGTTGATTGTTGTGTTAGCTGGTAATGGGTACTTAGGGATCCATTATTCTCTCTGCTCTTTGCATGTATTTGAAATTTTCCATAATGAAAAGACTTTTAAAAAAGATTAAATAACAGCTTCCCAGGTGATCCTGAAAATCAGCCAGGTTTGGGCAGCACAATCAATCCGCCTCTCCCCCTTAACAGGTGAGAACAGGAAGGCGAACGAGGCCATGCAGTTTGCGTGAATGAAGAACTCATATAGGATCTAGAACTCCTGTTTCTGCCCCATAGGCCTAAGCCCTTAACTCCTCATGGCCTCCTCAGACTAATCATTTTGCTGACCTTCTTAGCATTTTAAAAGAGAATTAATAAATCTGACTTGTATGATTCACTTACTTTTTTTTAAACACAGAGGAGTGTTGAGTGTTTTTGAGATGTTTTTCTTTCTTCACACATTTTTCTAAGATCCTTTTAAACCCATTCCATTGGACTTCAAGGTAGCTATTGGCTTTTCAAACATAGGTTACGGGGCTACTACTTTGCCGCTAGTTAGTGTGTGAGGCCACTGGTAAATGAATGAATGAATGAGCAGTAAAGGTGCTGAAAAGTGTAATGCGTGTCTATATGAAGCAGTGTCTATTGAGCAAACCGGAGAGACCAGCTCCATCCTGGAAAATTAAAACAATGGTACTGTGACTTTGCCTATTGCCAATCATCGATCAGTCCTGTCGGTCTGACTTAACCTTCTAAAGCTCTTTACCACAGTGTATAGATAAGTTGCCTGTCATGTAAATATATCTTATTGATTTTGTCAGGCAGCTGGCCAGTTTTCTTAAAAATGTGTCAAATTGTCTGAATGATTTGACCAGAAACCCCGAGAGTCAACGTGAGGAGGAAAGAAAGAGGAAGGGAACGGGGAAAAAAAGGGAAGGAAAAAGACAAATACCACCTAATTGAGACTAAAGGAATGATCACTGGGGCTACCATGGCTTTTGTTTGGTTTTGGCAAGGCTTTATTTTATTTTTTTTTTACTGTCAGTGAAAACAAGAATTTGTATTGCAGGAAAAACAAACTAACAAGTGTTTTTTCCTACTGTACTCTCAACACAAAGTGCTTCTGGTCACCAAAATGTGGAGAGATGTTGCCCCCCACCCACACACAAAGCAACTCTCCAGCAGACACCAACCGGGTGTCCTATAGTTCAGTGTAATTCTGAGATTATCTACCTGGAGATAGCATCAGGTCCGACAAGATAAGGGTTCAGTCCCACAACACTGCCCCCCACCATCCCTGCTTCAGACACTACTCATAAGTACAGGTTACCCATAGCTGATGTCCAATTTAGCTACAAATTGACCCCCTTTTAGGGTTCTCTTGTTTGCTAGGACAGCTCGCAGAACTCAGGAATGCACGTTACTTACATTTACCAGTTTATTATCAAGGATATTACAAAGGATACAAATGAACAGCCAGGTGGAGGAGATGCACAGGGCAAGGGATGTGAGGAGGGGCCCAGAGCTTCCATGGCCTCCCCGGACCCACCATCAACAGAGCTTTCTGAACCCTGAAGTCCAGAGACTTTTATGGAGGCCTTCTCACACAGGCATGACTGATGATTCACTCCATCTCCAGACCCTCACCCCTTCCTGGAGACTGGGGAGCAGTAGAGCTAAAAGTTTCAAGCTTCTAGTCATGGCTTGGTCTTTCCAGTGACCAGCCTGTATCCAGGAACCCACCCAGAGTCACCCCATGATAACAAAAGACACTCCCATCACCCAGGAAATTCCAAGGGATTAGCTCTGTTTCAGGATGTTGGAAATGAGTGCTTGAGTCGCAAAGGAAATAACACTCGAACAGAAAATATCTCAGCAAAGCAAATTTACTTCTGCAGAAGGGTGCTTCCTGTTTCAGTCACGATCGCAAGAGCACACCGAACAAGGGAAGGAAGGGGTTTTTAACCCTAACTCAGTTCCTGTCTCTGTGTCCTTCCCCTATTGATTGGGGTTGGACTGCACAACCTAAGATCTAAGCTGACCCGACTGGCTACTGTTTGAAATTGCGGAGGGCTAGTTGGGTGGGAAAGGAGAGACTGTCCATTACAGTACAAGGCATGTCAGGGTGCAGCAAGAGCAGGAAGGGTGGTTTAAATACTAGAAACGAGAGTACAAGGAAGTTGGGCTTCAGAACAAAGAACAAGGACATTACAAGTTAAACCCTTTGAAGAGGAATTTTATCATCCCTGACAAGGAACTGGGGTCAAAGACCAAATATTAGAACAAAAAAGTCTCCTAACATCCCTGTTGCTCAGGAATTACAAAGATTTTAGAATCTCTGGGCCACGAACTGGGGGAGGAGTCCAAGTGAATATTTCTTATTATATCCCAGTATTGCTTTATTTTTGTTATAGATTTATCAAGATACAATTCATGTACCCATAAGCTTCACCCATTTAAAGTGTATAGCTCAGTGATTTTTTGTGTATGCCTAGAGTTGTACAAATGCTACCATAATCTAATTTTAGGATATATTCATCACCCCTAAAAGAAACTCTATACTTACTAGTAGTCATCTCCCTTTTCCCCATTATCCCGACCCTTGGCAACCACTAATCTACTTTTTGTCTCTATGGATTTGTCTATTCTGGACACTTCACATAAATGGAATAATACAGTAAATGGCCTTTTGTAACTGGCTTCTTGTATTGTGTTTTCAGGGTTCATCCATGTTGTAGCATGTCATAGTGCTTCATTGTTTTAATGGCCTAATAATACTCCATTGTATGGGTGTACCACATTTTGGTTATCCATCATCAGTTGATGGACATTTAGGTTGTCTCTACATTTTGGCTATTGTGAATAATTCTGCCATGAACATTACAGGTTTCATGTGGACACATGTTTTTTGTTTTCTTGGGTCTGTACCTAGGGGTAGAATTGCAGGGTCACATGTATTAAGCATTTTGAAGAACTGGCAGTTTTCTGAAGTGGTTACACCATTTTATGGTTCCTCTAGCAATGAGTTGAGGGTTCTGATTTCTCCACATCATTGCCAACATTCATAGTTACAGATCTTCTTGATTCTAGCCATCCTCATGGATGCAAAGTGGTACCTCATTGTGGTTTTGATTTGCGTTTCCCTATGGCTAATGATGTTGAACATGTTTTTATGTGTTTATTGGTCATTATATATCTTCTTTGGAGAGCATGTATTCAAATCCTTGGTGCATTTTTATAATGGATTTATTTATCTTACCATTGATGGGAAAAACACTTGTTTTATTTTACACATATCTCACTTTGTGAGTAAAAAAAAAAAAAAAGATTGGAGGCCAGATTCAGTGGCTCATGCCTGTAATCCCAGCACTTTGAGAGGTCACAGTAGGCAGATCACCTGAGGTCAAGAGTTTGAAACCAGCCTGGTCAACATGGTAAAACCCTGTCTCTACTAAAAATACAAAAATTAGCTGGGCATGGTGGCAGGCGCCTGTAATCCCAGCTATTTGGGAGGCTGAGGCAGGAGAATTGCTTGAACCCAGGAGATGGAGGTTGCAGTGAGCCAAGACCACACCATTGCGCTCCAGCCTGGGCAACAAGAGCGAAAATCTGTCTCAAAAAAAAAAAAAAAAAAAAGACTGGAAAAAATAACAAATATTTTAAACACCCAAGAGACATTATTAACAGTTTGATTGACTTATAGTTCCATGTAACCTAATTTTAGGGCTCATTCTGGTAGTGGAAGAAACCTGACATTGGTAATATATAAATAGAGTGCACACACAGAATCCTGAATCCTTTTAATGCCTATTAGGATGGGTGCTAAGCCTGCTGGGAGAATACTGAGTTAGTGGAGATAACTGATTTACATTGAGAACGTTCTGATATTTGTGATTTTCTCATACTATATAAATTAGAGATTCATATGTGCAATTGAGAATATTTCACTGATTCTGTTGGAGGTTTTTTTTTTTTTGTCTTTAGCTAAGTTGTATGGAAACTCAAGAGATAAGTACCTCATTTGTGGTATTGTGAATTTTTCCAGGGGAAGAAAACCTTTTTTCTCTTACAAACAGTTGAAGAAAATTATCTTTTCTGTTTTTAAATTATCATAATTGGGTTTCTCCATCACAGATTTGTCAAACTATAGAGTATGTATAAAGTCATGTTTATTCATTTGATATTCTCAACATAAGTATTCTAAACTTGATTATGTTAATTCAGAAGAATAGAACATTAAGCTTAGAATTAGGCAAATATATACAAGTTGCAATTGTGTACAGGGATTGCTTATATTTCCAGGATAAAATCAAATCTTATCCCCAAATCTAATTAGCAGCTGTTCATTGGTGTATTTGACATACAGCAGCCGACTTTTCTCACCTCAATAAACCACTACATCATCAACAGATGCAGCGGAGCCTTGACCGCTAATTAGAGTTCTCTGCCAGAATCCTAGAGCCTGATGTTGGCTCTGTGAAGAGTTGAGTCAAGGACATCCCAGCAGTGGTTTTTGGAGGAAGGAAAATTAGAGGTTAAATGCATAGCCGTCTACACAAGAGAGATGGTTATTTTTTTAGATGCACAGAAGTGGATCTCAGCATTATAAATACTTTTATTAATCAGTGCTCTTTGCTACTTTAAATCTGTTTCCAGACTCCACTAGTTTCCTAAAGCTGCTGCAGCCAATTACCAAACTCGTTTTCTTAAAACAACGGAAATTTATTCCCTCACAATTCTGAGGCTAGAAGTCCAAAAGACACCCATCAAGGTGTCTCCAGGCCATGCTTTGTGCGAGGCTCTAGGGAAGAATCCTTCCTTGCCTCTTCCTGGCTTCTGGGGCCTCCCAGCAACCCCTGTGTTCCCCAGCTTGCAGCTACATCACTCCAATCTCTGCCTCCGATTCACATGGCCATCTCCTCTCTGTGTATCTTTGTGTGTGTGTCCTTTTCCTTCTTGTAAGGACACCAGTCATTGGATTTAGGGCCCACCTTAATCCAGTATGACTTCATCCTTTTTTTTTTTTTTTTTTTTTTTTTTGAGACAGAGTCTTGCTCTGTCACCCAAGCTGTAGTGGCACGATCTCTGCTCACTGTAACCTTCACCTCCCAGATTGAAGGGATTCTTGTGCCTCAGCCTCCCTAGTAGCTAGGACTACAGGTGTGCACCATCACACCCAGCTAATTTTTGTATTTTTGTATTTTCAGTAGAGATGGGGTTTCACCAAGATGGCCAGGCTTGTCTTGAACTCCTGGCTTCAAGTGATCTGTGTGCCTTGGCCTCCCCGAGTGCTGGGATTACAGGCATGAGCCACCATGCCCAGCTGACCTCATCTTAACTTAACTAAATTGCACCTGCAGAGACCCTATTTCCAAATAATATCACTCTCTCCGATTCCAGCTGGACGTGAAGTGGAGGGGCAGGGGGTTGGGAGGATGGGACACAGAAACCTGGCCACTCCATTTTTGAGGTACATTTTTAATGATTGTAGATTTTCATGTATGCTACCTATCAAACAAGATAACGACATCTCACAGATTTGGGGGCGTATGTTTGTATATTTCCGGAAGGACTCTAAAAATCCAGATGGAAATTGATATTTTTGAGGCATCTACCACACGTGAGGCAGTTTTGCATCAATTATCTCCTTTAATTCTGTGAAGTTACTTTCTATTTATTCTGGTTCCTCATATAATTGCAATTTGCTGAATTTGTTGGTGAGTTCTTAAAAATGTTACCGTTTCCTACCTGTTACCATATCTGTGTTTATCTCATGCCAAATATATAAATAACTCTTCCTCAGCCACTTAACAGCTAAATTTGGGAGAGATTCTGAAACTACATGGGCCTCAGTTTCCTCATCTGTAAAAGGGGGCCAGCAATTCATCATTAACCTTGTGACATTGTGGTGGCTGGCAAATACCGTGTCAAACAGGAAGTGTTCCACAAGTGGCAGTTCCTCGTTATGCTTTTCTTAAAGCTCTTTTGGAGGTGTGCACAAATTCTTATTCTTTTTGTGCTTACTGCCAAAAAGGGTTTAGGGATACATGTGTCGTACCATCCCATTTTCCAGTAGAGACATTGTAATTCATGGGCATATCAGTTAAGAATTGGATGCAGCTGTATACAGTACAAAAATTCCAAATAACAGCAGACTGAATGAGAATGTTTATTTTTCCCTCATGTGAAAGGAGTAGGGAGGGGGTGGGCCAGGGCTTCAGAGCAGTTCCACAGTCATCAGGAACCAGGCTTCTGTGTCTCTGTTGTACCATACAAGCCCAGGGCTTCCATGCACAGTCCCCTCTGACCCCAAATGGCTGTGTAGCTCCAGCCCTCGCGTTTGTGATGCATGCTACCAACATGTAAAAGGACAACCAGGATGCCTCTCCCAGCTGAGTGGCCTCCCTCTAGGCAGCTTTTCAGGAAGTTTCCACATAACACTTCCACTAATATCTCATTTGTTCAGTGACCATGTTTAGCTGCAAAGAAGGGGAAAAATGTTTTCTTCTGTTTCAGGCCTCGGTGTGCCCAGCTCAAATGAGGGTTCTCTTATGAAGGAGGGAGGGGAGTGGATGTCGGGGTGGGTAGCCAGCATTCTGTGCTGTAATGGGATTGTATTCTGTAGGGCTCTGAAGATAGCACTTGGGGATTGAGGAGTCTGGTCTGGGAAGTGAACCTTGTATGTAGCTCTGGATCTAGGGTTCTAAACATCCTGCTTTAGAACTACAGCCTTGTAAGTGATTTTTGAAACAACTCATTCATAGGCAGAGAACTGTCTATCCTTCAAGCCTGAGAGAAAATGAATAATTTACCTCTCCATTTTGATCACCTGCCACTGTAGCATTGGTCCTTCCAGGCCTGCGTGTGCCCTGGGAGGGTGAAACAAAGCTTTGCCAGAGGTGCCTCCACTGTAAAGCAAACCCACAGATAGTAACTGTTGAAACCAGCACATCCCTGTGCAGTGAAAAGGGCATTCCGTCGGCAGTCACCACCTTGGGCCTGGTCAGGGTTTCAGTGAAATCCCTTTCCTTATGTTCTGCTGGCATTGAACATAAGGGAAGGGATTTCACTGAAATGTTGAATGTTCAAATCCAAGCAGCTTCAAGGAATCCCCCCAGCTCCCTTGCTGTCAGGACAGGAGGTGGATCTCTGGGACCTCTTGAAACTGCTTGGAATTGGAACATTCATTGCTTTTCTCTAGACCCAGAACTAAGGCAGCTTTGCTCAATGCCTTGCTCAGCCATTTCGCCAAGTGAGGTTTTATGCAATGTTACTCGTCACTACTCTGAATCCCAGTTTCAGATTGCAGGACAAACAGACGCCTTTTTAATCATTGATGCCCCTTCCTAAGGGCCCAATCAGAAAGTCTGACTGGGCCCTAGCAAATCATTCCTTGCCAAATGTACATGAATGCCAGTTCTAGGAAGAATGAAATAGTAAAAATTTGTAGAAATCAACATGTCATGTGGAATTAGCTTAGCACATTCCAGTGGCTCTAGGGGTCCTTGTCCCCCACTCTCGCCTTATAATAAATATAGAAAGAACATTGTCCATTCAACCCTAAGACTTGGATTCTGGCTGTGCCATGACACCTGGTAGCTGAATGTCTTTGAGCTCATCTTTCCTCACGTAGATGATGAGTGAGGTGCAATGGTGAAGGCCCTCTGTGGCTTTGTGATTTGTTTACTTGATTATTTATTGATTCCATTCATGTTGCAGATGTCTGTCGAGTATCTGCTGTGCCCAGGCACCGTGCTAGGCACTGGGGGCACACAGAGTGAGTAAGGCACGAGGGCAAGTTCCATCCATCTCTAAGAGCCATGCAGACTGAGGTTGGAGCTGCGTGCACAGGGTTATCTGCCCCCAGCTACCAGAGCCCATTTCCAAGATGGTGGAAACCACTTAGTGGAGTCTACACTGCAGTGAGACAGATTTGCTCTCAGCCATTGTCACACTATTAATTAGCTTCCACTGTGTTAAGTGCCATAAGCCTTTGTTCCAGAGGAATCCAAGTGGGAGAAAAAGAGCAGAGTGGCTGGAAGGTTAGGTGGTAAGGAGGCACAGAGGAGGGAGAGGGGGCTGGGGCCAGGGAGCTGCTGTCATGGGCAATGGGAAGCTAGCAGGGGTGGGGCCGTGGTCAGTTTCTTGGTGGGAGCAGGAGCTCCAGCTTTCCTGTGGCTCAGCTGAAGGTTGGGTACGAACGGGACATAGGGCTGAACAGTTCACATTGTTAAAAATAAATAAGTTCCTCGTTTATAATTCTGATTAACACAGAACATTTATAAAATACAGCCTCTGGAAAAGTGACACAAAATGCATTACAATATGTCATTCTCAATCTTTTAATAATGAAAAATGTGAGACGCCCAAGATCAAAGGAGGCACATGTTCAGGGAACTGTTTCATCTCAGAGCTTGATGGGGACAGGATGATGGACTGGGTTTTAAAAATGGACTACCTGGTCAGTTTCATGTCTTTTGACCTACCTCGGTATGGGCTGTTTTCCTCATGTTTATAATCTAGTTTAGGAGCTTTTTCCCATCCTGGCTCGTTGGCTGGTTTGAAGCCTCACTTTATTCTTCAGAAGGGCCTTGGTCTGTCCACCACCAGATGTCTCATGTGTTATCTGACACATACCAGCTTCGTGGATATCAAAGGGGGAGGATTACAGGGCCATTGAGATCAAAACAGAGCAAATTTGATGATGAACCAGGGGAAACAGGCCAAGATGTGTCCCTAATGGGCTTGTTCCATCCGTTTGAGTAAATTATGCATGGGCTGGCTTGGAGCTGCCAGCAGAAGCAGGTAGATCTGCCTCCACCTGCCAAACCCAGATCCAAATATGGAAGAAACCACAAGGCAGCCACTGACTGTGGCCACAAATGGGCACATAGTTTACCTTCACTTTTTGAAAACCATATTAAAATTGAGTCAGCACTCCATAGAACTGCTTGATGACCACCAGGCCTTCCTTTATAAAGTTCTCATGAAGAACATTAACTTTTGGGAAATGAAGCACTTATATGACTATCTAGTAGAGTAGGAACTACGAACTTCTTATGTTACAATGAGAGAGCCATTCTTATTTTTTTGAACCAAGATTGAGAGTTTTGTCAGGCCAAGAGGCAGCAGGCTAATTTCTCAACCTTTCAGGTGCTAGAAACACATTGTGTCATGAAAATTTAGTTGCCCCAACGTGGTGCCCTGTTGATTTTTAAGTCAAGGGCAACTTCATTCTTTTAGTACACTGTTGGAAGAATCTTGTCCTGGAGGTGTTAAGATTGCCTTCATTAAACATAGTCATTCAGGCCGAATGCAGTGGCTCACACCTGTAATCCCAACACTTTCGGAGGCCGAGGTGGGTGGATCACCTGAGGTCAGGAGTTCGAGACCAGCCTGACCAACATGGCAAAACCCCGTCTCTACTAAAAATACAAAAATTAGCTGGGTACGGTGGTGGGCGCCTGTAATTCCAGCTGCTGGGGAGGCTGAGGTGGGAGAATTGCTTGAACCCAGGAGGCAGAGGTTGCAGTGAGCTGAGATCGTGCCATTGCACTCCAGCCTGGCCAATGAGTGAAACCCTATCGCAAAAAAAAAAAAAAAAGAACATAGTCATTCATTTCTTCGTTCACTCTCATTTTTTTCTAAGTGTATACATACAGTCTTTACTCTGTCTATAGTCTCTACACAAAGTATAAGTATTTCATTTATTAGAAGAAAACATTAACTGTTTTGGGGCCCATTATAATGAATTTTTAAAACATCACAATTTTAGAATTATGATTTTAAAAAACTTTACTACCAGGTACAGTTTTGAGAAAGCTCTGGGACATTGAATAGCTCTGTGGCTCCCAAAGATAAGTCGTAGACATCACAATAACAAGGGATTATAGTATTTGAGACCTTACTCATGAATTTTAATAAAAGGCTGTGTGACTCAAGCGATTTCGTATTCTGGGAAATGTTCAAATTCTGTACTACATGCCTACATTCTGCAGGGTTAGGCTGGGAACATAGACCTTTGCTGAGAATCTGAAGAGAATTGCTAAGGCAACTGTGTCCCATATCCTCAGGTATAAATCTTCCCTCCCTCCCTCCCTTCCTTCCTTCCATTTGCTCATTTATTCACCTACCCATTGATTATCATAATTCTATCAACTTTTAGAATCTTGAGACTTTCCCCAGGAAATAGATGAGGAGGGGGAACCCATATAAGTAAAGTTGATCTCATTGGGCATAATTAGCTCAAATATTATATACTCTTCCCTCAAGAACTGAGAATGTAGGGCTTTATAGATTTTAAAAAATCTCATAGTCTTGGCATTTTTTTTTCTGGCAATCCAAGTCAGCTGGAGAAGCTAGGGTCGGGAAACTAGTTTTGCAAACTGGCAGAAGTAGTGGTTCTTTACTAAGATGGCTCAATTGAGTCTCTCTCATAAACTGTTAGATTATGGGCGTCAGAGCTGTTTCCAAAAGGAAACAAATTGGAGTCCCTCTCCTCACTCTCTTTCGTATCATCTAGGTAAATTGTTTAAAATTGGTCTGTGACTCTGGCAGGTGTCAACCGCTCCAAGTGACTGTAGGTTTGGGGTTGCCCTAAAGCCAAATGCGTAGATGATGAAAGCATTAAGAACTTCTAAACATGAGAGCAACAGCTGACGCCATCTACACGGGGCTGTTGGGTTTTTTCCTCTGGAAGGAAGTGACAGTTGGATGCCTGGCACTTTCACATGGCCTATTTTCCCCATGGGAAGTTTTATAAAAATATCCATTAAGGCTGGTTTGTATATGCAACAGAAGGGCATAATATGCCCCTCAAATGAATATCATTATCTCCATCCATGAACTAAAAGCGTTTGAGGGATGGCAATGCTGTGCAAATTCCACAAAGCCACAGCTTTTGGCAGAGCTCAACTATGTGGAAACCGATCTCTTCTCTCTCCCCGTCTCAGTGTCTCAAGGAAAAACCTCATTAAGCAGACACCTTAAGAAGTGTATTATCTTCCCTTTAAACCTCCAAAAGGGAGGGAAGAAAAGGAGGGATGTGAGAGTGAAGCTGCCTGTGTCATGTCCAGAAGACTATCTGGAAGTCTTTTTTACCTTTCTTTGCTTTCTTAATCACCTCGTTGAGGTTATAAAGTCACGAAGGAGACTAGATTTGGTAGTTGTTACTTTAAAACAGCCCAAAACATTTATAAAAACAGGTTTTTGGGGGGTAATGAAAAAAAATTTAAGTCAGCCACACCGTCACATGTTCCCTTAAATAGCCACAGTGGGGTCATTGGTAACATAGACCCATAAGCACATGCTCCATACAGAATGGGTCATGCAGCTTTCAAAGAGCAGCCCTTCCTCAAGGAGCTGTGTTACGTGAATACTCATCAAAGAAATTATCCATGCCGCTTCTTTCTAACTCAGTGAAAACTTGATGAAATAGATAAAATCCACAAAGCTGTTTAGCCCTTCATTGAACAGCCTATTTTAGCTGGTGCCTATTTTCCTGAGATTATGAAAAATCCAGTTCCCTCTTTACAATAGTCACCAAAAACCTCCATTTCCACAAAGGGAGTAGGATTGCCTCTGGTCAGTAAATGGCGATTCCACCTCTGGGTAGGCAGAAGAAAAGGGGAAGCAATAAGTGGGAGGGAAGCACCTATAACAGGAAAATGCAACTTTTCTAGAAGTGTCTAGGAGACTTGTGTTGAGATCTGACTGGCCAGAGCTATGGCCTGTGGCTACCGATAGCTGCAGGAGAATCGGGGAAATGTATTTTGTTAGCTAAACATGTCATTTCAACAAAGCTCAGAAATCTATTCATAAGGGGAAAAAAAATGAATGGCTTTTGGTCAGAGGCCTAGCAGTGTCTGCTACTGGAAGGGAATTCAGGCCCAGGAAGTGAAAACCGAGTGATTCTATCTAAGAAGTCAAAGTGAACACAGTGAATAGTTTGCATCCCATACAGATAGCTCACTATCGGCAGTCCACAGAAAGTGTACATTGACTGTATCTGGAGGGCCAAAATTTCAGCCAAACATCTTGCCTAATTATTCTGTGCATGTTTTTTAAGGGGAAATAAATCTGTCTTGCAGCTAACAAAATAGCCTTGAGTCTTAGAGTACATTTTATCATGGAGCATCTGAAAATAACTCAGCTCTGAAGTTCCATGATGAAGTTGTCCCCTGGCAATGGGGTAAAAATAAGTCTTTATCCATTCATCAGCACAAGTTTAGCTAGGCTCTTTCAATGACTTAGTTCTAGCTTATGCATCTGCTCCTAAAACAATATTAACTCCTAATAGTCTCCCTAAAGAGGAACTCAAAGTTCTGTAGAGAAGACTCTGGTTGACTTTGATGTTCATCAAGATGAGAGGCTCTTTTTTGTTCTCAAGATTCTGGATTAAATGAGCTGTCCCAGTCAATGAAAACTTGGGGCTTCAGGAACCTAACAGAGCCAACCCAACAGAAAGGCTAGGTGTTTGATTTTCATTAAATGGCATTTACTTGTCAACACTGTAATTCTTGGAATTCAAGTGTGTCTTTAAATATTTCCACTAGAAGCTAATCAAAATCATGATTTTATCCATTGAAGCATTTAAAAATGTGATTATTTCTTCTCCAAGGATCTAGAAACCCTATTTCCTCGTATTCTTTGTGTTTAAAAACATACTTTGCTTTAAGTTTACTATTGTGAAACCTGTTATAATCAATTCAATCATACCACCCGTTTTGACCACTTAGTGTTCAGAGGATTATTTGCTCCATTTAGGAATTAGAAATCTTCATATCTTCATTAGAACCAGATTTCTTTGCGAAGTCTGTGGTTCTTGTAGTGGGAGTTAAGAGGAAGCATTAAAAATATCTGCTTCGTTCATGGAGTAGATGCACTTTTCAGGACAGATCCCTGTTACTGATCTGGTGTTTTCTTTGAAAATGTCACAGAAACCTCCAAGAATGGCAAGCAAAAGTAAGAAATAGTACCTCCTCTAGGTGCATACGTCCCAGGTGTGATCAGAAAGAGCTCATTTGAAGCAATGTATTTGCATATGTCAAAATAATCTGATCCTCTAATGCATTTCCTCTGTTAAGCCATAGCAGGATTTTGCAGCTAAATTCAGAGAGTCAGCAAGAAGAAAAGGGTCTTTAAAAATAAGTTGAGGCTGGTTGCAGTGGCTCCTACCTCTAATCCCAGCAATTTGGGCGTCCACGGCGGGAGGATTGCTTGAGGCCAGGAGTTCAGGATCAGCCCGGGCAACATAGTGAAACTCCATCCATTTAAAAACAACAACAACAAACAGCTAGCCATGGCAGTAGCTCTTCAGGAAGCTGAGGCAGGAGGATTGCTTGAGCCCAGGAGTTCAAGGTTATAGAGAGTTGTAATCGTACCACTGCACTTCAGCCTGGGTGCCAGAGAGAGACCTTGTCTGTCAAAGAAAAATAAAATAGGTTGACTAACAGTCATAATAACCAGCAGCCTTCCTGCAGACTCTTCATAAATACTGAGTTGTTTATAATTAATTGTTTGCAAGCAATGACCTTCTCTTTCTGTAACCTGAGAAATGAGATTAACAATAACAGAGGAAAGCCAATTACAAACAGATACGTTTACCATCAAAATTTTAGCCCAACAGGGCAGATCAGAAGCCCCAGATGGCTCACTTCTTTTCATCTGTGCTTAAGAATGCAGTGACCATATAACAAAGAATTTAAAAATTAATTGTAATGAGAGAATTGACCCATGGTGGTTACCTTTTCTTAGGACCATGGTTTTCATTTTAATGTGGAAAACTGACATCCCCTGGAAAAGTAGATATTAGAGTAACACTTGTTGGGTAATTAACTCAATAAACAAGGGAACTGACTTGTATTAGTCCATTTTCACGCTGCTGATAAAGACATACCCAAGACTGGGAAGAAAAGTAGGTCTAATGGACTCACAGTTCCATGTGGCTGGGGAGGCCTCACAATCATGGCGGAAGGTGAAAGGCACTTCTTAACACGGTGGTGGCACGAGAGATGAGAAAGAATCAAAAGTGGAAACCCCTTATAAAACCATCAGATCTTGTGAGACTTACTACTACAAGAACAGTACGGGGGAACCGCCCCCATGATTCAATCATCTACCACCAGGTCCCTCCCACGACATGTGGGAATTATGGGAGTACAATTCAAGATGAGATTTGGGTGGGGACACAGAGCCAAACCATATCATGACTCTTCCCAGGAAACCGTTGATTTGTGAGTTGAATATAGGCTCTGCTGCTTATTTAGTTTTTTCTCCCATTTCCTGTAGGACAGACATTAGGACAGTTTTTCTTCTCTATCTTCCACTGGTCATTTCTTTGGTAAAAGAAGTTGAATTGCTCCTTCTTTGTACCAGAATGCCTGTGTTATCACTTGTAGCAATAGAAATTCACAAATGTAATCAGATGAAAGGTCTAGAATTTTCCTCAGTGGATAACAATGTAAGTATCACTTGATTATTCCATCCTTAATTACTGACCTCAGCCAGATTTTTTTTTGCCTGAACTTGATGTAGGCTTTTAAAGAGACAGGTACACATCAGCGGGCAATAGATTTGTTTAGAGACCTTGGAAGCCTGATTTGCAAAGTAACTTCATGTAATGGTGTGTCACCCACGAAGGAATGGGTGGAAAGCTGCAGCTTGGGTTAAATGTCACCATTGTCATTATCTTCAGCAAACATGTATTGAGCTCCCAGGAGATATGCAACGTGGTCTCTGATCTCCAAGAGTGTGCCGTGCCTTGGGAGGGAATGCAGGATTCATTCGTTTGACAGATGTTCACAAAGAACCTGCTTGATGCAGTGGCCCTCTTTTGGGTGCTGGAAGCTCAACCATGAGCAAGGCAGATCAGGTCCCTGCTACGTGTAGAATTTACATTTTAAAGAAAAAGTTGAATTTAAACAAAAATGGAATAAGAAAGATAAAGCTAAATAAGAAATAAGATAACAGAACAAAAGCTCTGGAGGGCCCCTTTAACCGAGAGAGTCAAGGAAAACCTGGAGGAGTAGGAGGCAGGCACAGTTGAGTTGAGCCCTGAATGACAAGTGAGGCATCCTCCTGAAGAGCTGGGGTGCCTGGCTCCAGGCTGATGGACAGCAAGTGCAAAGGCCCTGAGGCAAGGAAATGTTTAAAACCTATGCTGAGAAGAGGTGAAGAGAGGGGAGAGAGGGACTTTCCTGACCAGGGCAGGGAGTAGGGGGCTGTACCCAAAGACACTGAGGAAAACTTGTAGGGTGTCATCAAGTTGACAGAGAGTCCTGTGGTGGGAAAAGAGACTGAACAATTACATTGGGTCAAATGGTAGCCGGACTAAGTAGGCACTGGGGAGTGACTAGAGGTTTTTGAGCAAAGGAGTGATGCATGCCAGTCAGTGAATCCTGAAGAGTTAATCTGACTGGGGTAGAGTGTGGCATGGGGAAGGAAGCCACCGAGAGGCTAGATATGGGGCTGTAAGGCCTGGCTTAGTCTGGTAAAGTGGGGTTAGCATGAAAGGGCCAGTTCAAGAGACATTGCCAGCCACATGGACAGTTTCATCTTGGCCAGTTATCTCCAGACTCTGAAACTCTCTCTCAGTCTGTTTCTACTATTGTAGTACTTTGGGGAAGGAGTAGGGAGAAAAAGATCATAGACTTGAACAAATCAGGTGCCACTGGGCAGAGGGTTCTAAATTTGCACTCTCCAACACAGTAGCCACTAGTCACCTGTGGTGATTTAAATTTAAATGAATTATTTGGCCAGGCGTGGTGGCTCACACTTGTAATCCCAGCACTTTGGGAGGCCAAGGTGGGTGGATCACTTGAGGTCAAGAGTTTGAGACCAGCGTGGCCAACGTGGTGAAACCCCCTCTCTACTAAAAATACAAAAAATTAGCCAGGTGTGGTGGCAGGTGCCTGTAATCCCAGCTACTCTGGAGACTGAGGGAGGAGAATCTCTTGAACCCAGGAGGCGGAGGTTGCAGTGAGCCAAGATTGTGCCTAGGTGACAGAGTGAGACTCCATCTCAAATAAATAAATAAATAAATAAATAAATAAATAAATAAAAAGAATTATTTGCAAATAATTGCATCATTAGAAAAAAATTATAAATGAATTAAAAGAAATTTAAAGAATTCATTAGGAGTCACCACATTTCAAAGGCTCAGTAGTCATAGAAAGCTAATGGTTACTATATTGAAGAGTGTGGATAAAATACTTCCCTCATTGCAGAAGATTCTGTTGGACAGCATTGGGCTGGATCACGAATTTTCTGATGAACAAACCCTTCATCTTTCTATAGATCACAAGAAAGTCTCCCATGGTGTTTTATATCACGAACTACTTTGCTGTGGAAACTTCTGTTTGTACAGAACGTTTCCTCTTACGGATACCAATTAAGTTCTTTATGATATTACATTGGTTTGGCTGTCAAATGTTGTGTGCTTAACAAAGAATGATAGAAAAATCACTTTCCAGAACAGAATGTTTGAATTGCATGTAGCATAGAAACTGAGTAAAAATTTCAGCCTGATTTAACATCTTTGGAGTAGACTTCTTAAAGGAGAGGGATATGAACACTGTAAAACACAAATTCATCAGAAGTGCAATGACAACAGGGTTCCTCTCTACTCTGCTGGTGACAAACTTTAAAACTCTATTGACTTGTATCTCTTGATGTCATTCTATTCCCCTCTAGTGGAATTAAAAGGTATCTGTCTTTCTACTCCAGCTTGGACACATTCGCAGTAGTAGGAATAGAAATCTAGAGATAATGAAGATAGAAGATAGCATTATCACTTATTTTCATATCATGATAGGCTGCTGCTTTACATTTTACCCTTTTTCCTGTCCTCAGGGGAAAATAGCCTTCTGTTCTCTGTCTATTTGAGCTACTTGGAGAAAAAAAGTTTAGGTATCTATCCTATGTATCACTATTTATCCTCATACCAGAAGAAGCCTTATTGCCCAATATGTTACTAGGATGTGCCATTGGTTCAGCGTCTAGCACAGGGTCAGGCCCGTTAATTGAGTTAGAGGCATGGGTTGAGGTCCCGATTTTACCACTTAACTATCCATGGCTTCAAATTCAATCATTTACTTTCCTGAACCTCCGTCTCTTCATCTTTAAACTGGAGACTCTCCTTTGACTCTCCATGGTCGTATCACAAGATAAAAGGAAATAATGAAACCTCATTGAAAGTTAAGGTGGACTCTGCACATTTATGTGGCCTCATTCCCCACCACCACCACTCTGCCCCCAGCAGCATCCTTTTAGGAAAGATGGATAAACAGGTAAACTAGAAATATGTTTCCGAACTCTCTGCGTACAGGTGAAGCATGGTGGGGCTGGGGCTACCTTTAAGTTGGTTGCAAGAGCCCAAAGGCTACCATTTGGTTTGGTTATATTTCCTTTTTTCTTTTGTCTTCCTCTTTTTCTTTTCTTTTTTTTTTTTGAGACAGAGTCTCACTCTGTCATCCAGCAGTGGCATGATCTTGGCTAACTGGAACCTCTGCCTCCCAGGCTCAAGCAATCTTCCCACCTCAGCCTCCCAAGTAGCTGGGACCATAGGTGCACACCACCATGCCCAGCTAGTTTTTGTATTTTTTTTTTTTTTTTTGAGACAGAGTCTCACTCTGCCACCCAGGCTGGAGTGTAGTGGCGCAGTCTTGACTCACTGCAACCTCCGCCTCCTGGGTTCATGCCATTCTCCTGCCTCAGCCTCCCGAGTAGCTGGGACTACAGGCACCCACCACCAAGCCCGGCTAATTTTTTTTTTTTTTTGTATTTTTAGTGGAGACGGGGTTTCACCATGTTAGCCAGGCTGGTCTCGATCTGCTGACCTCGTGATCCGCCTGCCTTGGCCTCCCAAAGTGCTGGGATTACAGGCGTGAGCCATCACGCCCAGCCTAGTTTTTGTATTTTTGGTAGAGACAGGGTTTTTGCCATGTTGGCCAGGCTGGTCTCAAACTCCTGGATTCAAGTAATCCACCTGTCTGGGCCTCCCAAAATTCTGGGATTACAGGCATGAGCCATCGCGCCCTGCCATTTTTTCTTTTAAATGTTGAGTTATTCTAAGTTTAAAGTGGCTAATAGGAGAAACAATAATTTGGAACATTAGCAGTTACAGTATTTCTCTAGTCTCAAAAAGAGCATTCTCACTAGAAGTATCCACAGAAATGCACTTAAATGCCACATCCCTCCCTCTCCCCTTTATTCCAGCCACCATGTCATAACCTCCCTCTGCAGAGCAGAGAATTAAGCTCTAAAGACTAGACATTTGTTGTGGCAAACAGTGCTGAATTTCTGCCTTTATTTTAACACAACTGTCTGCTACATGTAGAAATATTAGCATATTTGCAGAGATATTTTCATTAGGTATTTGTTTTGCTTTAAAAAACAACCCAGAAAGGTGAATTTCAAATGTGCACAGTAGGTTTCTGCCATCCTAAAGGCAAACTTCAAAATTTTTTAACAGCTAAGCAAACCATGCCAGTGGGTTAAGATGTAGGATTGGAAGTCTCTGATGCTGTCCTGGGGCGTGGGGGTTGGGGGGAATGTATCAATGAGTACTATTTTGGTCATTATTCTTCAGGTTGAGTTCTGGGAGGCATTGCTTAGGACACATTTAACGCCACAAGGGAAAGTGCATTAGTGTTGCCTTCTGTTGTTTAAAGAAAAGGAGGGAGAGAGGGAGGAAGGAATACATGCATATGATACTTTTGCATGCTCTGTGACCACCAGCACACAAACAAATGCAGAGATGCTGAGAAGTGCAAAGTGAGACGTGGAAGGGCAGGTGCTAACAGACAATGCAGCTATACTTGTGATGGTGCTTTTCACGAGTGAAGACCAAGGTGTAAGTGTCTTTTACCCAGTCACAGCTATAAAACCGAATCCAGTGGATCAACTAAAACTAAGTGCCAAAGAGGCCAATAGCAGTCTAGAACTACGTGTGAGTGTGTGAGTGTTTCTTCTGGCAGGTTCTCCTGTTTTACGGCTTCCTACCAGCCATCCTTAACTAACGCATGGTTGGAAATTCAGTATCCCCCCCCAAAAAATTGAACCTTCATAGTTTCCCAATTCCTGGTTTTAGAAAAGGAATGAAGGGGTATCAATTAGAGATCAAGTGCATCTTTGAGGAGAGAATGGCTTGCTACAATCGAAGAGAAGAAAACCTCAGCTATCAATTTGTGGAGGCTTTGAGCAGTCACTGAGCAGATGGGGTTGATGGGGGTACCTAACTCATGCACGGCCAAATGCCCAAGCCTAACAAAAACGGAGAAAAACCAAGGATTAACATATCACTTTTTAGCTAAGATGTAAAACTGGTTACTGGCAAGCTTATTCCAGCAGGCTCAGCAAGCGTCCAGCACAACCACAAGCAGCTTGATCAAAAACAGACCTCTGCCTCTCGGTGGATAGCTTTTGCTTTTAATATTTTATGTTCACCTCTTTGGCTCAAGATTTCCACTTCTGGCTTTTATCCTTGGGAACTGATAAGACACTTGCACAGTGTGTGCTTATAGATGCTCATGGTAGTGTTATTCATAACAGTGAAAAACAAAATCACCTGAATGTTTAGGAATTGGGGGTTGATTAAATCCATCATAGTGTGAATGTATGATGAAATATCATACAGTAAGATGTGACACTGATTTATATTTAATGACATGGAAAAATGTTTAACATAAACTGTTAGATTTTTTAAAAAGCTACCTATCAGCCTCTCTCTCTTTTTTTCTCTCTCATCTTTCTTGAATGAAATCCACCAAAATGTTAATGTGTATATACTTCTTTCTACTTAACTACCTTTTCTAATTTTTTACAGCAAGTATGGTTTTACCTACTTAAAAGAACACGTGACCTAAACAATAGAAAATTAGTAACAAATTACTAGAATACTATTTTACCATAAACTGCACATTTCGATTTTTAAAGTGAGGTTATAACCAAAAAGATCACTGAACATCAATAAATAAAATTGGCTGGGCGCTGTGGCTCACACCTCTAATCCCAGCACTTGGGGAGGCCGACGTGGGCGGATCACCTTAGGTCAGGAGTTCGAGACCAGCCTGACCACATGGAGAAACCCCGTCTCTACTAAAAATACAAAAAAATTAGCCAGGCATGTTGGCGCATGCCTGTAATCCCAGCTACTCGGGAGGCTGAGGCAGGAGAATCACTTAAACCTGGGAGGCAGAGGTTGCAGTGAGCCAAGATTGTGCCATTGCACTCCAGCCTGGGCAACAAGAGTGAAACTCCGTCTCAAAAACAAAAAAAGAAAATAAAATTTATCTTAACGTGGGTAAGAGGGGTTGCTGCTTGGGAAATATCTACTGGAAGTAATGAGGAGTCAGGGTGAAGTTCGGAGGTACCTAAAGAGACAGTCCTGCCGATTTGGACTTGGCAGTCGAGAAAAAGACATGGTTACACCTTCTGCCTCCTCTGTGTGTTTAATAGATGAACAAATACCAGCTGCTGGGGAATCTTATGACATTATAGTGAGGCATAAAAATCAGCCCTCTTGCAAATAATGTTATACTATTTGAACTTCATGACAAAAATGAGTGCAGAATCCCAGTCATGTTAGCTCCCTACTACCAAAGAGTGGACTTCAAAATTTGACCCACATCATCACAGAATAGCAGACAGGGTACCTCACACAATGACCTGATCCTGTTTTTACTAAATTAAAATGATGGGATCTTGCAGACTCTGAATAAATGTGTTTTTGTTTATCTCTGATTTGTTCTCAGTCGTACAGACTTGGCCATGAATTCTTATAGGAGACTTACCACTTTGTACAGGGCTGGCAGAGGTTTGCATAATTTAGATGCTTCTTGTATTCCTATTTTACGTTCCTTTCCAACTATGGTATTGGAACTAACCAAGTCTGTAATTAGCATAAACATTATTTGGTGCTAAAAAAATGGTATCACATTTTAATAGAGGATAGATCAGTGGTTGTCAGGAGTTAGGGGAGGGGAGGGCATGACTATAAAGAGGGTGGCATGGGGGAGCTTCTTTGTGGAGATTGGGAAGTTCCGTATCATGAATATGAATGTGATAAAATTTCACGGAACTACACACACATACCCTCCTATACAATAAGCACATGTGAAATCCTTATACAGTCTGTTCATAGCATTGGGCCAGTGTCCATTTCTGGGTTTTGATCATGTGCTATGGTTATGTATAATGCTGTTATTTGAGTAAGCTGGTGAAAGGTCCATGGGAACTCTCTGTGCTATTTTTACAGCTTGTGAGTCTAAAATTATTTCAAAATAAATGTTTTAAATAACATTTTTTTAAAACGTGAGCTATTCCTCAAAAGATTACTATTCTCAGAGTTACCATAAAGCTAGTTAAAGTAGTCAGTACCCCCAATTGAATGGGCAAAGAAATACAATATTTGAATGACTTTTTCCTTAGAGGAATCAGTATGACAATAGGAAAAAGAAAAATAATGATTTATCCTTGAAACAAAAACTGGAACAAAAACATGATTTAAGTATATGTGTAAGTATGTACTTAAATACTAAGTAGATAGGCTAGAGAAAGACATACAGGAATATCTGTGGAATATTGTATTATTGCCCCCCACTAATTGTTCCCTTACCTCTCTGATGATCATAGGTCCTACCCATTGCTATGTGACTTGTAGCCCCTCCCTGGATGCAGAGCATCCCCAACCTAGGGTCAGTCTTGGCCAAAGGGAGTGAAGTTTAGCTGCTTCAAGAAGCATTGACAGACTGTCGTTCAGTTTCACCTCTTGCTTTTCCTTTCCTCTGCCATGAGAATGGCATGTCCCAAATAGCAGCTGTTCCTTCATCTCTAGGTCCTGGAATAAGTAGACAGGTGCTCCTTCTCTGAAGCTCCTGATATATAACATGAGTGAGAAATAAACCTAGGCCAATGAGATTTTGAGGTTGTTTGGTACTGCTTTGTTGCTGAGCTAAAATTACATCTACAAGGTGGACGGTTTCATTGGGCATCACCAACTTGAAACTACTTTCAGTTGAACTCAAACCTACAAGCTTTCAAAGTTTGAAGTCCTAACCCATCCTGTGGCTCTTTACCAAATAATATAAAATGGCAGTAGATACTAAGCTTTCTGAGGGCCATTGTAGATTGTGTTATTATTTAAAATATTTGCTGTCCCCTTCTGGGGAGGTTATTACACCCGGCCCTGTTGACTTCCAGATTGGCCATGTGCCTTGCTTTGGCCAGTGACATGCAAACAGAAATGATGACACCATTTCCAAGCAGGAGATATATGAGCCGTTGAGTACTCTGCCATTTCTTTTTTTCCTCTGCTGTGAGATTGCATATGTCCTAGATAGTGACTGCTAAAGTCCCTAAGTGAAAAGTGAGATAAATTTTTGTTGTGGAAAGCCACTGAAAGTTAGAAGTGATTTGTTAGCAGTATAATCTAGTCTCTTCATTCCAAGTTAGATAGGACCTGAGCCTCACCTGGAGTCTTCACATGGTGGGCACACCACCTGGCACATAGTAGGTGTACGGTAAATAATTTTTTTTAGGCAAAATGAAGAAATTGATAGGTACCTAGGAAATAACCTTATTTATAAATGAGTTATGTTTAGGGTTTGTGATTTGAATACTTACACATTTTAAACATCTTATTTTTATTACTGTTACTTTAGAGACAGGGTCTCACTATGTTGCCCAGGCTGAAGTGCAGTGGCTATTCACAGGCATGATCATGGCGCATTACAGCCTCGAACACCTGGGCTTAAGCAATCCTCCTGCCTCAGCCTCCCAAATAGCTGGGACCACAAGCATGCGCCACTGCACCTAGCTTATCTTTTTTTAATATCAGAATTCCATATTAAACCATCAGAGGTTTTTGAAATTTAAAAGTTGTGCAGGGTGACTATAATCAATAATAACTACACATTTTAAAATAACTTAAGGAGCATAATTGGATTGTAACTCAATGGATAAATGTCTGAGGGGATGGATACTCCATTCTCCATGATGTGCTTATTTCACATTGCATGCCTGTATCAAAACATGACATGTACCCCGTAAATATATACACCTATGTACTCACAAAAGTTAAAAATAAATTTGTTTAAAGTTGATTGATGATGGAGCAAAAACTGGACATAAAACAATGTCTTGAGATGTTAATGAATAAGATATATTATGAAATAGGAAGATGGTCTTAATAATAGCTTTTCATTAAGAGTTGTATTGGTGGCTTGTGGTGTTAAATATCTTCATAGTGCCTTCATATAGACACCTTCTTCTGCAGATTGGTAGAGAAACTGCCAACAAAGCCCCTGTGTAGTGAGATGAGGTGGTTGCGCCCCAGTTCCTCCAGCATGCTAGGCTTTTCCCCCAATGGTGTCTCATGAAGCAGCCGGAATATAGCCAGTGTATTCAGCTGGACTTCGTGGTAATTTGGGTTACATAGATAATGTATGGATTTATTTTTTAACTTAAATCTTTTCAGATAATGTTAAAAGTCTCATTTTACTTTCATGTCTGAACCTAATCTGTCCCCACACTTTCCCAGAGTCATTTACTTATTTATCAATCTAGAAAAAAACTGTCTTACTGTTCAGAGGAGGGGGCTTTTTGTTTTTTGTTTGTTTGTTTTTTGTTTTTTGAGACGGGGTCTTGCTCTGTTACCCAGGCTGGAGTGCAGTGGCATGGTCAGGGCTTACTGCAAACTTGACCTCCTGGGCTCAAGCAGTCCTCCCACCTCAGCCTCCTGAGTAGCTGGGACTAAAGGCATAGGCCACCACCCCCAGCTAATTTTTTTTTTTTAAGTAGAGATGAGGTCTCGTTATGTTGCCCCAGCTAGTCTTGAACTCCTGAGCTCAAACGATCCTCCCAAAGTGCTTGTTTCTGTTTTTTACATAAAAGTCATTATATTTTATGTCTTGTGTTGTGGCTTGCTGTTTTCATTAGACAATATATCTTAGAGATCTGTCCATGATTTTACAGAAAGATCTAGCTCATTTGATTTAACTGCCATGGAGTATTCCATAGTATAAATATATTACAGTTTATTTAGCCATTGCCTTGCTGATACAGATCTATCTAGAATTTTTAAAATAATTTATTGCTTCCCATTGAATGATTACAGCATCTTGCATAGCTGGGCAAAGGACTCATAAGAAACCTACTAGCAAAACCTGGTTTGACAGGTTCATCCAACTGTATAGATGAGTGTTATTCACCAGAATAAACTGAAGTGTTACATTGCAGATCAGAAATTAATGAGCATCACCAAAAACGGAATTTCTTTCGTTCTTTCTTAGAAAAGGAAACATCCAACAAGATCAGTATGGTCAGAGGCCAAGTGCGATCCTAAGCCCAAATGGAGAGTGGGCCAGGCAGACCCAGCCGCCTGAGAAGGGGCATGGCAGCTTTACTGAGTACATGATACACAATGTAATAATTACAGTGGTCCCCAAGTTACATGCAACCACCCTGATCATATGACTTGGTTTTGGTAATCCTCTCATGTTAACCAAAAAAATTTTAAATAGGTCTTTTTTTATATCATAGGGTTAAAAAAAAAACTGCTTCCTACTTCCCTAAATTTCTTAAGAAATTTAAGATCGCAGTAATGTTGCTAGATTTGCCCTTGAAGCAGTGTTTTGGGTGTTTCTCATATAGTCAGCATGTGGGTGACATTTAGACCCAAGCTTGGCTTACAAGCATGATTCATGAGAACACATCAGATGGTGACAGCAGAGAATTTCCCTTGGTACTTAGAGGGGAGCAGCTTCAAGGAGGCATACTGCTCTGACTGCTGGAGGAAGTTGCACCGCAGAGCTTCTGTTGGTTAAAAACAGTCTTTTCCAGAAACCCTGAACCCCCAGCCCTCAATGACAGATAGTTTGGTCCTTCAAGAGAAACCTATGGGGCATTTTGGAGGCATTCAAATATGGGTGGAAAATTCAAGCCAGGATGACCTCTAACCAAAACCCTGCCATTATTTTACTCATTGCATTAAAAGCACATGTGCAGTGATGTCAGTTCAAATATGAACATCCCCATCAAAAAACATCATTGGTTGCCTGCCTCCTGGTGTGAAGGGAGCGTTAACTCCTCTAGAGATTTCACACTGCACATAGCTAGATTAGTCTCCAGCCTCAACTACTGCCTTTGCAGACTTACCTAGAATATGACTTCCAGGTGGCTGTAGACACAAGAATGCATCTAGGAAATGTGATGCCCGGTCAGCATCCGAATTCTGCACAGTGTAGATCCATGTGTTTATTTTAACATATTGCAAATGATAGCGGTAATGATGATGGTGATAAAGAGAAACTTTGGAAAATCTTGGTAGAAATGTTGAGAAATGTTTCCAAGGAAGACTAATTAAGTTGCTACATTATAAAACTAAGAAATGAGAAACAGGCCAGCGGATGCTTTCAATAGAATTTGAATTTTTCACTTGTCATTTTTTTCCTAAGAGGTTTAGATTTAGATTTGTAGGTTAGACTTTATTCATGCCTATGAAAAGTGATTAGCTCAAAGCCTTCATTTTTTTCTCCCAACCACATATATGACAGAAGTGTCTGAGCTGTATTTTTCCCTCTTTCGTTATAATATAATGTCAGGCTTGTGACATATGACAGCAGGTTTCACACTCCACTTAATGACAGGCTGCCAGTTCCTGGAGAACTAAAAAGGAAGACTAATATGTATTTGACTAAAAAGGAAAATGTTATTAACTTGGTAATAGTGAAGACTTGGTGTGCACCAGATATTTCTTTGTGGCCCTAAGTCTAGCCAGACTTGCTGTAACTTATCTGTGGGATGACTTTATCTACAGCCCTTTGGTGCACAGTGATAAAAGTGTGCTTTGTTAAGGATTTAGTAGTTGCTTTCATACACATTTAATGAAGGTCTACCATGTAGGAGATAAAATGATTTCAGAGGATACAAAGACAGACTTCTGCATTCAGGTAGTTTTGCAGTTCAAGAGGAACCTATTAATGTCACTTTCCTCTTTTTACCTTGGTTTCCAGGAAGCTCAGAGATAAAGTTAATACTTAATCCTCAGTTCGGCAGCATCCTTTAGGACCTCTCTTTCCTCCCTGTTAGACTGTCATGTCAGTCCTCTGTGTGTGGGAGGTGAGAGATAAATGATGAAAAATTAAAGGGGAGGTAGACAGAATCATAATTATCATAAGTGGCAGAATATGTTAAGTGGCATGCAAAAGACAGAAATAAAATGCTCTGGAAGGTCAGATGAAGGAGAGAAATTGTAACTGGTATTGACATCTGGAGAGACTTCCTGGAGGAGGAAGGAGACTTTGATAATGACTTTTCAGGTGTTTCAGCAGGTGGAGTCCTGGCAGGTGGAGGCAGCAGCCGAAATGAAGACACAGATGAGAGACACCAAGGTGCCTGCCATCTGGGACTCACCGAAGAGAAAGATCAGATGTCCAGGTTTATAGATGTAGGAAAGGATCCTGAGGCTGCTCTGATCATTTCCATGATGAATTTGATGAATTTGATGAATTTGGTAGCTATCAGGAGACCTACTCTTGGGCCAGTGGGGGCAGCTTGTGCCCTGGTATTGTGGTGTTCACCTTATCTGTCCATCCAGGTCACAGGCATCACCTGGAAGCCGCAAGCCTTACCCACCTTTCAATCCCTCATGGCCCAGGCTGGCGCCACATTTTGCCTGAGCTCTCATTCTGCCTGTGCCTTGAGATGATTTTGTTTTGAAAAACGGGTCAGAAAGGTTTGGAAACAGCAGTGTGTTTCCTTTACTTAGAGAAAAGCGTCCTAATTCTGCTTTTCAGATAAATCTTTAGACTCATCCTCCCACGACTCCTTAACATGAGATCAGCGGGTTATATATTTAATGAAGAAGTAAAAGATGTTCCTTTGGTGCTGTTCTACTTGAGTTAATGTATTTCACCAGCCAATACTACTGTATTCCCTATTCAGTAAACAGTATATTTAATACATATGTAGTACAGTAAATGCTCTTGCATTGGAATTATGCATGTAAAATCTGATGAAACCCTAAACTCTGTAGTTTAGTTAATGGTATTGTAGCATTGTCCTGGGTCTGCAAATGTGCCGTGGTTATGTAAGATGTTATCACTGGGGAAGCTGGATGAAGGGTATGAAGGAACAGTCTGTACTATTTTTGCAAATTCTTGTGAGTCTTAAATTATTTCAAATTAAATAGCTTTAAAAAAAAAAGAATTAAAGAGATGATCTAGTCCGGTTGTTTTCAACTTTAATTTTAGCAGTGGTCTCCCTCTTCTGCCTTCTCCTGCCTCCATCCTCAGCATCCTTAGGCACCACCTGACGTTTTAAAAATGCTGATCCCACCCAATACATTTAGGCTCCAGATGAGGAAATCAGGGCCCACAGAAGTAAAATGCATCACTATTTAGAGGCTATTGATAGAAACACAGTGAGCCTGGGGAGTTTTTAGGACGAGTTGCTCTCTGCAGATCTTCATGACTCACAGCTCTGTCGCTAACACTGTGGTTTCTTTTGTCAGACTAGGTGAGATTAATTAGACTGGAAAAGAGTTTCCATGCTCCTGCATCCCATTGCTGCAGTGCAAGAAATGGCATCATCCATATAATTGAGACAGTGCAAGAGGTGGTTTGGGTTAGCAGACAGTTTAACAAAACACCACTCAGGGCATTTGCCAAGAGGACTGGCTTGAAAGTCCAGGCATGGGGTGCAGAAGTCGGGAATGCGGGACCTAGGAGGAAGTCCCTTGACTTCTGCCAGCTTGGCCTTCACTCTGACCACCTATGAAGCCTGAGGGTGATTAGCCCAGAGGATAGGGAGTCCTGTTTCCTCCCCATCCAGGCCCAAGTCACTAAAGTATTTTGGGGAAACCCTGGGCACCTTGAAGTTTGCTCCTAAGGATAATGTAATAATAATTGCTTATATTTGTCTAAGGATTTTCAGGTTGCAAAGTCTTTCTCTTATATTCCCTAAGCTGGGTGTCACCCCTTGCCCATGACACGGGCAGATTGGTTTTATTTCTGCTTTATAAATAAATGACGTGACTTTTCCAAGGTAAGAGCTTGTGCCGGGACTGGGGTCAGAACACAGGTCTCCACAGTCCTGCTAAGTGCTCTTCTCATAGGAGACTCTCTTGTTCTAAACAAAGATCCTGGTTATTGTGAAGCACCTGTGCACAATTGCTGATCAACAAACAGCTGGTGCTATTATTATTACTGTCGTTGTAATTCATAGGCAGGATCTTTGGCCACATGTAATTTTGGGGTGTGACAACTCCAAGACTTGCTGGTTCTCCAGACTTAGGCAGGAGGTGGAAGCGATGGTTTCCTCTCTTCCTACACCTCCAAACGGTGAGAACCTGAAGGTGCCATATGGCTGTTGCGTGAGTAAGCCTTAGGTTTTCCTGAAAAGTGAGTTGCCTGTGTGCCACATCAATGGAGATCTATGTGACAACCAACTGGTATGACAACCACCCTGGGGCTGCCTGGCATGCACATACTCCTGAGGGCTCCGTGCGAGCTGCCATTCTTTATTAATTTAGTGCCATTTGTTGATGCCTCGTTTCTGCAGGGAAAACTGGTTCCTTCATTTCCCCTGGCATATTCTGCGCCCTCCGCACTGTAGGACGCAACCTTTCCTGTCAACACAGGTATTTTTAATTGGTGCTGGCACCAACCTACTCCCTGAACATTCTTCCTGATGTCCTGGGATCCTGGCAAAAGTGGTGGGCTTCCCTAATGGTGGAAGTCTAAGGCCATACTTCAGACCGTGGACCCAACTACTGCTTTCTAGAAGAAATAACCTGTCAAGGAAGATGTTGATGTCTCACACCCTGAGAGAAACATTTAGGAGGTAAACCACTGACCTGCCTCGAGGATATCATTAATCATCTACACATAGAGGTGCTAGGTACTCACCTCGCACCAGTGACACACTTACTAAATATTTGTTGAATGACCTCCTAGAGCAGTGGTTTTCCAGTCTTTAGTGTGTCCGCCAACACAAGGATCACTGGCAGGATCTGCTCAAACACAGACTGTGAGGCCCCACCCCCAGAGTTTCTGACTCGGTTGGTCTGGGAAAGGACTAAGTACTATGCCTTTCTAACAAGTTCCAAGTGATGTGATGCTGTGCGGGAACCATGCTCTGAAAACCCTTGTCCTAAAGCAGGGCTTGGCAAACTTTTCCTAAAAGGACCCAAATAGTAAATATTTTAGATTTTGTGGCCCACACAGTCTCTGTCATAATTACTCAACTCTGCCATTATAGCCAAAGAAAATATGTAAATAAAGGAGCATGTCTGTTTTCCAATAAAATTTTATTTACAAAAATAGGTGGTGGACTTGTTTCTAAAATATATATATATATATGTGTGTGTGTGTGTGTGTATATATATATATATATGTTGCAAATATAAAAATGCGTTGTAAATATATTGAGAGCCAGATCCTCATTCTGGGTAGATCTCCAAAAGCTCTTGTGATGGGAATCCAACGTTGGTCACATCGTAGGTCTGTGCTCTCTGAAGCAGCACAAATACAAAACTTGGAGTGAAACAGAGATGAGCGTTGTTCCTGTGCAAGGATCACGTGCAAATATGTGAACTGTTTCATATAAAAAAAAATCTGAGGTCTGATGTTCATCAACCATGTGATTTGGGGAAGGTCATTAACATCTCTGTAAAACGAGGATAATTAGGCAGTAAAAACTAGGGGAAAATGCTCATTTTTATAAGTTCTGGGTGGTGCAGACACGAGGGGTTTACTATTCTTTATACTTCTCTGTATGATTGAACTATTTCAGAATTCTCAAATCTGTGTCTTTAAAAAGTAGTCATAGGCCAAATGCTTTGGGAGGCCAAGGCAGGTGGATCACGAGGTCAGGAGATCAAGACCATCCTGGCTAACAAAGTGAAACCCCGTCTCCACTAAAAATACCAAAAATTAGCCAGGCGTGGTAGTGGGTGCCTGTAGTCCCAGCTACTCGGGGGGCTGAGGCAGGAGAATGGCATGAACCTGGGAGGCAGAGCTTGCAGTGAGCAGAGATCGTGCCACTGCACTCTAGCCTGGGCAACAGAGCAAGACTGTCTAAAAAAAAAAAAGTCATAACAAGCCTTTGGCATATATGTGGCTTAGGGTTTAGGTTCCATAGTCAACCAAAAGATGAATTATCTTACAGTCAGAATCACCTTTGGAATTCCCCGAAATCACCAGCACCAAGGCCCTCAGAAAGTCAGCAGCCAAGAATATTCTGCTTTATGTCACTTTGCATTGGAGAAACCCTGAGAGAAAGGTTAATTCAAGCTTATTATGTCTACAGTAGATCTCTGGATCTCCTGCCCTTCCCCAAACCCTGATCTTCTAAAGTCTTGCTTAATTCAGTGGATGGCCACTCTGCCTTTGCAGCTGCTCAGGCCACAAGGAGTGATTCAAGAGGAAGAACTTAATAGGAATGAGTCCTGATAGGTACATGTTGAATATGAAATTGTTTTATAGTTCCAATAGAACAGTAGAGTCTATGGCCATACCACCCTGAACATGCCTGATGGAAAGCTAAGCAGGGTCGGGTCCGGTTAGTACTTGGATGGGAGACAAATAGATCATCTAAGTAGAAGCTCAGAGCTCTACTATTATTTATTTATTTATTTTTTGAGATGGAGGCTCGCTCTGTCGCCCAGGCTGGCGTGCAGTGGCATAATCTCAGCTCACTGCAACCTCCACCTCCTGGACTCAAGCGATTCTCCTGCCTCAGCCTCTCAAGTAGCTGGGATTACAGGCACACGCCACCATGCCTGGGTAATTTTTGTATTTTTAATAGAGACAGGGTATCACCATGTTGGCCAGGCTGGTCTCAAACTCCTGATCTCAGGTGATCTGACTGCCTCAGCCTCCCAAAGTGCTGAGATTACAGGTGTGTGCCACTGTGCCTGGCCTACCTTTATATATTAATAAACAGAGGAGGCTGGGCGCGGTGGCGCATGCCTGTAATCCCAGCACTTTGGGAGGCCGAAGCAAGTAGATCACCTGATGTCAGGAGTTTGAGACCAGCCTGAATAACATGGTGAAACCCCATCTCTACTAAAAATTAAAAAAAATTAGGTGTGGTGGCAGGCACTTGTAATCCCAGCTACTTGGGAGGCTGAGACAGGAGAATCGCTTGAACCTGGGAGGCAGAGGTTGCAGTGAGCCGAGCTCGTGCCACTGCACTCCAGCTTGGGTGACAGAGTGAGACTCTGTCTCAAAAAATAATAATAATAAAATTGAATAAATAAATAAGCAGAGGCCCCAGAAGCAGAGGCGCTTATCTGCACTACCTGCGTGGTACCTACCTACCCTGTGATACGGCACTCTTCTAAGCATTTTACAAAGACTGACTCGTTTTGTCCTTATTTATAGTAACCACAGAAGACAGATGCTGTTAATTTCCCAGCTTATAGATGAGGCAGAAAGGATAAGTAATTCGTCCAAGGCCATGCCTCTGGGTAGTAGCAGAGCTGGAACCTGAACCCAGGCAGTGACTCCAGAATCTACGCTCTTTAACCACGATGGTCTTCTGTATATCATTTTTCTTCCCTATCCATAATCTGTGAGTTGAGGGACAAAAGCTTAAAAATCTAAAGAAAAAAGATGTCTGGTTGCACCTTTGGTGCTCTATGTGGTATGCTAGAGAAGGTAATGAAATTGCAGTGGGCTATGGGGAGGCGTAATTTCAGTGCCTTTACGATTTTCATCTGACCATGCTGAGTTTCCCTATAAAAAGCATAAAATACTTTGGAGATGGTGCAGAAGCAGGAAAATGTACCTGTCAGTTTGGATGTAGATCTGGTTTCGCAGTGTATTGTATTTCTGGATACTCTGTCCAAGAGGAGATCTCCTGAATGATCCATTTAGGGTTGTTCCGTTCACTTCACAAACACACCGATTTTGTGTCTACTCGTGCCCCAGCCTGCGCTAGGCAGTGGGGAGACAGAGAAGCCAAGTTGTTTAAAACACTGTGCTTGTCCCCAAGGGCTTTGGTGACCATAGCTCCAGAAGTAATAGCTTTGGTGGAAACCGTGGTATGTGCAAATTTCACCCCATAAATAGAGGAAACATAGGTATTCATTATATTAAAACATGATGCGGGCCAGGTGTGGTGGTTCACGCCTGTAATCCCAGCACTTTGGGAGGCCAAGGCTGGTGCATCACCTGAGGTCAGGAGTTCGAGACCAGCCTGGCCAACATGGTGAAACCCCATCTCTACTAAAAATACAAAAATACCCACATCGTGGTGGATGCCTGTAATCCCAGTTACTCAGGAGGCTGAGGCAGGACAATCGTTTGAACCCAGGAGGCGGAGGTTGCAGTGAGCTGAGATCGCGCCACTGCACTCCAGCCTGGGCGACGAGCAAGACTCTGTCTCAAAAAACAACAGTAAATATCTAAAATATTTAGTGGCGAAGTCACCACCACCCATTGTGTGACTCCAGAGAATGATGCACAGTCTGGTGTTATCGAACCTTGACTTGGGGCTGGGGAGTGGTGGGGCCTGAGCTTGGCTTAATCTAAAAACGTGGTCCTTTCATGACTAAAATGAGCATTGTGCTTCTTCTCCTCCCAGGACCCCAGGAGCAAGCACAAGTTCAAAATCCACACTTACGGAAGCCCCACCTTCTGCGATCACTGTGGGTCACTGCTCTATGGACTTATCCATCAAGGGATGAAATGTGACAGTAAGTAAGTTTTCTTTTCCAGTTCATAGCGAGGCTCTGTAGCTCATGCTCAGGGTTTGCTGAGCAAGGAAGGCTCAGTAACTTTTCAACACCAACTCTTCAGTAGAGGGAATTAGTTCAGATATCTACCAGACTGACAAAGTGTAGATTCTTCCACTGTCAAAGTTCCAGGTTATTGAACTACTTGATTGCCTCATTATGAACCCCCAAAAAGCACTCGATTTATAAATGAGGTTGGTGGGTGCTGTCACTTTTTTTTTTTTTTTAGTGGCAGAAGTCTTCAATCACTGTAAAATATAGCCTAGTCAAACCCCAAAGAAGACTTCCACCGCCAGGTCCACATTTGGTTATAGCTTCAAAATAAGCCAAGAAACCCTACTCATTATCTTCCTGTGTCTCTAATTAGTGGGTGGACTGTGGAAAAATCCAGTAGGCTCTTCTTAAAACTGAAACCAAAATGAACATAAAAACCAGAATAGCATCTTATTGAAGTTCACTGACCCAGCATGTTTATGGACGGATCAAATGTGTATTAGCCTGGCTCAAAACGCTGAGGACCACTGACAAGCAAGACACCAGCCCTTTTCTGTTATTTTTTGTTACGTGTGTATCTCCATCAACTACCAGGAGGAAAGAAAAGCAACTATGAAGACTCTTTGCTTTGATCATTTTTTTTTTTTGGAGACGGAGTCTCACTCTGTCACCCAGGCTAGAGTGCAGTGGCGCGATGTCGGCTCACTGCAAGCTCCACCTCCCGAGTTCACACCATTCTCTTGCCTCAGCCTCCCGAGTAGCTGGGACTACAGGCCCCCACCACCACACCCAGCTAATTTTTTGTATTTTTAGTAGAGATGGGGTTTCACTGTGTTAGCCAGGATAGTCTCGATCTCCTGACCTCGTGATCCGCCCGCCTCGGCCTCCCAAAATGCTGGGATTATAGGGGTGAGTCACCGCGCCCAACCTGCTTTGATCGTTCTTAAAGTATGAGATTCCTCAGGCTATGTTTGTTTAAATACAAGCTGATACCTTTAGGACATGAAAAGTTAATTGCCGAGCCTGTTTTTCTAATAGATCGGGAACCACTGTGGAAATATCAGCCTATTGCCATTTGCTAATGACTATTTTCATTTGCTATGATGGCCAGAAGCTGATATTTGTATCTTACATGGAGCAAACTGTAGAAAAAGAAACATAAACGAGCATCATAGAGTAGATGGAGTTTCTCAGGACACAGGGATTCTTCACCTTACAGAGTTGTACGGCATCACAACCAAATGCAATGTTTGTTTACTTCAAGAAACGCTGGGATTTCCACCATTTAATCCCAGCACTTTGGGAGGCCGAGGCGGGAGGATCACCTGAGGTTAGGAGTTCAAGACCAGCCTGACCAACATAGCGAAACCCCGTCTCTACTAAAAATGCAAAATTAGTCTGGTGGTGGTGGTCTCCTGTAATCCCAGCTACTCAGGAGGCTGAGGCAGGAGAATTGCTTGAACCCAGGAGGCGGCGGTTGCTGTGAGCCAAGATTGTGCCATTGCACTCCAGCCTGGGCAAACAAGAGTGAAACTCGGTCTCAAAAAACTAGAAAAATAAAAAAAAGAAACCCTAGGATTCCAAAGACATGGTTTTCAGGGGTTCTGCAAGGGCTTACAACTTAAGTGCATATGTAAATATATTTTAACTACTTTAAAACTGGGAACAAAATAAATATTTGAATGTGTTACATACTCAACCTTCACTCCTTGGGCAGAACTTGCAATCAGGTTTCTCCTACAGCATCCTCTTCACTGAAGAGTCAGCTGGGATGGGGAAGCATGCCGTTAGACACGGTTCCTGTTTGTACTCAGTTTTCTGCATGAATGAGGATTTTTGGATGCTGTACTACTTTAACATAATGCAAAAATAAATGAGATGTGGAGGCTGGTCTGAGACATCAACTGGTTTCAAAGTTGTGTTTGTATCAGAGGGCTTTATTGGTGATCCTTGAATGTCTTTATAATAAATAAGTGGTATAAATTTGTGTTTGTTAGCTGAGTTTATGCTAATAAAATAACACTCATATGGTTTACATCATTAGATTCTGCTTTAGACTTTGTTTGCAAAATGGTTTCCTTACTAAAAATTTTTGAAAACCGCTGACCTGGACCAATGCTTTTTTGTTTGGTTTTGTTTTAAACTCTTTTTCTTGGGAATCATAAGGCTTCTGTGGCTGCCGCCTGTGCTCCTTTCTGGAGACAGGAGGAGAGCAAGCCGATGAGCACCAGGACTGCAACCCCTACTGACCTTAACTTCTGCAGAGAAGAAGCCTCTTCCTGTGCCCTTCCACCTGGTGCAATTGCAATCCTAGATAGAGTTCCACTTGGGATGGGGCAGGACGTCAGGGGGCAGTTAGCAACAACAACTTGAGTGGGCCAACCTCTCACTTTGTAGAGTTGGAAATGAAATTAGAGCAAATCAGCTTCCCAAGATATACAGCAGAGACTGCAACACGGCCCAGTGCACTTTCACCTCCCGTCCCCTCCCCGTTGCCTCTGTGCTTTCCAGAGGCTCTGGCATTTACTGCCTTCACATTGCAAATTTTGCCCGGACACTTAAAGACATGATGTGGTTAACACAAGCAATATACATAACACAGCTTTTCAAGAGCCTTTATATTGGCTAAATTCGAGGTGTAGAATTTTGAACAGTTAGCCTTGGAAATAGAAGCCTAATAGCATCCACATTTGTGAATTAGCTAATTGTTCTTTCCTCAGTATGTCCATCATTCTGCTGTCAGTGTTTAATCGGAGCAGTATACATTATTCATGATGCTTTTTCCAATTTACTTTGTCATGTTAAAATTAAACACTCAAAATGAAACGGAAAGGAAGACTCCACCTTGATGATTACAGAATAACCTTATTAGCATCCTGGCAAGGATTTGCAAGGATTCCAGTGGCCTTCCCTCCTTCTGGAAGCCTAAAGGTACAAGGGTGATCGAGCTGGAACACCCACACACAGTCTTCTGTTTGTTTCCGGCACACAGGATTCTTTTCAGGGTTTCTTTGGTTCATTGCAATAATACTGATCTTTTTTTATCCTCCCCCTGTCTCACCCACATAATGTCAGCTGTAAGGAATGGCTGATCATGCTAGGCGGGTATTTGTTTTACTTGGAATGGTATTTAAATATTTGAAGATAGGTTTAAAATATCAAATACAGGTTCTTTGGGGAGAAAAACACAGGCAATGTACTTAAACCTTGTTGAAAATACAAGGTTAGCTGAGGAAAGGAAAATTTAATGAATTTTCTATACTCAATCCACAGATTTTCACTCTTTCTCAGTGGTAAGCCCAGAATGACATAAAGAATTCATTAGCAAAAAGTCTTATGTTCAAGCTGGGTGCAGTGGTTCACATCCATAGTCCCAGTACTTTAGGAGGCCTAGGTGGGAGGACCACTTGAGCCCAGGAGTTCAAGGCTGCAGTGAGCTAGGATTATGCCACTGCACTCTAGCCTGAGAGACAAAAGGAGACCCTGTCTGAAGAAAAAAAAAAAAATCCTCTGTTTAACATTTTCATATTATTTTGCCTCTGTGTACATAAAATATGAATTAGGCTGAGCTTTGTACATATTTACCTGTGTGAATTTTGTATACTGTTAAATACTTGAAACAATCACAGAAGCCCAAGCTGGGATATTTTGCTTCAGTGAAGACTGAGCAAATATGGTATGAGTATTTTAAGGATATTGTCACTCACATGAAGCCTGTGCTGTACAGGACATCTGCTAACAGTTCTTTATGTCACCAAAAACATTATAGCAAAGTATCGAGTTGGGGGTAACTCATTTTCACTTGTGCTCATGCACCAAAACACTGAGGAGCGGTGGTTGGAGTCCATATGCCCAGCTCACCCTCTCCTTTCTTGATTCACAGCCTGCGATATGAACGTTCACAAGCAATGCGTCATCAATGTCCCCAGCCTCTGCGGAATGGATCACACTGAGAAGAGGGGGCGGATTTACCTAAAGGCTGAGGTTGCTGATGAAAAGCTCCATGTCACAGGTAAGGCTTGCTCATCCCGGAGCAGCATCGTGGGCAGGCATTTGGATGAAGGTTACACTGATATTAAGGCAGGGTGGGGGCTGGGCTGGATGCCCTGAGGCCTCTGGAGAGGCAGTCGCCCTGGTGGAGCCATCACTGTCTCAGAGCCCTCCAGCCCTCTGAGCCCTCGGGTTAATACACCTCCCAGGAGATGGGTCTGTACACCCAAATTCCCAAATACTCAATGTCACACAAAGTCACAAGCACTGTGTGGATTGGGCTATTCTGACAGCATGGCCCGTGTACTCTCCTCCCGGTGACAGGGGGTCAGGGGAGCCAATTAATCAAAATGCTGTTGGAGGGAATGGAACTAGAACAAGGGGAGGCGAATGGATGGATGACCCAGGTGTTTTGTGGCATTGGCCTGTGATGGCCCAATAAATCCACCTCAGCGATAGCAACAGCCGTTGAGTGCTTTTGCTTCCTCTGTGTTAGGTATGGTGCTAGGAACTTCACATAGATTAGTTATTTAGACCTGACACCTAGCTGGTTATTAGCCTCGTTTTCCAGAAAAGGAAACTGAGGCACAGAGAGATCAATAACTTGCAGTGTTACAGTTAGTGAGGAGCTGGGATAGGAATGGAGGCATTTGACTCCAGATACTGTGCTTATAATTACCACACCTCCTACAAACAGCCTGGCTATGGGACCGGAATTCCCTATCCAGGGGCCTGGTTACTCCCTCCTCGGGGCTGTTTCTGGGTGGGCTCTGCCACAACATGGCTTTTTCCTGTGGTTTTCCCACCAAATCCACTTTCGGTTCATCGGCACACTCAGTCAAGTTATCCTGGAGTCTTATTGGCCTAGGACCCATCCCGTGTCCTCAAGATGGCTTGAGTTCTCGGTACCATGACCCACTCCATGTTGGTGTATGGTTCAGCTCTCAGGCATCAGCCTATTTCCTTGCACTTGGGGTCCCTGAGGGACCAACTGTATACATTACCCTTGTTGACAAGGGCATTCATTTTCATTTGATCAGCAAAGGTATCTTCCTTCTGTATCTAGGAATTTGAAGCTATCATAAACATGGAAAGACTGATGCTAATCTATTAGGTTTAGATAACAGAAAACATCATAGAAGAAGGGTTTAGGAGGATCTGTTTTAAGAAAAAAAGGGGAAGGTGGGGACTTCCAAAGAAAAGCTTACCTTTGGAAACATCCTCAGGTTTTTCCTTTGAAAGATAAGCAAATGTTCTAACCAGGGCTGTCCCCTCAGGTAAGAACTCAGAGAAGAACAAAGGATTCCAAGGTATCACTGGGAGAGGGTAACAGTTTGCCTCTGGATAACCTTGAAACCAGCTATAGCTGATGGTCAAAATGGAACTGGGAATGAAATCCCTATCATAGATACAGAATCCCTTCTGACTTTTTGTAGTTTTTAGAGAAATTCTTTTATTTTCTCAAGACCATCCCTATTGTGCCATTGCCTTTGGGGCTGTGATTGTCACCTGCATTTCTTTTTAATGGGCTGATGCTGTCCTTGGAATCCCTGCCCTTATCTGACAGCCAGGGCCCCTCTGACTGGGCACTGATGCTCTCTGCCCAGAGGAAGATGGTGTTCCTCGGGGGCCATGAGACCCCTCTGCAACATCACAGCTTTGCTCTTGTTTCTCTTTCCTACTAAGGCTTCCACATTGTCAAAACCATGTATGGGGGGAGCAGATTTTGCAGCCGAGGGGAAAATTACCATAAAACCTAGTCTCCGTAGGTGGTAAGGGATCAAGGAGCATAAAGTAGAATGCCTATGGCTAAACATGTCCATGCTTTTCTTACCTTTTCCTTTATTTCCAAAGCTACTGCTGTTGGCAGTAGAATAGACATCACAGGTGAATATTCAGTTTAATTATGGGTTTACATGTGGCTACCTTATGGCTCGCTGTAAGGCAAGAATGCCTGAAATGTTTAGCTGGCATTCTTTGTGTTTCTAGATAAAGCAAAACATGTGCTATGCATGCTGGACACGCCCCGTGCCGTCTTCTGTAATAAAAGCAGCAACCATATGGTACTGCCGGAACCTTCCAGTATCTCCTATAAACCTCAAGAGCCTTGCAGATCTAAAACTGCATAGAGAGCACAGATGCTCTGGCTGGGGTGGCACAGGTACACAGGTGGAAGACAAAGGTCAGGCCTTATCGTGCTAGAGCTTACATCAGGCTAATTCCTCTACCATTGCCAAAAGTTGAACTTGACTCACAATTGTAGAGTCAGCTTAAGGAACAAGACCTTTCACTGGGTTGGATGTCGACTTTTTGCATGTGAAAGCCAGCCAGTATTGCTTATGCCAACTCTCTGGGCTAAGTCCCTTGAGAATTAGTTTAAAAATTTTTGTAGAGCTATAGCTCCACTCTAGGAATGTGAATTCAGCAAGTTTAATTAATAATAATAATAATAATGTCTTATTCCATTCAGGCTGCTATCACAAAATACCTTAGACTGGGTTATTTATAAATAATGGGAATTGATGTATCACAATTCTGGAAGCTGGGAAGTACAAGATCGAGGCCCCAGCAGATTCAGTGTCTGGTGAAGGCTCCGTCTCTGCTTCATAGATGGCACTTCTCACTGTGTCCTCACATGGCAGAAGGAGGGCAGGCTGTGTCCTCACATGGTGCAAGGAGCGAACTTGCTCCCTGTCATCTCTTTTATAAGGCTCTGCGTTTGGTTGAAGGTTATCCCGAAAGGATTACTTCCCAAAGGCCCTACCTCTTAATACTATCACACCGGGAATCCAATCTGAAGATATGAATTCAGACCACAGCAAATAGTAGCAGCAGCTCACAGCTATTCAGTGCTTCCTCCACAGGACCGCTTTCTAAGTACTTTATGTACTAACTTTTATTCAAATCTGTGAAGAAGTTGACTTTATTATCCTTACGTTATAGATGAAGAAACGGAGATACAAGGAAATGAAGTGACTCACCCAGAGTCACACAGATGGTAAATTGGATGGCTAAATATTTAAATGGCACATGCGGAGAGAAGATATTTTGATGACAGTTTCCATAAGAATTGGAATCTATTTTTAAAGTACAGTTATGTGTGTGAAGGGAATCCAATGTTAAGTATGGAAAGTCAGGCTCAAGGAAATAACTAATTAGTAATTACATCTTTAACATTTTTAATTTAAAGTAATTTAAGATTTTCAGAAAAGTTGCACACACAGTACAGAGTTCTCGTACACCCTTCACCCAGCAACCCCCGATGTTAATGCCCTTGTATAACTATAGTACCTGATAAATTTATGAAAAATAAGTGCTTACAGCCAGGTGCAGTGTCTCACACCTGTAATCCCAGCACTTTGGGAGGCCGAGGCGGGTGGATCGCTTGAGGTCAGGAGCTTGAGACCAGCCTGGCCAACATGGTAAAACCCCATCTCTACTAAAAATACAAAAAATTAGCCAAGTATGGTGGCATGCGCATGTAGTCCCAGGTACTCAGGAGGAGGCTGAGGCAGGATAATCGGTTGAACCCAGGAGGTGGAGGTTGCAATGAGCCCGAGATTGTGCCACTGCGTTCCAGCCTGGGCGACAGAGCGAGAGTCCATCTCAAAAAAAAAAAAAAAGAAAGAAAGAAAAAATAGGTACCCGCATTAGTTACTAGGAATTTTTTTAAAGAGCCAAATAGAAGACATCAGACTCATCTTATTTCAGTATAAAAGGACCACAAGTGGTACTAAGCAGAGCCCCCTTGGGGCAGTGCTTGCCAATGATGGGTGGCACCCCCATGCCCATTATCTGCCTGCACCTTCTCCCAACCAAATAGTTCAGGCATGGGTTTGTCTTGAGAAATGTTTTCATACCAATAGCTACCATTTATTGAGTGCTTGCTCTATATTTATTGTTCATAGGACTGGACCTTTATGCTCAGCATTTTATATTCATTGCTTCATTGACTCCCCAACCAATCCCATGAAGTAAATACTATTATTATCCTCCTTCTTGAAATGAGCAAAGGAGCTGAGAGAAAGGAAGGAAATGGCTCCAAGTTACAAGGTGGAAAGTGATGTAGTTGGGGCCGCAGCCCGGGCCTGGCTTCCACACTCTTGCTTTCAGTGCATAGGCTATGAATGTTCCAAGTCTCTCTTATTAATTAGAGTCTCCTTTGGAACAAACAATTAACCCATAAATATTTGCTGAACCCACAATCAGCACCCCACAAAGTTTTTTGAGGTCACGGAAGGTCCAAACATGGGACTTAAAACCAGGGGAGAAAAGAGTAACACAAGAAGAGAACAAAGAACAACCCATATCCAAGTAAAATTAAATACCAAGTACATGGTGATGAAATAGCACACCCTTGGGAGGTACTGAGGGTGGGGAAGGGGACAGAGAGGGAAGGACCCTGTGGAGAAGCAGCCGACTGAATACTGTAGGTATTTGAGAGACAGAGAGGGAAGAGAGCTCCGATTGAGAGAGTCAGAGGGCTGTGGGAATTAGCCTGGTGGTGGCTTTCATGAGAACACAAATATAAACCATAAGCCATCACATGCAGAGTTTATGGTCCAGATGCGAGTGATTTCTCAGAAAATGCACTTAAACCTGAACCCTGAGCAGCTGTGTTAATTGCTAGGTTAGTTCAAACTGTGTCTTACCTATGTAGAATCACTCAGGTTGAAGATAATTCCCAAAGTAACGTAGAAACTCCCGACAGGAGCTCTGCTTCAGGATGGAAACCTCCGTTTGCAGTCAGAGATGAGTTTTCTTTCTAGCTTGGTGGGGTATTTATGGGAAAGCCCCGAGCTTTGGTGGTGTATTTTTATTTTTTGCCTTTGGGCGGTGGTGCTGATATTATCAGAATGGTGTCGGGGTTTTTTTTTCTTCTTCTGATAGGAGATTGTAATAGGTTTTCTACACTCTAGTGTGTTTTGTAAATTCGGTTTATAGGAGTAGTAAAAAAAAAATCCCTCATGGGAACCAATTTTCAATTTAATCTTGTAAGTAAATGGAAAAAATATCGGGTGCTTTAGAGCTGTTTCAGGAGCACGTCTCTCCCACAGATAGATTATTCTGAAGAAGAGTCTAATTTTCTCAACAACTTGAGTTTGTTAATTTGGTGTGGAGATTGAAGTTTTAAACTGAACTCTGGTCGGGGAGGGGAAGACTTCCTCCCAGCTCTTACGGCCCAGAGACTCCTCCTGCCTACCTAGGGCCCTGCGCGATTTGATGTCTGTCACCCCTGCAGATATGGAGACTCACCCTCATCTTATTGTAATTAAAACAATAATATTCCCTCTGTGTGTTCTTCCACCTTACCATGGTGTATTTGTTACAGAATGAAGGAAATGAGCCTCAGCTTTGTATGATAATCGTTCATTTTTTTTGCTTCACCCATTGATCATACATTATTGAGCGTGTGTCCTGCTCTCTTCCTGGCACCAGGGATGCTAAGATGATTAAGACCTAGACCGTGTCACAGACTGTGTGGTCTTTGGGGGAGAATTCAGGCATGAAAAAGAATTGGCGGGTGCTGTACCTGCAGTGGGAGTTTGGGAGAAGGGGAGCCTCAGTGGCCCTGGGGAGGCAGCAGGTGACAGCTTCACATCGGAAGTGCAGTGGAGCCGGGAGGACAGGGAAGGAAGAAGAGGGCATTCCAGGCAAAGATGCAGAGTGTGTTCAGGAAGCTCAGCACCATCCAGGATGTCAGGAAGTTCAAGTGAGAGTTGGAGAGAGCTGGAGGGAAGTTTGTTTCTTTCCATTTTCAAAGTATGAGAGCTGCAATCATCAGTTTACCAGTTGCACAATCCTTAGGAGCCATGCGCACAGGCTCTGAGTTAAATATTTCTTTTTAAAACAGGAAGATTTTAAGTTCCAGGTAGCTACGTTTTCAACAAGAACAGAGCATCAGTCTCCTAGCCTGAACTCTACACATCACCCTGAGATTCACAGTGAGCAGAGACCTTCTCTATCATTGCTGGGTAAGGAGACGCAGCAGGTAGCCCAACCTTTGCCTAAAAGCTTTGCACAGGTACCTTTTGCAGTGACAGGCAGGCTGTGGAATATAATAACTTGTTGGAGGCTGCCAGCAAGGAGATGCACCAAGCTCCTTATTTAAAGGAAAAGGCATTAGTTGGAAGTCATTTCTGTTCAATAAATCTTGGTTATGGGATTTGGATCCAGATCAGGAACGTAGATGGTGATGCAGCAGATGTATCTGCTCCTTTGGTTTGGGATGGAGAGGGAGAGGGTGCTGGCAAGAAGCTGCTTATCCTCAGGGGCACCCAGAGTGTCCACTGTTGGTGATCCTGCATTTGACCACCTGGTTCAGCGTTCTCAGCAGATCCCTCCAACTGCAAAGGTATTTTTGTTGTTGTTGTTGTTTGTAATTAATAAGGAATCTGGATGTCATACTTGATGAACAGCAACCTCCCACCTAATGGTTTTAACCTTGATTATTTTATTTTTTATTTATTTGTTTATTTATTTTTTTGAGACACAGTCTCACTCTGTCACCCAGCCTGGAGTGCAATGGTGCAATCTTGGCTCATTGCAACCTCCGCCTCCTGGATTCAAGCGATTCTCCTGCCTCAGCCTCTCGAGTAGTTGGGATTATAGGTGTGTGCCACCATGCCCGGCTAATTTTTGTTTTTTTGGTAGAGACAAGGTTCCACCATGTTAGCTAGGCTGATCTCGAACTCCTGACTTGAGGTGATCCACCTGCCTTGACCTCCCAAAGTGTTGGGATTACAGGCGTGAGCCACCGTGCCTGGCCAACCATTCTTGATTAAAAGAGAATGAGGAGACATGATTACCAAATGCAATCTGTAACACTTGGTTGGATCCTGGATCCAAGAAAAAAACAGCTGTAAAGAACATTTTGGGGACAGTGGGGACAGTTGAATCTGGACTGTATTTTAGAGAATGTTTTTGTACCAGTGTGACATTTCTGGGTGGTAATGGTCATGTGATTTTGGAGGGGAATGCTGAAATATTTTAGGGGTCATTTTTTCCTAATGTCTACAACCTACTTCCAAATGGTTCAACAAAAGCAAAAAAACAGACAGAAATCTGAAAATAGGACCAGGCGGGGGTTGGGGCCAAGAAGAGAGCGTGTGTGCAGGCAAGAGCACCTGTGGCGGAATAATAGTGACTCTAGAAAGTGATATAGGTGTTCACTGTACTGTTCTTTCAACTTCACTCCCAAAAACTTGGGCAATGATATCTATGTCTGAAGCTTTGTTTCAGTTGATCGTATTTAAATGTACTCTGTAGAGGTCATTCTTGGCTAGAAGGAAGCCCCTGCTGAAGCAGCCATCAGAGCGCCTCAGCAGTTAAGCTTCCCTGCCTCCACCCTCTTACTCTATGACCCTCCCCTGCCTCTGTCCATGGCCACCAACGCCTTTCCTTTTGTGGATGGCAGACCAAAGGAGACAATTATTCTGCCTCAACCCAACGCTGTGTTTCCTTGTGGTTCTGCACTGAGGCTGGGCCCAGAAGCCTGGTTCATGAAGAGCACTCACCTGGCCCCTGGCCCCTGGCCCCCGTTAAACAGGTGAGTCACTGACCATTTCCTTAGAGCCACCTGGGACTGGCTGCATGGGACTTGCCATGACACAGCCGGCCAGACTGCCACAGGCAGGTTCTGGGAACTGTACACTTACATGGATGGGCAGGGGCTGCCTGGGATTGGGAGCCACTAGTGGTCTATGTCCCCAAGAGCTTGTATATGACCCCCATTTTCCAAATAGCTCAGGCAGAAAAGAAAATGTGAGTTAAACAGCTAAAGGAGTCATATGTAGGTATGTGTACATATGTGTAAGAAGTAGGCTGGACATGGTGACTCATTCCTGTAGTCCCAGCTACTCAGGAAGCTGAGGCAGGAGGATCTCTTGAGCCCAGGAGTTTGAGACAAGTCTGGGCAACAGGGCAAGACCTCGTCTACACAAAAAGAAAAAATAACCAGATGTGGTGGTGTGCACTTGTAGTCCCAGCTACTCAGGAGGCTGAGGCAGAAGGATCGCTTGAACCCAGGAGTTCGAGGTAACAGGGATCTATGATGGCGCCACTGCATGCCAGCCTAGGTGACAGAGCAAAACCCCATCTCCAAAAAAATAGTAGTTGTGGGCACAGTATTGGCAAAGCTGTTGCTTATTGTATAAATAAACATCAAGGAGTTGGGGAATGGCTGAGTGGGCCGTTTGCATTCTGCATCTCCCCTCCCCTTGGATACCACTCTCCTCGATCTGGGGGTTCCATGCCTACTTTAAAGACACCAGCTTCTATTTCCTGCAAGTTTCCAGCTCTTAAAAAAAAAAAAAAAAAACAAAACCAACAAGCTTTATGATGCTCACATATGAGAAACTACTTCCTTTAGTTTGTCTTTAAATACTGGTAGAGAAAAGTCCATAATAAGAGGGGTAACTGCTCTTCATGACAAAGCACACTTTATCTCCATGGCTTTGTAGAAGTTTCATGAATCCACTAACATCAGCTAATTCTGAAAGTGATAGGCATTGTTGCATTAATTTTCCCTGGGGAGAGGCACAGCAAGACTGGGTCCTCTCTTTTGTAGATGGAGAAGTAAGAATGAGTGGGGCGTTCAGTGTTCTTGCAGAGAGGATTGGTGGGTCCGTTTAGCTAGGAAGTGGTCGCACCATCTAGCCAGGGGACCCTTATTATCCAATGATCTCTATGTGCCTGGCATCTTGCAAATGGAAATGCTAACAAGATCCAGCCAGTCACAGCAGTAGCAGCTGCCTAGAAAGGGGACATGAAGGGCAAACCAGAGAAGCTCCGGGTGTTTCTTGAATGCTTAGATCCTGTGAGAAGAGAAACCGACACTGATTGAACACTTTTCGTGTACCAGGCCCCAACTGGATGCTTTCCTATGTATTTCATCCCAACCACCTTTTGGGAAAAATGCTATCATCATCACCAGCAGCAGCAGCAGCATCATTACCCTTTTGTAAGTGAGGAAACTGAGGCTTGTAGAGCTCCCGCAGCCTGCCCAGCTGCCTCTAGCACACACGCATGCCCTTCCCACTATTGTAAGCAGCTGACCGTTGGCTCTGGCTGAGGGAAGATCCTGTGATTACTCACAGCTGTTTCCCTTGAGTACAGACACAGCCTACACTGTTGCTTCAAGTGCTTGCAATTTCACATTTCTATCCTGCAATTAATTGTGGAGGCTACTCTGGGATGGCTCCGCAGCTCCTGTGATTACTGTTCTGTTGGCACCACTGGGGGTGAGGGTCTGTCCTCACTTCCGCAGACCCTGCATTTTCCAGGGTTTCCATAATGGCTGGAAATAAAAATGGCAGCAGGGAATCTGGGTGAAGTCTTCTGTGCTGGAAAATGAAGAATTAAAATGGGCAGAAGGATGGAAACAAGCCGCTACAGGACGTGTTTTGACAGCATGTGAGTTGCGTGGGCATGTGACTGGACCAGCCCTTTCTTGGCATCCGTCTGGCTTTTTCTTAGTGGCCCCAGTTCTTCCCCATTGGAGACTCATCCTGCTCTCACGTTCTCACAGTCTTCAAAGAAACCAAATCTAGCAGTCACCTGCCTTGAGTTCACTGGTGCTTAACATCCAGGCACATCCTTGGCACAAGAAAACAGGAAAGTGCGTCTTAGCTAAAACATACAGCGGTGTGCTTGTACCAGAAGAAAGCCTGCACATTATCCCATTCAAATGCGTATGCTTTTGGGTCATGACTGGCATGTGTTCAGTGGATTTATCTACTCTATCTTCTTCCTTGATTGGGCATTCCTAAACATCAGTGTCTTATGTCCACATGACCCCTTCTGTAGGCAGTACTTTGCCCATCTCCCCATATTTACCCCTTATGTCCCCTACACGTTTGCACTCAGATTTCCAAGCCATGAGCAGCTTCCCCACTGTGGCAGGCAACAGCCCACCAGTGTTTCTTCCCTCCTCACTTTTGCTTGTGCCATTTTCCCTGCTCCCCAGAGAACGTCTTTTTAACATTCAGCTGCAGTTACCTTTAGGAAGCCTCTCCTCACATTTTATGCCATGCCTGAAACCAACCACTTTCTCTCCATGCCCTTTATAACATGTATTATGAGATTTCACCTGTGTGTTTATTTACATGTTGATCTCCTTCCACTATGTCATAAGTCCTTTGAGGTCAGAGATAGTGTCTTATCTCCTGTACCCAGCCCAGTGCCTCAAATTTGTACCAAATGTGTGTCTGTTGAGCCGATGATGATGATGATGGAAGTACACAATACAGCATAGAAACTGACTCAGGCTTTTACTGCACTCCTCACCCCAAATCCAGGTGACTCTCCCCATTTTAGCCCTACATCTGGATCAAGTTAAAATGATCCTGTTTTAACCCAATTCATAAAGCCACATGGCTCTGGGATCCTTTAGAGAAACATCTATCAGCTAAGAAAAAGGTTGCATCTTCTCAGAGACACATGATTATTTACATTCCGACTGTGGTACCTCGTCCTGACTGATCTGTGGCTCATCTTAATGTCAGATATGTACAGACTTGCAGCATGCCATCCCACAGATTGTTATTCATGCTTGGTTCTCTGTGCGGGGACTCCAACAGAGCTTTTCACTCTGGGTGCTTAGTCACTAGATGTGCGTGGGAGGCAGCAAGATTGGAACAAGGGGCAAAGAGTTGCCAGTGTCATTTCCTTCATGCAGCATTTGTCTTTGTTGTAAAGCACCCTGGTATCCATGCTCATGGTGACATAGTTTCTCTTTCTCCTGCTTAAGATACCCCAAGTCCCCAGATTCTTTATAGGGTCATCAGTCATCTGTCGTCTTTGACTTCAGTGACTGCTGCCAGGAGGAAGCACTCTTAAAGATAGGCTTTGAATGCTTACATCCCTGGAAGAGGAGAAGCAAATTATTTCTGGGGCCTCTTTCAAGATTACCCCATTAGCATACAGAGACATTGATATTGACTGAGCAGGTCATTCTTGTGCAGGATTTTAATTGCTTCTAATTATAGGATTATCATTTAAGCACAAGATTAATTGCTGTGAAATTATTGCAAGGAACTTTATCTTCTGGAAAGTAAATGTGTTAGCCAAGTGAGAAATCTCTTAGAAGCTTGCAAATGATGTCTTTTCAATCACTTTCCATTGAAACTTTCTTCTAATGCTTGGGGAATGAGAGAGAGATCTTGGGGGATCAGGAGGGAAGACGAAATAAATAACAGATAAATGCTCCTTTTGTTTCCCGGTTCTCCATCAAAAGGGTGGAAAACTTGAAGTGTTTGGGAATGGTTATGTTCACCAATGGAAATGTCCTAAAATAAATGCAGAAATTTTTTTCCTCTCTTGATCCATGTCATCTTCAACGGTGGGTGGGTAGGAATGGCTCAGTAGGAAGCTAGAATAGGCAGGTGCTGTCCTATGGTCCTTTTCAACACCAAGCTGCTCTGATATCTTAGCAAAAAATATGTATATATATATTTTCAGATGTGTTGTAAAGGAATCTCCCATTAACATGTATACACCTGCTCTGATTATTGGCATCAAAATGGTACAGAGAAACATCAGACTATGTGCATCTTAGCTTGTAGGCGTTTCCAATTGGAAAGATTCAGATTTCCTGAGAAAATATGAGATAAGTTAGCTCCTGAGCTTGTTCTAAAATATCCCCATTTGAATAGGGGGCCATGGCCACCCACTGGAAGCTCTGCACAGAGCATCCCCATGAGGGACTTTTTATACTGAGAATGGTAGCTGCCTTTACATGCATTTTCCTTTTTAATTAATGCAAGGTTTGTGGTTAATTAAAGATAGTCAGGGTCCCTTTTCAAACCAAAGCAGGCACTTTTTCCTAGAATAAAGAAGAGAGAATAGAAGCAAGGCAAACTTCCTATAAAAGTTTTTGCAGTGGGGGTGGTGAATTTGGGGAATGTGGCCTGAAGGAAGTGTTGTTTCATCAACTTCGACTCACTTGAGGTAGGGAATGTAATCAAAAGAGACACCTTCCTCACTGAACACCCAGCAGGGACATGGCTCTTTTTCTGGGAAATGCCGCACTGACCTCCCTTTCTCTTTGTTAAGTCACTCAGCTGGGAGTGGGGGTACAGTGCAGGAGAGACACATTTCTCTGGGATATATTGCTGCTGTCATCTTATGGCCCGCACAGGTGGAAGAACTCTCGTGGAAGAACTCTCACAGGTGAACATCTGCCCAAAAGAGCAAGTGTATGTGCAGTGAATGTTAGAAATAGCACCAGAGCCCTCCTTACTCTTTACTAATACCCAACCTCTCTGAAAGACCCTGAAGTCTGTTTCAATCCCTCCCACCCCAATATGGCAGGGACTCTGTTATCCTTAAAACTTCTGGCTTCTGAAGGATGCTAGTATATATTTGAAAAACAAAAAAATCCCAGCATACTTTACATGACCAACACTCCATAAAGAAAGAATACAGCAGGCTTGTGTTTATAAAATAATAGAAGTGACTTGCATTTAGAGGATACTATGGTGCATTAGTCTATTCTCATTCTGCTATGAAGAAATACCCGAGACTGGTAATTTCTAGAGGAAAGAGGTTTAATTGACTCACAGTTCTGCAGGGCTGGGGAGGCCTCAGGAAACTTACGATCATGGCAGAAGAAGAAGCAAACACATCCTTCTTCACGTGGCGGCAGGAAGGAGAAGAAGAATGAGAGCCCAGTAAAGGGGAAAGCCCCTTATAAAACCATCAGATCTCAGCCGGGCACAGTGGCTCATGCCTGTAATCCCAGCACTTTGGGAGGTCAAGGTGGGCAGATCACCTGAGGTCAAGAGTTCAAGACCAGCCTGGCCAACATGGTGAAACCCCCTCTCTACTAAAAATACAAGAAATTAGCTGGGCATGGTGGCAGACACCTGTAATCCCAGCTACTTGGGAGGCTGAGGCAGAGGCAGGAGAATTGCTTGAACCCAGGAGGCAGAGGTTGCAGTGAGCTGAGATGGCGCCATTGCACTCCAGCCTGGACAACAAGAGCAAAACTCTGTCTTCAAAAACAACAACAACAACAACAACAACAACAACAACAGATCTCATTATCTTCACCTCGTCCTTCCTACAACCTGTGGGGATTATGAGAACTACAATTCAAGGTGAGATTTGGGTGGGGACACAGCCAAACCATATCATATGGCGTTGACTTTGAAGTCAGGTAGACTGGATTTGAATCCCAACTATAGCACTAATTAATGTTGAATACGTATTAGGGGTTGTTACTCTATTAATGGAGTTTTACTCCAGTCACGTTAAGTCATGTAGCTCAATGGACTGAAGCATGTCACTTTATTGACAAATTAACTCTTTCAGTCCTGACTCTTTCATGGTGTAGCTATAACCACAGTGGGACTCCAGCAGCCCCAACCAAGAAAATCTAACCCCAGACCTCATTTGTTTTTTCTTCACTATGCCCACCAAGCAAGACACAGGAACACACTGTGAAATCACTTTCAAAATTGGAAGGCCTCTGTATGAGTAGAACAGTTGCATATTAAGCTGAGGATATTAACCTTAAAGATTTTAACTGGCTGTGAACCTTGACCTCATGGCTTAACCTCTCTTTGTTTCCCTCTCCTCTGCAAATTCAGATTAAGGCACTTGAACTACATGAACCCTGACGTTCCCTTCAGCTCTGGCATTTTGTTGAGAGCTGTTTCAGAGAGAGCTAATCGGTGGTGCCAATAAGTGTGCCCCTTCGTGAGGAACTGATGGTAGATTGGAGACTCTAGGGACTCTGCAAATGGATGAGGCCTGAGAGGCTGCTGGTCCGGTGATTTTCAAACAAGTTGGAACATCACATCTTGTTTGAGATGATATTCAAATGATATTTCACCAGAGTTACTCTGATTGAAGGGAAGAAAATAGGGTACTCACCTTCTTCCTCCTCCTCCACCAGCCATGAGGAGACTCTGTGGAGCAGAGTTTGAAAGTCAAGGATGTAGGCTGGGTGTAGGGCCTCACACCTGTGTCCCAGTACTTTGAGAGGCGGAAGCAGAAGATCCCTTGAGGCCAGAAGTTCAAGACCATCCTGGGCAACAGAACAAGACCTTGTCTCTATAAAGAGTAAAAATAAATATAATTTAAAAATTAAAAATAAAAATTAGCCGGGCATGGTGGCACACATGCTGCACTTTGGTCCCAACTACTCAGGAGGCTGATGTGGGAGGATTACCTGAGCCCAGGAGTTTGAGGCTGCAGTGAGCCAAGATTGCACTCCAGCCTGGGTAGCAGAGTGAGACTCCGTCACAAAAAAAAGAAGTCACTAATGTGATTGTTATCACACTGTGCTGGGGTCCGTGCACCCCATGCAGCAAAGCCAAATGCTGATGTTGGGTTAACAGCAGGAGAAACTGAGGCGTTTATTGCCAAGCAAGGAGAATTGAGCAGCTCGTGCTGATGACTTGAACTGGCAGATAGCTTACAGCTATCCATTATTTAAAGGCGGGAAGGTGGAGGTTACAGTCGAAGTCATTCAGTACCTGGGGGCCACATGTTGGTTTGACCCAAACAGGTAGGACATCCCAAAGCTGGGGAGGCGGTGTGCCACAGTCATGGCTGGATTCAAAGATCTTCTGATTTGTGATTAGTTAAGGAGGCGAAGCTTTGTCTAAGAATTAGGGATCAACAAAAAAAAAAACAATGTTAGCTCTGGCTTTTGGGTACAAAAGCATCGAAGGGAGATGGAAGAATGTAGAACAAAGAACAGCAGTCAGAGTGCTGTCTTCTGCTCCCCCCATCCAAGGGCTGTGTGCCAGTGGGTCCGTTTGGTGGGGGTCCAGTTTTCTGAAACAACTCAAGGGCATGTGTTTAGATGTTATCTTTAATTTCTACAGAAAGCAAAACATCTCCTAACTTCCTTGCTGTTGTTTTAACTTACTGATACCTTCTTCCTTGTCAAGTTGCTCATTTAATTCTCAAGGCTACCTAGGTGCCTGGAATTTTCCTTGAAGGAACTCAAGATTTTCCTTTATTTCCATGTTAGGGGGTGCTCCTGCCCGGGGACCCTCTGAAAATTCTGTCCCATGGTCCATCCCCTTCATTTTCATGCATAAAAACCACGGCTCAGGGAATATGGCTACTATGTAGGGTCTTTGGGGTTATAAAGGATAAAACCGGCCGGGCGCGATGGCTCACGCCTGTAATCCCAGCACTTTGGGAAGCCGAGGCGGGCGGATCACGAGGTCAGGAGATCAAGACCATCCTGGCTAACACGGTGAAAACCTGTCTCTACTAAAAAATATATATATATAATAACAATACAAAAAATTAGCCGGGTGTGGTGGCGGGCGCCTGTAGTCCCAGCTACTCGGGAGGCTGAGGCAGAAGAATGGCATGAACCCGGGAGGCAGAACTTGCAGTGAGCCGAGATCGCACCACTGCACTCCAGCCTGGGCAACAGAGCAAGACGCTGTCTTAAAAATAAATTAATTAATTAATTAATTAAAGGATAAAACCAACCCACTCAGGTAGAAGGGGGAATTAGCAAAAGAAATCTAGAGTATCGTGAAACGCAAGGGTGGGAATGCCTTGGAGCCATAAGAATACTGAGAACCCAAGATTCTCTTTCTGTATCTCACCTCTTCTTTCTCCATACTGCCTTCATTTGTTTCTTTTCCACAACACGTTAGACTTTCTTTGCATTGCAGAAAACATGGCCCTAGACGATTCTACAGCTTCGCCTCTTGCAGCTGCATGTCTTCTACTGTGTCAGTCACAAATCCAAAAATTCTGGGAAAGGGATTCATCGACTCAGTGTGGGTCACATGCCACCCTGGACCAATGGACTGTGACTGGAGGGCAGATATGGGGTGGGGTGGGAGGTGGGAGACATTTTCAGGAACAAGGAATAGTGAGAAGCAGACAAAACTGTAGGTAATGCAACACTGCCATGAAACGTGAGCCAGGGTTGTGCAGGAAGTGTGTTCAGGAGGAGGATGCAGCCAGGCTCCTGCCTTCTACTTCGATGCTCCTTTCCTTCAACCACCTTGCACATCCGTGAAATTACTCAAGAGGGACAGTGGCTGAGCTTATGTCCAAAAGTTGGATATGACTCATCAGTTCCTTTTGAACACGTCAACCTGCTCCTGGCCTGGCTGGTCTCCAAAAACAGCCAAGGGTAAAGAAAAAAACTTGATTGAGTGACATTTGTCCAATTCAGCCACCCAGTGCATTAATCACCCTTTTTATTTAGAAGCTGTAAAACAGCACAACAGGTTCCAGGCGTAAATGGTGTTGATGTGGAAGAGATTGAGTGATGGTGGTACCCGCAGGAAGCAAGTCCTTTGAATGGGCTCACGGGGAGATTGTGGAACAAGTGGCTCAGGAAGGTGGAGCTGTTTGATCAGGGCCTAGGAACTAGACAAGGCCCTCCAGAATGCATTTTGAGCCATTGGCCTTAAACAACCTTCCCCTGCGGCAGCTTTTTCTGCAGGCCACGTTGCTGCCTTGGCAGACCCTCACCCCTTACCCCTGGAGCTTTTCTTTCACGAGGAATTCCTACTGCGAGAATAAACAAAGGTAGTTGGCAGCATGCTAACAATGCCTCCAGGTTCTTAGCCTCTGTCCTGAGAAGAGCCAGCCAGGCAACCTGGCTTTCATTCAGCAAGGGAAGAGAAAAGCAAGGTACCTTTTATCCCTGAATCATCGCCACAAGGCCCTCTCAGGTCAGGAAACTGATGTGTCTCCTGCTTGGTTTGTAAACCATGTGGATGATACCCAGAATATCAGGTCCTCTCTCTCTCTTCCGTCCAAACGAAAGCACTTAGATGTCACATGCCCACCTTGTAAGTCCTCATGGGATTTGGGATCCTCATCCTGTGCACAGACCTTGACTCATGGGCTCTACAACATTGGCTGTCTTCCTGTTTAATTTCCCTTTCTACTGACAGTTTTGCCAATTCAGTGATGGCTTTAGCGCCATGGCTCAGCGGCACCCAAGCAGCTTGAGACATCCGTGGTTTGGGGGTCATCTTAGTTATTTCATGGAATGAAAAGTTTTACATCCAAGATACTCGGCCCCCAGTCATTTCTTTTCTGTATCAATTTAGTCTCTCTTTAGTTTTGGTGCATGTGGTTGACTTGTGGTAGTCTAAGGTGTTGACGGACTGGCCCAGAGAGAGATCTCAAAGCTAGTGAGAATGTGTCCAGGTTCTTGTTTGATTTTGTTTTGGTTTGATTTTGATTGTGGTCGAGATAAGAGGCTTTTCCAGGTGAAAATCTCGTAGGCCTGGCATCATACCTGTAATTAATGTTTATCTTCTGCTTTATACTCTCAGATTAAAGACAGCAATGGTATAACAGCAAGGCTGGAAAGAATAAAGTTTACTCCTGTTTTATCTCTCTCTCCAAACACCGTAGTGTTCCAGAGACAGATACTGATAGTCTCTTGTGCTCATGAACTCCTAGTAGCTCCTGATAAGTACATTTCTCAGAGAATCAGCTCTGAGCCCATTTGTGGGGAACAAGTGTATGGGAAAGTCGTCGATTCTGCAGGTGTTGGGAACAGTTCTGTAATGGGATAGCAGATCCCTCTTCTGCTGGCGGATGGAGGAAGGATACCCTTGCCGGTGGACAGTTGCCTCCTAATCAGGAATTATGCCTCATGCTCAGCCAGGGCCTTCCAGGCAAGGAAGCCGAGCAAAGCCCACTGGAAGACAGGGCTCCCTCGGGCACAAACAAGAACAGCTTCCTGCTCCTCTCCAGCCTCAAAGGTTCATGCGCCTTGTCCCTCAGATAAAGGTGCTAGAAAGAAGGTTGGTGTCACTGGACGTCGTCTCTTAGGGTGATTCAGCTACTTCAGGCGAGGGGTTGGGAGGAACCAATAAATATTTTTGTCTTTGTTTGCCACACTGATGTGAATGCTTATAATTTTATTAGCAGCTGCCTGGGAGCCAGGCCTGACTTAATTTAATTTAATCTCCTGGGTTATTTCAGTTCGGTTTAGTCTATTTTAAGCACAGATGAAGAGGAAATAATCAGACCGAGGGGAAAGATGAGGGAGGGGCTGGAGGGGCCATCCGCTGCCCTCGCTAGTTCCTCAGGCTTAACTTGTCTTGATATAAAGGGAATGACTTCATGGAGGCAGGTTAGCCAGACGAAGTTCTAGCTCTCACTGTGTTTTGTCTCTGGTATCATCACCTTGTTCTCTAAGAAAAGAAGCATGATATCAGCTTTGTTGGGGGAGGGAGGATGGGGGATATTAATTATGCCACTAGAAATACAAATGGAGCAATTTTCTTGTGCCAGGCAGGACTGAATAGTGACACCTTCCCCGGCCCTCCCTTTCTCCTTTTAGCAAACTCACTGATCACTGTGTTGTGGTAGCTCTTTCTCTTTGGAGTGTTTTTTGTTGTTGTTGTTTGGTTTGTTTGATTTTGGGGTTTTTTTTTTTTTGAGACAGGGTCTCACTCAGTCACCCAGGCTGGAGTTCAGTGGCGTGATCTTGACTCACTGCAACCTCTGCCTCCCAGGTTCAAGTGATTCTCGTGGCTCAGCCTCCTGAGTAGCTGGAACTACAGGCACATGCCACCACGCCCTGCTAATTTTTGTATTTTTAGTAGAGATAGGGTTTCGCCATGTTGGCCGGGCAGGTCTCGAACTCCTGGCCTCAAGTGATCCACCCGCCTCGGGCTCCCAAAGTGCCGGGTTTCTAGGTGTGAGCCACCGCGCCCAACCGTCTTTGGAGTGTTTTGATGCCCTGGGATTGGTGGTTTGGGAGGCAGGATGGCAGAGCCTCCGCTTTGAGCAGTTTCTTCTGAGTGAATATGTGGTTCAGAGGCCCACTCAGCGAAGCCCAAGGCCCAAAGACCACCAAGTCCTGTGGCCTGGGCTGCCCTGCCTGCCCTGAGCCCAGGAGCTGCGTCCCAAGGCCACCCCATCATTTCCTGCCCCCAGGGCCTGTGAGGCTGTGCATTTGGTTTAGTACCAGGAATCATCAAGAACAAGAGAAATTCATGGGCCCAGTCAGAGAACCCAAAGGTAATGAGAATGTCCAGAGGGTTTTTTTGTTTTAAACAGTGATTGAGATGATAAGAGGTATTGCCAGGTGAAAATCTCTTAGCCTTGACATCATCAAAGAAGAGAGATTCGTCATCTCATGATGAAGAGAGATTCATCTCAATTTCTTGTTTCTTTGGGGTTTTTGTTTTGCTTTGGTTTTTTTTTTTTTTTTTTTTTTTTTTGGCAATGTCTTGCTGTTTCACTCAGGCTGGAGGGCAGTGTTGCGATCATAGCTCACCGCAGCCATGATGAGCTGCCGGGCTCAAGTGATTCTTCTGCCTCAGCCCCTGTAGCTGGGACTACCACACCCAGATAATTTTTTAAATGTTTGTACAGATAGGGTCTGACCACATTACCAGGCTGGTCTCACACTCCTGGCCTCAAGCAATCTTCCCACCCCAGTCTACCAAAGTGATGGGATTACAGGTGTGAGCCACTGTGCCCGGCTCATTGCAGTTTTATATGCCAACCCTGAAAGCAGAAAATTGTATCCCCACTGAAGTGCTGGTTCCATGAACCCAGGATTTTTATGGGTCTTATTCATTGCAGAATCCCCGAACTCATGGTGCCTGGGACCCAGCATGTTCTCAGTGTGTGTCCGAATAACACTGGAGGGTTTTTTCTGGATGATACTGATAATTACAGAAGTTAAGAGTTATTAAGTGCTTATTTTGTGCCAAGCACTATGCCAAGGGTTTTACTTGTATAATCTTTTTTAATACTTAAACGGTTCCTATTGCATGAAACTCTTACCTTCATTTAAATGGAGGCATAGAGGATTTCAGGAACTTGCCAGGTGACAAGGTGGAGCTAGAACTTGAATCTAGGCAGAACATTTTTATCTGTGTCCTGAGAGTTTCCATGAGAACATGACCAAAAGGTTTTCTGGTATACGCTGAGTCACCTGCATGAGTGTTCATTCAGAACCATCCTCCCAACACCCTGCACAGTGGAGATGCCCTGAGAAGGGAGCATCGCTGGGCTTGGGGCTGAGTGTAGGAGTGGCAAGAGGGGGTCCAAGTACCTCCCATGGCTCATTAAAGTCACCTGAGTAGACCTGCTAAGCACTCACTCCTCCATGCCGGATTTCTCAAAGTGTGCTGCTGGTCTACCTGGAGTGGGGTAGAGTACTTCCCCACCCCAGGCTTCCTGAATCAGATTCTCTAAGAACAAGCGCAGAGCCTGCAAGTAAATTCTATTGTTAGTGAGTTCTCCAAGGTGGTTCTTAGGCACCTAACATTTGAGACCTGCAGCTATGGGTATTTTTGCTCCTAGCCTTGCGGTATGTTAGATTTACTTAAAAACATACAAGTGTCTATATGTTTGGGATGGTGTTGGAGGGAATTTATTAAAACTAGAGTTCTTCTTTATCCAGAAAAGCACACACATTAGGAAAGGCAATAGCATCTGAAGACAGAGGAGTGGCGTGTAGCTCATTTTGGCCTTTCCTGTTGAAGGCCCCCAGGTTCACTCTTGGGATGACCAGGCCCCTAGAGACCAATTCCAATGTAGTCCTGACTGGGCAGTCCATCAGGATGCCAGTTTATGAATTTACAGAGAACAATAAAGTTGACCATGTGACTTGATGAGAGCAATCAGTGTAGAGAAGATACCAGGCAAGGCATAATGAACCCATTTTATTGATTTGTCAAATTAAGCACCATCACATAGACTACATAGAGCAGAAATCCGCTTTGGGAGTGCCTTCTCCCCTACAGACAAACCTGAGGGGACTCAGAATGCTGCCTAGCAAACATAGAATTATAACAAGGGGATGTGATAAATGTTGGATGGCAGCAGACTAAGGTTTAACATTCATCTCAAGTTAGAGGCGGCTGCTGTGCTGCTGGGGCCAGAAGCACTTGAAGTCAAATGCTTAGATGCCGCTCCTTGGACCTGTGTCATAGGCTCTGCTGACATTTGCCTGGAGCCTCTGCTTTCTCGCTGCTCATTTGAACATATTCATACTGGACACAAGCTGGTCCTACAAGCCTAGTACCTCTCAGAACCCTCTCTCCTTCAGGGGACTTTGAGAAGCTCTGCTCTGATCCAATATTGATGAATCCAGTAGTTTGTTGATTTCCAAAGAAAGATCTTGCTTTCCTCATTTCCTACTACCCAAGGAAGGGAGAATCACCTCATTATGGCTCCAAATTTCAACAGATGTTATATAAAGGGCTATATAAGTATTCCTGTATCTTCATTCTTTGCAAAAATGCCTTCCCCAAAATCTGACTCTTTGTCTGTCAGATAAATGATATGTAGAATTTTGTATCTTACCTTCTAGGAGAAAGAGTAGTCGTAACTCTCCATGCCTCTCCAGGGAACCCTTTGAATCCCCCCCCCACACACAAATTTAGAGATTATTTCCAGGACAAAGGACTATATGAAGGACCCTTAACTATCTAGTACCCAGACTAGTAACGTAGACTTTGGTGATACCATGAAAACGAAGGCATAATCATGTGCTATGAAAATGGATTAGGAAGCAGCTTCTGTTCACAGTAGAAAGAATCTTAGAGATTTCCCTGTCCAGCCAACTCCTTTGTTTTCCAGACTGAATATAAAAACTCACTAAAGATTGCCCAAGAAAGTGAGCAGCAGGACAGAGCAAGCCGAAGGTCCCTGCCCAGTCCCTTCCCCCACCTCTGCCACCTTTTAAATCCCATCTGGAATGTCTGCGTGTTTAGTTCAGTTGGAGGTTAGGGATCTAGGAGGTAAAATGGCCACCAGGATGATGTCAAATCGAGTTAAACAGATACAGCCTTGGCCTTTAAAGAACAGACCACACTGGAGGCATATGTATTCATCCGTTCTTACACTGCTAATAAAGACATACCTGAGACTGGGTAATTTATCAAGGAAAAAGGTTTAATTGGCTCAGAGTTCAGCATGTCTAGGGATGCCTCAGGAAACTTACAATCATGGTGGAATCTTCACATGGCGGCAGCAAGGAGAAGTGCAGAGTAAAGCAGGGAAAAGCCCCTTATAAAGCCATCAGATCTTGTGAGAACTCACTCACTATCACAAGAACAGCATGGAGGTAACTGCCCCCATGACTCAGTTACCTCCCACCAGGTCCCTCCCACAACACATGGGGATTAGGGGAACTACAAGATGAGATTTGGGTGCAGACACAGGGCCAAACCACATCAAGGAACCACATTCAAAAGCCACCCACACAGGGACAAGTTAACAACATGAAAGCAAAGGTAAGAGTGTCTGCCATGAGAACTGATGGTAGGCAGCTTAGATGTGAAGTGAGTGGCCAAGAGTAATTTATTCCTCTTCCAATTAACCAGACTTTCTAGAAACAGTGGAATTCCAAGAGCTACTTAAGAAATCGAGATATCCTTGCATTTCTGGATTGAATTGCGGTAACCAGTTGGTAACCTCTGAAATGCAATCTCTCTTATGTCCCTCTGAAATGTTAAGAAGATTCAGGAAGTGACAGAAACCCACGATCAAGACTGGCAAACCACTTACTGCCACCTTGGAGAAATTTCTGTTGCCCGTTAGCCCAGTGGTCAAGTGTTAAGAAACAATTATCAGTGGTCTGGCCATACTGGATGCATGAAAAAACCAAAGTCCTGCACACCTGAAAGAAAGCAAGAAGATTTTTTGGGCCTCCCCTTTTGCTCAGATAAACAGGGTCTTCGACCAGCCAAAAAACCTGGGAGGCACTCCTTTGCTATGGAGTTTCTCTCATTTCAGAGGACCAAAATAGTGTCTTCTCTCATCTTTCCATACAGTCTACAAATAGACTGTAACTTCCAAAGGAAAAAGAAAAGGGCTGTTGTTGGTGAGTTATGTCCTGAGGGTTAGCAGCTCTGCAAGCGAAGTATAGTGGACACAGGTGTGGAGGTGAGAAGAACTTCAGGGTCAGGGGATTCTAACTTTAAACGGACTTCACAGATTCAAGATGTGTAATTACCAAGCACTGTGAATTGGAATTACCAAGCACTGTGAATTGGATATGATCCTACCTGGCTCCAGCAAAAACACACTCGTCATTGGACTAAGAGCCATGAACATCAACTTGAGTGCCCTGGAAGAGGGAAGCAAGTTCTCTAGTGTCCCAGTAGACAGTGGATAGAGCCAATGTGGCATACAAACAGTATCTTTGGGCAAATAACACATCTAGATGTACTTGTCTTTGAGGACAAGTAAAGAAAGAAAACAAACCCAAAATATGGGGCCCATTTTTAAAACATGGGAGATAAAGGGATAGTATCATGGAGAACATATTTGAATATAGATTATTGGAAGAAAAGAAATTACAGAAGAGTATTTGAGAAAACTCCATACACATTATAATAGGGTGCAGGAGGCTGGGCACAGTGGCTTACACCTGTAATCCCAGCACTCTGGGAGGCCAAGGCAAAAGGATCACTTGAGGCCAGAAGTTTGAGACCAGCCTGGGCAACATAGCAAGTTCTGCCTCTACAAAAAAATTTAAAAATTAGCCAGGCATGGTGGCACACACCTGTAGTCCCAGCTACTCAGGAGATTGAGGTGGGAGGATTGTGGAGCCCATGAGTTCAAGGCTGCAGTGAGCTATGATCTCATCACTGCACTCCAGCCTGAGTGACATAGTGAGACCCTCTCTTTAAAAAAAAAAAAATGCACAATCTCTGTAAAACAGGAACATAATGCCATTTGAACAAACAGGTTGAGAGGAAAAGCAAGCAGAATGAGATTTTTTAAAATGATAGTGGGCTATATAAAGAGACAGAAAAGATGAAAGGAAGTGGACAAGTAAATGCCAGTTTCCAGTAAGGAAATTTATAGTACATAATTAAAATCTTTGTGGTGCAACAAACAGCAGAATTGGCATTGCAGAAAATCAAATCAGCGCTGTGCAAGAATCCTGGGAAGCTCTTCTAGAATGCAGGCAAAAGGACAAAACCATGGTGATGAAAGAGAGAATAATGAAAAATGGAAGACTGGGAACAGGATATAAATTGAGAATAATAGCTTTGTCCCAAAGATAAAAGAAGAAAAAATTGAAAAAGAAGCACTAATTCAATATGATAGGACCAAATTTATGGAGCATTCAAATGAAAAGGAATGCACTCTGTTCCTACAAAATTAACCAAAAGAAGTCTGCATTTAGAAGCATTCTGGGCTGGGTGCGGTGGCTCACACCTGTAATTGCAGCACTTTGGGAGGCCGAAGTTGGGCAGATCACTTGAACTCAGGAGTTCAAGACCAGCCTGGGCAACATGGTGAAACCCCGTCTCTACTAAAAATACAAAAAATTAGCTGGGCATGGTGATGGGCGCCTGTAGTCCCAGCTACTCTGGAGGCTGAGGCACAAGAATCGCTTGAACCCAGGAGGCGGAGGTTGCAGTGAGCTGAGATTGCGCCACTGCACCCCAGCCTGGGTGACAGAGCGAGACTCTGTCTCAGAAAAGAAACATTCTGGAAAACTTTTAATTACAAAGAAAGAAAACAAATGTCTTTTCTTCAGAATATATAGGTGACCTACAGGAGAACAAAAACCAGGTTGTCACTAGACCTCTAATCGTATGCACTACTAAATTTTAAGAGATAAGAAAACATCACTTACAGAGTTTGGAAGAACAAAGTGAATTGGCCCCAAATTTCTCACCCAGCCAAGTTGCCAGTCGTGGCATATTCTCAGAGATGCAAGAGCTCAGAATATACATCACCCACACTTTCTTGAAAATTATTTAAAGGCGAGCTAAAGAGGACGGCAAGATGAAGTAAAATTAAAAGTTCAGGGATGGGAAGTCATATAAGGATAAGCAGTAAGCACTAAAATCAGTTGAACCTGTTAATGTGGAAAACAGCTATCAAAACTGTAACTCATATAAAAATTATGACAAGCATTAGAGATCCCATACTCCAGATAATTTTACAGTAACAAAAAGAGGAAGTAGGATGGGAGCTCACAGGGAGTAAGAACAGAGCATGCACAATGCTTCATACCCTTGGGGAGAGGAGTCAGAAGATGCTATCTCATTCTTTCCTTTGGTGATCGGAGAAATGTAGGATAAAAAATGTTTTGGGGTGAATCTTGAGATAGTCAGCAGTAGAATTTAAACAACATTTTAAAAATTTTGGCCGGGCATTGTGGCTCACACTTGCAATTCCATCACTTTGGGAAGCTGAGGTGGGAGGATTGCTTGAACCCAGGAATTGAAGATGGGCCTGGACATGGTGAAATCGCCATCTCTACCCAAAAAAAACACAGAAATGACCGGTGTGATGGCGTGTGTCTGTAGTCCCAGCTACTCGGGAGGCTGAGGTAGGAGGATTGCTTGAGCACAGGAGGTCAAGGCTGTAGTGAGCCATGATCACACTACTACACTCCAGCCTGGGTGGCAGAGTGAGACTCTATCTCAAAAATAAATTTAAAAAAATTATAGAAAAAATAAATGCAAAGAAAACAGAGTATAGTAAAAGAGTGAAGGCTGGGTGCAATGCCTCATGCCTGTAATCCCAGCACTTTGGGAGGCCGAGGTGGGCAGATCACAAGGTCAGGAGTTCGAGACCAGTCTGGCCAACCTAGCAAAACCCCATCTCTACTAAAAATACAAAAAATTAGCCTGGTGTGGTGGTGTGCGCCTGTAATCCCAGCTACTTGGGAGGCTGAGGTAGGAGAATGGCCTGAACCCGGGAGGCAGAGGTTGCAGTGAGCCGAGATTGCACCATTGCACACCAGCCCAGGAGACAGTGGGAGACTCATCTCAAAAAAAAAAAAAAAAAAAAAAAAGACTGAAAACAAAGCAAGTAACTAGGAGACAGAGGGACAACAACAAGTGAAGCTCCACACGACAGAGGCAGCCAAGAAGTGGGGGGGTTTAAGAATGTACTGGAATGGGGCTGCCTGTGTTTTCAGCCCCTCCCCTTGCTAGCTGGGTGACCTTGTCCTAGGTACTGCTTAATCTCTCCAAGCCTCAGCTTTCCTCGTCTATAAAATGTGGATACCAAGTAGGGTTATTGCGGAGGTTAGTTAATATGTCCAAGGTGCTGAGTACCTTATCAGGTACGTACTTGTGGGTACGAATATTGAGGATAAGGTAACAGATTAAACTGCCCACCATTTTCAGATGGGATGTTTTGCTAAAGTTCAGCGATATCCTATGAATGAGACCTACACGTAAAGTAAAATGACCCATAAACACTGAGAAAAAGGATGGGCAGTGATTTATGAGATGAAAGAAAGAAAGCAGTGGAAGTAGAATTGCCCCAAGTCAGGAAACTCTGTGTACCTGGATGGAGAAAGCCGAGTCGGGGGCTTGTACCACTAACATGCATTGGAAATCTAGAACAATTTAAAGTCTAAGCTTGTTGCACAAATTAGCAGAAAGTTGAAGAAGATAAAATACATGGCCCTGAAAACAGAGCGAACATTAACAAACAGAAGCCACACAGACCAATGGGAAAGATAGGGCTTATTCCACTAATAATGTTGAGAAGTTGTCTAAACATTTGGAGGAAAATAAATGAGATCTTCTTTCACACTGTACACCAAAATAAATTTCAAATGGTCTTAAGAGTTAAATATAAGAAAGAAACAAAATAATTAAAACTTAGGTGAATATTAAGCTAATCTCAGAAAGGGCAAGGTTTTTGTAAGCCTAAAAGAAATGGAAAAAATAAAAGGAAATGTTTGACAGATTTAACTACATAATAAGTTAAGCTTCTCTGTTTCTAGAAGAATGGTGACATGTAACACAGTTTGCAGCAACTATGACAAAAGGCTTTTATCATTTATATCTCAACAACTCTTCTAACACAGTAAGAAAACTTGTTACTACCTTCTAGAAAACTTGAATAAGGAGTTAAGTCAGGCAGAAATAAATACAAATGGGCAAATAACCATGGAAAAAAAATTTAACCTCAAAAATAAGAAAGTCAAAATTACAGTGTTATTCTTTACTTTTCTCACCACTTCTTGATATGGTTTTGGTAGGATTGTGGTAAACTTTTAGAGGAGTAATTTGGCAATGTATGCCAAGAATCTTGAATAATTTCCATCCTTTAAGCTACTTCCAAGAATGTATTCTTATTCTTCTTTGCATCAGAAAATCTGTGGCGTTCTTAAACACACAGGGTATGATCAGACTTGCACAGCATAAATAGAACAAGAAAAAAAGTATCAGAAATTTCAATGAATATTTATGCATGAAGATGATCAGTTGCTATGTTATTTGTAAAGGTGAAAAATGATAAACTTTGTAGATGCCCCCAAACAGGGAATTGATTAAATAAATTCTGATTAGCCATAAAATGAGATGTTAGACATTTAAAATGTTTTCAAAGCATACTTTGTTATAAAGGCAGGTTCTAAAACTTTATTCCTAGTGTGATGTGAATTCTATAAAAATAAATATTTCAATGTAGATAGATGTGGAAGATACTGGCCATAAACATGCTAATGTGCCAATGTTGGTTCTCCCATGCAGAAGTATAGTTGTTTTAGTTTTCTTCTTTATATTTTTATGTCTTTAAATTTCTTGTATGATGGGTGCACCCGTTACTCCTATAATAAGAAAAAAATTTTCTTAAATATCTTCCTACGTTGTTTATGCAGAATCGTTTCAGTCTCTCATAACCTGGGAAATATTTCTCTCACAACTAGGTTTCATTTTCTTTTGAAACATCAGAATTATAGAACTTTAATGTAAAATTTTATGTCCCACTAATTGTAAAAGGGAAAGTAATGAAATATTTATGATCTTTTTCCAAGGACTAAACATTGTTGTTTCTCATCTTATACCACAGTCCTCCGAATTCTCTTATGTAAGTTTTGTTCCAGTAGAATTTTGGTTGATGAGTTGCCAACCTGTGTTTTCTGGTACGTGAATGGGACAGAAATTCACTCTTATCACCAAGCAGCCAGCCTCACCAGCAAAATAGAATATTCACTAAATAGGTTCCAAATAAGAAAATGGTTAATGTCCCTCAGTCCAGGTTTGTGTACAGGGCCATATGAAGCTGTGAGGCGATGTCTGATCAGGTGTATTTTTAGTGTATCTCATTATTCTTGCCTTTGTCTCTGGTAATAAGGAAACAAATATCACAAAATTTAGGGGTCATTATTTCTAAACATGAAAGAGATCACATCAGAAATTCTGCAACATTCATAAACACAGACGGTGTCAGCAGACTTGATACAGCATAAATAGAACAAATGCAGTGAACTAGACAGCACCCAGACCCAGTTTGTACACAGAATCTCAGTCTATAATTACCCAGTCAAAAATTGTTCATCGTGGTTGATGACACCTGTGCATTTTATTTCCTGAAATCTAGAGAAGTTCCACGTGATCACTATTTAACCAAGAGCAAAAGTCCCTTTCTGACCCATTTTTCCTGTAAGTGGAGATACATCCTGTGCTCTTTTGTCTTTGTGGGTACAGAGATTCTTTCTTCAAAGCATTTAACATTTTCAAAAAAGTGTGCCACTCCTTTTGGCCTGGCTTTCTTCGCCCGTGAAAAGGCCTGGGTGGTTTTTCCTTGTCCAAGAGTCCCTCCAAATGGACGCTTTATGTACTGCAACCAAGAGCTGAGAAGTTTCCAAGCTTTCCTGTCTGTGTTAGCATTCCGGTCATTCAGCAGGAATCCAATGAGCGCAGATTTTATCTTGTCTGTCCTGTGTTGCCCTGGGGGAGTGATCCCTGGGGATGCGAGGGGGTGTGGCCCTTGCCCTCAAGGTGCTGTCAGTCTGTAGACATGGAACACCTTTGGGCTGGGCTAGGCTGGCAGGAGAGTGGAAGGGCAGAGGAAATGGGTCTTGTGCAAGGCTAAGGGCTGACAGCACTGAGATGGATGGAGGAGTGTCCCCAGCGATGGGGCAGTGTGGACCCAGAAGCACAGAGCAAGGTGGGCACAGAGATACACGTGTTCAGCAGTTACTCAGTTCACGCATGGTGCTGTGCTGGGCAGTAGGGGTTCAAAATAACTAAAAGAGACTAACCTTGTTGGTGTGGAGTGGTTCTTTTGGGTTATATAAATACTAAATGTGATAGGTTGCATGCAGTTAAATATTTAGCATATAGAACCAACCCATCAGAACCAATGCCAGCTCCTAAGTCATACCAGCATCTGCTAGGGGAATGTGGGCCAGAAGACGGAGCGTCACTGACATTTAGATAGAGGTGTTCAAGTAAATGGTAGGAAACAGATTAGAGGCCTGTTTTCCATGTTGGGAGCCTAAAAGATACAGTAACCAAGTGCCACTCAAGCTGTGGTAGAGAATATCTCAGTTCTAACTTGTTAATGGGAGAAGAATATGATTTTGTTGTTGCTTCTGGCCAAATGATTCCAGTGAATCAGTCTGATGAGTGGCAGTGCCTGGGCTGCCACCCACAACCAACTCTCACCTGTCCTGTCGACTCTTCATTGTTCATGCTTGAGAAATCAGTTACCTCCTTATGCCATGGAGGGCCTGACTGCAGTGCACGCCCACCAATGGGAAGTCGTGCCCACACCAGTGGCAAGATATGCCACCACCATCATGGACCAACCACCCAACGCCTCCTATCCAAAGGCAGATCCCAGCAAGCACTTGCTCTCTGTTGCCGGGACTTCTCCCAGCTCCAAAACTGCCTTAGTCTGATCTATTAATATATCTTTTTAACTGGGTGGCTCATAAACAACAGAAGTTTACTTCTCACAGTTATGGAGGCTGGAGACTCCAAGTTCAGGGCACAGGAAGACTCAGTGGCTAGAGAGGGCCCATTTGCCGACAGCCCCACATCCTCACACGGTGGAAGGGCAAACCAGCTCCCTTGGGCTTCTCTTATAAGGGCACTGATCCTCTCCATGGAGGCTCTGCCCTCCTGGCCTAATCACCTCCCAAAGGCCCCTCCTCTTAATGTCATCGCCTTGGGGGTTAGGATTTCAAACACAAATTGGGGGCAGGAGGCACAAACATTCAGACCACAGCACAGAGCTCTTCCCATCCCCAGCCGAAGTAGGAATGACCCAGAGGAAGGCTGCTGTCCCTTTGCACACAGGTTCTGAAAGTGCGTGGAGAGAGGACGATCCCTCGGTCCCTGCAGAACCAGGCTCTTGAAGCATATAGCAGAGGTTCTCTACCCAGGGCCTACCCTAGAATGTCATCAAAACTGCAGTGTTGTATTAAAGGGGTGCATGGCTTAGAGAGAATGGAGAATGCCCAGCCCAGAGGCCCAGAGTGTTTTAGGATGTGCCTGTTACCCAAAGTTAAAATCTGTATGCGTCAGGAGTGACACTTGGGAGCTACACTTCCCAACCCCCTCTCCTGCGGCCACCGGAGCCTGCCTGGGCCCCTTCTCCTGAAACGGCCTTCTCTGCCCACATAATAGCCCCTAGCGATGCCAGTTCTGGTTCCTCCGCGGGGTCCCACGCCAGCTGACCCAGCAGTACCTGTAACGTGTCCCACCCTTGCCAGGGTTTGTGTGCCTGCATGGTTTTAGAGGTTCCAAGTCAGAGCCCCTAAACCCCTTGCCTTATTGCTAGACAGCTTGACCGCCCCCGGAACATCACGTGGGAAGGGCGCTCGGTAAATCCTGTTCTGGAGGCAATCTGTCACTCCACCAGTTTCCCAATCAACATTTGCCGAGGAGTTCTGGCTCCCGGTGCAGAACTGACTTGTGGCGACGTGAGGGAACTGGCAGCTTCTTAGACCCAAGTTCTCCCTCGCAGCATCGTCAGAAGAGGCCCAAAGTAGAGACGCAAACAAACCCTGAGAACAGCGTGTTCTTCCCAGTAACGTGACCGGGAAAATGTGAGCCAGAGGAAACTTGAGAGCTCCGTGGTGCGGCTGAGCTGGTGGGGTGAGGGTTTTTTCCCTTTTTCTATCTGGTCCAGCCCATCGGCCACTTGAGATGCTCCTGAACTGAGTAACCAAGCTGTTCGGAGGGTACTTTCTCAGCAGGACAAGCCCTGAGCTCTGGAAAAACGCAGCTAGAATAACGAGGAAGCAGAGGGGCCTCTCCCACACCAGGCTTGCCCCGACAGGTCAGCTTGCTTGTGGCCCAGCGCTACTGCGCACATGTTCCTTTAAGATCCCTATTTCCGAGGCAGCCGTGGCATAATTAAAGAATGGCCCTGTGGATGTCCTACGGTGCTCACTGTTTGCACTTGCTTCTGGGTGGGGCTAAGGTGTGGGACCGGCCGGGGAAGCCTGAACAAGGTGGGGTTGGCCAATTGCAACAGGTCACAGCCAGATCAGATACCCTGAGGAGGAGGCTGTGAGTCATGTTTGTCCAGAAGTGCCAACTGCTGCACCAGAAAAGCCGGGAGAAAAGAAGCAAGCGTAAGGTGCACATGAGAGGTGCTGGTTTCTGAAGGTTCTGTTAAGACAGGAGAAGATGGATCATAGTTCCTGTCAGGAGACACACCCTCTCCCCCGACCCCCAGCCCAGAACCCCTTCCTTGCTTTATAGCACAAGGTGAAAGTTCAGAGGCTCAGCTCAAAGCAGAAGGAACCTAAGGGAAGTAGAGCGTCCTTTTTTGTGTCACTTTCTCCTCAAACAACTCACTGTGTTGGTGGGGTAGTGTTTGTTCTATGCTGGGGGTCAGCAAACTACGGCCCAAGGTCCAAATCTGGCCCACAGCTTATTTTTATTTATTTATTTATTTATTGAGACTGAGTCTCGCTCTGTCGCCCAGGCTGGAGCACAATGGCACAATCTCGGCTCACTGAAACCTCTGGCTCCTGGGTTGAAGCAATTCTCCTGCCTCAGACCCCTGAGTAGCTGGGACTACAGGCGCACGCTGCTACACCCGGCTAATTATTTGTATTTTAATAGAGACGAGTTTTCACCGTGTTGCCCAGGCTGGTCTCAAGCTCCTGAGCTCAGGCAGTGCACCCACCTTGGCCTCCCAAAGTGCTAAGATTACAGGCGTGAGCCACTGTGCCTGGCCTATTTTTTAAATAAAGTTTTATTGGAACACAGCTGCGTTCGTTTGTTCACATATCGTCCGTGTCTGCTTTCGCTATGCAATAGACCTGAATAGTGGCAGTAGAGACTTTGTGACCTGCAAAGCCTAAATGACTGGTGATCTGGCTCTTTTTAGAAAAGGTTTGCTATCTCCTATTCCACACTAATAGGTGAACCTGAATGCAGAGGTCACCTTGTGAGGACCACACAGAGGTTAATGCCCAGGCCCCCTGAGGCAGGACTGAGTTGCACTCCTGACTCCATCCCTTACTAAATGTTCAACCTTGAGCAGGTTTGTTAACATCTGTCTGCCTTGGTTTTGTCATCTGGAAAACGGGCATCTGAGTCATTATTTCACAGGAGTATTGTGAGTATTAAGTGAGTGGGTGTAGTAAAGCACGTGGAAACCTGTCAGTAAAGGCCTCTTTGTTAATTCAGATATAACTCACAGGTCATAATATTCACCCTTTAAAAATGTACAGTGTAGTGGTTTTCAGTATATTCACAAGATTGTGCAATATACACCACCACTGTCTAACCCAGAACATTGTCATCACTTCAAGAAGAAATTCCTCAGTAGTACTTGTAGTAGGATGAATAACCACCACCCAAAGACATCAGATCTTAATCCCTGGAATCTGTAAATGTGCCCTTAATTTGGAAAAAGGGTCTTTGCAATGTGATAAAGTTAAGCATCTTGAGGTGGGGAAATTCTTCTGGATGATCTGGATGGGCCCTAAATGTGATCACATGTGTATTCTTAGAGAGGCATAGAGAGAAATTACAGGCACAGAGAAGAAGGTGATGTGGCCACAAGCCAAGTCATGCCTGCCACCACTGGAAGGTGGAAGAGGCCTGGAGTGGATTTTCCTCTAGAGCCTCCAGAAGGAACATGGCCCTGCAGAGCCCCTGATTTTGGCCTGGTGATGTGGATGTTGGACTCTTGGCCTCCAGAACTGCAAGAGAATACATTTCTGTTGTCTTAACTGGGAAGTTTGCGTATACTTTGTTCCAGCAGCCACAGGAAACTGAGGATACCTATTGCTAAGATTACTATTGATGTCATCCTGCTAGCAGAAGGTAGGCCAGAGCTAGATTAAGTCCTGTGATCTGAACTGGGGCAGTGTGAGCTTTAGCATACTCCACTTAGTGGTGGAGAAGCCTACTTAAGCCAACAGGCATTCATCTGGCAGGCACCCCACACCTTTTCCCCACACCACTTACTTTTTTGTTTCCTCCTGCATAGGGCTAAACAGTCCTTGTTGACTGAAAAAAAAAAAAAGGACAGTCCCAGCCACCCAACAGGCTTCTCGTAGTATGCACACCACTGTCATTGGGAACATGACTGTAGGGAAATGAACACTGTTTTAGATACATTTATGCTATTTTGTGGAGTGTCGTTTTTCCTTGGTTTCAATATTTGTTTTGTGGCCTTAAAAATCTCTACATCGGTGCAGATTTACCCAGCCCATTTTCACACCCACTGCAATCTTCTTTTCCCTCTATGCTTTCCATGTGCTGTTTGTCCTAGAATTGGTAACTGCAGCAGAGAGAGAGAGAACCCACAAAGCACCATTTCCTCTTTGGTGGCATGGTTGCTGGGTACTCACTGGCTACGTGGTCACTGGGTACATCATGGTCTTCATTGATTCAGTCCCTGGCCTGTTGGTTCTTAGGCAGATGTCAGCACATTCCAGCTGTAGTGACTGGAGCACCCCAGTGTACTAAGAGGTTTATTGGTTTTAGAATTGCATCCCTGAAGCTACTACACTCACACCTTTTTTTTTTTTTTTTTTTTCTTTGAGACAGAGTCTTGCTCTGTCACCCAGGCTGGAGTGCAGTGGCGCAATCTGGGCTCACTGCAAGCTCTGCCGCCCGGGTTCACGCCATTCTCCTGCCTCAGCCTCCCGAGTAGCTGTGACTACAGGCGTCCGCCACCACACCCGGCTAATTTTTTTGTATTTTTAGTGGAGATGGGGTTTCACCGTGTTAGCCAGGATGGTCTCAATCTCCTGACCTCGTGATCCACCCGCCTTGGCCTCCCAGAGTGCTGGGATTACAGGTTGAGCCACCGTGCCCGGCCTACACTCACACCTTTAAATCAGGTGCAGCACCTTTAAACCCCTTCACTAAGTTCAAGGCACCAAAGCACAGACATAGCTGTGCAGGCTTTGCCTGCCTTCCCACCACTCCTCTAGGCACACCCAGGGCTCAATACAGCACTGCAAGATGTGTGTTCACTTTTCCCTCTGTGCTCTTTGGCCACCCATCTTTCTAGTGGAAGAGTTTCCTTTCCTCCTCGTTCTCCTGAGCAACGTTTTCCTCCATCCCCTCCTAGCTGAGGCTGACTTCACCACCTCTTCTCTGGGACTTTGTCTTGCTCAAGTCATTTCAATACATCAGCAAGCGAAAGTGGAGTTTTGTACAGTCAGAAGCTTGCCCGAGCTCAGCTACTCATTAGCTTTGTGTGGTGGACAGGTTATTTCACCTCTCTCTGCCTGAAGGCCCTATCTGCAAATGGGCTTGATAATAGCATCTTTTTACATGAAATTAATTTATGGATCTAAAGTCCTTTGAGAGAACATTCTGGATATCTAATAATTATCAAAATAATGAATTCTCTGGGTTCGAAGTCATTTTTTATTCCTCAAAGACAAGGCTCATGGGTTGTGGAAGCGTCCTTCACTCCGTGGCCTGGTGTTGAATGACATGAAGTTCTTTTGACCACAGACACTAAATCTCGCCTGTTTCCAGCACTTACCTGCCCTTCCACCAACATTTTTGCATTCACATTTCTTTTGCTGTGGGTAACTTCAAACAAAGAAGAGTTTGTTTGTTTGTTTTTTCTGCAGTGTCAGAGAACATTTTTGCTCATGCCTGGTGTGGAGTAGGATTCGAGAATTTTGTTTACTCTCGCTTTTGCTGTCAGGCAGGGGTGGAGGTGGGAGGTGTCACGGGGTCAGCACAGACTGAACAATCCTGACTTTTGCAGTAATTCTGTTTTGAGCCTTTGTCCTTGTTTTTGGCTTTTAAGTAGAAGCCAGGAGCAGGGGTGCTCTTAGAGGGGGGGAGAAAAAGTAATAAAAACAGAGAATTATTTCCTAAAGCAAAACAGATCATTTGGAGGGCCATGTTGTCCTTAAATATGGAGACACTTGACTTTTATGCATTACTAAACAGTGTCTCTGTATAGACATGAACCCTTTGATGGGCAGAGTCACTGTGGGTCAGTGCTGACAAGTCTGGTCCTCAGGCAACAGGGATACAGCTGTGTCCTCAACAAAGCTTTTGGTGTATGTGCCCGTGGATGAATCCTTCAGAACCTCTGCATGACCTTACTTTGACCCATTGCCCAGCTAGAGCACCCTCAGAGTGAAATTAAAAATCCACATTGGGGGTGGGGGAGGTGGGAAAGGGGCACACGCTGGGTAGGTTCAGCAGTGTTGCCACCGATCTAGCTTTTATGCAAGGCAGTGAGTCACAGGTGTTTATCATTCCACCCCACCATTTATGCTACATATATTCTCTGGATTAAGAAACCACCTGGAGGGACTGGGTGCAGTGGCTCAGGCCTGTAATCCGAGCACTTTGGGAGGCCAAGGTGGGTGGATCACTTGAGGTCGGGGGTTTGAGACCAGCCTGGCCAACGTGGTGAAACCCCGTCTCTACTAAAAATACTAAAATTAGCCAGGTGTGATGGTGGGTGCTTGTAGTTCCAGCTACTCAGGAGGCTGACGCAGGAGACTCACTTGAACCCGGGAGGCGGAAGTTGCAGTGAGCCAAGATTGCGCCACTGCACTCCAGCCTGGGTGACAGAGGGAGACTCCATCTCAAAAAACAGAAGGAAAGCATCTGGACCGTTCTCTGAACGGATTGCATTGATCTGTTGGATCAGTGGATCCAATGGATCAAGGATTGCATTGAGTTATTTTTTTTTAATTGCAAATTACTTTGGAACACCTAGTTGCTGACTGTTTCACTGTAGCCTAATGGGGTCTGTTACCCTGAGGAAACAGCCCTGCTTCTGGGGTCAGAGAGAACTGAATGAAAGTGGGAGTAGTGGTGGTGACGGCGAAGATGATAAAGATAGCAAATGCTTCTTTAACACTACCATTAGTAATAATAGCAAGTATATAAGACTTACTTTGTCCTGGGTTCTCTTCTAATGCTTTGCGTATATCAATTCACTTAGTTCCACAGCAACCCTATGGGTTCGGCACTGTTATTTTCCCTGTTTTACAGATGAATAAACTGCGAAGTTGGGTAATTTATCCAAAGCCATACAGCTAATAAGTGGCAGGGCAGAGATTTGGCCCTAGCTGCCCACGCTCTTGGTCCCTAAGTGATGCTGCCCCTGAGAAGTCACCCACCACCTGCAGCACCCATTCACGTGAGATGGCCTGACTTTCCCCTGTGCACCATCAGATGTGTATCCCTCACTCGGGTGCCTGCAAGCCTTTGTGAGCGCACCTTGCTTCTCTCAGGGAAAGCATAGCGGTCACTCCCGCCTGGCTTCCTGTCTGGGTCCACATCTCCACTTTTCATCAAGCAGGCTCTTGGCAAAATCACTGGCTTCATTGCCTAGCCTGCACTGTGCCATCTACTGTGGTGCACCTGTGGCTTAGATTCTCCAATCCGGCTAGGGCGGCCCAGTCCTGCGAGCTGAGGAGCAGCCCATCTGCCTGTATCCCCACTCCATTCCTGAACATTTACTTACAACTCTAAAACTCTCATGTCCTGGGTTCCCGAGCCACCTGCATCGGGGATCACTGGGTAGGTGGTTCTCCATCTTCATCATCTTATTTGAATGGGCTTTATCCAGAAATGACAGGTTACATGATCAGGAAATTATATAACCTTCTAACCCAGGCTGGTTTTTCTCAGTGCCGGGCTTGACAGCTGATAATTTCAGAGCAGCCATCTGAAGCCAAAAAAATGAGAATATAATTAGTATTCTGTATTTCTATTAAAGTTCTGGAATTACAGAACAGACTTTCTATTCTGAAATGGCCAGTGCCGTGGCACAGATGTATTTCCTCAGCAGATGTCTCCTCCTCATAAAGGCTGCAGAACTGCTAATGAGCTGCAATAGAAAAGCATTCTTCCCGCGTTCCCTGCCAGGGCCTTGGGCCCATTTGGGCAGACCTCGGGGAGCAGTCACTGCTTCTGCAGCTGAAGGAGCAAGGGAAGTGTGTTGTTTCTATACTGTTGTGTTTAGAGACTACCTGTCTTTTGAAAGTTGAGTTGGCATGATAGATCTTTTAAAAAAAAACTCATTTTCAATAGTGTGTGTATCTAAGTAGTGTGATTTTGTTGTTGTTGTTGTTGTTGTTTCCTTATCTTAATTCTGTGGGTCAAAACAATTTGGTTCTTGCAGAAAGTGAAAGACAAGAAATGAGCCGTGGGACCTGTGCTGGGTCTGTTCTTCTTGGACCCAGTATTGCTCTTAGGCTGTGGAACTTGCTCTTGCTTAGTAACTCGGAATTGGCATTCCCTCCAACTGTGCTTCCCAAATGTGGGATGGGACCACTGATGGGTGTGACTTTTGGTTGCACTTGAGGTGATTTCTGAAGGTACTGTACGGATGTTAAAAAGCATTAAATTACGTGATGAGTTAGTTATTCTCAATTTTCTTTCAATCTCAGTTGAAGCAGCAAAGACTTCTGGGGCTGGAATATCCTTAACACACTAGCGCTTGTTAATTTCCCCTTTGTAGCTAAGAGACAGAAGATCTCAGGCAACTGGATCCAGCTAGAAATGAATAACATCTATTTTCATTGTGTTTACTTTTATGGTTACCTTCCATTTATGGCAAACAATCTTGGTTTTCTGTTTCCTATAGTGATGTGTTTCCTTTTTAAATGATGGATATTAAAAAGCGAGCCAATTTAAAGAAAAATGTGAATAATAGTTGAAGTCTTCAAATGATGTCAGTGTGCTAGGCCAGGGAGCACACTTAGAGAGCAAATGCTGGGTGCAGTGAACAGTGCCTGGACCTGGCTTCACCTGAGACTCACCTGGGGAGCTTAAAGATCCTGGTGCCTGGGTGTCAACCCGGACCAAGTAGATCTGACTCTCTGAAGGTGGGGCCCAGGGATCAGTGTTTGACTAAAACATCCCAGGTGTTTCCAGGGTGTAGCTGAGGTTGAGAATGTCTGCCCACCTATCCTGGGGCAGCGTCCTCACCCTCTGACTCCATATCTTTTTTTGGGGGGGTCGGGGGGATAGAGTCTCACTGTGTCACCCAGGCTGGAGTGCAGTGGCATGATCTCAGCTCACTGCAGCCTCCGCCTCCTGGGTTCAAGCGATTCTCGTGCCTCAGTCTCCTGAGTATCTGGGATTACAGGTGCCCACCAGCACGCCCGGCTTCTTTTTGTATTTTTAGTAGAAATGGGGTTTCACCATGTTGGCCAGACTGGTCTCAAACTCCCAACATCATGTGATCCACCTGCCTCAGCCTCCCAAAGTGTTGGGATTTGACTCCACATCTTGATCACATCTTTCCCTTGTTTCTCTCTTCTGTCTCTAGCCCTTGTTCTCATCCGCTTCCCCACTTCAATTTTCCTCTTATTTTCTCTTTCCTAGCTTCCCCAGCTTCCCCTCTTCCATCTTCCTTACAACTATTCCTATGAGTAATGCCCCCTAGCATTGCCTCTTAGCCTGACATTCTTGAAACCATACAGTTGAAACCCTGTTAGAACATTACCACACTGTACTGTTTTCCCCGGCATTTGCTTACCACTCCGTAAGCTGTTGGTGCAGTTTCTGCACATCTAAGATTGTTCTCCACCAGTAACTTGTATTAAGAGCAATTATGATCATCACTATTGTGCTCTCACCGAGTGCCTATCACTGCTCTAAGCACTTTACATGGATGAGCCTACATAATCCTTGCTTGAAGGAGATATAATTTTCCAGATGAGGAAACTTAGGAAGATAAAATAGCTTGTCCACAACCACAGAGTGGCAGAGCCAGAATTCAAATGCAGGCAGCCTTGCCCCAGATCCTACACTCTGAGCAGATGGGACCCTAAGTTAGTTGCTCGTAATCCTGATTCAGGTGTCCTGGCATGCCATGAGTCACACTCACACAGGCTGTTCTCTGCTGTGATAAGAAATTGAAATTTGGACCCACTATTTGCTTCAATGACATTTAGAATTGATAACTCTTTTTATTTTCAACTTAAATGGTAGTATCTCAGTAGGACACTCACAGCTTTAAATCCCATCAAGATTTTAACTCATCACCATTCCGAAGAGATCTTACTTAAATGATTTTTTTTGTGTGTGTTGTCTGTCAGGAATATAAATTGAAGATATAAAAGCCAGCACCCGCAATAATTCTGCAACTGGTAGGAGGCAACCCAGGACCTCTTGGTGACCTTAATAAGGGTCTTCTTTGGCTTATCCAGGATGTGACCTTCTGCAGCCTCCAGTATTAGACATTCCAGGGCATTTTCTGCCTTTTAAAAAGCATCTGATTCTCATTCTGGTGTTTAATCAGAGAGAGACCGTTGGCCTCTTTCCATTCCTCATGGGAGAGCTCCATTTTTGTGCTCACATTTTTCATCTTTGGTGATACTCAGGGTTGATGTTTTAGTGGGCTAGACTTTCTGCATTGGATTAAAACCTTTCACATGAGCTTGGTGAATTCTCCAGTGACCAAGTCCCCTGGGGGCCTCCAACCCTATAGATTCCAGCATGATAAGAGTGGAAAGGAGTCCGGAACATCATGCCTGGGGTATAGTGAGCACTCACACCATGGATTTATTTTTTCATTTTCCAAGCCCCCAACCATGTAAGGTATTTTATAAACATTATTTTATTTGATTCTCCCAACAATTCTATACCACTGGAATTATGTCCGTCTTCATTTTTCTAGATGAAGAGACAGAGGCTCAGAGACTAAGCTTCCCAGTGCTCAGGGTTACATGGTGAAGGAGGCAGAGTTTGCATGTACACCTGCTGAGCCACAGGGACCATGCCTATGTGTTTTATTTGTGTGCTATCTGCTCCCTGAGATGAATGAGGTTAGATATTTTCTTAGGAGAAGAAATACTTGGAAGGCACAAATGGGGTATGACAAACTATGTTCAGCTTCTCTGTGGCTAGCAGACCTGAGCTAGCCCCCTCCCCCTCTGTATTTGAATATAGTCCCATCTGTTACCTACCTATGTAAGGCTTCCAGGTAAGGAGGATGTAAGGCTGTTGGCTGGCAGGAGGCAGAACACAGTAGATCCACAGACTAGTAAAGGCAATGCCTGTCTCTGACTTCCGATCTTAGGGCTGTACCTCCCTCATTTGTGTCCAAAGACCCAACATCTTTAGGGTTCTCCCCCTGCCTCCTCCCCATCTAACCCTGCCCACTGACAACTCCAGTGCCTTCTTCTCAAGTTCTTCTGTAATTCTTAATTTAATAATCAAACTATGCTGATAAACTATGCTAATTGCCTAGATCTGTGGTTCTGCAACTTTTATGGACATCAGAATCACCTGGAGGCTTGGTAAACACAGATCATTGGACCTCACCCCAGAGTTCTGATTCAGGAGGTGTTGCCAGTGCCGCCGGTCCAGGGACCACACTGTGGGAACCACTGAATCAGGGAGCCTGGTCCCAGTTATATGTGTGTTGATGGTGTCTGACCAGTTGGGTATCTGATAATTCAGCCTTACTGGGAAAGATGCCATGGGAAGATAGGAAGGCATTTGAGATAGGAGACTCAGGCTTTTGTCCCTTCATCATAGCAGTAGATAATTATCTTTTACGTTGACGTGCAGTGGCTTTAGACAGCTTCTCATGGTTGTGAGCCTCTGCCAGCTCTTAAATCTTTGAGCCTGTTTTCCTCTGTGGATGAAATGGCCTTTCCTTCTAATTATTTTTGATTCCCATATCAGGTTTCTCAAGCTAAGATTGCATTGGAAGCACCTGGAGGTCTTGTTAAAGTGAGGATTCTGAGTTATTAAGTCTGAGGTGGGACCCAAGGTTCTGCATGTCTAATGAGCTCCCAGGTGATATAGATGCTGCCGGTCCATGGACCAGCAATTCTGAGTTACAACTGTATACAGCAGTGGTGCTTGCCCCTGCTGCCCAGTAGAATCACCCAAGGAGCTTTTAAAAACGAATACTTGAGCCACATTCCTTGGAGATTCTAGTTTAATTCTGGGGATTAGAATTTTTAACTCCCCCATTCCCCAACCCCCATGTGATTCCAATGTACAGTCAGAGTTGGAAGCCATTGGCCTTTACCCACAAAAAGGGATAACACCTTCTGGGAGCTCAGGTGCGTGTGTGGCACCATAGACCAGGTTGGGCTGGTCGCTTCCATGCAGGGAGGGTGCACCATTACTCCTGGGGAGCTGCAAAGGTCACCTGGGAATCTTGTTAAATTACAGATTCTGCTTTGGCAGGTTTGGGGTGGGACCTGGGTTTCTGCATTTCTAATAGATATCTTAGTGTTGCTGATGCTGCCAGTCCAGGCTGGTGCTAAGTCCCAAGACCCACCCACAAGGGCCCACACGATGCCCATTATCTCTGCCGGTGGTGGCAGCGGGTAGCTTTTCTCATGTCGAGTGTTAGAGGCTTTTGGCTTCCACCATCTGTCTCCTTAAACGCCATTCTGACGTCTCTTTTATTCAGCTTGGTATTGACACAAGACAGCGGGCAATATAGGTCTGTTCTCTTTTTGTAATATTTTCTTCCTTCTCTCTTCACAGTACGAGATGCAAAAAATCTAATCCCTATGGATCCAAACGGGCTTTCAGATCCTTATGTGAAGCTGAAACTTATTCCTGATCCCAAGAATGAAAGCAAGCAAAAAACCAAAACCATCCGCTCCACACTAAATCCGCAGTGGAATGAGTCCTTTACATTGTAAGTGGTCTCTCCTTGATCAAATTTCATTCCTATACACCATGCAGTTGCCCACCTCATTATTTGAGGTAATGAAGTAGGTTCATTATAAACGTCTTTAAACATGTCTTCAGTCCTAAGACCTCCTCAGGCTGCCATTAGGGAGGTAGCTATTAGCACCTGTTCGATAGATAGTAATTTGATTTATCAAGAGTTGCATAATTCAGGCCTCAGATTATTATTATCTAATCTGGATAAACAATTCTATTTAAGGAAATAGAATTAAGGTAAATAGAATTTAAGCTAAAAATGTGTCAGGTGTGTCCACCTCTTGATGGACTTAGGTTCTTTTGGGAGTTAGGGGAGGGCATAAGGCAAGAATTTAAATAATTTTTAGACCACAGAATGAGTGAGTAACATAGAAAGTGTTATTGCCACTGAAATGGGAAGATCATTCTTGCCTTCAAAGAGAGAAGACTTCCTGGAAAAGGTGACATTTAAAGCCAGCCTGGGAGGGTTGCCAGGATTTCAGAGGTAGAGAAGGGGAAGAAGGAAGGAGGGAATAAATAAATCAGGAGGACTGAGTGTAGCTGAGGGAAAGCAAGAGTTCCCCTTTGTAGAGTAGTATACAGGAAGCAGTTTTTCTGTGGACAACCAGAAAGGTAGCTGTCTGTTCTAGAGGGACCAGCAAGCTCTGCTCTATAAAGGATCAGATAGTATATATTTTAGGCCTTGTGGGTCATATAGCCTCTGTTGCACCGGTATAACTTTCTAGTGCCAAAGGAGCCATAGGCAATATGTAAACAGATAGCCATGGCTGGGTCCTAATAAAACTTTATTTATAAAAATAGACAGTGGGATAGATTTGGCCCATGGGTCATAGTTTGTTAACTCCTGTAGCGCTTTGCTTGCCAGCATAAGGGGTTGGTATTTTACTGGACCAGGAAGACAAATATACTATTTCTTTATCTCAGGCTCGAGTCATATACATGTGGTATCTCCCAAGAAACCATGATCAAGATAACCTAGTGTTTGCATGTGTGTGTGTCTTGTAGCAAATTGAAACCTTCAGACAAAGACCGACGACTGTCTGTAGAAATCTGGGACTGGGATCGAACAACAAGGAATGACTTCATGGGATCCCTTTCCTTTGGAGTTTCGGAGCTGATGAAGATGCCGGCCAGTGGATGGTATGGAAGCCGCTTAGGTTGAGTATGTCTCAAAGCATCAGACCATTTAGACAGTTAGGTTTCAGTCTCTCAAATGTCAGTTGAGGCTGGACATGGTGCCTCATGCTTGTAATCCCAGCACTTCAAGAGGCCGAGGCAGGTGGATTGCTTGAGCTCTGAGGTTTGAGACCAGCCTGGGCAACATGGAGAAACCCCACCTCTACAGAAAATACAAAAATTAGCCAGGTGTGGTGGTGTACCCCTGTAGTCCCAGCTACCCAGGAGGCCGAGGCATGAGGATCACTTGAGCCCAGGAGGCTGAGGCTGCAGTGAGCTTTGATTCCGCCACCGTCCCCCAGCCTGCACAACAGAGCTACCCTGTCTCAAAAATATAAAAATGTAAAAAAAGTCAAATGTCTACTGATCTGGCTGTAGCCTCTCCGTAGGATGCGTTTCACAAAACCGCTCGACTAGAGGCTGCAGGAAAGGCTTGTTAAACTTGCGGTGGTAACTCTTCTTCTCCCGTCCTTGAAAGGTACAAGTTGCTTAACCAAGAAGAAGGTGAGTACTACAACGTACCCATTCCGGAAGGGGACGAGGAAGGAAACATGGAACTCAGGCAGAAATTCGAGGTGAGGATAACAAAATGCCCGGAAACACCTTTCCTTTAGAAAGCCCAACTTCAGGAACGGCCGAGATGTTGTGGTCACATTTTTGAAAAGCAAAAAAAAAGTAATCTCAATGTTAATGATCTTTTTCTTTATTTAAAAACATGAATGTTGTTCGTTCCCTTTCCTTTGCAAGCTGTTGACTTTTTATGACTCTTACCACTTAGAAAATGGAAACTGGAAATATCGCAGAACTGAGAGCATGGTTGATTTCTGCATAAGAGATCTGTTTGCACATCACTGGGGAGAGAAGCAGGCTCTGAGGGCAGGATTGTTCTTACAAAGGAGGACTTGTGCTCTTCTGAAAAGGAGGAAGTCATTTTGGCCTTTCCTTGGGAGCTCATTTGTGTGTAATCAGGCTATCATCTGAGACTTTTTTTTTCTACAGAAAGTACAAGGTTCCTAATTTTGTTCTGAAAGAGCAGCTTAAACAAATATGCCTTTGTGTGTGATCCCTTTTTATTTATGCTCCAGATGTTTAGCAAAGGCCACCTCCTTCTCTTCTTCCTCTTGGTATTTGTGTTTGCCTCTGTCCCGGATTCACTGGTCTTTTTACTTCTCCTCCTCTGCTCCTTACTCCTCTTTTTCTTCTCCTCTCTCTCCCTTCTCCTCTTCATTTACCGACATCTCAGCTTTTAGTAAACGGTTCTTTTCTGTAAGCACCTTCCTTATGTTTTAAAGGCACAACTTCTAATATTTGTCTGTTTCTCTAATCACCCTTCATTTTGGCTGTTCGAGGGACTCCTAGAGTAGCCTTTTCAGTCTGTGTAACTGGTTAATTCCTTCGTGAATCTTTCTCTTCTTCAGACTTGTTAGAATTCCCTGGAATTTCCCCGCTCTAGAGCAGTACACGTGCACACGCACACATGTGTGTAGATGCTGAACTGCTACTGAAATGTTGACACTAATGGGATGCTGATGCTCCTCTTTTCCTTCTTCTGTTGTTCTCCAAGAAACATACAGATCTGGGGGGTGGGGAAGAGTGGTCTTGGGGGGATAATAAACCTCCTTCATGCCCCCCACAAAAGAAACATATAGGTCTTATCCAGAGAGAATGAATCCCAAAGGATGTAAAACATGCAGTTGTTCAAATTACTTTGTTAAACTGATGTTTGGTTAAAGTTGATGTTTGTGGCAAATACTAAATGGCAGGGGCTCTTTGGTTAGATGTCCTTGGGAGCACAGACGAGTGAAATGATTCACAGATAATAAATGGCAATGAACGGCAGGCCTCGGGATTGAAGCAGGAGGGAGTGGTGGAGACTGGGGTGAGCTGGTAAGCTTCAGCTCTGTCTGCAGGTGGCAGCTACGGCTACCCTGCCCCACTCGATGTTTCTCACAGGCGAGTCCAGGCCCTCTATTGCCGGATCTTCCTTCTTCCAGAGAAGCCAGAAATCCAGGTTTTTATATGATACATTCTGATTTATCTTAATGTTGGCAGAGTTCTAATGTTAAAACTTAGAACCAGGCCCTGTGCAGTGGCTCACTTCTGTAATCCCAGTACTTTGGGAGGATGAGGCAGGCAGATCACTTGAGGTCAGGAGTTCAAGACTGGCCAACATGGCGAAACCCAATCTCTACTAAAAATACAAAAATTAGCCGGGTTTGGTGGCATGTGCCTGTACTCCCAGCTACTCCAGAGGCTGAGACACGAGAATCACTTATACCTGGGAGGCGGAAGTTGCAGTGAGCCGAGTTTGTGCCACTGCACTCCAGCCTGGGCAACAGAGCAAGACTCTGTCTCAAAAAAAAAAAAAAAAAAAAAAAAATTTAGAGCTGTCCGGATGTGGTAGCTCACACCTGTGGTCTCAGCACTTTAAGAGGCCAAGGCAGGCAGGTTGCTTAAGCTCACAAGTTTGAAATCAGCCTGGGCAACATGGCGAAACCCAGCCTCTACAAAAAATAGCAGGGTGTGGTGGCATGCACCCATAATCCTAGCTACGAGAATCACTTGAACCTGGGCACGAGAATCACTTGAACCTGGGAGGCAGAGGTTACAGTGAGCCAAGATCACGCCAGTGCACTCCAGCCTGGGCAACAAAGTGAGACCCTGACTCAAGAAAACAAACAAAAAACTTAGAACTCTGTGTAGGTCAAATATGCATCTATTGCTTTAGACACCAGTAGGATTCAACCAGTAAGAACCAGCTTGCAGTCTCTGCTCTTCAAAAATAGAGAAAAAATAATTTTAAAAAATTATTTGTATAGTTATATATATTACAATATGTATAAATAAAAAGGTGCATGTATCTGTGTAACTACTATTTGTCTATCTATCAATAGAGAGAAAAGAATGAGATTCTTTTCAAAGATGCTTTATAATATTTAGAGGAATTCAAGTACAAAGATGAAAGTCAGGGTTTGGGGCAGGTTCAAATGTCTATGCCAGGCATAGCTCCTTTTCAATTTGTATTTCTTCCCTTGCTTCATTATCTGTTTCCACCCCTACCCTGCAGCTGAGGATGCAGACCTGGGGTACTGGACAGGACCACCTTCTTGAGCCCCATCCCTGATGTCACACCACCTCTGTGACGGATGGATCCTTCTAGAGAGAGTTTCAGGACTGAGTGCCAGCATTCTTCAGCTGTCTCAGGCAGGGGAGGAACCTGAGGAGCCAGAAAGAACCTTCCTTACCGAATGTTATGCCATGGTGTTGATCACGAGCAGTCACTGGGTCAGGGGCTGTTGACGCAGAAAGAGTGCATTCGAGGGAGGAACAGCACGGGCGTTCCCCACAGGGTTCCTCACAGTAATGTCTGAGACTTAGCTTTGCTGCTGGAGAAATATTGACCCACTCTTTGTGCTTCATTGTCGTGGCTTCCTGGTGAGTAAACTTCCTGTTTTTCTGGGCAATGAGTTCAGCTTTTTATAAAGGTCAGAGTTCTAAACAAACAAACAAAATACAGGCCAGAGGACCTGAGCAAAACGAAGCATTTCTCTTGGGAGGCTGGTCAGAGGCCGCAGGGCTGTTGCTGCTTACTATTCCTCCTCCTGGGAGGGCTGTGGACTTGGCAGGAGCGCCAGCCCAAGGCTGTGAGCATCCTGGGGAGAGGTGGCATCAGCAGAGTTGCATGGGGTGGAGGCTCTGCTCTTCAGCCTAGTGAGGTCTGTGTTTGGAGCATCTACATGAACTGCATTCTAACCTTTGCTTTAAATACCTTTCAGCTTATAGTTCCTAGATTTTACTCAAATTACATTAGCTCATTTGCTTAGAGCATTTTAAAAAAACACAACTGCAAGAGACTGGGCAGAAAGCCACTAGAGGATGGCGTCAAAAAGATGCTGAGAATTTTACGACAGCTGCCATGCTTCATTTTAAATACATATTCAGATCTGATTTTAGGCAGGGGTTCAATCACGTAATGGTGTTTTGTTGAGGTCTATAAATGTGAGAGTTGCAAGACTTCCCCAGTGCCAAGTTACTGGGAAGGGATGCACCAGGGCAGAAAGGCTGGCATCCACATTTGAGCAGTTCTGGGTAGCAGCCAGGCTTTGCAAACAGGGTGCCATCAGTTGGCATCAGGTCCAATTTGAGGCACCTCTTTGAGCCCCCACCCCGTTTCCTCCTTTTCGGTCTGTAGCATGAGTGCTTCCCAGTGTCTCCAGGCTCCCCTCTCTGGGCCCTTTCTCGCCAACTAACTGCCATTCTAACTTGCTTTCCATCACATTAGTCTTTTCTTCCCTACCCACTCTTTCATAGATACTTTGCCACCCTCCAGTAACAGTTTGATTCAGCTGAGTAAGATTTTTTTGTTAAGTTCAATGATGAATCTGTATTGGTTGAAACACACACGAGGGTTCGTCCTGTTGGGAACAGGCATCACTCAGTGGGATCACACAGTGTCCAGTCTGTCCTTATCCTTCCATGTCCAGCCCTGTTTTCTAAAAAGGGTTCCCTCCATGCAGTTTTCGAATCCTTCTCCAAAAATCAAAAGTCATTCAGTTGGATGAAAGGGAAACCAAACGAGCATTTACAACTCTGCCACTGCATTAGTATTCATTCGATAATTAGGTGGAAAGTTTTTGCAATTTAAATGGTTGGTTCTCAAATCTTGGCAAACAGAATGATCAGTGACTGGAGCTCTTAGGAGCCAAGGAATATTCCAGGGTGGCTGGAGATGACCTTCCTCGCTGGTAGAGATCCTGCTAGAGCAGTTCATCCTCCTACAAGACAAAACAAACCAGAACCTTGATTGCGATACTCATGGACAGTGTGTCTGTGGGCCTTTAATCTGTTCCACGTTTGTCATCAAGTAAAGTACACGTGGTCCCTGATTCACAAACATAAATAATGCATTTTTCCATTTGTTAAAAAAAGTAAGGTGCCAGCAGTGGGCTAAGCAGACAGTTCCTGCTTTCTTTGGAGCTTACGTTCTGTATCTATGGGCCCTGCTGCAAAAATATTTGGGAACAAAGCAGGGAGCTTATCATATCCCCTGTGCTGGCCAGTGATTCCCCTGAATCTCCAGGCACTATTGAGGACAACTGAGATTCCTGTTTTTCCCTCTCACTGCTTGGTCTCTGCTCCCTGTGATGAGGCTCACGGCCAGAGTTGGGAAAAGGTCCACCTTGCGTTAGAGGCAGTGCAGAGGATGGGTTAGCTCTGCTCAGCAAACTTTTTCTGTACCTAGTCAGATAATAAATATTTTAGGCTTTATGGGCCATGCGGTGTCTGGTATAACATTCAAGTCTGCCGTTGCAGCTCAAAAGCAGCCACAAATACATAAACAAATGAGTGTTGGTGTATTCCAATAACACGTTACTTACAAAAACAGGTGGCAGACCAGAATTGGCCCAAGGGCCAGTTTGCCAACTTCTGGTTTAGCCCGTAGGCTCTAGAATCAAATCCTAGTTTAGTCACTTATTTACTATGTGACCTTTCTGTGCATTGGCATGCTTAACTATAAATGGAAAAAATAGGTCAGGATAACTAGTTCTGTTTTTCTATTAGTTATAAATAGAACTAATATCCTGATACGATAGGATATTAGTTGTTGTCAGGGAAGTAAATATAATACCACAGTGAGAAGTCAGCTTGCACTGATCCTTCTCGATTCAATGGTTTGATGTTGGGTCCCGATTACAAACTGAAAAGTAGGCACATATAAAAGATGATTTGGCCAGGCGCGGTGGCTCACGCCTGTAATCCTAGCACTTTGGGAGGCCAGGGTGCTGGATCACGAGGTCAAGAGTTCAAGACAAGCCTGGCCAAGATGGTGAAACCCTGTCTCTACCAAAAATACAAAAAATTAGCCGGGCATAGTGGCGGGCGCCTGTAATCCCAGCTACTCGGGAGACTGAGGCAGAGAATTGCCGGAACCCAGGAGGTGGAGGTTGCAGTGAGCTGAGATCGTGCCACTGCACTCCAGCTTGGGCGACAGAGCGAGACTCTGTCTCAAAAAAAAAAAAAAAAAAAAAAAAAAAGGATTTGATGTAAACCACACGAAGAATCAACACAAGTATAATCATAATGATTGTTGCAGCTAATAATTCATTAGAGAAGTGATTATGTTAACAACAGAAACGTCACAGTTGATTGACTACTGATTGCATTCACATGAAGGTCCAGTACTTTTGTTGGTGTAATATTGCCCTCTGATCTTTTACAAAATCTGGGATCTGAATCATTCACATCTTGAGCTGTACCCAGGAAGTTACATGCTACATTCACATTTCCAATGGTTAAAAAAAAAAAAAAAAAAAAAAAAGGTATCTTCTAGCCACATCTTTCCCTCTTTTAAGACAGTTCCCGAAGTTCTTATTGTCATTTGCATTTCATTTCCATGGCTTTTAGTAAGCTTAGTATTTTTGTTTCTTGTTTATCCGTCAGTTGATTCTTTCCCTGAGCCTACTTGGGCTACATCTACCTTCAGAGCCTTGGAGTTGTCCTAGAATCAAGAAAATGGGCTGAGAGGTAGGGGAAGGGGAAAGGTGAGGGGAAGGGAGTTCTGGGACCAGTTTCTAGGCCTGCCTGGGATCCAGCCATTTCCTATCCCCAGAGTTACATTCCTTCCTTTCCTCAGCGCCCCTTCCTCTTGTGCAGAGCCTTTCTCCTAAGCTTGGCCCCTCTTCCCTAGGGCTGTTTACTCTGTCCAAGACCTTCTTCCCCAATCCTGCAACCTCAAGAGAAATCAAGCCAGAAGGGCAAATAACCCCAGCCATGGACCTGGCTCCCTGGGGCTGAGGGCACTTCAGGACAAGTGGTGAAGACCACGTCTCCCTTCTCCAAGCTTCAGATTTCACAAAACGAAACATACGTTTGCTCATTTTGCTCCAGTATCACAATGACTACTTTTAATTTGCATTTTGATGGCTTTTAGCTGGGAATGGACTTTCAACGAACTCATTTCTACCTGTAGGGTTGCTTATCTACTCCATGTGCTGTTAACAGTTAATGGAGATTCTAATATTAAAAAGTCAAGCAGCTTTCCTTAAATGAGCCTACACCATTCAATTTTGCTCAATTGTCCAGGCTTTTTATTGTTTTTGTCATTTATTATTTCGTTCATCATTTAAAAAACAGAGCAAATTAAGAAGCTAAAAGCGCCTTGGCCTTTTCCTCCTCTTACTGTAACCGTAACTTTTGCTGCACACCATTGCTCTATTCCAGAGCAAGTTAAACATCTAATATTTAAAAAGCCAAAAAGAAACTTGTAGCAGAACAAAGATAGCTAAGAGGCAGCACACCTGGGGCTTTGTCTGCGATGGGATATTTCTGTTGTCAGAATGTAATGAAAAATGATGTCCCATTAGAAAGCTGATGGATAATATATCACATATTACTCATTTGAGTATCAGGACCCAAGAAAACAAGATGAATTTATTTAAATTGCAATGTCCCTTGAAGCTTGTATGAGCTCTCTAAAGGGAAATACTTTTAAAGTTCTTATAAAGAGAGAAATTTATAGCCAAGTGTGAAAAATGAAGTGCAGTTTTGAGGACCAGTTCCCATCCTGTCCCTTCCTGGGGAGCAAGAGGTGTGATGTTGATGGAGCAGTGATGAAAGCAGGGGGAATCATGGCAAACACCCGCTGTGTGATGATTAGATGCTAGGCAGTTTCCGTGCTGGGCATCGTATATTCCTTTCATTTGAGAAGTGGTATTGCATAGTGGTTAGAAGCCTCAGTGTTGGACCCAGACTTCTAGGTTCAAATCCTGCCCCTTTTATATCCCAGTTGTATGACCTGGGACAGATTACTCAATGTTTGAGCATGGTATTTTTCTAGAAGGAATATGCAATTTAAAATAGCCATAGTTTCATATCCCTGCTCTACCACTTCCCAGCTGATGATCTTGGATAAGTTCCTTAAACTCTCTGACCTTTGTTTTCCTTGTTTACGAAGTGGAGATGATAATAGAGACTGCCGCATAGGACTGCTGGGAGGATTCACTCAGTTCACTTACGTAAGTTGCTTAGACTAGTACCTGGCATAGAGTAAGTGCCCAATAAATGTTTGCTAATTATATGAAATAGACATGATTTGCCCAAGTTTGGTTTTGATTTATATTTATGAAAAGTTATTTATCTGTGCAAATGAGGTGCTACCAAGAGGTAAGAGCATTCTTAGAACTCTGTTTTGAGCATTAGAAATTGTTATCAAGGACTTATTTCTGAGAACAGACCAGTGGATTGGTTGTTCCAACATTTATGGTTTCTTAGAACCTGAAGCTAAACCCGAATTCTGCTATCTTGATGACATTTTCAGCAGACAGGCTTCCCAGTTCATCTCTGTTTTCACCCACTTTCTCCTGACACCTGGCACCCAGGAGGCTGGGGAAAGTTGTTTGAACTTGAGTGCATACGTGATCGAGAGCTTTGGCATCTGAGAGACCTGCCTTTTGTCCCTGCTCCCAGGTTGCTAATGCCACCTTGGCCTGACTCCGCCGTAAGCATCTGTGCTCTGCCTTAGAACCTCAAGTCAACCCCCTCATAATTAATCTGATTTTCCCCAGTCATAGACCATCGTCATCACACCTCGCCTGTCTCCTCAGAGAGTCGAGAAAGCCTTGGAAATTCTTCGACCCATTAGACAAGTCAGCCCAGAGGAACCCAGTCTGTCTACCTCTTGTGATTTGAAGCACATTGTCAGCTAAATAATCACATAATCATAAATTCTAAAAAGTAAATAGCTACATTTTGCCTTATCTTGAAAATCCTCTAGAGCCACACTATCCCAATAGAATCTAAAGCTAGATGTCAGCACAGTGGTGGAATAGGAGCTTTCACCATCATTCCCCTGTAGACGCATCAATGTTGACAACTACCTATGGACAAGAGTGTCTTTGTAGGAGTCTAGGAGGCCAGCAGAGAAGTTTCAGAACACTGTTGGAGGAAAAACATCCACAAATAAACACATTGAAGAGGGTAGGAAGAACTAGTTTTACTTTATCTGTATTACCCCTCCCTCAAAGCAGCACTGCTCAGAGCCAAGAGAGACTCTCTCACCTGTAATTCCTTCTAAGGGGGAAAGCAAGAGCATAGTAAGTAAGCACCCAGCTCCCCCAGCCATCCACAACACTGCCCAAGAGCCCCACTTCTTTCTCACCTCACCCAGATTGCTGAGATAATCAGCATGGCTGAGAGATTGGGAGAGGCTGAGAGCAGGAAAGAGAAGCTGCTGGCCCTCTGAAGTGTTCTACAGACTCCATCAGGAAGCCCATCCACGAGCTGCTTGAGACACCTCATCTACTGTTCCCAAACTCTACACCCCCCACCCCCAGACTGAGTCCCTAAATGTGCCCCCATGGACAGTGAATGCAAGCGTATTATGTAGACAGCCAGCTCAACTCTGTGGGATTGGGAGAAGGTACACAAACTTGAGTATTTCAGGACACCATCCTAGGGAAAACAAACAGGAGGCTCTTAGCACCTAACCTAGCTTTGCAGGATTGAAAGAAGGCATGCAAAGTCAAGAATTAGCCCTCAAGAGGGAAAAAGAAATGTAGAGCAGGTGCATCCATAGAAAAGGATTAAGAAAGTCTCATTATCCATAGACAGGCTGACTGGTGAAGGCATTTCTCTCCTGATGCCAGTCAATAAGGATTGGAGGAGGAGATGACTGCCTCCTTCTTCAAATGTGAAGACAGCATTTGAAGCAACAAGACTTCAAAGGACAGCACTTCAAGGAACATGAAAAGTTAAGGAGCCATGACATCACAAAGGAACACAATATTCCAGAAAGCAACTACTAAAAAATGGAGATCTAAAAATGACCTGACAATTTAATTGTTTTAAGGAAGCTCAGAGAGCTAGCTACAAGAGGATACAGACAACAAAATCAGAAAAACAAGAGCTCAATAAAAAGATTATAAATCATTTTTAAAAAGAACCAAACAGAAATTTTGGAGGTGAAGAATACAGTGAATGAAATGGAAAATTCAATAGAGAGTGACAACAGCAGATTTGATCAAGTAGAAGAAAGAATCCATGAACTTAAAGACAGCTCATTTATAATTACCAAGTCAGAAGAAAACAGAAACAAATGAAAAGGAATGAAGAAAGCCTATGGGATTTATGGGACAACATTAAAAGGGCTAACATTTGCATTGTGGAAATTCTAGAAGGGAAAAAGAGAAAGGGGAAGAAAGCTTATATAAAGAAATGATGGCCCAGGTGTGGTGGTTCATGCTTCTAATCCCAGCACTTTGGGGAGACTGAGGCAGGTGGATCACTTGAGGCCAGGAATTCGAGACCAGCCTGGCCAACGTAGCAAAACCCTGTGTCTACTAAAAATACAAAAAAAAAAAAAAAAATAGGTGTAGTGGTGCATGCCTGTAGTGCCAGTACTCGGGAGGCTGAGGCACAGGAATCACTTGAACCTGGGAGGCAGAGATTGCAGTGAGCTGAGATTTTGCCACTGCACTCCAGCCTGGGTGACAGAGCGAGACTGTCTTAAAAAAAAGAAAAAAAAAATGTCTGCAAACTTCCCAAGTTTGGAGAAAGATATGGACAGTAGAAAAGGTAAGCAAGCCAGGCACAGTAGCATGTGCCTGTAGTCCCAGCTACTTAGAGGGCTGAGGCAGGAGGATGGCTTGAGCTCAGGAATTTGAGGCTGTGGAGCAGCTTCGATTGTGCGTGTGAATAGCCAGTGCACTGCAGCCTGGGCAACATAACTAGACTGTCTCTCAAAAAAAAAAAAAAAAAAAAGATTAACAAAACTAAGAGTTGATTTTTTTGAAAACATAAACAAAATTGGTAAACCTTTAGCTAGACTAAGAAAAAAGAGAGAAGACCAATGAATAAAATCAGAAATGAAGGAGACATTGCAACTGATACTACAGAAATACATAAGATCATAGGAGACTACTCTGAACTGTTACACACCAACAAATTGGATAACCCAGAAGATATGAATAAATTTCTAGAAACATACAACCTACCAAGACTGAATCATAAAGAAATAGAAAATCTGAGTAGGCCAATAATGAGTAAGGAGGTGGAACCAGTTATCAAAGATCTCCCAGGAAAGAAAAGCCCAATGCCTACTGGCTTCACTGGTGAATGCTACCAAACACTTTTTAAGAGACAAGGTCTCGCTCTGTTGCCCAGGCTAGAGTGCTGTAGCACAATCATAGCTCACTGCAGCTCAAACTCCTGGGCTCAAGCAATCCTCCTGCCTCAGCCTCCTGAATAGGTGGGACTACAGGCATGCACCACCACACCCAGCTAATTTGTAGGGATGAGGTCTTGATGTGTTGCCCAGGCTGGTCTCAAACTCCTGGCCTCAACTGAATTCCTAGCCTCAAGGCTTGTCCTCCCTTTGCTGGGCCACTGTGCCCAGACTCTACCAAACATTTAAATAAGAATTAATACCAATCCTTCTCAAACTCTTCCAAAACACTGAAAGGGAAAGAACATGCCTGAGTTCATTTTATGGGGCCAGCATGGCCCTGATACCAAATCCAGGCAAGGACATGACAAGAAAATAAAATTAAAGGCCAATATATCCAATGAACAGAGATGCAAAAATTCTCAACAAAATACTATCAAACCAAATTCACCATCACATTTAAAGGATGATATGCTGTGATCAGGTGGGATTTATTCCTGTGATACAAGGATGGTTTAACATAAACCAATCAATGTGATACACAACATTAACAGAACGAAGGATAAAAATTGTATGATTATTTTAATAGATGCAGAAAAAGGATTTGACAAAATTTAATGCCCTTTCAAAATAAAAACTCTCAACAAATTAGGTATAAAGGAATGTACCTCAACACAGTAATAGCCATTTATGACAAGCCCACAGCTAACATCCTGCTCTATGGTAAAAAGCTATAAGTTCTTTCTTTCAGATCATGAACAAAATGAGGATGCCCATTCTCTCCACTTCTATTCAACATAGTCCTGGAAGTTCTACCAATGCACCTAGGCAAGAAAAAGAAAAGGCATCCAAATCAGAAAGGAAGAAGTAAAATAGTCTCTGCAGATGACATGATCATATATATATATAGAAGACCTTAAAGACACCACCAAAGAACTTGTTAGAACTAATGAACAAATTCAGAAAGTTGCAGGATACAAAATCAAAATACAAAAATCAGTTGTGTTTCTCTATGCTAACAATGAACTATTCAAAACAATATAAGAAAACAATTGTGTTTACAGTAGCATCAAAAAGAACGAAATACTTAAGAATAAATTTAACCGAGGAGGTGAAATATCTGTACACTGAAAAATAGAAAACACTGATGAAAGAAATAATAATACCTAAATAAATGGGAAGATATCGCCTGTTCCTGGATTGGAAGAATTAATATTGTCAAAATGTTTGTACTACCCAAAGTGATCTACAGATTATACGTAATCCTTATCAAAATGCCAATTATTAGTATAATTTGTTTCCATAGAGGAAAAAATAATCCCAGAATTCGTATGAAGCCACAAAAGACCCTGAATAGCTAAAGTAATATGGAGCAAGAAGGACGGAGGTATCACACTTTCTGATCCAAATTATATTACACATCTATAATAATCAACACAGTATGGTACTGGCATACAAACTGACATACAAACCAGTAGAACAGAATAGAAAACCCAGAAATAAACCCCACACATACGTGGTCAACTATCTTTGACAAAGGCATCAAGGATACAGAATAAAGCAAGGATAGTCTCTTGAATAAAAGGTGTTGGGAAAACTGGATATCCACATACCAAAAAATGAAATTGGATAGATGCATTTCGTAGCATATACAAATGTCAACTCAAAATGGACTGAAGACTTAAATATGTAAAACCTGAAACCATAGAACTAGAAGAAAACATACTTGGGGGGAAAGCTTCATGACATTGGTCTTGACAATGGTTTTTTGGATATGACACCAAAAGCACTGGCAACAAAAGCAAAAATAAAGAAGTGGTACTACATCAAACTAAAAAGTTTCTGCACAGCAAAGGAAACAAAGCAACAAAATTAAAAGGCAACCTGTGGAATAGGAGAAAATATTTGCAAACTGTATATCCAATAAGGGTTTAATATCCAAAATGCATAAGGAACTCATATAATACAACTCAAAGGCAAAAATAAAAAAGAAAACCCACAGATTTTAAAATGGGCAAAAGACCTGAATAGACATTTTTCAAAATAAGACATACAAATGGCCAACAGGTAAAGGAAAAGGTGCTTAATGTTGCTTATCAGGGAAATTTAAGTCAAAATTGTCAAAATTATAATGAGGTATCCCTGCAGACCTGTTAGAATGGCAGTTATCAAAAAGTCAAAAGATAAGTGTTATTGAGGATGTGGAGAAAATGATATACACTGTTGGTGGGAATGTAAATTGGCATATCAGTTATGGAGAGACAGTATGGATGTCTCTTAAATACTTGAAAATAAAGCTACCATACGATCCAGCAGTCCTGATTCTGGGTATATATCCAAAGGAAATAAAAATCACTGTCCCAGAAGAGATATCTGTACTCTCAAGTTCCTTGCAGCATTATTCACAATAGCCAAGATATGGAAACAGTGTGTTCATTAATAGATGAATGCATAAAGAAAATGTCTGTCACATACATATCTCATTTATGTGTGTGCATATTCATATATATATATATACACACACACATATATACATGTAAAGGCTCAATTGTGTATACACATATATGTATATGTGTGTATGTGTGTGTATATGTATATATAATTGAGTCTTTAAAAAGAAGAAACATTTGTAACGCATGGATGAACCTGGAGGACATTATCATATTATCATCTAAGTGAAATAAACCAGACACAGAAACACAAATAGTGCATGTTTTCACTTATATGTGGAATCTTAAGAAAGTCAAACTCACAGAAACAGAATAGAAGTGTGGTTACCATGGGTTGAGCAGGGTGTTGGAGGAATGAGGAGATGTTGGTTAAATACAAACTTTCAGCTTTAAGATGAGTAAGTTCTGGAGAGCTAATGTACAGCATGGTGACCAATAATAATAATGTGTTTTTATACTAGAAATTTGCTGAGTAGATCTTAAAGATTCTCACCACACACACACAATGGTAACTGTAAAGTGACAGATATGTTAATTAGTTTGATTGTAGTAATCATTTCACAGTGGATATGTACACAAAACATCACATTGTATACCTTAAACAATGACTAATACCATTTTGTTAGTCATGCCTCTATACAGGGATGCCTTCTGAAAATGTATCACTAAGAGATTTCATCATGCAAACATCATAGAGTGTATTTACACAAGCATAGATGGTATAACCTATTCCACACTTAGGCTATAGGGTGTAACCTATTGCTTCTATGCTATAAACCTGTACAGATGCTGACTGCTGTAGGCAACTGTAACACAATGCTAAGTATTTGTGTATCTAAACATAGAAAAGGTACAGTAAAAATACAATATAAAAGAAAAAAAGTGGTACACTAGTATAGGGCACTTACCCTGAATGGAGGTTGCAGGACTGGAAGTTACTCTGGGTAAGTGAGTGAGTGGTGAGGGAATGTGCCAGAACAATACTGTAAGCCACCACAACACTTAGGCTACACTCAATTTATTTTTAAAATCTTCTTTCTTCAGTAATAACCTTAGCCTACAGTAACTATTTTACTTTATAAACTTTTAAAAAAGTTTTGACTCATAATAACACTTAAATAACACTTAAAACACAAATACATTGTATAGCTGTACAAAAATATTTTTATCTCCTTATTCTATGTCTATTTAAAAATTTAAAATTTTTTTTCTGTTAAAAAATTTTTTTTTTGACCCTACACAGGTCAGGATCATCCATATGGCTGTCCCTCACCTCTGCATCTTGTCCCACTGGAAGGTCTTCAGGGGCAGTAATACACATGGAGCTGTCATCACCCCTGATAACAATGCCTTCTGGAATACCTCCTGAAGGCTCTGCCTAAGGCTGTTCTACAGTTAACTTTTGTTTTAATAAGTAGAAAAAAATAAGACCTGATGTGGTGGCTCATGCCTATAATCCCAGCAAGTTTGCCAGGCCAAGGCGGGTGGATCACCTGAGGTTAGGAGTTCAAGACCAGCTGGGCCAACATAGTGAAACCGCATCTCTACTAAAAATACAAAAATTAGCCAGGCATGGTGGTGAGAGCTTGTAATCCCAGCTACTTGGGAGGCTGAGGCAGTAGAATCACTTGAACCCAGGAGGTGGAGGTTGCAGTGAGCTGAGATCGTGCCATTGCATTCCAGCCTGGGTGACAGACCGAGACTCCATCTCAAGAAAAAAAAAAATAGAAAAAATATACTCTTAAGATAACAATAAAAATATAGTATAGTGAATACATAAACCAGTTATATAGTCATTTATTATCGACTGTGATGTACTATACATAATTGTGCTGTATTTTTGTGTGACTGGCAGTACAGTACCTTTGTTTACACCAGCATCACCACAAACATGTAATGTGTTGTGCAGCAATGTTAGTGTCTGTGATGTAGACATCACTGGGTAATAGGAAATTTTCATCTCCATGATAATCTTATGGGACCACCATCATTTATGCAGTCCATCGTTGACCAAAATGTCATTGTGTAGTGCCTGACTATAAAACCTTTTTCTACATTTATAATCTCAGCAAAGTTAAAAAAAAAAAAAAAACAGGAATAGGTTAAGTTCAGAACTGGGCTTGAATTTAAAATCCCCACTATTAACACCACCACTATTGATTTGGTTTCACTTAAACATCATCTTCTGTCCCATAAATTAGTGCTGTTATTTGGAAATGTGTCTATAACACTTCGCTCAATTTTAATTTGTATCTTTATTATAGCTTTAGAGTTGTTAGTGTACTAGTACATATATTAAGGCTTATAGTTATCTGTACATACATATTCTACTAACTCTATAATAAAATTTGTTAACACATGGAGCAAAAAAATAATCTCAAGCTAGCTTAACAATGGCTTCTGTCCAAACTAGACCCCCAGTAATATTGGGATGACTGAAGTCTCATGCAGAGAAATATGTGTGTCTTCACAGTTCTTATATTTGTGACCATTCAGAACTATATGAAGATATAAGCCAAAAGAAAATTGGTGATCTTGAATGAGCTGTTTTGTGAGGATTATAAGTCCAGATACTACAGGAAGTATCACCCTGGATTCAGATTGCCTGAAAAATCAAATGTGTATCTGTTTTTACTTATTCAAGAGAAATATTTTGAGATTATCCTTCTTACTAATTAACAAATTAATATGATCCAATTAAACTATAATTAAGGTACTTAAATCAACAAAGATGAGACTCTGTTGCTAGGTTATATGTGGAAAGAGCAAGCAAGCATTTTTCTCTTTTATCAGAATTAGATTTTCCCAAAGCCTCCACTGTCTTTGAAGACTTTATCTAGTTCAGAATGCTCTCTTCCAGTTGGGGGAAAAATAAAACCACAAAACACAGTTCACTAGAGACCCTCAGATAAATTGTAGCTATTTGTTGATCTGATCAGCCCTGCCACGGTTACTATGGAAACCAGAGTACTTTCAGATGACCTTTTAGACACAAAACAAAAAAATCTATGTGCCCCAATATGCTCTCTGCTTTTTTGTCCCTAAATAGCTTACTTAATTACTTCCTTAACTGTGTGATGTTAAGGGGGAAAAAAATCTATAAAATGCACAGCAGTTGAAAGAGATATTTTAAGGCTTATCCTTCAGCTTTGTCTTAGAAGCAAAGTCTTAAACTGATATAGGAGACAGGTTAGTAGTAGAAATCATTTTCAAACACTCATTAGATCACTGCCAACAGAGGTTAACCTGGCATTCAGCTGAGCAGACCCAAAGGAAGCAAGACAGCCTCTGAAAGCAACTGTACAGAATTTCTCATGAGTCTGTAAGGGAGGGTGCATGCATTTATATTAGAGTGCTGGCAGCATGCTTTCAGTTTAATTTGTCTCGAGGAAATAATTTTGTTGGGAAACCAAAAAAGATTGTGCATTCTAGTTGTCTGTCTAATGAATTCCTGAAACAGCATAAAAGCCCTGTGTCTTGTAGTTACAGGGATGGCCTTGTGGGTGGATGTTGCTGGTTGAAGAAATATTAGTTAATATCACACAAGCCTGTTATTAAATGTTAGAGGCAGCTTTGCAAATGTCCCCAGGCCCTGGTACCCACAGGGGATGAGCAGGTACCAAGGGTGCCACCCTTCATTTACAGGAACTGGAAGGAGGGAAGACAGAGCCGATGTCCACTGGCACTAGCATGAACATGGCAGCTAAACATTGGCACAAGTCTTCATGGCTCTATCTCAAGCACCTAAGAGGAAATTAAAGCCCCCTAAAATAAAATTAAGGGACCTAGAATAAGGGTGACACCAAACATAATGCTATTTGTTGTTTTCCCCAAAAAACATGCCCTACAGAGAATTAAGATTGCCTGTCCCTGGAGCGGTAAATCGCAAGGGTTCTGACCTCCCTGGGTATCCTGAAAGAGGAAGTGGCGAGCAGCTTGAGCTCTAGATCTTGCACCTCCAAGTATGGGAGCTGATTAATAATGCAGAGGTTCAGAGCCCAGCCCAGCCTCTGACCCAGTCAGAATATTATTTTAACAAGGTCCCCAGGTGATTCCTGAGCCCATTAAAGTTTGAGAAATGCTGGTCAAGAAGATGAAACCTGTTGACTGATGAGTAAACAAATTCAGTCTCCTGTGGTCGTAAAGACAGCAAGGATAGACTTCATCACCCCCAGTACCCATATTAAATAGCGAAGGGATCAGTGAACTGTGACCCACACCCAACCACCTGCTTTTGTATATACAGTCTATGAGCTAAGAATGGTTTCAAGGCTGGGTGCGGTGGCTCACGCCTATAATCCCAGCACTTTGGGAGGCCGAGGCAGGCAGATCGCAAGGTCAGGAGATCGAGACCATCCTGGCTAACACGGTGAAACCCCGTCTCTACTAAAAATACAAAAAAAAAAAAAATTAGCCAGGCATGATGGCAGGCACCTGTAGTCCCAGCTGGAGGCTGAGGCAGGAGAATGGCATGAACCCGGGAGGCGGAGCTTGCAGTGAGCCGAGATCACGCCACTGCACTCCAGCCTGGGCGACAGAGTAAGGCTCTGTCTCAAAAAAAAAAAAAAGAGTGGTTTCAGGATTTTTAAGTGGTTGAAAAAAAGAAGGATATTTGCGAGACATGAAAATTTGGTGAAATCCAAAATCTGGTGCCTATAAATAGATTTTTATTAACACAACTACATTCATTCATTCGTGTGTTGTCCACAGCTGTTCCTTTGCTACCACGGCAGAGTTGAGTCCCTGCAAAAGAGACTGCATGGGCCTCAAAGCCTAAATGTATGCCCTCTGGTCCTTTACATAAAAAGTTTGTGACCTCTGGGTTAATGGAATAATAGGGTATTCAAACTGGGAGAGATGTTTAAGATTGTGTTTGTTGATGGGGAAACAAAAGCAAAAGGGAGTGTGTTCAAAGCTTGTTAGTGCAGGACCCAGACCTCCTGTGTGAGTTGATGCTTCTGTCTCATACCCTGTCCCTTCCCACACACCCTTCCCTATGACACCCCCTTTTCTGACTCCTCTCCATTCATCCACCATGCTCATTAATGCATCTCAGCCCATGCTTGTGCTCCTTGGAAAGACCCTCCCTTCTCCTCCACTTCCGTCAGTCCTAGGCTTTTCAAATCCTACAAGTCCCTTTATGTGGTTCTCTGGCCTCTTAAAATTGCCTTGACTTATGCAGTCTAAAGACTACTCACTTGCCAGACACACCTGTAAGATGTGTCACCTTCCTGATTCCAGAGTAAGAACCTCAGGCCCTCCTCTGAATACTTTGAAGTCTAAACATCAGGCCCATGAGGAGTCCACCCTTCACCTGCACTTTTTTGACAGCCCAGAGGAAGGTGTCTGAGCCAACATCTTTATGAGGCTGGTTGGAGGCCTTCAGGGGAGAGGCCATTTTAGAGCCACGAGAACCTCCCTTTCTTCCTCTAGCAGTTGTGTAAAACTCACGTGTGTGACAAATCTGGTTGCTCTTGAAGATGGACCAGTTTCTTTCCCATACATTTTATGGTTCCAGAAATCAGTAATTCTGGACATTTCTAACTGGTGGATGCTGCATCTACTCTGTGTCAAGCACTGTCCCTGGGGCTAGAGACAGAACCTTGCTCTTGGGAACATTGTGGAGTAGTACTAAGGGATATGAGACCTTGTACCTTATCTCCACTTTCTGGAAACGACCCCTGACCCTCATAGTGGAGGGAAGCTTACACCCTGTCTCCTAAACAGTAGCTAGCCTAGATCAGCGGGAGTCTGACCCAGGCCACAAGTCAGTTCTTTGTCCACGTAGCAGTATCTCCAGCTCTTGAGATGCTGAGTAAGCCTCACTGCTGAAAAGATTATGGCTCGCCTGATGTAACATGGCTTTTATAGGCAGCTAGAACCACAGAGGCCTCAGAGAATTCAAAATCACAGCTCCCTACATGGGGTCCAGGAACGTGTGGCCAAGGTGCTCATGGTGTTGTATTTTGGTTTTAGTTTGTTTTCAGGGATGAGGCCTCTTTGCCCATTAGGACTGTCGCCATGATGTACACATGATGGTGGCACTTCCCAGTTCATCAGGCCGACCAAGTGGGGCCATAGATGTCCTTGTTCAGGAATTCAGGGAACTCGGTGGCTGTCGTGTCTTCAGCACTTAATTGAAAACGAAGTGGTTAACATTTGGCACTAGTGCAGCTTCCTGCCATTTGCCACTTTCACCTTGAGCAGAGGTGTTTTGCTTCCTCATCTCCCTTCCCAGCATCCAGGTGTGTGGTCCGGGAAGGATTCCCTGGGACCTCTTGCAGATGTGTAGAGCAAGAGGTGCTGTGCGTATCTGGGCTGGGTCACTTCAGCCTTTCCTTTGATTTTTTTTTCCCAGAGAAGATTTGGGATGGTTTGTCATGTCCAAGTGTGAAACAGCCTTAGAGTTCTTTCTAGGTCCATTTGAGTCTAAGAATAACTACCCAGTGGCTGCCGGAAGGCTGTGAAGCCACATAGCAATTGTATCAAGGTGTCTCTGCTAAATGTTTTTTGTCTCCCTGTAGAAAGAAGCAGGTGACCTATTGCAGATGGCAGTTGGAGATAGGAACCTCCTAAAGTCATGCCATATACTTCTCAGGGCATCCCAGCTACTCAATACAGAGTACCCTATGCCTATAGATATCCAAGCAAAGATCAGGCAACCCTCTGAGAAAGATGTAGGAGAAATGCCTGATTAAATTTCCTCTAAGGCTCTGTCCAATACCAAGATTGCAATAAGGGTGTTTTTGTTGCTATTGTTAGTTCCCTTTAATCTTGATGTGGATTAAGATCGCTATCCTAAAATAGAGTTTTTGGGGTTGGAACAAAATGGCCTATTTTAGGAACAATCATAAATGGATTTGTGATTACTGACTTTTAAAGGCCCATAATGATAAATTGGAATAGAAGATAACCCATACCTGGTAAAAGAGATGCAAAACTCATGATTTGACTAGTTTCTCATTTTAGTAGACAAAGCCTTACTGAGCACGTAGGATTGGTTTGCCTCTGATCTCCTCTGTTCAGGTTCAGGGCTGTGATGACCCATTCAGGCTGTGGGATTTTGGTTCAGAAATCTGATCATCTGATCCCTCTCAAATTCTCTCCTGGAAGCCACCTCTCACTGCTTATGAAGTTGGGGGATTACCCCTATGAATCCTTGTAGAGAAGTCTCACCTTCATGAATCCTTGTAGAGAAGTCTCTTTTGAGATGATTTCTTTTTTTTTTTTTTTTTTTTTTTTTTTGAGATAGAGTGTTGCTTTTGTTGCCTAGGCTGGAATGCAGTAACACAGTCTCAGCTCACTGCAACCTCCACTCCCGGGTTCAAGCAATTCTCCTGCCTCAGCCTCCCAAGTAGCTGGGACTACAGGCTTGAGCCACCACACCTGGCTAATTTTGTATTTTAGTAGAGACAAGGTTTCACCATGCTGGCCAGGCTGGTCTTGAATTCCTGACCTCAAGTGATCCACCCACCTCAGCCTCCCAAAGTGCTGGGATTACAGGCATGAGCCACCATGCCCGGCCTCTTCTGAGATGATTTTAACTTATTTTTCTCACATTAGTACTTGAGAAAGGAAAGTTATCCAGTTAAGATAGGTTTTTTTTTTTCCCTTTTTCTTTTTCGGTGGAAGTTGAAAGTAAAAAGAAAAGCAAACCCTGGTTGTGTGGCATTCAGTCAACTGGAGCTTGGTTAACTCACTGCCCACCAGCTTATGTTTCGTCAGTCATCTTGGGCACTTCCAAGATATTGAAGAGCCTTCTGAATCATCAAGAAAAAACAAAATCTTGTTACTAATAGTTTTCATGGTAAGCGGGTTTGGTTTCATCATCATTTATTGAAAAATGGCAATCTGTATATAACATTACTGGGCACCTTGCTATGTGCTACCTCAAACGAGTCGATTCGCCAAATACTCCAGGACCCCGTCATGTGAACTGGCCGATAGCAAAACACATCCCTGAATGTAGTGGAGCTGTTTGATGTGAGACCACTTTCAGACATGGAAATGCCACAAGGAGGAGAGAAGGGTCCTGTCCTCATAAAGCTTGATTCTAGGCCTTTCACTATTCAAACAAGGAAGAGTTACTTCCTACCCCTCCAAGGGTCAAATGAGACCTGCACCTGGGGTGCCTCCGGAGCAGAGTGCACTGGAAGGTTCACCGCACCTTCTCTCCTGACCCTGGTGCTGTGTCTCGGGGTCACCGTCTGTCTGCTGTGCCTGCCTGCATCATAATTGGAACCTGTGCTGTGTTGTACTCAATCTCGTTTTCTCACACCACTAATTGTGTGTAGCACTTCCTGTGTGTAACATTTCTCCTACTAACCTGGCAGTTTTTCTCCTCCTCCTGTCTTTTACAGGGCTGTCATGTCCGCTTCTTAAAGGTAGTTCTTCCTCTGCTCTTTCCTCATCCACTTTCCTTCCACAAAACACTTGCCTTGGTTTTTGTGGCTCCCGGGCCTCAGCCTGCAGCCATGCTCTCCACCCTTAAGGATGCACCGCGTGTTCTGGTAGCTTGAATCTCACACCTACTTGTGTCTTAGTCTGTGTGCTCCCTTCCAAGCAGCCACGGCCCTCCCATGAAAAAAAATGCCATGTCTTAATCACCCAGAGAATAGACCAGTCTCCCCTCCTCTTCAGATTAGGTTAGTTTAAAATTTTACCTGCTGGGCACGGTGGCTCACACCTGTAATCCCAGCACTTTGGGAGGCCGAGGCAGGTGGATCACCCGAGGTCAGGAGTTCAAGACCAGCCTGCCCAACATGGTGAAACCCCGTCTCTACCAAAAAACAAAAAAAAAAATACAAAAATTAGCCAGTCATGATGGCAGGTGCCCGTAATCCCAGCTACTCGGGAGGCTGAGGTAGGAGAATCACTTGAACCCGGGAGGCGGAGGTTGCAGTGAGCCGAGATCGCACCATTGCACTCCAGTCTGGGTGACAGAGTAAGACTCCATCTCAAAAATAAATAAATAAAATAAATAAATAAATAAATAAAATTTTACCAAGCAAATATCAAAACCTCCTATCAGTGATTAAAGTTCAAGTCTGTATTGAAAGCATCCATCCAATGAACAGAAAGAGTGCATCTTTAAATGGACAGCTCATTTTCCTTTCTTTCTGTTAATATCTTTCAATCACATATGAGTTAAGATTCATTTTAAGTTTTATAGGCATACATCTGCATTAGCATGCAATCAGTATGGTGTATTTACACTACATGAGTGTGTTCATATGGATGATGTAGTGTAATATATCATAGGCTGAAATCCTGTAATTGTTCTGATGTTCTTAATGCCTGACTTAATCCTTCTCACTCTTATTTCATTTTTTCTCATTTTTTAATGTTTTCCCAACTCAATCGTTGCAATCTAATCAACCATTCTATCCCCAAACTATGGAGGGGAATTTTGCAACTTGCATGTAAATGGTTTTAAAAACCTGGTCTATTATTGTCATTTCTGATAGCGCCACTCTCTTCTGGGAAGCTGGTTAGGGCCACACACCAGCTGTGCTCTCAGCGTATTGCCTGTGTTCGTAATTAAAATCAGCCCAAGATTGTCGCAGTGCTTTTATGTTCGCATTAGATCAAACTGGAAAATTTAAACCCTCAAATGCTCGGGTGGAGGATTTGCAAGGGGAGAAACCCTACTCCCCGACCCCAAGCTGGAATCCACATCTAATGCTCTCTCAAAAACACTGTCCTAAAGACAGCATCTAATAAATAATGTTTTTAGAGTTTCTCATCTCTAGAACTTGTATCTCACCCTGCAGATGTGCCTGTTAGAGGAACCACAGGAGATTTGTGACCTAGAGATACTGGAAATGAGAAAGAAAAAAAATATTCCTTGAGGTTTCCTAAGTCTTGCAGAGTGTGGTAAATACTGTGTGTGAAAACTGCCTTTCAAGGCTTCTGTTGTTACTGCCCCCCCTCCACCCCGCCCTTGTCTGTGTTTGAAAACCCTGTCCCATGATTCAATGCAGGGTGTTGACTTTGGATACACATCTCCAGAGGCTGGCCACACCTGAATACACTGAGCCTCTGTGCAACTTCTTCCTGTGGAGTAAAACCCTCCAGCATTCTCAGAGGAAAGAGGCACCTCTTGATCACTCCAGGAGGTGGAAACAGTTCCTGTTTAAAAACCAAGTAAACCCCTCTCATTGCACCCCCTGCTACTTCAGAGGAACACCTCCATTCTGATGGAAGGAACTCGTACTTGGGTCCTGGAACCCTATTTGGGACCCAAACCTCTCCCACTTGTGTGGCCTGACGTGCCTGAGTGCTGTTTGTGTCCTTTTTATTATGTTGAAAACTTTGTTATTCCAAAGAAACATCTGAATCACAGAGCTTAGTTTCCCAGCATGTCGGAAAGCTGGGTGCTGGTGTAAAAAACTCAGATGTGGCTGAAAAGGGAAGTAATGAGAGGGGAGAAAAATAAGAAGAAAGAGTTAGGGTGAGGCTTTCACCTCCCTGGGTTCTTGCCTGGCTCCTCCTAGCTCTAATGAAGGGCTGTCCCTGTCCCCTTCTCCTTAAAGACTGTCCCTCTTCTCCCACCTGCTGGGCAACGTGGCTGTCACCTCGTCATTCCAAGAAGGCAGCAGGGTGTGGCGAGGAAGTGCCACACTGCCTGGGTTCAAGGGTTCAAATCCCAGCTCCAATATTTCATAGCTGTATAGCCTGGAGCCATGCAGCTCATCTCTCTTGCCTCAGTTTCTCCAAGTCTAAAATGGAAATGGTAAAAGGACCAACCTCCTAGGGATGTTGGGAGGATTAAATGAGTAAGTATGGAAGGTGCCTAGAACAGTGCCTGGCTAGATTTGTGTTTGCTGCAGTCATTACTCAGCCTTTTCTCTGCCTTCCATCCCCAGGAATTATGAATTACAGAGTTTTCCCTAATGGAGGTGTCACTGTGCATTGCTGGTTTCCAAGAAGCCATTGCCAAGTTAAAGTGAACCCTTTGTTGTCCTTTTTTTTTTTTTTTTTTTTGAGATGGAGTCTCACTCTGTTGCCCAGGCTGGAGCGCAATGGTGCAATCTTGGCTCATTGCAACCTCCACCTCCCGGGTTCAAGCAATTCTCCTGCCTCAGTCTACCGAGTAGCTGGGACTACAGGCACGCGCCACCATGCCCGGCCAATTTTTTTACTTTTTGTAAAGAAGGGGTTTCACCATATTCACCAGGCTGGTCTTGAAGTCCTGACCTTGTGATCTGCCTGCCTCGGCCTCCCAAAGTACTGGGATTACAGTCGTGAGCCACCGCATCCGACCTCATTGTGCTTTCTAAACCACTCCCGGGCCCCAGTTGGGAGACCCCGGTTGTACATTAGGTACAAATAACCCATCAGATAGGAATCTGCTCCCCGTACCCCACCCTACTCCCACCTGCAGCAGTGAAGCAAGGCCATCTTGAATTCATTTAAGAACAGAGATGAGAAGTGTCAAGTCAACAAAGTCTCTTTTCTGACATGTTTTGTGTTGGTGCTTATTATGTTTCCTGTGTGGTTTTGTTATGAGGACAAGAAACAGGCTACTCTACCTGAGAAAGAAAATGTCACCCGCATGTTGGAAATTCACCCTGACCCAGGCAGTGATAATAGCGTGCCACCGCTCGCTCACACCTCTCTTCAAAGTGGCTTCCTTGGCTTGGTCATGAGCTAATCTTTACCTTGTGGCTTTTTCTGAAAATAGACTTGTCAACACTCAGTCCGAGTCTGGCCCCCAGTCACTGGTTTTCTCTGTTGACAGGCTGCAAAGAATCATGCAGGAAGGGCTCTGTCCATGAATTCCCAATGGTCATGGGTGGTCAGCCAGCTCAGAGCTGATGGTTTGGGTGGGGGCAGGCAGGACACAGCCATAGTCTCAGCTCTTACTAGGGGTATTCGTTTTGTGACTCACATTCCCCCAGGTGCTCACAGCCTGTAGATACCCTTAGGGTCACAATAATTGTATTAATTTAGACTCCCTGGCTCTCTCCTGGCCCATTGACAAAACCTCTGTTCACTTCCAAAGCCCAGCAGTTGCAGCTGGGAGATCCCAGGAGTATCTCGTGCGGTGGTGAAGTGATCCGATCACACACCTTTCCTCTCCGGTGTGAGGCCCTCTGCTTTGAGGCCACTTGCATCCCAGCCATGTTCCCCCCCACCCGCTGCTTCCTTTGGGGAGAATGCCCCCTTGTGAGTCCACGCCCCCCTCAAGCTGCCAGGCCTCATGCATGGGGCCAGAGAGCTAGGGTGCAAATACCATGTGTAAAGGGAAAAGTGTCCTGACCTCAGCTGCCCTTGTGCCCTCAGGCCTGTGCCCACCGTTGGAGACAGGAAACACCTACCTCCACCTTGCCCTCAGGCAGCCCCTCCTGCTGGAGACCAGCTCCTCAGTCCTGTCCAAGTCCCCTGAGGGCAGCTGGGAAGCCCCTGTCTTTTTAGGAGAGGTCTCACTGTTCCACCCCCTCGTCTCTTCCCCCTTCCTGGAATGGAAATTTGTCTTCTGACGCTGCCACCTGGCAGCAGGCGATGGCTGTGGCGAGACTACTCAGAATGGCAGCAGCCACCAGCCCCGAGCTCTGATCACTCCCTCACCACTGCAGGATGGCGAGGCTCCCAAGCCTGCAGGACGAGAAAGGGAGTGTTGACCCATTTTACAGATGAAGAAACAGGCCTCAGAGAAGTGTGCAGTGCCTTTACTGGTGTCCCAGACCGCTGCTGGCAGACCCCAGATCCCATGCTTGTCACCTTCCTGAGCGCCTAGTGAGCTGCCTGACACAGAGGGCCCAGAGAATAGCCCAGAACAGTGCAGCTGCTGCTAGCCTTGGAAGCAGGTGTCCCATTGAGCTATAATTAGGCCCCTTGGTTTTAAAAACTGGTGTGGATTAAAAAGGCTCAGTGAGGGTAGGATGAAATCAATGATTATGGAAATATTGTGCTAAATTTAATGACAGTCGGCCCTGCTTTCAAATTGCTTGCTCCTGTCAGAGACATTTTATAAAAATTTTCCGTTGAGTAGTTGAGCAGTGTATCCAGCATTTCGGGGATAGGATGTGTTTTGTTTTTTGGTTTTTTTTTTTTTCTCTGTGAGGATGCCCAGTCATCCTGTTTTTCCTTTCTGCAGCAGCTGCACAGCCATGGAGGGAAGGCTCTGGAACCTTCTTCCTTGGGGAACTGGGTTTTATTGCCAGTTATAGCTTGGGTGCGTTTTTTGTTACTGTTTTTTATTGACTTCAGGAGCTGCTGTTCTGTGCTCGCTTAGCTTCAATTGGATTTTCCCAGAAGTGGCTTTTTCATTGAACTCTGCCCTCGTGTAACTGTCGTTACTTCTCACTATTTTCCAGGTCGTTCTTTGTTTCTAAGATAAACACCGTGGCTCCCTCGGACCACTCCAGGGCCCCCTGCAGCCCTCACTGCCTCCCTTCCCCCCAGGCCCTTTCTTGGATCTGTGGCTTGCAGAGTCTGCACCCAGTCAAGGGTTTGGAAAGATTCGGGAGACACAGAAAGGCCTACAACTGTTTGGATCTTTGTTTTCTAGAAATAGAGCACCCAGAGATCTTAAAACCCACTTTTGGCATCTGTAGTTCCGTTGGCACTCTATAGTTCCGTTGGCATTTTGCAAAGTCCTGGCACTTACGTGAGTGATTCAGGTCATCTACTATAAAGGATACAGTTTTTTTTTTGCATCTGCGTAGATACAATTTTGTGTCTTGTTTGTGCCATCTTGCCCCATTTACTGGGACTTCACCTCGGTAAGGCAGACTAGTGAATCTTAGGTGGATCTCTGCTAAAAGATCCCAGCCAAACTGCAGTTGCTTCAGAAACTGAATACCACAAGAGGGCAGTAAAGATTTGCAAATGAAAGATTCCATGACACCTGCACACAACAAACAGCAATCAACTGTTGCCTGGATGTCTTTACATTTTAGTGGACATAGAGATGAGATCACCACCTTGTGCTCCCCATTGCTTCTTGGCTTTAGAGGATCTTCAGTGTGCTGCAAAGAAGTCAAGGGTTTCCCAAGAGCTGGATGGCTCCTTCAGTCTATTCTTGCTTGCACTGGGCCCCAGCCCATTTTCTATCTCCCCGGGTTTTTTTTTTTAGCACCAGAGAATTACCCACTTCGAAGCCATGTTGCTGACAGTCTGAAAAACTATTTACTTTGATGATGTTTCTGAGTTCATGTGATTCTTGACCCTGCCACAGCCAACCCATAAAGCCAGTGTGGTGGTAATTCCAAAGGGGAGCATTCGAGCAGGAAAAGGAATAGGTTTCCAAAAATGATTAAGTGCCCAAAGTTCTCGAACAATGCTATGTCATGGCTGTTGCAGTGCGCACTGGGCCTTCCTCTAAGCCGGGCATCAGACGCAAGTGTGCCATCAGCTAGCTCCCTGGTGGGAGAAAAACATTGTTGCAGATGGAAAAACTTAAGGTCATTGGTGGGGAATCCTCATGTAAGCCTGGAGATTTAGCAATTGGGGAGAACGCGGTACAAGGGCAAACCGCCTTTCCAGGAGGTGTTTAGCAGGTGAGACAAGGCGTGCACCACCAAGATTAGCGATCCTAACAGATGTGTCAATTATCAACAGACAAATCTGGGAAACAGGGAAAAATTTGGTTGGCTGCAAAGAAAATCACACACCGGGATACTAGAGGTGAATATTATGTGGTATGAAAAGAACCAAGCACTTCGCAGTTTCCACATCTGGCAAAGTGCCAACACGTCAGGGTCCCACGTTTCTCCTTGGAGAATGGCTCAGTTGCCATGACAACGGAGGCCCTCTCGCTGCCTGTGAATTTATTTTAACCGTGGCAACAGCCAAAGTGGGTGTGTCCATGAAAATATTTCTTGTTAAGAAAACGATTGAATGTGTTGCCCTTACATTTTGCTCTGCTGAATACATACTTCATTCACCACCATTGTATGGCTGCAAAATTTCCTTTTCCTGTGCTGCCTGGCATAGCAAGCATTGTGGAAGAGCCTGAATAGTGATTTAATTCTAGTGCTCTTGAGATTCTTAATTGTCGCTGTTGTGATAGATTAAGAAGATACAGACATTGTACTGAAATCTAACTGCAAATGAGGATGAGTGATTTGAGAACCTGCGTGATACAGGGCAAGGGTCATCGAACTGCAATCCACAGCCCAGACCCCAGCGGCTGCCTGTCTTCACCATTAAGGCTTTATTGGAACACCTTCCCTCCTTTACTCACTTTTGCAGCTTTCGAGCTACAATGGCAGAGTTGGAGAGTTACAACAGAGACAGTATTTGGCCCACAAAGCCACAAATATTTACTATCTGGACCTTTACAGAAAAAGTTTGCTCACCCTCGATGTAGGAGGAAGAGCACTAGGTTCAAAGGCTGGAGTTCTGGATTCAGAGCTCAGGATGGAAAACTGATTTAGACATATCGCGGTGCCCCCTGGGCTCATTCTCCTCATCTGTAACATGGGCAGCCTTGATGAGACTATCCCCAAGTTGCTTTTGAATTCTAAAAGCTCTGTCATCCTCCTGCTGTTAGTCAAAGATTACAGCCCAGATGGGGCAACCTTAGCACAGGGAAACGTACGGGATGATCCAGCATCTAGTTTCAGGGCCTCTGTAGAGAACAGAGCGTCCTTCTCTTCCTCCACCAGCACTGCCACGAAGCGGCGCAGAGGCTGTGGTGAAGTTAGCTCTCTAGACCTCAGCATCTTCATCTGCATCCTAGGCAGGTCAGACTCCCCAGGGACCCTTCTGTGGCTGACAGTCTGTGGTTCTGAGGCCCTCGCTGCAGTTGCCAGCAGGAGAAAGAATGACTCATGCCTGTGATTTGCTGGTCACCTGTGATTCCCGCCTCCGGGAGAAAACTCCAAGTAGCAGGTGTTGACCCAGTTGTGTGGGAGGAATCACCCAGGCCCTTATTTCCAGGTTGCACTTACAGATCGGATTGTGCAACCAGAAAAATGCCGTCAGAAGGAAGTGGGGTGGCTTGGGGGACTGACTTACTAAGGATCACTGTTAAGCTCTCCATACAAATTAGCTCCCCTTCTGTCTTAGTCCACTCGGGCTGCTATAGCAAAATACCATAAACTGCATGGCTTACAAACTGCATATGTTTCTCTCTCTTAGTTCTGAATGCTGGGAAGTCTAAAATCAAGGCAGGTGAGGTGTCTGGTGAAGGCTCACTTTCTGATTCACAGATGGCATCTTCTGGCTTTGCCCACACATGGTAGATGGGATGAGGAGCCTCTCAGGCCTCTTTTTATTAAAGTTTTTATTATTTAGAGACAGGGTCTCATTCTGATGCCCAGGCGGGAGTGCAGTGGCACAATCACTGTTCACTGCATCCTCGAATTCCTGGGCTCAAGCAATCCTCCTGCTTCAGCCTCCCGAGTAGCTAGGACTACAGGTGCACGCCACTGTGCCTGGCTAATTTTTAAAATTATTTTTTGTAGAGATGGGGGTCTCACTGTGTTGACTAGGCTGTTCTCAAACTCCCAGCCTCAAGCTATCTTTCTGCCTCAGCCTTTCAAAAATGCTGGGATTAGAGGCATCAGCCTGGGATCACACCCAGCTTCCAAGGCCTCTTTTATAAGGGCACTAATCCCATTCGTGAGGGATCCACCCTCATGACCTAGTCACCTTCCAAAGGCCCTGCCTCCTGACACCATCATCTTGGGGCTAAGGATTTCAACATGTGAATTTGAGGGAGACACATTCAAACCATAGCACCTTCCAAGACCACTTTCTGTGTTGTGGAAGAAAAGATGTGTTTTTGTTTTGACATCTGAACATAAAACACATATACACAGCCACATGTGAGAAAGAAGTACAGTTAAAAATTCCAACTGTGAATTTAGACACACAACCCAAAAGAAACCAAGAGCCTGCCTTCAGGAATTAGGCTGCCTTGACTCTGGGCTTCTTCCTCTTCTCTTTGACTATTCATGGTGAGATTAAAATGTCTGTCCTTGTGCAGCTGGGCACAAGGGTACTTGTTTGTGACCTCCCCAAAAAGGTCACAAACAAGTAATTAATGTTTCATTCATCCAGGAATCTATCCTGGGGACTTCAAGGATGCACACATATTTAGACCACAAAATTGTTCATCTGCATGTCATTGAAAACAGAACTAGGAAAAACCTAGGTGTCTAACAATAAGGAATGGTTACATCAGCTACAGTAGAGCCGTGTAGTAGGATATGATGCAGTCACTCAAATCATGTGGCAGAAGAGTGCTTATAACCAGAAGTTCACAATAAGCAAAGGGGAGAAGCAGGTTACAAACAATCTGATTCTATCTGTATCACATAGGAAATCATGAAAAGAAAGGATTAGGAAAATGTCCACCAGAATGTTATTAATGATTACCTCTGGGTAATAAAATTATAAGATTTTAGTATATATGCTGCCAAAATGAGTATAAAATTTTAGATGTTTTAGGCCAGCCGTGGTGGCTCACATCTGCAATCCCAGCACTTTGGCCGAGGTGGGTGGATCACTTGAGGTCAGGACCTCGAGACCAGCCTGGCCAACATGGTGAAACCCCGTCTCTACTAAAAATACAAAAATTAGCCAGGCATGGTGACATGTTCCTGTAATCCCAGCTACTCAGGAGGCTGAGGTGCGAGAATCGCTTGAACCCAGGAGGCAGAGGTTGCAGCAAGCCAAGATCACACCGCTGCACTCCTGTCTGGAAGATAGAGCGAGACTCCGTCTCAAAAATAAATAAAAATAAAATTATAGATGTTTTAAATTTTGTTCTCTTTTTTCTGATGTATCCATGCCTGTTAGATTTTCTAAAATGAGCAGGTATACTTTTACAACAAGAGGCAGCCTTGCTGTAGAAATTATTTTAAAGCAACATTTCTGCCTCTTAAAAATGTTATATGAAAAGCTGCCTTCCCCATATACTCTACTCATTGCTTCTGCAAATATTTGAGGACCACCATGCCCCAAACACCATCCTAGGCACTGGAGCTGTGCCGGGGAACAAAACAGACGAGCCGTGCGTGCTCATCCCAGTGGCCGAAGAAAGTAACAAACAAGTAGAGAAATACAGGATTGGTAATGAGAAGAGAGGGAGGGAGTATGCACCACAGAAACCGGTGCAGGGACAATGTCAGAAGGAGTAGGGAGCCTCGGGGCTAAAGCATCCTTTGAGCAGAGATAGAAGGGAGTCCCGTGCCTATCTGGGTCAGAGGAAGTGCCCAACTGCAAAGGCCCTCAGGCGGCAGCGTGCTTGGCGTGTCCCAGCAGATGAAGTATTGAGCCAGAGAACAGCGGACATTTTATTTACTCTAACTGTGCTACCCAGGAGGCTGTCATGCCCATTAAGTAGCATCATTTTAACCTGTTGCCCCGTTACCGAGTAGAAGATAATAGATATCATGACTTGGAGCTTATTAGAAATACACAGGCCATATTCCACTAACGATACCGTGAAAACCCTCAGTTCCTTTGTGGCTTTCTGCTTCGAAACACTTGATCTCTCTTAACTAACGTTGCAGTGGGTGCAGGTAAAGGCATTACCTTAGAGGTATGATGCTGTGCTGGGCATCCTTGGTTATATATGGCATGGCTATTTCTGTTAACCATGCCCTGTTACATGGAATAGCAATGAATCACCATCAGTGTTGTTTTGCCAGTGTTGTTCAGATTAGCTGTGAATACAGAGGACTTTCATCGTTGTACAAAAAATGGTAGGAGAAATCCACAATTATTCATTTGTTCCTATGGTTGGTCATCGTTGGCCTGTCCGTGGAATCTTAGAAGTAGAAAGAAGCTTCTGTTGTCATCTCTCCACACGTTGCAACTGTCTTTGATAAGTATATTACTCAAAGCCTTATTTTCGAGAATGCTAAGAGATCATGTATTTTTGAAGACATATTTACAAAATAGGTGAGAATGAACACATTTAAAGTGGAATGTAGTTACGTTACTGGAAAGAAGTCCCAATCCAGACCCCAAGAGAGAGTTCTTGAATTTCATGGAAGAAAGAATTTGGGGCAAGTCCACAGAGTAAAGTGAAAGCAAGTTTACTAAGAAAGTAAAGGAATAAAAGAATGGGCCGGGTGCAGTGGCTCACACCTGTAATCCCAGCACTTTGGGAGGCCGAGGCGGGCGGATCATGAGGTCAGGAGATCGAGACCATCCTGGCTAACATGGTGAAACCCCGTCTCTACTAAAAATACAAAAAAATTAGCCAGGCATGGTGGTGGGCACCTGTAGTCCCAGCTACTCAGGAGGCTGAGGCAGGAGAATGGCGTGTATCCGGAGGTGGAGCTTGCAGTGAGCCGAGATCGGGCCACTGCACTCCAGCCTGGGCAACAGAGCAAGATTCCGTCTCAAAAAAAAAAAAAAAAAAGAATGGCTACTCCATAGGCAGAGCAACCCCCAAGAGCTGCTGGTTGGCTATTTTTATGGTTATTTCTTGATCATATGCTTTAAAAGGTGTGGATTATTCATGAGTTTTCTGGGAAAGGGGCAGGCAATTCCCAGCACTGAGGGGTCCTTCCCTTTTTAGACCATACGGGGTAACCACTGGATGTTACCATGGCATTTATAGACCATCATGGCACTAGTGGGAGTGTCTTTTAGCATGCTAATGTATTATAATTAGCATATAATGAGCAGCAAGGAAGCCAGAGGGTCGCTTTCCTCGCCATCTTGATTTTGGCAGGTTTTGGCTGGCTTCATTACTGCATCCTGTTTTATCATGAGGGTCTTTATGGTCTGTACCTTCTGAGAACAGTCCTGCTGACCTCTTGTTTTATCCTGTAACTAAGAATGCCTGACCTCCCAGGAGTGCAAATGCAGCCCAACAGGTCTCAGCCTCATTTTACCCAGCTGCTATTCAAGATGGAGTTGCTCTGGTTTGAACACCTCTCACAATTAGACATTAAACAGTACTTCAGAGGCTGCCCAGGAGTTCTATGATGATGAGATGGACCCACCGGGAGCCCTGGAGTAATGGTTCAGTTTCTGATTCTTAACTGTAGATGAATCTTTGGACCTGTATTCATACTGGAGATAAATCAGCACCCCTTGTAAGAATTTCTGGACAGAGGGCTATTGTATTAGAGGTCAGAAATTTCTATTTTTATGGTCTGTCTGATTTTCCATATAGTGTATATTCATTATATAAAATTCAAACATAGCAGAGTGTCTATGGTATTAAGTTAAACCCTTTGAAATTGCTGTTAAGGTGGGTTAGACTGTCACACTGTCACAGCTTAGCAGCTGCAAACTTTTAACCTATTAGAAAATGAACGTCTCCAGCCATCCAGCCCCTCATAGATATACAATGTAAGTCATTTGTCACAACCACCCTCAATTTTAATTTGAAAAAACCCCTAATAGGGAGCTGAATGTGGAGAGCTTCTCACATTACACATGGATAGCTTCAGACACAGATGTTTTTACACATGTACCATAACCCCCATGTAGGCGAATTTGGGTTTGCAATATTCAGATTCATTTTGTATGATTTGCTTTACAGAATGCCACTGCAGGAGCTCTTTGAATTGTTAATAGCTTCAGTGATTGCAAACTATTGTGACTTTTCAAGAATGTATCTGTGGTATAAAGTGAGACGTGTCAGTCATCAGTAAATTTTCAAATGAGGAGGGAACACTGCCTGGTCTCACAGCCTGGTCTTCCAAGTGGCATCACAATGCCAAACTTGAACCAAACGTGAATATGCCATTTTTTGAGGAACCTAAAAATCCTGGATTCTGGGTTGTTGAATCATAGCCAATAAACTGTGAGGTACTTTAGTCCCATTTTGAAAAAAAGAGCATGCTACAGCTTCTGCATTTAATGTCACTTCATTCTATTCACAACATTACATATTGTAGTTCCCATTTTTATTTCCTTTTAAAAATTTGTGCCATTTTATTAAGTCAGGGTCTTTTCCTACTGCAGTCTTAACCCAGACCCCTTAGAGGGCTTCAGCAGGCTTTCCGGAAGTCAGGGTGGATAGCTAGAGCCAAGACCCATTGCCTCTCCTGCCCCCCTTAGGAGGGTGTGGGAGCCCACGGGGATGTGCCTCAACCTCACAACAGGTCATGAGCTCCTGCAAAGCCCATTTGTAGCCTCACACATCTCTGCAGGTCACAGGTTTCTGGTCTGTGAGTTAGCCCACAGAACTCTAGCCCAGGCAGCATGCAGTTGCTCATTGAATCCCAGAGGCCTTCAGTGTACAGTCACGGAGCAGGTGCATGCCAGAAGCTTGAAGGAAAGTGCAGTCTCCTGCACTTTGTCTCCTTTCTGGGTCAAAGCAAAGAAGACCAGAGTAATGTTGGGTGCGGTGGCTTCTGCCTGTAATCCCAACACTTTGGGAGGCTGAGGCAGGTGGATCACTTGAGGTCAGGAGTTCAAGACCAGCCTGGCCAATGTGGTAAAACCCATCTCTACTAAAAATACAAAAATTAGCCAGGCATGGTGGCATGCACCTGTAATCCCAGCTACTCGGGAGGCTGAGGCAGGAGAATCGCTTGAACCCAGGAGGTGGAGGTTGCAGTGAGCCGAGATCACACCACTACACTCCAGCCTGGTGAACAGAGTGAGACTCCGTCTCAAAAAACAAAAAAAAAAAAAGGAAGATGACGACCAGGGTGGAGGGAATAAAGCATGGGGTGCTACACTAGAGTCCTTTTGCAAAGGATACCTTATTTCACCTTCAGTGCAGTCCAGAGAGAGAGCCCAGCATAGTCCAGGGACACAGTCTTCTTACTACTATATTACAGATAAGGAACCGGGGGCTCAGAGAGGCAGTGTCATTTGTCCAGAGTCACACAGCAAAAATGGGTAAGATTAAGATTTGATCCGAGCTCTTTGGAATCCAAGTTCAGGGCTCTTTCCAGAGTTGCCCACTGGTTTTATATAATAATTGAAGACTGTGGACGGTGGAAAGGGTCTCAGAGACGAGTGAATTTGACAGGGATGTTGGAACTTGGAGAAATGTCCCAACTGTCTTAGATCAGCATTTCTCAACCTTAAATGTGCACAGGACCCACCCAAAGATTTTGTTTAAAATGCATGTTTGGACTTAGTAGATCTGGGATGGGGCCCAAGAGTCTGCATTTCTGCCAAGCCTCTAGCTGATGCTGCTGGTCCTAGGACCAGTGCCCAGCTACTTGGGAAGCTTAGGCAGGAGAATGGTGTGAACCCGGGAGGTGGAGGTTGCAGTGAGCCAAGATCGCGCCACTGTACTCCAGCCTGGGCGACAGAGCGAGACTCCATCTCAAAAAAAAAAAAAGAACTGAACAGACATCATCAGAGCTGAAAGGAGATTCCTCCTGGTGCAGGGGTGGAGGACAGTTTCACAGGAGGATGGCAGCACTGAGAGCCATGGGGGTCTCCAGCCTGTGGACTGCTGCTCAGAGCCTGGTCCCCCACCGCTTTCTTTACCTAACTTGGAAATGAGTGAGATGGACTCAAGATTTGGGACACATCAGCAGGAGCGTTTCTAATGAGTTAATATCTGCTTGAGGTCAGCAGCCCAGTGCATGCTCTGCTCTGAGCATTCATTCATCTTCAGGGGACATTCTGTGTTTCTGCATTTCATCCTCTGCATTCAGAATTTTCCATTTGCTCAGGCCCCCAGCAGGGCGTCTGGCCACGTTGGGCCGTGTTTGTATTGCTGGAGTAAAGGATGCCAGCACACTTACTCTTCTGCTTCCTCAGGTTTTCTGAAATCTCTGCAGTTAGGCTGTTAGCTTCAGCTTTATCCCTAGACGTATATTGATTTTATTTGCACTCCTGGTGAAGTCTGAATTATAGTCATGACAACTAGAGTTATGTCAACAATATGCAAGCCAGGAAGGGCAGGTCTCTTAATTCTGCTGGGAGGCCAGTTGCCAAACAATACATTAAAAAGCTCAGAGAAAGAAAAATGGTCAGCTCAGGGCTCACTGTTGCTCTTGAGCCAGAGATCCCAGCTGGATCTTGGGCAAGCCAGACTTCTCAGCAGAGGAATAGCCCTTCAGAGAAACCCTTCCAAGGGCATGGTTTCAGCTTGCTGGCCTGGCTAACTAGTCTCGTGTGGCCTCTGGGGAGGGTCATCATGTGGCCAACCACCCTAAAGGCAGAGAGCCCTCCCAGCACTTCTCTGTGGCTGTCCCAGCATGAACAGTGATTGCTTGAGAGAAGGAGTTCAGATTATGTATGAAGGTGCAAATGCATGGAGTTCTGGGCTGCTTGTCTGCACCAGCTCACCTGACTATCAGCTGCCTTTTTATGTTAGTTTGTCATCTGGCCAACTAGTGCTGGCTACAAGTTGGCCTCTGTCAGTTCTGTCAGTCTTAGTGCTTAATGAGCACAAATGTGAATGAATGAGAGAGAGAACTCTGAGTTTTGAATGCATGTGCCTGATATAGTGCTTGGTCTCAAGATACAAACTTGAGTAAGACTTGGTCCTTACCTCCTAGGATCTCACAGGCTAGTGAGGAAGACAGATCAATAAATCCAAGAAGAAGAGGCTGGGTGTGGTGGCTCACACCTATAATCCCAGCACTTTGAGAGGCTGAGGTGGGTGGATCACTTGAGCTCAGGCGTTTGAGACCAGCCTGGGCAACATGGTAAAACCGCATGTCTACAAAAAAAAAAAAATTAGCTGGGTGTGGTGATGTATGCTTGTAGTCCCAGCTACTCAGGAGGCTGAGATGGGCGGATCACTTGAGGTCAGGAGGTTGAGGTTGCAGTGAACCATGATCATGCCACTGCACTCCAGCCTGGGCGACAGAGTGAGACCCTGTCTAGAAAAAAAAAAAAAAATTCCAAGAAGGAATGTGTGTTAAGTTCCCCAGAAGCTGACGTAGCCCCATGGTTTTGAGAAGTTCATTCCTGAAGGGATCCCAGGAGACATGGGTGGGGAGTAGAGATGGGAGCCAGGTAAGGGTAGGACCTAGCCAAGGTTGTGTTCTCAAGCTGATGACCACTGTGGGCAGCTGGAGCTCGGTCTTCTTGTGAGCTGGAAGAACATTCTGGAACAGGCTTCCTGTTCCCATAACTCGGGCACCTCGGGCTCCCTCTGCAGGAGTGGTCTGAATGGAACCCTCAGGTGTTCGCAGGTGTGCAGGACAGAAAGCTCAGGTGTTTGCAGGTGTGCAGGACAGAAAGCTCAGGTGTTCGCAGGTGTGCAGGACAGAAAGCTCAGGTGTTCGCAGGTGTGCAGGACAGAAAGCGCAGGTGTTCGCAGGTGTGCAGGACAGAAAGCTCAGGTGTTCGCAGGTGTGCAGGACAGAAAGCTCAGGGGATACGGGTGGGGCCCTGTCTGCTGCAGGTTGGAAATTCCAGAGAAACCAAAAGGAGGCACTTGAGTTGGACTTTGAAGGTGAACAGAACAGCAAGACCCCTGCCCTCCCAGACTTGCAGTCAGGTGGCAACGGTTTCCGGGAAGAAAGCTAACTGGGAGAAGGAAGGAGTGTTGGGGTTTCAGGAAGACCACTGTGGAGGATGACTGTGAACAGCAGAAGAGGGAAGGGCGGAGCTGGCGTCCCAAGGCAGGAGACAGGTGGGAGCTTGCGGCAGGCTGGCATGGCTGGGACCGAGGCGGAGGGAGTGGTGGGAAATAAGCCGAGAGACAGAGCAGAGCGAGTGTCCTCCTCAGCCATCAAAGCACTCAGCCTTCTCTCTGTCGTGTGGGAAGCCGGTGAATCCAGGACAGGACCACTGTCTTTTTTTTTTTTTTCGAGACAGGGTCTCACTCTATCACCCAGGCCAGAGGGCAGTGGCACGATCTTGGCTCACTGCAACCTTCGCCTCCTGGGTTTAAGCGATTCTCCCACCTCAGCCTCCCAAGTAGCTGGGACTACAGGCGCCCACCACCACGTTGGCTAATTTTTGTATTTTTTGGTAGAGACGGGGTTTCACCATGTTGGCAGGCTGGTCTTGAACTGCTGACCTCAGGTGATCCTCCTGCCTTGGTGTCCCAAAGTGCTGGGATTACAGGCTTGAGCCACCGTGCCTGGCTTCTGCTGTCATTTTAGCAGTAGCCCGCCAGCGAGAGCAACGGGACATCTTTGGGGAGGGGTTTTGCTGCCCGTGGGCTAGGGGAGGTCCCCAAACGCTGGTGGGACCTCGACCTCAGCTGGTGTCCAGGCTCTTGATACTGCCACGGGAAGGAATTCAAGGATGAGTCAGAAAATAGTGAAAAATATGGAGATTTATTGCAAAGTGACCAGTACACACTTGAGAAAGGGAAAGGCAGGCATACTCCAGAGAGAGTGGCGTGCAAGGGGGTTTGGGGCCTGCTACCTTTATGGGCTTCTTTAAGGGGTGGGATATTCCTGAAGATTCCCAGAAAAAGGTGGAGATTTCTCAGAAATGTGGTGCCACCTGTTTTTACACTAAATATTGGTGTTCCTGGAACGGCCGTGGCACTGGTGGGTAGAGGATTGAGGATGTTAATGAGTGGACAGTGAGGTCCCAGGTGAAACTGGGTCAAATCCAGCACCATGTTGGGTCCAGTTGGTCTTAGCCAGCTTGGCCCACATCCTGATGTTTAGGGTCTTGTGGGCCCCTAGCTTATGCAGTTATTTCAACATTTTTTTTTCTTTTTTGCTAGTCCCGTGAAACTGCTGCCTGGAATTTTCTGTTCTCCTGCTACCACCTTGTATTATTCCTGTTTGAGTTTTCTTGAAGAAATAGCAGTTGAGCTGGGACCTGAAGAAGTGGGAGAGGTCAGCCAGGCTAGGGATGGGGGAGAAACGGCAGGCCAGGGAAGGCTGGGTCTTCAGGAAGACAGAGGAGGTGCTGGCCAAAGGTCTGGAGGTCAAGCCTCGCGCTGCATCTGATCTTGCCCTGGCGCCCTGCCCACCTGGAAGTCCTATATGGTTCCTCGTCCCCCTGCCCTCAGGCATCCCCCACCCCCAGTGATGTAGCTGCTCGGATATCCACTGGCTGTCTCCCTCAACCCCAGCATTGATTAGACCCAGACTGAAAGTGGGACTTGCTCAAAGCCGGCCCAGACCCCTGAGGTTGCCGTACCGTGGAGTTTCCTACCATAACAGAGCTGCTTTCAAAAACTCAGCATTGGATGGCTCTGTGTCCTTTGGCAGCAAGGCCTGCAGGTGGCAGCGTGGAGATGGCTCAGGGAGTGTGTTCTGTAGTGGAAACAGAAGTGCTGCTCTTGATTGGGGGAGCAAGGGCGTGAAGATGCTGGGTCTGCTCTGATCTCAGGGCTGGCTTGGGCTGGGGAGAAATCTATTCTGACCCTCTGGGCCAGGCCACTGAGAAGCTACCTCTCTGATATGGACGTGGTCAGCCTGCCCTGGACCCCACACACCGGTCTGTCTCCTTCCCAAACAGCTGCCTGTTCTACCAGCCTCCAGAAACTCAGCTCTGCTTCCGGCTGAAAAGAATCTGCCCAGGCAGAGCAGGAAGCGTGTGGCGTCCTCTGCCCAGCTCCACCTTGTGCGAGCAGGTGTCTCCTTTGTGGATATTGCTCTCAAACCTGGTGATTGATTTGAGACCTGAGGCCAAGGTCATATTGCAAATAAGTTCAGAAGTACTTGAATGTAAAAATGCTTCTGTCAGCCTTTAGCCTGACTGTGAGCAGTGTCTCATGCTTATAACCAGACTAATATGATAACATGAAACTCACAAGGCCGTCGTTAGGTTATGTCTGCAGTTGAGGCGGTAGATGGCAAAGTGTGTAAAAAGGCCCCCTGCCTATCTGGAGGCTCATCACTGCATCAGCCCACATCCCCTGACTGTGGTGGTGACTTGTCAAAGGAGGAAGGCGGAATGACTGTCTGGGAATGTCAGAGGAGTCCAGCATAGCTGGGTAGAACTGCGTGCTACAGTTGGAAACTGGGCATTCGTTGGTAGTATGAACCGCAACTTCACCCAGGTGAAAGTAGTTTTTAACTGTTTCAAGCATCTCAGATCAGCAAGTCAGTTGTGTTTGGGTGTTTTCAGATGTTATTGTGAATCCTGAGAAAATACGATTAATCTGTGCCTCTTTCTGGTAACTTTTTTCTTATTCTAAGTCAGAAGTGCAGAGCAGGGTGGCATAGTCGGTATTCTCATCTCAAATTTGCACTTCCTATGTATTCTTTTAAATTTAGACACAACCAATTGGGTGCGGTGGCTCACACCTGTAATACCAGCACTTTGGGAGGCCGAGGCAGATGGATCAGGAGTTCGAGACCAACCTGGCCAACACAGCGAAACCCCATATCTACTAAAAATAAAAAAAAATTAGCTTGGTTTGGTGGTGTGCACGTGTAATCCCAGCTACTCAGGAGGCTGAGGCAGGAGAATCGCTTGAACCCAGGAGGCAGAGGTTGCAGTGAGCTGGGATCGCACCACTGCACTCCAGCCTGGGTGACAAGAGTGAAACTCTGTCTCAAAAAAATAAAAATTAAAAATTAAATGTAGACACAGCCTAGGAAGTTTCTCAACTTAGAATCATTGCCGGGGCCAGTTTTTAGAGGACTGGGCTGGCCCTGCCGAAGTGGGCAGGCCAGTATGTGTAGCATCACAGTTCATGTTTTATCTTTATGGGCCTTCTACGTTTCCAGTGGCCCCAAATTCACAGGTGTTTCCACTACATGCTGCCAACAAAGGCAGAGCTCAGCCGTGTTTCACACTTTCAGTCTGGAAGCAAAAATATCAGGGCCATCTCTCCCTCATGTTTTAATGTCTCTGGTCAAATGGGGGCACTCAACTCATCAGAGCATGTTCACAAGCCCTGAGACTTGATCCCTGTATGAGCGAGTTATTCTTTTTTTTTTTTTTTTTTTTTCTGAGACAGAGTCTCACTCTATAGCCCAGGCTGGAGTGCAGTGGCACAATCTCACCCACTGCTGCCTCCGCCTCCCCAGTCCCAGTTCAAGCAATTCTCCTGCTTCAGCCTCCTGAGTAGCTGGGATTATAGGCATGTGCCACCATGCCCAGCTAATTTTTGTATTTTTTTAGTAGAAACAGGGTTTCACCATGTTGGCCAGGCTCGTCTTGAATTCCTGACCTGGTGATCCACCCACCTCACCCTCCCAAAGTGCTGGGATTACAGGTGTGAACCACCATGTCTGGCCACAAGCAAGTTATTGTTATCGGAGAAAAGCATCACCCAACAGCACAGCATCTGATAAGCACATTTGGGCTTCAGTTCTGTATTTGTTCAGCCAGAGAGCTGAGTGCATGTCCTGTGCCAAGCACTGTTAGAGTTGGGAATCTAGACACAGCTGGCAGTGTCACAGGGTGAACCCCAAAATTGGGGTTCAGCCTAAGAGGCCACATGGGTTCTTGGCTTTGGGCGGGAGGGAATTCAAGAGCAAACCTACAGAGTAAAGTGAAAGCAAGTTTATTAAGAAAGTAAAGGAATAAGAGGGTGGCTACTCCATAGGCAGAGCAGCCCTGCAGGCTGCTGATTGGCTATTTTGGTGGTTATTTCTTGATCAAATGCTAAACGAGGGGTGGATTATTCATGAGTTTTCTGGGAAAGGGGCAGGGAATTCCTGGAACTGAGGATTCCCCTTTCACACCATGTAGGGTAACTTCCACATATTGCCATGACATTTGTAAACTGTCTTGGTGCTGGCGGGAGTTTCCTATAGCATGCCAATGTATTATAATTAGCATACGATGAGCAGCCAGGAGACCTGAGACTGCTTTCATTGCCTTGTTGATTTTGGCGGGTTTTGGCTGGCTTTGCCACAGACTGTTGTATTAGGGGTTCTTTGTGACCTGTATCTTGTGAAACCAGTCCTGCTGAATTCCTGTATCAGCAGGGGCTCCTCCTGCAAATGCAGAGGCTCCCCAAGAGAGCACAAGGGGGCTCAATCAGTACTTGTGGGATGAAGGCATGGTGGTGCTCCAAGAGGGACGACGGATGATTCCTCGGAAGCCTTCTCTGCTGCTGATCCATAGTAAAGCCCCTTGAGTGCCTTCCTTATCTCCTTCACCATCATCTTGGTAACCACCAAGGTGTTGACTGGAGTGAGTTCCTGGAAAGAGCTCCAGAGCTAAGGTCTGCTGCACTAGGGAGGGAGGTGCACCCTCTCATTAAGAATGGGCAGGCGTGGTGGCTCATGCCTGTAATCCCAGCACTTTGGGAGGCCGAGGTGGGCGGATCACCTGAGGTCAGGAGTTCGAGACCAGGCTGCCCAACATGGCGAAACCCCATCTCTACTAAACATACAAAAAAATTAGCCATGCATGGTGGCGAATCCCAGCTACTCAAGAGGCTGAGGCAGGAGAATCGCTTGAACCTGGGAGGCGGAGGTTGCAGTGAGCTGAGATCGCGCCACTGCACTGCGCTTCAGCCTGGGCAACAAGAGCAAAACTCCGTCTCAGAAAAAAAAAAAAAAAAAAAGAATGTATCCAAGGCAAGAATCATTGCCCTAGGGCTCAGGGATGTGGCTGTGGAGGTCTAGCCAGGGACCAGGGTCCTGGACCTGTCAGCAGCTGACGCTTCTTACAACTAGCTCCTTCCCGTCAGGCAGATGTTCAAAATTCGGAGTCTTGTGCTGGGAGACTCAGCCCACTCCAGGCTTCTCCAGGGCTCCTTCGGTGACAGTGAGACTTCCCGTGGGTTTACTGACCTTCCTTTTTCTGCTGAGCCCTTTTACCTTTTGCCTTTGACATGGACTCTGAGGCCCTGGTGAGAGTCGTGAGGGCAGGGCCCCCTCTAGAGCTTCTAAAAACTCCTCTGGTAGCTCGCCCACCAGGCAGTGACCAGATATTCTTCAGGCGCAAAGGGCGCCTTGTGCTCCCTTTCTTTTTTTTTTTTTTTTTTTTTTTTTTTGAGACAGAGTCTTGCTCTGTCGCCAGGCTGGAGTGCAATGGCGCGATCTCAGCTCACTGCAACCTCCGCCCCCCGCCCCCCGGTTCAAGCGATTCTCCTGCCTCAGCCTCCCACGTAGCTGGGATTACAGGCACGCACCACCATGCCCAGCTGATTTTTGTATTTTTGGTAGAGACGGGGTTTCACCATGTTGGCCAGGCTGGTCTCAAACTCCAGACCTCAGGTGATCCACCCGCCTCGGCCTCCCAGAGTGCTGGGATCTCTTCTTATGCACATCACCATGTCTTTTTGTGAGTTCAACTCTTGATTTAAAAGAAAAAAAAAATCAAAAAAAAAAAAACAACCCAACCCCTGTTCTTACTGTGCATTTGAAAATAGCGATGAATCATCCCAATGGCTTTGCCATTTTAAGCAGTTCCTCTCCAGAGAACATTTTCCTCCCTTTTGGTGTGGGTACAAGTTTTCCTTTATGCAGATTAATTTTAAATTGGAAAATCTACAAATACAAAAAGCATCAGTACACAGTTTATTTCCTTTATTATGTTCATGGACCCGAAGCACTGTTTTTCCCAAGAAGTCGACTTTGACATACTGGAATTACAACCAACCAGCCCTTCACGGATCCCCACGCATCAATTCTAGGTTGACTGTGTAAAGAGTTGTCTCTTAATAGGGAGAGCAGTTTTCTGCTACCTTGCTGACTTTCCCTGTAGGGTGAGTGTAGCTGCTGATATCTGAACAGGTACTCAATTCTCACCCTTTGTTCCTTTTCTCACCCCATCCCACCTCCAAGCAAACATTAAACTCAGTTACAACACGGTGGTTTCTGTCACTCTTTCCCCAGAAAAATGACCCACGTGTTTCCCATTTGTGCTTGTTATTTAGAAAGCCAAACTTGGCCCTGCTGGCAACAAAGTCATCAGTCCCTCTGAAGACAGGAAACAACCTTCCAACAACCTTGACCGAGTGAAACTCACGGACTTCAATTTCCTCATGGTGTTGGGAAAGGGGAGTTTTGGAAAGGTAAGAGGACAGTCGTCTGCAAATTGCAGGGGCTTCTGCAGAGAATGTCGAATCAGTTTTGTTCTCCTCGTAGTTTGCAGAATAGCACATTAGATTTCCCTGTGATTCAAGGTCAGGAGATCAAGACCATCCTGGCTAACACGGTGAAGCCCCATCTCTACTAAAAATACAAAAAATTAGCTGGGCATGGTGGTGGGCGCCTGTAGTCCCAGCTACTTGGGAGGCTGAGGCAGGAGAATGGCGTGAACCTGGGAGGCGGAGCTTACAGTGAGCCGAGATCGCACCACTGCACTCCAGCCTGGGAGACAGTGAGACTCCGTCTCAAAAAAAAAAAAAAAAAAAGATTTCCCTGTGATTTGTACAGTCATCCAGAAGACCACCAGGATGGCTAAATGGTAGAAAGGAGAGGTTTATTGGTGGTATCAGTTTGCAAACCCATAAAAGAAAGTCTATGGTGTGAAATGAAGGTGCCCTCTCTTTGAGGAGAGAAAGGGCAGGTTGGGTTTTATGCCTCACAGGGTCCATGTTACACAGTAGAGTCATCCATATTCAACAGGTTTGGGGGGAAAGCTTGACTTATCTGTGAGGGAAGCCTAGCACAGGCACAATGGATGAACATATATGTAACATGCATCTTATGTTCACTTTGGGGTGGGGACTTAGCATTAAAATGAGGTGGAATTTGCCTAGGCATGGTGGCTCATGCCTGTAATCCCAGTACTTTGGGAGGCCAAGGCAGGTGGACCACTTGAGGTCAGGAGTTTGAGACCAGCCTGGCAAAAATGGTGAAACCCCATCTCTACTAAAAATACAAAAATTAGCTGGGTGTGGTGGTGTGCACCTGTGATCCCAGCTACTCGGGAAGCTGAGGCAGGAGAATCGCTGGAACCTGGGAGGTGGAGGTTGCAGTAAGCCAAGATCATGCCACTGCACTCCAGCCTGGGCAACAGAGGGAGACTCCGTCTCAAAAAAAGTAAATAAATAAAAAAAGGTGGAAGTTGGCTCTTTAGATCAAAAGGTGAACCACAGGACCCAAAAACAGTTTGTGTGCAGGCTCTGCAAGCTGCTGAAACTGGCTTCAGGTCTGCAGTTGCATCACAGAAAAGAATGTTTGTAAGGCCAGTTCTCTGTCCAGTCCAAGTCATAGTGATCTGAGTTGTCAATCAAAGTTAGGAGGGGCCTGATAGCTCCTACTGCTAGGGAGTTTAGCGAGAGTGGTTTATCTTGTAGCTGTAGGGATTTAGAAATTTGCCATGCCAGCTGGGCCCTGAACCCTCAACCCATAGATAACTATTTCCTTAACTTTAATGTTACCAGAAAGGGGTCCTGATCCAGACCCCAAGAGGAGGGTTCTTGGACCTCAAGCAAGAAAGAATTCAGAGCGAGTCCACAGAATAAAGTGAAAGTCAGTTTGTTAGAGAAGTAAAGAAATGAAAGAACAGCTACTCCATAGGCAGAGCAGCAGCATGGGCTGCTTGACTGAGTATACTTAGAGGTATTTCTTGATCGTATGCTAAACAAGGGTTTTATTATTCATGAGTTTTCTGGGAAAGGGGTGGGCAATTCCCAGAACTGAGGCTTCCTCCATCTTTTAGACTATATAAGGTAACTTCTGGGCATTGCCATGGCATTTGTAAACTGTTGGGGTGCTGGTGGGAGTGTCTTTTCACATGCTAATAATGCATATAATGAGCAATGAGGGTAGCCAGAGGTTATTCTCATCGCCATCTTGGATTTGGTGCGTTTTGGCTGGCTTCTTTACTGTATCCTGTTTTATCAGCAGGGTCTTTCTGACCTGTGTCTTGTGATACTAGCCCTGCTGACCTCCTATCTCATCCTGCGACTAAGAATGCCTGACCTCCTGGGAATGCGGCCCAGCAGATCTCAGCCTTATTTTTCCCATCCCTTATTCAAGATGGAGTCACTCTGGTTCAAATGCCTGCGACATTAGGGTCCATCTTAGTCGCTAAAGAGGCATTTATTTGGTCTCTCAGATCAGAGTGCACAGTCCTCACCTGGTTTCTACTTCCTTAAAAGCAACTGCATCCAAAAAGCTATAGTGGGTTCACTGTGTTGTTACTATTTCTCAGTGTTCAGAACAGAAGGGATGCTCAGAAATGCTGGTTGATGAATAGTTTTCACAACTAAAAATTAAATGTTCACTTGTAGTAAGCAAATACAATCATTAAGAGATACTGACATGGGGTCTTCAGCAATTTGCCTGTATCTCCATTCGGTTTCTGTGGCCCCACATTTCATAGACGCAGGAACTGATTTCAAGTCTAGGTTCTTGACTTGAGAGATTATAAATGTCAGTCAGCTTTCACTCTAAGGATACTCCTGAAAAATGTGCATTATTCCAGACTAATCCTGATAGAGAATGTTGAGTATTCATTTTAGCAGCCAAAATAGTGCCATTATGTGGCAGTGGCCTATACCATTTACAAATCTTGGCAGCATTGAAGTTTTGCAAATGCTGGAGGGACTGAATTTGTAGTGATGTGTAGAATTTACAAATTTGCACATAAAGTTTAATATTTTTATGTTCCACATTGACAAAGGTGCACAAACTGTCACTGAGCCGTCACCTGGCCTGGTTCCTTCCCTCTGCCCCCCAAGATATGTGCTTACAAGTGTTCAGGTTGTTCTTGACGTGTTCTCAGGTGATGCTTGCCGACAGGAAGGGCACAGAAGAACTGTATGCAATCAAAATCCTGAAGAAGGATGTGGTGATTCAGGATGATGACGTGGAGTGCACCATGGTAGAAAAGCGAGTCTTGGCCCTGCTTGACAAACCCCCGTTCTTGACGCAGCTGCACTCCTGCTTCCAGACAGTGGTAAGGACCCTGGGAATCCCTGCGATGCAGTACCCAGCTCTCAGAGCTACGCCTCAGCCCAAAGCTTCTTAGCATCCTTGTTCCTTTGGAGAAGGCTGGAGAAAGGTGTGTTGTGATGTCAAGCAGAGGTGACTGGGGACCACCTCCCACCTCTCTCACTGGTAGATTTGGGGCATGCCTTCTCTGTGATGTCCTCTGCTTGGCATTCATGCCATTTAATTCGGCAAACATTTCTTTTTCTTTTTCTTTCTTTCTTTCTTTTTTTTTTTTTTTTTTGAGACAGGATCTCACTCTCTCGCCCAGGCTAGAGTGCAGTGGCACAGTCACGGCCCACTGCAGTCTCAAGTAGTTGAGACCACAGATGTACCCCACCACACTCAGCTAATTTTTGTATTTTTAGTAGAGACGGGGGTTTCACCATGTTTCCCAGGCTGGTCTTAAACTCCTGAGCTCAAACGATCCCCCTACGTTGGCCTCCTAAAGTGCTGGGACTACAGGTGTGAGCCACTGTGCCTGGCCTTAATTCAGCAAACATTTCCATGAAAGGTTTTCTTCATGCCTGGTACTGTGCTCAGACTTTGGGATACAAAAACAAACAAACAAAAAAACTCACAGTCTTGGCTTTTTTTTTTTGAGACGGAGTCACTCTCTCTTCCCCAGGCTGGAGTGCAATGGTGCGATCTCTGCTCAATGCAACCTCCACCTCCCAGGCTCAAGGGATTCTCCTGCCTCAGCCTCTCGAGTAGCTGGGATTACAGGCCGCTGCCACCACGCCCGGCTAATTTTTGTATTTTTAGTAGAGATGGGGTTTCACCATGTTGGCCAGGCCGGTCTTGAACTTCTGACCTCAGGTGATCCACCCGCCTCGGCCTCCCAAAGTGCTGGGATTACAGGCATGAGCCACCGCACCTGGCCACAGTCTTGGCTTTTTAAGACCACTGGTTCCACTGCCAAACATGGCATTGGAGCATAAGGAGACTTGATTTTGTAAAAGAGCATGTTCTTGTTCAATGCCACACAACAGGGACTGGCAAACTGTGGCCTATTCTCTATGGCTTGTGAGTTTAGGAAAGGTCACAACAAGGAAATCCAAAGAGTCATATATCGTGACACGTGAAAATTAGGTCAAATTTTAAATTTCAGCATCCATAAACAGCTGTTTTGGGACATCACCACACTCCTTCGTGTACCTGTCATCTACAGCTGCTTTTGCACCATGAAGGCAGAGTTGAGTTGCTGCAAGAGACACTCACAGCCTAAAATATTAATACATACTGTCTGGCCCTTTGTGGAAAAAGTTTGCTGAGCTCTGTCGTAAAGTAAAACTAAACAGAGGACAAAAAAGGACATTCCAAAGCACTAATCAGTCCGTTGCAGGGCTTGCAAGTGGCCTACAAGAAACAGACATGGCCGGGCGCGGTGGCTCACGCCTGTAATCCCAGCACTGTGGGAGGCCAAGGCGGGCAGATCACGAGATCAGGAGATCGAGACCATCCTGGCTAACACGGTGAAACCCCGTCTCTACTAAATATACAAAAAAAAAAAAAAAAATTAGCCGGGCGTGGTGGCGGGCGCCTGTAGTCCCAGCTACTCGGGAGGCTGAGGCAGGAGAATGGCGTGAACCCGGGAGGTGGAGCTTGCAGTGAGCCGAGATGGCGCCACTGCACTCCAGCCTGGGCAACAGAGCAAGACTCTGTCTTAAAAAGAAAAAAAAGAAACATAGATGTTTAGATGCCACCATAGTGAGACGTTGCCAAAGCTGGTCTTTCCACTCCTCAGAGGCTGCCCATTTAAAATATGACTCCATAATCAGTAGCTGTAATTGATGCGATTATTACTATTTTCAACTGCCCATTGATCAGAGATTGACTTTCTGTCTTATGCCTCTTTGAAAACTCTTGGGAGGAACCTCTCAGTGCTTTTGTGTTTTAGAATCTCAAAATGGCTTTGCAGCCACCCGGAGCCTCTGGGTGTGTAGCAGTGGCCGCGGAGTCAGGCGCCGGCCACTACGTGTCAGCCTAGCGCTGGCGGCACGTTGAGCTTCCTGCTCCCAGCCGTTCCCACTGACTCTGAATCAAGTCACGCCAGGGAGAGATGAGAGCAGCATGCTCGGAAGAGACAACCACAGCTCTGAATCCCAGCCCAGAGCCTGTAACCCTGGTTACCCTGATTAAGCTCTGGAAAGCTACAAAACAAAGAAATGAAGATGAAATTAAAGTTCATAACAGGAAAGCTAGAGACTGGGGCTCCCAGGGTTGCTTCCTGGCTATTAGCACCAGCTTCATCATTTTTTTCTCCCTGTGCAGCACTTTAATGTTTAATATCCTCTGTGAAATGGGGATGTTTTCTAGCAGAGAGCAGAGGTCATTATTTCACTGTTAAACCCCTCCATCTTCCTATCTGTCCCAGCATAATGTCCTCAGGAATATGCAGATTTATTTGGGTCTATGATACATGCCCATCATGGGGCCAACACTTAGCCTACCAGTGACAGAGAAAATAGAAAAACAGTGTTTGGGCATATTACAGATGCAAAAGAACATTTGATTAGCATCTCCATCTAGAGTCCCCTGTCCCATGTCCAGTAAATATATTGAGCATGTGTAATCCTAAGCCTGAGAGATGTGTTTTCAGGAGTATCCATTTAAACACGATACTACATTAGTATGGCACGCCTCCCAGACACTGCAAACCAGCCTTTAAACATTTGGACCATGGAGAAGCACTAGTTAAAATGAAATAATTGCCTTATGTGGATTCCTCACACCATCCCTTACTTAGAAATTTATTATATGTATAGGAAGATAGGGAAGAATGTTCAAGGCCGTTACTATAATAGCATATGTAACAGGAAGGCACGTTGATGGAGAGCCATTATTTCAGGGTTATGTAATGACTTTATACTTCCCAAGGCCCTCATGCAGTAGGGTTTATTACTTATTCTTTCTTTGGAAAAAAATGTGAAAGAGCTCTAAACTGAGCACATCTGCCCATGCAGTCCCCATTTAACTAATGAGAAAGCAAAACACAACCTGTGAAGAGCAAAGGAAGCCACTTGGCTGGGGAGGAGCCCTGCTCATGTGTTGAACCTTGGTCTGCAGGATCGGCTGTACTTCGTCATGGAATATGTCAACGGTGGGGACCTCATGTACCACATTCAGCAAGTAGGAAAATTTAAGGAACCACAAGCAGTGTGAGTATTATTTTTTAAGTCCTTTAATTTGAACAACCAAGTCCTACCAACTGGAAACTTCCTTTTTTCCCCCCCGCTTGAGATTGGGGGTCTCACTCTGTCACTCAGGCTTTGCCTCCCAGGCTCGGGTGATTCTCCCACCTCAGCCTCCTGAGTAGCTGGGACTACAGGCACACACCACCATGCCTGGCTAATTTTCTGTTTTTGGTAGAGATGGGGTTTCACCATCTTGCCCAGGCTGGTCCCGAACTCCTGAGCTCAAGCTGTCTGCCCACCTCGGCCTCCCAAAGTGCGGGGATTACAGGCGTGAGTGAGCCACCATGCCCAGCCCCAACTGGGAACTTCTGCTGGGTGAAATGGGAAAGTGGGATTCTGCCCAGTTTTAGGTTGAATGTTATAAACCTAAACATGGGAGGCGGAGGGCAGATATACTGGTAGGATCCATCTAAGATGGTTCCTAAGGAGCAGTTTATTCTATTTCCAGTATTTCCAATAAACTGGAGATGTTGCCATATCCCATCATCACCCAGGTCCACCCTTGTTGATGGAGTTATTCTTATCTGTTGAACAAATGGTTATCACACACCTGCTCTGCACCAGGCACTGGGGTTGCGAAAGGAACGAGGTGCTCCCTTTCCAGAGGGAGTTTACACTCCACCCTGGAGGTGGAGAAGTCACCTAACAATTAATAGTGCGTTGCTGTAACTTTAGAGACTTGCGCAGGATACCAGGATAACACGTAAGCCCCTAAAAATCGGGGAGAGGGAAGTGCAACCCCACGAAATGACCGGCTCAGAGGTGGGGGAAGAGCCTTCCAGGAAGAGATGTGAACAGAGGCAGAAGCAAGTCCAGGGAAGCAGCCTTGCAGCTCAGCAGGTGTGGGAGATGCTGTGAGATTATTTGAGGGGCGGGGGAAGGGGGGAACGTGGTAGGTGGGGCTCTGGGTGAAGAGCCTGGTAAGGAGCCTGGCTGTGGAGGAGGGAAGAGGGAAGGCACTGCAGTGGGGCTTGCACCATCAGATTCAGTTTTTGCAGAGCTCTCTGGGGGAAGAAGGAAGCATGAAAGGAAATGGTAGAGGCTGGTGCAGGCGCTGGTGAGACCCTTTATAGATAAGAAGGAATGGAGCTGTAGTTAGGGCTAGACCTTGGAGCCAAAGAGGAATAAGTGTCTTTGAAAAACACCCTGGAGGAAGAAAAGCAGAACTTATTGACTATGGAGGAGAGAAGAGATAAACCTCTTCCAGTGAGACCCCATTTCAGGCTTGGGTCGGGGCAGCCACCAAGGAGGAGGTGGTTTGAGGGGGGAGATTCATGAGCTCAGTTAAGAACGTTTTATTGGAACGCACCTGCATGATGGGATGCGGGAGTCGGCAGCACAGGAGGAAGACGTGGGCTCCAGGTGAAGATGAGAGATTCATCTGAGGGGTGTGGGGAGCTGGAACTTTGGTGCTGGAAAACATCATCTCACCTCTCAGGGGCCAGGAAGTCTCAGGAAACACCAGTGGAGCAAGCCTAAACAAAGGGCGAGTTTAGTTCCGCAGTGAGGAAACCTCGGGGGCATGTACCCTGATGAATGAAGTCAGCACCTGTTAATAGGATTCTGGCTGCTGTGCCATCTAAGAGACACATTGGAAGAATTTTTGGCCTGCGAGGGATTATGCACCCTAGGGAAGATTAACTGAAGGCAGAATAGGGAAATCTTTGGTTGCAAGCTTTAAAAGTGTGAAGGGGGATTTTTCTGCCTTTATTGATTGTTCCTTTTCAGTTTTCAGAAATGCCTGTCCTTTTCTTCTGTCTTATGTTGTAGTTATAAAGCCTTAAAATACTCAGATTGTAAAATAAAGCTTGGTCACACAGGACTGTAAAGAGCAGATAGCAGAGTCACCCTATGTTATAAAGTAACATAAAGGTGTCTGGTCCAATATCCTTTCATTATATTATTTGTGTTGCAGAAAAGTTTAGAAAAGCATGAAAAATAATGTAAAGATCACCTGTAGTAATCCCATCTCTTCACCCTCCCCCTTTCTGTACTCTTCTAGCCTTCAGAGGTGGCCCCTCGTTAAGGGTTTGGTCTTGATCATTAGAGATTTTTTTTCCTCTCTGCTCGTGTAGACACGTGTGCTTATTTTGAGCCTCCTGCATGTGATATTTCCACAGGCACAGTCTTGTGGCTTCTTCGACTTCAAAGACTCCTGAATGCTATGCAGATTTTTAAATATTCGCCTCCTTTTAATCTGAGTTTCAGCTATTAATGTATTAACAATTTTGAAGTGATGGTAGTTACTGCTTTTTATTATGAATTATTTAAAAGAGTAAACTCAGATATGAATCTCTCCAACACTCGCAAGGAATGAAAACACTAGCTAAAGAGTTCATCACCCACTATACTTTGCCTTCCAGGGAGTAATTGTATTGTATTTTCAAACACCAGTGTATTCTGCCAGTGAATAGGAAAATGGAAATTTTCTTTACGCCATACTCCTGATATAGAATAGTCTAACTGGTATCCACTCTTTAAATGATTGTATGAGAAATTACTCTGCAGGCAATAAGCTACTTGTCCACCTTCCCCATAAGAGAATAAGAAGCCGGTTTCATTGGTTTTATTAGCTGTCTCATTCACGGATAAGCTGGAGGACGAAGTGATGGAGGGAGGACCGGGGGTTGGAAGAACACGATGCTGGTCTCTGAGAGCCTCTGGGTCTGACATTCTTTTCTCTCTTTGATGCTTGAATTTGAGAATGTAAAGTATACAGGCATCTAAGGAAGCAAGTGAGAAACCTGAAGCCCGTTTTCTTTTGCAGATTCTATGCGGCAGAGATTTCCATCGGATTGTTCTTTCTTCATAAAAGAGGAATCATTTATAGGTGTGTATTGAAGCCCTCCTACCAGCAGCTCAGCAGAGAGGTTAGCTGGGCCTCTGTGGGCATGTCATTCTGGAATGGTGACTTAAGACACAGAGTTGATAACTCCCCAGGAGGAACAGAGACCTGCTGGGACCCACCTTCCTCCTCACCCTGGAGGCAAATCAGAGCCACCTTCTGATTTCTAGACCGCAAAGACTTTATATCTTGTTTCTACTTTTTCCACAAGAAAACACATTTTTCTCTCCATTGACAGCTCCTTCCACTGCCTTTTCTTTGGAATGGAGGTCAGGGAGCAATGGAAACTGAATTCCTGTTATAGATGTTCAGCAGAAGAAGAACACAGGGAACTGGGGAGAGGCAAGGAAAAAAATCTATTGAATTAAATTCTGCCTGTTAGTAGCTGTGCTGAAAGTCTGGTGCCAAAGAAGGAAGAATTTCTTCCAGTATTAATTGAAGCATAATTAGAAGGATATATGGCACAGGCAGAATGGAAGGGACATGTGTATGACCCAGTGAAGTGGTTCTAAACCCGTGATTTTGCAAACCTGGTCATGTGTCAGACCCCCTGTGTGGGACATGAATAAATCAAATGATTGAGACTTTCCCAGACGTGCTCAATTGGAATCTCTAGAGTCACAGACATAGGCAAGATTGAGAATCACTAGTCCAGTCGTTTAGTAATCCATTCAGTATGCATTTAAGCACCTGCTGTAGCCTAGGCACAATATTAGTCTCTGAAGATATCAACACACATTGACTTCTGATACTACAGTCCAGGGACTTATAGTTAATATTGCCATTGAGCTGACAGGTATTCAGATATCCTTCTATTTCACCAGTTCCAAAGCAAACCATGTTATGTCATGGGAAGGACTCTGATGTTAACCCGGTTCCTTGCAGGGATCTGAAGTTAGATAACGTCATGTTGGATTCAGAAGGACATATCAAAATTGCTGACTTTGGGATGTGCAAGGAACACATGATGGATGGAGTCACGACCAGGACCTTCTGTGGGACTCCAGATTATATCGCCCCAGAGGTAGGAACCCCAGTGATCGTTTTCTCAACCAGGACTCCCAAACTGTAAACGCAGCCCTCTCATGGGTTATAGGGTCACTGGCGAATCATGAAGTCAGTGCATGGTCACAGCCACTAAATGGACTAAACTGGACAAAACAGACTAAAATAGAGGAAATAGGAGAGCCCATTGCACATAGTAAGGTTGTGTCTTGCTTCCTGGAACTGTTGTTTGCTCCATGTGAGCCAGTTGCTTGGGAAAATGTATTTGTTACATGGTCATGGTCAAAATCATTTAAGAAACACTGTTGGCTGGGCGCGGTGGCTCACGCCTGTAATCCCAGCACTTTGGGAGCCCGAGGTGGGTGGATCATAAGGTCAGGAGTTCAAGACCAGCCTGGCCAACGTGGTGAAACCCCATCTCTACTAAAAATACAAAAAGCCAGGGATGGTGGTGCACACCTGTAATACCTAGCTACTCAGGAGGCTGAGGCAGGAGAATCTCTTGAACCCAGGAGGCAGAGGTTGCAGTGAGCTGAGATCATGCCATTGCACTCCAGCCTGGGTGACAGCAAGACTCTGTCCCCCCAAAAAAAGAAATACTGTTGAGTGGAGGGAATTACTTGTGAAAATACTCTGCCTGGAAGGCGGGGTGAGACGGGGGTTGCAGTGATGGTGTATTAGCAGCATCGCGGTGATGACTGTTCTAAACTGCATGTTGTCTGGTCTAGGAAGAATGTGTCAGTGTGGTTCTAAGCAAAATGGTTCCAGGACTTGTATCTTGACAGCAGCGGCTGTGCTGCTCTGCTTTTGTTATAACACTTACAGAGGATTTTTTTTCCTGTTTTATGAAACATCCCACATGCCAATGATAGAATGGGTTGTCACTGTAGTCACTGTAGAGCCAACTTTCCATCCACACACAGTCCTATGGATGCCACAGTTTTTTCCCATCTGTACCCAGCATGGTGGAGACCAATGGATCCAAAGCTGAGCTGGCTTCAGCTCTTCACAGAGCCCTCAGATGAGCTGTTGGCAGCCGGTCTCACATTTATTCAACAGATTACCCCATGCATTTATCTCAGAGACAGTAGGGATAGTGAAAAAGGCACCCACAAGCTCAGAAGTCAGACCCATGTGAGCTTCAATCTGGAATCTGTTATTTACAGACTGTGGGAACTCGGGTGAGTTACTTAACGTCTCTGAACCCCGTTTCTTCAGCGGCACCTTAGGGATAATATCCTCCTTGTAGAATTGCTGTGTGGACTGAAGTGCCTAATACAACATTTTGCATCTAGTAGACCCTCCATAGTCATTATTCCAAAAGGGAAGCTGCTTTTTATTCCTTTGTGAAGACCTTGTAGTTTTATGATATTTCAAGACAGCGTGGACACATAGACTTCATTTAGAAACTTAAATTCTGAATCGCATGGCCAGAGGTGATATGTGATCTTGCTGCATAACTTACTGGGATTTTCCCCCAAAAGAACTCCCTCATTAGTACCTACAGACATGAGGTGAAATTAAATAGTCTTATTTTTCAAATATGAGGAATAGTCAGGGTACTGTCAGAAATACAATCTCTTGATGTAGTATTTATTCTGAAGCCTGTTACTAAATGACAGGTATTAAGCAGGCTGTGATTATGAGCCATTCAGCCTTCATTGAACAATTCAGCAGATGATGTAAAAGCTTAGTGATGGGGAATGGCAGCTTTTTTAGGAATAAAGGTGGCATTGAACCTCATCTCTATTAAGACCAGGTCTCTCCTGTTCCGACAAATAGCTCCTTGTGTTCAGTAACACCTCAGCTATCTAATAACACCAGGAACAACAGTGTCCAGTAGAGACAAAATTTTCCATATCATTAAGGTTTGTCCATTTGAGTGTCTTGTCTTTTTTTGTTGTTGCGGTTCGGTATCATTCACGGTATGAGTTCCTGTTGCCACTGTAACAGATAACCACAAACTCAGCAGTTTAAAATAACTCAGATTTATTATCATGTGGTTCCGGAGATCAGAAGTCCAAAATCAGCCTCACTGGACTAAAGTCAAGCTGTGGGCAGGGCTGGTTTCTTCTGGAAGCTTTAGGGGAGAACCTGTTGCCATCCATGCCTTTTCCAACATCAAGAGGCCACCACCTGCATTCCTTGGTTCGTGGTGTCTTCTTCCCTCCCCCATGCAACGTAGCATCTTCCAATCTCTCTGTCTTTTCCAACTACAACCCTCCAGCCTCCCTCTTCTCCTACAAGGATCTTTGGGATTATATGGGGCCCACTTGGATAATCCAGGATCATCTCCCTAGCTCAAGATCCTTAATTTGCCTCTGCAAAATCCTTTTTAATGCATAAAGGTAATAGATTCACAGGTTCCAGGGATAAGGATGTGGACATCTGTTGGGGAGAGGGGACTTAGTCTATCACACTTGTTATATGTTGGAGAACCTCCTCACTGTCCTCAACAGGGACACCTAAACACACTTCTGTCATGTCTTGGTAACTTCGGGCCTCTTCATACACAGAGAATACTCTGTTCTTGCTCTAGATACTTTCACATCTGAAGCCTTCATTCCCCTCCTTACATCTACTGTACAAGCAATAATAGAGGAAGTGACCACCTTCTATTGTCTACCGTGTGCCAGGCACATGATAAACTTTCTCTTGGCTGGGCACAGTGGCTCACTCCTACAATCCCAGTGCTTTGGGAGGCCAAGGCAGGTGGATCAATTGAGGTGGAAGTTCAAGACCAGCCTGGCCAACATAGTGAAACCCCATCTCTACTAAAAAATACAAAAATTAGCCGGGTGTGGTGGCAGGTGCCTGTAATCCCAGCTGCTCAGGATGCTGAGGCAGGAGAATCGCTTGAACCTGGGAGGCAGAGATTGCAGTGAGCTAAGATCGTGCCACTGCACTCCAGCCTGGGCAACGGAGTGAGACACCGTCTCAAAAATAAATAAATAAATAAATACAATAAACCTTCTCTCATTTAATCCTCATGACAAGCCCCACAGGGAGGTAGCATCAGATCTGTGTTTCAGATGAAGTGACAGAGGTGGTTAGTAACGTGTCTAAGGCCACGTTACTGAGAAATGCCAGAATTAGGCTTTGATCCCAAGCCCAGGTCACCTCCAAACCTTTGCACTGCTCACTACACTAAACTGCTCGAAACTTGAGCGACTCACGTATCCAGACAGCACTCTGCGTGCTTACTGTGCTTAAGCATGGTGCCACGAGGGATACAAAAAGACATCAGATGGCCCTTGCCCTCCAAGTGCTTTCAGTTTATAAGAAGTGACATCATACTGACCAGCAGGAATGAAAATCTATATGTGGATTCCAGTCAGCTTTCGTTGAAAACATCAGGCACCACTGCTTTGGAAAATCACCTTAAGGTTGTTTCACCTTTTTTGTTGCCTTGCTTTTTTTTTTTTTTTTTTTTTTTTTTTGAGACAGAGCCTCACTCTGTTGCCCAGGCTGGAGTGCCACAGCTCACTGCAGCCTCAACTTCCTGGGCTCAGGGGATCCTCCTGCCTCAGTCCATAGGTTGCTGGTAGTACAGGTGTGTGCCACCACCTGTGCCTAGCCTGTTCCAGCTTTTGCTAGCATTTTTTCCTCATAAGTGTTCAGTAATTTGGCATATTTGGCCACACGAATACTTACAGTATAGAGAAAGATCAGATAGGTTCAAGGTTTCAAAATGTGTGGAAAGGTTAAAATAATATTTCGTGTGGAAAATTCAAAATGTGTGGAAAGGTTAAAATAGTATTTGTCCTCTGTGCAAATACTCCTGTCAGGCAGAGACAAAATCATTATCTTGCATGGCATTCTCCTTAATAGGCAAAGCGGAGGCTTAAGTATTTATGGCTATTTGTTCAAAAACCTTGAAATCGATTAATACCTTAGCGTCTCCTTAGGCAGCGAAGCCGAGCTGAGGCAAAAAATGTCACTAACAGATGAGAGTTTGAAGTTGAAATGGACACCCACAGAAGGAGCACTCATCAGAAAATGATTCCTAAAGCTGACACAGAGGGTCCTCTTTGCTTTGACATAGAAAGAATTCTTCAAGGTCAATGAGAGTCCTTGAGCAGGCCAAGCAAAGGCTTCATTTGGATTTAATCCATCTCTGAAACTTAGTTATTCTGGGCGTGTGTGATCCAGTCACAAGTCAAGTAGATTCCAGCAGCCAAGAATCAGGCTCCAGACACTAGCATTGCGCACTCTTGCCTGGAAGAAAGAGAAGCAGGAAGAGTGTCTGCTTCTGGCCTGTGTCCCGAGAACCCCCTACTGCAGTGAGAGCAAAGCTTTTCATTTTATTTATTTTATATAATTTTGTTCTAAGAACTTTATTTTTTTAAAGACAGAGTTTCGCTCTGTCGTCCAGGCTGGAGTGCAGTAGCAATCATAGCTCCATGCAGTCTCAATCTCCTGGGCTCAAGTGATCCTTCCACCTCAACCTCTTGGGTAACTGGGACTACAGGCATGTGCCACCACGCCTGCTAATTTTAAAAAAATTTTGTAGGGATGGGGGTCTCGCTGTGTTGCCCAGACTGGACTCAATTTCCTGGGCTCAGGCAGTCCTCCTGCCTTGGCCTCCCAAAGCACTAGAATTACAGGCCTGAGCCACTGTGCCCGGCCCTGAAGTGAAGCTTTTTCAAGTGTGCCATGTAGAGTCTTCCTCACAGCATCGCTATGGCGGGGGCTACGTTAGACCACACACAAAGGACATCACCCGTGATACACTGACTTCTCTGCACCAACCTCCCTGAGCACTTCTGACTTGCCACATGTTAGTATGAGTAGAAGTTCAGTGACTTGCCCAAGGTCACATAGCTGGTAAGAGCAAAGGTGGGATTTGGATCCGAGATGTTCTGACCGGAGCCCGTACGTTCTTTTTACCTATTGCATTGTCTCCATAGATATGGGAGAAAAAGCAGGTGAAAGTGAGCACTCAGTTTGGGCCACGTTTTCTTGGCCACTCACTTATCTCAACGTGAATCAGGGACCTGAGTCATGATCAGAGATGCAGTGAATGACGCAGAATTGCATTCCAGCTGTTATCCCCAGGGAGATCCCTTAGAAACCAAGGGTGATCCAGCCACACGCAAGCCCCTCCCCAGCACGTGGGCATCGATCTGTTGGCATATTCAGGGTGCCCCCCGAGTGCTGGGCACTGTTCCAGGCCGGGGGGTGCCGGGCCAGAAAGAGGAGCCCAGAGGAGAGCTGGGAGGAGGGCCTTGGGGCTGGAGGCAGCTGGAAATCAGTGACTGCAGCCCAGGAGGACTGTGGATTTTGAGAGGTGGACAGGGCAGTATTCTCAGCAGTAACAGATGGTGCATCCAACACGGTTGAAATTTCCAGGGAAGAAGCTTGCAGACGTGGTTGCCTGACCTGCAGCCAGCTGCCTATCAGCAGATGGGCATACTCCTGGGAGGACTGGGGGCTTCATGGGTCCAGAGAGCTGAAGAGCCATTCTGGGGTCACAGCTTCTGCGTTCCCGCCCTACAGGAATGCCAGCCCACTGATGCCTGGGACAGCAGCCAGATTCCTGTATTTTTATGTAAAATACACCTAATTGTTCCAAGTTGGCCCTAACATATGTTTTTTAACATGTGTATACAAGTGAAATTCAGCCAATGGGCTATCACCTATGACCTGTCTTCTTGAGGTCAAGAGTCCTATTAATATTTGGGGGGAGCATATTAAAGATGGGAGGAATAAAGACCAAAGGATGTCCATAGAGGTGGAAGCACTAGACAGCCGTCTCGTTCTTGGACCCCAAGGAGGGCAAATGTTCATGAAGTCAGGGTGGCCAGGGACTGAGGAGGTCCAGCAGACGGGAGTGGGATGGGCAGAAGATCTAGCCACTGGGACTTGATGATCCCTGAGAGAGCAGTGTTGGTAATGATGCCGGGATGGGGTGAGCGTGAGCATCAGCAGCGCAGCAGGAGGACCTTCCTTTGAGGACATCTATGGTAAATGGAAGGAAAGAAAGTGGACAGTCACTCCCAGGAAGGCAGGCTGAAGGAAGCATCATTTACGTGGCAGAAACTTGAGCCAAAGTTTCTAAGCCAAAGGGGAAATGCCGGAGAGAGAGAGGGAGGGCGGGAAGGAGGGAGGGAGAAAGAAGGAATGGGGCACCCGTGGTAAGGATGCCCTTCCCTCTCAGCTTCAGGAGGAAGGGGAGGGGCACACAGGAGACCTCACGGTGGCAGGAAAGCTGAAACCCCCTCCCTGGCCAGTCTGCATCTTCAGAGGGTGACACCAGGACGGGCGGGTATTAGGTATCTTGGCTCTGAATTGGAACCCCCTCCCTGGCCAGTCTGCATCTTCAGAGGGTGACACCAGGACAGGCGGGTATTAGGTATCTTGGCTCTGAATTGGAACCCCCTCCCTGGCCAGTCTGCATCTTCAGAGGGTGACACCAGGACGGGCGGGTATTAGGTATCTTGGCTCTGAATTGGGTATCTTGGAGAAGCCAAAGCCTTCACAGGGGCCCCAAGACCCTTTAGCACCTGCCTCCCCGCCCCATTCCCTCCCTGACCTCCTCCCCCTGCCCTCCACCCCTCCGGAGCTCTCTAGACCCATTGCACTAGCTCCCTTTCCACTCTCCAATTTGCCAGACCTCTCCATCCTCAGGCCAGTTCCTCTTCTTTTTCCTTCCACCCAGCATGTCCCACCCCAGGCATCTGCTCAGAGATCACCTTGGGGAGGCCCCCTGCCCTGGTGACCCTATTTGAACCTGCAAACCTCCAGTCCCATCCAGGACTGCTGACTCCTGTCCCTGCTGTTTTTCATGGCACTCATCCCCCTTGGAGGGACAAAGATGTACTCCTGAACTGATTTTTCAGTCTATCTCACCAAGCTCCACCACGGGCAGAATTTCATCTGGTGTTGGCTGCTGTGCCCCTACCCCAGGGTCTGGAGCCGTGCCTGGCACTCAGTGTGTACTTGGCATGGGTGCCTGCACGCTGCGCTCCTGGATGTGGCCACCTAGGAATCTGCAGGGGAGACACCGCAGGAGGACAGAGATGAAGCCTTGGAGACTGAGAGGGGTGGAACTCTTTAGCCAGGTGATTGGAAGGGTGACTTCCAAGGCCATCACAGGTGTTGGGCTGATGGTATGTGACAGTGCAGAGAAGGGCCACACCACCTCATGTCATCGGCTGAAGAGATCCAGCAGGTTGGGGGACCTGAGTGAAGGTCAATGGGACATCATCCCAGGTCCCCCAGACAGCCCCAGCTGACCCCAGAGACTTCTCCTGGCCTCTGGGGAAAGGATTGTAGAGAGGGATAGAAAATAAGAGTATCTAAAGGTTCAAAGAGAAAATAACTCATGTGGTATATACATGCAGCCGGGCAGTCAGGCAGTAAATTAGCACTCACCACCAAGAAGAAAGGGGGAGAATGAGATACAGGGAGAGAAAAGCCAATCAGCACCAGCAATGGCTCCTCTGAGATCAGCCGCTTCTGAACCATGGGCCCCGCACCAGCCCAGCATGGGCAGGAGCAAAGAAAAGCACTTGATGAAAGAAACAGAATGATAAACCAAAGGGCGGCTTTCTTTCTATCAAAGGCCAATTTCCCTCTATGGAGGGTCATGGTCCAGTGACTCCAGCGTTGCAAGAGAGAAAATGAAGCCGCCGCTTTCCCTCAAAGAAATATTTAAAGAGCCAAAGCCAGGCTTTCCTTTGGGGTCTTCTTTAAGTTGTGCGATTCTCAGATCTTTTCTAGGAATTATGTTGGTTTTATTATCTCATATATTGTATTGTCTGCCTGCAGCTCTTTAACTGTCTCATAATTCTCCCCGCCTTGGAGTTTAATCAGTTTAGCCTCTTCTCTAGAGCACTGGGCACCTTCTGCGATATTGTGGTCTATGAAACAAATGTGGCCCGCTCCTTTCTTCTGAGCCTCCCCACTTCCAATCCTCCCTCCAGAAGTAACCAGCTCCTGGTGGATTCGCTGCCCCTTCGCAAATGCCTGCTACATCCCAGACCAGGGCTGAGCACCTTGTTTATTTTGTTTAATCCTAAGTCAATTCTAATTCCTGGATGGTGAAACTGAGGCACAGAGATTTGTTAATTTTCCCCACCTCCCCAGTTCAATGCAGACTTGGTTTTGAACACAGGACTGAGCAGCTTTTCCCTGCGGTGACTGTTACCCTGGGAGGAAGGGCCTGCAGACATCAGCTCCAATGCTACCCAAGCAACATGTCACTCCACATGTGCCAGTAAGCTGCTCTCACAGGCCTGTTATTGGCTTTCAGAGCTCAGATAATGCTCTGTTAGATTTTTACTCCTGGTATTTGGTGGCATGCTTTAATTAGCCCTTTATTTAGGGATTTGCTTAAATCCTGTAAAAGTGGGTCAGAGATTTCTGAGCTTATTTCGCCTCTTTCTTTGTAACATTGCCCAGGCGATGGCAGGATGGAGGTGGGTATCATGAGAGATTACTAACATTTGTTCATTTCTTGCTATGCGCCACGCACTTAACGCCTGTTATCACATTTAATTCTTACAATAGCCCTCTAAGGTAAGTGGTATTATTCATGCTTTACAAACACTGTAAAGGAGACTTGGAGAGGAGACGGGACCTGCTCAGGGCTCACAGATGGCACATGGCAGGGGCAGAATGCTGGCCCGCCAGCCTCAGAGCACAGGCTGGCGCCCTGATGCCATCCACGGCCAGTTGCCACCTCAGTGTATCACTTATTGCCCTGTCTCCAAATCATATCTGTAGAGATCCACTAGACTTTGAGACTTCTTGGTTCTGGAAAATCTTTTAATCCAGCTAATAAAGCTCTTACGACACAAGTTATTCCTAACTCACACTTCATTCCTTTACCATACAAGCAGTTATTTTGTTCTGATGCATAATTAACATTTTGCACAGCTTCTCTGCTGACCCCAGAGGAGGCCTGAGATGAGCAGGGTCCTATAGGTGGGTGCTGAGCTGGGACTCCTGCCCAGCTTTTCCCTAGCACCTCCTATGCCCCTGCCACCCTCAGAGGGAGAGACCAGGGACAAGGGCTGCTGCTTCCTTCCTCCCAGGAAGCATGGCTAGGGGGGGTCTCAGGAAACTTACAATCATGGCGGAAGGGGAAGCAGGCACATCTTCCATAGCCAGAGCAAGAGAGAGAGCAGGGAGGTGCTACACACTTTCAAACAACCAGATCTCATGAGAACTCTGCCACGAGAATAGCACTAGGCGGATGATGCTAAACCATTCATGAGAAACTGCTCCCATGAGCCAGTCACCTCCCACCAGGCCCCACCTCCAGCACTGGGGATTACATTTCAACATGAAATGTGGGTAGGGACACAGATCCAAACTGTATTATAAACTCTGGCTACAGTACTGCTATTTTAAGAACTTGGGGTGACATCTGTATAATAGGGTATAATCACAGCATCTTCCTGAAAGCCCAACTTTGAGGGCTCAGTGAGTCTGGCCATAATGACTTAGCCTGCCTCAGAGGGAGCACTCCGGAAAGCCTTGTCCATTATTTGGCAGTTGTTTCAATTATCTATTGATGTGTAATCGCCCCAGAACATAATGGCTTAAAACAATAATCACGTTGGGCTGGGCGTGGTGGCTCACACGCGTAATCCCAGCACTTTGGGAGGCCGGGGTGGGAGGATCACCTGAGGCCAGGAGTTCGAGACCAGCCTGGCCAACATGGTGAAACCCCATCTCCACTAAAAATACAAAAAATTAGCTGGGTGTGGTGGTGGGCACCTGTGTAGTCCCAGCTACTCAGGAGGTTGAGGCAGGAGGGTCACTTGAACCTGGGAGGTGGGGGCTGTGGTGAGCCAAGATCATGCCAGTGCTCTCCAGCCTGGGCAACAGCAAGACTCTGTCACCAAATAAATAAAGTTAATGCTGCGATTCTTGGAGCCAGGGCCTCCATCAGGACCCGGCAGGTGGACTCCTTGCTGCTGCAGGGACATCCCTACCATGGCTCTGCTGGGGCTGGAGGGCCCAAGGTATCTTCCAGCTATTGGCCAACGCCACATGGGTTCTCCTCTACCTGGTCCTTCTTTCCATGCAGCCACTTGTCACTGAGCTTCTTGACATGGTGCTGGCTACTAAAAGGCCAAAAACAGAAGCCACAGGCTGCTGAAGTCTATACCTGGAACTGAACTGTGTTACTTCCAACACGTTCTGCAGGTCAAAGACAGTGAGGACCAGGCAAGAGGGCCCCTGCCTTGTGTTTTAGAGCAGAGCTGAGCAAACTTTCTCTGCCAGGGACTAGATAAAAAATAGGCTTTTCCTAAATCTTAATTTTAGATTTTTACCAAGAGGCAAAATTGAGCAACTGTTCTTGCCAAAATCATTTTACATTTAAAAATGTAAAAAGCATGCTTAGCTCACAGGCTGTACAAAAACTGGATTTGGCCTACAGGCTATGGTTTGTTAAGCCCTACCTTAGTGGGCTCTCCTCTCCCCACCAGTCCCCAGGCTGGGCTCTCCTTATAGGGTTAGAGTCTGCAGGGCCAATGCCCACTCACAGCCTGCTCTCCGACCCCTTTTAGACAACAACCTGGGTACTCAGAGCCTGGAATTCCCTTCCAGGGCCTCTTGCCAAGATCCATCCTTCCTGTGAACACCGCCCTGCTGGCGTATGCACTCCTGTGGCCAGTGGAGGAGTCAGTGGATGGCTGTTTTCAGGGGCAGTGGGACGCAGTTAGACATGCAGGTTGGGGTGCTATGATGGAAAGGGCCTGGGAAGAGAAGTGGGGTGGCCCATGTCAATAGTACATTCTTAGGCCTCCACATACTGGAGTGGAATCTCAGGGGTCCATGAATTCTTAAGTCAAACTTGTCCTTCCAGGTTCTTGGGAAATGTAAAGGACTGAATTGCATCCCCACGCCCCCACCCCACAAATCCGTGTGCTAAAGCCCTAATCTCCAGTGTGACTGTTCTGTAGAGATAAGGCCTTGAAGAAGGTAATTAGGGGAGAATGAACTCATCAAGGTGGCGCTCTGATCTGATAGGATTAGTGTTCTTACGGGGAGGGGAAGAGGCCACAGGAGGGTGCATATGGAATAAAAGCCACGTCAGGACACAGCGAGAAGGAGGCAGCCAGCACGGCACCAAGAGAGGCCTCACCAGAAGCCCACCTGCTGGCACCTTCATCCTGGACTTCCAGCCTCCAGACCCAAGAGAAATTTCTGTTGTTTAAGCCACCCAGTCTGTGGTGTTTTATAAGGGTAGCTCAAGCCAACCAATACAGGAAGGTACTTGTGTCAAGGGGTGGGAAAGAGCATACTGTATTTAACCGTCTGTTGGCTTGATTTGTAATACTCCTATTTAGATAAAGGCTGTGTGAGTCTTAGTTATTCTTGTCCCGGCTCCCTCACCCCACATGTTAGAGATGGCCTCATCCTAGGTCAATAGGGAGTTGTGGGTTAGGGCCAAGTAGATTATGTTATAAAGCGAGATGTATTTTATATATTCATATCTTTTTTCATATATATGTTCATATATATATGTATGTGTATGTATTCATACAATCAACATCGTTGTCACTCTTATCAAGCAGAACAGGAAGGAGGAATAAAGGCCCCAGAGGGCAGGGGCACCATCTCAGATGTCTTTGTCCCATTCACAGCTCCTTCTTACACAGAGCGGGCACCATGTGCGACAGTAAAGCAAGAGCCAGGATGAATCCTGGCCCCATCTGCCACCTCCCCACTGTGCGTGTGACTCTGGTCACCTCACTTGAGCTTGCTGTGCCTCGACTTCTCCAGTGGTAAACGAGGGTACGACCTAGCACGGTGCTGGCTTAAAGACTGTGCTCAGGGGTGGCTCTGATTCACATTTGATTTATAGTCAATATTACATTCTTAGTGCATCTCACCATTAAGGAGGTTCCTGAAAAACTCGGTGGGGGAAAAGAGAGGATCTGAAGAGGTGTTTGATTTCTTTGACGTAACAAGAAATTAAAGAAGTTTGCTGGGCATGGCGCTGGAGAGGTCCGGTGGGCCAAGTCGATTAGATGATGTGGGGTGGGCCATGTCAATATTACATTCTTAGGCCTCCACATACTGGAGTGGAATCTCAGGGGTCCATGAATTCTTAAGTCAAACTTGGCCTTCCAGGTCCTTGGGAAATGCTAAGGACGGAATTGCACCTGTCAGATCAGGGCCCCACCTTGATGAGTTCATTCTCCCCTAATTACCTCCCTCAAGGCCTTACCTCTACAGAACAGTCACACTGGGGGTTAGGGCTTCAGCACACGGATTTGGCGGCGGGGGATGCAATTCCAAGGTCGGGTGACCCAACTCAATTAGATAATGTTTTTCTAGACCCAGTCGCTCCACAGTCACCTTCCCGATTTCTGCCAGGATCAGCTAGCCTTACCGAAGAGCTAAAAAGAGATTCATCCCAAACAAGAGCTTCCTTGGAAGCATTCCATGAAGACTTGAAACGGTGCTGCCTCCCACCACCTGACCCAGTATTGTCAGTGCCTCCTCTGAGGATCGCAGAAAATCGCACCCCACGCCCCCCCAGTGCACATTCCAGACTTGGAGAAGCGCGGCATGGGGTGGCGGTGGGGAGAACACCTTTCTGCCAGATCAAAAGCCCAGCACTTTATTCAGAGTTTTATTTATGGCTCCTTCAGAAGGTTAGTCCAGTCACGCCTCCTTAATAACCGCCTCATCACACATGATTCAGGTGTCCTGGGGCCACTTCACGCTCCTGGCTTCCTGGCCCAAAGCCCAGGAGACCGCTGAACCCCACTGCCTGGCATTATTTGCGGGCGAGACACCACTGGTGAAGTGTTTGTCTTTTCTTATGGCTTATTTTATTGAAGGTTGTTCTTTTAGTCAAACACCTTTTCAGTTCTTTGTGTTTGCTGAGCACCCAGGGCTGTCTCACCCAGCCTTGAATTGTTTCCAGGCACCTTGCAAGCCAGTATTGTACAGTTCTTTTCTGCACAGAAAAAGTACAGACTTCTGGTTTCCAGTCCAGCATGTTAGGAGCTTAGACGTCATCGTTCCATCCTGACAAGTGAAAAGCTGGACTGGAAAATCAACAATTCTTCCTAGAGCCATTGGCGCCTCCCACGTGGGAGACCTGGGTTCATTTCCTGACCAGTGCACCAGCATTGGTGGTTGAGTGGTAGAATTCTCGCCTCCCTAGAGCCATTGGAAAAATGAGGTAACAGGGCAAACCACTGTCCCCAAAATTAGACAGACAGGCAGATACAGATAATTACAACTTACCAGAACAGAAACCTCCCTGGCTACTAGTGCTGGGGTGCAAAAACCTGATCCGTAATCGGCAAATTGCTGGAGGCTAAGTGTGGACAAGTCTGAGAATCAGTCACGGGGGCTCCACGCGTTTTGGAGTTTTCCCTCAGGAAGCGCTGCCGGGTCCTCACAGTGAATGCTGGAGAAAAATCGCCTCATGCTTCTGGCAGGGAGAGGAGAAAAGTAATAACCATTGTGAAATATGCCAGAGCATCCCGTTCTTCTTAACAAGGGCTTCCCTCAGGAGACGCTAATGTGAGCTTAATCTCCTGGGGTTTTATCAGACCCTAACCTACCTAGAAGAAGGGACATCCCCGATTCCAATCCCTTCCACCCATCCTCTCCCACCCAAGAGGAGAGGGGGGAGACCAAGAAGCACTTGTGAAGGTCACAATCCACAGGCACAGGCTCCCCACAAGACAGAGACCTCATCGTCGGACCGTAGCACACTTCCCCTCTCCACACCTCACCACCACATCACTAAAGGTTCATGTACTACAGTTCCTTTCACCCAGTGTGCCATGTCCAGCCCTCAAGAAAACAATTACAGCACACTAAATGGCAAAAAAAAAAGAAAGCAATTTGAAGAGATGAAGCAAGCATCAGATGCAGACTCAAATGTGGCAAGGATGTTGGAATGATAACCAGGAGTTTTGTTTTTTGGTTTTTGGGTTTTTTTTTGTTTTGGAGATGGAGTCTTGCTCTGTCACCCAGGCTGGAGTCCAGTAGCATGATCTCAGCTCACTGCAACCTCCGCCTCCTGGGTTCAAGCGAGTCTCCGGCCTCAGCTTCCCAAGTAGCTGGGATTACAGGCATGAGCCACCATGCCCAGCTAATTTTTTGTATTTTTAGTAGAGACAGGGTTTCACCATGTTGCCCAGGCTGGTCTTGAACTCCTGACCTCAAGTGTTCCGCCTGCCTCAGTCTCCCAGAGTGCTGGGATTACAGGCGTGAGCCACCGTGCCTGGCCATAACCAGGAATTTTTTTAAACTATGATTAATTTGCTAAGGGCTTTAGTGGAAAAAAGTAGACAGCATGCAAGAACAGATGGGCAGTGTTAAGCAGAGAGAAATTCCAAGAAAGAAAAGATGCTAGAGATCGGAAATACTGGAGCAGAAATGAAGAATGCCTTTGATGGGCTCATCTGTAGACTGGACACAGCTGAGTCTGGGGTGACTGAGCCTGAGGATATGGCAGTAAAAACTTCCAAAACGGAAAAGCAAAGACTGAAAAAAAAAAAAAAATGGAACAGACTATCCAAGAACTGTGGGACAGCTACAAAAGATATATGCCCTGGGAACACTGGAAGGAGACGTAAGAGAGAAAGAAACAAGGAATGTTTGAAGCAATTGGGACAGAGAATGTCCCCTGAATTAATGTCAGACACCAAATCACAGATCCAGGAAGCTCAAATGACACAAAGTAGGACAAATGCTCAAACAAAACAAAAAGCTAGGCATATCATATTCAAACTGCAGAAAATCAAAGAATTCTGAGGGAAGCCCAGAGCGGGGAAAGCAACACGTTACCTAAAGAAGGGCAAAGACAGTAGAGTGAAATATTTAAAGCTTTGGGAGGAAAAAAAAAAAAAAAAAAACGAACCTAGAATTGTGTACCCTGCAAAATTGTCCTTCAAAAGGGAAGGAGAAATAAAGACTTTCTCAGACAAAAACAAAGGAAATGTGTTGCCAGTAGACCAGCCTGGCAAGAAATGTTAAAAGAATTTTTTTTGTTTTTTGGGTTTTTCTTGAGATGTAGTCTTGCTCTGTCCCCCAGGCTGGAGTGCAGTGGCGCCATCTCGGCTCACTGCAAGCTCCGCCTCCCAGGTTCATACCATTCTCCTGCCTCAGCCTCTCGAGTAGCTGGGACTACAGGTGCCCACCACCATGCCTGGCTAATGTTTTTGTATTTTTAGTAAAGACAGGGTTTCACTGTGTTAGCCAGGATGGTCTCGATCTCCTGACCTCGTGATCCACCCGCATCAGCCTTCCAAAGTGCTGGGATTACAGGCGTGAGCCACTGCGCCCGGCCAAAAGAAGTTCTTTAGAGAGAAGGAAAGTGACATAGGTCAGAAACTTGGATCTCCATGGGGCAAGGAAGGGCAGGCTTTGCAGATGCTGCCACCACCCATAGCCCCCTGCACCAGCCGTGGGCAGCCCCACTGTGTTCTTCAACATGAGGCCGCATCTCTTTCAAGCTGTTTGCAGACTACATTCCAAAAACAGCAGAAAATTTTTGTGCTCTGAGCACTGGAGAGAAATGATTTGGTTATAAGGGCTCTTTGCTTTCACAGAATCATGCCAGGGTTTGTGTGTCAGAGTGGTTACTTCACACACCATCAAATTTCCAAGAAAATTTACTGGTATCAAGAAAGAAATTTGATCTACGGGAAGAAATTTGATGGTGAGCACTTCATCCTGAAGCATACAGGTCCTGGCATCTTGTCCATGGCAAATGTTAGACACAATACAGATGGTCCCCAGTTTCTCATCTGCACTGCCAAGGCTGAGTGGTTGAATGGCAGAGTGGCATGCATGTGGTCTTTGGCAAGGTGAAGAGAATATCGTGGAAACCATGGAGCACTTTGGGTCCAAGAATGCCAAGGCCAGCAAGAAGCTCATCATTGCTGACTGTGGACGACTCTTAATAAATTTGACTCATGTTCTATCTTAACCACCAGACATTCCTTCCTTAGCTCAGGAGAGCACCCCTCCACCCCATTCGCTCGCAGTAGCCTCTCATCTTTGTGCTCTTGCTGCAGTTCCTTGGGTTCCATATTTTCCTTATTCCCTTCCATGCCTAGCTGAATTGCAGAGTTAAGTTTATGATTATGAAATAAAAACTAACAAGAGCATCAGAGAAGGTATAGGTGAAAGTAAAATACTTTTAGTATTCTTGATCTAACATGAGTTTTTTTCAAAATAATAACATATTCTAGTGTGTGTGCATATCCTATGTATAAGTGAAATGAACGAGAGCAGTGATAGAAGGGATAAGAGGGAAGAATTAGGATTATTTTGTTATCATAGCTACTTTCACTATGCATGAAGTGTTACAGTGTTATTTGAAAGTAGACTTGGGCTGGGCGTGGTGGCTCATGCCTGTAATCCTAGCACTTTGGGAGGCCGAGGCGGGCGGATTACAAGGTCAGGAGATTGAGACCATCCTGGCTAACAAGGTGAAACCCCATCTCTAATAAAAATACAAAAAAAATTAGCCGGGCGTGGTGGCGGGCACCTGTAGTCCCAGGTACTCGGGAGGCTGAGGCAGGAGAATGGCGTGAACCCGGGAGGCAGAGCTTGCAGTGAGCCAAGATGGCGCCACTGCACTCCAGCCTGGGTGACAGAGCGAGACTCCGTCTCAAAAAAAAAAAAAGAAAGTAGACTTGGTTTCGTTGTAAATATATATTGCATATTCTAGGGCAACCACTAAGAAAAGGAAAAAAGGAAGTCACTGATATGCTAAGAAAAGAAACAATGGAATCATATGAAATGCTCAGCTAAACCCGCAAGAGGCAGAAAAAGAGTGGGAGACAAAAAAAAAAAAATGGACAAGGGCCACAAATAGAAGACAATAACAAATATAGCAGTGATTAATCCAGTTATATCACAAATAACTTTCAAAGTCATTGGTCTAAATGCAGCAATTAGAAGATTGCCAGACTAGATCAAAAAACAAGACTTAACTCTATGCAAGAAATCCACTTTAAGTATAAAGACATGTAGATTAAAAGTAAGTGGATATAAAAGATATATCATGCTAATACTAATCAAAGAAATTAGGAGTCACTATATTAATTGCAGCTAGAGCAGACCTCAGAGCAAGGAGAGTTATCATGGAAGGGCATTACATAATGATAAAGGGGTCAAGTCTCCAAGAAAACATAGCAGTTGTTAATGTGTGCGTCTGACAGCAGAGCATTGAAATACATACGGCCAAACATGATAGAACTGCAGGTAGAAATACATGAATCCACTATTTTATTTGAAGGCTTCAGTGCCCCTCTATCAGAAATAGACATATCCCGCAAGGAGAGAATCAGTAGGGACGGAGTTGAACTCAGCAATACTGTCCTGTAGACTCTACTTCATCCAACAACAGCAGAATAACATACATTCTTCACAAGCTCACATAGAACATTCACCAATATAGACCACATTCTGTGCTGTAAAACACACCTTAACAAACTGAAAATAATAGAAACCATGCAGTGTCTTCTCTCAGACCACAATAGACCTAAACTAAAAATCAATAACAAAGATAGCTAGAAAATTCCAAAATACTTGAAGATTAAAGAACCCTTCTAAATAGTGTGGGTCTAAGAAGAAATCTAAAAGGAAATTTTAAAATATTGTTAAATAAATGAAAACGTAGATACGACTTATCAAATGTTATACGGTGCAATTAAAGCAGGGCTTAGGAAACTTATAGTATTGAATTCATATATTAGAAAAGAAGAAAGATCTAAAATCAACCACCTAAGCTTCCATCTTAGGAAGCTAGAGAAAGAAGAGCAAATTAAATCCACAGTCAGCAAAAGAAAATAAAAACTAGAGCAGAAGCCAATGAAATAGAAAATAGAAAACAGGGAAAGTCAACAAACCCAAAAGGAAGTTCTTTGAAAACATCAATAAAATTGATAAGCCTCAAGTCAAATTAAGAAAAAGAGAGAGCACAAGTTACTAATAAATGAAAGAGGACATCACTACAGATCCCATGGATGTTAAAGGATGATAAACAAACACCAGCATGGAAAACTACAGACTAATACCTCTCATGAACATAGATGCAAAAATCCTCAACAAAATATTAGCAAGTTGAATCCAACATGTATAGTAGGAATTAGCTTCTGTTTGCAGCCAGTATAAACAATTGCAAACACTGCTTTCATTTGATCCTCTTCTGACCTTTTTTGGGAGGGGTACTTAGGCTGTTCTGCTGTTTGCTTCCCATTCTTACAGGGAGGTAAAAAAGGGTGGCTACTCTAAATAGATTTTAAAGCACTTTCATTGGTGTAATTACTATTAGAGAGATCATTTTCTGTTTTCTCCAATTGTACATAGAGCCACAATTTTTGTCTAAATAGAAAATACATAGGCTGGGCGCAGTGGCTCACACCTGTAATCCCAACACTTTGGGAGGCCGAGGTGGGCGGATCACAAGGTCAGGAGATTGAGACCATCCTGGCCAACATGGTGAAACTCAGTCTCTACTAAAAATACAAAAATTAGCCGGGTGTGGTGGCGTGTGCCTGTGGTCCTAGCTACTCAGGAGCCTGAGGCAGGAGAATCACTTGAACTCGGGAGGCAGAGGTTGCAGTGAGCCAAGATCACGCCACTGCACTCCAGCCTGGTGACAGAGCAAGACTCCGTCTCAAAAAAAAAAAAAGATACATAGTTTGGACTCTAGACTCTTTGTTTTTAATCTTGTGGTAATTTTCTTTATTTTTCTTTACTTATTTATTTGGCGGTGGTTGTTGTTGAGATGGAGTCTCGCTCTGTTGCCCAGGCTAAAGTGCAGTGGCACGATCTTGGCTCACTGCAACCTCTACCTCCCAGGTTCAAGCAATTCTCATGCCCCAGCCTCCCGAGCAGCTGGGATTACAGGCACTTACCACCACACCCGGCTAATTTTTGGACAGGCTGGTCTTGAACTCCTGACCTCAAGTAATCTGCCCACCTCGGCCTCCCAAAGTGCTGGGATTACAAATGTGAGCCACTGTGCCCGGCCAGTTTTCTTTTTTTTTTATATAATGCACTTTGTCCAAGGATTTCAAATATTGTAGTCATTTCCCATGTGACATAGTAAGATCCTTGATCTTGGATATCGTATCTTAGCGTATTTGTCTGTTATCCCAGTTAGTTTGGTAATCTGTGATACCTAGCAGAGTGCCCAACCCATAGAAATGTACAGTCAGCCATACTCAGTGGGAGTGAGCAAAGGAGAGGGCCAAGGAGGGTGTCCTAATACCATAAGAAAACAGAGAAGCCTGAAGTTTTGCTGCTCCAGTAAAAAATCAATTTAATTGCCTAAGGGGAGATTTTTAAAAATCTGTTTGATTCACTTCTGTAACTGATTCACTTCTGATTTACTATGTCTGGTACACAGTAAATTAATATTTGCTGAAAGAACGAATGGAAGGTTTATTGTCGCTTAAGAATTTTCAGGTGCCAACAATCATTTGAGTGTTTAACATATACCAAAATGTTTCCTCTGTCCCCCTCTGAGCCAAGTTTAGTTTATTTCCTTGAATAACTTTCACCCACCTGCTTATTTCTGGTAGGCCAGTTCTTATTTCTAATGTTAGGCAGTATGGAGTTATGTATACTCAGCTGCAGTAAGCACATTTTAATACACATAATGCCATTTAATCCCCACCACCTGCTTGTCAGGTGGGTGCTGAAATCCCAAGATCACAGCTGAGGAAATGGAGGCTCAGAGAGGCTAACCAACTTGCCCAAAGTCACACAGCTCCTGGCCTCCAGCAGTTGGGTTCGGAGCTCTCTCACCTCATTCTGCTTCCCGCTTGTATTCTGAGCTTTGGCTATGCCATTGGAAAGGAGTTTAATTAGGAAGTATCTCGATTGAGAGCTGGGGGTGTTTCACTTCTCCCCTGCTGCGGGGCTTTCTGTTTATGACGCTCTGGTCTCTGTTCTGATGCTTTAGAAAGAGGACACGGTCAGGAGACCTGAGGCCTCTCTCTTCCTGACCTTGCTGTTAACCAGCCCAATGACCTCAGCAAGCCACTGTGCCACTTTGAGCCTCAGGAGCCTCTTCAGAACCCTGAAAACACCTTTTTTATTTTATTTTAATTTGTTTTAGACGGAGTCTCACTCTCTTACCCAGGCCGGAGTGCAGTGCATCATGGCTCCCTGCAACCTCTACCTCCCGGGTTCAAGCGATTCTCCTGCCTCAGCCTCCCAAGTAGCTGGAATCACAGGCATGTGCCACCACGTCCAGCTGATTTTTGTATTTTTAGTAGAGACAGAGTTTCACCATGTTGGCCAGGCTGGTCTTGAACTCCTGACCTCAAGTGATCCTATCGCCTTGGCCTCCCAAAGTGCTGGGATTACAGGCATGAGCCACTGTGCCCAGCTTGAAAACATTTTTCTAAATCATCCCTCCAGACTTAGCAATCCAGCAATTCTAACAGCCCTTTTGATTTTGCACTTTAGAGGTAGGCAGTGTCTATGGAGTGGTCTTGGATCAGATCCACTACTTCTCCAACACAACCTTGTGTCTGCCCCGTGCCTGAGGTCCTGGTGCTGGGTACAGAAGTGGATGGCCCAGCCCCAACCAGGGAGAAGTCTGGGTTGAGTAGGGGCAGACAGTCTCAGTAGACATGACAAAGGCTCCAGGAGTTGTGGGTCCCACAGTAGCAAGTGGAGGAGACAGTTATCAAACCCAAGATCCCAGCTGTCAGATCAGAACACCCAGAAAACGTTCAGGCCTGTCTTCTTTCTTTCCAAATGGTGCTGTTTGGACGCGTCAGACAGTGCTTTGACCATGTTACATGTAAAGAGTGCCTCTGGGGTCCTGTGTTCTATCCTTGGGAATGGATGATGTTTTTCAAAACAAATGTAATTTTTCCATCAAAATGTTTTTGTTTTTTGAAAAAGAAAGGATATTCTTTGTTTCCCTGAAACAGTAAAAGGACTTGAGTGTGTTTTATGCATAAAGGCCACCGTTATTTTGTAATGACAGCTTGGGAAGAGGCTTTTGTGGCCAGGCCTTTTATTTAAGATTGGGCTCTAGGGGTTTGCTGTATACATACAGCACAAAAATGAAGAGTGAAATCCCAGTTCAAGTGCAGCCGAGAACAGGAGAGTGAATCTCCACACACGTACTTTATAGGTCCGTGGGTTCCTTCAAGAAAAAGCCTTTAGAGCCAAGAGCTCCTGAGTGAAGGAGGCATCTTGGCTGTTTTGATCCTGTTAAGCATTTGGGCCCCTTTTCAGCAGGACTCATGTAAACTGGGCGAGTACCCACCATAGCTGTCTAGGGAACCCCACTGGATCAAGGCCTTCAGTATAGAAAAAGGGTCAGAAGTATGGATGCCAAAGCCGATGACCAGGGTTCTAATCCAAGCGTTGCTGCTTGCAAGCTCTGTAACATTGGACAAGCTACTGTGTCTCTCTGTACCTTATTTCCTCACCTTTGCAATGGGCCTTATGAGGATTAGGTGAGCTTCAGAGCTAAAGAGCCTGGCTCTCGGCACATGCCTACTGTGGTGATGTTGGTTACAGCTACTGTCAATATTGCCAGTGGCATCTAAAACCTTCCTGTGCCGTCCTCAAGCTCTCCCAGGCTGGAGATTTCAGAAGTTAGAAAGCTCCTGGAGTCCCATCCTCTCTGGGAGGCATTTGAATGTGAAGCCCTGGTAGAGAGTGGAAGGCTGGGTGGCCTTGGAGTGACATCCTTCCAGCTGCTGCAGGCCCTTGGCCTTGTACAAGACAAGAAGCTACCCCCTGGTCCCTTTCATGCCCTGGTCCTGTGCCCGGGCTGGAAGAAAGCTCATTCATATCTCACTTTTACAAGACAGGCAGCCATTTGTAACATCCTGACATTCCCCCAAGCAGTTGGCTCTTGTAAGTATAATAATAATGATCTAAATGACAAATAGCAGTAAAATTGAATGACAGTGGCCTTGTTGGGGGTCTGTCTTTGAAGCCACAGCTCAACCTCCCATGTGCAGCAGGGAAATCCGCCAGCTCTAGCCCTTCTTGCCAACTCTGCCTCTCCTTTTGTGAGTTTCTCCATTATGGGAAACCAGATTGGCGTCACAGCCCCTTGCCTGGGGCTTCAGGATATCAGGCAGCCCTGGGCTTGGCTGTAAGCCCACATTGGCCCACAAGTGCCAGAGACACCTGCTCCTATCCCCATAGGGGACAGACAAGAGAGTCTCCTCATCCATTCCATGGTCTCTGAGCCTGGTCCTCAGCCCAAAGCTGGCTCCCTAGACCAATGAGAGCCAGAGAACCAGAATGGGCCATAGGAGCCGGTGGAATTCAGAGGGTCTCAGCCAGCACTGTCCAACAAAAGTAAAATACAAGCCGAAACTGCGTTTAGCAGCCAAGTTTTTAACAAGTTGGAAAGGAAACAGATGAAGTTAATTTATTAATAAAAACATTTAATGAAGGCCAGGCATGGTGGCTCACGCCTGTAATCCCAGCGCTTTGGGAGGCCGAGGCAGGCAGATCACCTGAGATCAGGAGTTCAAGACCATCCTGGCCAACATGGTGAAACCCCATCTCTACAAAAATATAAAAATTAGCCAGGCATAATGATGGGTGCCTATAATCCCAGCTACTCGGGAGACTGAGGCGGGAGAATCGCTTGAACCTGGGAGGCAGAGGTTGCAGTGAGCCGAGATCGTGTCATCGTGTCACTGCATTCCGGCCTGGTCGACAGAGCAAGACTTTGTCTATATATATATATATATATATATATATATATATATATCCATATATATACATATTTGTCCATATATATATATTTGTCTTTATATATATATGTCTTTATATTTGTCTTTATATATATATGTCTTTATATATATATGTCTTTATATATATATATATATGAGCTATTTTGCATTTTTTATACTAAGTCTTCAAAATATGATGTGGATTTCACACCTACAGCACATCTCAGTTTGGACTAGCCACATTTCATCTGCTCAGAAACCACAAGTGGCCAGTGGCCACTGTATTGGATAGTGGCTCTAGACAGCTGAATAGGGACAGTATAGCCAACATCCTAAGTCGTGTGTATCTGAATGTTTATCTTCCAGTGGGGCTCTCTAACACTATTTTCCCTTTTACAGTGAGGCTTTGGTTAACCAGAGGTATTTATTAACCACAACTGCTCATTGAGAGAAAGATATGCTTTATTCCAAAAATGAATTTGCAGCGGTGAGGTTGTGCCCTATACCTGTAACTGAGATCTTCAGGACCTCCCGTGTTATCTGGTACACAACAAGCCAAAGGTGACACGTTTCTCTGGGAAAAAATGCTCTGGCTAGATTCTAAACCCCATCCTATTGTTACAATTGAAGGCACTGCAGTGTTCAGAGTGACTTTGTAATCTTGGCCCAGTGGCTGAGCAGGCGGGCTCTATGCGGCTGATGAGGATGAGTGCTGTCACGAGAAAAACGAGCCTTGGCGCTTGGCATTCTGCTTTTGGTAAGCCTTGGAGGAAGGAGAGCGTGTTATCAGAAGGAGTCATGGGAATTTAATGCCTTGGAAATAGAAAATGAAGAGCCAGCTGGGAGCCAACTTGTTGTAGAACTTAAAGCAAAACCAATCAGGTGGCCATGGCCTTTAGGATTCATGAATCCTTCTGACCAGAAACAGGGCTCCCACACCCTTGCCTGTTGATGGCTTTCCAATTCGGACATCAGTTTCCATCACCCAAGCAGAGAGATGTGGTTGGCAAGACTGCTCAGATATTTGTAGAATATAGGATAGGAAACAAAGTATAACCTCCTTTGTTCAGCCCTCACTGATCCTTTACCTGATACACACAGCAACACTGTTGCTTCAGCCCTGCCACTGTTAAAAACAAACTCACTTTGGGAGGCCAAGGCAGGTGGATCACCTGAGGTCAGGAGTTCGAGACCAGTCTGGGCAACATGGCAAAACCCTGTCTCTACTAAAAATACAAAAATTAGCTGGGCATGGTGGTGGGAGTCTATAATTCCAGCTACTCAGGAGGCTGGGGCAGAAGAATTGCTTGAACCCGGGAGGCAGAGGTTGCAGTGAGCAGAGATTGCACCATTGCACTCCAGCCTGGGTAACAAAAGCGAAACTCCTTCTCAAAAAAAAAAAAAAAAAAATTTAATGAAACACCAAGTAACATAACATACACAGATGGTGGGGACTGGCTTTAACCAAGTTAAACATAGTTTAACATAGTTACAAGAGCAAATTTTATTCAAGTGCTTTTGAAATATAGTTACTTAAAACAACTGAAATGATGCTTTCCAATAAATCATCTTAATCCTCTGGGCCCTTTGATTAATATTTCATTAATCCCAGTATCAATGTATTTGAAAATACATTGAAAAGATAAAATTATATCTTTAAAATAAATGTGTCAGTATTCAGTTCCACATATTAATTGATTGGCTTTGAGCAAGTCTTTAAACTTAGAGAACCTATTTTCTCCCTATAAAATGAGAATATACAGTAAGACCTCACTTAACATTATCGATAGGTTCTTGGAAACTGTGACTTCAAGTGAAATGATGTATAACAAAACTAGGTTTTTCTCCCTCATCAGCATTATAAGGAAATGATGTTATTTGAGGACCTGCTGTATGTTGTTTTGCTTAAAATCACAGTTTCCAAGAACTTACTGCTGGTACGGAGTGAAGACGGACTGTAATAACAACTCTGCATCATCAGATTACACAAGATGTGTGTAGTGGGTACAACCTGCATTTGGTGCCCAGAAGGTGGATTTTCACTCACCCAAAGAGAATTTCTGTTGCCCTTCTACTTGGTCAGGACAGGATTTGTAGAAAAGCTGAGATTGTGTGATTCACTTACATGAAGGAGGAAGTTTTTAGAATGGACAACTCTTGCTGCCACAGCAATCCCTGAAATCTCAGTGGCTTAACACAACCAATATTTCCTTACTGCTCACACACAGTCTGATGCAAATCAGGCAACCCTCCTCCATCTTGCAACTGAGCCATCTGGAACAGGTGGCCCCTAGAATCACAGTGACAGGAGGCAAATGGGCTTTTAATTGCCTCAACCCAAAAGGGCAACATCACTTCCTCTCCCTGTCCATTGGCCAGAACTAGTCATGTGGCTCCAAAGCAGAGGAGATTATGAAATGTAGGGGAGCACATGGGCTGTTTGGGGAATACTATCTGATGCTGAAGGTTTGCTCCTATCATTCTAATTTATTCTCTGATATGGCAATATGATAGCCTATTAAGCGTCTTCCCACTGACTTGTTTTGTTTTGTTTTGAGATGAAGTCTTACTCTGTTGCCCAGTCTAGAGTACAGTGGCACAATCTCAGCTCGCTGTAAACTCTGCCTCCCATTTTCCTGCCTCAGCCTCCTGAGTAGCTGGGATTACAGGTGTGTGCCACCGGACCCAGCTAATTTTTGTATTTTTAGTAGAGACAGAGTTTCACCATGTTGGCCACTCCGGTCCCAAACTCCTGACCTCAAGTGATCCGCCCGCCTGGGCCGCCCAAAGTGCTGGGATTACAAGCGTGAGCCACCATGCCCAGCCATTTTTTTTTTTTTTTTTGGGGGGGAGAGATTAGGGTCTTGCTATGTTGCCCAAGCTGGTCTCCAATTCCTGGACTCAAGTGATCCTCTTGCCTCGGCCTCCCGAGCTACTGGGATTACAGGCATGAGCCACTGTGCCTTTCCCCTATTCATTTTTAAGTTTGCTTTCTGGGGTAGGTTTATCTTTATCATTAACCTAGGTTTTACACCACTGGAATTGAAGTGAAATTATCCCCCCACTGCAATTAGTCCATTTTCACACTGCTATAAAGAACTACCTGATACTGGGTAATTTCCGAAGTAAAGAAGCTTAACAAGAAGCATGACTAGGAGGTCTCAGGAAACTTACAATCATGGCGGAAGGCAGAGGGGAAGTAAGCATGTCTTACCATGGCGGAGCAGGGGAGAGAGAGAGAGACAACAAGGCGGGAAGCGCCAAACACTTTTAAACCATCAGATCTTGTGAGAATTCACTCACTATCATGGAGAACAGCAAGGGGAAATCCGCCCCCATGAGCCAATCACCTCCCTCCAGGACCTTCCCCCAACAGGTGGGGATTGCAATTTGAGATGAGATTTGGGTGGGGACACGATATGGTTTATGGACACAAACCATATTGGGAGGTAAGTAGTGGCTTTCAGGAGTTGGCCGAGCAGTTTTAATGGATTTTTTTCCTTTGCTTAAGGGTGTAGGTTAAGTGTACTAAGCATGTGCTAAGTGGAGAATGGATAAGCAGACTTGATACTGCCACTATTCTCAAGGAAATGGCTTTGTTTTTGTTAGTTTGAAATGAGAATCCAGTGTATAAATCAGCTCTTGATCTTTTAGACTGACGGGCTGTGGAAGGGACAACTCATTTCAGTTAAAATAGGCATTTCCAGGCTGGGCATAGTGGCTGATACCTGTAATCCCAACACACCTATGCAACAAAGCAAAATCCTGTCTCTAAAAAAATTGTTAAAAAATTATCTGGGTGTGGTGGTGCATGCCTGTGGTCCCAGCTACTTAGGAGGCTGGGTGGGAGGATTGCTTGAGCCCAGGAGTTGAGGCTGCATTGAGCTATGATTATGCCACTGCCTTCCAGCCTGGGCAGCAGAGCAAGACACTGTCTCAAAAAAAAAAAAAAATAGTATTGCCAAATAGCCAGTATGAATCAGATCTTAATTTTCCTGTGTTTAATACTTTGCTTTGGATTGAACTGTTAGAGAAGTACTTCAGTAGCTAGCTGCTGAGTTACAAATATGTTGATTTTTTTCCTATGCATTTATCCTTTAACATTCTAGTCCCCCAGGACCATCTTGAGAACAGTGTGGCCTGCTGCACAAGCTTTTCTCCCTTGCAAATTTTGTTGGGGAAAGCCACATTTCCCACCTAGCATCACAGAGTGTGTTTTTCTTTAATTTTATAATTTGCAGCTCTACAAAGACTGTGTTGATAGGAGCAAGGTGTGTGAGACAATAATTATGTTTGTGGAACCTTGTCACATTTTCTTAGACTATTATTTTAGAGAACAGCCCTAAGCCAAGACATTGGGTCTTGTGATCCTTTTCAAAGAAAATCGTTGGGCTCGTTAATCCTTTGATTCAAGTCTTTTTTAAAATGATATTTTCCATTTTGACTAATTGAAGATTTCCCACTAAGATAAATGGAAGAGACTTATCATTTGATCAAAATTATAGCAGTGCTTGATGTTTGCCTACTACCCTACAGTTTTCAAACAAAATCCATTTACATTCACTCATTTAATTATCCCCCTGGTTTTTCTGGATAAGCAGAGTTTCCCATGGGTGGAATGCTTCCATTCTTGGGAATACTTTATATTTCCTCTCAGATTTATACATTTCTAGTTGGCACAGCTTCTGCCGTTCAGATGCAGGAAATAGAGAATGCCACTAGAGAAACAGATGGAAAGACAAGAAGCAGATCCAAGTATGTGTAAGTTCATTTGTTCATTCATGCATCCAGTCACTTATCTATTTATTCATTATTCATTAAACAAAGTTATTAAATATACTATGGCAGTGTCTCCCATAGGAGGTAATATGATAGGATGTTTAAAAGTAGAATGCTGGAGTAGGAAATCTTCCATGTAAACATTTGTTCAGACACTTGCTAATTTTAAGTTTTTCACAATTTTTTAATCTAGGCAATTGGGAAATTATATAGTCAATCTGTCTTTATATGGTATAGCAGTTCTGTGTTTTCTGTTCTAACTTCAAAAAAACAAACGGAAACAGAATTGCCCAGTGATTACAATGGCACCAGCCTAGATCAGCCAGCATTTAGCTGACTCCCAGATGTGTAAGCACCCAGCCAAGATCAGCAATGCCCCCTGACTGGCCCCCTTTAAAGACTTAAACGTAGTCCTAAAATTAATATAGCACCTTCTTTCTGATCCAGGTAGAAGTACGTGTCTAAATGTTTCTAGCCCTATGGTAGTGTCTGCCACGGCAGCAGTAGCAATGGGAGCAGCTGTGTTAAGGAAGAGTGAGGGTTCCAACTTTTCTGCTGATCTGGGAAGTAGTGGATGTGGAGGGTTGCAGTGTCAGAGAAAAAGCAGCCAGTAGACCTAGGTCTCTTGGTGAAGGCGATGAGTTTGAGGAGTTCCTTGCCAAAGGCTGGGCTGGCTTAGATGAAGATGCACGTGTCTGGGAAGATAACTGGGATAATCTTAAGGCCAGAAGTTTGAGAATTTGGAAAACGGGCACTTGTTTACTGGTGGGAGTGAGCGTGCTACTGTTTTGAGTAACCTGGCAATGTGTCTTTTTTTTTTTTTTTGAGACAGCATCTCACTCTGTCGCCCAGGCTGGAGTGCAGTGGGGGCGATCTTGGCTCACTATACTCTGCCTCATGGGTTGAAGCAACTCTCCTGCCTCAGCCTCCCGAGTAGCTGGGATTACAGGCATGCACCACCACACCTGGCTACCTTTTTTGTATTTTTAGTAGAAACGGGGTTTCACCATGTTGGCCAGGCTGGCCTCAACCTCCTGACCTGAAGTAATCCACCCACCTCGGCTTCCCAAAGTTCTGGAATTACAGGCGTGAGCCACTGCCCCTGGCCAGCAATGTGTCTTAAAAAGTTTTACTTTTGAGTTAGAAGCATTTATTTTGACCCACCAATTCTATTGACAGGAATTTATTTTGCAGAAATAGTCAAAGGTCTTGCCAAGATACTCATGATATATTATTAAATAAACAAACTGACCACAAAATAGCAGGCTCACATAATTCAGTTTTTAATGCATATGTACACACATATCACACCTAGAAAAAAATATGGAAAGGTTTTATATGGAAATAACATTAATATTTCTGGATAGTGATCATAAACAATTTTACTTCCTTATTTCTTTTTTTTTATTTTTTTTGAGACGGAGTCTCGCTCTCTTGCCCAGGCTAGAGTGCAGTGGTATGCAGTCTTGGCTCATTGCAACCTCCACCTCCCGGGTTCAAGCGATTCTCCTACCTCAGCCTCCCAAGTAGCTGGGACTACAGGCAGGCATCACCATGCCCAGCTAATTTTTGTATTTATAGTAGAGACAGGGTTTTACCATGTTGTCCAGGATGGTCTCCATCTCTTGACCCTCATGATCCACCCGCCTTGGCCTCCCAAAGTGCTGGGATTACAGGCATGAGCCACCACGCCCGCCGCTTCCTTATTTCTTTAGCTTTTCATTTTCTTCCTAATTGTTCTTTAATGAGCATGCATGGCTTCTGGAATTTTTTTTAAAAGCACAAAAAGATTATTTTTAACAGAATGGTTTTACCTGGTAATGGAAAATATAATGACATTGGTATCAGGGAGATAAATTCAGTCCAGTCCTTTTGGGAGAGCAATTTACCATTGTATCAAAGGTTATAAAAATATGCAACTCCTTTGATGCAAAATTTTGTCTGGGAACTGGAATGAGATGTATCATCCCCGGGTAATAGACTGGAGACTCATTTCTTGGGGTTTCTTATGTGTGTATTTTCCAAGTTTTCAGAAAAGAATGTGCAGAACAAAGGTTGTAAAAGAAATTAGAGACTCCTTGTAGGTTCCTATGTTTATATCATTTTCTTGTCAAGGAAATGAGCTACAAAGGTGCCAGATCTAATCTTGTTTACCCTTGTTACTGCCCACACTTAAACTGTTGGTGCTTGTGTTTCTCATCCTACATGCAGAAATATTAGTAATACATTAAAGAAATGAAAGTGGGCAGACATGCAGAAAGTTTTATGTCCGAGGACATTTAATTAGACATTCTGGGCCATTAAAAAAAAAAAATCCCAGAACATTTCAAAGTAAAAGTTGTAAGCGAAATGGCAGAATGGTTATGCTGAGTACCTGTTAGTGTGTCTTGACCTTGAATCCTGGCATGTGATCCATGGGTCTGGGAATTGTGTGCAGCAGGTACACAGCGTACCTGAGAGGTAATGAAGCCAGTGTTTTAATAAGCCCTGCCATACTTAGAAATTCAAATCCATGTTACTCCCTTCCACGAAGGGAGGTTATAGAATTATTCTAGTACTTCTGATAGCCACAAAGGTAGAAGGAAGTGTAGAATGAGCTCCCTGTGGACCCATCACCAATTTCAACAGCTGCCAGCATTTGCCAACTCATTTCATTTATTTTTCTCCCACCTCATTTATTGAAGTGTTTTTTTTTAATTTAAGATATGTCAGTTCACCCATAAATACTTTATCTCTTTTCTATTTCACCCATAAATATACTCATTTCTAACTGATAAGCACACTTTAAAAATGTTTTAATAGTATTATTACTTTTTAAGAGACAGAGTCTTGCTACGTTGCCCAGGCTAGCCTCAAACTCCTGGGCTCAAGTGATCCTCCTGCCTCAGCCTCCCAAGTAGCTGGGACTCCAGACTCACACCACCACACCCAGCCAGAAAACATGTTTTCTAACTAGTCAACATACCATTATGCCACCTAACAAAATGAATGGTAAGTCCTCAGTATCATCTGACATCCAGATTGTATCTTAATTTTCCCAGTTGTTTCAAATTTTCTTTGTTGCAGTTGGCTCTAGATACTATATTTGCTTACTATATTTTATGTCTTTTAAAAAGTGTTTTAAAACTTCTGTTTTTCAATAGACTGAATGTATATCATTGCACTTCTCTGTGCAACACAAGAAAACTATAATGTTTCCTTATCATCATCCTTACTATTATACTCTTAGTAAAGCCCTGTTACATAGTTTGATCATCTTATATGTCAGACTCAAACTCTGAATGACCTCTGGCTTTTCCTTTTTTTTTTTTTTTTTTTAATTAAAAAAATTTTTTTTAATAGAGACAGGATCTTACTATGTCACCCAAGCTGGTTTCAAACTCCTGGACTCAAGCAATCTTCCTGCCTCAGCCTCCCAAAGTGCTGGGATTAGAGGTGTGAGCTGCTGCACCCGGCCTCTGGCTTTTTCTCAAAATTAAATCCACCTCAGTGTCCACATACTTTCTGCCAGGGAGGATAATTAAAACTACCTTCAGACAGTGCTGTGGCATCTCCAGGTGGATTCAGAACAAGATTCCCCAAACCAGCCGTGGGCAGTGAATCACGGGGTGATAGTTCTCCGTGTGTCTGATTTGAAGGGTCCTCTTCCCTTGGCGTAACATCAAAGACAGATCTTAGCACCTCATCTGCATGAACTGAGTGTATAAATGCCTACCTGCTTGACTTACCTGTTCTGACAGGGGCTATTGGACTTACCACTAATGTAATTGATGTGTTTGTTTTCACACAGATAATCGCTTATCAGCCGTATGGAAAATCTGTGGACTGGTGGGCCTATGGCGTCCTGTTGTATGAAATGCTTGCCGGGCAGGTAATGTTTTGCTACATTTTCATGTTTGTTTATTGCTGTGTTATGTGAATACTTCAGCTCTGGTTGGGCCTCGAGAGCAAGACCTGACGTTTTAGTGCAGCTGGTGTTGGCGTGACTTCCCTGACCCAGGCGAAAGAGGGAGAAACGCCCCCTTCAAAGTGGATCACGTTCAGTATGCACAGAAATTATCTCTGGTCATAGAAACTCCAAATTGAAAGCTACAACCTGGAGTGTAGACAGTGTCAGTTTCACGTTATGAAATGTACATGTTGGCCAGGCGCGGTGGCTCATGGCTATAATCCCAGCACTTTCAGAAGCCAAGGCAGGCGGATCGCCTGAGGTCAGGAGTTCGAGACCACCCTGGCCAACATGGCGAAACCCCATCTCTACTAAAAATACAAAAATTAGCCAGGCGTGGTGGTGCACATCTGTAAACTCAGCTACTTGAGCTACTGAGGCATGAGAATTGCTTAAGCCTGAGAGGCGGAGGCTGCAGTGAGCCAAGATCGTGCCACTGCACTGCAGCCTGGGCAACAGAGTGAGACGGTCTCAAAAAAGAAAAAAATGTGCACGTTGATGACAGCAGTGGCCTCTAAGTTTTCAGTATCTTAAAACTGGGGTTGGGTTATATGGTTCCCTGCAAGTTTGTCTGCAAAGATTGCCCCAGCTGCTGCCAATGTGTGTAATTAGTATTATTATTTAAGGAAGAAGACAGTTACCTTGAAGAAGTGTTTTAATAGTTTCTCCCCATCTCCTCCTATCTCACCCTTGGCAATTCGTTGTAATTTTCACTGAAGTCCAGTGAGGCTGAACATCCAGTTAAGGAAGGTAAATTAGCTTTCTCTTATGATGTGACATGTACCAGATAACCATGTGCCTTATTGCCTAACATGGCACTTTCTAATATAATGGCCTTAATATCTGTGTCATCAGGGTGAATCGTACTATCTGCCACTTCTAGGCCTGGCCCCTAAGACATCCTTTATGACTGTCCTCATGCTCTAGGCTGAAATTAGGAGGAATTAGTGGAGAAATCTGAGACCCTACAAGATGGTGGTGCTGATGGATGCGAGAAGCCTGAGTCTTTGAATGACCCTGTGGTCAGTGCCCACCCCCACATAGGACACTTCCGTGGCAAAGTCCCATGTGGGGGTGGGGCACTGACCCACAGGTTCATTCAAGGACACAGGTTTCTCCTGTCCGTCAGCCCTACTACCTTTTAGGGTCTCAGATTTCTCCGCTAATTCCTCCTCCTTTCAGCCGAGCACAGATCAGTTACATAGGATATCTTAGGGGCCGGCCTAGAAATGGCATGTATCACTTCTGCCTAGGTTCCACTGGCCACTTGGCCCCAGTGGGACACAAAGAGGCAGGAAGTATAGCATATCTGAGAGCTCAGCAGGGGAAGCAGGCTTGGTAATCACGAAGCAGGCTTGGTAATCACCCAGCAGATCTCTGCCTTATACTAAACATGATTCTGCCGTGGGCAGCTTTTTATAATTCCCAGCACTCACATGCTAGTGCCAAGACCTGTGACTCTCCATAGCCAGAAGCCTTAGTCAGAGACAATGGAAAGAGATGGCCATGCTGTGCGACAGAGCCACCCCCAAAGACATCTTTGTTTCTGGGGAAAAAGTCTTCCCTTCCCACATGTTACGTCCATTGACTCATTTATTCATTCACTCACCACGTATTTATTCACTGAATGCTTACAATGTGCATGGCCATAAGGATGAACAAAACAGACGAGAATCCTTAACTTCGTGAAGCTTACAGCTTAGAGGAGGAGAGACAGCAGACAGGTTAGATAAGGAAAATGTATAACACAGCAGAGGTAAGCTAGGAAGAAAAGTAATAAAGCAGGAAAGAAGATAGTGTTGGGGGAGGTTGAAATTGGCCAGAGAGGATAAGGTTAAGACCTAAAGGAAGTATGGGGTTGTCTGTGTGCATATCTGTTGAAAGGGCATTCCAGGCAGAGGGAGCCACCACGCGAAGGCCCTAAGGCCAGGGAATGTGCAGCCACGTTTAAGAAATGGAAGCTCCCAGCAGGGCTAGAGCAGAATTGAGCTAGAGAGGGAGGGAGTAGGAGGCCTGAGGCCAGAGAGGAAGAGGCTCTGGATCCTGTTGTTAGCAGTGGTGCATCCCCATGAGGCTGCAGCAACCTCAGTTCTTGCCTCCTCAGAAGAAAGAATTTGACTGTGGGGCATCAGGTAGAGTGAGAGCCTAAGACAAGCTGTTTCTGTTTTGTTTTGTTTTGTTTTTGAGATGGAGTTTTGCTCTGTTGCCCAGGCTGGAGTCGGTGGCGCGATCTCAGCTCACTGCACCCTCCGCCTCCCAGGTTCAAGCAATTTTCTGCCTCAGCCTCCTTAGTAGCTGGGATTACAGGCACCTGCCAACACGCTTGGCTAATTTTTGTATTTTTAGTAAAGACGGGGTTTCACCATCTTGGCCAGGCTGGTCCTGAGCTCCTGACCTCGTGATCCACCCGCCTCAGCCTCCCAAAGTGCTGGGATTACAGGCATGAGCCACTGCACCTGGCCTAAGACAAGTTTTAGAGAGGAATGAAAGTTCATGGAAAAGCTTTCAAGCAGGAGCAAAAGGAAGTAAAGTACACTTGGAAGAGGGCCAAGCCGGCGACTTGAGAGATCTAGTGCACTCTTTGACTTTTGACTTGGGGTTTTATGCATTGGTGTTCTTCCAGGGTCTTACATCTCTTCTCCCCTGATTCTTCCCTTGGGTTGGGCTGTCTGCGTGCGCAGTGGCCTGCTAGTGCTTGGGAGGGGCGGCATGTGCAGTGTGTTTACTGGAGTTACGTGTGTGCTCAGCTGAGGCATTCTTCCCTTACCAGTCAGATGTCCTAGAAGGTGGTGTACCAGTTAAACTCCGCCATGTTGCCTTTTCATGCGCGTGCTTGAGCCCACTCGCCCAACTCCTGAAATCTTATTGGGAAGCTGCTGCTCACCAGTTTCAGGTGTTTCCCTTTATTGGGAGACTGCCTTTCCTTGGTGCTGGCTGCGACCAATTATTATTTTACAGAGAGAGAGTTAACCACCTGATGGTCGCCTGACATTCCTGGTGGGTAGGGGGAGCCCTCTCCTGCCCTGCCCATGTCCGAACAGCCACCTGTTGTAACACTGTGACCATGAACGTCATCTCCAGATCAGCGGCTTTGCCTCTAGGATGGGAGGCTGTGGATGATCTCTCCTTTATGTGTCTTTCATTATATTTCCTAAATACTGAAATGGTCTTGTAGACATTGAAAGACATAAAGCTTTAGCCTGCATTTGATCATTATTTCTCAATGGTGTTAAGGCTTGACTGACATCAAAAGAGTGGTTTATTATTTATTTAGTTCCCCTCCCCCCACCCCAAATCAAAGCATTCCTCTTAGGCCAAATACGTCCGGGTGTAAACACAGAAAGGCAGTTCGTACACAGTCACCATCAGTGAGTCAATGGCTGGAGAAACAGGAGTTGTCTGCTCCTCAAGTTAATTTCCCCCTCTTTAAAATTTTTACAGTAAAATTCGGCTCTGAATTACAGGCCCCCTAAGAGTCCTGCTTTTCATGAAGTCACAAAAAGCCAAGTCCCCCTCTTGATCCCACTTGAATGTTCAGCTCTTGAGTCTGGAAAACAAACCCTGCTTTCATTAAGAGTCACATTTGCATATGCTAACATGCAAAAGGGGCTGGGCGGAAACGAAGCCAGGATCTGTTTCCGAGGGCGCTTTACAAGAGGTCACGTGAGTAGACTCTTGGCCAGCAGGAGACAAGAATTTCAGAACCCAGGTCTGCAGGAAAGTCCTCCTCCCTCCCGCAGCCTGGCTTCTCCCCTCTCCAAGCCTTCCTGGGATCTCATTCACTAGGGGAGAACTCAGGGAATGCTTTCTTCTGGCAGAGAAGTCCCCTTTGGGGGGTGCATTTTGAAGCTCTGCCACACTGGCCTCAGACCTCATTTGCAAATTGGCCTGAGGTGATTTACAGGCCTTATTTAAAGGTTTCCCTACTAAGCTCACGCCCCCTGGAGAGCACCAGGCTCCAGCTCTCAATAGTTCTGCAAACTTTCTGGCCTGTTTCCAATATTTCCCACACTGCTTCTCAGAGCCACTTAGCCTGCCTTATATGCATACTTTCAGGTCTCCATCATCTCTATTAAAAACGGTGATGGCTGGGCCCGGTGGCTCACACCTGTAATCCCAGCACTTCGGGAGGCCGAGGCGGGCGGATCACGAGGTCAGGAGATTGAGACCATCCTGGCTAACACAGTGAAACCCCATCTCTACTAAAAATGCAAAAAAAAATTAGCCGAGTGTGGTGGCGGGCGCCTGTAGTCCCAGCTACTCGGGAGGCTGAGGCAGGAGAATGGCGTGAACCCGGGAGGCGGAGCTTGCAGTGAGCCGAGATCGCGCCACTGCACTGCAGCCTGGGCGACAGAGCGAGACTCCATCTCAAAAAAATAAAAGAAAAAAAGAAAACGGTGATATTCTTTAAAGATGACACCTTAGACCAGGTGCAGTGGCTCATCCCTTTGGGGCCCTTGGGAGGCCAAGGTGGGTGGATCACTTGAGTCCAGGAGTTCGAGACCAGGGCAACATGACAAAATCCCGTCTACAAAAGATGCAAAAATGAGCTGGGCGTGGTGGCAAGTGCCTGTCATCCCAGCTACGTAGGAGGCTGAGGTGGGAGGATTGATCGAGCCCGGGGGGTCAAGGCTAGCAGTGAGCTGTGATCATCACACCACTGCACTCCAGCCTGGGTGAGAGAGTGAGACCCTGTCTCCAAAAAAAAAAAAAAAAACAACAACTCCTTAAAGGCACTCCACATTCTGGTGCAATGGCAGGCACAGATAACAGCCTTTGTTCCTCTAAATCTCCACCTCACCCGCCTCAAACACAGTGTTTTCATTCAAATCCCCTTCTTCATCTTTCTCTCTGACTCCTCAATGCAAATTTAAATGTATTCCTAGGCTGTCACTCAGCTCAGAAAGGATAATGAAGGCTCTACCCAGTATTATCCACAGCCCCTCCAAGCTTCAGCAATCCCAGAGACCCAGCAAACGGAATAGATGTTGTTATTGAAAAGTAAGATTAATGATAAAGTCGTTGACAGGGTTTTGGTCTAAGTTTGTCCTCTTTAATCGCAGAGGGCTGAAGATGAGCAGGAAAAAAATAGTTTATTGCCATTTTCTTCTCATTTGCTTTATTTATTGTCAGCAGCCAAGGGGGCAGTTAAGAATAAACAGCCTCAGTCTTTATTCAGTTCCTGGACTGCTTGACAAATACAATCACTTTTGGGGCATAAATAGTGTTTACCCAGCACTCTAATGAGCACCTTGTGCCTGCAAGTGTTCTCGGTGATCGTCATAAAGGGACCAGCCCTCTCCTTATGCCCTTTTCTCCCTGGGTTATTTATGCTTTGATTTCACTCCTACTGAATCAGTAATCGCCACTTCATCTTAACTTCGGCCTGAATTGTCCAGGGGAGCATGCCTAGCCCCCAGCCCAGGTTTCCGTGATTTGCAAATAAGCGTGGCCTCCATGACCACTTCCTAGCTGAGATCACACCAGTGCAGTGAGGTGGCTCACAGCTGTGATTAGGAATCCTTTTTTGCAAAATGTGAACCATCACTCCTCATGTGTTGGTTTCCACAAATCACATATTGTTAAAGTGGGAAGGAGCGGGTGAGAGGGGATAGAACCCATTCAGAAAATGTTTACACCAACCCAAGACTTTTCAACAGGTAGCTTAGCCTGGAACATTGAGTCCAAATTTGTAGAAATTAAAAACCATGGGAATGGGGGAAAGAGGCGAGAGAAGGCATCCAAAATGGTAATGTACTAAAGCACCTGAGTGACACGTTACCCCCATGGTCCCCAGGCTAAGTGGCTGGCAGTACCAGAAAGGAAAAGGAATAGAATTAGTAACTTTTCACCGTTCCCTTGCCTTCAACGCCAGGGCCTGAGAGCGAGTGATTACCTGTCAGATGCTCCAGGGAGACTTGAGCCTAGAGAGACTTAACAAAGGCCGTAAATGTGTTCACATTTTTTTAGGCTGCAGGATGCCACACCTGGGACGTTATTATGGGGATGTGATTCAGAGAAGAAAACAATGATATGCACAGGTGTCTCTAGTAGCGTTAGTGATGAGGGTACATGCTGGAAGCAATTGTAAATGTGCCATGGAACAGTGGATCTGTCCTGATGACGCATCACCTCAATGGCATTCAACTCATGGGAACACTGGCAGCAACAAAGAAAATGTATTTGCAACAGTCGGTGAAAAACAAAAAAACTCCAAATTATGCATCATAATTTGAAAATAATATAAGAGGCTGGGTACGGTGGTTCACACCTATAGTCTCAGCACTTTGGGAGGCCCAGGTGGGTGGATCACGAGGTCAGGAGTTTGTAGACCAGCCTGGCCAAGATGGTGAAACCCCATCTCTACTAAAAATACAAAAATTAGTTGGGCGTGGTGGTGCACACCTGTAATCCCAGCTACTCAGGAGGCTGAGGTGGGAGAATCGCTTGAACCTGGGAGGCGGAAGGTTGCAGTGAGCCATGATCGCACCACTGCACTCTAGCCTGGGTGACAGGCAAGACTTAGTCTCAAAAAAAAGAGAAAATAATATAAGAAAGCATAAGAACCCACATAAAAATAAGCGCAATTTTTGTGTCCAGGTAAAGGGAATGGGGATGCTTTTTTCGTAGACTTCCCTTCCACACCATATTACATAATTTTCGTTTAAAATAGGGCTTCAGGCCAGGCGTGGTGACACACACCTGTAATCCCAGCACTTTGAGAGGCCAAGGCGGGCAGATCACTTGAGGTCAGGAGTTCAAGACCAGCCTGGTCAACATGGTGAAACTCCATCTCTAATAAAAATATAAAAAATTAGCCAGGCGTGGTGACGTGCACCTGTAATCCCAGCCACTCAGGAGGCTGAGGCAAGAGAATCACTTGAACCCAGGAGGCAGAGGCTTCAGTGAGCTGAGATCGCACCACTGCACTCCAGCGAGTGAGACTCCATCTCAAAAAAATAAAAAATATAAAAATAAAACACGGGCTCCAGGGAGCTTTTCTGAATGTGCTGGTCATTACTGCTATTCACCAGGTACTCCCAGTCTTCCTCCCTCCTGGCTCAGTAGGATTGTACTTCCTTTCTCATGTGTATTTGTGGGGTGTCAGGGAGCAACATATGACCAGCACCGGCCAATGAGATCAGAGGGGAGGTGTCCAGGGTGGGGCTGGAAGCGCAGGTACAAGACATGGCAGAGCTGCTGCTCCAGCCTTTGCTGCAGCAAGACTGTGATGGCAGCTGCTCCATCCCGGTGGGTCCCCGAATGCAACCAGCAGAGGCCTCTCTGACCCTCAACGTACAGGTAGCATAAGCAGGAAGTGAAACGGGTTGTCTTATGCTTTGGAGATGGTCTCGGTTGTTTGTTTCCACAGCAGGACCCAGCCTATCCTTACTGATACCGGAAGGCACAGTTAAGATACCAATAGTCTACATCTTGAAGTAAGCCAGTCACAGGGACGTGTATCGTATCACCCCACTTACATGAGATGCCTAGAGTAGTCAAATCATAGCAACAGAAAGTTGAATGGTGGCTGTCAGGGGCTGAGAGGACAGGAGAATGGGGAGTCTCTTTTGTGAGTGGAGTTTCAGTTGGGAAGATGAAAAAGTTCTGGAGATGGCCAGTGGTGATGGTTACGGAGAAACATGAACGTACTTAATGCCACAGTACAGTGCACTTAAAAGCGGTTAAGATGGTAAATTTTGTGAGAGAGAGAGAGAGAGAGATATATATATATATATATAGTGTGTGTGTGTGTGTGTGTGTGTGTGTGTGAGTGAGTGTGAGTGTGACAGAGTCTTGCTCTGTTGCCCAGGCTGGAGTGCAGTGGTGCAATCTCGGCTCACCGCAACCTCTGCCTCCCGGGTTCAAGCAATTCTCCTGCTTCAGCCTCCCAGGTAGCAGGGACTACAGGCGCACTCTACCATGTCCAGCTAATTTTTGTATTTTTAGTAGAGATGGGGTTTCACCATGTTGGCCAGGCTGGTCTCAAACTCTTGACCTTGTGATCTGCCCACCTCGGCCTCCCAAAGTGCTGGGATTATAGGTGTGAGCCACCACACCCAGCCTGTGTTATATATATTTTATCACAATTAAGAAAAAATAGTCTCTATCTTTGCAACAGAGGTTATATATATTTTATCACAATTAAAAAAAAAATAGTCTCTATCTTTGCAACAGAGGAAACAGACTAGGAAAAAGGATGCCTTTGATTTGATGGTATTCCAAAGCTGGGAGGAGGCACTTAACTACTCCTCTTCCCTATACCCAAGAACAGCCCCCTTTTACCTTCTTCAGGTTCATGCCACCTTCAACCAGCAGGAATTTGGGGAAGCAACACAGAAGCTGCATCGGCCAGCAGCTGGGAAGGAGGGAGGCAGCCTGATTCCCATCAATTCATTAGAGCTGGAAAACCATGCCAGGTCTCTAGCGCAGAGGCCAGTCGCTCTCTACGGGATGACTTGAAACATCTCAGGCCCCCAGGGCTGCCCCACCCCCTTCATTTTCAGAACTCATCACTGCATATTGTGCAGGCTGTGAATCAGCCTTCTAAAATTTACCCCAACACCCTTGCCCTCATTAGAGTCTTCTTTACATGCTGGGTGGGGCTGTAGCCGAGTACCCTCTGCCTCACTTCACCCCTACCAGGAGCAGTGTTGGATGTCACCCTTCACAGTGGGGCAGGCGGAATTGCTCATAATGGCTAAGAGCCCCAGGCTCCAAATTCAGGATGCCTGGGTTAGCACCTGTGTCCTGAGACTGATTTGCGGAGTGAGCAGTGCCACCCAAGCCGTCTGCACAGCACGTGACATGCAGAGAGAGGCTGAGAAATGAACGCCACTGTGGTCACTTTCGCTGCTCCTACCCTCATGCCCACGATGCTCCTGCCTTATTGGGTAACATAGACTCACAGCGGTGAAAAACGTGAGGAGCAGAGACATGTCCCCTCCCTGACATGTGGTGACAGAGAATCCCTAATCCTTGGGGCCACATCAAGGCTGGAATGCACAGGCTCTGTCACGGGTGTTTGGTCTTGTGGCTTTGTTACAGCTTGGGCATCTTATTCCACCAGGCAAGCCTAAGAGGCCTCTGAGAATCCTTCCAGCCCTAGACTAAGAATTCACATTGAGTTAAACAGCTTTGTTCACTGCAGGACTTCTCAGGGCCTGTACAATTTAAATGTTAAAGCAAATTGCCAGAGAGGGGTAGAGGATGCAAACTTGGACCCAGGAAGATGCTGTAGGATTAATGTTCTAAGGAATATTCTTTGGGGAGTGTCAGTATCCAGCCTTCAGTGGGGCCCAGAGAAGACTTGACAGTAAAAGTCCTCCTTTCATCTATAGAATCGAATCCCTGATACAGCCATTCACCTTCAGAAATGAGCATACGTGGGGACAGCTCACCTGGCAAAGCTGGTTCCCATGCCAGGAGACAATTAAGTAGGTGTGGTAGGCCAGTGCCCTGCACAGAATGTTCCCCAAACGATTCCTGGCCTTCCACATTTGAAGGTGGGGTGGCTGCAGCTGCATTGACCTAATCGTCTTCAAATGAGGAGAAGCTTCTCACTACCCTACTCAAGACAGATTTCTGGGGAAGCTCCACCTGTGTTCCTTAGAGAACGTTTCTCTTAGGCCTTTGGTTTGCATTGTCTGTGACTTGGCCCCTGCAGCGTTCCTGCAGCTAAGATTCAAGCACCTCCAGAGAGGCTGATTGAATCTTGCTGGCGCCTTTGTCACTGCCCAACAAGGTGCACCCCATTTAGCCCGCTTCGGGGGCATGCAGCCTACACGGTCGCACAGGGCCCAAGCCCACAAGAGCTCTGTGCATTTGGTTTGGTGCTCCGCTGTCGCATCTGGAAATTCTTAATAATTTTTCAATGAGGGACTCCCGTTTTCATTTTGCACTGAGACTTGGAAAGTATGTGTCTGGCCCTGACCACAGGCCCTCTTGGGCCATGTGGTGAGGTGCCAGTCAGTGACCTGGAAGCAGAGCCTCTGCCCCGCTCCCTGCCAGGGCACATTTACATTGCAGAGAGGGTCACACAGCCAGTTCAGGAGCCTTGAGCCCCTGCAGGGTGCAGGCCACGCCCTCAGCAGAAACCACACCATGTTTTTGTTTTGGAAACAGAGTCTTGCTCTGTCTCCCAGGCTAGAGTGCAGCAGCGCAATCTCAGCTCAGTGCAACTTCCGCCTCCTGGGTTCAAGTGATTCTCGTGCCTCAGCCTCCCGAGGAGCTGGGACTACAGGCGTGCGCCACCACAGTCGGCTAATTTTTTGTGTTTTTAGTAGAGATGAAGTTTCGCTGTGTTGGCCAGGCTGGTCTTGAACTCCTGACCTCAGGTGATCCACCCACGTTGGCCTCCCAAAGTGCTGGGATTACAGGCGTGAGCCACCACGCCCAGCTACTACATTTGTTTTAGTTATGAAAATCTCCTTCGCCAAAACTCAGCCAGGTTTATGGATCACTGATTAGGGAAAATGAGAAATGTTATGGGTATCATAAAATAGATGTCCAGAAGAAGCAGGCTGCGTGCTGTTAGGCAGGGAAGATACGGTGGGGTGGACACAAGGATGACCTGCACTGTAGCTCCGTCACAGCTCTCCCCCACCACTGCCTGCCTGCCCTGCCCTCTACAGATGAAAGCCACACGTCCCCCTGATGGCACAGGTAGCTGTCCCTGCTGACACAGGTGGCCGTCGGCAGCCTGCACCCCCTGGTGGGTGCCCCCCCAAGCTGCCCTGGGGGCCTCTCAGGCTCCATGTTGCTCCTGCTGGTGGAAGTTGCTGTGGCCAGCTGCCCCTGCCCTGTTCTGAGTCCCTCACAGGCAGGCTCATTTTAGCTCTCTTCACCCACCTGCAGCTTCCACCAAATTGAACCTTCCTTACACCAAGCACTTACAACAGAAAAAGAGGCCTATTTATTTGTATTTCCAGACCAAAAAATGTTGAGTGGTACCAGACACCCAGGCCTCTCTCTGTCCTCCCACTGGGGCTCTCTGTAGACTTGGCATCTTTCCCTCAGGGCACGTGGCTCCTGTCCAGGACTGGGCAGGGGACTGAGGTCAGGTCTCGGGTGTTGGATGAACAGGTTGAGGTGATTTGTGGGTGGTGGTTGAGGGGAGGGACCTACTTGGCTCAACGGCTGCCTCTGACTTGGGAGAAAATGTTTGATAAGAAGGGCATCCTTCTGACTACTGCGAAGTTACCTGTGATCGAGGATTCAGTTCAAAATTAAGCCAAACACCATCACTGTGTGACCTGCCCGTGTCAGCCAAAGTGACTGACTCCTCTTTCCCACGAGAAAGGAACATCTCAAGATTAAACAAGAGGATTCTGTACAAGCGCTGGTCCTTGCTCTGCCTTTCTGACGCTAAGCTCAAGGTTACGCAGCCAAAGGGGGAGCATTACGGAATTTCCCATGAACGCTTTCCTCCTGTGCCATCCCGCCAGAGTGACCGGGAAGTGATGGATCCCTCAGGACTACAGACATGCTGGAGGAAAAAGTTCAAAGGGCATTGTGAGCTCAGCCTTTCCTCCTAGAAGGTGCTCAAGGCCCCTCCCAAGAGAGTTGCTCTGTCTTAAATAATAATACTGCTAAGTTGCCTTCATTCGGCGCTTATTGGGTACAACATAAAATACAAGGCACTTTACTCCCAGAAACCCCATCTTACAAGTTGGAGAACTGTGTTTTTGTTTTTGTTTTTGAGACGGAGTCTCGCTCTGTCACCCAGGCTGGAGTGCAGTGGTGCAATCTCAGCTCACTGCAAGCCCCGCCTCCCAGGTTCAGGCCATTCTCCTGCCTCAGCCTCCCCAGTAGCTGGGACTACAGGCGCTCGCCACCATGCCCGGCTAATTTTTTGTATTTTTAGTAGAGACGGGGTTTCACCATGTTAGCCAGGATGGTCTCGATCACCTGCCCTTGTGATCCGCCCGCCTCGGCCTCCCAAAGTGCTGGGATTACAGGCGTGAGCCACCGCGCCCGGCCTGGAGAACTGTGTTTTAAAGAACGAAGTCATTTGCCTGTGGACACCCAGCTGGGAAGTTAGTAGAGCTAGAATTCTGGTCCAGATCCACCTGACTCTAAAGCCACAAGGTCCCACGGGGCCACCGTGCCTTCCTCTCTCAGCCTGGTAACTGTAAACCCAGTCAAAGCGGATGAGGGAGGAGTCCAATGGAAGCTAAGGTCCCATCACTGCTGCTGTGCAGCTGGAAGGCCCTCCCTCAGAGCAGCTGCTTGTTGGGTCAGAGGCCCAGTGTGAATTACTGGGAACATCCTCTTAGGCCACGTTCTCAAGTCCCCTTCACCCCAAATGAAAGTGTTGGCATTTTCTACCGGCCACCCCCACCTTCTGACCACAAAGCCATCTGTAACCTAACTTGATCGTAATTAGATTTTTAGCACATAATTACAAGATTAATGGATTAATCATAATTTATTTGCAAATCATTAAAAACATTACTCAAAAACACTTTCCCTAAAGATTGTTTGGGTTGCCCAGGGCAAGATAATTAACGAGACAGAGGGGAAAAAATGAAAAACACACAACCGTCAATCTCATTAAAGATGATCAAATAAACCGTCAAGTTAGCTGAGCAAACTGTGCAGCCTGTGGTGGGGCTGAGAAACCTGGTCTGTTCCTTGGTGCTGAATTGGCTCTTCAGGCACCATGTGAATGAATTACTCTGCCTAAATACTTTCCCATCTTTCTTTTTTTCCGGAACAGCCTCCATTTGATGGTGAAGATGAAGACGAGCTATTTCAGTCTATCATGGAGCACAACGTTTCCTATCCAAAATCCTTGTCCAAGGAGGCTGTTTCTGTCTGCAAAGGAGTAAGTCGATTTGGATACCTTTTGTGATCATGGACCAAGAGCTTTGGTAGGAGAAATACTTTCCCCACACTTCTAAGAGAGATGGCAGAAACACCACAAACCCACACCACTGCATTTTGGCCATCGAGGGTTGGGGCTTGGTGTCATGCCCCAAGATAACCAGCACCCCAACTTTGGACAGCATGGATTAGTCTTGGCCTGTTTTGAACTCTGCACAAACCGAACCTTGTAGTGTTGCTCCTGGCCTGGCTGCTTTCACTCAATATGGTGATTGAGGATTTAGTTCCTCCTTTCATATTGCTATGCAGTGTTCCACTGTGTGAACACACCATCGTTTCCTTATCCATTCTACTGGGCAGGGCACAGTGGCGAAAGTGAAGGCCAAGAGAATGGATTGGAATCCCAATACTTCCTGGGACTCTGGCCCAGTCACCTAATGACTGTACCGCACTTTTCATTCTAATCCATTTCATAAAATTGTGGTGGGGACTACCAGATGTCATCAGAGTCCCTTAGAAAGTATGTGCTCTCGTCTCCTGTCTTACTTGGTGTGACTTAGTTCTTTCTTTGCTACACTTTTCTTGAGCTATAGCATACATACAGCAATTGGCACAAATCATCAATATGCTGATAAATGAATCTTCACAAAATGAATCCACCCATGTAATTGCACCCAGCTCAAGAAACCATGTTTCCACCACCCTGGAAGCCCTCTCCTGTCCCATCTACAGTCACTACCCCGCCCCAAGATAACCTGCCCCCCAACTTTGGACAGCATGGATTAGTCTTGCCTGTTTTGAACTCTGCACAAACTGAACCTTACAGTGTTGCTCCTGGCCTGGCTGCTTTCACTCAATATTGTGATTGAGGATTTTGTCTGCATTGCTGTGTGGGGCCATAGTTCCTCCTGTCATATTGCTGTGCAGTGTTCCACTGTGTGAACACACCATCGTTTCCTTATCCATTCTACTTCTGGTGGCTATTTGGATTGTTCCTGCTTTGGTTTGAGGCTGTTACAAACAGAACTGCTGTGAACCTTCTGGGGCATGTGTTTTGGTGAAGATATGCACACACTTTGGTTGAGGAAATGCTCTAGGAATAGAGTTGCTGGTCATGACTTGTCTAGTTTTGAATGGTCAAGAGTTAGATCACAAAGCTATTTTCAGGCTTAGTAAGATGGAGTACAATATACCCTTAACAGTATCTGGTGAGTGTGATCATTTGTGAGGCATTTGTCACGTGTCATCCAAGAGCAAGGCACTTGGAAGAGATACTGAGATCGGGAGGAACTGGCTTCTGCCTTCAGAGAGTTCATAGACAGTGTTTGTCTCTGTGTCCTGCAGTGGGCAAGTCGGAATTAACTAGTCGCCTTCCTTGTTATAGCATTTATTTTTCTAATCTATGAGTCTTTGATTGATAACATTTTGGCCCAGACAATACGTAGACATATGATGCTTATTATGGCATCCTCTGTGATGCTAGACTGTGATGCTTTCAGCACACACAATTTTTAGTGATTGCATGCTTTTTTTTTTATTACTAGATACATGTATAGCATGGTGTCTCCAAAACAGACAACGTGTGAGATGTCTGTTTAAATTCTTCTTCCATTTGGCCATGGGTTCAGATTGCTTCCTTGTTCCCTTGTCTTGAAAACCACCATAGGAAGGGCTATTCTTGCCAATGTCATTTTTGTGAGTTGGCTTCACTTCGTACAAGCCACTGAGTGTCTTGGTCAGCTCTCTGAGATGCTGTCCAGGCGTCCACAAAGTCAGGGCTGTAGGCAGAGCTAGGCAAATGGAAGGTGCTGTCTGTGGGAAGCCCTTGACATCCATTGTTCTCCTTTTCTCCTTTTCCTTTCTAGCTGATGACCAAACACCCAGCCAAGCGGCTGGGCTGTGGGCCTGAGGGGGAGAGGGACGTGAGAGAGCATGCCTTCTTCCGGAGGATCGACTGGGAAAAACTGGAGAACAGGGAGATCCAGCCACCATTCAAGCCCAAAGTGGTGAGTCCAGAAAAGCAGCCTGTTTTCGGAACCCCATGTCCCCAAATTCTGGGAGTATCCCACTCACCTCTTTTCTTGGAGAGAGGAGGCCGGTGCCCCTGGCTTGTACAGGGTGAGGAAACGGGCCAGGTTTCAGCCTTGTCCTCAGTCCTGTGGCCTCAGCAGCCGGGATTCCTGCTGCCTTCAGAGAGTAAGGACCGATAAGGCAGGGAGGGGAACCCTGTGCACACTTCATCCTCCAGCTGGACAGCTGCAGAGCACCCCCGCACGACTAGGGAGTGAGGGCAGCTGTGCTTTAGGTCTGGACTTTGTGGACTCGCACCCAGCAGGGCCGTATTCACAGCCTTCAGTCCTCAGCAGGACTCAGGCTTCGTGTCTGTCTCTGGTTTTCCTGGGTTTGCCTGGCACCGAAGGGAGCTCTGAAGCACAACCCCGTCCTAGCCAGCAACTAGGCAGGGCCTGGGCCCCGCCCCCTCTTCCACCACTGCCTCCACTGCGGGGAGTGAGTGTCAGCCACCAATTCTAATGTTGTCAGCTTTTTTCACACTCTCCCTGTTTGATTCCCATTTTTTTCATTTATTTAAACACTGTATGCCAGGCCCTGTTCTGAGTGCCTTACGAATATTAATTCACTCAATCATCCCAGCAGCCCTGTGAGATGGGTACTATGGTCCCCAGTTTGCAGTGGAGGAAACAGTCACAGAGAGGCTGAGTAACTTGCCAGAAGACACACAGCTGATAGATGGTGAAACCAGGACGAGTCTTTGTCCTCACCTACTGCACCATCGCTCCATCTCAGCAACTGCCCTGACGCTGATGCTGTGGGCCCTAATTGTTGATTGCGGCCAGCAAGTGCCTTTCATGTTTATATCTCTAGAGGTAAACTGAGAGCCTTTAAGAAGTCAGCCTGCTCACTCACCACCTGCCACTTTGCAGAGCCTCCAAGGGCGTCCTGTTTCTAAGGGCCGGGCGGACTGTGCCTTCCAGCTCTGCCACCATCTTGGCCAGCATCAGGCAGCTCCCCATTGTGCCTCTGCCCGGGGACTGCAGAGAGCTGCTTTATGCCACAGTCAGTTTCAGAAGCATCGCCCTGTTGGTTTCGCTCAAATGTGTCTCCTCTGACAGGTGCCCCATGAGCAGGCCAGGGGACCCACCTGGGGTGGCACAGTTGCCAACTGGGTGGCACACAGCCTTATTCTTAGAGCAGCAACTTCCTCACCATGTGTGCCTCTGTGTCCTCTACCCCAAGAATAAAACTGCTGTTGGTGAGCCCACTGGATTTTATTTTTCGAAGATATTTTTAGCACACACTGAAGAAAAACTAAAATTAATCAGGTCAGTTGACTTCCTCCTGAATCATCGTTTCAAATAAGGCCCTTTTGTATCTGACACCCCCGCCTTTTCTTTAGTCAGCCCTGCACACTGATTTCAGGGGGGTCTCACGGGCTCCTGCCCCTCAACATACAAAACCCGGTCTGGAGGTTTTTGGGGGTGGGGAGAGTGATTAATGGTGCTGCAAGTGGTCTCAGTAGAAAATTCTGTTAGGGATTATTTTTTTTTCCTCTTCTGCCTTTAATATTTATTTGTTGTCTTAAAATATGAAGGTTATGCAACAGCATCTTGAACACAGCTTAGTTTCTTTATAGGAACAACGTAGAGATGCGTACTGACCCCGCCTTGAGGGTTGGGCAAAATCCAATTACCTGTCAGTCACTTTCCAGAAAGCGATGAGTTGCAGCAAAACCAACCATAAAACATGTCTTTTTCTATTTATTGCCACGTTATGGCAGAAGAGAGTGTTTATTTGCATAGTCTCCCACATTTTGTGGATACTCGGCCCTAAGCTCGGATATAGGGAAGACAACAGGGCGACTTGGCTCCGCAGGCAAGAATGTGAACTGTTCTCTGTGGTCCACGGAAATCACAGGAAGCAAAATTGTACCCATGGCAGGCAGCTGAGTTAGGAGCAGTGTTTATTTATATTTTATTCCTGGAGCGCTACTGTTTGCTGGTTTTTTTTTTTTTTAAATTATTATACTTTAAGTTGTAGGGTACATGTGCACAATGTGCAGGTTTGTTACATATGTATACATGTGCCATGTCGGTGTGCTGCACCCATTAACTCGTCATTTAGCATTAGGTATATCTCCTAATGCTGTCCCTCCCCCCTCCCTTTTGTTTGTTTTTTAACTGAATGCTCGTTAAAATTAAGAAGGAAGGATAAATTGCCCCTGGCTGTGAAGAAATAGCCCCTGAACTCACAAACGGAGGCAGAAATTGTCGACCCAGGCCCTAAAACTGGAGGTTTCATGCAAAAGGCCCCGCTTGGTAAAAGCTCTGGCCAGAAGGAAGGAAGAGATTTCTCAGGCAGAAGCCCGTGTTCTGCTGGAAAACCTGTGCACAAAAGAGGAAGGAGCTAGAAAGAATACAGACAGACAGGAAATGGACCCACAGAGGGAACAACGACAGTGAAGATAGAAGCACGTGGCTGCAGGGAGACCCGTAGACGCTGTGTTCAAAAGCGGAGAGCGTCAAGGGCAGAGAGATAAATGGGGCAAGCTCTGGTTCCTGGAAGGGCAGCGATGTGCCTCTTGAGAGCTGTTTCCTGTAGTCCTTGCCCCGTGCCAGGCAGCCGAGTGAGGCTCATCGCAGCATGTCATGCAAGGGCTGGCACCACCGCCTTCAGCGGTCTCTGAGGACTGCACTCTGTTCAGTGGTGACACGCTGGGGCAGAGACACCACGCCAAGAGCCATTCCAGTGGCTGGAGAGGACATTTAGAACAGCAAAAAGCAACCAAAGTCGAAGCTGCACAATACGCTCTGGTTAATACAAACAGCAGGAGAGAACTAGCGGCGTAGAAAAGTTATTCTGGGATGTGGTGTTCCAGCTTCCTTGGTGAAAAATGTACTGTAGTTTCCTGATCCAGAGCTAACTGAAAAGTGAAATGTGTTTACAGAGCTGAGCATTCTCTAACGGGTCATTTTGTTATTTCAAAGAGAGATGTAGCAATGCCAGCCTAAATAGTGCTGCTGGAGAAACGATCAGGCAAATGTCACACAGCTAGCGACTCTCACCGTGAGCCCATTTCTGAGTGGCTCTCGCCTCTCAGCAGTTCTTATAATCCTGGCTCACCAACCTTTTCTGTCTTGGTGAAGTCTGCCTGATGGTTTTTTAGCAAGCGCTGGTGAGTCAGTTTCCCTGAGACTTGCAGGCTTAAGGACAGGTAGCTGTTCTCACGTGCGGTGATGCTCCTGGCTCCCATGGAATTAAACCTTTGCTTACTACCAAATACCAGTAGCGGGACTTCAGGTTCTCACAGTTATTTGCAAACTGCTTCTACAGATCAGATTGAGCTTGTAGGATCAGGAGTCTATCATCTTTGTTTTATTAATTTTTAAATTTTTTGAACCTCCAATGAAAGAGTCTTCCAGAATCACTGACTTCCCTAAGGAGGGTAGAAGCATTCCACTGCTGGACAGCCACAGAGCTTATCAGGGAATCATGGTTCCTCTAGTGTGCTGTCTTAATCCCTCTTCCTGACTGCCAGAGTGACTTGACTGAAGTTAACCTTTAGACCGCAGTGCCATGCAAAATGCGATCCCAGCGCAAAAAGCATCTCACAATGCCGTGATCCATCAGGAGGTTAGCACGGGACTTTCCATCTCACGGCGACATTAAGATCAAGATCTGCAGTACAGCTGTGGGCTGGATTCTGTATAAGGTCACACGTAAAGGAGAACAGAAAGAGGAGAGTGACCAGCATCGAGTGTGTGGGACAGTGGCCATCTCCCTTAGCAGTGGCCACCTTCCCTGGCAGTGGCCATCTCCCCTGGTGGTGGCAGGGTCCCATGGCGGTGGTCATCTCTCCTGGCAGTGGCAAGCCTGGAGGCTGAGATGTGAGGGAAGAACCTGCCCCTGTGGCAGTCAACAGTGGGAGAGTCCTGTCCTGGACAGAGCCATGTCTGTCCCTAAAAAGCTACCATGTGCCACCGTGAAGATGATGATTTTCTGGAAGATGGGACAATCACTTCTCAGGGATCATTTTGTAAAAACAAAAGCAAAGACAACCACAGACAGCAGTGCTGTGAGCCCTGGACACAGGCAGCCAACAACTAGCTCTTCCTCTTTATGAGCAAAACACAAAACGAGCTGGTTTCGGGGATCTCTTCAAGGAAGCACAATGTGAAGCATCCTCTGCTCCCCGGACATGAGGACGGTCAGCTCATTGAGGACCGTCAGCTCAGTGAGGACCGTCAGCTCAGTGAGGGCCATCAGTTCAGCCTGATGTTCTCAACAACAAACCCGAGTCATCAAAAAGAGGCCTGTAGGCCAGGCGTGGTGGCTCACGCCTGTAATCCCAGCACTTTGGGAGGTCGAGGCAGGTGGATCTCCTGAGGTCAGGAGTCCGAGACCAACCTGGCCAACATGGTGAAACCCCATCTCTACTAAAAATACAAAAATTAGCTGGGCATGGTAGCACACACCTGTAATCCCAGCTACTTGGGAGGCTGAGACAGGAGAATCGCTTGAACCTGGGAGGCGGAAGTTGCAGTGAGCCCAGATTGCGTCATTGCACTACAGCCTGGGCGACAAGAATGAAACTCCGTCTCAAAAAAAAAAAAAAAAAAAAAAAAAACCGGAATGTTCAGAAGAGTCTAGGTAAGGAGAAATTTTAAGTTTAAAACAGATGTCGCCTCTGGAAAGGGTAATCTTCAGTGACTGAAGGAGCAGTGGATGTCCACCCTACCTCCCAGCGTCAGGTGAGCGTGGAGGCACTGTGGGGAGGAGGGTACAGCCAGCAGCTTGGCCCAGCAACCAGAAGGCTCACCGAGGGAAGGAAAGCACTTTCGGCTTTGCCAGAAAAATAAAAGCTCCAGGATTCTGATCCACCGTCACTTTGAATTTTGTAGCTTTTTATTCTGATTTAGAATTAATGTGAATGAAATGGCCAAGAACAGCCTTCAAATTTCCACTCATCCTGCTTGTAATCAGTAGCAGTTTATACAAATACCAGGAGCATAAGGTTAATTGATTTTTCTTTTTTTAGTTCTAGCCGTTGGCACCAAGGAGCAGAATAGCTAGTTCATAGGCAAGCCAGAATCATTCACTGTACTTAAATGGTTATTAGAGAGGGAGAAATTAATCTATAATGTTAACACAAGAAATGTATTCCAGAGTGGTTAGGCAGAGCACATTGGAAATAGACCTTTCACAGATGGCCATTTTTTTTGTGAAATTACTTTAAGTATTCTGTTTTTTAAAAGGCAGAAAAATAGAACTTTCTTCAGGACATTGTCTCCAATGACCCACAGCAAGAGCCAAAGAGAATAAGAACATTGAGGACATCCCTGTAGTGAGAACACACAATCGGGGTTCCTTTTCCCAGTCACCACAAAGTCCTTCATTTCCCAGTGCCATTAGCTTGTTTAGAGAGCTTGATGATCATTTAATTATCGAAGCTGGTGCAAGGATCCTTTTTTTTTTTTAATTTTATTTTGAAATAATTTCCAATTTCAGACTTGTGGAAGGGCCAGGAAAGTAATTTAAAGAACTCCTGTATTCCTTTACCCAGGTTCCCTAAATGTGAACATTTTAGCATGTTCGTGTTATATTGTTTTTTTTGTTTTTTGGGGGGGGTTTTTTGTTTTTTTTTTTTTTGAGACGGAGTTTCGCTCTATCACCCAGGCTGGAGTGCAGTGGCGCGATATCAGCTCACTGCAACCTCCACCTCCCAGGTTCAAGCAATTCTCCTGCCTCAGCCTCCTGAGTAGCTGGGATTGCAGGCACCTGCCACCATGCCTGGCTAATTTTTTTTATATTTTTAGTAGAGATGGGGTTTTGCCATGTTGGCCAGGCTGGTCTCAAACTCCTGACCTCAAGTGATCTGACTGCCTCGGCCTCCCAAAGTGCTGAGATTACAGGCTGACCTCGGTATCATTCTTTTTCTATATCTCTGTCTGTGTGTAGGTACAGACATACACATCTGTTAGGTTGGAGCAAAAGTAATTGCGGTTTTTGCCGTTACTTTTCATTTTTTTTGCCATTACTTTTGCACCAACCTTAATATATACTTATTTTTTTCTGAACCATTTGAGAGTAAGTTGCAGAGTTAATGCTTCTTTACACCTAGATAATTCCATGTGTATTTCCTGAACATAAGGACATCTCCTGGTACTATGTTCTTTTAATAATTACTCCAGCAAGCTAGGTATGTAGTGCAGGGGCTCTGCAGGTAAAAGGAGGAGGGAGGGTCCCTGGCATGGCTGTGTCACAGATCAGATACCATAGGCAGCTTGGGCCACATCTCATCAGTTCTCTAGGGTGGCAGGCAGCTTCATTCTCTTGGCCTTTCTGTTGGGCCAGTAACAATGATGCCAATTAAAATTGAGATCTCAAGATGGGAAGGTTTGTCAACAACATACAAACACTAACCAGCCATTGGAGACTACAGAAGTCACATCATGCTGTATCTAGGTTTGATTTAAGCCTCTAAACTAGTCTAAGACAGCACCTTTTACTTGGCTAATTAGAGGCAAGCAGTTTTTCCTATTCTTTAATCATTACTCTCTCAAATACTTTTCTGCTTAGCAGAGAAATTGGAAGAAATGAGACATTTAAACTAATAATATAAATAAGCATCACTACTGCAAGCCTCTGGGAGCTTCAATGATGAGTGACGGCATAAATACAGACCCTGTGTACATCAAAGTGTATGAATTGACAGGTTTCCATTGTTGGCAGTGAAGGTTTCCAACAACGATGGCCATTACAACTTTTCTTGGAAAAAGAGCTTTAAATCCTCTAAATCTGGCCATTAACATAAAGACCAAATGGAGTACATGTTTTTATTCCATAGATTACAGCCCATGATAAGCCAGAACCTTCACCCTCATACACACGTGGCTCTCACACCTACAGGAATCCCCTCATTTAATGTGTGGCTTATGGCCTCTGTCTATCAGCAAACTCATCAACGGAATCAGCCTTCCTCCAGAAGAGAGTTTTCCCTTTCTGAGATAATGCTGCAGTGCTGTAGGTGAGCTGAGTACTGTTTAATTTTGTCAGAGAAACCAAAGACTATATGAAGTTGGCAGGAGGTGAAAGGGGTCCCAATCCCTTAGAAAAAATTACTATTAACATGCTCTCTCTATATGGTGAAATGAACAGTTAAGTGGTAGAGAAGGGCATAAATGAAAAGATATCTCCCCAACTACTGGTCCTACTCTTCATGATCTTTTCTGTAACCTTCTAGAATGTTTCTGTATGTATAAACGTATACACAGATGAGGTTGTGCTGTGTTAAACACACCTTGCGTCTTTCACGTAGCAATGTATCCGACAGGTGTTTCCGCATCAGCTCACGTGGGTTTATAGCATTCTTTGCGTGTCCATTCCCGATTCTGGACTTGCAAGGCCAGGAACTGACTATTCTCCAAATCCTCTCCTTTGTCCGTTCTTATTCTCCAGACTTTGTGTACCAAAATGCACTGGCTTCAGTGGGCCTCCAGGTCTTCGGTGAGCACGTTTCCAGAACCTTGGGTGACTAAATGAGCAAACTAACCCCACTTTATAACCCTTAACCGTGTGCCCCTGCTTGTGTTGGTCATGCACGTAGCCCGTTCCCTGAGCATGCTAATCTTCAGAGAAAGGGCAGACCAATGGCCAGACCCCTTTGCTGGATAGCTCCTTAGTATGGACATTACCTCCCAGGAAGCCCAAGTGAAATGCACCAGCCCATTTCTGCTGTTATTTAACTTAAAAGAAGACGCTGTGCAACCACAAGTCAGAGAGCTGTGCAGATGGTGGCGATGCGGTTGCTAAGGCGCTCCACTGTACCCCAGCACTGGGACCTGAATACAAGTGAGGGTTCCCCTACGATGAAGTACCTCCTGCATTTGGTCATCGTAAGGGGTAGCTCCCACCTCGTTAGGTTTCCTTTCTCCATAGTCTTGCAACATCCCTTTACTCTTTATTTGTTCTGCATCTTTCCTCTTCTTCTGGGTTTTGTTTGGTTTTGCTTTTTAACAGCAGTGTTTTGAGCTACTCATATTTCCCATAATTCCCATAGCTGAGACCATGGGGTTGTATTCTACATGACTGAGACGCCGAGGTAAAGGGCAGGGGTGAGACCAACACGTGTATTGCTCATGCTCAGAGGCCTCTCCCAGGTAAGAATCAGCCACGAAGCCAACTCCTGCATTGCATCTCAGTCTCCCCCACACCCTATCACAGAATGAAAGGGGCTGTGAGCAATGTGTTTGCCACACAAGGCTCCAGTGGGGGCACACTGCAATCCCAGATTCCACCCAGAGTCCGTGTCATTCATGTTTTGTAACATCTTTACCAATGCCTGATTTCTCTTGGGTCCGTTGCATTCATTGAAGTTTGACCAAATGGGTAGGAATATCAAAAACGACAAAGGAGTTCATTCCTGAATCCAGAGATCAGAAAGAGGGAGGTAGCTTATTAATAACGTTCCTTCGTCCCTCAGAGATCGATCACATGCCTTTTACATGCTAGTGCTTGCTTCGCAGGGTGTACCCTATGTCTGTCCTGCCTCCTCGCTGAGGAAGGGCCTCATGCCCACTAGTTCCCTGGATCCTCACAACAGCCTGGGAAGGTGGATGGTCACATCACCATCTTACCTTCGCAGAGAGATGCACTGAGTTTGCCAAAGCTATATACATTGGGGCTCTTGATCTCTGGCCACATCCTTCTCCCCTCTGTGTCCCCACTTTCCCTTGGGTGCCGACATCGCCTGGTCTCAGGGAGTTCAGCAGTCACACGCTGACTGGTTGGGTCTGACCACCCCAGTGCCCTCTTCCCCTTTATCTCTGTCCCATACCCATCGTGTGGTACGTCACATCCCAGAGGGCAAAAGCCTCAGTCGGCAAAAGGCGCGGGTGACCTTTGGAGGTGGAGACAGTGCGCACCCAGCCCAGTTTTGCTCACAAGGTATAAATGTTACTTTTAGTGGCCATGTGCTGTTGGGTGGCCTACAGCTCTGAGGCCATGGACAGCCACACCTGCCCGCTGTCACAGACTGCTGTAGAGGCTGCCCTTCCAATGGAGGTGGTGATCCACCTGCCTGCCTCATCCCTGAGGAGTGGCGGGAGGCTGCCTGCAGTCATCTTTTACTCATTCACTTGGCGTTCATGCAGTCATGCTAGGTGCCCCCTCAGCCCTTTAGCCTCTTTGCTTCTTCTTGCTCCCTGCTCAGCTCCAAGATGGCACCCGAGGCCATTGCCCATCAAGCTCATGGTGATGAGTAAGGTTAGATCATTGATAGTAGGAAGAATCTCTTCCACATTAGGAATGCAGTACCTTCTTGAATCTACTGCTTTTCCTTTCTCCAAGGATCCAAAAATCTCTGGTTTTCCTTATCTTTTTCAGTAGGCGGTGGTGGTGGTGGTGGTGGTGGTGGTGATGGTGATGGTGGTGGTGGTGGTGGTGACGGTGGTGGTGGTGGTGACGGTGGTGGTGGTGGTGGTGGTGGTGGTGGTGGTGACGGTGGTGGTGGTGGTGGTGACGGTGGTGACGGTGGTGGTGATGGTGGTGACGGTGGTGGTGGTGATGGTGGTGGTGGTGGTGGTGGTGATGGTGGTGGTGGTGGTGGTGGTGGTGGTGGTGGTGGTGGTGGTGGTGATGGTGGTGGTGGTGGTGGTGGTGGTGGTGGTGGTGGTGGTGGTGGTGATGGTGGTGGTGGTGGTGATGGTGATGGTGGTGGTGATGGTGGTGGTGGTGGTGGTGGTGATGGTGGTGGTGGTGGTGGTGGTGGTGGTGGTGGTGGTGGTGATGGTGGTGGTGGTGGTGATGGTGGTGGTGGTGGTGGTGGTGATGGTGGTGGTGGTGATGGTGGTGGTGGTGGTGGTGGTGGTGGTGGTGGTGGTGGTGGTGATGGTGGTGGTGGTGGTGGTGGTGGTGGTGGTGGTGGTGGTGATGGTGGTGGTGGTGGTGGTGGTGGTGGTGGTGGTGGTGGTGGTGGTGATGGTGGTGGTGGTGGTGGTGGTGGTGGTGGTGGTGGTGGTGGTGGTGGTGGTGGTGGTGGTGGTGGTGGTGGTGGTGATGGTGATGGTGGTGGTGGTGGTGGTGGTGGTGGTGGTGGTGGTGGTGGTGGTGGTGGTGATGGTGACGGTGGTGGTGGTGGTGGTGGTGGTGGTGGTGACGGTGGTGGTGGTGGTGGTGGTGGTGGTGGTGATGGTGGTGGTGGTGGTGGTGATGGTGGTGGTGGTGATGGTGGTGGTGGTGGTGGTGGTGGTGGTGATGGTGGTGGTGGTGGTGGTGGTGGTGGTGGTGGTGGTGATGGTGGTGGTGGTGGTGGTGATGGTGGTGGTGGTGATGGTGGTGGTGGTGATGGTGGTGGTGGTGGTGGTGGTGGTGGTGATGGTGGTGGTGGTGGTGGTGATGGTGGTGGTGGTGGTGATGGTGGTGGTGGTGGTGGTGATGGTGGTGGTGGTGATGGTGGTGGTGGTGATGGTGGTGGTGGTGATGGTGGTGGTGGTGATGGTGGTGGTGGTGGTGGTGGTGGTGATGGTAATGGTGGTGGTGATGGTGGTGGTAGTGACGGTGGTGGTGGTGGTGGTGGTGATGGTGGTGGTGGTGATGGTGGTGGTGGTGATGGTGGTGGTGGTGGTGGTGGTGGTGATGGTAATGGTGGTGGTGATGGTGGTGGTAGTGACGGTGGTGGTGGTGGTGGTGGTAATGGTGGTGGTGGTGGTGATGAGGGTAGTTTTCCACATTAACATCTTGCAAAACAAGTAGTTCAAGATCTTCTCCAGTTTGACTTATAGTAGATTGTCTATTTCCAGGGCTACTTTTGCTAAGAGCTGTGGAAGGCTCATTTATAATGCATTGGCAGACCTTCTATGGTGGAAAAGGAGACGATGTTTCTCACCAGGCCGAATCTGGAGTAGAAATAGCTGTGCTGCCCCCTGCCTCTTGGTGGGGGAAGGGGACTTCTCTGTGGTTTGATCTCCCTCAGAATAAAAAGTTCTCCTGAGTCTCGTAGCTGATCTAACCCTCAGGTCATCCTGCAGCCCTTCCAGGCTTTCTTCCGGTTTCTTGCTAAGACACACCCATGGCTCATTTCTGTCCCGTGGTTGATGTGGCTGAACTTCAGTGGTTCAGTTTCTACTGTTCGCCCTCGGCCTGTGCCTGCCTCTTATCTCTCCACCGAAGTGAACCAATTTAAGAAAAGCTTTCATTTGTTAAAGTGAGATTTCTCCCTCTTTGAGTTCAGGGAAAATTCCAAAGAGATTTACAGTGAGAAAGAAGAGGAAGGTGTTTCCAGCAGTGAGCAGTTTTGAGACCAGAAGCCACACAGCAGCACTCAGTGTGACTGCAGGGCAGCAACTGGGTTGATCTAGGCTCCACAACTTCCCCTTTAGCTCTGCAGACCTCAGCACAGGCGGAGCACGAGCCCTTAACCAGGAAGGGATTTTTGCCCCATTTTATCACAGTACTTAGCTTTTTGAGCAGTGGGCACCCTCAGGAGTGACCCTTCTCTGGACACCAGCTTTGGAATTGGATGTCCTCAAGCCTCCCTCTCCAGGCTTCTCAGTGGGGAGGTTTCTGTGGTCCCCTTTTTAGAGCTTGGGAAATCTCCTTTTAGTTTGCTTTTTAATTTTTCCTTGGCAGTAAAGCCATGGCTTTTGGAAACGTCCCATTGGACGATGATTCATGAATGCCATAAAGACAGGACTAAAAGGAAAGGGTCAGACCTGTGCACTCTTTTTGCAGAACACATTGATAAATTTAGAGCAGGACAGACATCCAGCCTAGACGTCTATCTGTGCAGCCCTAAATTCATCAACGTGTCCTGTGAAATGGGGAGAGAACATTTTACTTTGCTTTGCTCATCCTTTTAGGGACTCAGTCCTTTTATTAGATTTTTTCCAGAAATTCCTTCTTGCTCATCTTTGCATGGTTAGTGAGTATCAAGAGAAGCACAGATGATCTCTCATTAAAGGAGCACACATCCCAGCCTCTGGGAGCCCTGACTGTTGATTCACTTGAATTCTTCCAGGCAATAAGCATTGATGAATCAGGTTCCAAAAGGATGTTCCCAATGCCGACTCTACTGAGCTGTCACACTTGCTCCAAATGCTTTTGCCTTGTGACTTCTGCCGCTTCTCCATTCTCCGCTCTCACATACGGCTGCTCCTGCCTGATTCCCTAGTTTGGCTTCATGTCTGCCCTCACTCTGATCTTAGGACCTACTCAGCCTCACACAGTAGTCTTGTTATATCCCTGAGTTTCTCAGCAGCAGGTACTGTTGACATCTTGAGCCAGTCATTCTTTGGGGCGGGGGCAGTGTCCTGGGCCTTGCAGGATGTTCCACACCATCCCTGGCCTCTGCCCCCAGATGCCAGGCTTGTCCCACCCAAGTCATGATGACCAAAAATGGGTTCCCTGGGGGAAGAATCATCCCTGGTTGAGAACCACTGGTATAACCAGAGGAGGGCTATTTCTTTGGCTGTTGTCATCTGAATGTGGAATTCCAAGGAAAGTTGGTTTCTGTTTGTTTAACTGATGAATTAAGTACAGACTCCCGATTAATTTCTAGGAAGAAACAGCATGCCCTTATTTATTTTTCAAAGAGCCTTTCTCCGTGTTTGCAAATGGCCTGTGCACATAGGGTGATGTGAATTGCAGATTCTGCCTCTGCTGACCTTGGCTTTGAGGTACTTTGTGCTCTTCCAAGGAAATACACCATGGAAACGTGGGGTGTGAGAGTGGAAGCTTTGCCAGCCCACATGTGGGAGGCAGGACGGATGTGACAGTAAGCCTCATGTCTGTATGGCTCCACAGAGTAACTTGAAAGCCCACAGGCAGCCCCTGCCTCTCATCCCCTCTGCCCCACCACACACATCACCCACATACTCACCATTCATTGTGGTGTGAAATCTCCTTGGGTGAAGAGTAGATGGTTGCTTATTAAAATGGAAATAAGCCCAGAGGCTGGACGCGGTGGCTCACACCTGTAATCCCAGTACTTTGGGAGGCCAAGGCCAGCAGATTGCTTGAGCCCAGGAGTTCGAGACCAGCCTGAGCAACATGGTGAAACCCTGTCAATACAAAAAATGCAAAAAATAGTCAGGTGTGGTGGTGCGCACCCGCAGTCCCAGCTACTCAGGAGGCTGAGGTGGGAGGAACGGTTGAGCTCAGGTGTTGAGGCTGCAGTGAGTCGTGCTCCCACCACTGCACACCAGCCTGGGTGACAGAGTGAGACCCTGTCTCAAAAAAGAAAAAAAAATTAATAAGCCCAGAAAGGAAAGCTGTTTGTCATAAAGACCTTACTTTGAATTTATGACATGCTTTCCACCTCAACAGGTACTTAGGAGCAGGTTTTATTTGATGAAAAGTAGGTGGGAAAAGGGTAATGAAAGTAGCTTCGTCGCTGGGCGTGGTGGCTCATGCCTGTAATCCCAGCTACTCGGGAGGCTGAGGCAGGAGAATCACTTGAACCCAGGAGGCAGAGGTTACAGTGAGCCGAGGTCACGCCACTGCACTCTAGTCTGGGCGACAGAGCAAGACTCCATCTCAAAAAAAAAAACGAAAGTAGGTTCTCAAGCACACCTCCTAGAAGATAAAGTGTGAAAAAAGAGCTGAGAAAGCACAGCCCGTGAGACTCAACTGCCTTATAAAAACACTAGCAGCACGTGCTGGCCTCTCGCCTCGGCTGGGTTCTGTGCAAAACCCCATACATTTCACCTTCCTGACAGCCTTGGGCAGGAGGTGTGATTGTTCTCCCAGTGTTACAGATGAGCAAACTTGGTGGACCCCACTTCACAGTTAATCCAGAGCTATTCTCTGTTAGAGACCCAAGGATGCCTGGTTAGTTTGAAATGTGTGCTAGCTCAGAGTTAATTCATATTGGCCCTGTGGTGCTAGCAGCAGGTCCAAGGGCAGTAATTGGCAGCATCTTGAAAATCATTCTTAGGATCCTTAGTGAAACTCCCAGCTCTTCCTGCTTCAGAGTCACCCTGGGCTCCCGGGGACTTCAACACGCCACTACCCTTGTGGGTGGCTGACAAGGTGAAGAGAACACTCCTTCCCCACTTTTGGGGTCAGGCTACCAAGCCGTGCTGCCTAAGCGGCTGTGTGTCTCAGCGACCCCAGTGCAACAGTTCTGCCTGGAGTGGACCCTGGAGGAGAGGAACAGCCGAGACAGCAGGCCTCTCCCTGCCTCCCCAGGGCGCCATGCAAACATCCTCCAGCCTGAGACCACCCTGCAAATAAGCTCCAGTCAGTCACCCAGCCTGCCCGCTGGCCAGCTCTGTCTAGGTGTGCTAAATCCTAGCTGGGCCAGGTGCAAATCTCCCAGCCTTGCCGCCACACCTACCTCATATCGCTTGAAGCTTAATTTAGGGGCTGGGGTTGCTGGAGCAGCCCAGTAGGAAGGCAAGGATAACACAGTTTTTACTTCACTACAAATATTGCGGCAAAAAAACAGATGTGGGGCAGTAACTCACCCCGTCGCTTGGTCCAGGGGTAACTGCCTGCAGCCCCAGCCGACATCCTGGCCTTTCAACACGGAGCTGTGACTGACGGCCCTGCGTGCGTGGCTTCCGTGCTCTCAGCTCCGCTTGCTCGGTGAGGTGGACGTGAGGGGACAGGGGCTGTCCCCTTGTTGCTGCCTCATTGCCAGCCGTGCAATTCCCACCCAGGGCTTCTGTTCGGGGTGTTTCAGGGTTTACAGTTGGGTAACTCGTTGTTGTCTGCTGTGCCTGGCTTTTCAATCCAATAGGCCTGCAAGTCCTCCGAGATTCCTCCTCCTAACCAGCCCGGAGTTCCCCAGGGCCGTGCCCCTCCCCAGAGAGGGCCCTCGGAGAGCTGCTCCCGCATTGTCATGTTGACTGACCTTTCCTTCTTTTTGTCTTTTCTCCACAGTGTGGCAAAGGAGCAGAGAACTTTGACAAGTTCTTCACACGAGGACAGCCCGTCTTAACACCACCTGATCAGCTGGTTATTGCTAACATAGACCAGTCTGATTTTGAAGGGTTCTCGTATGTCAACCCCCAGTTTGTGCACCCCATCTTACAGAGTGCAGTATGAAACTCACCAGCGAGAACAAACACCTCCCCAGCCCCCAGCCCTCCCCGCAGTGGGAAGTGAATCCTTAACCCTAAAATTTTAAGGCCACGGCCTTGTGTCTGATTCCATATGGAGGCCTGAAAATTGTAGGGTTATTAGTCCAAATGTGATCAACTGTTCAGGGTCTCTCTCTTACAACCAAGAACATTATCTTAGTGGAAGATGGTACGTCATGCTCAGTGTCCAGTTTAATTCTGTAGAAGTTACGTCTGGCTCTAGGTTAACCCTTCCTAGAAAGCAAGCAGACTGTTGCCCCATTTTGGGTACAATTTGATATACTTTCCATACCCTCCATCTGTGGATTTTTCAGCATTGGAATCCCCCAACCAGAGATGTTAAAGTGAGCCTGTCCCAGGAAACATCTCCACCCAAGACGTCTTTGGAATCCAAGAACAGGAAGCCAAGAGAGTGAGCAGGGAGGGATTGGGGGTGGGGGAGGCCTCAAAATACCGACTGCGTCCATTCTCTGCCTCCATGGAAACAGCCCCTAGAATCTGAAAGGCCGGGATAAACCTAATCACTGTTCCCAAACATTGACAAATCCTAACCCAACCATGGTCCAGCAGTTACCAGTTTAAACAAAAAAACCTCAGATGAGTGTTGGGTGAATCTGTCATCTGGTACCCTCCTTGGTTGATAACTGTCTTGATACTTTTCATTCTTTGTAAGAGGCCAAATCGTCTAAGGACGTTGCTGAACAAGCGTGTGAAATCATTTCAGATCAAGGATAAGCCAGTGTGTACATATGTTCATTTTAATCTCTGGGAGATTATTTTTCCATCCAGGGTGCCATCAGTAATCATGCCACTACTCACCAGTGTTGTTCACCAACACCCACCCCCACACACACCAACATTTTGCTGCCTACCTTGTTATCCTTCTCAAGAAGCTGAAGTGTACGCCCTCTCCCCTTTTGTGCTTATTTATTTAATAGGCTGCAGTGTCGCTTATGAAAGTACGATGTACAGTAACTTAATGGAAGTGCTGACTCTAGCATCAGCCTCTACCGATTGATTTTCCTCCCTTCTCTAGCCCTGGATGTCCACTTAGGGATAAAAAGAATATGGTTTTGGTTCCCATTTCTAGTTCACGTTGAATGACAGGCCTGGAGCTGTAGAATCAGGAAACCCGGATGCCTAACAGCTCAAAGATGTTTTGTTAATAGAAGGATTTTAATACGTTTTGCAAATGCATCATGCAATGAATTTTGCATGTTTATAATAAACCTTAATAACAAGTGAATCTATATTATTGATATAATCGTATCAAGTATAAAGAGAGTATTATAATAATTTTATAAGACACAATTGTGCTCTATTTGTGCAGGTTCTTGTTTCTAATCCTCTTTTCTAATTAAGTTTTAGCTGAATCCCTTGCTTCTGTGCTTTCCCTCCCTGCACATGGGCACTGTATCAGATAGATTACTTTTTAAATGTAGATAAAATTTCAAAAATGAATGGCTAGTTTACGTGATAGATTAGGCTCTTACTACATATGTGTGTGTATATATATGTATTTGATTCTACCTGCAAACAAATTTTTATTGGTGAGGACTATTTTTGAGCTGACACTCCCTCTTAGTTTCTTCATGTCACCTTTCGTCCTGGTTCCTCCGCCACTCTTCCTCTTGGGGACAACAGGAAGTGTCTGATTCCAGTCTGCCTAGTACGTTGGTACACACGTGGCATTGCCGCAGCACCTGGGCTGACCTTTGTGTGTGCGTGTGTGTGTGTTTCCTTCTTCCCTTCAGCCTGTGACTGTTGCTGACTCCAGGGGTGGGAGGGATGGGGAGACTCCCCTCTTGCTGTGTGTACTGGACACGCAGGAAGCATGCTGTCTTGCTGCCTCTGCAACGACCTGTCGTTTGCTCCAGCATGCACAAACTTCGTGAGACCAACACAGCCGTGCCCTGCAGGCACCAGCACGTGCTTTTCAGAGGCTGCGGACTTTCTTCCAGCCATTGTGGCATTGGCCTTTCCAGTCTTGGGAGGAGCGCGCTGCTTTGGTGAGACACCCCCATGCAAGGTCCTCAGAGTAGCCGGGTTCTACCACAAACAGAAACAGAATGAAAGTAGCTGTCAGTCCTTGTAGAGAGCCGCTCTGTTTCCTCCCAGAAGCATCTCCCAGCTAAGCTCGCATTATTTTTCTCCTCTGGCTGTTTGCCTGAAGTTCACAGAACACACAACCATGAAAGGCTTTTTGAGGTGAGAGGCCCAGGTGGTCCTGGCAACCCTGAGTAGAAGGAGAGACGGGGTAGGGAACGGGCCCGGCCAGAAAAGAACCATTTCTTCTGCCATCTTTTATGCACCATAGACATCGAGACTCCAGGGGGTCCTGGCTCCCCTGTCCCTGCAGCCCTGCAGGTCAGTGCATGATCTGGGTTCGTGTCCTGACCAGGTGCTCCTCCTTTGATCCGAGGGGAAAGGGACTGGTTTATAGAAAGAGCCTAGGAGACAAAAGGGCCAGTCCCCCTGCCCAGAATGGAGCAGCAGCAGGACAGACCCCCACGAGGCCCCCCAGAGAGGAGGAAGATCCCACGGAGGAACACATGAGGTTAGGGACCCTTGTTCAGCACCCCAAACAGCCTGCCTGTTTAAAGCAGGCAGCAGGCTTAGGCCTTCCCTGCAACCCCAACACCCACAAGTTTGTTTCTCTAGGAAACACATTCACTGTCTCAGCTGGCTGTTACTCTCTCAGACCATATGGCAAAGTTTTCCAAGAAAATGCCCCGACAGGGGTGCCCAGCACACTGCCTGAGGGACAACAGACATCAGAACAAACCCCCAGAGAGAAACAGTCAAAATCAGGGCCCGGTGCAGTGTTGTCATGTGGAACCTGCTTTATCCATTGCTGAGTGTTGAATGTGGGTAATGGTTAGGGCTTTCCAGATCTCAGCAGCCAAAGACAGTTATTGTTGGAAGACTGTCATGTAGATAACCATGAGCAATGGCTCGCCTCAGAATCAGTTCATAAAATTCTATGGTACTGGCCCCTTCGTGGGTATTGTGTGAAATGAGATGGTGGCGAGGGGTGCGCTGTGGAACTGCCGCAGCCACGCAGGAGGTCCCTGGGGGATGCTTTGGGAAGTCCTTGCCCCTGAGCACTGCCTGATTGCCAGGGCCTGTGGAGGTCTAGGCCGCCTGGCAGAATCTAGCACCGTCCGAATCCCCGCAGGACCCATGGAGCTATGACCACACCAGGCCATTCAAATGGCTCTGCATTATCTTCCCTTGGAAGGTGGCCACTCCTCGGTGGCAGGGCCTTTCCCTGAGGCTGCAGGCCGTGGGCTGGCAGCCCGTCTCTTGGCATTTCAATTGAAGGTCACCAGGTGCTGGGTTTGAAAGGAAGTCACTGGAGTGCTGCCAGGGGCCGCCCTCCAAGGTTAATGAGAGGCCCACATCCAGGCAAGAACTAATTCAAAAGGCAGATCAGAAACCACAGGAGTCAAAATTATTGCTCCGGCAGTGCTTCCCTTCCTTTCATCCACTGGCCTCGTGTGGTCCATGCAGGGCCACTGTCTGCCCTTTCTGATGCCACGTATTAGGCTTTCTTACTCAGAATTTTGATAGAAAACCATGGGGCCAAGAGCTCTGGAAGCCTGGCCGGAAAGACCAAGGTTCATGCAGCCCAACAAATGATTGTTGAGCACCTCTCGGAGCCAAAGTCCTTAGGCGAGTGTGGTGACTTCCTGGAAGGAGGATGCAGACTTCCAGAGAGCCCCCCCAACGGACGTGCTGAGAAGGGAGAGGGAGGCGGGGGCTGTAGTCAGGAAGGAGCCAGAGAAGAACAGGGTTTGGGTGCATCCAGAAATATGCCTGCAGTAGGAGGGAGAGGAAGGGGTGCCACCGTCAACGGCTTCCCATCGGAGGTGGTTGGTGCAGATGGAAGTTTCTGTCTGCTGGCCCTCAAGAGAGTGTTTTGCCAGGGACACAGTCTGTTCCTCCTCAGAAAACACCCCCCAAATGCTAACAACATCCCCACCAGCTGCTAGAAGCCCCTTTCCCCTCCCCACCTTGAAGTAGCTCATAGTTCTCTGGGCAGAGCCAGACCATCCAGTGTACCCCAGAGGCCAGTAGGTTCCTGCCCATTTTCCTCTCTGGCTTCCTGCCAAGAATTATGGCAGCTGAGGATGAATGGAGAAGTAAAAACAACTAACACCGCACAACTAACAACTAACACCGCAGTTCCCACCTGGGTTCCACTTAGCAGGAGACATTTCGGAGGGTTTTTTTTGTTTTTGTTCCTGTTTTTTTTTTTTTTGCTGGAATTTGTTTTCTCAGTACTGAAAAGAGAAAAAGTGACAATCTTGTATTTTTAAAAGCCTCGGAAAGGTGATACCATCTGACAGTCATTTTCTCACGTTGGTCTTCTAAAGTCACCTATTTCTTGTGTGTGCACATCACACCATTTCCTGTTTCTTTATAACCCGACAAGGGTAGGAGTGCCTGTTTCCCCTGCTGGGCACACCAGACAATCGTAATCACAAAACAGACACTGAGCCAGGGGCCCAAAGGGTGTGATCATGAGAGTTACCGGGACAGCAGTAGGCATGACAGTCACCAGGAAGGACAAGGGTGCTCTGTTGTTAGTGGCCACACACCAATTTGACAAGGAGTGTTGCGAAATTTTTATTTATTTATTTATTTATTTTGAGATGGAGTTTCACTCTTGTTGCCCAGGCTGGAGTGCGGTGGTACAATCTCGGCTCACTGCAACCTCCACCTCCCAGGTTCAAGCGATTCTCCTGCCTCAGCCTCCCAAGTACCTGGGACTACAGGTGCGTGCCACCACACCCAGCTAAATTTTGTGTTTTTAGTAGAGATGGGGTTTCACCATGTTGGCCAGGATGGTCTTGAACCCCTGACCTCATGATCTGCCTGCCTCGGCCTCCCAAAGTGCTGGGATTACAGGCATGAGCCACCACGCCCAGCCAAAATATTTTTTTAAAGTCATTTTCCTTAAGCTGCTTGGGCTACATGTGAAATACACTGGACGGTCAACATTCCTGTCTCCTCCCATTTGGGCTGATGCAGCAGATCCAGGGAATGTTACCTGTTTCTGCTGCTAGAAGATCCAGGAAATTGGGAAGGTTACCTGACGCACACATGGATGAAGGCCATCATCTAGAAATGGGGTCAACCACAATTGTGTTAATTCCGTAGTGTCAGGGATTCTTCGGGAAGGTCAACAGTATGAAGGATTCTGACCCCTGTGCCTCCCATTTATGTGATCAGGTGACAGTTAATAACCGTGGAGGTCACACTCAGCCATCCAACAGCCTTACAGTGACCCTACACAAAAGCCCCCAAATTCCAAAGACTTTTTCTTAACCTAAAGGAAGAAATTATTTGTTAATTCCAGTAGAGCAACTGAATATACTGGGCTATTTGTACTTTTTTATAGAGAACTTTAATAATAATTCTTTAAAAATGAGTTTTTAGAACAAAGCAACTGACGATTTCCTAAGATTCCAATGCCCTGGAGCTTGTAGGAGGACTTAGCCTGGGTCAGCTGGAGCACCCCCGACCTGATCTCCCACTGCCAGATTTTCCCATGCTCCTAGGGTATGGAGTCCACGTGGGAATGACTGCAAGTTCAGGTGGAACTTGGCCGACTGATGCTCTGCGAGTTTTTAATAGACACTGGGGACAACTGCTTAAGGTTTAGAAACTTCCAAACCACAGGAAAGACATTTTTAGTGTCCCCCATCCAGAGGCAGCCCTGGAATAGGATTCCCAGGGGTTTCTGGGACCCCTTTCCTTGCTCCGTGAGGCTCTGTGGCCATCTTTTGGCAGGAGGAGGATGCTTCCTTGGCTCTGTGCCCAGACCCGCCTGGTCCCCAGGTCTCTCACCTTGGGTGAAGATTCAGAGATGCCCTGTAAGGATTTTGCCCACTGGGCAACTCAGAAATACTTCGATCTCCCAAGATATAAGAGGCAGCAGCAAACGTGCCTATTGACGTCTGTTTCATAGTTACCACTTACGCGAGTAGACAGAACTCGGCTTTTCAGAAAATAGGTGTCAAGTCCACTTTATAAGAACCTTTTTTTCTAAAATAAGATAAAAGGTGGCTTTGCATTTTCTGATTAAACGACTGTGTCTTTGTCACCTCTGCTTAACTTTAGGAGTATCCATTCCTGTGATTGTAGACTTTTGTTGATATTCTTCCTGGAAGAATATCATTCTTTTCTTGAAGGGTTGGTTTACTAGAATATTCAAAATCAATCATGAAGGCAGTTACTATTTTGAGTCTAAAGGTTTTCTAAAAATTAACCTCACATCCCTTCTGTTAGGGTCTTTCAGAATATCTTTTATAAACAGAAGCATTTGAAGTCATTGCTTTTGCTACATGATTTGTGTGTGTGAAGGACATACCACGTTTAAATCATTAATTGAAAAACATCATATAAGCCCCAACTTTGTTTGGAGGAAGAGACGGAGGTTGAGGTTTTTCCTTCTGTATAAGCACCTACTGACAAAATGTAGAGGCCATTCAACCGTCAAACACCATTTGGTTATATCGCAGAGGAGACGGATGTGTAAATTACTGCATTGCTTTTTTTTTCAGTTTGTATAACCTCTAATCTCCGTTTGCATGATACGCTTTGTTAGAAACATTAATTGTAGTTTGGAAGCAAGTGTGTATGAATAAAGATAATGATCATTCCTTTGTGTAGTTGGCCTTATTTACATCCCTTTGCGGTATGGCAATTATTTTTCCTCCAGTGTTCAAAAAATAGCATTTGACTTCAGACACACTCCGCAGAACACTTTCATCTCTTCACCTGTTTTTCAGGCATGACCCTCCATTTATAGTGGCATTTTTTTTTTTTTTTTTTTTTTTTTTTTACTTAAAAAATATATCTTGCTTTGAATCAAAGCCCAGACAGTGACTGGGATGGCGTTCTGGCAGGTCCTGCGTTCATTCATTCATGCACTGTTCACAGAGCCCCTGCTTAGGGCCAGGAGTTGTGTCAGGCCCTGGAGAAGAAGAGGCTGGCATGGCCCCTGCCTGCACGGAGCTTACAGTCTTCTGCCCCAAACTGCAAGGGATGCCCAGCAACTGATGACATCATCTAAGGCTGGATGGTGCCCTTCCCCTGGAAGGAACGATTCCAGAATGAATTCTGCTCAAGTCTGGAGATGTTTTCTCCAAAAATAGGTATTTTTCACACATCCCGTTGGCCACACTGTGGATGCAGCTTCAGGACCGTCCCCACTCTGAGTGTCAGCCGCCTCGTTCTGCATTTATTCACGGTTGAAAAATTGGGGGAAATGTTCAAATGTGGAACATTCAAAAATACCCAGCACTTAACAACTCAACGCAATAGAGGGAATTGTCCTCAAAAAGAATTAAAACAGGCTGGGTATGGTGGCTGATGCCCATAATCCCAGCACTTTGGGAGGCCAAGGTGGGAGGATCACTTGAGGCCGGGAGGTCAATGCTGCAGTGAGCTACGATTGCACCACTGCACTGTAGCCTGGGTGACAGAAGGAGACCTTGTCTCTTAAAAAAAAAAATCAACAACAAACACCAAAGCCAAGATCCAACCTTGGTAAAGTCAATCTTTGCTGATTTCCTCACCTCCTTTTGGGGAATGCTCTCCCCTCGTGCTCATGGCTTCAACCCACTGCTGCCACCCTCCCTCCCATAGCCCCCTAATCCTGCAGCCGCCCAGCCCAGCCTGTTCCTCCCAGCACACTCTGCATCCACACACATGCCTCCCTGCGTTCTCTTCCCTCTGGGCCTTGCTCCCAGCCAGATTACTCGAGTGTCAGCATCCTCTCAGTGGATTTTTCCCTCCCTAAGATGCCGCGGTCACACTCAACCTCCTGGAAGTGAAGGCTCTTTCAGCTGCCAATGCGAGGGCTGGCGGGGAAGCTATTTTGAAGAAAAACAAAGGGCAATTTTCAGGTCTTCAGAGCAATGTGGTCTCTGCCCCACTGGGCTGGCCCTGACCTTCACTCCGGGCTGGTTGACCTCACATACGTGTGTAGCTGTGGCTATTCGTCACGTTACGTTGCCCAGCAGAGTAGCTTACCATGGCCATTGAGCATGCCCTCTGCTTCCGCCAGTGTGCTGTTTTATTTCATTTTTGCTGCAATGCGGAATGAAGCAGAGTGGGCCACCAAGCAGCATCCTCACAGGCAGCTGGTGACCCGAGGAACTGAGTAGCTCCACCCAAGTTTACCCCTGCAGGGAGGTCTCGGGTGTATCCAATATGGCTGGTCCTCCCGGCCCCACAGAGGCAGCAGGGACAACCTGAGCACCAGGCAGTGGACAATTGCTCTTCCAGGGGCACTGTGCGCCACCCAAAGTGGATGCTCAAAAACGAGTCCTTCTGTCCAGTACTGGCCTCCCTGTCACATGCCCACCATGCCCATCAAGTTCATGAGCAGGCACTGTTGGGGCTACTCTAAGTCAGGGTTCTCGGCCAGAGGCCATGTAGCCACCCACGGGGCACTTGGCAATGCCTGGAGACTGTTTTGGTTATCATAACTAGAAGGAAGTTGCATTGGCATCGAGTGGGTAGAGGCCAGGGGCGCTGCTAAGCATCCTGCCATGCACAGGATACCCCCAGCCCTCAACAAGGTGTCATCCCACCCAAATGTCGGCGCTGCTGCTGTTACAAACCCTATTCTAAAACACACTCCGAGTTCCCCTTCTCTCCATCTCCCCTGTTCTTTCTCTCTGGCCTCCTTGACCCTCATGGCCCTCTCTGCTCAGCAGCCAGCAGGACCTTGCCTGAGCAGGCCCCTTCCCTGTTGAAAGCCCTCTGTGGCTCCCATCACCCAGCCTTCCTCATGGCCTTTCATCCTCACATGCCCAGCTCTGGGACCAAGGATTCAATGGTTGGGGAGAGTGAGTTCTCTCTCTCTCTGTCTCTGTCTCTCTCTCTCTCTCTCTCTCTCTCTCTGTGTGTGTGTGTGTGTGTGTGTATACGCACACCCTTTCCCATGAGAATAGAAGCTCTAAGAGGAGCCGGCTTGTCCATCCTGTTTGCTGCTACATCCCAGTGCCTAGAGCAGAGCCTGGTAGATAATAGGAGCTCAAAATGTTCATTGAATGACTGAGTCAATTAATCGTTCCCAAAACTGCTCTGAGCCTAGCAACGTGTTCCAGACACCCTTACTGGGCCATGGGATTTGCCCTGGAGGTGTTCACACACTAATGAAGTAGATAAGATATACAAAAAAGAACTAATTAAAGATCATCTCTCAAACTCATGATGAGCTTCAGCCTAGGAAACACCAGTTCTCAACCTCTGTCCTTCAGCCCAGAATCTAGAGGCGATGGCTGCCTATGGTTACACTTGAGTGATTATTTAACTCCCTGAGCTTCCCCCCTGCCCCTGGCTTATTGTGTGCTCTGGGGATGAAATTATGGTTCAGCTAAAATGCTAATGCACACGGGCAAAGGCCAAGGCCATCTATTTTCACACTCTGTCCCCATCCTGGGAGTGCACATCACAGAGAGCAGGGCATTGCCTGCAGGGAGTGGGTGAGAAGTGCTTTTGGCTCTAAGAAAGCAGAACTGGATGTCTCCCCAAGATTCTTTTTTTAACAAAGCTAATTCAATAAATACATTGCAAAGAGGCCTATTCTAGCCATAAGGGGAGAAAGTGGAAAATGGTTCTAGTGAAATGAAAGAGCTAGTGGTGGGCTCAGGGACTCAACAGACAGGTGGAAATGGCACAAACCAAAAGTCTAAAGGGGGCTGTAAATGGGAACGCGCAAACTGTGCACGCACACACACACGAACACACATGCATACAGAGATGCACACACACACATGCACACAGACACGCAAACACACGCATGCACACAGACACATGTGCACACACAGAGGCACACACACTGATTGATTACCAGAAGTGTACCAGGCACTCTTCTAAGTTCTTTATGTGCATTTATTTCAATCCCACAATGACAGCCCCTGCCCCCAGATAGGTGCTGTTTACTGTGCCCATTTTACAGAAGAAGAAAGGGAATTCCAGGGAACTTAAATAACAACACATAGGTGAACAACACCAGACAAATGGAGCCAACCGAAAGAGCAGAGATGTGAGCACGCCAGATGCCTTCCTGGGGGAGGAGGCAGGGAGGCTGAGGTCTGATGGAAAGGCTGGAAAGGAGAGGTCCCAAACAAGCAGACACCAGCACGCAGGGAGGAGGGGAAGGGCTGGCATGCGCGCAGTGCCTAGCTTGTCATCTGAACACACCCATCTCATTTAATCCTCATGACACCTCCATGGGCTGGAGGCCATTGTTCACATCTCACAGATGGAGAAACTGAACCCCAAAGTAATTAACCAGCTTCCAGATACGCAACTCCTAAGCAGCACAGCCAGGCTGGGCACTGAGTCTGATCTTCCTAGCCTTGTCCCATGAGAGGGTCAGATGTAGCATTGGGTAGGGAGCTTCAGGGCCAGACCCTGTTGGGGAACTTCTCCCCCCACTGTGGTTTCATTCAAAGTCCATCCTATTACCAAGGGGGATGTTCCTTGCCCTTAGCTGACTCTGATGCCTATGAGACTAGATGCCCTCCTGGAACTGTTTCCAGAAGGCTTTCTTCCACCATCACCCTCCTTCTCTCGACATTTTTTTTTTTTTTGGAGCTGTCTGGGCGTGGGAGGAGAGAGAAAAATAGCATCACAGTTCTCAGAACACAGCAGGTGCCTCTGCAGCCGCCCTCACCTGACTGACTTGCCTGGAAGGCCCAGGAGGAAGGAGGAAGCGGGCAGGAACGGCTGGTGGGCCCCAGGCTCCCCCTCCCACCACAGGACAGCCCTACATTGAGACCCCAGCTCCACCTACCCCAGGAGTCAAAAACAATCCAAGGCAAGCATCATCCAGTGAGCAGAACAACTTGTGAGAAATCACTGATTTCTTGGGGGCACTGGGCAGCCCGGGGAGGAAAGGTTGGGCTTGGTTAGGTCAGAATACTGTGGGAATGCTTCTGGGTTTTTGGAAAATTTACAAAAAATAACACCTGCTTATTGTAGCTAATACAGATGAGGAAAAGAAAATCCCAACTTCCCAAGATGGTTAAACTTTTTGATTCCTTGCTAACTTTATTTATTATTCATCATCTTGTTATCTTTTCAAGACTGTACCATGGTATTAGCCTGTTTTCACGCTGCTGATAGAGACATACACGAGACTGAGTAATTTACAAAGAAAAAGAGGTTTAATGGACTCACAGTTCCACGTGGCTGGGGGTGGGGTGCTCACAATCATGATAGAAGGCGAAAGGCATGTCTTACATGACGGCAGACAAGAGAGAATGAGAATCAACTGAAAGGGATAACCTTGATAAAACCATCAGATCTCACGAGACTTATTCACTGCCACGAGAATAGTATGGGGGAAACCGCCTCCATGATTCTATTATCTCCCACTGAGTCCCTCCCACAACACATGGGAATTATGGGAGCTACAATTCGAGATGAGATTTGGGTGGGGACACAGACAAACCATATCAACCTCAAAGCCCTCTTATGAGACTCCACTGGGCCTTGACATTGGTCACTGAAAGCTAGGATCACAGATGTTAACACACACATCCTTTAAACATTTTGTTATGACTTTTTTTTTTTTTGAGGCGGAGTTTCACTTTGTTGCCCAGGCTGGAGTGCAGTGGTGTGATCTTGGCTCACTGCAACCTCCACCCCCCGAGTTCAAGCAATTATCCTGCCTCAACCTCCCGAGTAGCTGCGACTACAGGTTTGCATCATCATGCCCGGCTAATTTTTGTATTTTTAGCAGAGGCGGGTTTTCACTATGTTGGCCAGGCTGGTCTCGAACTCCTGACCTTGTGATCCACCCGCCTCAGCCTCCCAAAGTGCTGGGATTACAGGTGTGAGCCACCGTGCCTGGCCTTTATTGTAACTTAAAAGCCAATAAATGCATGACCATTCAGTAAGGGTGGGGACTTCTCTCTGAGCAGGGAATTTCTTTCTTGCATTAACTATACCCATAATACTTGTCTTACAGTTTCCAGTTAGGGTTTATTCGAAGAGAAGCCAGATATTCACAAAGAAAGCTGAATGCAAAGTCCATTTAGATTGTTGCAATATTTCTTAATCTTTTACAGTTGCCTTGCCCACAACTGTCTCTGTAGCTGTTTTTAAAAACTCGTTATTCTTTTTCTTAAACATTCCATTTTGTGTTCACTGAAACAACTCTATGCTTTGCACTTGTATTTCATTGGTTTATGTGGAATTTGATTAATTACTTAACTACAAAGCAACGTAGCAGACATTCAATGTTTTGGGAATGAAATTGACATTTTCTTACTAATTCCCCTATTGTTGGAATTTTAGGTTTTCCTGGTTTTTAAATTATTTTGAAAACTCATTGTTGAACACCTTTGTTCCCAAAATTTTGAATGCATTTTAGATTATATCTTCCACTGGATTCCTGGAAATACAATAGCTGAACTTTTTTTTTTTTTTTTTTTTTTGAGACGGAGTCTCACTCTGTCGTCCAGGCTGGAGTGCAGTGGTGCGATCCTGGCTCACTGCAAGCTCTGCCATTCTCCTGCCTCAGCCTTCCGAGTAGCTGGGACTACAGGCGCCCGCCACCACGCCCGGCTAACTTTTTATATTTTTAGTAGAGACGGGGTTTCACCGTGTTAGTCAGGATGATCTCGATCTCCTGACCTCGTGATCCACCCACGTCGGCCTCCCAAAGTGCTGGGATTACAGGCGTGAGCCACTGCACCCGGCCAATAGCTGAACATTTTTTAGACTCTTGGTACTTCTTATTTCCTGTTTTTCTTCTTGAACCCTGTTTTCTTTTCTTTTCTTTTTTTTTTAGATGAAGTCTCTCTCTGTCACCCAGGCTGGAGTGCAGTGATGCAGTCTCAGCTCACTGAAGCCTTCGTCTCCTGGGTTTAAACAATCCTTCTGTCCCAGCCTTCCAAGTAGCTGGGACTACAGGCATGCACCACCACGCCTGGCTAATTTTTGTCTTTTTCTGGTAGAGTCAAGATTTCATCATGTTGGCCAGAGGCTGGTCTCAAACTCCTGACTTCAAGTGATCTGCCTGCCTCGGCCTCCCAAAGTGCTGGGATTACAGGCATGAGCCACCACACCTGGCCAAAGCCTTGTTTTCTATGGTGACATTTTCTTGCTCTCAGATCAAGTAGTAACGAGTGTTTCTTTTCAATGTCATGCTGTTCTTAGTTGGTTTGTTATCAAGTGCCTTCATTCGGTCAACAAATATTTATGTGAGCTTTAAACTCTGCACCAGGGGTTCAGTGACTACCAGGGCTCATAGCCAGGAGTGTTTTTGATTTTTGCCTCTTTTTATAGATTTTTAAGTGGCTTTCAAGTAAAAGACTTCAAGTGAATAATGAAATAAGAGTACATCAGGACGAAGGTCAATACAAATATCTTGCCATGATTTGGATATGGTTTGTTTGTCCCCACCGAAACTCATGATGAAATTTGATCTCCATTATGGCAGTGTTGGGAGGTGGGGCCTATGGGAGGTATGTGGGTCATGGGAGTGGATTTCTCATGAATAGGCTAATGTCCTCCCTTAGGGGTGAGTGAGTTCTCACTCTCAAGGGAAAGGATATTCCATGAAGAGTGGGTTGTTAAAAATAGTCTGAGTCTGACTTCGTTGATTTTGCTCTCTTGCGTCCTCTCTTACCAAGTGATCTCTTTGCACATGCCAGCTCCCCTTCCACTTTCAACTCCCCCGCCATGAGTTGAACCAGTCTGAGTCCCTCACCAGATGCATATGCCAAATCTTGAACTTTCTAGACACCAGAATTATAAGCCAAATTGCTTCTTTATAAACTACTCAGTCTCAGGTGTTCTGTTATAGCAACACAAAATGGATAAAGACAGAAAACTGGTACCAAGAGTGGGGTGTTGCTATAAAGATACCTGAAAATGTGGAAGTGGCTTTTGGAACAGGATAATGAGCAGAGGTTAGAAGAGTTTGAAGGAACAGGCATTAAAGAGATTGCATTGCTTGGAGTGGAGCATTAAGGACAATTCTGGTGAGGGCTTAGAAGATAAGCTGGAACTTCTAAGAGACTGGTTAAGTGTTTATGACCAGAATGCCAATAGAAACGTGGACAGTAAAGGCCATGATAATGAGGTGTCAGATGGAAATGATGATGACACCAATGCTTACCACTTAGGCTCTTTGGAGTGGAGGCATGAGTCGAACCTGGGGCTGCTTGAGCAGGAAGCAGTCACAAAGCAGTGCAGGGCTGGGGCATCCATGTCCACTTGGTACTAGTTCTGCAGGCCAGGTGTGCAGAAACCAAGAGTGGTAGAAGTGTGGTGGCTTCCACCTAGATTTCACAGATATATCAAAATGCCTGGGAGCCCAGGGAGAAACCTGCCACCACAGACAGTTCTCACTGAGGCAATGCCTAGTGTGGAGCAGGGTCACCATTGGGACCCCAGAACTATAGAGCCATTGGCAGCATACAACATCCATCTGGCAAAACCACAGGCACCCAACTGCAACCCATGGAAGTAGCCACATGGGCTGCACCCAACAAAGACATGGCAGCATACTAGACATAAAGGCCTGAGGCCTTTGCAAGCCCAGCCCTGGAACCAGCGCCTCCAGGTTGTGGGACATAGAGACAAAGGAGATTATTATGAAGCTTTAAGATTTAATGTTTGGCCAGGTGTGGTGGCTCATGCCTGTAATCCCAGCACTTTGGGAGGCTGAGGCGGGCGGATCATGAGGTCAGGAGATCGAGACCATCCTGGCTAACATGGTGAAACCTCGTCTCTACTAAAAATACAAAAAATTAGCCGGGTGTGGTGGCGGGCACCTGTAGTCCCAGCTACTCAGGAGGCTGAGGCAGGAGAATGGTGTGAACCCAAGAGGCGGAGCTTTCAGTGAGCTGAGATGGCACCACTGCACTCCAGTCTGGGTAACAGAGTGAGACTGTCTCAAAAAAAAAAAAAAAAGATTTAATGTCTGCCCTGCTGTGTTTCAGACTTGTGTGGGGCCTGTTACTCTTTTCTATTGGCCTATTTGTCTCTTTTGGGACGGGAATATTTACCAAATGTCTGCGCCACTGTTTTGTCTTGGAAGCAGATAACTTGCTTTTTATTTTACAGGCTCATAGCTGGAAGGAGCTTGCCTTAGGTCTCAGATGAGACTTTGGACTTTTAAGTTGATGCTGAAACAAGTCAAGACTTTGAAGCCTATTGGGATGCACTGATTGTATTTTTCATGGGAAAAGGACATGAGTTTCATGGGGCCAGGGGCAGAATGCTGTGGTCTGGATGTAGTTTGTCCTCACCAAAACTCATGTTGAAAGTTGATCTCCAGTGTGGCAGCGTTTGAGAATTGGGAGCCAGTGCGAGGTGTTTGGGTCATGGGGCAGATCCCTCATGAATGGCATGGTGCTCTTCTCAAAGTAGGGAGTGAGTTCTCTCAGGAATAGATTAGTTCCCTCCTGAGCGGGCTGTGTGAAAGCCAGGATGCCCCTCGGGTTTTGCCCCTTTTCAGGTGTCTGCTTCCCCTTTGACGTTCTGCCATGTGGTGACGCGGCACAAAAGCCCTCACTGAAACCAGGGCCATGGCCTTGAACTTCTCAGCCTGCAGAACAATAAGCTAAAGAAACCTCTTTTCTTTATAAATCACCCAGCCTCAGGCATTCTGTTACAGCAATATTAAACAAACTACAACACATCCCTTTTCCGCAAGAGTCAACAAAATTGCTGTTGTTGATTCTCAAACTTGGCTTTGCATTTTCTAACAGCCAATAAAAGTGGGAACCATGGTCACTTATGTGATTGTCATTACTGGAAAAGAGGAAGCATATGTGTTCCTTTGGGAAATAAAGCTTTTCCTAGCACTGAATCCAAAAGGAATTTCTTGAGTATAATTTTATTACCTAGAAAAGACACCAAGCAATATCAGAAATGATGTCCTCAACAACATTTTGAAGTTTTGTTGAAACAATAAATGCACTATCAAATTTCATAAAGCCTTTTTTTAGTGTTCTTCGTCAAGTTTGGGGCATATTAAAATACAACTTCATGAAGGTGACCGACCAAGAAACTCAACCCAAGTCTCCAGGTAAATAACCAATTATCTAGTCCAACTTGGTCCAAAAAAAGAATTTAGAATTCCTGGAGGAAAAGAACAATGAAATACCATGTTTTTATCTGTTAACTTGGCAGAAAATATGCTTTCTTGAAAGATTAAATCCCAATTTTGGCAAGAATTGGGAAAGTCTGCCCTCTCATGCCCTGTGGGTGGGAATATAAATTGGTACAATCTTTTTTAGAGGGCAATTTGGCACTAAGTAACAAGAGTCTTAAAAATGTGCTTACACACAGCAATTCTGCTTTGGGGGATCTTTTTCCTCTAAAGAAATAACCAAAAATGCACCAAAGACTTAGGTACGAGATGTTTGTTTTGCTCCGCCTCTTTGGGTGGCAGTAAACACAGATGGACCCAACCAGGGGCTGGCGCTGGAAATCTCTGGAGCCAAGGCAGTTCTGGGCTGGAAATCTCTAGAGCCAAGGCAGCTCTGGGAGATGGATTTTTTTTCTCTCACTCATGTAAGCTCCTCAGCCTCTTTCTCTTTTTGGAACTTTTTATTTTGGAATAATTTAAGACTCAAAATAATTTGCCAAAATAGTTCCCCTGTACCCTTCGCCCAGCTTCTTCAATGATAACACCTTACTTAACATTAGTACATTATTAAAACCAGAAAAGGGACACAGTAGAATTTTTTTTTTTTTGAGACGGAGTCTCGCCCTGTCACCCACCAGGCTGGAGTGCAGCAGTGCGATCTCGGCTCACTGTAACCTCTGCCTCCTGGGTTCAAGCAATTCTCCTGCCTCAGCCTCCGGAGTAGCTGGGATTACAGGAGAGCACCATCATGCCTGACTAACTTTTTTGTATTTCTTTTTTTTTTTTTAAATAGAGATGGGGTTAGAATACTCTTAACTAAACTATAGGCCTTATTTGAATTTCACCAGGTTTTACATACACAATACACTCATTATGTGTGTGTGTGTGTGTGTGTGTGTGTGACTATGAAATCATATGTATAGATTCATGTAACCACCACCATAATCAAGATCCAGAACTCTTCTATCCAGAAAGAAATTCACCGATGCTACCCCTTTGTCATCTTGCCCCACCCCCCACCGTAGCCCCTGGCAACCACAGCTCTGTTCCCCATCACTGTAATTTTGTCATTTCAGGAGTGTGATATAAATGGAAGCACACAGGATATAACCTTTAACCTCCTGGTGCATTTCTTCCTCCCCAGCCTGCATTTTCTCAAAAGGTCAACCGACCACAACTTCTTCTGGCCCCTCCTTAGCCTCTGATCATGCTTTTCACATCAGCGTCCATTGATGAGTGGGTCTCACCTGGTACTTTTGCCCTGAGAGAGGGAATCCTATGGCCCGGTGCATGTGTGGGTCCGGCCATGTCATCGGTCACTGACAAGTTGGCTGGATTTACTGTCAGGGGTCAGGCTCCCATGTCTGGTCCATTCATCTGTGGCGGAGCGGAGCAAGCTGTTTGACACAAAACAGGGCCACCTTGCCCATCCCGTCATCAAAGAGATGAACAAAGGGAGATCCCTTCTGAGAAGGGCTCTGCTAGGCGGATGCTTTAACTGCTATATCTACTTCACAGGTCATTGGAAAGAGCCTAAATTCTTGCTAATAGAACTCCAGTTTGGGGCTGATTTATGATAACCATGCCCTCCCTGGATCCTCCAGGGCCCCAGGGCATGGATGCTCTTGGGCATAAGCCCGTCATGGGAATTCCATTTTCCTTACCAGTGGCTGGTTTAGGCAGAGCCTGTGAGACACAACGAGACCCAAGTGAGAACTCCGAGGAGCCATTCTTGGCCTCCAAAAGTCCTGTGGGAATGAACTGGAGATCAGCTCGACATCAAAGAGCTCCCAAGGGTTTCTCAAATAGGAGATAGCATCATTCTGTGTGGTTTCTCCAGAGGGCCTTACTCAGGGAATATTGGACAGAAAACCGCTGCTGTGGCATGAGCAGTTTATAGCAAAACAAAACAGAACAAAAACCAGTAACTATGGAGAGAAGACAAACGGCCAGAGAGGAGATGCCGGGAAATTTTATTAGACTAAAAAAATGCAGTGTAATCATTTTGTGAGTTGACTCCAAAGGCCCCACGTGGTTTCTATGCCTGGGAAGGTTCTAATGCCTTCCCCAGGTACCTGGTACTCGAAGCCTGGTGTCCCCAGGCTTTGCTGCAGTTCCAAAGGAACAGAACACTGTCCCCTCGTCCAGCAGCGTTAGCCCACCCAGGGAGTGGACATCGTCCTCACCTATCAGTGGGGTGACTATATAACTAACTGTTATATATATAACTATATTCCAAACCAGGACAGGTGTGAAAGTACAAGAGAGAGCCATTAACTCTCCCGGGGTCATGGTCATGAGCCAGGACCACCCAAAGCAGCTGTAGGGTCACCCAGCAAGCTGCCTCACTGCTTCTGGTAAGAGCCCTGCCACCTGCCCAACCTCCCCTCACCTTTTGGGAGATGCCCATCCCCTTCTCTAAGCTTGTGACTCTGATATCATATCTATTTCAGGGCCTCTCAACCTCGACATTGCTGACATTTGAGGCTGCATTATTCTTTATTGTGAGGGGCTGTCCCATGCCTTGTAGAATACTTAACAGCATCCCTGGCCTCTACCCACTAGATGCCAGTGATAATTCTTCCCACAGTGCCTCTGGACATTGGGCAAATGTCCCCTGGGGAGCAAATAGCTCTAATCCCATCCTTCTGGCCCAGGTGTGCCTCTGGGTTAAAGCTTCCCTGGACAGTTAATGGCTTTCTAATCTTGGGGCCTAGAGAGACTGAGTCACAAGGCAGGGCAGGAGGCCACCTATGAGAATGGGCAAAATGGGGCTGTGGAGAACCCCTCAAGAAGGGGGAGAAATATGTTCTTTTTTTCCCCAAGGTTGTTTCTAGAATCCCTGCTATGACATGCAGGGGCTGGTGTCTCCATAGGAGACCATCCAAGCCTCCCAACCAAATGACCTCCATGCCCCTGGAGAACCAAGCGGGGGTACAGTCCAGAAACATGTTGCACCTGCAGTGGGAAGATTGTAGCTGGGTCACCCCCACCCCACTGGGACATGCCAGGCACATTGAATGAATGAATTCCAGTTTAGTCTTAAACTCACTGATGGACTCTGTGTGAGTGCATTTAATTTCTCTGATTTTTAATTTGCTCACTGGAACAACAAAGAAAAGATTGCTGATCTGCCTTACATGGGTGCAGGGTGAAATGACCTCCTCCAGCCCATTCTCTCAGAGGCCATTTAGGAGATCCAGAAGCATCTATTGGCGGATGGCCACTGCTGGTTACTGCGGGGTCTTTGTAAGGAAAGTGAGGCCTGGAGGGAGAGGGCCACTCCATGAGTACAATAGGGACTAACCTGCTGTTTCACCAGGAGCATGGTAAGAGTAGCAAGTCTCAGTCCTCATGTGACACCAGACCATAATGTCCTTGGAAGAAAATTAGGACTTGGTGGAGTGAGACACTTTGCTCTTAAGTAACTAAAAAAGGGGTGAGGGTCTGTGTCTTTCACTAGCAGGGAAATTCGTCAGGATTCAGAGCCAGGGGAGATGTTTTCCCATATCAATAGGGCCATACCCCCATGCCCGCTTGCTTTGAAGCCAGCAGATAGATGTGTAGGCAGAAAAAAGTCTCAGTTAACATCTAGCCCAGTGGTTTTCACCCACTGGTAACTCTGGCAATTACCAACCTTGGCAACATCTGGAGATATTTTTGGTTGTCACAGTTGGGAAAGGGGTACTACTGGTATCTAGAGGGACAGGGGCCAGAGAGGCTGCTAACCATCCTGCAGTGAACAGGGCAGCACCACGACCCCCATCCTGTCCCGCCCCCATCAATGATACATCAATAGTTTTAAGGTTGAGCTGGGTGTGGCTCATGCCTGTAATCCCAGCACTTTGAGAGACTGAGGCAGGCAGATTGCTTGAGGCCAGGAGCTTGAGACCAGCCTGGGCAACATGGTGAAACCCCATCTCTACTAAAAATACAAAAAAATTAGCTGGGTGTGGTGATGCATGCCTGTAGTCCCAGCTACTCAAGAGGCTGAGGTGGGAAAATCACCTGAGCCCAGGGGGTCAAGGCTGCAGTGAGCCAAGATTGTGTTGCTGCACTCTAGCCTGAGTGTCAGAGTGAGACCTTGTCAAAAAAAAAAAAAAAAATGTCTTGAGGTTGAGAAACCATGATAAGACTGGGACACTAGGGTTTGTCCTCCATCCCCGGGAATCCCATGGGGAAAGCTGGGGGTCTCCACCCTCCCCCCACCCATGGGAATAGAGGCAGGGGTTAGAGGTCGTATCTCCCGCTCCTCTGAGGTTGTCTTGAGCCATCAGTGGAAGAATTGCTTGACCCCATTGCAGAGTCCAGCACTCATGAGGTCTAGGGAAGACACCGAATGGTCCTGACCCAGGCCAGGAACTTTTGACTATGGCCACAGGGGCTGGCACTGGGCAATGCCTACAGACTCACAGAAGACACCTGACCAGGTGAGATCTAAGCTAGTATCCCCCATCCTCCCTTTCTGGGTAGGGTGGCACCTCCCTTCTTCCCCCCGGGGGGGCCACAGAGGGGCCCCAGCATGCCCAGGTGACTCATTACCAGGTTCATCAACAGCACCCAGAAAACGTTCTTCCTTTACTATTCCCTCCCTGCATCTCCTGTGATTACACACTACCAACACCTGCTCCCAGGACGGAGCCTGGCACTTTAGCAGACAACTGTGAATGATCTAGAAACACGACCCTCCCCGCAGGGATTTAGAATTGGATATGCACTAAAACTCAAATTATAACAGGAATCATTTGCTACTTTGGGCCAGGCCTTGTGCTGCACACTTTGAATACAGCATCTCCCTCCTTCTCTCAATAGCCTCTCAAGGTGGGTATTATAAGCATTATGCCCACTTTTCAAATGATGAGTCCAAAACTTACAAGGATTAAGTAACTTACCAAAGGTTCTTGGCTACAGTGGCAGACAAAGATGAGATGCAACCTGAGACCCAGCTGACTCCAAGGCACATGCTCCTAATCCTTGGTGAGCCTCCGCTGGGACTGCTCCATCAGTGAGTTCCAGGTAGGCAGAGGCGCTGCTTCCCAGTGACTGAAGCTCCTGAACTCATCCCTCTGGCTGCAAGCAGCGTTGCCCTCTCAACTCGGGGGCCCTCCATAACTGTCATTGTCTTGAACAAGAGCAGGATCACAGCCTGTGCTAAACTTTCTCCTATAAAAGCAAACTCTGACAGGAAATTTTAGGCACTTCCCAGTAGATGGTGGTGGCTGAGGAGCTGGGAATCTTTTCTACCACACTGTGGGAGCAGAATCTCTGGTCTTCATAAGTGATGGCTGAGCGATGTGTCAACCTTCATTGAGGCTTCCAGAAGCTAGAGGCTTCCAGATAACTGGAGCCAGGCCCGTTTTCTTTTATTTATTTATTTATTTATTATTTATTTATTTATTTATTATTATACTTTAAGTTTTAGGGTACATGTGCACAATGTGCAGGTTAGTTACATATGTATACATGTGACATGCTGGTGCGCTGCACCCACTAACTCGTCATCTAGCATTAGGTATATCTCCCAATGCTATCCCTCCCCACTTCCGCCACCCCACAACAGTCCCCAGAGTGTGATGTTCCCCTTCCTGTGTCCATGTGTTCTCATTGTTCAATTCCCACCTATGAGTGAGAATATGTGGTGTTTGGTTTTTTGTTCTTGCGATAGTTTACTGAGAATGATGATTTCCAATTTCATCCATGTCCCTACAAAGGACATGAACTCATCATTTTTATGGCTGCATAGTATTCCATGGTGTACATGTGCCACATTTTCTTAATCCAGTCTATCATTGTTGGACATTTGGGTTGGTTCCAAGTCTTTGCTATTGTGAATAATGCTGCAATAAACATACGTGTGCATGTGTCTTTATAGCAGCATGATTTATAGTCCTTTGGGTATATGCTCAGTAATGGGATGGCTGGGTCAAATGGTATTTCTAGTTCTAGATCCCTGAGGAATGGCCACACTGACTTCCACAATGGTTGAACTAGTTTACAGTCCCACCAACAGTGTAAAAGTGTTCCTATTTCTCCACATCCTCTCCAGCACTTGTTGTTTCCTGACTTTTTAATGATTGCCATTCTAACTGGTGTGACAGGCCCGTTTTCTAAGAGGCCTATTTGCCGTGCCCAGGTGGAGTCCCACTTCCTATAACCAAGCTCAGATGAATCCTACATAGCTTTGCTGGTTCCAGAAAGGCAGCTGGAGCCTGTGGCAAAGCAACATTGCTTGGATTTCAGCAGCGGGTGTTTCCTACCTGGGGGCTCACCATCCCTTGCCATTTCCTCAGGAGGCTTGCACAAAACCAGTGTCATAGGCTCCATACCCACTAGGATGGCTAGAGTCTCAACAACCAACCAAACAAGGAAAATAACAAGTATTGATGAGGATGTGCAGACACTGGAACCTTCCTACATAATTGGCGGGATGCAGTCACTATGGTCAACAGCCTTTCCATTCCTCTAAAAGTTAAACATGGGGCTACCATATGACCTAGCAATTCCACTCCAACATATATACCCAAGAGAAGTACAAACGGGTGTTCAAACAAGTACATGTACACCAATGTTCCCAGCAGCACTATTCACAATAGCCAAAAGGTGGAACAACTCAAATGTTCATCAGTGTATGAATGGATAAACAAATTGTGACACACACACACACACACACACGAATATTACTCGATCAGAAAAAAGGGACAAAGTCCTGATGCATGCTTCAATGTGAATGAACCTCCGAAACTTATGCTAAGTAAAAGAAGCCAGATACAAAGGGTTATGTATGAAGCCATCCTCCTTACATGAAATATTCAGAATAATCAACTCCACAGACACAGGAAGCAAATTGGTGGTTGCCGGCGGGGGACAATGGGGAATAACGGCTTAAAGAGCATGGATTTCCTTTTGGGGTAATTAAAGTGTTTTGGAACTAGATAGAGATGGTAGTTGCATAACACTGTGAATGTACTAAATGCCACTGAGTTGCTCAATTTAAAAGGTTAATTTTATGTTATGAATTCATGATTTTATCTCAATACAATTTGTTTCTTAATTAAAAAAAATTAGCATCATAGTTACACCAGCCTGGGCAGGCGGCTGGACGGGTGCATTCTAAAAGTATTGTATTCTTCCTTAAGCTCTACAGGACAGCTGTACCGGTTGCTTTAGTAAACAACATTTGCCCCTTCTTCCAATAGCTGTCTCCAAGTTTCTCCTGAGGACCTGTTCCCATCACACTTTCCAGTCCAGACGCCAGTGATCTGAGTCCATTCATTCACTTTCCTGGTTTTCTGTCACTTGCCATCGAAACAGTCCTGACTGATACAGCCATCTTCAATGTTTCCGTGGAGCATACCCTAGTTTTTGTTTAATTTCAAGAGGCCATTGAGAGATGTTCAAGTTGCAATGTGAAAATTCTAGCTTCCAAACCTCTACTTCAATCTGGACAGAAAATTTCAAGTTTCAAGTTACATTTAAAATGTTTTCTATGATGGTGATAATGTCCATGTACTTAAAGCCAATAAACTACACACTTTAAAAATGGTTACAAAGGTAAATTTTACGTTCTGCATATTTTAACACAGTATAAAAAATAATAATAAATGTTATTTTTTCTGACTATATGATCATGGTAAAAAAAAAACCTTGAGCCATATAGGAAAGTATGAAGAAGAATATAATTATCACCCACAATGTCTGTTTCAGGGCTAACAACTGCTAACACTTTGGTATATTTCCTTGTAGTCTTTTTTTATGTTTTACAGTGTGAAATACTGTGTATATATACACACTGTGAAAAATGAAAAGAACTATTGTTGTTTACCCTGAAACAGATATTATAGATGATAATTATATTCTTCTTCATGCTTTTCTATATTGCTCATTTTTTTACCATAAACATATAGTCACAACAAATAACATTTCTTATTTTTTTACACAGTGGTATATCAGTGGTATATATATATATATACACACACACACACACACACACAGTGAACAATAAATGAAATGAAAAAATAAATTATATAGTTTTTTGCCCTGATTTTTACTTAACATTATACCATGAACATTTTTTCTACCTGTAAGTTAAGTATTAGTCCGTTTTCATGCTGCTGATAAAGACATAACTGAGGCTGGGTAATTTATAAATTTACAAAGAAAAAGAGGTTTAATGGACTCAGAGTTCCACGCGGCTGGGGAGGCCTCATAATCATGATGGAAGGTGAAAGCCATGTCTTACATGGCAGCAGGCAAGACAGAATAAGAGCCAAGCAAAAGGGGTTTCCCTTATAAAACCATCAGGCCTCGTGAGACTTATTCACTACCACGAGAACAGTATGGGGAAACCGCCCCCATAATTCAATTATCTCCCACTCCATCCCTCCCGCAACACATGGGAATTATGGGAGCCACAATTCAAGATGGAATTTGGGTGGGGACACAGCCAAACTATATCAATTGTGATTGAAACTTAATTTTTAGTGGCTGCATAATATTCCATCCTGTGGGTGCAAGATACTTAAGCTAATTAATTCCCCAATGGTAGATATTTAGAGAGTCTCCTATTCGTCTCCATCATAAAATAAAATGAAGATGAATATTGATATTTAGATTCCTAGAAGAGGGATAGGAACAATTGCAATGTTTTTGGTCCAAACTGCAGATACCCCACAGAAAGTACCCATAGAATCACCCTTTTCTCAAGCCTTAATCACTGACTGAAGCCTTAATCACTGACCACCAGCCTGGGATGGCAGCTGGTGGGTCCCTTATGGAGATCTGTGGCTGGAAGACACTGTCATGGCTGGAGGGGACACTTCTGGCCCCCATCCCTACTGGCTGGCACCTCCATGGCATACACTCTTTCCTTCCCAGATGCTGCCTGCCTAGAAAACCACTCTTTCAAAGCTTTTTTTTTTCCATTAACGTCAAAGCTAGGAAATGGCTATTTAAGATGTTATTTTCTGTCATCCCAGGAACCAGGAAATTGGGGAGGTGGCATGAGCCTGGTCCTGCTTTATTTGTTCTGAAATACATGGAAATGCTCTCATTTCCTGGCCTCCCTTTCTCCTCACTCCTATCCCCGTCCCTACTTTCCAGGGCCTTTGGCTTTGTTTTGGGGGCCCTCCCCACACCATGTCACTGATGTCTGCCCTGTGCAGTGTGCCCTGTGGAAGGCGGCAGCTATTTGACCTCTCTTCCCTTGCAACCATCCAGAAACCTGCTGAGCTGGCGGCCACAGCAGCCACACTTCTCACGGGCTGAGCGTCCCGAAGTTCTCTAAGGAGCCGCTCGTGTGTAACACCATAGCCCATGTGAATCCGTGCTGACATCCGCACAGATGAACGGATCAGATGAGATTTAATCTCCCTGAGGCCCATGGGCACGAGTCACTGGAGTTTTATGGGGTCCAGTAAAGAGCAAGGAAAAGTCCGGGTCTTACAAGGCTGTAATCGCCTCTTAGAAAGAGTCTCCCCTAACCACCTGGTGCCTTAGCCCTGCAGGGAGCTGTCCAGATGCTGACCCATTTAAGCGCAGCTTCCTCGGCCGCCTTCAGACCTTCCCCGCCAAGGTTTTTTCCTCCCTGTTCCTGATGTATTCTGCTCCATCTGGGGCTTTTATTGGGTGTCGTTTCCTTTACCACCCTATAACTTTCTCAGCAGTCAAAATGGAGAAGAGTCTTCATTTTGCTGATGGGAGCCCTGCCCTTGGAACTGTTTTATAAGCAATCATCCAGTTACTAAGGGGAAAAATGATGAGAGCAGAGGACGAACAGCTGGTCTTAGGGGAGCCAGAAGGGCAGCTGGGAGAACAGCCAGTGGGAATCCGAGCTGCTGCTTGGTGATCCGGCAGGGACGCGGATGGCTGTGTGAACTCTCCCAGGCTTCACACTCGGATGCATCCGGAACAGGAGACCGCACACTCTCAATGAGGAAGAGATAGGGTTCTTAGGAAGCCACATATGAGCCCTGATGAGGCCCTTAGTGGGCTGTGGAGAGGAGAGGGACGCTAGCTGGGAGGGGCTGTGGGGAACAGCTCAGACCGAATTGAGAGGTGGTGGGAAAAGGAGGGATGTGGCGAGGGCTGAGTGAGGGGGGAAGGGAGAGGTAGGACCAATGTCCCTGCAGACTCCACCCCCACCCCCACACACAAAGTCAAGTCCAGGAGAAAAAGAGGGAAACACAGGACTGAGTTCATGAGCAAGCAGGAGCAGGTGAGTGAACAATCTCATCTGGAGGCTTAGCACACCCAAAAGCACAGCCCCACCTTCTAGGTCCCCACCAACCAGCTCGGACAGGAAGTGCCATTTGGTGGCCCAGCCTCCTGCGTGAAGCAGAATGGACAATCAGCCTCTTGCTTTCTGAAGCACAGTATTCCTTGGGCCTCCTTGCCAGCGACTGTCACCTCCGCCTTCCCTGTTTGCTCAGTCATCCAGGCTACATGGCTCTGACACAGCTCCCTGGGTCCCCTGCTGAGACCAACTTTTGCATGCTTAAGCCCTGACAGCTGGCCTAAAGATTCCAGCTGTTGTGCCCACTCACAGCATGGGTGATGCTGATGTGGATGGAGCCTCAATGTGCCATTCTCCTTTGAGCACTAGAATTTGGCCATATGTAGGGCAAATTACCTTTTTAATCCTCCATAGCCTTATCTGGAAATAGGGGCTAGCAATTGTCCTAGCTCAGAGGGCTGTTGTGAAAATTAAATGTCTTAACACATGGTAAGCACTTAGCAGAGTGCGTGGCATGTAATTGATATTAGCTGTAGTGGGGATTAATATTATTATTATTAGCCAATAAATATTATTATTTATAGGGGCAACTCCACAGTGAGCTCAATTCTTCTTGCTCTGACCTTGACCAGGTTTTTCTGCCTACACCCCCTCCCAACTTCATGGGGCCCTCTTCCCTCTCCCCCAGCCTCCTGACATACACACGTATGCACACTCTGCACATTTTCAGATACTGCTCATCTCAAACTTGACCTGGATCTGCTGAGAAGCTCTGGTCTCCTCCATCCCCAACACGATTGAAGGTGCCTTGATCGGTCTCGTATTGATCAGTCTGGTATTGATCGTCCCACATCAGTGTTGATGACCACTTAGATCTGGAGTTTGGAATTCCATCTCTGCTCTACACTGGAAGCAACATCTGTTTGCTCAAATAAACCAGTCCGTGTGTACTAGAAGATACATACAGCTCATGCTATGTGGCTGCCAGAGGTCAGTAAGGAATCTCTACTCCTCGTCATCACGTGGGAGTTCAGAGTGACAGAGTGCCATCTTGACAACTGTCTCCACAATCCCAAAGGCAGAGAGACGAGCATGGCAAAGCACTCAGTGATTCCGAAAGCTTCCACCTGGAAGTGACACATGTCACCACCTCCACCCCCAAGGGACCAGAAGGAGGCTGCCTGGCTGGAAGACATTTCCTCCTCCTAGACATAACTGGGCCTCTTCCTTGTCATCCACACAGGCACATTCTGCAAATAATGTGCACATGGATGTGTGTTTCTCATTAAGATCTAATGAGTGAAGCCATCAGATTTGTTCAGACTGGCCCAGGATTCAGAGAGAGAGCTGAGGTTTTATGAAACTCCCCTACCAATGGGGAATCCATGAATTATTAAAAGGATAGAAAAAGAGACCCAGGGTGGAAGGGCTGCTCCATTATTCATCAGGCCTGGAGTCCCCAAATCCCCAAGCACAGCTGTTGGCTTTTACACCTACAGCATTTTCCCATTATGTCTACAGTCAGCCTTTCAAACACGCCGTATTGGCAGCCTCCGAGCAGTGCTCCCGCCCACGTCACCCACTGCCTGTCTCATTATCTGAACCAGTCCGCGGCCCAACCGTGGGACACAGATGTTGGTGTTGCTCACCCACCTTCACGTCCCAGGCTCCCTGATCACAGACCTGAGGGCCTGAGGGCCAAGCTCCTTACAAGAACTGGGAGCCTCTCCCACTCTGGCCCCAGTTGTCTCTTCAGTTTTGTCTCCCTCCATTTCCCATGCCCACCCTACCTCAGACCATTTGCCTTTCCCTGAATGTAATTTCATATTCTCAGGCCTTCGTCTAGGATGACCCCTTTGCCTGAAACTCCCTTCCCAGCCCTCTGTCTACCTGGTGAATTTCTATTTATCATTTACGGCCAGATCAGAGGAAGGGAAACTAACTTTTGCTGAGAGCCCCCAATGTGTCAGACCCTTGTGCAAACATGATCTCGCTTTCGCAAACCAGTGAGGTTGGCGTTATCACCAGCATCAGAGACATAATTTTATGGAGTCCGGTGCAACAATTAAGATGTAGCCCCTTGTTGAAAACTGATTAAGAATTTCGAGATGGCAAAATCAGATCATCAAACCAGGCACAGAGCTTTCCTAAGAGCAAGGCTTTGAGAACCATGAAGCCAGCTTTGGTTATCGAGAAGTGAACGAAAGCTCAGAGAGGTTAAGTAACTTGTCCAAGGTCACACAGCTAGTTGGGGCAGAGCCACGTTGAAGACCTCATTCCATCAGATCCAAATTGCTGTTTTTCAACCACCCATGTTGTGGGGACTTCCCCACTTGCCTTGGGCAGAATGACTGGGGAGGAGGCTTTGAGCACCCCTGGACACTATCTTCCTTTTTTTTTTTTTTTTTTTTTTTTTGAGATGGAGTCTTGCTCTGTCACCCAGGCTGGAGTGCAGTGGCGCAATCTCGGCTCACTGCAAGCTCTGCCTCCCAGGTTCATGCCATTCTCCTGCCTCAGCCTCCCGAGTAGCTGGGACTACAGGCGCCTGCCACCATGCCTGACTAATTTTTTTGTGTGTTTTTTAGTAGAGATGGGGTTTCACCATGTTAGCCAGGGTGGTCTTGATCTCCCGACCTCATGATCTGCCTGCCTTGGCCTCCCTAAGTGCTGGGATCACAGGCATGAGCCACCGCGCCCGGCCACTAGCTTCCCTTTTGAAGGGTGTTTTCTGCAACCAATTGATCTGTTATTTCTCCATAAGCATTGCAAGATGATCCAGAGAATAGGGTCACACAGATCAAAAAGGGGGCCTATCTAGGGGGCAAGTGGACATTCTGGGATTGTTCAATTAACCCACAAGGGAGGACATTCCCTCTTCCACCCACCCCTTTCCTCACACCCAACACCAGGCAGTCTGCTCACCCCCACTCCATACACTTACTCTTCAATGGCTGGAGGACATGGCGACGGCCCGCAGAGGTGACCCACAGGGCATGGATCCCAGGCCAGCCTCTCTGGCCTTTGCTGGGAAAATGACCTGCAGACTTTGCAAAAGGCACATCTCCTGGGTGCTTTGCCCGTTTTCATCTTTTCATTTCATTGATCCAGCCACCTCTGAGGTTTTCTTTGGTGGTTTTCTCCTTGACAGCTTTAGTCTTGGGGAGATGTGTCCAACTTCCAGTCATTCATTCAGCAAATACAATGTGCCTACTATGCGTCAGACTTTCTCCTTTTAAGGGGCTCCCAGCATAGTTAGGGAGATTGACAGTAAATTCATCATTGCCATACTGGTGAGAGCTGTGCAAGAGGCTCCTGGGCCCAGAGACGAAGAAGAAGAAATCCATTCTTGGATTTCCATCAGGGTATTCTGGGGGATAGAGAAGAACACTCTTGGGGTAGGTGGGAAAAGGGAGAAAAAGCGGAAAACTGCATAGGCCTAAAATGCTGTGAATAGACACGTGGTGTATCCTTTCCAAAAACCTTCAGTTGTCCCAACTCCACCTGGCCCCATTCACATGTGACAAAGTCCTCCCATGTCAGGAGACCTCAGCAACATAGATGCTTCTATAAAAGTTTCTGCCCTACAGTTTTAAACTAATATGTTCACTGCTGATGTCTCATTATTTAGCAACCAACTTTGCCCCCAAATATTTCCACATGCCACATCTTTGACCCCCTCTTGGTCTGCAGGGATTTTACAGGCCTTTGAGGGGAAGCTGCTGGTCTGTGAGCATCTGCACAAGTGTGCCGGACAAAGATATCGGTCAGGCTGCCATTTCAAAGCAATAAAAGATATGTGGCTATGCAGGCCAGGAAGAGTTAGCCCTTGGGTTCCCCTTCCAACCTGGCTGACCACACTGGCTCCAGCTGCCACTTTCAAATTAGTCATAGATTAACAAACATCTATTGAGCACCTATTGGGTGTCCAGGACCCAGAGACTAAAGGAGACATAGAACCTAAGAAAGGAAGAAATGTTTTATTGTTAGTTGCCACCATTTATTGGACATATATTACCATTTTACTGTTAAGAGGGACAAACACTTTGCTTAAGGCCACACAGTACAAAAGCAGAGTGGGGCTTTAAAGGCTCAGATTCTGCACTTAGACAGGCCTGAGCTGCAGTCCTGGCTCTGCCATTTTCCAGCTGTGTGTCCTCAGACTCCTCACTTAAGCGCCCTGTGCCTCAGTCTTCTCATCTGTAAAATGGGATTCGTGTGAGAATTAAATGACTTAATACATGTGAAGCTCATTGAACGCTTACACTAGTAAGTGCTCAATAAATACTAGCTGGCATTGTTGTTCTATCACCATCATCATCATCATCATCATCATCATCATCCTTATTTAAAAGCAGCAGCAACGGCAGAGGCTGCAGCCCCAGCTGCTGGAATTTGAAGGTGAGTCTGACTCCAGGCAGGGTCTCCCAGCCCTATGCGGACTCTGAAAGCCTCTCCTCTCCCACGCCGGCCCCCAACTCTTCACCTGCCACCCCCACAAGGGTGCTCACCCCAGAGGTGCTCACCTCCCGGGCTGGGAGACCGCATCTGACCGGTCCCAAACCCCGCCTGCAGCTGGCAGCGCCGGGGTGGGGAGGCCCCGCCCTCGGCCCCGCCCCCTGCCCGCCCCTCCCTCTCGGGGTCCGGGGCGCGAGCTGCGGCGGCGGCGGCCACGGTCATTGGCGCCGAGCGGTTCCGGCTGACTGGACGGGGCGGGCGTCCCGGGCAGCCTAGCGCGGTACCTCCCGCCCCGCGCGCCCAGCCGGCGAGGGACATTGGACCAGGGTCGGGGGTCGCGGCCGCTCCAGCGAGGTAAGAGCCGGGAAGACCGGGAGAGACCACCTCTTCCATCCTGGGGGGGTCCCTGGGGGACGGTCTCCCACCGGTGCTGGGCCGCGGCGCCGGGCTGCGCCCCCATGACAGCCCAGCCAGGGGCAGGGGCTGGAGAGCCCTAGCGATCGCGCACCCTGGAAGGGGCAGTGTGGTGGGGAGCGCGGGCGTGTGTATGCGCGTGTGCGTGTGTCTGTCTGTCCATCTGTCTGTCCCAAGGATGTATCGGGGGAGATGATGACGCCCCCTCTTTGCAGTCGCTTCTAGGCAATTTACCCATGCCAAAGCTGAGGGCAGACTTTTCCACGACGGACTTGAATGGGGCTGGCAGATTATTATCCGGATAATGCAGGAAGGGATAAGCCCACCACCACCTGTTGAGCTGGGCTGTCGGCCTATGCGGGTCCAACTCCCCGCTTATCACAGCCTGCAGGGTGGCCTCATTTCTCCAGCTCGTGGGACCCGGGGCTTCCTTCTCCCGCCTGTGAGAAGGGTTGATAGGAGGAGGTGTCCCTGCCAGGAGCCACTGAGCAGAGATGGACTCGCGGGGGTGATCAGGGTGGTGCTATGGGGACCCCACCGCAGGTGCTGGGCGTGAGGTGTCAACCACCCAGGCACACCCCAAATTTGGATTTCCCCAATCACTCCAAAACCTCTCATTGTGATTCCCCGATCTTTGCTCTCATCCTAATTTGGCAGTTGATGAAGATGCAGCTCGTTAAAAATGTTAAAGTGAAATCAAATTATCACTTCCTAGGACTGAAAATGATTTGAGAAATAATTCCGGGAGCCTGGCTGGGGAGGAAAGAAGCTCATATTCTGACTAGCTTCTCCAGGGCTGCCCCGGGGCTGCCTCCGGTACCTGCCAGGCACGCCGGTGGTTAAGGAAGCCCTTGTTCCCAGAAAGGAAGGGATTCACCCACTTTGCACTGGATTATCAGTGACTGGGTTAGAGCAGGACCCAGGACAGGATCCCCAAGTGGGAGCTGTCTCAGTTTGACAGATGTCACATACAAGCTGTCACCGAGGCTGGCTTCTGCTCCACATCCATCCTGGGGAACACAAGATGGGGCTTCCCCTCCCAGCCACCTCACACCCATTCCCCTCATTTCCACAAACCTGAAGTCTTGATCAATTAACAGCCAGGATTGCCTGGGTGTGGGTGTGGGACCTTGATTGGCTCTGATGTCCTGGATTCAGAGTATCTCAGGACCACAGGCATCTCAGTGGCAGGTTGGTGGCACCTCTTTGCAGACCCTGTAGCCAGCCCCTCATGCCGAAGTCTCCTGCCTGCCTGAGAAGCCCTAGATCTGCCTCACTTCTCTGCTAACGCAGCCCCTGGAGGTAGCTGGGGGACACCTCATCTCAGGGCCAGGTCCCCAGGGTGCCTAACAGGGTGAAATCTGTGCTTGTGCCTGAGACCTCCCCACCCCCAAACCTCCTCTCTCTTGTCATGTGGAAGGCAGTGGATGTGCTGAGGGGCTGGGTAGTCCAGTTCAACGGAAGATAGAGGTGGCCCTGCTGTGGCTGGGGCTGTTGGTGATGTGAGAACCCCAGCATCCTGGCTGGCTGCACCCCAGGCCCCACAAGCCAACAGCACACTTGAGGGAGCTCAGCCATTCTCAGGCTTGTCAGCTGGGGCTCTGTGACTTGGTGCAGGGGGAGATTGGCTGAATTGTTCACGCTTGTTTGGAAGAGACTGGCCTTAGGTTGTTGTGGAAAACGTCGGCTCCAAACCCTGCTAGGTTCCTGACTGTGTGACACTGGCCAACTTACAGAATGCTTGGAGGCTCAGCCTCCTCACCTGTAAGATGGGTCTGGCAGGGGGTTTTGAGAATCAAGTAAGGTCATGAATGAATGACAGTGTCCATTTTACTGGAGGTGGTTCTGGGCTGGTGTTGTGGCCTCTGCTTTCTCTAGCCCCCAGCTTGACTCTCTGACATTGGACTTGAGGGAAGTGGCTGTGTAGCTAGGATCCCTCATGCCATCCTTAGAGGTGGGGGAAGAGGTGTGAATTTTAGTAGCAGGGTAGCTCACAGATTGAGCTTGGATTCCCAAAAAGTGAGGATGGAGGATGTAACCCAGTCTCCAGCAAACTCTGCCTCTGCAGGGAGCTGGCACTTCTGTCCCCAGCTTCTGCCCCGAGCCATTGGTGTCCTGGGCCCACCCCACACAGCCTTCTGGCTCACTGACACTTGGCACATGCCTGCTCTGTCATCTTCTTCTGAGTTTTGGGCCAGTCCTACTCCCTGGCAGAATTGGGACTAGCTACTTAAGACTTCAGGGGCACCAGGACAACCCCTGCCCACCAAATATCATCCTGTTCCCCCAAACCTAGCCATCTGATGCTTAATATCCCACCATTAGAGACTTATGACTGTGGTTCATAGTCTCATGTCAGTTACTAATCCTTAACATCAATGACTTGTTGAGAAGCTTTCAGGGCCTTGGAGAGGAGAGAAAGAGAAGGCAGAACAGAGAGGAGGGAAAGAGAAGCTTGGGGAGTGTAGGAGAGAGAACATTGTACTTTGCCAGCCTCATAGTTCTGCAGAGACAGGCCCAGCTGCTAAGCTCAAGAAGGCCCCAGGGAGAAGGAGAGGCTTGGGGCGAGGGGGAAGGGGCAGGCCTCAGGCAGAGAAAGTTGTGAATATCAAGTGGGAATTCTCGGTGTGAATACAGGGTGGGTGCCAGGCCTGTGTCTGGGTTGGGCTCCGGCAGCCTGTTCGAGAGGTGAAATAGTCCCTGATGCAAAAGCATCGTTTCTTTTCATGCTGCTCTACCCGCTGCTCAGAACACACCACGTGGGGTTTGGTGTGTTCTATGGGTGGTGCCCTCTGCATTAGAAGAGTCTGGCCTGGTCACGCTGGCTGTTTAAAATTGTCAATGATAATTTGTTAGGTCAGCAAAATGACAGAGTATACCCTGCCTGGCTGTGCCTCCCTGAAAATTCCCCTGTCACTCCCCTCGCCCTTTCTTGAAAGAAGCAAAAATGGCATAATTCACTCAGACCCATGAGTTTCCTGGGCTGAGAGTGGCCTGGGGGGAGCAGAGTTCGGCTGGGATCACCCTGAAAAGGCCTGTGGAGGTGATTCCTTGCTCAGTTGTGCACAAGGTCCTGAGTTTTCCAGTGTGGGAGCAAGCAGAAGGGGGGACAGAGGGGTGAGAATTGAGAGTCCCTGCTCACGGCAGCCCATGGCCAGGCTCCTTGTGGGGAGGAGAAGGCTGGCATCACCTGGGCGCCCAGGGGGCTTGATGATGTGGACTGGTCCTGGCTGGTGAAGCCCCAGCAATGAGCAGTTTACTGCCTTTTCTGGATGCTCCAGGGGGCAGAGCCTGGACCAAAAGAAAGATGTTTTAAGTCAACAGTATGACCTATTGGCCATGAGCACCCAAGGGACCATCCTTAAGGATGATTCTCGACCACATCTATTCTTAAATAATAATAACGATGACAACAATGATGATAGCAGCTCCTCAGTCTTCCATAATGAGCATTTATTGAGCACCTGCTATGCATGTGCTGGCTGCTGTTCTAAGTAATGGGGATACGACTGGAGTATTATTGGCATTTGGGGCTGCCTTGTTCTTCTGTTTGGTGCAGGGGAGGCTGTCCTGGGCAGTGTAGGATGCTCTGTAACAGTGCTGGTCTCTATCCATGAGATGCCAGTAGCACCCCAGTCCCTCACCCATTCTTTTTTTTTTTTTTTTTTTGAGACAGAGTCTCACTCTGTCACCCAGGCTGGAGTGCAGTGGTGCAATCCTGGCTCACTGCAACCTCCGCCTCCCGGGTTCAAGCGAACCTCCTGCCTCAGCCTCCTGAGTAGCTGGGATCACAGGCATGTGTCACCACGCCCAGCTAATTTTTATATTTTTAGTAGAGATGGGGTTTTCCCATGTTGGCCAAGATGTTCTCAATCTCCTGAACTTGTGATCCACCCGCCTCGGCTTCCCAAAGTGCTGGGATTACAGGCGTGAGCCACCATGGCTGGCCACCCCCACCCATTCTGACAACCAAAAATGTCTCCAGAGATTGCCAAAAATCCCCTGGGAGGCAAAGTAGTCTGCTGTTGAGAACCACTGGGGATACAGCTAGAAAGAAAGACAAAAATCAATCCTGTTTCTTAGGAGCAAGCATTCCACAGAGCGAAATGAACAATACATATGCTGTAGGAGTAGAAAATGGAGGAGGCTGCGTGGTGAAGATGCTAGAAAGGTCAAGCAGGGTCAGGGTTTAGAGAGCACAGGTGAGGCAGGGTTGCCATTTTCGAAAGGAGCCCCAGGAAGGGCCTCACTGCACAGGTGACATTTATCAGAGATGGGAAGGTGGGGAGAGAGCGAGAGGGGGAGGTCTGGGAAAGAGCTTCCAAGCAGCTGCAGGAAGAGAAAATGGAGGAACATGGAGGGGGGTCAGTGAGTCTGGGGGCTGGGCAGTGTGGGAGCAGCTGGGTGGGCTCTGCTGGGCCCTGCATCACCGAGGGCTGTGAGCTTTCTCTGTGAGTAGAAAGGGGAGGTCAGTGAGCATTCACTACCTGCTAGGCACAAACGCCGCTCCAGGGCTGTTCCGCGCACGTGCACTGAAGTCCTGTCGGGTAAGTGTTATTCCTTTTCTTGATTGCTCAACTGAGAAAAGCAAGGCCCAGAAGGGTTAAGGAATTCAGGCAGCGCTGTTGGGGCATGAGTATGGGCAGCCCACTCTCTACTGTCCACACTAAAATGTGGACTTCGGAGCCACACAGAACTGAGTTCAAATCCCAGCACAGTCTCTTACTATCCGGGTGGCCTTAGACGAGCCACAGAATCTCTCTGGCCCTCAGTTTTCTCTGGCGACCGGTGATCTCCGCTTTGCGGGGCTTTTGTTGGGAGTGCTGTCCTCAGTGCCCCCTCACTGGCCCCCTCTCTGTGCACCCGTGCCAGAGAGAAGCCAGAGGGCAGGTGGCCCCCTCCCAATCCGCCCAGCCACGGGCATGTGCTCTGGACTTGTGTATCTATTCACCGAGCTGCAGCAATGCCATCTGCTGAGGTCAAAGCCAATATCCCAGGAGGTCAGGGGAAGTTAAGCACTCCCTCTCCCAGAGCTGAGGAGGAGGTCTGGCCCTTTCAGAGTCAGCATCTCCCGGGATCTTCAGGGCCAGTCTGCTGGGTTCCCTCTGATGATGCTGCCCCGGCTTCCCCAGGAAGCTAAGCCTGAACCCAAAGTTAAGGATCATGGTTGAGCAGGGGCAGCCAGCACAGGCTCCATTAGCAGGATTCTGCAGCCTCAGAACCCCTAAGACTTAAATCCAGAGAGCCTCAATGAACCCATCTGGCAGGTTCACATTATTGCAGAGGCACATGTCAGAGGCAGGTTCATCACTGGAAATGTGGGTTTTAAAAATACCCCAGAGTTGAAAAACGAGAAGCAGCTGCTGGTATCCACAGACACCTCCCCAATAACTCTCACTGTCAAACCCCTCTGCTCCTCCTGTGTGGGGATGTCTTCCTTGGGGATGGACCGCAGTGACAGCGAGACCCCAGGAAGGAAGTTTCCTGGGACTGTCGGGCACACCGGTGTGTTGCTGTGTGCTCCAGATGTGTGAGGTCCCTCTCAGGAGGTGTGTGTGTTTGCCCTGTTTGATCCCTGAGTAAGTGGCTATCGGAGGTGGTGTGTCCTCCAGAGCCTGTGGCTTCTGATGATGATGGGATGTCACAGCCATATGACTTTGCTGGGCAGGCCCTGTGAACCTCAAATATCTGAGACAGGTCTCAGTTAATTTAGGAAGTTGATTTTGCCAAGGATGAGGACGTGTGCCAGTGACAGCCTCAGGAGGTTCTGACGACATGTGCCCAAGGTGGTTGGGGGCACAGCTTGGTTTTATATGTTTCAGGGAGACATGAGACACCAATCAATATATGTAAGATGTACATTGGTTCTGTCCAGAAAGGCAGGACAAATTGGAGCATGGAGGGGGCTTCCAGGTCACAGGTAGGTGAGAGACAGATGGTCACATTCATTTGAGTTTCTGATTGGCCGTTCCAAAAGAGGCAATCAGATATGCATCTATCTCAGTGAGCAGAGGGATGACATTGAATAGAATGGGAGGCAAGTTTGCCTTAAGCAGTTCCCAGCTTGACTTTTCCCTTTAGCTTAGTGATTTGGGGCCCCCAAGATTTATTTTCCTTTCCCAGCCCCATCCAGGAGAACATCCTCAAACGCCCACTGCTGGAATTGGCTCCTTCCACTCACCTGAAGATAACTTCCAGCAGGTGGCAGCCCTTTCTGTACCTGTCCAAAGGAGCATCCTACCCAGCTGTCTCCCACTGCCCTAGGCAAGGAGAGCCGGGCAGGACAGCAGAGATGCCTCCTGCCCAGGAATCTTCTCAGGGGGCTGCCACAGGAGGAGCCCTGGCTTCAGGATGGGCAACAGGAGACCGGGGTTTGAGGCCCAGTGACTCAGTGCGTGAGCTTAGACAAGTCCCCACACTCCTCTGGGCCTCTGCTTTCCATCTGTAAAAGGACGGGGTGGGAGAGGATTCATCTTCTCCACAATCTATTTCTGGAACGTCTGCTCTGTGTCAAGGGTCAGGTGTGTTTTATGGAATTAAACTGTCCCTCCCTTAGAGGGTTTCCAGTCCAGAACCTCTGAAGGTCCTCTAGCACCAGAGCTCAAGGGACTGTGATTATTTGAAAATCAAGCTGGACAGAGGCACCACTGAGCAGATGGAGCTGTGGAGCCAAGCAAGGAATCAGAGTATCTTCCATCACACAAAAAGTAAAGGCCAGAAGAGGGTGCCACTTTCCCAGTGAGGTTTAGGGGGGCTTCAACTCCCGGCTCTCTCCGGCCCCACTGCCCACCATGCCCTCACCTTTACTGCCAAATGGGCTGGGCTGGTTGTCTGCAGAGGAGGCCTGTGAAATATAAAAGTGATCCCACGGTGGGGGAGTGGCTTATCAGCCTCTACCAGGCAAGGCAAGGTGGTGAGAAGGTGGCATCCTGGCCTGGGAGGGTTTATATCTGGCCTGTACCACCCACTGCCCCAGGACCTTAACCAAGTTCCCTGCTGGCTCTTGCTCAGTCTTCTCCATGGGTAAGACAGATAATGAGAGCACTGTCAGGAGGGTTTGTGGTTGTTGCAGAAAAAGGAAACTTTACAGATGAGAAGCCCAAGGCTCAGAGAGGTTGAGCCACTGCCCACAGCTACCCACTTAATAAGTGGCAGTGCTGAGATTTGAACCCAGGCCTCTTGGAAGTCAAGCCTGTAGGCTCCTTCTGTTCAGTGTAGCTCAAGAAAAAGGCGGAGTTGATTAGAGGCCTTAGGTGTGTCCTGGAACTCAAGGATGGGCCTCACAGTCTGATTTCATGAGAACCCGGAATCTGGAGTTAAAGAGAGGCAGGACCCACAGCTCTTGCAGCCTCTCTAACACCAGGGCCAGCAGACCTAGTTTCCTCTGCAGGCCTCAGGCCATAAGAGCCCCAGGCAGCCTGATGGACCTTAAAAATAGACGAGCACTTCCTAAAAGGAAGCGTCTGATGGGGCTGGCTACGTTGGGTGTTCACCTTTGGCCAAGCAGCTGGAACCAGGTGATGTGCCTACAAGGACCACTCCTAGGGTAGAGGGGTCAGTTCTTGGAGAAAGAGCAGGGACTGTGGGGAGCAAACAGGCCAGTGGGCAAGTGGGACAGATGGCCTATGAGTTGGCTGAGTAATTTTCTAAAGCACTGTCTTCAGTCCTGCACGCCAGCAACTGGAAAGAGGCTGATGTGTTAGGACATTTCCGAAAGATGGTGGCCAATAATAACTCCCACCACTTTGGAAGCATCTAGCTTGTACTTGACATGTATTGCACTATTTAATGGAATCCCCTGCCATAATCTTGGTTGAGGGTATTATGATTCCCATTTTACAGATGAGGAAACTGAGGTTCAGTAGCTTGCCTACAATCCCATGGTTGATAAGCGGCAAAGCCAGGATTTGAACCTAGGCCCTTCTGATGCTAATGGGGGCAAGCTTTCACTGTGCCACTCTGAAGTCCAGCACCTAAAGAAGTAAAGGCACCAAACAAAGGAGGGGAAAAGCTTGGAAGGCAAAGGGGGACAGGACATTTCAAGAGCTACAGTTTGGACGGAAGTTGCTCATGCTTCAGTGACCCTTGTTGCTTTTGGTTTTTATTTTCTGGTTATTGAAGTAATTTCTGTTTCTGGCAGAATGTTTGGGAAATGAGACCTATCTCCGTAATCCCAGAGAGTAAATCTGAATTTGTAGAAAATGACCTTACCAGGAGGTAGATGTGGTGCAGTCTTGGGCAAACTTCTGCTCACATAGGGTTGGCTGATGGGGAGTTTCCCATCTTCCCCTGTGTTTAAACCCAGGCTACCTGAATCACATTGGAGCAAGGATGCTGCAGGGGGGTGGTCCTGTTCCAGGAGTTGGGACTTCCATGAGCCGTTCGTGGGTGGAGACAGCCTGCTCCCAACTCAAAGGCAGCTGGCATAGTAGTGAAGGTCAGGTAGAGGGTGCTGCTCCTATCTGGAAAGAAGCCAGCTGTCAGCCTGGTCCTGGGTGGGGGGAGGCAGGAACCACTGGAATAAGCCAGTGTTGCAATTGCTCTCACACTGGGTGCTCTCAAGCAAAAGAGTACAAGCTGCTCCTGGAATTTGTCTCTGTGCAGTTTGGCATGGGGGACGCAGCTGGGAAGAAAGAGGCCCTTGACTCGGGGGGAGAGAGCCTGGGCTGGGGGGGTTGTCCATACTCTCTGGGGTCTGGAGTGATGAACCAGACAGCAGATCTGTGCTGTCCCTTCCAGAGCCAGATGCTTGCAAGAGCATGGGTCACCGGTGTTCTCTGATAGGAGGTAGCAGGATGATAGAGTAATGCTAGGAGCTAATACTCGTTGGGTGCTTATCACTGTCAAAGTCTTTATAAGCATCCTGTTGTCTAATCCTTATGAGGTACACCTTATCATCATGTGTGTTTTCAGATCAGGCATCCAGCTCTGCTGTAAGCATTAGCTTGGGAATTCAAACCTGTGCTATTAATCACTAGTCCTGGGCCCCTGACATATGCACTGTGCAGTGGACAAAGGGAATGTGGGATTTGGAGCTCAACTGTTCCATGTGGCCTTAGGTGAGTCATTTTACCTCTTTGAGCCTCAGCTTCCTCAATTCTAAAATGAGAAGGAGAGCAGCTACTATATAAGGTTGACATGATGATAAAATTATAAAGGAGAAGACAGATGTCATACAAGAGGTCCTCGATATACTGATAGCCACTCACTTTGTCTTCCTGGTGCTGCAGACACAGAGTTCATCATATCCTCTCCATATTGTCTGAATGAGGCTCAGCTGAAGTTTGTGGCTGGGAAGAGCAAAGTTAACAGGTCCTTATAGACCACAGTATCAGTGGTCTCGGCCCCACAGCCATTGTGTGCAAGGGAATGGCTATGATGATGACAAGTTCCTACTTTGGATTTCCCATACTGAGTGCTCTACTGAATGTCTACGAGGTCACTATCATGAAACACATTTTATAGGTGAAGAAACTGAGGCACAGACAGGTTAAGTAACTCATCCAAAGTCACCAAGCTCATAGGTCCAGGATTTGAACCTCAGGAGCCCCATGTTCTTTCTGAACCCTTGGAATTTGTGAAAGGCGAATGTAACCAAAATGTCTAGCATAGGGTCTGACTCTTCCAAAATTCTCTTCTCTTCATTTAAAACAAAAACTATTCCCCTAAAGACACATGCACATGTATGTTTATTGCAGCACTATTTACAATAGCAAAGACTTGGAACCAACCCAAATGCCTATCAATGATAGACTGGATAAAGAAAATGTGGCACATATACACCATGGAATATTATGCAGCCATAAAAAGAATGAGTTCATGTCCTTTGCGGGGACATGGATGAAGCTGGAAAACATCATTCTCAGCAAACTAACACGGGAACAGAAAACCAAACACCGCATGTTCTCACTCATAAGCGGGAGTTGAACAATGAGAACACATGGACGTAGGGAGGGGAATATCACACACAGGGACCTGTTAGGGGGGTGGTGGGCAAAGGGAAGGACAATGTTGGGACAACTACCTAATGCATATGGGGCTTAAACCTAGATGATGGGTTGATAGGTGTAGCAAACCACCATGGCACACGTATACCTATGTAACAAACCTGCACATTCTGCACATGTGTCCCAGAACTTAAAGTAAAATTTAAAAAAAAAAAACAAAAAACTATCCTATATACAGGAACCAGGTGACGGAATGGACTAGCTCAAAGATCAGCTTCTCCTGGAAGCTTTGCCAGATGTTCCCCAATTAGGGGTCCTTGTCTGTGCTCCCGTGGCATCCCCAGCACACCTCCATCAGCCAACTTGCCCCCTGCACTGCCAACATCGGTGCCTTCCCAGCTACCCCACTAGACCAGGGGATCACCAAAGGGATATTACTACCTGCTTGTTGAATAGCATTCATGCCATGGTCACTGAAATCAATGCCCTGTGTCTCCTTTGCCCTTTGGAGATCTGCCTTGGCCCAAGAAGATTATGTCCCCCAGTGCTAATCACAGACCTCCATGGAGGTCAGTTATTAAGACCTTCAAGGCAAGTACCATCCCTGGGGTCTTGTCTCCATCCACTCTGGGAGGCAGGGAGCCACCTGACCCACAATGTGCAGTTGTAAGACCTTAAGGACCTGACCTCCTGCCTCTTGGGGCTCCAAGACCAGGTGATGTGTGAAAGGGCGTGGCCAACAGAGGCATGTTCTCTAACATGAGGGGTAGCTGAGAGAGGCTGGTGTTTACTGAGCCGTTACTTCATGGCCCACTCTGTGCCAAGCACTTCACTTCCAGTCTCCTTTAATATCCTCCCCCAGCAACCTCCCTGACCCTCATAATTGCTTATATGCATACACTTTGGGTATGCGTTTTTTAAATCGTGGTGAATCATATTCTTTGATATAAATAGATGCAGTCTTTAGGGGTTTTTATTGTGGCACAATACATATAACATAAAATCTACCATGTTAACCATTTTAAAGTGTGTGATTCAGTGGCATTTGATACATTCAAATGTTGTGCAACTCTCAGCATTCTCTAGTTTCAGAATATTTTCATCACCCGTGAAGCAGTCACTTCCATTCCCTCTTTTCCCAAGGCCCTGGCAACCTCTAATCTGCTTTCTGTCCCTCTAGATTTGCCTTTTATGGACACATCACATAAATGGAATTATAATCATACAACAAGTGGCCCCTGTGTCTGGCTTCTTTCACTTCACATAATGTTTTCAAGGTTCATTCATGTTGCAGCATGCGTCCGTGCTTCCTTCCATTTTATGGCTGGATAATATTCCATTTTGTGGATGTACCACAGTGTGTCCATTCATGAAATGGAATATTATCTCGCCATAAAATGCATGCTACCACACGAATGGAAATTTGGGTTATTTCCGTCTTTGGACTTATGAATAATGCTGTGATGAACATTCATGTACAAGTATTTGTCTGAACACCTGCTTTCAATTCTCTTGGGTATATCCCTAGGAGTGGGGTTACTGGATCATCCGGTAACTCTGTGTGCAACATACTGAGGCGCCACCAAACTCCTTTCCACAGTGGCTGCATCACTTTACGCTCCCACCTGCAAAGTATGAGGGTTCCAATTTCTCCACATCCTCGCCAAAACTTACAATTTTCCTGAAAACCTTTCGAAGTGTGGTTACCCATGTTTTACAGATACACACGTGGAGGCACTGAGCAGTGAAGCAAACTTGTCAAAAGCTACACACCTGCTTGGTGGCAGAGCCAGAGTTTGTGCTCAGGGACTGTGCACACTTAGCTACCAACCTGTTCACTTCATGGCTCTTGTGAGGCTGAGAAGTCAGAGGCTTGAGGCTTGAAGGAGCTCCATTCTGTTCTTGGCTCCTGTCTGTGTACCTGGCACCCTCTGTCTCCCAGAGTGTCCCTTGGACTTCTGTACCTGGACACAACTTGCCCTCTAGAGGCCCCACTCATGGGCAGTAAGTGTTGGTGTGCCAGAAAGCAACAGCTTCTGTATTAGTCCCTTTTCATACTGCTGTGAAGAAATACCTGAGGCTGGATAATTTATAAAGAAAAAGAGATTTAATGGACTCAGAGTTCCACATAGCTGGGGAGCCCTCACAATCATGGTAGAAGGCGAAGGAGGAGCAAAAGCACATCTTACATGGCAGCAGGCAAGAGAGTGTGTGCAGGGGAACTGCCCTTTATAAAACCATCAGATCTCGTGAGACTTACTATCACGAGAACGGCACGGGGAAAAACCCACCCCCATGACTCAACTACCTCCCCCTGGTCCCTCCCATGACACATAGGGATTATGGGAGCTACAATTCAAGACGAGATTTGGGTGGGGACACAGCCAAACCATATCACCTTCCCCCTAGGGTGATATATCCAGACACCCCTCACCCACCTTCCCCCAGTCATGGCCCTAGGAGACAGGAGACTTCCTATGTAAATCTCACTTGGTCTCAAAATAGGTATCTCTTCCCAGGTGGGTGGCCCTCCCTTGCACCTCTTCATTGCAGAGGTGAAGATGACTGGGCCAACCTCACCTTGCTCTGCAGAAGGAGCATACCAGGTGCTCTGAGGCCAGCAGATGCACAGCACCAAGGCCAGCTCCCTCCTTCCAGGGCACAAGGCATGTCTCTGATGGAGCCCAGACCCTTGGCCGGGGTAGGCTGTGAGTGATGGGGTCAGGTGGGCCCCCACTGGCTTCCCAAAAAGAGTGTTGTTTCCTGGAGAAGGGTGGGATTTGCTCTGTGCATGGAAAATGTCTTTCTCACCCTTCATGTCGGGACAACCTCGTTGCTCCCACCCACCTTCAACTCCAGCTCCACCTGAGACTGCCGGTAGCAGGGGTCTTGATCTTTTTTCTGAATCTGAACCTGACAGCCCAGCCCTCCGTGACTGGTTGCTGCCCACTCTGAATCCTTCCTGAGGGACGTTGCTCCATTTCTGGGTATCCCTGTATTCTCCCCTCATTCCAATCCCACAGGAAACTTCCAGAAGTTCCAAATACCAAGGAAGCATTCCCAGGTGAGAAGATGGAGGGCTCCATAGGTGACTGAAGTTTCAGGGACAGCACACCGTTGAATGTCACCCCATCAAATGGGGGCTGCAGGGCCAAGGCCAGAACCCGGCTTAATCAGCAGTGGGGACAGTCCCAGGTATGGGCTGGGCCCTGCACACGGTCACCTCATATTCCCTACCACATCCCTGAAACAACACTGGGACTATCCTCACTGAGGACAAACCTCTACAGATTCAGACTAAAGTGTTACTGGCTGATGGGACCATTTGCACCACTTGGATTTCTGCTCAGTTTTGAAGGCGTTTGAGTCCGAGTTGGGTAGGAGAATTTTACCTTGGCAGGGGAGACGAATTTGAGGTCCTGGTAGTGGCCCTGCTCCCCTCCTTGGACCTTCTCCCCCAGCCCCTACCCCAGCTGGTGACCCAAGTTCAGACCCTGCTGAGCAGACCCCAGCGCTGGATGCAAGGAGAAGCCAGGACGTCTGACCTTGACCTTGGGATTAACAGTGTTTTACCCAGTGCTTTCCTATGGGGCTGTGACCTCCTTGGCTCCTTCGAGTAAGCCTAGGAAGATGGCATTATGGGTGACACAGACGCTGAGAGGGGTGTCCTCCCCAGGAAGGCCAGGGCAGGACCTGAACTTTGTGCTTTCTGGAGTGCAATCAGATGAATAGGCTGCCGCCGTGTGCATTGATTGAGTGCTTGTTGTCAGCCCTAGAGCCGGGAGGCCATGGCTGCCCATTAAGGGAGTACCGCGGGGTTCACCCAGCTTCAAGATCAATTCATGTCAAAACTGCAGCCAACATTTTCCCCATCTGCCTCTGCGGAGGGAAATAAACCAGGGGAGGCAGAATACAGAGACATCATTCCCGGTGATCAATTTCCTCCACCCCCTCTTCCCTCCGGATGGGAACGGCCGTCTCCATCCTGATGGATGCATTGTTGTGGGGAGGGTGAGGAACACTCATCCTCTGAGGCACCCGGGGTTGGGGGCAGGGGTGGGGGGAGCCGCACTGGGACGGGAGGGGCAGAGGAGGAGGAGGCCAGCAGGCCCGATGGAGCCAGCCCAGGAAGGCAGGGCAGGAACGCAGAAGGCAGCAGTGTTCCCACCCCGGGAGGGCAGATCCAGCAGTGGGGTGGTGGCCAGGAGCCCCTCACTCAGGGTGCCCAACCCTGAACCTTGGGATTACACTTCCTGGCTGAGTGGCCTTGGGCTGTGTTCTGGGATCTGCCTGGGGAATGCACCCTACCTCTGCAGGCTGAATGGCTGAACACAGGTGGGGGACCACATCCCAGAAGGCACAAAGTTCAGGTCCTGCCCTAGCCTCCCTGGGCAGGACACCCCTCTCAGCCTTCGTGTTCTCACAGGTGAGACGGATCACGCCACCCACAATGTCATCTTCCTAGGCTTGATGGAAGGAGCCACGGAGGTCACAACCCCATAGGAAAGCATTGGGTAAAACACTGTGAATCCCAGGGTCAAGGTCAGGCAATGGAGGCGCACACACCTCTGTGACGTATCCTTTCTCCCTCTTGCCTGATGATTCTGCCGTTGCCTTTCCAAGCTCCTGGGTGTGTGATCTTTTTGCGGTCAAGTGGTGAAAAGATACAGTTTAGATCACTGTGAAGGTCTAGAAATTAAATAATTAAGGAAGAAGAATTAAAATCCCCTGGTGCTTCAGGAGGTGGGTCCCGGTACAACTGCCAGTCAATCCAGCCTGGAGCCAAGTTCAGCAGATCACAAAGGGGTCAGGAGAGGTGAGAAAGCCCCTGCAGCCAGGCTGCCCCTTGGCTCTCAAAAGCAGGCTGCAAGTGTACTCCACCCCAGCCTGTCTTCCTGCCCTGCATTCTGCAACCCTTCTGTGTCTTCCCTTGAAAGACTTCTCCCCATCCCTGCTCTTTTGGCCTCAGACTGAAATGGACTGGGGGAGGGGGTCTGAGACCCCATTAATGGCCTGTTGAGCTCCCTGTGACTTGGGCATTTGCAGACAGAGGTCAGTTGTCCATTAAACGATGGAACTGAGCACTCCACTTAGCAGTGTATATGGGACACAGTTAAATAATGAAACAAAAATAGAACATTGCAAAAGCCTGGGGCAGGCTGGCTTGTGCCCCAGGAAGAAGCAGAGAAAGCCATCCCAGGGAGAGGGGAGGAAATTCACTGTTGGCCTCCCTCTTCCATGAAATGCTCTGGTTTAAAGTATATTTTTTTTTTACATATAGGTTATCTTTTATTGATTTTTAAAATTAAAGTTCACATATATATATACATACACAAATACATACACACACACACACACACACACAATGCAGTTGGAAAAATAATTTGTGCTCATTGCAGCACACTGGGAAATGCAGAAGAATAGAAAGAGGCAGGTTTTCCTCCTCTCCTCCATCCATAATGTGGGGTTGGGGGTGTTAGAGCTTTCCAATACCACCCCTAGGAAAGGGAGGGGGATGAAAAATATGTACTGAATTTGAGAGTTCTAGTTTTGGCAACAGAGTACCAACTGTCAGCACTTCAGAAGGTTTTAAAATACATCATTGACTTATAAGAGAGAAGGAAATCCCCAGGGAACTGAAACTCAAAGCCTTGAGCATGTGAACTAATACTAAGGAGAACCAGGGGGTACTGGATCCAGATATGTGCCATCATAGCTCAAGTCTGGAATTTTAATGCCTACCCATGGACTGTAAAACGTGGTCTTGGGCCCCCGCAAGGCCAGAAGTTCGCACTGAGACTCCCCCTCCATGAAGGGGAGGCTAAAATTTGCCAACTACCAGCCCAAAAAATTGCCAGGACATTTAGATCTGCCCAGATTCTCTAGGAAGGTGGAGGAGGGTCTCCTCCAAAAAAAACAAAGACCGAAGAATGAGCTGCCCACAGGTACAGAATCTAAGTTTCTAACGCCCCCCAGGGGGAGAAATCCTGAGCTAAGAATTTAATGTAAAATCAGATCCTGGATTGATGGAACTTCTAGCTCACCCAGCTGAATCAAATCCAAAACCACTTTCCAGAGACTCTTCCAGGACCCAGAGTACATAGGATTCCCATGGGGATGGTTGAGGGGAAGCCTTGCTGAAGATGAGCTCACAATAAAAATTACAGACCACATGAGAGCATGGTTTAACCTTGAGGCAACTTAGTACAGACAGCAAATGGGGAAATTAGCATTTCAAAAACATGGTTGTAGAACAGTGTGGAAAAGTCTATAAAATAAATCCAATGTGTTTAAAACAACAAGGAGGAGTAGAAACCATATTAAAATAACAGAGCAGATTTCTAATCAGCAACAATGAAATAAAGATGAACAACAAAATCTAGAGCTTGTTGTTTGTAAGAGCTGAATAAAATTGCCCAAACTGAGGAAATACCGGAAAGGGAAAAAGAGAGAGAAAACACAAACAATATTGGGAACGAGAAAAAGACCAAAATGATATGTGGGATAATCATTATTTAACACCTAAGAGAATATCATGAAAGAGTTTATGCAAATATGGGTGACTTTCTGGGAAGTCACTCAAAAAGAAATAGAAAACCTAAATAGATTGTAGCCATTAACACAATTGATAATGGTTAATCTTAGGTCTTGATCCAAGTGGATTCAGGGATACTTGGATAGCTGATAAAGCATTGTTTCCAGGTGTGCCATGAGGGCGTTTTGGCAGGAGATTGGCATGTGAGTTGGATCGAGTAGGAAAGATCCACTCTCAGTGTGGATGGGCACCATCTAATCGGCTGGGGCCTGGATAGAACAAAAAGGCAGGGGACAGGCAAATTTGCTTTCTTTCCCCTGGAGGTGGGACACCACCTTTCTTCTGCCCTTGGACATCAGAACTTCAGGCTTTCTGGTCTTCGGACTCTGAGACTTGCACCAGCAGCCTCCCAGGTTCTCAGGCCTTTGACCTCAGAATGAGAGTAGCGCTGTAGGTCTTCCCTGGTTCTGAGGCTTTCAGAGTTGGGCTGAGCCACAGTGCTGTTATACCTGAGTCCACAGCTTGCAGGCGGCCTGTTGTGGGAATTCTTAGTCTCCATAATCATGTGAGCCAATTCCGGCAGCAAATCCCCTCTCATATATGTATATATCACCTCCCATTTCTCTCTCTCTGGAGAACCCTAATAGAAAATTGAAGCAGAATTAAAATATACCCACAAAAAGAAACAGGCCCACATGGTTTTACTTGGCAAGTTTTACCAAACCTTTAAGAAACTGAAAATTGCTGTTTTATGCAAACTTATTTAGAAAGTGAATATCACTTTTAAAAAGGTATAATTAGTATATAATGAAATGTATCACTTCTAGGTATACACTTTGATAAATGTGTAATCATGATAATATAGAACATTTCAATCACCTCGAAAAAGTATCTTGTGCCTCTTTGCAGCTAATGCCCTGCCCTCTGCTGATCTGCTTTCTCTTCCTATAGTTTTGGCTCTTCTACAAGTTCATATAAAGGAAATCATACAATATGTAGTCTTTTCTGTCTGAACTCTTGCCTGCCTGCCTTCTTCCCTTCGCTTCCCTTTTCCCTCCCTCCCTCCCTTCCTTCCTCTCTCTTTCTCTCTCTTTTTCTCTTTCTCTCTTCTCTCTCTTCTTTCTCTCTTCTCTTTCTCTCTTGTCTTTCTCTCTTCTCCTCCTCTCCTTCTCTCCTCCTTCTCTCTTCTCCTTCTCTCTTCTCTTTCTCTCTTCTCTTCTCTTCTCTTCTCACCATCTTGCCTAGGCTGGTGTCAAACTCCTGGGCTGAAGCAATCCTCTCACCCTGGCTTCCCAAAGTGCTGGGATTACAGGTGTGAGCAACCATGCCCAGCTGTGTCTGGACTCTCATTTGGCCTAATGCTTTCAAGATATCACCCATGTAGTTGTATACATGAGTAGTTTATTCCTTTGTATTGCGGAGTAGTATTCTATATACCACAGTTTGTTTATCTATTCACCAGTTTTGGACACTGGGGTTGTTTCTAGTTTGGGACTATATGAATCAAGCTGTACTCGGGTGTAAGTCTTTATGCAACCACAAGTTTTCATTTTTCTAGGAGTTCCACCTAGGAGTAGAATTTCTGGTTGTGTGGCAAGAGCATGTTTGACTTTACAAAAAGCTGCAAAACTGCTTTCCAAAGCAGTTGTACCATTTTGCATTTCTACCAGCAACATATGAGAGCTGCAGTTTCTCCAAACCTTCTCCAATATTTAGTATGGCCAATCTTTTTAATTTTAGCCATTCTAGTATGTGCGTAATGGTATCTCATTGTGGTTCAACTGAAACTTTGATGATGAAACTAAACAGATTAAGAGTATATATGTAAGACAACAAAAGCAAGCTATGTCCCAGTAATGCATGGGTTGTTTAACATTACAAAATCTATAAATATAATTGAAATAAGCACATTATTTCAATAAATGCAGAAAAACATATGGTAAAAATCAATATAATTATAAAACAAACAAAAACAAAAACAAAACCTCTTTGCAAACAGAGAACTTCCTTACCCTGATAAGCTGTATTTTCAACAAATATCATATGTAACGGTAAAATGTTAGAATCATTCTCTTTCAAATTAGACAAGAATATCACTATCATCACTTTTATGTCATCGAGTCCCTAAGTGCACCAAGACAAGAAAAAAATGAGGTATCAGAATTAGAATGAAAAACTACAAAACTGTCAATATTCACAGGCTATATGCTCATCCTCATAGAAAATCCAAAGGAACATTATGCAGCAAAGTTACTAGATGCAAGACCAACATATGTAAATCAATAATAGTACAATACATTTAATTTAAATTTAAATTTAAGAATGTCTGAAAAGTTAGCATTAAAAAAGTGAAAAGGCCGGGTGCGGTGGCTCACGCCTGTAATCTCAGCACTTTGGGAGGCCGAGGCGGGTGGATCACAAGGTCAGGAGATCGAGACCATCCTGGCTAACATGGTGAAACCCCGTCTCTACTAAAAATACAAAAATTAGCCGGGCATGGTGGCGGGCACCTGTAGTCCCAGTTACTTGGGAGGCTGAGGCAGGAGAATGGCGTGAACCTGGGAGGCAGAGTGCAGTGAGCCGAGATCGCGCCACTGCACTCCAGCCTGGGTGACAGAGCCAGACTCCAACTCAAAAAAAAAAAATAGTGAAAAGATTGGGAGGCTGAGGTGGGTGGATCACTTGAGGTCAGGAGTTCGAGACCAGCCTGGCCAACATGGTGAAACCCCATCTCTACTAAAAACACAAAAAATTAGCCAGGCATGGTGGTGGGCGCCTGTAATCCTAGCTACTCAGGAGGCTGAGGCAGGAGAATTGCTTGAATCTGGGAGGCAGAGGTTGCAGTGAGCCAAGATCGCGCCACTGCACTCCAGCCTGGGAAACAAGAGCAAGACTCTGTCTCAAAAAAAAGAAAGAAAAAAGAAAAGAAAAACTGTAGACTGTGCAGAACGTTTCAGCACATACATATGGCAAAATATTAATATCCACAACACCTCAAGAACTCCTATAGATGAATAAGAAAGAAGATGAAGAATCCAATAGAAAAAAAAATGGGAAAAAGACATGAACAGGCATTTCACAGAAAAGGGAAGAGAAAAATAGCCAAACATAAAAAGATACCCCATATCACCGGCAATCATAGAAATGCCAGTTGAGATGACAATGGAATATCATTTGATTCTCACTGTGATTGATAAAATTTAAGATATGTGACAATACCAAATGTTGGTGAGGATATGAAGGCCTGAGAATTCTTACATACTGCAGGTGGTAGAACTACATTGAAAAACAATTGGCGTTGCCTAGCAGAATAAAGCCCATTTCACCCCTTAAACACCCCCCAATACAGGGATCATGTTATTGCCACCGTTTAATATCTTTACTGAATGAGACTCAGAAAGCTCAAGTGTCTTGTCAGAGTTCACATAAGCTGCAATGTTCCCGATTCTTTTCTTTTTTCTACTCTCTTAACAGGCAGCGATTCTCTGAGCGGCTTTGCGGCAGGAATGGGAACCCTAAATCTGCCCTTAATTGGCCCCAGGCCCGGGGCCTCTGTCCTGGCTGTGCCTTCAGGCTCTTCAGGTCTCTGGGCCGCACCACCATGTTCAACCGACAGGGGGCGACCTCTTCCCTGGTTGGGCATTGCCCCTTAGCTCCAGGAAGACAGCTCCAGGAAACTCCTTAATTTTAAAAAGAGGAATGATCATTATGTCATTAAATTAAAAAGTTGTGCATATGTATTTTTTTTTGAGACAGAGTCTCACCCTGTCACCCAGGCTGGAGTGCAGTGTTGCGATCTCGGTTCACTGCAACCTCTGCCTCCAGAGTTCAAGTGATTCTCCTGCCTCAGGCTCGGACCACGCCTGGCTAATTTTTGCACTTTTAGTAGAGACGGGGTTTCACCATGTTGGTCAGGCTGGTCTTGAACTCCTGGCCTCAGGTGATCTGCCCGCCTTGGCCTCCCAAAGTGCTGGGATTACAGGCGTGAGCCACCGCACCCGGCCATGCATATGTATTTAAAAAAATCAAGGAAAAGAAACTGAAGTAGAAAGGATAGACACATTCATCCACAATCCTATTATCAAAGTAACTATTATTAATATTTTTACACTCATCATCCCACATTTTAAAAGATTCTTTTTTAGGAATTAGCAAACAAACTATTGATGCTTTGTATCCCAACATTTTGTTGTTGTTGTCGTTTAACATTACCTTGCCACATTTTCCGTCAATGACTACATAATAGTCCCTTGAGTGGGTAAACCATAGTTCCTATAACTCTTCTTTGCAGAGAGGCATGTTGGTGGCTTTGAGCACTGTGCTATTATCAACAACAGTGAATCAACATTTTTGTGTATTTTGTACTTGTGTTTATATTTTTTAGTAGCAATTCCCAGAAGTAGAATCACTGGAACCAAGAGAGATGAAAATGCTTAACGCTCAACCAAATTGCTTTCCAAAAGAGTGAAATACTTTTATGCTCCTGCCAGCAGATAATGGAAGTTATTGTTTCAGAGGTGAAATTTTTTAAATAATTAAACTTTTGATTTTGAGATACTGTAGATTCACATGCAGTTGTTGGAAATATACTGAGAGACTCAATGTAGTTTTTTACCCAGTTTCACCCAATGGCAACATCTTGCAAAATTATAGTACAAAGGGATATCCTGGTAACCAAGATGCTGACATTGATATAGTCAAGGATATAGAAAATTTCCAACATAACAAGGATCCCTCGTGTTGCCCCCCCGCCTTTTTTTTTTTTTTGAGACAGAGTCTCGCTCTGTCGCCCAGGCTGGAGTGCAATGGCGCTATCTCGGCTCACTGCAATCTCCGCCGCCCAGGTTCAAGCAATTCTCCTGTCTCAGCCTCCCGAGCAGCTGGGATTACAGGTACATGCCACCATGCCTGGCTACTTTTTTGTATTTTTAGTAGAGACAGGGTTTCACCATGTTGGCCAGGCTGGTCTCAAACTCCTGACCTCAGGTGATGCACCTGCCTCAGCCTCTCAAAGTACTGGGATTACAGGTGTGAGCCACCACACCTGACCTCGTGTTGTCCCTTTATAGCCACACTGGCCTCTTCCTCTCTCCCCTCTCTGTCCCTGACCCTAACAACCACTAATCTGTTCTCCATTTCTTTATTTTTGTCATTGCAAGAATGTTATATAAGTGGAATCATGAAGTGAAGTTTTAAAGAAAATTATCATCAAAAACAAATAAACTTATCAATAGAAGAAATATAGAAAACACATTTTTATTTCAATTTTTAAGTTTTTTTTTTTTTTTTTTTTTTTTGATAAGGTCTCACTCTGTCACCCAGGCTGGAGTGCAGGGACACTACAGCCTCCTCCTCCCCGTGGCTCAAGGGATCCTCCTACCTAGCCTCTCAAGTAGGTGGGACTGCAAATGCATGGGCTATCTTTAGATTTTTTGTAGAGACAAGGTTTCACTATATTACCCAGGCTGGTCTTGAACTCCCAACCTCAAGCGATCCTCCCACCTTGGCCTCCCAAAGTGCTGGGATTATAGGCATGAGCCACCTTGCCTGGCCTGAGAACACGTTTTTAAACTGGCTGGTCCGTACACCAGCACTGTCCAATAGGAATGTAATGCAAGCCACATGATGTAACTGAAAGTTTTTTATAGCCACTCTAAAAAAGTATAAAGACACAGGTTAAATTAATTTTAATAATATATTTTATTTAGCCCAATATGCCATTTCAGCATGTGATCAATGTTTTTTAAATCACTGAGATAGTTTACATTCTTTATTCATACTACATCTTAGAAATCTGGGGTATGTGTTCATACTTACCGCATGTCTCACTTTGGACTTACCACGTTTCCAGTGCCCAAGAACCACCTGTGGCTGGCTAGTGGCCGCCATATTGGGAAGCTCCGCTCTAGTCCAGATTAGACCAAAATCAGATCATGAGTGCATGGTCTGCATATCTTTAGGCCTGTGGGGGACCTCACATGGGCTAGTGGCTCTTAGCCTTGGCTGCACATTAGAATCAACTGAGAGTTTTACAAAACACTAATATCCGGTCCCAGCCCACTCCATCCCACCCCCAGAAGGTCACATATAGTTGGTCTCAGAAGCAACTCAGCATTGGGATTATTTTAAATCCCCCCAGATGACACTCATGGGCAGCGGGAATTAAGGACCATTGATATATGGGTTTGGGGTTGGGTTCTATCCAATCCTGTCTGGGCATGGGCTCCTGGGAGAGGTCATGGGCACACCATGCCTTTTCTCCTCTCAGTTCCTTACCTGACTTCTTGGAAAGCAGACACTTTCCTCTCTAGCAGCTTCTGGGAGGTTCTGGGCTTTCTGGCCTTGCAACATCCTGCACCTCCCCGGCCCACCCCAAATCTCTGCCTCCTTCATCTAGAGGCTGGTTTTAGACTGGGGTGCACACAAGCTTCCCAACCCATGAGTGCCATCTTCTGAGGCCCAGTATTTTCCACCCTGGGCTCAGCCAGCCTGGTGGTCAACCTTGCCTCCTTTCTGGACCCGGGAGTGAAGACAGCCATTTGATGACAGCCCAGGGCCTACATCCTTATAGCAGCTCTGCAGAGGGACAGCCATTCCTGTATTATTGATGAGGCTCTGAGTGGCTGAGTGAGTTCCCCGATAGCCCCAGCTCCTCAACTCGCAGGACTAACAGTCCCAGGCCTGGGCCTCCCCCACCCGCCACGCTCTCCCCAGCACCTCTGCATCTGCCTGATGGGATCTCCAGCTGAGCGGCAAGCAGGAGGGGTGGCATGAGCCAGGCTGAGGTTAACGCTTGTCCTGCCTTGCACTTCTTTTTCCAGACCAGTGCTCTCCGATGCCCAGCAGCACATTGCTGGCTGAGGAACAGGGCAAGCTGCAGCCCCCCCTCCCTCCCCCCACCTTCTCACCAACTGTCTCCCAGGGGCCCCCTGAAGAGTGAAATCTCCCCCTGCATCCTGGCAGTGGTGTCCCTCCCCAGGCCTCTTATTCTGCCATCCAGTCAGGAGATAGTAACCACTCTTTAAAGTGACTCTTGAGAGATGAATTCAAGATACTCACAATGTTCTTTAAAGAGAGGTGGTCAAGGTGTGAATACCTTGAATTCATCACTCAAGAGTCACCAGTCATCTGCCAAGGCACAGCCTTGTGGTGACAGCAACCGCACCCTCCAAGGGCCACCTTCCAGGGCCATGAGAAGCGATGGCCTTTGCTGTGGCTCCTATATGACCTTGGGCTTCCTCACTCGTAGGGACATGCTCCAACCCAGGCAGCCAGGCGCTCAGCTGTGCTCAGACACCTTTTCATCTGAAGTCACGGGGGCAGAGATGGGGAGGAGAAAACACCAAGTTGAGAACTGACTCCTCTGAGAAATACATCATCCATTGTAAAGTTTTTTTCTCTCCTTCTGCATCTAGTTCAAGAGCCTCGCCCTGAAGTAGCTGGTACATCATTTCTCTTTTTGTACTCATGTTTGTGGGGCTAGAACTCAGGGCTTATGGCTGTTGTGTCTGGACCCCCAGCAACCTGTCTAGTTCCTCTGTTTGACTCAGTTTTGGGGGAGAAGCGGAGGGATAGAGTGTGGTGGAGGGAAGGAGAGGTTTGGGTATGTGTCCTACATATCATTAGAATCCTGGTTTACAGTAAAATGTGCTGGAGGCAGGAAAACGATGCTGGGAGGAGGTATTTATAGAAGCGCATCACAGTGCTTTGTAACCTGGCAGGGCCTTATTTGGTTGTCTTGTGAGAATCCTCCTTGGGCAGCACCGTGTTTCTCTTGAGGGGCGTGTCTTCTGCACGGCGCCGAGGCTGGCTCCAAGTACATCCTAGAGAGCTTTGCTAAAGCCAGATTGGTTTCCCTCCCCAGGCTTCTCCAATCCCTCCTTCCTCCCTTCACCCCAAAAGGAAGAATCAGCAGAAAAATACATTTTCTCTTGAAACAGAAATACTAGCTCTAATCATGGAGGGGGCTGGGCATGATCAAGAATAACTCAGTGTCCAGCAAGAAACACTCGGTTACTTTCTCCCCTCTCCCTCCTCCTTCTCCTCCCCCTTCCCCTCTTCTCTCCCTCTCCACCCTCTCCTTCCTCCCTTCTTCCTTCTTCTCCACCTCTTCCATAATCACTATTTTGTAAGGAAAATGCTGGGTTCGTCCATCCACCCGCATGATGCAAAGGCCCAGGAGAAAAGGACTTGAATCTTTAGCTCACTTATCTTAGGCAAGAAGCTGATACTGTTGAGAAAAATCAGGTCAGAGTTTCCATTTGCCATTCAGGAATCTCTGTTTTTCAGAAGTGAGAGTTTTCAAGGTGGTGAGCTAAGCATTCTGTCCAAGCTTACCTATGCAACCCCACGAGAACCAGGCTGAGAGGTGAATGAGAGACAGTTTAGTATAGCAGATAACTGGGCTAGATTGCTGGGTTCAAATCCCAGCTCCCCCAGTTTCTAGCTGGGTAAAGCAAAAAGCTTTACCATTCTGTGTCCCAACCTCCTTATCTGTAAAGTGGGGACAATAAGCTTGATAAAGATGAGCTATGCCACACCCAGACACATCATAGTCAAAATGTCAAAAGACAAAGATAAAATCTTGAAAGCTCGGAGAGAAATGTGGTTCATCACACACAAGGGAACTCCCCTGTAAGAGTAAGAACTGACTTCTCATCAAACACACTGGAGTCAAGAAGGCAGTGGGTCCGTCTATTTAAAGTGCTGGAAGAAAAAAAAAATATTGTCAGCTGAGAATCTTATAGCAACAAAACGATCCTCCAAAAATGAAGATGGAATGAAAATACCCCAGATAAACAGAAACTGAGAGAATGTGTTGCTGGAAGAGCCACTTGACAGAAAAAAAAAAAATGCTAAAAGAAGGTCTTCAGACTGAAAGCAAGTGACATCAGACATTAATTTGAATTCTCATAAAAAACAGAGAGGACCAGTGAAGATAATTATGTAGATCAAGCTTGTCCAACTCATGGCCCATGGGCTGCATGTGGCCCAGGACAGCTTTGAATGCAGCCCAACACAAATACGTAAACTTTCTTAAAACATTATATAAGACTTTCTTGACATTTTTTTTTTTTTAGCTCATCAGCTATCATTAATGTTAGTGTATTTTATGTGTGGCCCAAGACAATTCTTCCAATGTGGCACAGGGAAGCCAACCCTGATGTAGATAATTGGGTAAAAAAGTAATCATATATAATACATAAGCATTTTATATATTGTGCACATGCACGCACACACACACACACACACACCAGAAGTATAATTGCATATTTCTTCTCGACAGATATAAAAAGCCATTGTATAAAAATATGTATACAATTGAATTGTTGGGCTTATCACATACAGAATTGTAATATATTTGACAATAACAGCACAAAGGAGTTGGGAGAAGGAGAAGCCAAGCTGTATTGAAGTAAGGAAATGACATCAAGTGGTAACTCACATACACAGGAAGAAATGGAGAGAACCAGAATAATTAATTAAAAGGTTAATGTAACACATTTGTTTTAAAAGAAGACCTACGTGCACTTACCATGTGCCAGGCTAGAGTCTCTATTTTAAGCTTGTTACATGTGTTACCTCGTAACCCTTTAAAGAAGATGCCATTGTTATCCCTGTTTTAATCATAGTGCCTACTGCAAAGCGTTGTTGGGAGATGGTGTGAATTACTATGTGTAAATTGCTAGAACAGTGTCTGGCACGTGGTCCTGGTCCAATAAATGTCATCCTACTGGAATAGGGGTGCAGATATACATGGGTGAGGGAGGCTGAGGAAGGGTGAAAAGGCCCTGGCCTGGCTTCCTTGCAGGCTTCTGAAGCCTGGGTCTGATAGATGACCAGTGTCACTAGAATTAGATCAAGTCTGAACATTGTTTCTGTCTACACATATTAACACACAGGGTACCAAATTGTTTTCCATTTCTCGCTGGCTGTTATTGCACCCGGTAGCCATGGGGGCAGTGAGCATTTGGTGTTCAGCTGGAGCTGCCAGAGGTGGTGGCCCGAGCAGGCTCCTAATTGCCAACAGTTAAGACTTAATGTCACCGAATTATGAAGTTTGCCACCCCCGTTGCCACTATGTTTAAGTGGAATCTAAGGAAGAAGAAAGCATGCAATCCTGCCTTTTCTAAAGGGTGTTTTGCTTTCTGCAAATGCTGAAAAATAAAAATCAATTTCTGGTGTGGGAGTTGGGTGGTGGCTCCCTTCATCTTGGGGCTGGTCTTTGGGCTGGAGTGTTTCTCCTGCTGCTGAGGTCCCTGGTATGCCCTATGGCCGAGTTGTGACTTGGCATGGCAGAGAGTTGGGTTGTATCTGCAGGGCATGGCTGATGGTGGGTCCGGGAGTGATTCGAGTCATTAATTGGAGGAGCAGAAAGCCCCAAGAAGCAGAAATATTTGCTCAAGAACTCATCTCTATGTTGTTGGAAAAAGGCAGAATTTTTTAAATGTATGGATTAAATGGAAGAGAAAGATGGTCTCTATCTCTTCATAGGTACAGGTGTTGGGGAGACGTGAATAGGGTCTGTGCTTGGGGGCTACACACGCCCAGCTATGAATCCAATCCAGCTTGTGTCACTTACAAGTGTCACAATCCAGCTTGTGTCACTTACAAGCTGCCTTAGAGAGCTCTCTGTCTCTCTGTATATGTGTGTGTGTGTGCACATAGGCACATGTGTGTATGCGAAAGTGCACATACATAAACACATATATATAATATATAAAATGCTTATGTAGTATATATGATTACTTTTTTACCCAAGAATATCACACTTCCCACATTGAGCATATGGAACTTCGTCATATGTAATAGTTACAGAATATTCCATTATATGGTTGAATCCTAATTTATTTAACGAGCATCGCCCGCCCCCCTCCCCAGCATTGGTCATTGAAGCAGCAGAGATATGCTTCCACATGCATCTTAGCATGATTTTCTCAATATAGCCGTAAAGTACATTCATAGCTATGGAATTACTAGGTCATAGAATAATTACATGTTTAATTTTGGTGGATTCCACCAAATAGATATGTACACTCACTCCTACCAAGAGTATATGAGAGTGCTGCATCTTACAACCTTGTCTGCCAGCATATTCTCTGTGTGTGTGTGTGTGTGTGTGTGTGTGTGTGTGTGTGTGTGTGTGTCTCAGTCTCAGAAGGGGTTTACCAGTTCTACAGGTGGATATTGTATGTTTGTTTTTTATTCATTAATTTCTGCTGTCTTATTATTTCTTTTCTCCTATTATGGGGTTTATTTGCATTCTTTTTCCACTTTCTTGGGCTAGGTACTTAGATGGTTTACTTCTAGCCCTTCTTTTTTTTCTAATATATGCTCTTAAGGTTATGATTTTCCTTCTAAGCTAACTTTGCTTTACCCAACAAGTTTTGATAAGTTATGTGTCTATCATTATTCAGTTCAACAGACAAAGAGAACATCTTAAATTTAGTCAGAGAACAAAAGGCACATTAACTTCAAAGTAATTCTACATATAGTTCAAACCCACAAGATAATATTATTATTCCTTTTTTCCGTTTCACACTCACTGTTTTTTTTTGTTATTGTTGTTGTTGCTGTTGTTGTTGTTGTTTTCAGATGGAGTCTCACTTTGTCACCCAGGCTGGAGTGCAGTGGTACCATCTTGGCTCACTGCAACCTCCGCCTCCTGGGTTCAAGCAATTCTCCTACCTCAGCCTCCCAGATAGCTGGGAATACAAGCATGCACCACCACGCCCAGCTAATTTTTGTATTTTTAGTAGAGTCAAGGTTTCACCATGTTGACCAGGCTGGTCTCAAACTCCTGACCTCAGGTGATCTGCCCACCTCATCCTCCCAAAGTGCTGGGATTACAGGCATGAGCCACCATCTCTGGCCTACACTCACTATTTATTGAGATTTATACACATAATCCTCTTTTCATTGCTTCTCTTCTCTTCTGCATTTCTATGCTTCAATGCTGATCATTCTGCCTGAAGAATCTGTTTAGTAATTTTTTTGATTCAAGTCTGCTGATAACAACTTTCCTCAATTTTTGTTTGTCTGAAAATATTTCTATGTTGCCTTCAATGTTGAGGGATATTTTTACTGGACAGGACATTCTAAGTGGACGATTACTTTCTTTAAGCATATTAAAGGTGTTTTCATGTTATGTTCTGGCATTCATCATTCCTGTGTCTGATGTTTTCATGCCTCTTGATATGTCCGGTAACTTTTGATTGAATGCTAGACATCTGTGTGGAACACAATAGAAGTTTTGGCATTGTCATCTTCCCCAAGGTAGGATTCACTTTTGCTGTTAGAATCCTACCTTGGGGAATCTGTTAGATATCCTGTTAGAATCCTGTTGGCAATCTGTTAGATAGGAGAAGGTTGCCTATATCCAGTCATGAATTGAGCTGATTTGAAGATGAGTTTCAGTCTTTGTGAAGGCGGATCTATTACTTGCTCACCTAGAGTAGGAGCCTTCCCAGACCCCCATTTGAAAGATTGAGCTATTTACCAGACCTGTCCTCTTTGGCAAGCTCTCAACTCCAATGTTGAGTCCATAGCATCATAAGATTGCTGTGCCATCTGCACAACCTTTTGTTCTGCCTCTCAGACTCTCATTCTGTGTGAACTGACACATACCTCAACTGCAGAGGTTGTACAAAATATAAGTCTTATCTCAATGCATTTCCTTCATCTTCAGTTATTGACCTCTAAACTATTGGTTTCCTTGATTGCTCTCCAATGTCTTCAAATAGATTTAATCCAACTGTTTCAATTATTTTCAGCAAGAAGCTTGGTCCATGCTACATAAGCTAGTTCATTATCACCAGAAATGGAAGTCTGAACTCTCTTTTTATTTCCATTGATTGATTTATTTTTTCATCAGCATCAAACTGTTTTAATTTTTGTAGCTGCTCAATAAGCATGAATAGCTGGTAGTTCCCACTCATTTATGTTCATCTTTAAAAGAAATATCCTGGTTATTCTAAAATGCATCCTTTAGACTAACCCCAGAACCATGTGTCATCTTCTAAACCAAACTCATTGCATTTAATTCACACATTAATTTAAAGAAGAGTTGATATTTTTACAACATTGTATTCCTATTTTAAAATGTGATATTTTATTTATCAGTCTTGTTTTATGTTCATCAATATATATTTTTAAGGTGAGGTCTCACTATGTTGCCCAGGCTAGTCTTGAATTACTGAACTCAAGCCATCCTGCTGCCTCAGCCTCCCAAGTGTTGAGATTACAGGCATGAGCCACCATGCCTTGATCGTTCAACAGTAGTTTTAAGGTTTTCTTTATGTAGCACCGGCATATAACTTATTAAGTTTATTTCCAATAGTTTACCATTTTGTTACTGTATAGATATTATTTTTTAATGCATTACATTTTCCAACTGGCTATTTGTGTGTAGCTGTTTATTTTTTAATGTTATTTTTGTGCACAGCCATTTATCTCAACTCTTGTACTATTTTTATGTTTTTTTTTTTTCAGCTGGTTTTGATCTGGGCATGCATATGTTTACAGTGTTGCACAAGTGGTGATGATGCACCCCAGAAAATTTCAAATCGCTGATGTAAGACATTCTGCTTTACATAGGAGGTCTTGGAATTTTCTGGAGTATCATCAATAGTATAGAGCTCTCAGTCTAGCAAATCATGTAGCTACAGCAAACAGAGCTGAGCAGAGCCCAGGTTCCAAATTCTCAGTAGAAATAGGGACTCTTCTGTTATGGAGTTGTTTCAAATTCTCTCTGTCTATGTAGCAGGACATTTGTTGTACCTCAGGCATCAGGGGTAAAAAAATGCCTTTAAAATCTTTCAAATCAAGTCTGACAAAATTTCTTTTTTTTTTTTTTGAGACAGAGTCTCGCTCTGTCACCCAGGCTGCAGTGTAGTGGCGCGATCTCAGCTCACTGCAAGTTCCACCTCCTGGGTTCATGCCATTCTCCTGCATCAGCCTCCCGAGTAGCTGGGACTACAGGCGCCCACCACCATGCACGGCTAATTTTTTTTTTTTTTTTTTGTATTTTTAGTAGAGACGGGGTTTCACTGTGTTAGCCAGGATGGTCTCGATCTCCTGACCTCGTGATCCACCCACCTCAGCCTCCCAAAGTGCTGGGATTACAGGCATGAGCCACCGCACCCGGCCAAGTCTGACAAAATTTCTAAGAATGCTAAAACAATTCGTATTGTTTAATCCAGAAATTCCACTTAATTACACTTGCAGAATTTATCCTGAGAAAATTCTTGCAGATGCCCACACATATTTAGCTGTAAGTATGGTTATTTACTGTAGATTACAATAAAGGAAATTTTGGAAAAAACCTGGATGTTCTAGAGTAGAGAAATGGCTACATCAATTTTGGTATATGCAAATCAGAGACTATATATATTCTGCAGCTACTAAAAACAGTGCAGAAAATATTTATGCTATTAAGTAAAATAAAACTAGGCCCCACTATGGATGGTATGTGCAGTATGGTCCCTTTTTAAAATTTTTTTTGGCAGGATCTTGCTCTGTCGCCCAGGCTGGAATGCAGTGGTGTGATCATAGCATAACCTCGAACTCCTGGGCTCAGGTGATCTTCTCGCTTCAGTCTCCCAAAGCACTGGGATTAGAGCACTCCACCACACCTTACCTTCCATTTTATTTTATTTTTAAATTTTATTTTATTTTAAGTTCCAGTATACATGTGCAAGGTTTGTAGGTTTGTTAACCTAGGTAAATGTGTGTCATGGTGGTTTGCCACACCTATCAACCCATAACCTAGGTATTAAGCCCTGCATGCTTTAGCTATTTGTCCTGATGTTCTCCCTCCCTCTGCCCACTGCCTCCTGCACTGACAGGCCCTGGTGTGTGTTTTTCCCCTCCCTGTGTCCATGTGTTCTCATTGTTCAGCTCCCACTTATGAGTGAAGACGTGCAGTATTTGGTTTTCTGTTCCTGTGTTAGTTTGCTGAGGATGATGGCTTCCAGCTTCATCCATGTCCCTGCAAAGGACATGATCTCATTCCTTTTTAAGGTTGCATAGTATTCCATGGTGTATATGTACTACATTTTCTTTATCCAGTCTATCATTGATGGGCATTTGAGTTGATTCCATGTCTTTGCTCTTGTGAATAGTGCTGCAATAAACATATGTGTGCATGTATCTTTATAATAGAATGATTTATATTCCTTTGGGTATATACCCAGTAATGGCATTCTTGGGTCAAATGGTATTTCTGGTTCTAGATCCTTGAGGAATATCCATACTGTCTTCCAAAATGGTTGAACTAATTTACATTCCCACCAACAGTGTAAAAGCACTCCTATTTCTACATAGCCTTGCCAGCATCTATTGTTTCTTGACTTTTTAATAATCACCATTCTGACTGACATGAGATGGTATCTCATTGTGGTTTTGATTTGTATTTCTCTAGTGATCAGTGATGTTGAGTTTTTTTTCATATGTTTGTTGGCCACATAAATGTCTTCTTTTGAGAAGCATCTGTTCATGTCCTTTGCCTACCTTTTTATGGGGTTGTTTGTTTTTTTCTTGTAAATTTGTTTAAGTTCCTTGTAAATTCTGGGTATTAGACCTTTGTTAGATGAGTAGATTGTAAAAACTTTCTCCCATTCTGTTGGCTGTCTGTTCACTTTGATGATAGTTTCTTTTGCTGTGCAGAACCTCTTTAGTTTGATTAGATCCCATTTGTCAATTTTTGCTTTTGTTGCAATTGCTTTTGGTGATTTCATCATAAAATCTTTGCCCATGCCTGTGTCCTGAATGGTATTGGCTATATTTTCTTCTAGGGTTTTTATGGTTTGGGGTTTTACATTTAAATCTTTAATCCATCTTGAGTTAATTTTTGTATAAGGTGTAAGGAAGGGGTCCAGTTTCAGTTTTCTGCATATGGCTAGCCAGTTTTCCAAGCACTGTTTATTAAATAGGGAATCCTTTCCCCATTGCTTGTTTTTGTCAGGTTTGTTGAAGATCAAATCATTGTAGATGTGTGATCTTATTTCTGAGATATCTATTCTGTTACATTGATCTATGTGTCTGTTTGCATACCAGTGCCACGCTGTTTTGATTACTATAGTCTTGTAGTATAGTTTGAAGTCATGTAGCATGATGCCTTCAGCTTTGTTCTTTTTGCTTAGGATTGACCTTCCATTTTAAATGCATAGAAAATTTCTGCAAAGAAAACAATGATATAATTGCTATTATCACTACTTGGTTAGTACTACCTGGTTAGACAGCGCTCCTACTTGGTGTTTATGCCCATGCCTTTGGGGAAATATTGTGATATTTATGAGACATCTTGTTGGACTTTCAATAAAGGCACCGTCAGCTCTCTCTCCAGCTGGACTTCTTCTTTTGTTAAGAGCAGTGACCCTTGCTGGGTGCCTGTCATGCCCCTTGGTCCCTACGGAAAATGGACCTTCAGTTACCTTCTGCCAAACCAAGGATGAGAAAGTTGTATTAGACACTGACCTCCACTCCAGGAAGTTTTGGAATGCAGTGTGGCAGGGGTGTGCCAGAGCTCTGTATCCTCATCTCTGTAGCCTGGACTCCTGGCAGACAGGCTAGCTGTGGCTTTGCTTTTAGTCTTGGGGCAGAGAGAGCCTCACACTCCAAAAGCATAATCCTGGGGTTTTGTTTTTGTCAAAGGACAGGAATCCCTGCCTGGCAATGCTCACTCTCCAAAGGGCCTCAACAATGTGGCAGAGAGAGTTTGGTGGGGTCAGCAGGGAAAACAGGCCACTCATCAGGACCTCCATCCCTCATTAGCTGGCAGCTTCATGACCACTTGTTGGGGGCCAGTGTCTCTAACTAAAAGGATCCCAGGTTGGAAGAGCAGGACTGTAATGACACCTAGAGGTCTCCAGTCTCCAGGTGACACATCCCCTTCTGATGCTGAGTCCCTGCTGTGCTTGACGTGTCCTTAGTACGCACTTGACCCATGTTTGCTAACATCATATTTATTCTTTGTCTACTGAGACGCCACTGTGCCCACCATGAAGACACCTTTTATATCATTAAACAGAGCATTTTATCTCCTCACATCAGAAAAAACTCAAATCTCTCCAATTTGTTGATATGGAGATGAGAGAGGAGACAGGAGGGCTGAAATTTGCCAGGGATGGAAAATAAAATTCTGCAGGGAGCAAATGCCATGGAAGTTGGAGAGCTGGACAAAGAAGAGAAAGTCTGAGCCATTTTGCCCTTTTCAGGGGCAAATTTACCTTATTAAATCTGCCTTGTTGTTTATCGCTCTTTGGGTATCAGGTTGTGCTTCTTTTTTTCTTTCTTTCTTTTTTCTTTTTGAGATGGAGTCTCGCTCTGTCATCCAGGTTGGAGTACAATGGTGCAATCTTGGCTCACTGCAACCTCCGCCTCCCAGGTTCTAGTGATTCTTGTGCCTCAGCCTCCCGAGTAGCTGGGATTACAGGTGTGTGCCATCACGCCAGGCTAATTTTTGTATTTTTAATAGAAACAGGATTTCACCAAGTTGGCCAGGCTGGTCTCAAACTCCTGACCTCAAGTGATTTCCTTGACTCGGCCTCTCAAAGTTCTGGGATTACAGGTGTGAGCCAACTCGCCTGGCCAAGTTGTGCTACTTTCTGATTGCAGCATTGTACTGAGATGGCATGAGGTAGCCCAGACTTACTTGATAAGTCTTTCATAAGTCTTCACAATAACTCTTATGAAGTTATCCCTGTTTTACAGATGAAGAGACTGAGGTTCAGAGTGGCCATGTGACTGGCCCAGGATGGTACATGGGAGAGCCAGCATTACATCCCAGATTTGCCTACTTCCGTGTGCCATTCACTCCCCCATGTAGCTGTAAACTCCAGGGACTAAACTATGACCCTCAAGCCCTCTGTCACTGTCACGTTCTGGACAAGGCCATGCCTGGAATTTATATCACATCTAGGTAGTGAGAAGGAGCTAAGTAAGTGAATAAAGAAGTTATTTTGGTAACTTCTGTTGTGTATCAAATTATCTTGAAACGTAATGGTATAAGGCTGGGGGCGGTGGCTCATGCCTGTAATCCCAGCAGTTTGGGAGGCCGAGGTGGGTGGATCACGAGGTCAAGAGATTGAGACCATCCTGGCCAACATGGTGAAACCCCGTCTCTACTAAAAATACAAAAACTTAGCGGGGCGTGGTGGCAGGCTCCTGTAATCCCGGCTACTTGGGAGGCTGAGGCAGGAGAATCGCTTGAACCCGGGAGGCGGAGGTTGCAGTGAGCTGAGATTGCGCCACTGCACTCCAGCCTGGGCAAAAAGAGTGAAACTCCGTCTCAAAAAAAAAAAGAAAAAGTGTAAAAGAAAGATAATGGTATAAAACAACAACTGTTTTATTGTGCTCATGATTTTGCGGGTGTGGAATTTGGGAAGTGCTCAACTAGGCAGTTTTTACATGGAGTTTCTCATGCAGGTGCAGTCAGATGTTGGCTGGGGCTGCTGTTATCCGAAGGCTCGACTGGGCTGGACATCCATCCAAGGTGGCCCAATCCCATGGCTGGCAGCTAGTGCTGGCCACTGGCTGGAAGTTTAATTGGGCTGTCAAGCAGAGCACCTGCACATACTCTCTAAACAAGTGGTTCTCAACCAGAGGTGGTTTTCCCCTCAAAGGGACAATTTTGTCTGTCACAACTAGAGTGCTACCAACATCTGGTGGATAGAGGCTAAGGATGCTATAAAACAACCTTCAATGCACGTGATAGCCCCCAGCAACAAAGAAATATTCAGCCACAAATGTCCATAGGGCCGAGGTGGAGAAACCCTGTTCTAAAGCATGGTGGTCCCAGGGTGTCAGGTTTCTTACATGAGGCTGGCTTCCCCTGAGTGAACGCCAGAGAAAACCAGGTGGAACCTACATCTCCTCTTGTGACCCAGCCTCAGAAGTCACATAGCGCCAGGTGTGGTGGCTCACACCTATAATCCCAACACTTTGAGAGGCCGAGGCAGGTGAATCACTTGAGGTCAGGAGTTCAAGACCAGCCTGGCTGACCTGGTGAAACCCCATCTCTATTTAAAAATACAAAAATTAGCTGGGTGTGGTGTTGGGCACCTGCAATCCCAGCTACTTGGGAGGCTGAGGCAGGAGAATTGCTTGAACCTGGGAGGCAGAGTTTGCAGTGAGCGGAGATCATGCCATTGCACCTCCAGCCTGGATGACAGGGTGAAACTCCATCTCAAAAAAAAAAAAGTCACATAGCATCACTTCTGTGTACTTTATTTGTCAAAGCAGTCACAACGCTGCCTAGACTCAAGGACAGGAGACAGGGCCCCCGCCTCTCAGTGAGAGGAGTGTCAAAGATTTTGCGGTCATTTTTTCACAACCAAGGAAGATAATGGGGATTAGCATGGTGGGAAGCAGGCAGGGCCAGAGAAGCACTGGGGGTTTTCCTCTGGTCACCAGCCCATCCTGCTGGACACTGGCTACGCTGACACTGAGTCACTGGACAAGCTCCCAGGAGCAGCTCTTGTCACTGGCTCCAAAGCTTTGTCAAAAACCCCTACACCATGAACCTTTTATCAAAGCACTCTGAGTTTTCTCTGAGCCAGTAGGAAACTGAGATCAGGGTGTCTGCATTTGACTCTCTTTCCACTTCCTTCCTCCTTCTCTCCAATTAAACCCCATCCATCCTTCCCAGCAATTGATAACTGGGCTCTCACTTGCTCCTCTAACCTCACCTACCTCTGGGCACCTAAGCACTTCATTGCAAGTCCTTTTATTATTGGCTTGAGCAGGGGAATGTGCCATTAATGATTTAATCTCCACAAGACATTTCTCCCTAATTGCTAGTCATGGATGATAATTAGCGACTGTTAATTCCTGATAATTAACAAGCTAATACTTAGAGGTAATGGCGCCTGGGTAATCATCTTAAAAAGCTCCTGTTTCTACTAAAAATACAAAAAAATTAGCCGGGCGTGGTGGCAGGCACCTGTAGTCCCAGCTACTCAGGAGGCTGAGGCAGGAGAATGGCGTGCACCTGGGAGGCGGAGCTTGCAGTGAGCCAAGATCGCACCACGGCATTCCAGCCTGGGTGACAGAGCGAGACTCCATCTCAAAAAGAAACAAACAAACAAACAAAAAACTCAAGAAGGCTGCCTGCTTCTGGAACCCAGCCCTCAAAAGATGACACTACATGTTGCCATCTCCAGCCCAGGAGTTTAGCTGGAGCCCTGCACTTTTGTATACAAGGAGAGTGATTGGAGAATAGATCACTCTAATCTTTAATTTAGTTTTCTTCTCTGATTCTGGAAACAATACATGTTCTTTGAGAAGCTTTGTTGAGCACAGAGAAGTATTTTAAAAACCATGCATAACCTAATTACCTGGAAGCAGCCATCATCAACATTTTGGGTTATTTCTTTCCAGTCTGTGAATTTTGTATACGGTTGAGTTTAAGTTAAAAGTGTGATGTTGCATTCAACTTCATTAATTTACTATTATAGTGTAAACATTTTATCTTGTGATAGCAACTTATAAAAAATGGCTCCTCTCCTATAAGAAAAATCAAATGAACATGAGATTCATGGGATAGAGAAGGAACCATGTAAAAGCAGAAGCTCGAACAAGGGTCTAGGAATACAGTTCAGACTAGGGTGTCTTCAAGGGCCTTCCTGTCCCTACTGAAGACACTGGGTGAGAGAATATGTACACACATGCACAACTACGTAGAAAAAAAGACTAAAAGGCAATGAACTAAGATATTAATGATGATGGTGTTCTAAGAGTGGGAAAGTGCAGGTAATTTTCATTTTCTGTGTTATATAATTTTCTGCGCAATACAGAAGGAAAAAGCACTGGGTCAGGATCTAAACTATTGCTGGTGCACACTTTTATCTTTTCAAGTAACTGTTTGGGTTATCCCAGGCACTTCTCCCCTCTGGATCTTGATTTCCTGTGTGTGCTTTGAGGAAAGTATTAGTCCTGCCACCCCACTAGGTGGGTTTCAGAAGTAGAAATCCTGGGTCAGAGTGCACCTCCAAGAAGCTACCAGAAGATATGACTGGATGACTCCCAACAATATGCCCTATAGTATCAAACGAGAAGCCTTTATGTGACACTTGGCCACTTCTAAAGAAACATTTCTGAATACTGTGTCTCGTACATTTCTAGATAGCCTGAGTGACCTACTTTGGATTATTTTCCTTCTTCCCAACACTCTTTGAGCCCATATTTCTTCAGTAGCGAGATGATGTAGTCCAAGCATAGACTTTGGAGTTAGACCTGGGTTTAAAGCCAGCCTACGGCTCACCTGTGCTTTCCTGTAGGCTACTCCACATCTCTAACCCTGAGTTTCTCCATCCACAAAGTGGGGCTGATCCCACCTACTCACAGGGTTATCGTGAGGTCCTGATGAAACCCTGTACCTGAAGGATTTTGCACAGTGCCTGGGAGCTAAACCTACTCAGTCAATAATATGATTTATTTATAAATAAATAGGATTACATAATAGAAGCATAGATATAATTTTGTAATGAATAAGATTGCTATTTTCCACCCCAGGTAGCATTCCATAAATGTATTACATACTCTGGAAATAGATGAAACTTTTTGGTTTTCCTAGGTATATTCCAGGCTTTAGGATCTGCTATTGTAGAGTTTGGCAGGCAAGGTCACTTTCAGCCTCTTTTATTTCTCGCTTTTGTAGATTAAGATCCAATCTCCTCTCCACTTTCATCTTTCCAAATCTCCAAACATGAATCTTTTTCATCTCCCTGCCAAGCTTAACATTAAGATTGGCTGCTCAGCTTCGACCAGGCAACAGCAGTCGTGCTTCAGAAGCTCTGATCCATTCTCTCTGCAAGACTCAGGGGCTTAGTCCACTGTTGCTTAATAACAATACCTTATACCAGGATCATGCTTTAGACTTTTTTCAAAGCATAGTCATATCTGCTGTCGTGTTTAATCACACCAGCAATTTTGTGGAGTGAGCAAGGCAGGTCTTCCTATTCTTCCTGGCAGGCAGTGTGGTTCCCAAAGTGGGTTTCACAGAACATGATGTCTTTTTTTTTTCTTTGCTCAAATAAGTTTGGAAAATACAGAAATAAGCAAAGCTAAGCAGGCTTTTCAAAGCCTTTACCATAATGTGCAATGCGGTTCTTCAAGAGCTAGGTGCAGTGCTTCTCACAAGCTGTTTTTTTTTTTTTTTTCCTTTTAACCAGAGTCACTTTTTCTAGAATATTCCATGGAATTATTGCTCCATGGACCCCACTTTGGATAAACTCATGGGGTGGGAGTTTGAGAACGCAAGCCTTGAAAAAGGGCTTGGGAGTGGGGCAAGGTAAGGTTCAAATGCAGGCACCAACATTTGCCAGCTGAGTGCTCTTGTGCAAGCTTCTTAACCTCACTGATCATCAGTTTGCTCACCTGTAAAATGGGTGTGGTAATAGAATAGCCAGGATTAAAATGGGGAGTAAGGTGCTTAACAGGATGCCTAACAATGATAAACGTTCAATGTACTTTGGTGTTTATTATTAGTCTCTTCCTCCATGTTATCCAGGAGAAAATCAGTCTTCAGAGAGTGTCTTAGTTTGTTCTGTGTTGCTATAACAGAATACCTGAGACTGGATAATTTATAAAGAAAAGAGGTTTATTTAGCTCTTGGTTCTGCAGGCTGAGACGTTCAAGGCCATATCCCTGGCCTGTGATGAGGGCTTTCATAGGGCATCACGACAGAGCAGAGAAGGGCAAGAAGGAAACGGAGAAAACCTGAGGCTTTATAACAACTGTCTCAAGGGAACTAATTCATTCCTTCAAACTAATCCAGTCTTCGAGGGTGAGAACTCACCACCATGAAAACAGCACCAAGCCATTCCTGAGGGATTCCATGACCCCAGACACCTTCTGCTAGGCACACCTCCCAACACTACCACATTGAGGATCAAATTTCAACATGAGCTTTGGTGGGGGCAAACAAACCACCTTATCCGAACCATAGCAGAGAGGTTAATTTCCCAAGCTTACATGGATCTTTAGTGGCACGGTTGAGTGTAAGTTCAAGGCTCTGTTCGCCTTTGGGAGCCATATCCCTTTGTTCTCCACTGCTCCCCTTACTCCTGCTAACCATCCTTGGTGTTTCAATTCCATTTCCTTTGGCAGATGTTGGGACTTTGTGAGCTTCAAGTGTAAATGACAGGGTTTGGCTAACTACTATTAATATAAAAATACTATCAGTACAACGTCACTAGCACTTCCCACCAGTCGGCAGCAGCCTTGCCCTGGACCTCTGCTAGGAGTTGGCTTCTCTTCCCCAGGACCTGGGTTCTGCCTGTTATGATGCTACCCCACCTTCAGTCAGAATGGGATGCTGTGGTTTCCCATTTTTCCAGCTCGCAAACTCTGCAAGCGGCAGCACCTCTGATTTTGTTGCCTCTTCCTCAGCTGCAAGCACAGGGCTTATAGGCGCTTTACTAGATACTCATGCTAGATACAAACTGTCCTGCTCCCCTCTGCCCACGCTGTTGCATGGAGAATGATTTGGCTGGGTGGAGAGGGCTGTTTGGTGTTTCATTTCTCCCTCCTTTGTCAAAGCCAACACAGGAAGGATCATTGTGGCTTAAAGCCCTGTGCTCTTCAGCCTTGCAAACATGGACATAGACTCACACATGCCTCCAGGAAGCCAATATATGGCTCACTCTGTAGATCAATCAACTTTCCCATGATCAACTGCTAGAGCAGGGCCGGCGCTGTGGAATCAGGGCCAGCGTGCACCCCTCAACCCCTTCTCACAAAGAGGCTCTAAACTCTGCCACTCTCCTCCTACAGTCAACTCAGACTCTGCAGACAAATCTGGCTTCTGTCCATTTTCAGCTGCCTCAATACCCACCTGTGCCTCAAATCTCAACTGGAACATGATACCATCCCTGGGGCAGGGCCCTAGGACTCCACTGGAGCCCTGATATTGGTGGACTGCACCGAAGCACTGCTGCACCTCTTTCCCAAACATCACTAACATCCAGTTTCAAAAGTTCTGACTTTGCAATATTGCAAGGTGCCAGTGAAAGATGCCGACAGGATAGCAAACTTGCAGCCAAGGGTGGCTTGGGTGACACAACCTTTCTGAGTTGCCCCAGGCCTCATTCTCTTCTAGAGATGGCTCTGCCTGCCCCCTCCAGCCCCACTGGATGACCCCTTCTGGGCCCTTGTCATATCCTGGGCTTTCCCCATCATAGCAGTTGCTACATTACAATGCCATCAACTGTTTGCTTGGCACAGCACTTCTCAGATTTTAGTAGGCAGACAACTCACCGGGATCCTGTTAAAATGCAGATTTCAATTTAGGATGTTGGAGAGGCCAGAGAGTCTACTTTTCTAACCAGCTGCATGGTGATGCCTACATGGCTGGTCCATGGACCATACTTTGAGTAGCGAAGATCAGTTGTTTTGAACTTTGGCTACACATTAGAATCACCTGGCAGAATTTAAAAAATACCATTGTCCAGGCCCCACTTGAGCTCAATTGTATCAGAATCTCTTGGAGCAGCACCAGGGTATCAGGGATTTTTAGACACTTCCTAGGTGATTCTAGATTACAGCCAGAGCACAGAAGCCCTGAGACTGGCTATGGGCTCCACGGGGGCTGGCATCCATCTGCCTTGCTCTCCACTGTTTTCCAGCTCCAAGTCCAGTGCCTGACCCTGGCAGATATCAGCAGGTGGGGCTTGTGGTTGACCTTGCTTAGACACTTAGCTTCTCTTTTTCTCGTTCATTGCTGGCCCCTGCCGATACAGCGTGCTGAGCAGGTAAGAGTCAGCCCATTTCTGATTAGGTGGATTTAGGAGGCTGTTGCACTTGGACTGTGGTATGGCTTCTTTACTTGTGTTGACCAAGTGCTGCAACTTATTAGAGTCACATGAGGAGGACACTTTCCTCCAAGAAATCTTCCCTGCCTCTCTACTCCTTCCCAAGGCTGCTGCCATTTTCCTGTCTGGAGCTGGCATCTCTCACAGAGACTATTTGAGCCTCAGAATCCTTTTCAACACAGAGAAGCTCACCCAGCAGAGTTGTCTCCTCCATTCTTCCTCTCTACTTCCTGGACAGGTCTCTACCACAGCCCTCAATAGGTCGCATTTAATTGCTTTGGGGGTGCCTTTGTTCTTCTAGATGGGAAACCCTTCAATGGCAAGGATAGTGTCATGTTCATTTTTGTATCTCCCATGTCTGGCACAATGGGTTGCTGAATGAATGAATGAATGAATGAATGAATGAATGAATGGCAGTACCCAGCAAGGGGACTCCCAGAGAGGACAAGGGGGTCCTTGCAGTGGCATGCCAAGAACGCTCTGAATTGCTGCGGGGTTAGGGGGAGGGTGGCACCTCTGTTGCAGTGACCTGGTGTCCAGGGGGTTGCCTGGTGGTCTTTACCCATCCATTGAGCCAGGTTGGGGTTTGACTTTAGTTACTGGCTCCTCATCTTCGTCTTCTCAGAGCCGTGGGTACTGCCACCTGCTCACCCACTCTCCCTAGCCCCAGAGCGCAGTCCGTGCTGGTGGGAGCGTGGCGACTAGTTGCACAGCAACGGTCCAGGAAGATGAGTGCCTGCGGGAGGAAGGCCCTGACCCTGCTGAGCAGTGTCTTTGCTGTCTGTGGCTTGGGCCTCCTGGGTATCGCGGTCAGCACCGACTACTGGCTGTACCTGGAGGAGGGTGTGATTGTGCCCCAGAACCAGAGCACCGAGATCAAGATGTCCCTGCACTCAGGCCTCTGGCGGGTCTGCTTCCTTGCAGGTAAGGGTGCCCAGGGTTGGGGACAGCCCTGCCCCCTGACATCACCTGCCCCAAGAGGTCCCTCCCTGGGAAGAGATGGCCAAGAGATGCTGGAAGGAGACCATTCACCACGGATGATCCCTATATATGGCGGGTGGTGCTCCCTGCAGTGACTGGGACCCCATTCCAAACTCAAGTCCTGATTCTCGATGTCCATTTGAGCCAGTCTTTTCACCTCCCAGGTCTTCCTTCCTGAAAGATGAATGTAACTATGCCTTCCCCACACTCTGCTCCCAGGACTGGATGCCAATGACACTGCACAGATCTCAAATGTTCATGCATGCTTTAGCTCATTGAAGTATTGATCCCATATAATTCTCCCAACAGTACTGCAAGACAGGACTTGTTATTTCCACTTTGCAAATGCAGAAATGAAGATTCAAAGAGGTTAAGTCTCCTTAACTCAGCTTCCTTGCATCCACTAGTTTATAGATTAGAAAATACTTGGCAGTTTCTCTGTTCCTCACTCCATAAAATGGCACAGAGGAAACACATGAGCAGGTCCCTCCAGCTCTGCAGCATGGTAGAGGTTTTGACCCCACTTATCTGGGCCTACCTTTTTACTCACTAGGGCTTCCCTGTAACCCTTCAAGTTACCACTCCAAGAATTCTATCCTTTATCCCTTTATCATGACCCAAGACCAGCCTGCACAAGAAAAGCATTTCCAAGTCATACAAGAATAGCTGCAAGCTGGGCTGGCCTGGATTGCCACAGTGTGGTCACTGGGCTTTTCTTGGTAGGGGCTTGTAACTTATGTGTGCACTGGGAAGAGACACAGTTTGGCTCTCCCAGCCTTTTACCTCCCAGCTTGATAGTACAGCTTTGGGGGATGGAGTGGGTATTTGTTCCTACCAGTATTTAGCAGAGAAGACACCTCAAGGTGTTGAGTCTGCCATGTGAATGACATCCAACTCTGGCTTCTTCTGCCTCAGACTGCGTGGCATTGGTCTGTGCTTAAATCTGGAGTTTGAAGTCACTAGGATCTGATTTCCAGGGTGGTTGACAGGGCTTTTGGAGTTTTGCTCCATGACACCCACACTGGAGAATCTAAGTCAGCTATGCACCATTGTCAGCCCCATCTGGCCAAACGCAGTGAGATGGCACCAGATGTTCACTCAGCATGGAGAGTTTGCAATACCAACCTCTTTTCATGTGACTCTTGGTGCTTGGGTCCATCCTCACACAGGCGCTTCTCCAGGAAGGTTGTCATGTCAGGACGTGCCTCCACCCCTGCTGTGGGCTATGAGCCAGGGACAGGACCCCCATAGGGTTTGGATCCAGCTCAGGTGCAAAGACACAGCAGGTCAAAGATCCTAAAAACACACTTGGAAATACCATTTGTATGGACCAACTTCAAATCCATGTTCAAGAGGGACCTGGAAATGTGATTCTTGTCTCCACAGGTGAGGAGCGGGGGCGTTGCTTCACCATAGAATATGTGATGCCCATGAACACCCAGCTGACATCCGAGTCCACGGTCAATGTTCTAAGTAAGTGCCTTGAGTCTGGCAACCTGGGCCACTGGCTGGACAGAGAGGAGCAAGGCAGAGGGAAGAGTCAGTGTGCCAGCATATTTCTCAAGAGGAATGCCCTTAGACTCAGCTGGGTGTGCTGTCCTGTTAATTAGAGATGATCCACTAGAGCTTAATTTTCCAGTAGTGAAAACAGGTTGCTGGAGTCTCCCAGTCTACTGACCCAGGCATCAATCAGGGAACTGAGCTCTCTGGACCCCAGGGAGCCTGACTTCATGGCCTTGACCTCAACAGAGTCGTTTCTGCCCCCAGTATGAATTTGCAATATTGCAATGCAATTCTGATGCTAATCACCTGGAGTTAACAGAGACTCCACAGGTTTAAGGTCTCAGTCCCCAAAGAAACTACCCTTATTTCAGATGCCAGCTGCAAGTTCAGAGGTCCCTGGCCTCCTGCACTTCTGACCAATTAGCTCCAAATATGGGAGCTCCCATAACTCCATCAGGTTCAATAATTGCAAAAATGACTCACAGAACTCGGGCAAGTGCTATACTTACCATTCCAATTTTATTACAAAGGACACAAATCAGGACCAGCTAGATGAAGAGACACATAGGGCAAGGTCTGGGGGTGGGTCCTGAATGTGGAGCTTCAGACTCTTCTCTCCATGGAATCAGGTTGTGTCACCATCTTCACACACTGATGTGTTCATCAACCAGGAAGCTCAACTGAGCTTTGGTGTCCAGAGTTTTTATTGGGGTTCATTACATAGGCATGATTGATTACATTATTGATCATGTGATTGAACTCACCCTCTAGCCCCTTACCTTGCCTAGAGGCCAGGCTGATATCACCTGGCTCAAAACCCCAATCTTCTAATCCCATGGTTGGTGTTTCTAGCCCCCATCCTGAGTCACCTGGTTAGCAAAAACTCAGGTGTGGTTGAGAGACCCACCATGAATAACAAAGACACTCCCAACCTTGGAAAATTCCAAGAATTTAGAGGTGATCTCTCAGGAACCAGGGACAAAGACTAGCCCCAACAGAATTGCTCCCCAAGTAATTATAAGTTGAAGAAAACAGAGGCTGTAACTGTCCCCTGCACCATTCAGAGCAACCCCTTGCCCAAGGAAATGGTGAATCTGCCTGGAAGAGGAAGCAAGATGGAATGACCTGGCCCTTCCACAGCTGCCATATTTGCAGGTGGTATGGACTCCATATTGGCAGACAGTGTGGACTCCCAGGAGGGTAGTAGCTTATGCCTGGAGGAAATGACAGAGGCCCTGAAGATGCTGGCACTTGAAGTCAGACCTTCCGGGCCCACCTCAGGGACAAAAGCCCTGCTAGTAATGGGAGATCCCCAGGCCACCTGATGGGGGTAGAGTCTGGGGAACCCCTGCAGGGGTGGGGCTTTGAGGACCAGTTGGTAGACACTGCCAGGAACACTCAACTCAGGATGATGAGGAATGAATCAGGCCTGGAGGCTGACAGGCCGCCCTTTTGTCCCGTTAATTAGAGATGATCCGCTCAGCCACACCATTCCCTCTGGTCAGCCTCTTCTTCATGTTCATTGGGTTTATCCTGAACAACATCGGACACATCCGTCCCCACCGGACGATACTGGCCTTTGTCTCTGGCATCTTCTTTATCCTCTCAGGTAAGTTGTGTTGTTTTCTTTTCTTGCACCCTGGAATTTTTTGTTTTTTGTTTTTTGTTTTTGAGACAGAGTCTTGCTCTGGCACCCACGCTGGAGTGCAGTGGCACGATCTTGGCTCACTGCAACCTCCACCTCCCGGATTCAAGCAATTCTGCCTCAGCCTCCCAAGTAGCTGAGATTACAGGTGCCTGCCACCACACCTGGCTAATTTTTGTATTTTTAGTAAAGATGGGGTTTTTCCATGTTGGCCAGGTTGATCTTGATCTCCTGAGCTCAAGCAATCCAACTGCCCTGGCCTCCCAAAGTTCTGGGATTACAGGCATGAGCCACTGTGCCCAGCCACCCTGGACTTTTGCTGTTTAACTCCCAAAAGGCTCTGCATTGGAAAGTCCTGGAATTAGGATAGGCTGAGTCAGTTATTCAGACAGAATTGAGTCAGAGATGGAGGAAACATCTGAGGACCCTGGGCCCATTATTACCTTCCAGAAGAGCAACAGAGGCTCCACAGGAGGGGTGACTGCACAGACTCCCCTCTGACAAATCTGGGATTGGAACCCAGGGTTCCTTCCTCACTCCACACATCACTGCACCTAATGACTTTTTAATTCCCACCATCTTGAGTATTCCTATTTTTGAAGGGGCTATGTCTTCATATTTGTGCATGAATATTAAACACAATCTGCCTTTGGAATAATGGGTCCTTTACCCCCCATCCCCCAGCTGTCCTCAGGAGACTCCTGCTGTCTCCTTCCCTCTCCAGTCACACCCCACACCATAAACCCTCCTAGACCCCTTCAACATGGACTTGTCTTCCTGGACTGATGCCAGGTTGTACTTCATTCTTTCTTCTTTTTATTCATTGATGATATCTTCCAGGCCTTATTCTGGCTGCTGGCATCACTGCCTACAAAAAGGGCAGTGCAATGGGAGATAGAAACAGTAGACAGAAGATAGGAACCCAGTGTGAATAGGACTATGAATGGTGGCCAGCAAGGACTGCAAGGGGGCCAAGACCAGTGACTGAAACTCAGGGCAAATGTTGGTCATGGAAGACTACCAGGAGGAGGCAAACTAAAGGATGAGTAAGAATTAGGCAAAGAAGTGAGGTTGGGGGTGGGGGTGGAAAATGGGCCTGGAGGAAAGTGGGAGGATGAAGCACTGGGGGAACTGAGTGTAATCATTGCTCATCATGGCAGGTGCAAGGAAAAATGTAGTGAGAAGAGAGACTGGGGAAGGCATCTGAGGTCGTCTTATGGATTCGGGACTTTAGGAGAAGACTTAGATGGATTTTGAGCCAAGGGATGACACGATTGGGTTTGGATTTTCGAATGACCATGCTGGGGAATGGAGGGAGGGAGGGAAGTAAGACAGGAGGCAGGGAGACTAGGCAAGAGGCTATTCCAGTAGTAGAGGCGATGGCCCAAACAGGGGGTTGATGGTGGAAAAGAGAGAAATGAGAGGGTTCAAGTGACATTTGAGAGGTAAACTCAACAGAACTAGGATGAGGCTTCCAGGGAAGAGTCAAGGTAAGTGCCAATTTCTTGCTTGAGCACTGGGTGGATGGCATATCACATCATTGATTCAGGGATCACAGGAGGAGCAGATTTGGGCAGCTCATGAGTTTAGTGTGGGAAATGCTGAGTTTGAGGTGTCCTTATGACATCTGGGAGGAGGTGTCCAGAAGGCTGCCAGAGGTCAGTGTCTGGGGCTCATGGGAGTGACTTGGACCAAAGATAGAGATTGGAGAGCTATCAGCCTAGGGAGTGGGAGAGGAATCCATGGACATGGATGAGATTACTCATGGCTGGTGTGTAGAGTGAGAAGGGGAAAGAAAACAGCAAATAAAGGTGGGCTCTTTCTCCTTTTCAAGGTGACCTGTGCATTTTCATGGAGACCTTTTCTTTTGGAGATAACGACTTGGGCCAAAGGAGTGGCTCTCGGGGCATGTAATTTAGGTGCCCCGGATGACTGACTGGTTAGGGATCCTGGGGAGAAGATGCTTGGATGGAAAATGGATGGGTGAATGGCTTGAATAATTGATAGATGGATGGATGGATTGGTGAGTGGATGGGCGGATGGGAAGAAAGGAAAAACAGCTATTGGATACCAAGCATTCTGATTACCACCTGACTCCTGAGTAATTTTAGGATCCTTTTCCCAATATTTTCTTGTCAACGTAGCTTGGGAGCCAGGTGGCAGTCAGAAAGTCTGATGTCCAAGAGCCACTCTTTCTTTCTCCTTCCATCCATCCATCCATCCATCCATCCATCCATCCATCAATCCATCCATCCACACACCTACCCACTCTTCTTTCCATCCATCTGTCCATCCATTTTTCAATCTACCACCAACCCATCATCCATCCATTCTTCCATCTATCAACCCATCCTTCCACCCTTCCATGCATCAACCCAACACATATTTATTGAGCACCAGGAATGTTATCAGCCCAGCTTTTGCATGGTGATATTTCCACGAAGTCTATGAGGTACAGACTCAGGGTTAGTTAAGCTTTTTATTTTTCCTTCTGTGAACTTCACGATAGCCAAAGCTATAAACAGTAGCTTTGACATACGTGAGGTTTTTCAGCAGTGGGCTACCAGATCAGAAATCTAGGATTGAGATGGGCCACATGAAGTCATTTCAATGATAACAATAAAGAGGGTTCATTTAGTGCACCAATGATTCAAACATAAGTACTAGGAAGGTTTCGGTCACACCAGTTTTCCTTTGGCATTCATCCTTCCAGATGCCCTACTTTCATAAAATAATGTGAGTGGAATTAAACCTGAACAACTCAAAAGAGAGTAATTAATTATGTCTTGATTCAATTACAGCTACTAATTGATAGAACTGATGCCTGAGGCAGTCATTTGCACAATGGCAGTAGGAGGTTGGTCCCCCCGGCCTCCTGATTTAAAGTTTGCCAAAATCTGGACAAAATCCCTTTACCTCCCCTACCTAAAGATCTCAGACAGGCCACACCTTGTGGTCAGGTGTGTTGGACAGACCATGGGCCACATGAGGGAACTTCACAATGATAGGTGCCACCTACCACCTTGGCTATCTCTGCCCATGGGGCGTATTTTACCCTTCAGTTCTGTAAAAGCCACTTTCTAGCTCAGTGGTTCACAGCCCTCTTAAGAAAATGCAGTGCCAGGCGCAGTGGCTCACACCTGTAATCCCAGCACTTTGGGAGGCCGAGGCTGGCGATCACTTGAGGTTAGGAGTTCGAGACCAACCTTGCCAACATGGAGAAACCTTGTCTCTACTAAACACACAAAATTAGCCGGGCATGGTGGCAGGCACCTGTAATCCCAGCTACTCAGGAGGCTGAGGCAGGAGAATCACTTGAACCCGGGAGGCAGAGGTTGCAGTGAGCCGAGATCGCGCCATTGCCCTCCAGCCTAGGCGACAAGAGTGAAAATCCACCTCAAAAAAAGAAAAAAAAAAAAAAAAGAAGAAAATACAGTGCCAGGTCCCCATCCCAGGCCAGGTGTATCAGAATGTCCAGAGCTGGGGCTCAGGCCTGTGTGACAGATATGCACAGCAGGGTGAGAACCACCGGGCTTAGCCCATGGCTTAGGAGGGCAGCTATATAGGAGCTTCTTCCCTCAAACTATCTGCTGTCTAGAAGGTGCTGGTCTGAACAGGGTGCTTGGGAGGAAAGTTTCTGCTCTCCTTTGAACTCCACTGAGAGCATTGTTACCCCAAGGCTGGTGGCTTTGCTCCTGAATTGCAAAGGGAGGTGGGTGCCACCTCAGCAAACTTCCTGGGCCTCTGGGCTGAGCATCCCCTCTCCCCTGCTGCCCAACCAGGCCTCTCTCTCGTGGTGGGCCTGGTGCTCTACATCTCCAGCATCAACGATGAGATGCTCAACAGGACCAAGGATGCAGAGACCTACTTCAACTACAAGTATGGGTGGTCGTTTGCCTTCGCCGCCATCTCCTTCCTTTTAACGGAGGTAAAGCCCGTCACCCTAAGTATGGATAGGCTGGGCCTGGGCACTGCCCCACTGAGCCGGGGAGAGTGGGGATGGGGGAGAAGGGACATTCCACAACCATTTTGGACCCCGGACCACCCACTCTACTTCCCTTCCTCATCCCAGAATGTGTCACTGTCTTACCTTTCTGGGTCTCCTCCGGCCAGGATGTCCCCAGGACCCTGCTCCTGTCCCCACGTCCACTTCCCACCCCACTCGAGCTGTGTCCTGTGCAGACCCCAGCCAAGGGAGATGAGGCAGGCCCCAGCAGCGAGCCCATCCTCTGCTGTCTTCTCCCTGTAGAGTGCCGGGGTGATGTCTGTGTACCTGTTTATGAAGCGGTACACCGCGGAGGACATGTACAGGCCCCACCCTGGCTTCTACCGCCCTCGGCTGAGCAACTGCTCCGATTACTCAGGCCAGTTCCTACACCCAGACGCCTGGGTCAGGGGCCGCAGCCCCTCCGACATCTCCAGCGAGGCCTCCCTGCAGATGAACAGCAACTACCCCGCCTTGCTCAAGTGCCCCGACTATGATCAGATGTCCTCTTCACCCTGCTGAGCCTCGGCCGCCCCCATCCCTGGACTGTGGGTGGCCAGACAACCCTTCCTGTTCTCTCCAGGTGACCCCTGAGCCCCAGGCCTGTGGTTGACAGGCCCAGGCCACCCATGCTTAGCTGTTGTCACTTGACCCCAGTCCTCTCCCTGCTTCTCCAGAAGGGCTCTAACTGCCCCAGCATGGGTGTGGGAGTCTGGAGTCTGTGGGCAAGCTGATTGTCTGGGAACATGGGAGAAGCCCCGCCCATGTGAGTGCCAATCACAGCAGTGGCTCCAGGAAGCCAGCAGCTCCCCCCAAGCCCAGGAGACACCGATGTTCCCTTTGTATATTCTTCCTGCACCCCCCAACTTCATGGCCCTGGGCCAGGGCCAGCTCTGAGATGCCAAGCTCCTTACACAGATGCAGCTGGACTCGTGCACTTGCCAACTGGCCTGGCCATTCACATTCAAGATCTGCACCATCTGGCCGAAAGGTGACTCTGATATAGAGGTCTGGCTGACTTAGACATGTCAAGCTGTCAGTGTTCCTTCTGAACTCCTTTCTCCTTGTCACCCCTGTCCCTCCACATGACACACCTGTCCATGCTCTTCCCTCCCTGACACAGGCTGTGGTGAACTTTTTCTCCTTTCCTCACACCAGAACTCAGCTGCCCTGGGCCCTGGCACTAAGGGACTAAGGGTGGCTCTGAGGCCACACTGATGAAGTCACAAAGAGGTGTTAATGGCTGAAGACATCCTAATATGTATGGCCCTTTGATAACATATTTTACAGGAGCCTTTTATGCCTTAACCCAAATAACTGATTCTGACAATGAGAATTTTAGAATCGGGCTGGTCTGAGTTCCTATTACCAGACACTGTTTCTGGTCCTGGGGATACTGTCCCCTTACAAGGGTAATATTTCCGGACCAAGGCCCTAAGATGGAATCTTGTAGACATCTGTCTAAACCACCTAAGTGGAAGGTTGCCTTCGAAGAGGCTGCCTGGGAGTGGGAGCTGGATTTGAGGACACCTGGTGCAGCTTGAGTGCAAACAAAGGCAGACTTGGAATAATCCAGCTGCTCTCCGAAGGCTGCCTGTGAACATTGGGGGGTTGCCAATTTAATCCTAATATAGAGGAGTGTCTGCTTCCTGGGTGTAGGACAGATGTGGGCAAATCAGATTTTTCCAGAAGACCAGGCAGTGTGACACCCATTCTTCTGGTGGGAAACCGGAGCCAGGAGGGTTTCAATTACCCTCCGTAAGTCCACAGAAGCCACTGCAAGCCATGCCCCCCTTCAGCTCTCCAAGTGTCAGCTTAGCTTAGATGTTTTTGGTTTTGAGATTTTGAGTAGCAAAGCAATGCTGTGTGTCGCTGCTGTGCCCGCTCTCTCCTTGCCCTCTTTAAGACGCCGCTAGGTTCTGAGAACAGAAAGCCATGGTGGCGACACGTGGGCTCCAGCACGTAGTCCAGAAAGCTGCACGTCTGGTGTGCGCAGCCTTGGAGAGGCGGTGTGTCAGGCAGCCGGGCTGCCGCAATGAACTACCACAGACTGAGTGGCTTAAATAACGCACATGAATTTTCCTACAGTTCTGGGTACCGGAGTCCAAGATCACGGTGTTGGCAGGATTGGTTTCTTCTGAGGCCTCTGTCCTTGGCTTGCAGACGGCTACCTTCCCGCTGTGTCCTCATGTGGTCTGTGTGCCCGTGTCCCTGGTGTCCCTCAGTGTGTCCACATTCCCTCTCCTGGTGTCCAAGGACACCAGTCAGATTGGATTCGGGTCCATCCCCGATTAATTGGTGGTTAATTTTCATGAAATAACCTCTTTAAAGGCTCTATCTCCAAATACAGTCATGTTCTGAGGTACTGAGGGTCATTCTACAAATGAATTTAGGGAAGACAGAGTTTAGCCCATGACAGGTATTTTGTTGCTGGATTCTTCCATTTGTCTCACAGCAGGGTGGAGGAGAAGGGTAAGAGAAGCCAGTTCTGGTCCCAATTCAGCCACTCATTCACCACGAATCCTTGGGCAACACCCTTCCACTCTGAGGGGCTTGGCCTAAATGGTTTCCAAGCCCACTCCCCTCCCACCCACCCACAACTCCAATGACTCAGCCTCCTGTGGGAGGCTCTCTGTTGCTTTTGTATGTGACTTTTCAATCCTTGCCTATAAACTGATAGCAACTGCAAGGCCCCCCTCCCTCTCCACTGGCACCCTTGCAATGACTGTTGTATTCTTCAGTTACTGTTTACAGAATAATACCAAAACCATGTTCTCCTCACCGCAAAGTAAAGGAATCAGTTTTTGTGCTTGGAGACAGATAGCGTTTCCAAACTGGACAATCATTTAGGTAAGCGCTATTCCAATTTTTATCAATGTAATTAGCTCCTAATTGCACTTTTCTCTCTCTAGAACACTCTTTCTCTGTCACTGTGCCAGGCTTGTTTTTGGTGCACCTGGAAAAAGTAGAATCCACTCCTAAATACAAGTTGATTGTGGACTCAGACATCACTAGGTTCGGTCTTCACTGGCCCTGATGCTGAGCTGCTAAATGAAGGAGCCCTTAGCCTGGGAAGATGTGGTTTACACGCATCTTAGGAACAGGTTCTCGGTCATTACCTGTTTGGGGGTGGGTGCATGTGTCAATAATCACATCACCATCACAATTTCCTTTCTGTCTATAAATTCATCTCCGAATCAGGGCCTAGTTGCAGCCTCTCCTCAATCAGGAGACTTTTACCAAACGTTAACATGTACAAACTCAACTCAGAAATCATAAATTAGGGTCTCTTCTTCAATATACATTCTGATCTTTTGTTTCCTCAAGCACTGTAAAAAAATGGGAGGGGTAGACTAATAAACCCAAGTGTCATGATTTATGGAATAAAATAACTTGGGGTAATCAGCCATTAACAGAGAACAATCTGACATTGGTTCCCCCACACCTGGAACTTACTACCCTACTTTTTTTTTTTTTTTTTTTTGAGATGATGTCTTGCTCTGTCACCCAGGCTGGAGTGCATGTAAGAGTTAAAGAAAGAGGAGGCCTGGCGCAGTGGCTCATGCCTGTAATCCCAGCACTTTGGGAGGCCGAGGCAGGCAGATCACTAGGTCAGGAGATCGAGACCATCCTGGCTAACATGGTGAAACCCTGTCTCTACTAAAAATACAAAAAATTAGCTGGGCGTGGTGGTGGGAGCCTGTAGTCCCAGCTACTTGGGAGGCTGAAGCAGGAGAATGGCGTGAACCTGGGAGGCAGAGCTTGCAGTGAGCCGAGATCGCACCACTGCACTCCAGCCTGGGTGACAGAGCGAGACTCCGTCTCAAAAAAAAAAAAAAAAAAAAAAAGAGTTAAAGAAAGAGGAAAGAACCATGAAAAGTGGCTCAATAGTCAAAGACAGGTTTATTTTGGAGAATAAACCTGAGAGGGGCTTCTGGACGATTTCAGTCAGGAGCACTCTCTCTTACAGACCAAGAGTATTTATTGGTGAGACAGCTTGGAATGTTTCTGTGTGTGGGAGAAGTTTATGGCAGGGTTGGAAAGTCTCTGGTCAGAGAAGAGGTTATCTTGGGGCTGACATCTCTCTGGTTGGAGGGAAGGTTATCTCGGGGCTGGCATGTCTCTGGTTGGGGAAGAGTTTGGAATGTTTCTGGTCAGAGATGTCATTTGTGGTTTATGGTCATGTTGACCTTAGCCATTAGGCTGATGCCCTTTGAATTTAGGTGGTTTTTGATCAAGGTGAACTTTAAAATGGCAGTGCTTGTCCAAGATGGTGAAGCTCCTGCTCTGTCAGTGCAGTGGTGTGATCTCGGCTCACTGCAACCTCTGCTTCCTGGGCTCAAGCAATTCTCCTGCCTCAGCCTCCCAAGTAGCTGGGATCACAGGCATGCACCATCATGCCCAGCTAATTTTTTAATTTTTAGTAGAGATGGGGTTTCCCCATGTTGGCCACGTTGGTCTTGAACTCCTGACCTCAAGTGATCCACCTGCCTTGGCCTCCCAAAGTGCTGGGATTACAGGCATGAGCCACTGTGCCCATCCTCTACCCTCTTTCTTGTCCCATGGGTGAGTCAATGATGTCCTCCCAGCCCCACCAGTGACCTTCAGAAGAATCCTGTGTTACCAGGGCTGCATGCAGAGCTGGGGTGGGGGCGTGGGGGAAATCCATAGGTTGCCACAGGCTTATCAGTGATGTCCCTAGAGAATCACATGTAGGGGGCACCCCTCCTTAATGTTTGAGTAACTCTCCCTTCTCCCTAGATACAGGTGGTCTATCAGGGTTCTCCAGAAAAACAGAATCAACAGGATGAATATATAGAGAGAGAAAGATTTATTTTAAGGAATTAGCTCAAGAAGTTGTGGAGACTTGGTGAGTACAACCAAAATCTGATGGCAGAGGCTGGTTGGGCTGGAGACCCGGTGAGGACTTGCAGTTCAAGTCCAAACTTGCAGTCTCCTGGCAGAAATCCTGGCTGCTCAGGGGAGGTCAGCCTTTGTTCTATTCAGGCTTTCAGTGCAGTGGTTGAGGCCCACCGACGTTAGAAAAGGTAATTGCTTTACTCAGTGTCCACTGATTTAAATGTTAGTGTCATCCAAAACACACCTTCACAGGACAGTTAGAAAAATGTTTGGCCAAATATTTGGGCAGCACCATGGCCCAGCCACACTGACATGTAAAACTAACCATTGTAAGTGGAGAAAGGACAGCGGAGGCCGGGGGAGCCACATTCCACCTAAGGCCTGAGCAAATTGGCACCTGGGCTCTGTTCCTTCACCAGCTGCCTGGATTTTGGGTATGAGGGCCAATTGGCAGCTCTCCAAGTCTTGACTTTCTCCCCACACTCAGTGAACCACTTTCATATGCTCGTGTGACACTTGGAAGTTAACCTGCCTTTGGAACACAGCACTCTGCCTAGGGAGTAGGTGCACAGGTGGATGGATGAGTGGATTCTGTCTAATGCACCTGTGCCTGAGGCCCGGCTAGCACTGTGAGTGTGGGTTCATCCATGGTAGCAGTGGCTGCTCCAGTGTGCCATAGAAGAGACGAGGCTCAGTGGTCACCACTACAGGGGGTGGAGGGTGGTACGCTGGAGCCAGTCAGAGCCCTCACCAGGGCTGCTTTTGCTCTTTGGGTTCCAGGCATGCAGATGAGTGAATAGGAACTGGGCAGGTGCCCCTCTAGCATCCACGTCTCCCAGGACAGGTGCTAGGGCCTCATGTCCTTGGTACTGGCAGAGCTGAGGTCTCTGGAGTCTCACATCCCTGAACCAGGATCCTGGACCTCTGCTCTGTGACCTTGGACATATCACATCCTTCTGGGCCTGCCTCCACCTTCTGGTGTGTGAAGCCAGGACTCCCTGTGTGCTCACTGTGGGGCTAAGGTTTTCTGCCCCAGGTGGCCCCATCCTTGAAGGTTTGCATGCGTGGGCTCTCTGTCCTGCTGGTTCAGAGGCCTGAGTTCTCATCAGGTGCTGCTGCACCCTCTGTGTGTTACCAGCAGCCCTCGGAACTTCTGTCTTTTCATTCCTGTAATGGGGGAGTGTAGATAAAATCACCTCATCAGGCTCTATCCCCAGACTCTATACCCAACTCTAGAGGCTGTAAGTTTTACAAGCAAAATGCAACCAAGCTCAAGTAGTAGACTCCTCCCAGCCCCTGCCTCCTGATGGAGGCACCCAGATGACAACACTCCAAAGAATGTGGAATTTAGCTAAGAGATCAGATACTTGCAGCACCCCAAGGAAGAATAAGATTTATGCATAATGGAGTGCACATGGCTGGCAGTAGCAGTGGGGAGACAGTTGGAGGAAGGCAGAATTCTGCTGCCTTTATCCACGAGTGGGTAGCAAGATGGCAACAGTGATTCCAAACATCCTATCAAGATGCAACAGCTTCAGAGGGAAGAGAAGGGTGGTCTTTTTCTCTATGTTTTTCTAAGGAATAAAGACAACTTTCCCAGAAGCAACCCCAGCAGACTTCATGTCATGTCTCATTGGCCAAAACCAAGTCACATGCCCATTCCTAAACCACAATCTGGCAAGGGGAACAGGGTGGCCATGTGCTCCAGTTTATTAATATACAAGCAATTGCCCCAAAATTTAGTAGCTTAAGACAGCAACAATCATATCATGATTATTTCTGACAGCTTTAGGGGTTGGCTGGGCTCAGCAAGGCAGTTCTCACTCAGGATCTCCCAGGCAGTTGGAGTCAGACAGTGGCTGTCATTTCAAAGGCTTCCCTGCTCATTGGTGTGGCAATTGCATCCACTGAGACTTCAGCTAAGGTTGTCACTAGAACATCTTTGCACACGGTCTCTTCTTAAGGCCTGGTCTTCCTCATAGGGTGACAGCTTGGTTTTAAGAGTGAGGGTCCCAAGAGACAGGCAGAAGCTTCATTGCCTTTCTGGAAGCAGCCTTTGAAGTTACCTGATGTCATTTCCATCATAATCCCCAGACAACCTAGGTTTATAGAGAAGAGAACGTAGATCCCACCATCTCAGATGTGAGGAGTGTCAGAGTTCCATTGTGAGGAACACATGAGAGATGGGATCTATGGTAGCAACCACCTTTGAGAAACACGATCTGCTGTACCATGACTGGCTTTGACTAGTAAGTTATTCTCCCAGCCTGGAGATTCTGAAGTTACTCTGGGGTGGGACCTGAGGGTCTGTTTCTCTTAAAAGCTTCCAGGCAATGTCAAGGCCATGATATGCTCTAGGCTCTAGGGGTTTAGTCCCAGATCTCTGAAATTTGTTTAAAGCTCTCCAGATGGTTCTAATGTGAAACCAGGGTTGAGAACCACTGGCTTAGACCTACTGGGATTTATCACTGTAGCTGGGGATAAGGCCACCTTCTGAGTCTGGCTGGGGAGTGGTGGCATCCCAAACAAAATGCAAGAAAAGGAGGGAGAATGGTGCTGGGTGGACTCCTGAGGAGGTGGAAGCCCCAGGGACCTCCCCCCACTCCTCGCTCTGTCTCAGCCTGCACCAGCCCCACCTCCTCCGACAAGGCTGTGCCTGGGGCAAGACGCCAAATTCATGGGCTCATGCCCAGCCCTTCTGCCTCTGAGCCCTTTCCCCAAGGAGCTGGTATTCACTGGTATTCACTGGTATGCAGCTAGAGCCTGCCCCTGGAAAGAGGATAGAGAACATTCTGGAGCCAACGTGTTCTCCAGCCCACTGTCAGGGCCAAGCAAGCAGGGATGCAAGCAGGGATGATAAATCCTTAGAAATGATCTCATAGTCTCGGGCTCTGACTATCAAGTTCAGGTCAATCTTCATCACTGGTCTTTGAATAATTCATTTTGTGCTCAGCAGTTGTGAAAAAGAACAAGGCTCAAAGGCTTTAGAGGTTTCTGATTAGGCAATAAAGGAACCACGTATCACAACGTTCCCAGCAGACTAACTTGGGCCAATTTTTACTTTAAATCCACCCACACTCATACACCTCCCACCCTATTTCAGATACAACAATGTGTGTGAAAACACCGTGTAAACTGTAAAGTCCTCTTTGGACTAAGTTATTTTCATTAACAAAATGGTGAAGAGACTAAATTAAACCACATAAGGTGAGTAGCAGCTATTCAATCCATAGCATTTCTCAGTGTCCTAAATGATCAATTCTGGAGAGCATCCTACAAGGTCTGTTTACAGGCTTGGGATTCACCCAAGAATGGATTCACCATCTTCAACCCAGGCACAGTCTCTTGCAAATGTCGATTCAGATACTACGACTTCAGCTTCAACCCCAGCAGGTCATCACCAACATCATGACCACCAACATGCATCTAAAGTCCTTATCAGAGTCCTTGGCACATAATAGGTATTTTGCAAGCATTATCTCATGTAACCCTTTCCATCCTGTACGTAGAATACTGAGACCTAAAGAAGTTTAGGGACTTGCTCATGACCGCACAGCTGGTAATATTTGCACTGCTCTGCTCTGCAAGTCCTGTTTCAAGTGCACCCCCAAGAGCATGGCACCTACAGTCCTAAATGTTCTGCATGGTAAATGTACCCTCTTCTATAATCAGAGAAATAATCCAGGTTCCCATCCAAAGATAAATGGGGGAAGGAAAGGTCTAAATGCAAACAACGGTGATGTGTCGTTTCCTGAAAGCCTCTACACGTTAATCCTGACTCCTTCTCTCCCATCTCTACTCATGATGCCAACCAATGTTGGAAATGGCTCCAGGAAAACTCTGGATTTTCCTAACTGTGGTCAGCCCGTGGTGGAACCTCGCCACACTCTTGTTCTGGATAAATTGAAGCAACTGGAGAAAGACTCATGACACAAGTTTGGCCATGGAACATGTTTGGCGTGTGTGGTTAGGGGTCATCTGATGCATCCTACCAACGTGACCCCAAGGAAAGTGCTGGAGGAATTGGGCTCAGATCCTAGAGATGAGCTCATGTCAGACTCTGGCCTCCAGATTCCATTTTCCTGGCTGACTCCCAGGGCACCATGGAGCAAATGGCCAGTGGGTGTGCCATGGCAGGTGAGACCCGCCCCCCCAACCCGGCATTCTGAAGCCCTTCAGCTGGAGAGGAGGAAGAGATGTTTCATTTGTTCACAATGTTTCCTGAAGCACTGGAAGCGTAAATTCCTGAGTTGATGGGTGTGTGGGGTGCAAAGAAAAAAAAAGTGAAGTGAGAATAAATTTTACTTAGATGCAAGAAGTGTCACCTTGTTGTGTTAAATTAAGTCTGTCTGAGCCCCTATTCACCTGGGTGGTGAGAAATTCAGTGTTCCCCAGGGTTGCATGGGAATCCAATGGGGAGGGGATGGCAGTGGCTGCCAGGCTAGAAATCCAAAGTCCAGCGGTGTAGGTGCCAGGGTTCTTGACACCTGTTGTCCTGTGTCCTCGTAAACACCATCCCGCCACCCCTCTCAGGCCCTGCCAAGGACTCTGCTCACTGCTGCTCTAGGAACCCATCAATTGCACCTCCTCACTCATGTCCTTCCAGGTGTGGGGACTGTCCCCATGCGTTGACTGCTCTCCCCGACCTCCAAGGACTCCTTTCAATCTGTCACCCCCTTGGGAGGATCCTGCACATCCTTCCTCAGTGGATCCTTAGAAACTCAATGGTGGGCTTTTTTGCCTGGATTGGGGGAAGAAAAAGTGATGGGGAAAATGAAGTACTCATAATAATTTACCCTGTGATCCTATTAATAATAAATTAGTACTAATATATTATTTTGGTTATTGCTACTGTTTCTTTAGCACCTACTATATAACAGCTTCTGTCCTGGGCTGTTTCTCCGGTGTGATTTCATTTTATTTGCTTTGAATCCTAGTGCAGAATCTGAGTTAGTTACCCTCTCCAGTTCATGATGTGCAGCCATTATTGGTTCACATAAGGCCTGGCTCTTGATTTTTTATTCATTCATTCATTTTTTTTCCTTCCCCCTCCACCCCATGAGCAACCATTCAGATGTGTTTAATATATATATTTTTGTTTCTATGTGCTCCTTAAATGTATATTGTTTTCTGGCATGTGTATTTTAATTTAAATAAAGGGTACTGCATTATATATGCATCTCTCTTTCTCACTTTTTCATCCAGCACTGCTTTTACAATCTTCTGCTTTCCTCCATGAACATATAGTTCATTGCTCCTAACTGCTGCCAAGCACTCCACAGCCTTTACTTTTTGCCTAAACCCCAGTGAAAATCTCAGTAATTAACACCAGGAAAGTGGGATTTGGAGGCCAGAGTCTGACTTGACTCATGTTTAGGATCTGACACCAATTCCCCCAGCACTTCTCTTAGGTAGGGTTGCTTCCAACTCCCCTACAACACACGCACCAAACAGCACTGCTGAAAATACAGCTGTCCGTCTCCCCTTACAGATCTGGCAACCATTTCTTGGGGCTACACCGGGGGGTGGATGTAATGCATCGCAGGCTATGTTTGCACTTAATTTAATCCAACACGTTCTCATTGTTCTTCAGCAAAGATGCTCCAGTTCATACTCCCCGTGTCCCCCATCCCCGCTAAAACAGCCCAGAATTCCTCAGTCTCAACACTATTGACATTTTGAGCCAGAACATTCTTTGTTGTGGGTGCTGATCTTTGCATTGCAGGAAAGTTCAGCAGCATCTCTAGCCCCTACTCACAGGATGCCAGTAGCATTCGTATCCTCTGCTTGTGGCAACCAAAATCTCCAAATGTCCCCTGAGCGGAAAACTGTCTCCAGCTGTGAGCTACCTAGGCTTCCCTAGCTTTCTCCTTTTTGTCAATGTAGTGGGTTCCACCCTACATTTCCAGCAATCCTACAGCCACACTACCCTCAAAACCCCTGATCTCAGAAGTGAAGCAGGGTCAGGCCTGGTTAGTACCCGGCCGGTAGAAGATGGTACAACGAACTCCCTGGTACCCATCACTCAGCTTCCACGAGGACCAACTCATGTCTGACCCCAGATTCTTTAGAAGCAAATCCCAAACATCATATCACTTCTTCTGCAATGATTTCCCGCCATATTGGCAAAAAATCAGGATTCTTTTAAAATCACAATGCCAATAATACACTTAAAACAATAGTTTCTTGATGTCCTCAAATGTCCAGTTCAATGTTCAGATTTTCCTTATTATTATTATTATTATTTTTAGATGGAGTCTCACTCTGTCGCCCAGGCTGGAGTGCAGCGGCGCAATCTTGGCTCACTGCAACCTCCGCCTCCTGGGTTCAAGCAATTCTCTGCCTCAGCCTCCCGAGTAGCTGGGATTACAGGCACCCGCCACCATACCCGGCTAATTTTTGTATTTTTAGTAGAGACAGGGTTTCACCATATTGGCCAGGCTGGTCTTGAACTCCTGACCTCGTGATCCACCCGCCTCAGCCTCCCAAAGTGCTGGGATTACAGGTGTGAGCCACTGAGCCTGGCCGATTTTCCTAGTTATTATCTAAAACATGCATATGTGTCGGTGCTTTCCTGTTTATCAAGACCCATGTAATATCCTGGCCTCACAATTGCTTTCAGGTCTCTTACATTTCATCCTTGAGTTTCTCAGCCTTACCCACTATCAGTCGGCCCATAGCCCGGAATGTTCTGACTGTATCACCCTGGGGTTGGTGAATGTTTCCCTCCATTGCATTTCCTGTGAATTGGTAGACGGATCTAGAAGCTTGATTGGTTGCAGGTCTGACTTGTTGACAGTGAAACTCCTTCAGGAGACATGTGACACCTGGCCATCTGGCTGTCTCTTTTTTTTTTTTTTTTTTTGAGACGGAGTCTCGGTCTGTCATCCAGGCTGGAGTGCGGTGGCGCCATCTCGGCTCACTGCAAACTCCGCCTCCCGGGTTCAAGCAATTCTCCTGCCTCAGCCTCCCAAGTAGCTGGGATTACAGATGGCCACACAACACCCAGCTAATTTTTGTATTTTTAGTAGAGACAGGGTTTCACCATGTTGGACAGGCTGGTCTCGAACTCCTGACCTCAAGTGATCCTCCCGCCTCAGCCTCCCAAAGTGCTGAGATTATAGGCATGAGCCACCGCGCCCGGCCGTGGCTATCTGTCTTCCGGGAAGTTAGCAGTCATTAATAGTCACAGCCCAGGTTCATTACGCTGTTAGTGGTTGCGCAGAGGTGATGTTCTAACACCATTCTTTCTTCATTATGAGCTGGAGTACTGCTGTTCTGAGAAACCGCCCTTCAACTGCTCTCAAGTTTCTCTACTTTGGTCCTCATTCCACCCTGTGGCTGCACACAACTGCCCTACAGATGCACCCAGGCCCCAGTGCATGGACATGGAGACCGTTTCCAGCAAAAACATCCACCTGTAACATTCTGCCAGCCCCCCATCCTCAGAAGTCACTCTCATCTTCATTTTTCACAAATCTCCAAGTCGTGAATATTTGTGTCCTTATCCTTTCTGGCTCCTGTGTTTTTCTTCTGCTTCAAGGCCATGAAACAACCACATTGAGACGTCTCCTCTAAGAAGTCTGCCCTGATTCAATGTCTCGAGAATGGCCACTTCTTTGCCAGGTTTTGGAGAGGCCCAGGGCAAGGCTAGAGGCCATTCCCAGGGAGGCTGGGAGGGTTTCAAGTTTGCCTTGGCACAGAGCGATGTTGCCGGGAGCTAACACCCCCACTTCTGCTCCCACGTGGAGAGGGGCCTTTCCTGGAGGCCCCCGCCAGCTGTGAGTCACCAGCTCCTGAGCCCCAAACCCCATAGAAGAAATGCAAATGGATTCTGGTGAATAGAGAACTCAAGCCACCTCCGTGTGGGAGAGGATGTTATAATATCAGGCTGTCGGCAAATTAACGTTATTAAACAAATGCACCAAAATAGCAGCCATAATTATTCCCATACAGTAGCTCAATCTGGAACTTTCAGGGTGTTTTTGTTCCCCCCCCAAACACAGGGCTGTCGCTGCTCCTGTGGTCCTTCCTCCTTCCTTCTCTGCAAGATGCTGCAGAGCAAAGGGGCCTCAAGCAAGCTCCCAGAACCTCTTTGTTTCCCTGGGAAATGATAAAATCATGGGAGCTAAGATTTCTTCAACACCTAAGTGCCAGGCCCTTTACGTATGAAACTCGATTTACAACCTGATGAAGGAAATGCTGTTGTTCCCATTGGACAGATTAGCAAGCTGAGTCCAAGAGAGGCCATGTAACTTGCCTTGCGGTCACTGGGCTTGAGGATATGAACGCCTGGGCTTGAGCAACCTCTGACCTTTGCCTTTTGCTCTGACTTGCTGCTCCAAATGTTCTTCTCCCCAATATCTTCCTCTGTCTCTCTAGAGACGCTTCACCTCAAAGTACCTGCCCATGGCACCATGGCTTTTGAAGGCTGCTCTGTTCCAGGGAGCTCCGTTATCTCCCTGCTCGGGGTGGCCTGTGCCCAGGGCCAGGTTTGGGCCAGGGTCCCTTGCAGGAGAGCAGAACAGTGGGGATCGAGGAGGGGTGAGGTGCCAGCAGAGGCCAGCTTCCTGGCAAGTTGGCATGAGGACACAAGGTCATGGGGGAGGTGAGAGGCCCAGGAAGGGGGTGCCCCAAGCACAGATCTGAGCATCACTCCAGCCAGGCTGGCCAGGCTGGGCACATGATTGCAGGAGCCTGTGTCCTGCAGCAAATGGGGCCCGTCCTGGCAGCAGCCCGCTCCTCGCTCTGACAGGCGGATCAGTCCCCTTCTCTGAGCCTCCATCTCCGCATGATGCCTGCCTCTGTGTCAGGCTATCAACATCACACGTTATGCAAAGGATGCATGTGACAGGTGCCCATTAGGGATATCACTGGGGCTACAGCCATAAAGGGCCTTCCCAGGAGCCACATTCTGGGCTGGAACTGGGTGGAGACAGCAGTCAAGCCCAGGTCTTGCCCCTTTGTCCTCAAGAAGCTGTCCAGGGAGCAGAGAAGCCATGATTCTGCTGTCGATGACTCCCGTGATCACCATGCGGTGGATGCTGTGAGCCCACCCGGATGTCCCTGCTGTCAAGGCCATGTCACTCTGGGCTACTGGGAGGACTGTCCTCAGGTGACCCTCAGCCATCAGCCCTTACCCTGGGAGCTGCCTCAGCTGCAGAGCGCCACCTCGCCCTTGGTCATGCCCTGCCCTGGGCAGTCCATATCCAGGGACCAGTGGGCTGGAAACAAAGTCGTGGCAATCTCAGGCAACTCAGGATAACTCTGAAGGGCTGGTCTGCCTCCAGCACACCCTAGGAGTGGGGCCTGCTCTGCAGCCGGGATCCCCCCGCCCTCCACCCATCGCTCCTCCCACCCTTCCTTTCCCAAGTGCCTGGCTCCAGGACATCCCCAATCCCCTGCCAGCTCTTTCTCCTTGCCCGCTTTCTGAAGAATCCAACCTGCAACATATTATCACTATAATTGTATAAGTGCGGATGATGTCGCCCAGGATTGCTTGCAGGTGAGCCTAAGTTGAGAGAAATTGCAGGCAGCCGCAGGAGCATGTCATAAGGAACAACTTTAGTTTTTGCCTGCCCGAGGGCCACTCTCCCCTTCTTTTGGCCAAGGAGTGAGGAAAGGACTCAGGCTGGGTTATAGTTCCTCATCCCGGCTCTGCTGATGAGGGGTAAGGTTGGGCAGCTCATGCAGTGCCAGGCACCAGGTCAGGCCTTTTGTGAACATGACTGCACCTAAGCACATCAATCATGGGTCCCCATCTCACAGGATTAAAGAGATCACTTGTCCAAGGTTACACAGCTAATGAGTGGTGGGGCTGGGATTCAATGTTTTTCACACGAGGCTCCGAGGGACCCTGGGACATTCATGGGGTCCCTGGAGGGAAGAGTGTGAGGAGGAGGTGAAGAGGAGGCTGAGAAGAGGAGGCTGAGTAGGGGAGGCTGAGTAGGTGGTGCTCCCCAGCCTTCAACGGCGGCAACTCAACCTGCACGGATTTCACATGCCAGGCAGATGCCGCCCTGTGCCGGCATCTCAGGCAGCCTGTGCTTGATGTTCCCAATGTCATGTTGACTTTTCCACGCAGAAGTGGTTCTGGAATCAGACAGCTCCAAGCAGCTGACCTTTCCTGCATGCAATTCTGTCTGCTTCAAGTCACTTCAATCTACTGATTTTGCTCTGCCCTTAGGAACCACACCAAATAGACCCTGCTTTTCAACTTAGCCCCTGAGAGTAGTTACCTGTCCTCACTGAGTGGCCAACCATGTCCCCTCCCTCTTTTCCCTCCTGTGGGTGATGTGCTTCAGGGATGTTTCATCATCCTGCTCACTGTCTTCTGTAGAACCTCCAGATTGCAATGTCTCTTTAAAGTATAATTTCCAGAATTGATTAAAAACTCCAGCACCAAATGCCAGGGACTATTATGTTTCTTGACGTGGGCTTCGTGTATTTGCTCATTTTGTTTGTTAAGAAAATGTCCTAAACCTGTAATCTCCAATGCACAGGTGATCTGCAGGTCAGTAGTGCCTAAGCTGTCTTCACCAGCCTGTGCATGGAAAATTGGTTTGGGGAGCCAGAAGTCAATACTTTACATTTACCCCTTTACCAAATTATACCTTTGACCATTGAACATAGAACTTGCACCTGCGAAGAGTCATTTTTTTCCCCCAAATTCATATGCTTACCCAATTTTATCAGGGAAAAAAGCTAACAATTCTGCCCTCTTATGGCCAATTTATTATTTTCCTCTTCTTTAACATATTTTCCTGGAACAGAATGGGACAAGCGATTCCATACATAGTTTGGACATTGTGTAGCACACATTTTCTTTAGGATAACTCCCATCTGCTGGTGGAAATGGAGAAGAACCTATAATAAGGTGGCCGGTGAGGATAGTTTCAGGAGCCTGCCTCCTAAGCCTTAGCTGTCCACCCACCATGCTTGGCAACTGTGGCTGCCCTGGAAGGCAGAAGAAACTTCTATCTACAAAGAACCTCCAAAAGGACTAGAAATCAGCCTCCAGTGCTTCCTATTTAATTCTGAAACAATCCTATAGAAACAAACTTACAGAAAAGTTGCGAGTCCAGAACAAAGAACTCCTTTGTAAAGGAGGGCTCCCAGGCTTTTATGGTAAATGGCACCCTCAGGTCTCAGAAACTTCTTCACAGCACTCCTAGGCCAAAAGCACCCAACAATTCTATTTATCAAGTACAAACAGGCCCCGACTTGCGTTGGTTCACTTATGATTTCTCTGCTTTACGACGGTGCTGTGAAAGTGATACACATTCAGTCAAAACCATACTTGGAATTTTGAATTTTGATCTTTTCCCCCGCTAGGGATGCACAGTGCAATACTCCCACATGAGATATTCAGCACTTAATCATAACACAGGCTTTGTATTAGATGATGTTGCCCATCTGTAGGCTAATGTAAGTGCTCTGAGCATGTTTAAGGCAGGCTAGGCTAAACAATGATGCTCAGCGAATTAGGTGTATTAAATGCATTTTCAGCAGGGCATGGTGGCTCACGTCTGTAATCCCAGCACTTTGGGAGGCCGTGGCAGGAGGATCACTTGAGCTCAGGAGTTCAAGACCAGCCTGGGCAACATAGTGAGACCCTGTCTCTAATTAATGATTTATTAAAAGGATAAATAATAAAAATGCATTTCAATATATGATATTTTCAACTTACAACAGGTTTATTGGGACGTAATCCCATAGTAAGACAAGGAGCATCTGTAGTTAGGATTCTGTGCCTCGGTCCTCATTCCACCCAGGAGCTGCACAGGCTCTGCTGTGTGGAAGGCCCCAGGCCCCAGTGTAGGGTCACAGGGATCGTTTCCGGCAATAACATCCACATGTAGCATCTGCCCACCCCCCTCCAGAAGCCACTCTTTCATCTTCCTTTTTTGGACACAAATCTGGAAGTCGTGAATATTCATGTTGTTATTCTTCTGGCCCCTGTGCGTTCCCTCTGCTCCAAAGCCATGAAACAACCACATCACACATTCCCCTCTATGCAGTCTGCCCTGATTAAATGACTTGAGAATGGCCACTTCTTTGTCAGGTTTTGGAGAGGCCATTCTCAGGGAGGCTGAATAGTGGTAGGCTGGTAGATGTTGCTGTGTTTCCGTCAAACATTTAAGGTATTCTGGCCGGGCACAGTGGCTCATGCCTGTAATCCCAGCACTTTGGGAGGCCGAGGTGGGTGGATCATGAGGTCAGGAGATCGAGACCATCCTGGCCAACATGGTGAAACCCCGTCTCTACTAAATATACAAAAATTAGCCGGGCATGGTGGTGTGTGCCTGTAATCCCAGCTACTCTGGAGGCTGAAGCAGGAGAATCGCTCAAACCCAGGAGGCGGAGGTTGCAGTGAGAGCTGAGATTGCACCACTGCACTCCAGCCTGGGCGACAGAGCAAGACTCTGTCTCAAAATAAAATAAAATAAAATAAAATAATAAAATAAAGTATCCTATGGCATTTCTGAGAGTTTACTGTAGTGCCCTGGGGCACCTCGAAACATGGCTTGGGAACCGTGGTTCTGGGCTAGTAAGTTGCCAGCTTGGTGCCCCATTATCCTTAAATTCTTTAGTGTGTGTTTCCTGCAAAAGGACATTCTCCTACACAGCCTAACACATTCATCCCCACCAGAATCCACAACAATGCATCGCTACCATTCAAGGGCCACAATGGAGGTCGGTACTGAGACTCACAGTGGACCAAAGGAGGGAGTGACCAGCAAGACTGATGGGACTCTTCGCAAAGGGAAAAGATGAATGGGAGTTTCCCAGGTGGGAGGGGACACTATGCCGTGCCACACAGGTTTAGGGAAACTTGGCGTGTTTGGGAATGCAAAGTTCCCTAAGGCTGGAGCTTAAAGACCAGAGACATATGTTGGGGCCAGAGACAAAAGACCCTTGAACTCCAGACGAAGGATTGTGAACCTCATCCAACAGGCAATAGGGAGCCAAAAGACATTTCAGGCAGAGGTCAGGCAAGCCAGCTTCATTTCTGAGAAAAGTCTGCTGAGCAGTAGTACAGATGGTGGAAGGAGTAGGGAGAGAGGCTGGGCTGGGACAGGAGTCGGGGCCACTCGGGAGCCCAGGTGGGGCCAGGGGGCTGGAGGGCAGCCCCCTAAGGCCAGGACCTGCTAATTCTCAACCCACACGAGACTGTGAAGATGGAGACCAGCCCTCTGCTTTGTCTGCATCAACCCTGCACCTCATCGTGTATTGTAACGTAGCATAGTGTAGGCAATCTCAAAGCAGATCCGTCCAAACACAGGTGTGAGAAACTGACCGAAGCCACGTGGAGAAGTTCAGCTCTCAGGACACAGCACATCTCTCAGTTAATTTTGGAAGCTCTGAAGTCAGAGGACTGGACTTGGTTTAAGGCTCTGCCATGTGCTAGCTCTGGGGTCCCAGCTACTCACCTCACCTCTCTCTTCCTCCTAACTTAACAAAAGGATAATAAGAATCAACTTTATGAGCTGCAAGAGGATTCAAGGAAGACAGCCCTATAAGATTCTTAGCCAGTGCCCAGCACAGAGTAAGAGTAAAGTAAATGTCAGCTAATACCTTCACAGTTCTTGAAAGGTCTGTGTCTCAACAGAGGAGTTTCTTTCATCACAGACCAAGCCAAGGACTAACAGTTTGTGTAATCGGCAAATTATTAAGAAGCAACATGCTGGGGCTGGGAACTCGAGATGAAGATGGAGATGCAGTTGGAGCAGGGTGGGTGTATTAGCCTGTTTTCATACTGCTATAAAGAACTGCCCGAGACTAGGTAATTTATAAAGGAAAGAGGTCTAATTGACTCACAGTTCAGCATGGCTGGGGAGGCCTCAGGAAACCTACAGTCATGGTGGAAGGCAAAGGGGAAGCAAGGCACCTTCTTCACAAGGCGGGCAGAAAGGAGAAGTGCCGAGCGAGGGGGAAGAGCCCCTTATAAAACCATCATATCTCGCGAGAATTCACTCACTATCAGAGAACAGCATGGGGGAAACCACCCCCATGATTCAATTGCCTCCACCTGGTCTCTCCCTTGACAGGTGAGGATTATGGGGATTACAATTCAAGATGAGATTTGAGTGGGGACATAAAGCCTAATCACATCAAGGCTTTCAGGCTGCAGAATGGGAAGCTGGAAAGGAAATCCAGAATCCAGCAGGACGCTTTGACTCAAAGAACTGAGCAAGAGCAGAGACTAAGCAGAGGCCATAGGGTGGATAGATGGATGGTGGAGGGGAGTCAGGAAAGGTTCTGGAGCTGGCAGGCGTGGAGCAGAGGGCAGGGATGGCATGAAGCAGCGTCACCTGCCTCTGCCCACTCAGAACACAGAAGCCCCGCCCGCCGATTCCTGGTGTCCTCAAAAGGCAGAGGGAGGCAATGGCAGCATTCATGGCCAGGCTCAGAGGCCACACCCTAGGGAGTCTGGGGAGAGGGGGAATCATCCCCGGGACAATCTTGGCCCAGCTCCTGGGGGCAGCAGTGAGGGCAGAGGGGAGGGATGCAAGTCGGCCGGCATGGACCCACACATAGACGCCTTGACAGAAAGAGAGGCCATTCCTACATTGCTTCTTGGTTGAAGTCATTGGTACGTGCTCTATGAGAGAAGGGGATTTCCTCTGGGAGAGGAGCCTGCAATGGACTGAATGTGAATGTCCCTGCAATATTCCTGTGTTGAAATCCTAACCCCTGGTGTGACAGTGTTAGGAGATGGAGCCTTTAGCAGGCAACTGGGTCACGAATGGGGTTACTGCCCTTATTAAAGCGACCCCAAAGATGGACCCCTCTTTCCATCAAGTGGGAATACAAAGAGAAGCCAGCCGTCTTTAGCCCGAAAGAGGGCCCTTAGCAGCCCCGGACCACGTAGGCACCCTGATCTCAGACTTCCAGCCTCCAAAACTGCGAGAAACAATGTCTGTTGTTTAGATACCACCCAGACTATGGTACTGTGTTGCAGCAGTGCCAGAGGACTAACAGAAGCCCCAAAGATGATTAAAATTAACCAAAGATAATTAAAATTAAATCGATTTTTTTAAAAGAAGAAACACCAAAAACCCACTGCAGTTCAAACACACTTACCTGGACAGAAAATTTTTAGGGAAAAAAAAAGATAGCTGCAATACACACACACACACACACACACACACACACACACACACACCCCAAATGCCAAGCTTCTGAATGCAGAGCAGGTGTGTCCCACCGGGAGGACATTGCCATCAGGAGGCTCTGGCTGATAATTAAGCTACAAACATGTACAGAGGCATGGCTGTAGCCAGAGAACATTGTAGATCATTAGGAAATTTCACCTTCTCTAGCTAAGGAGAAGAAAAATGTGGAGAATCTAGCAATCGCCTCCAAAAGCTTTCGCTTAGTGCCAGTACAATCTAAGAACAAGGAAGGGGTCAGAGAAGGGCCATGACAGAAGGAGAGGCCAGGAGGGGGCAGGCCCCGGGCACAGGGTTTGAGCCCCTGTGTCTGGGACTGTGGGAGAGGACTCGCTGATAGCAAGTTACTGCTGGCAGAGTTCCCATTTTTTCAGCTCTTGCCCCTGGATCTGGGAATGTGCTGCTCACTTCCTGTAGTCTTTCTGCCTTTGAGAATGAATTTCTAAACAGTAAAGATCCAGCTCTATGAATTCACCAGCCATGACTTCAAAACAAGTTTCCCGACTTCAGAGAGGCACACCTGTCATTGACTTGGGGGGCCATTTAGGGAATCAAGTGCCCCTCACTAGGGCCCAGCTGGTTGGCATGGAAACCCTCAGTGCACAGATGCAGGCTCTGGCAGGTTCTGGCATATTCTGGGGCAGAGCAAACTCCCCCGCTGTTCTGATGCAGCCCATCTTGGCGCCCTGGAGCCTGTCCATGGCTAAAAGCCAAACCACGTCAACGTTGAGATATTTTCCACCAGCACGTTATCACTCAACAAATAATGGGAATGCTAGACATTGAGTAAATAAATACGAATTTGAACAGGGGACCTAAAGGGTTTGCTGACCAGTGGGGTCTGTGGTCAGGGAAGGCTTCCCTGAGGAAATGATGCTTAAGCCCAGTCCTGGATGAATGAGTGAGGGCTCCCCAAGGAAAGGTCTTGGACAGAGGATTTCATGGGACTGTCATGGGAAAGGCTCTGAGGTGGGCTTGAGAAACTAAGAGGAGCCCAGGATAGCAAGCAGGAGAGTGGAAGAACATAAGGGGTGGAGGCTATGGTTGGGGTGAAAATGCAGGCGATAACTGTTGTGCCCGTTACTTGGCATTTTTTAAAGGGGGCAGGGGTGATGAGCACGGTTTTTCATAAAAACAGTCAACTCCTGCCAGGTGTGGTGGCTCACACCTGTAATCCCAGCGCTTTGGGAGGGCGAGGCAGGCAGATCACCTAAGGTCGGGAGTTCGAGACCAGCCTGGCCAGCATGGTGAAACCCCGTCTCTACTAAAAATACAAAAATTAGCCAGGGATGGTGGCAGTTGCCTGTAATCCCAGCTACTTGGGAAGCTGAGGCAAGAGAATGGTTTGAACCCAGGAGGCGGAGGTTGCAGTGAGTCAAGATCGCACCATTGCACTCCAGCCTGGGCGACAGAGTGAGACTCTGTCTCAAAGAAAACAACAACAACAACAACAAAAACGGTCAACTCCAAACTTCTCCCAATCCAGACAGACCAGTTCACAAGGGCCTAATGTCTTTCTCTACCAGGTAGAGAACGGCCTGATGAAACAGTGGCTATTTTCCCCAACTGCTTACATGAGAACACAGAGTCTTGGAGAATCCAAATAACTTGCCCCAAACCAGGAGGCCAACATGTGAAGGATCCTCAGATTTGGAATAAGATTTGTCTGACCTAATTTCCGTCCTGGCACAATTTGCGTGCCGCCTGCAACTGAGTTTTCGTTGAAGGGTCACTCACTCCGCCATTGAGTGATATTTATTGAGTGGCTACTGCATGCCAGAGGCTGTTCTAGGCAGAGCCCCGGCCCTTGAGGAGCTTATCTTCTGGCGTGGGGATGAGAGGATGGAATGCAAGAACCACAGAACACACACCCATCACAGGCGTAGTGCAATGATGAAGATGCAATGGGATCAGGTGGAGGAGACTCAGGGGAGGCCTGAAGACGTGACATTTGGGTTGAGACATGAATGGCAGGGGACATTTGTGGACTCCATTAACAATAAGGGTTGTGATTAGGTTCAGAAAATGGCGGCTTAATTCACATGCATGTGAAATGTGGCACGGAGCCATGGTCAAGGTCGCCTCCTCAGACGCAAAGGGAGACGCTCCCTCTGGTGTCCAGATCCAGCAATTGCAGGGATTGAGCCGGCAGAAACTCAAAACTCGGGGTGTATTCCACATCCGCAGATACACAAGAGAGATACAATTCCTTGCATAACCCCCTGCAATTCAGAGGCAGTACGATGAGTGTTCTTAAGCCATAAATCAGTAAACATCCCCTAAATAAATAAATAAAAATATCTAAACTTCACGTAGATCTATGCCTGCACATGCCATATTTTTTGCAACATCTAGGTATCACTTGTGATCTTAATATCAACCTTTTTCCTGTAAATCAACTTGTTTGCTAAGATACATTTCATTTAAAAGAAAAATCTTTTGCCACCTCCTACAGTAAATGGAAATCCAATATCATGCACCAAAAAAGTAGAAGATAGCCATAAGACTAATCCACGCAACACCAAATCACATGGTTTGATTTCTTCTGGACCTCAGGCCTGGCTCTGTGTTTGTTACAAGGGGGAGATCAGAAAGTGTGGCTGGGGTATGAGAGATAAAAAAGCAAGACTGAGGCTTGCGTTAATTAAAGGGCCTGAAAGACACTGAGAGGAGAATAATTTTCTCATTGGGAGATTGGTTATTATTTAAGGTCATGCTCCTGGGTCCCTAAAGTTCTGGGGTGCAATGCCCTGGGGACTCCAAAAACTCAAGACTATGCATGTTTTCTTGTCCAGGCACGGAGTTGACAAGGAAGACTGGAAAATGGCCCTGGTGACCATAAACCAACTCCCACCCCTCACTCCCCCTCGGGCCCAGAGTGGTTAATTGAGTATTAAAGGATCACACAAGGAATGATAAACCTGAAGAGAAATGGGGTCTCCTGATTCCCACTCCAGTGCTCTTTCTCTGCACCTGGGGAGGCCAGTGTCATCCGTTAAATGCAATAAAATCCTCCTTTTTTTTTTTTCTGGACGGAGTCTCTCTGTTACCCAGGCTGGAGTACAGTGGTGTCACCTCCGCTTCCTGGGTTCAAATGATTCTCCTGTAGCCTCCCGAGTAGCTGGGACTGTAGGCGCACACCACCATGCCCAGCTAATTTTTGTATTTTTAGTAGAGATGGGGTTTCACTGGTCTTGAACTCCTGACCTCAGGTGATTCACCCACCTCAGGTGATCCACCTGCCACCCAAAGTGCTAGGATTACAGGCATGAGCCACTGCACCCAGCCATTTTCTTTTTTTTTCCCTTTTTTTTTTTTTAGACAGGGTCTTGGTTGCCCAGGCTGGAGTGCAGTGGCATGATCTTGGCTCACTGCAACCTCTGCTTCCCGGGTTGAAGCAACTTTCCCACTTCAGCCTCTTGAGTAGCTGGGACTACAGGTGCATGCCACCATGCCTGGCTAATTTTTGTGTTTTTTGGTAGAGATGGGGTTTCACTATGTTGGCCAGGCTGGTCTTGAACTCCCAACCTCAAGTGATCAGCCTGCCTCAGCCTCCCAAAGTGCTGGGATTACAGACATAAGCCACCGCACCCAGCCAAAATCCTCCTTTCATACAACTATGTTTCATCCTTTGAAAGCTACTTCACAACAAATCTGAGTTATACGTATGACTCTGAGTACTTCTTACTAAGTTTGTGCATCATGATTTAGTAGTCAAGGGGGAAGTAATGGAGAAGTGATTATACAAACATAACCTCCCAAAGTAGAATTTTCAGAGAAGTTACCATGTGCAATTGTTCTCCAGAATTCATCTCACGGCCTAATTCCTCATCATTCTGGAGAAACAGGTCTTTTTCTGATCCACTTGGAGACTTGAGACTGGATGGCGGCTGGAGGAGGCTGACCAGACGGTGACCAGGACCAGGATGGGATTTCATAGCAGGCAGATGTAACTCACCAACACGCTGCCAGTGCCAAATGTCCCTAATCAGTCACTTGCCAATTGCCATTTTTAGCCCAGACTATACATTTCCAAATCCTAAGGATCTGCTTATAAAACCTGATTGGAAATGAGATCAGGAAGAGCAGACACAATGTAAGAAATTGGGAAGCTCAAGCTGGGATTCCCAAGACTGAAGAAAGCCAAGTTGTTTTCTGAGCATGGGGACACCATCCGGACCAAGAGTGGGTCCTTCCCACCTTCCCTGGGACCCCTCCATGGGAGACAGTGGAAATCAGCATGCTGGCAGCCTGGATAATGAGATTTCCACTTCTCCCCAGCTTCATCTGCTCTTCTGTCTGCTGAAGCTCTCAGCTGGAAACACAGACCCTAAAGGGACAGTGGCCTTGACTTCCTGGTGGGGAAAAGGGTGAAAGGCCTGGTTAAGAGATTGCTTTGCTACAACATCTGGACCAGAGCTTTTGAGCTTTCTGAACTTAGAAGGTGCAGACCTTGTTCTTACAAGGCCCACATCCAAGCGATTATATGGTTAGTAGGTGCTGCTTGAGAACACACAAACCCACTAAAATTTACTATTGGATTTCATTGGACTGTGGAATAAATGTGTAGTTTATTCATCACAACAGCTTCTACCCAACTGTGAAAACAGTCATCTGTGCACATTTGAGATGCAGGGTTATGCTCTGTCTGTGGGGGCAGCTTGTCCACGTGAACTCTGAGACTCTGACAGCTGGTCACTGTCCCTTTGGAGTCTGAGGTCCACTTCCTGGGAGTCTCTTCTGCTTTAGATCATTCATACAAATAGCATCTATAATGCAGAGACATGGGGACTGGGCTCCACACCCCACCCTCAGCAGTCATTGATGTTTGAGCTTAAGTGATAGTCTCTTTTTTCAACTCAGGGTGTGTGGCTCCAGAATTTTAGATGAAGCAATTGTTTTGGATTCATGCAACCTAAAGAGGTTCCCTCCAATGACCTGGGGTTAGGTGTTCATCTCCCCTCCACCACCTCTGCCCAGACTGAGCAGATAATTGAGGTGAGTGGGTCTTGGGTCAGGTTGGCGGGGACAGAGGAATGGTGAGTTAGCCCAGATATACAAGACCTTTGCTTTATAAATTTACAAGGGAATTGCCTGATTTGAGAATTTAAGTGGATTCCAACCCTTTGCCCTTTCACTGTCAAAAATACTGTAACTCTTACTTTGCATAATAATGTTTAATTGTGTGCCGCACATTTCAGAGCATACTGAACATGCATCTCAGGGCAGAGAATGGCGTGTGCAAAGCAGGAATTTTGCACTTATTAGACACATTCAATTATGTTCAAGGGTAAATCTCATCAAGCTGCATTTTCTCCTTAGATGTTAACTTTTAGATCCTGACCCCTGAGAAAGGGGTTAACGTTGCAGTATGAGAGCAGGGAGGGGTAGACTTCTATCACAGCATTGAGGGCGACAAAAATGAATGATGATAATTGCGGAAACTTTTAGTGACACTGGGAGACAGCTCTACAGCACTGGGGATTATGTTGTGAATGGTGCTCACGTATTTAGTTTCACATTTTTAACTTCTTCAAGTGGGAATTTAATTTTTTTTTTTTTTTGACGGAATCTTGCTCTGCCTCCCAGGCTGGAGTGCAGTGGTGCGATCTTGGCTCACTGCAACCTACACCTCCCTGGTTCAAGCGATTCTCCTGCCTCAGCCTCCTGAGTAGCTGGGATTACAGGCATGTGCCACCATGCCTGGCTAATTTTTGTATTTTTAGCAGGCTGGTCTCGCACTCCTGACCTCAGGTGATCCACCCACCTCGGCCTCCCAAAGTGCTAGGATTACAGGTGTGAGCCACTGCACCTGGACAGGAATTTAATATTAAATTGCCCAAAATTTAATTATTTAAAACTGCTACAGATACAAAAGATTGAAAACCATTAAATGGAAATTTTGAGGCCAAAAATCGGTTCATTCATTATTCATTCAACAGATATGGATTACACTAACGTGCAACCCGTGTGTGTCAGGCCCTTTGTTAGAGCTGGGACAGCCCTTGGCACCCCCTTGCTAAGCTGCAAGTTCCCAGAATCTAGATGCTTGCACCCGGGCTGTCACGGGGCAGAGGCCACCAAGGATGCTCAAACTGTTACATGTGCCTCACGCCCACCTGTGGACACCAGTGGGTGAAGAGTGGGTTTGACTGTCCCAGAGCTTTAGTAAGGCAGCTTCATGGTGTCTCGGAAAAAGAACTCAGGTCTGGGAGCAAGGAGCTCCAGTTTCTCACCCCAGCTCCGTGCAGCTCTTGTGTGGTTTGCACGCAGTGGTCCACGCCTGGACTCCCGCCCCTGTACCCAGGCTCTGCCTCTCACCTCTGCACACTCACCGGGCACACCTCCAGCCCTGCTGAACTCACCACCTTGCGGTCATAGCCGGGGCCGCCAATGGGTCCTCAGAGCTGCTGGTGGTCGGGCTCTGTGTCTCAGCCTGTTCAGCCCCCGGCCACCTGGTCACTAGCTTGGACTTTTCTCTTCTGGCCTCAAGCCCCCAACACCTTCTCCATCTCAGCAGACTGATCTTCGTGTTCCTTCACTGAGGAAATTGAAGCAGCCACCTCTCTGCTGACATCCGTGTCACCTGTGCCATCATCCCTCCTGTCACTGAGGATGGCCTGTCCATGTCCCCCTCCTGTTTCCTGGATCCCAAGACCCCACTCAAGGCCTTGGCCCCAGCCACCCTTCCCTCTTCCCCGTATCGCTGAGTTTCCCTCTGCTAGACTCTTCTTGCATGGTTCGTTTCCCATCTCAAAAAGGAACAGAGCAGAATAAAAGCTTTTCTGGCCCCCTCAAACCCTCCTGCTACTGCCCAGTTTTATATTCACTGCCTAGGGCTCCTTCCCTCCCATCCTCTTTTTTTTTTTTTTTTTTTTTTTGAGATGGAGTCTCACTTCCGCCTCCCGGGTTCACACCATTCTCCTGCCTCAGCCTCCCAAGCGGCTGGGACTACAGGCACCCGCCACCACGCCCGGCTAATTTTTTGTATTTTTAGTAGAGACAGGGTTTCACCGTGTTAGCCAGGATGGTCTCGATCTCCTGGCCTCGTGATGTGCCCTCCTCGGCCTCCCAAAGTGCTGGGATTACAGGCGTGAGCCACCGTGCCTGGCCCCCCACCCATCCTCTTTTTAACCTGTCCATCAGACTTTTGCCTCAACCACTACACTGAAACTGCTGTCATCGGCGTCACCAGTAGTCCCCACATTGCTAAATTCAATGCCGGCCCTCAGGACAGTTTTTGTTTTTGTTTGTTTGTTTGTTTTTGTGAGAGAGGTGCTCACTCTGTCACCCAGGCTGGAGTGCAGTGGCGCAATCACAGTTCACTGCACCCTTGACCTCTTGGGCTCAACCAATGCTCCCGCCTCAGTCTCCTGAGTAGCCAGGACTACAAGGTGCCACCATCATGCCTGGCTAATTTGTGTATTTTTGGTAGAGATGGGGTTTTCCCATGTTGCTCAGGCTGGTCTTGAACTTCTGGACTCAAGTGATCCACCAATCTCAGCCTCTCAAAGTGCTGGGATTACAGGCATGAACCATTGTGCCTGGCCAGGATGGTCTTTTTTGACCTATCTGCCATCAGATACAGTTGATTAATTCCTCCTCCTCGAAGCACGACCTTCATCTGTCCTTCAGGATACATCCCTCCCAGACACTCACTCTCCAGCCCCTTCCCTGACTCCTCCTCATCGAAGGCTTCCAGGGCTCAGTTCCTTGACGTTTTCTCTCCTCTGTACTTGTTCCTTGGGGAGTCCATCTGATCTCATGGTTTACATACCACACACATGTCTACACCGACACATCCCAAACATACATCTCCACCGAGACCCAGCCCCTGAGCTCCAAACCCCAGTTGGCTGGTTGACTTCTCCACCAGAAGAGCTAATAGACATCACTCATTTAACTTCTGGAACTGAACTTCTGACTCCACCCAAAGGCCACTCCCCGTCAGTCTTCCTAATTCTCGTAATGACTGTGCCATTCTTCATTGCTCTGAGCAAACCTCTTAGGATCTTTTTTAGCTCTTTGCTTCTTCCCACCTTCTCCCAACCCAATCATCTTGGCTCTACCTTCAAAATACATCCAGAATCCACATCCACTGATAGATGAATGGATAAACAGAATGTGGCTTAGTCACACAATGGAATATTGTTCAGCCTTTAAAAGGAAGGCAATTCTGCCACATGCTGCCACATGGATGGGCCTTGAAGACACTAGACTAGGTGAAATAAGCCAGGCACAAAAGGAAAAATACTGTACAACTTCAATTATATGAAGTACTTGGAATAGTCAAATTCCTACAGACAGAAAGAAGAAGAGGGGTTGCCAGGAGCTAGGGGAGTGGGAGACGGAGAGTGAGTGTTTAACGAAGACAAGGTTACAGTTTTGCAGGATGAAGAGTTCTGTGGAAGGGAGGTGGCGGTGGTTGCATAGCAGCGTGAATGTATGTAAGGCTACTACTGAACTCTGCACTGAAAAATGGTTAAGATGGGGCTGGGCGTGGTGGCTCATGCCCCTAATCCCAGCACTTTGGGAGACTGAGGTAGGTGGATCACTTGAGGTCAGGAGTTCAAGACCAACCCGGCCAACATGGTGAAACACCTACTAAAAATACAAAACTTAGCCAGGCGTGGTAGCACGCCTGTAGTCCCAGCTACTTGGGAGGCTGAGGCAGGTTGAACCTGGGACACGGAGGTTGCAATGAGCCAAGATCGTGCCACTGCACTCCAGCCTGGGGTGACAGAGTGAGATCCCATCTCAAATAAATAAATAAATAAATAAATAAAATGTTTAAGATGATAAATTTTATGTCTTGTGTATTATACCACAGTTAAAATAAATTTTTATAAAACACTGGGCCGGGCGCGGTGGCTCACGCCTGTAATCCCAGTACTTTGGGAGGCTGAGGAGGGAGGATCACAAGGTCAGGAGATGGAGACCATCCTGGCCAACATGGTGAAACCCTTTCTCTACTAAAAATATAAAAATCAGCTGGGCATGGTGGCATGTGCTTGTAATCCCAGCTACTTGGGAGGCTGAGGCAGGAGAATCGCTTGAACCAGGGAGTTGGAGGTTGCAGTGAGCTGAGATTGTGCCACTGCACTCCAGCCTGGAGACAGAGTGAGACTCCATCTCAAAAACAAAACAAAACAAAACAAAACCAAAAAACCCACCTAGAATCTGATCCCTTCTTACCCACTTTATTGCTACCATCCCCGTCCGAGCCACAGACAACTCTCACTGGAATTATTGACATGGTCTGTGGTCTCCGCCAGCAGCCAGGAGGATCTCGGGAAATCCGAGCCCTCCATAGCTCCCCTCTCACCCTCTGGGTTACAGCAGCCTTACAACATCAGTGGGCTCAGCTGCTGGCTGTCTCCAAATGAGGCAAAGAGAAGGTCAGGGCCGAAGTCCTGGGTCTGCACTAGAGGCTGCGTGCTTTCCTGGCCTCACCTCTCACTTCTTCCCCCTCCGTGGATCCCCCCAGCATGCTTCCCTGCCCCAGGGCAGCTGCTTCCTACCCCTGAAACTCTCTTATTTTCTTTCTCTTTTTTTTTTTTTTGAGACAGGATCTCTCTTTATCGCCCAGGCTGGAGTATAGTGGCAAGATCACAGCTCACTGCAGCCTCAACCTCCGGGCTCAAGCAATCCCCCCACCTTAGCTCCCTAAAGTAGCTGAGACTACAGATGCACACCACTATGTCTGGCTAATTTCTGTATTTTTTTGTAGAGATGGGCTCTCACTATATTGTCCAGGTTGGTCTCAAACTCCCGAGCTCAAGTGATCTACCCTCCTTGGACTCCCAAAGTGCTGGGATTATAGGTGTGGGCCACCTCACCTGGACCTGAAACTCTCTTCTAATCAATATCTGCTTGGCTACCCCTGTCACCCCTTCAGTCTTTTCTGACCTTCTTGGCCAGGCCTTCCCTTGCTGGACCATTGAACATTGCAACTCCAGCCAAGCACCCCCTACCTCTCTTCCTGGACTATTTCCCTCCACCTGCAAACACCCGACACGCTTAGCATTCTGGTGTGTTCTTCACTGTGTATCTCCCTCACTAGAACATAAGCTCACGAGGGCAGGGATTTTTGTCTACTCTGATCACTGACATATCCACAGTGCCTAAACCAGGGCGTGGCAGATATCAGGTGGTCAATAAACCTTTGGTGCATGGAAAAGTGAGGGAATCCATGGCCAAGTTATTTCACCCCATGATGCTTCTGTGAGGCCGTCCAGGATGGTGCTTTGCAAACTTTAGAATGTGTCATAATGACACAGAAAGCTGGTCGAGTGGACAGCTGGACTCTGCCCCAGAGATTCTGCTTTGGGGTCTCGGGAGGAGGTGAGATGCACCATTTCTAAGAAGTCCTGGGTCTTGCTGATGCTGTGGCTGGTCCAGTATTTCACTGCTGTTCAGGGGTTAGATGAAACCCTGGGGCAGGGAGAGGGAGGCAGGCACCTACCAGGGACAGTGGTATGATGAGAGCCTCCCTTGTGCCAATGGAGCTCCCACTGGCTTTGCCAGCCCAGGAGGGGGAGCCTCTGCCTGCTGGAAGCTCTGCAGAAGTGGGAGGTGGAAGGGAGGCTGGCAGGAGCCACCCCGGAAATCAGCACTGGGGCAGCACTCAGCCCTCCTTCCTGCCAGGGTGTCCAGCCCAGACTTGACCCACTGGCCAGGAAATAGCAGGAGATGTGTCCTTGGTGCACAAGCAGCCCGGAAAACCCCCTTTGCCCCCGAAAACCAGTTGTCGTCACTTTAAGGAAGCACTTATAGATCCCACGCAGGTCCTGAGCCGCACCCAGTCACACAGGTGCCGATCTCACCTGCATTCTCTCTGTTCATTTGTAATTCCACCCCCTCCTCCCCATCTTCCTCTTCCTTCTCTCTCTCTCTCTCTCACACACACACACACACATGTGCACGCACACACACACACACGATCATCCCTCCTAACTCCTCCACCTCACACACAGAAGGCATGCATCCCTCATCCCACCCACAGAAGTCCACACGCAAGTGCACCCCTCACATCTTACACTCCTACCTCTCCCACAAGCATGCACACGTGTGTGCCTGCAGCTCATGTACACAGAAAGGCCCAAAGGGTCTCTGCCAATCTCCTCACCCACACACACCTCGAACGCACCTCTCTCCAGAAAGACACATATGCAAGCCCAGAGCCTCACCCATACCCATGCCTGACACACACACACACATGCACACAGGCACACACACATTCTTGAGCACATGCATGCACGCACACACAGCATGCACACACAGGCGCATGCACACACGGACATGCACAGACACACGCACGTGCACAGGTGCACACACGCACACACCACCCCTTCTTCCCCTAAGTCTTCTCTAGGAGTTTTTGGTCCTAGCTTTGCTCTGCCATCTTGAAGACACGTCCCACAGGGTATGGCTTCCGTCACGCCCAAATTCCTGTCCTGAGCCTTGATCTGCCCACCCTCAGGCCCACCTCCGGGAGAGGAGATGCATGCTCAGGATACTCTCCAGGAGCAGCTAGGAGGCGGCATTCTAGAATCAACACCACTCATTTCTGCAGGTGCAGGGGAATCATCATCCTGCTAGCAAGCAAAGGCACCTGTAGTCTGCTGGGCGCTGTTCAGACCCCAGGAAATGAGAAATAAGAAGCTTCAGGCCCTGCCTTTAAAGAGCTCACAATCCAGGCAAGAGAGTAGAGGGGCAGCTCTGGATGTTAGGTGCTATTATATGGTTACTGGAGACCCTGGGGACCCAGATGGGAGTTGTCAGACCTGCTTGGATGGACTACAAAGGGGAGGATGGTTGGGCAGGGCCTTAAAGAGTGAGCAGGCATTTGGCCAGGCAGGCAAGGAGCCTAAGACACTCCAGGCAGCAGAGAAAGGACAGAGACCTAAGTGAGCTTGCCCCCCTTGGGGAGCTACCAATCGTTTTGTGTGATCACAGCAAGGCAGGGAGGTGGAGGGCAAGTGGAGGATGCGAGGCTGGAGAAGTAAAGGGACCTCATCACTAAGGAGCTGGTGCAAGACTACGGTGCTTGGGCAGCCTTATTGTTTGGGTGATGGAGAGCTGTTGGAAGTCACTAGATTTGTGTTACATGGGGGTCACGCTGGTGGAGACAGAAAGGAGTGGGAATGGTACTAGAGATAGAAAGGCCCAGAGGCACCCATGGATATAGCATAGGATTAGATTTGGCTACAAAAAATCCAAAATAATAGTAGCTTAACAAGGTAAAATTCTTAATTCTCTCTCATATCCAAGAAGCGGGGAGGTATGGCTTGTGTGGCTCTCATGGTATCAGGGACCTAGGCTTTCTATCTTGTTGTTGTGACACAAAGGGATTCCATTCCTATAATCATGTGATCCAAAGTGGCTGCTGGAGCTCCAGGCATCACATCTACATTCCAGTTAGGGGGAAAAGGGAAAAGAAAACAATACCTTCTATTTAAGGACAATTACTAAAAGTTACCTATACAAATTATCTTACATAGTTTAGGGTGGGATGTAGTCATATGGGTCTCACCTTGCTACAAAGAGAGGCTAGGAAATGCAGTCTTTATTCAAGGTGGCCAGGTGCCCAGCCAAACACTAAGGGTTCTGTGACTATGGCACTTGGTGGTGGAGTGGTCGTGAGCCTGGCTTTAGCTGGGAGGCTTCTACACTACATTACTTTGACCAAAGGCAGACACATGAACACACCCACCTTCCTCCCTCAGACGATATTCTCTCCAAACTGAGCTGCAGACTCCAACCTCTTCTCCGATGATGTGCCGGACATCATAGGGAACATGAGAGAGATGTAAGACGGTCTGCAAAGCTTACAGTTTCCTTCAAGAGTCCAAAAAAAGGCACAAAATAGACAATAGAAACTAACAAGAAACAAGCACCCCCCAACATGGATATAATCCATGTAAAACAGATGGTTCTAGGCATAAGCACCCACGATGGTTCCAAAGGGGAAAGGTCAGTGGGGACCCCAGAGTCAAGGAGATGGGACCCACAAAGACCCAAAGAAAGCTGGTCCCAAGAGGAAAAAGAAAACTTTCACTCTCTCTTTACTATATTATTATTATTACATTGGCTAATAGGGCATAGCAAGCCAAAGGTGCAGGGTAGCGTGCAAAGAAGTTGTCAGTCAGAATAAGGGCTCACTTTGAGCCTGGTCATTTTTTTTTTTTTTTTTTTTTTTTTGAGATGGAGTCTCGCTCTGTTGCCCAGGCTGGAGTGCAGTGGCATGATCTCAGCTCACTGCAACCTCCCGCTCCCAGGTTCACACCATTGTCCTGCCTCAGCCTCCCGAGTAGCTGGGACTACAGGCATCCACCACCATGCCCAGCTAATTTTTTTGTATTTTTAGTAGAGGCGGGGTTTCAACGTGTTAGCGAGGATGGTCTCAATCTCCTGACCTCGTGATCCACCCGCCTCGGCCTCCCAGAGCCTGGTCATTCTTAAACAGTGGGCAGAATCTCTTGAGAGTCTTTGCTCAACTGAGAGCATTTACAGAGGCCCATGTGGTGGGCAGGATGGAGTGATCCTCCAGTGGACTTTTCTGAACCACCTTGGACTCTTGCCTATCGGCTGCTATGTCCCCACGGTCAGGCTGCAGGCACCCGCTAGTCCTCAACCCCTGCGGAGCTTCCCTGGCTCTGCTATGTGACCCTCACCAGTGGCCCCTCCACCTTGCTTTGCCCCCTGGTGGGCCCCCTCCCATCCTGCTCTCTCTGGTTGAGACCCTTTGCCTTTGGCTTGTCCTTTGCCTTCTTGCCTCTCAGCCCTATCCTTGTGTCTGGGGGCACTGGTCTTATTGCTGCTGCTGCTGTGTTTCTGTGTTTTTTTAAGCTATCCCTTTATTCCAAGCCCAAAAGCCTTGTTATAGCTCCTGCTCCTTGAACCCCAGGCTGACCCAGAGACCAGGTCCAGCTCGGGAAGGGAACTGGGACCTTCTTCCTGTTCCTCCCTGCTAGGGCATTAGCATTTCCCCAAGATAGTTTTGAAGACTTTGCTTGGCTTGGGAAGCCAGCGCAGTGAGCCCCACACCAATGATCTGATGGTAGCAAGGGGCTCACTGATAAGGGTTTGAACGATACCTTTCTGGGGTGGACATGGCTCCTGCATTTCCAATTGTCTGCCCCAGTAGGCCGCCAAAGCGCTGCTCAGTCTTGCTGGAGGCCTGGGTGGGTGGGAGTGGTCGGGAGGAGAGGGGAGGGGAACACAAGATCAGAAAAGAAGAGACTGGGCTCTGAGAGGACCTCTGGGCAAGGACGGGAATGATTAGAAGGGACGTTTGGGAGTGCCCGCTGAGCTGGCACAGAGCAATTTGCTGAGGAGCCCAGTGGTGCCTGGATGGAGAAGTCACAATGGGACACGTCCAAAGGCTGTGCTTGTGCTTCCCTCCTACAACATGGACTAGCTAACAACGCAGAAGGAAGCCACCGGCGGAGCAGCAGTGCTCGGGGATGGAAATGGTCCTGGTGGCATTTGGGTCTTTGTAAAGATGCAGCTATCCCCGAGCTTCCAGCTACATCCCTGTACTTCCCACAGCTAGTTCTTCAACTCACCCAACAAACCAAATACATTCCTTTTGGCTTAACCTTGATTGAGTGCTTCTGTCACTTACAATCAAAAGAATTCTGACTCAAATCCACTCATCTGCATAATACACTCCCCTGGGTGTCCCAGGTGAAATGCATAACTGCCCTTCTTTTTTTTTTTTTTTTTTGAGACAGAGTCTCACTCTGTCACCCAGGCTGGCGCAATCTTGGCTCACTGCAACCTCTGCCTCCCTGGTTCAAGCGATTCTCCTGCCTCAGCCTCCCGAGTACCTGGGACTAAAGGTATGAGCAACCATGCCTGGCTAATTTTTGTATTTTTAGTGGAGATAGGGTTTTGCCATGTTGGCCAGGCTGGTCTTGAACTCCCGACCTCAAGTGATCCACCTGCCTTGGCCTCCCGAAGTGCTGGGATTACAGGCATGAGCCACCACGCCCTGCCAAGTCCACGCTTTTTAACCACTGTGGACAGTCCTGCCCACGGCACTTCACAGGCCCAGAAGATGAAAAAGCCCACATCCCTTCATTCCTCCTGACCAGCCTCTTCTGCTCTGACTTGCAAGGAACTCAAGCTGTTCTGCATTCCAGGGCCAGGAGAGGACCAGGACAAGGCGAGAGCATTCCTGGGCATTGCTTTCTTTGCATTTCATGAGATGCTGTGAGCTCTTCAGAGGGAGTGATAGGCTGGTTTCCGGATGGCACACCTGTGGCCACACATTCGTGGTCCTGCTTTGATGAGTGGCTGCCTCTGAAAGTGCAGGGCAGGGAGAGAGATGCAGACAGCAGGTGCAGGTTCTGCTCCAAGCACCACCTTCTCCCTGAAGGAGGAAGGCTCCTGGGACTAAGTCATTGATTTTTTTTCTAATAAATAAAAATCTAAAGTAAACCAAAATCTTCACAGGTATCCTGTGTTCTGTTCTCAGAGATGAAAAGATTTGAAGCATGCTCTCTCTCTCTCACACACACACACATACACACACACACATACACACACACACACACCCCTTCCCCAGCCTCCTCTCCTGCTGGCCTCCTCTTCTCTCTGAAGCTTGTTTGCGAAGCTCAGCCTAGCAAGTCTGTCTTCTGGAGCGTCAAGACTCGGTATCAGTGGCAACATCAAAGAAATGTGTTCTTTTCATATGCTTGTCTGCTTGTGTCTAAATCCAGAGTAATGATTTTCTCCTAAATGAATAGCTCTTCGCTGCTTTCCCTCGCCCGTATAAAGTGGAGCAGCGAGCAGTTTGCTAGTACTGGATCAGACCACACCCCGTGACAACTCAGCATATTGTCTGTTCATCTTAGAAGAAACCCTTCTTTGCTTTCATGTGAATTTGCGTCTGAACGATTTGCTGATGCCATGTGACATATCATGACAGGGGAAGAATAACAAAGCTTATTAGTGGGGTTGGTAGGAGGAGCATGGGGTTGTGCGAGCTCTATTTCTTCTTCCACAAATATCTCCTGAGCAGCTACTGTGTGCCTAGCATTCTGAGTGCATGAAATTGCATCCTAGCGAGATGTGCGTCCCTCTCCCTGAATGGGAGCAAAGACCATGCACCTAATGCAGTGCTTGGCATAAACTAAATCTCTGTCACATAAAAGGGTCTTTGGTATTATTATGTGGTGGATTGCATAAAGCACCAGGATATTTTGCAGCTCCTCCCAGTAAGAGATGAAGTCATCGATTTCACCACCCTTTGAATCTGGGCTGGGCTTGTCTTGCATTGGCCAATGGAATACCATGAAACTGACATGTGATTGCTAATCATAAGTGTCAAGAGGCCCTGCACCTTCCCTTCTTGCTGCTCTGGGAACCCTGAGCCATCATGTGAAGGAGTCCAGACCAGCCTGCTGGGTGACGGTGATGAGAGACACATGTTACCCCCAGCATCACAGCCAGCAGCCAGCTGACTTCCAGAGGCAGCACCACCGAGCTGACTGGCAGCTGAATACAGACACATGGGTGAGCCCAGCCAAGATCGGCTAAGTCTGGCTCAGACCAGAAGAACCACTTAGATGAGCCCAGTCTAAACTGCCAACTCACAAAACTGTGGGCTAAAGAAATCATCATTGATTTTTAATCTTTAATAATGTTTTTTGCCCAGTTTTTCAGTTAATACGGTGATACATATTTTATATAATGTTTTGAAAATACATACTACTACTCTTAACATTCAGTATTCTTTGTTTTATGCATACAAAGATATCTACTATGTATAGATTCTGATGTGATAGGAAAAAAACAACAAATTCCTTTTTCCTTTGTATTCTGAGATATTGGAAAAACCAAAGTGGTTTTTCTACTCTCTACTTGATATGGTTTGGCTTTGTCCCCACCCAAATCTCATCATGAATTGTAACTCCTGCAATTCCTAGGTGCTGTGGAAGGAACCTGGTGGGAGGTGATTGAATTATGGGGCGGGTCTTTCCTGCGCTGTTCTCGTAATAGTGAATGAGTCTCATGAGATCTGATGGTTTTAAAAATGTGAGTTTCCCTGCACAAGCTGTCTCTCTCTCTTTGCCTGCTGCCATCTATGTAAGACATGACTTGCCCCTCCTTGCCTTTCACCATGACTATGAGGCCTCTCCAGCCATGTGGAACTGTAAGTCCATTAAACCTCTTTTTCTTCTCAGTCTTGGGTATGTCTTTATCAGCAGCATGAAAACGGACTAATACACTACTCAACACAACACTTCCAACACCTGCTATGTTGGGGTTGTTTCTCCACATACCAAGCAATTCTCCAGCAGACTCTAGCTGAGTGTCCTCTTATTATATTCAACTCTGACCATGTCTACCTGGAGATAGTGTATGATCCCCTAGGTTGAGGACTCAGTCCCACAAGACTACCCCCCGCCTCAGATGCCAGTCGCAAATAGTAGGTTGTCACCTATACTTCTGACCAACCTGCTGTAAGTTGGAGTTCCCAAGACCCCCTCTTGGGTTCAATCAACTTTCTAGAGTGGCTCACAGAACTCAGGGAAACACTTTACCACCCATTTGTGATAAAAAAAAAAAAAAAAAATTACAAAGGATACAAACGAATGGCCAGATGGAAGAGATGCACAGGGCAAGCTGTAGGGGCGAGGAGTGCAGAACCTCTATGCCTTCTCTGGGCATGCCACCCTCCAAGAACCTCCATTGTGTTTAGCTATCTGGAGGCTCTCTTAACCCTTTCCTTTGGGATTTTTATTGAGGCTTCATTACATAGGCACGATTGATTACATTATTGACCAATGGTGATCAACTTAACCTTCAGTTCCTCTCCCTCCCAAGAGGTTGGGGGATGGGGCTAAAAGTTCCAACCTCCTAATCATACTTTAGTCTTCCCAGTAACCAACCCCCATCCTGAAGCTACCTAGGGAACCTCCTGGCCACCAGTCATTCGTTATCATACAAAGGATATTTTTATCACTCTGGAGACTCCAAAGGTTTTTGGAGCTGTATGACAGGGAATGAGGAGGAAGACCAAATATTTTTTTTACAATATTGCATAGATATTCATGTACAACATTGCACAATATTGCATAGAGAGTAATAATAACCTCCAGTAGGTTCTTAGTTGCAAAGGACCCCTGTTACAAAGGATAGATTAACAAGAGAAAAACAAGCAGAAATTTATTAACATGTATATTTCATATATGCATGGGAGACAACCAGAGAATGAGTAGTTCTCAAAGAGGTGGCTTTGAATTCTAACTTCTATGGCATCTTCAACAAAGAACAATAAATCTTTTTATTATTATTATACTTTAAGTTCTGGGATACATGTGCAGAACGTGCAGGTTTGTTGCATAGGTATACACGTGCCATGGTGGTTTGCTGCACCTATCAACCCATCATCTACATTAGGTATTTCTCCTAATGCTATCCTTCCCCCAGCCCCTGACTCCCCAACAGGCCCTGGTGTGTGATGTTCCCCTCCCTGTGTCCATGTGTTCTCATTGTTCAATTCCCACTCATGAGTGAGAACATGCGGTGTTTGGTTTTCTGTTCCTGTGTTTGCTGAGAATTATGGTTTCCAACTTCATCCATGTCCCTCCAAAGGACATGAACTCATCCTTTATATGGCTGCATAGTATTCCATGGTGTATATGTGTCACATTTTCTTTATTCAGTCTATCATTGATGGGCATTTGGGTTGGTTCCAAGTCTTTGCTCTTGTGAACAGTGCTGCAATAAACATACATGTGCATGTGTCTTTATAGTAGAATGATTTATAATCCTTTGGGCGTATACCCAGTAATGGGATTGCTGGGTCAAATGGTATTTCTGGCTCTAGATCCTTGAGGAATCACCACACTGTCTTCCACAATGGTTGAACTAATTTACACTCCCACCAACAGTGTAAAAGCATCCCAATTCCTCCACTTCGTCTCCAGCATCTGTTGTTTCCTGACTTTTTAATGATCACCATTCTAACTGGCATGAAATGATATCTCACTGTGGTTTTGATTTGCATTTCTCTAATGACCAGTGATCACAAGCTTTTTTTCATATGTTTGTTGGCCACATGAATGTCTTCTTTTGAGAAATGTCTGTTCCTACCCTTCCCCCACTTTTTGATGGGGTTGTTTGCTTTTTTCTTGTAAATTTGTTTAAGTTCTTTGTAGAATCTGGATATTAGCCCTTTTTCAGATGGATAGATTGCAAACATTTTCTCCCGTTCTGTAGGTTGCCTGGTAGTGTAAATCTTTAGAGAAGTGACAAAACAAAGGAAAAGGACTTTGAGTCTCTATGGGAAGCAATTTGAGGGGGTGGAGAGACAAGCAAATGGCAGATAAAAGCTAGTTTGTAAAGCTTGTTAATATAAATTCCTGTGGTGTCATCTAAAGCTGTCTTCCATGATTAACCTTTGTTCTGTCTGGTAGAGAGGGAGGCAGGATACTTGTCTTTGCAAATCTATGTCCTGCTTTCAGGCAATAGAGGGAGGATGGAACACTGTCCTGTATTTGATTCTTCTTAACTGCCTTCAATTCAACAATCTTTCATATTTTGGGAGGTATATTCTAGTCTCCCATATTCATTAAACTAAACAAAAAGGGAATAGGATCACACTCTACAGACTAAATTGTATTCTACTTTTTTTAACTTAAAGAATTGTGAACACTTTTGTTGCAATGAAGTACTATCTTATAGTATTTTTTTTAGCCATATGTATTTTATTTCATTGTTGTTCATTGAAATAACCCCTTATGGATGGACATTGACACCGTTTTTATATTTTGCTATTTTAAATAAGATTGTGATGACTATACTTACAAAAATATCTTAAGATCTACCTCTGATTATTTCCTTACGACAAATTATTTTGAAATGGAAGTGCTGGATTAAAGAAAAGTTCCGTTTTCAAGGCCTCAGATCATGTTGTCATATTGCTGTACAGAGGCAGTTCTCAAACCTTTTGGTCTCAGTGCTTTTTTACACTCTTAAAAAATACTGAAGATCCCAAAGAGCCTGTGTTTATGTTAGTTACTTCTATCAATATGTGGCTGCGTTTTAGGGAGCACAGAGAGGCAAAAGGGATGGTGTGGGTACTAGCTATTTTAGAAATTAAAGCATAGAGATTTTAAGAATATTAATTCACTTAAAATAATGACGATAAACTCCTTAAATGCTAACATAAATTAAGGTAACATGTTATTTACAAAACAAAAAATATTTAGCGTGAAGAATGGCATGGATTTACATTTTTGCAAATCTCATCAAAATCTAGCTTAATGAAAGATGCTGGATTGTCCTATCTGCTTCTGCATCAATATGTTGCAAAATGACACATCATAGAGCCTGTGGAAAGCTCCATTGTCTACCATGGAGAGAATGAGAGTAGAAAAAGAAAAAAACATCTTAGTACTATTATGAAAATAGTTTGATCACCTGCAGATCTTCAAAGGGCCTCAGGAAGCCCTAGGGGTCCAGGGAACATTACCTTTAAAAAACAAATTTAAAAATCTTTACTAATTTGTTAAGCAAAAAGTAAAATCTCTTAGTTGCTATTTTCTAAATATCTTTTTGAGGCCTAAATTACATACCATAAAGTTTACCCATTTAAAGTGTATAAATCATCATTGCTTTTAGACACTAAGTTTTTGGATTGTTACACAGCCAAAGCTAACTGATATAAATTACGTATTAACATTGACAGTGAAAGAGAAGCATTGAATAAATAGCATGAAAAAGCATAAGATGAATAGCTTCTGTACAGTTACAACAGTTAAATCAATATGTGACATTATTATTGCTATTGTTACTATTAGTAACAGTCAAATATTTACTGAGTTCCTGCTGTAAGCATTTATTATTCTCTATCTCATTCAGATTTCTCCATAACCACCCTGTGAAAGATGATTTATTAGCTCAATTTCTGTCCTCACAGATTTAAAGAAACTATTATCGTCCATCACAGTGGTGCTATGTTGATACCATCCCTGCTCCCAAAGAGTGAGTGAGATGTACAAATGTGAAACATCAAAAGAATGCCATCCATTTATTCTTTCATTTATTTATTTTCTAGATGTTTGTTGAGGATCCAAATTGCACCAGGCTCTGTGCTAGACTCTGGGGGAGACAGAGACTAAGGATGAATTTCCCCCCACTTACTCCTACCTTCAGGGACTATGACGGTGTTGAGATACATCTCAGATTAGTTCATTAATGCTGACTCACGTCATAACACTCATTCCAAGATGAGTGAGGTCGGGGGCGACCGTGGACAGTCTCACACTGGAGGTAGGACTAAGTGCAGTTGGGCTGTGGGAGGAGAGTCGGTGTTTTAGGGAGCACAGAGAAGCAAAGGCAATGAGTGTGGATATCAGAGAGAAGAATCCCGAGGGCTGAGGGCTGATATTAAGGCAGAGGGAGATCACACTGCCAGGAAAGCTAGGGCTAATTGGATAATCCAGGAACTAAAGGCTTCAATGGAATAGTCCAGAGACAGCAAAAATGAGGTACACCTGCTGCTACATCTTTGTTCTGAATGGCAGACATCATTAATCAACCACCTCCTACAGAGCCTGGGTCTTTTTCAACCCAGTGATCCAGGAAGCCACCACAAAGCAATCAGAGTGTGCATACATGATGAACCCTATTTGCCATTGTTGAAATAGTCATTCTCTCTCCTGCGGACAAAAGACAAAAATATTCAGTAGGCTCCAGATAAGGTGAATCATAGGGTAAAATAGAGAACTCTGGAGCTAGATTTCCTGAGGTTGGAACCTGGTTTATCTACATACCAACTGTAGGACCTTGTGCAAGATATGTGATCTCTCTGTTCCTCAGTTTCCATGTCTGAAAAATAGGAATAATAGGATTGCTAAGAGGCATGTATGAGATAATACCTTCTAAACATAGCAATGCCCAGCACATCACTATTTCATTCCAGCGCTCCTACTCTTCACTTCTTAATCTTTCCCCATTGCAGCAATCAACCAACCTCCAATTGGATTGAAACAAGAAAATAGACTTAGCAAAGGTGGGTAAAGCATGTGAATGTTACAGTTTTGCTGTGTAGACAAGGACAGAGCCCACAACTTCAAACAGCCTCTGGGGAGAAAAGTCATTACCAATCATGCCAATCCCTAGCTGAGCACCCTAGAGACATGCCTAGCAAAAAGTGAGGTGTCCTATCTCTAGATTTGGAGGACAGCACATTGATGTGTTCCTTTCCTCTATGATTTTTAGAAACGCTCATGATTACTCAGTTCCACTGACTATGTTATCTGTTTGGTTAATTTGATGTCCTAACATTGGGAGGACAACACTAGAAATGAAGCACCAAGGGGAGAAGAAAATCAATCTCACAAGTAAAGCCTCTGTGATTTCCAGATTTCATAATAGGGAGCCAGGGAGGATCCAAATATATTTGCATAAATTCCCCATTGTATACAGAACTCCTTCCCATCAATAAGAAAATAGTCTATAAGCCAGTAGAAAACTAAGCAAAGACTACGATCAGGGAGATCACTGGAAAAGAAATATTAATAGCTTTGAAATAAATGAAAAGATGTTAACTATCTTGAGATACCATATTTTACCTACAAGATGGGCAAGGTTGTTATAATTTGATAATACTCAGTGTTGGAAGGTGGGAGAGGAGACAGGTGCTCTCATACATTGACGATGGAGGCATTAAATAGTAGAACCTCATGTAGATCAATTTGACAATATCAATCACAATTACAAATCCCATAACAGAATTGTACACATGTGAAATGACACATATGTGAGATTATTATTGTGGTGTAATTTGTGTTAAAGTTGAGAAACAACCAATCAATAGGGACTTGTTAAATAAATTATGATACAGCTGCGTAATGGAAAAATATATAGGTATAAAAGAGGAATAAGAAAGATCTTATATACAGAAATGGGATTATCTCCAAGATATGTTGATAAGACTGTTAAAAGCAAGATATAGGATATAATTTATAGTATGTTGTTATTTTTGTAAAAAAGGAGGAGAAAAAATATATTTGCTTGTTTTTAGAGACTCACTCCTCACTCTCTGAAAAGATACCTGTAAATTGAGCAACTGTGGCTGGTCTAGAGAGGACAATTGGGTGGCTGGGACCAGGAGAAGGAAGAGGACTTCCCATCTATACATGCTTGTACCTTTCAACTGTCCACCATGAGAACATATTTACCAATTCAGTAATTAAAATAAGACCAGGTGCGGTGGTGCACGCCTGTAATCTCAGCACTTTGGGAGGCTGAGGCAGGTGGATGACTTCAGGTGAGGAGATCAGCCTGGCCAACACCGGGAAACCCCATCTCTATTAAAAATACAAAAATTAGCCGGGAGTGGTGGCACACACCTGTAGTCCCCGCTACTTGAGAGGCTGAGGCAGGAGAATTGCTTGAACCTGGGAGGCAGAGGTTGCAGTGAGCCGATCACACCACTGCACTCCAGCCTGGGCAACAGAGTGAGTTCCTATCTCAAATAAATAAATAAAATATAAAGATAAAAAAACAAAATTATTTGAGGATGAGTAACTGGCTTCTAATTTGCTTTATATTCCTTAATTTCTGTTTCATATTCATAGTCTTGTGGGATGCTGGGGTCTTTACCTTGCTACGTTATAGAGCAAAGTCAGTTTCGAGTCCCTTCTCTCTTGACAGTTGCGTGTCAGGAGGGAGAGGGGGATGTGATACCTGCCTTGCCAGGCTTAGGCTTTTAAAAACCAAAGCCAGAAAGATCCTTTCTGTTTTCCTCTTTATGTTCTGTCCTGTTGCATCTCTTCCCTAAGACAATGTGCAAGAGTCTAGGTGCCTCTGTTGGCAGGAAAGCGGGGAGGAAAAAACAAGAAAAAAAAAACTAAGATAAATTTTATAGTTTACATGATGACCTCCAATGAATCCTGCCTCTCTGAAGTCACAGCCTTGTGTGAACCCTCATGCCGAATCTGGGCTGATTTCAATTTGCTAGGACCAATTGAAGGCAGTAGAAGTGATGGAGGTAAGTGAGCCCCCAAATTAAGTCTTAGCCTGGCAGGATTCTTGGTTACACCCAGGAAACAATTAAAGGGCAAGCTGGTGGTGTTAGACAGCAGCCTGTATTGAAGCAGCAGAGCACGGCAGCAGCAGATGTCCAGGCTCCTTGCAGAGCCGGACTACCCCATGAGCACTGTGCCTAGAGTAGCAGTTCAGGACAGTTCTGTAGCCATATTTATACCTACTTTTAATTACATGCAAATTAAGGGGCATGTTATGCAGAAATTTCCAGAAAAGGATGGTAACTTCCCCATCATTGGGTCATTGCCATGGAAAGGGGTGGGTAACTTCCTAGCGTTGCCATGGCAATGGTAAACTGACATGGCACTGGTATCCATGTCCTATGGAGAGGAATTTGATATGGCTGGACTTGTGTCTCCACCCAACTCTCATCTCAATTTGTAATTCCCATAATCCCTACATGTCTCGAGAGGGACCTGGTGGGAGGTGACTGGATCATGCGGGCGGTTCCCCCATGCTGTTCTCATGATAGTGAGTGAGTTCTCACGAGATTTGATGGTTTTGTAAGTGTTTGACAGTTCCTTCTTCTCTCTGTCACCTGCCACCATGTAAGACGTGCCTGCTTCCCTTTCTGCTATGATTGTAAGTTTCCCGAGGCCTCCTCAGCCATGCAGAACGATGAGTCCGTTAAGCCTCTTTTCTTTATAAATTACCCAGTCTCAGGCAGTTCTTTATAACAGTGTGAGAATGAACTAATACAGTGCTTTTGCCTCTTCCCTGTTTCAGCCAGTCTTCAGTCTGGTCTGGAGACCAAGCCCTGCCTCTGGGGTTGAGTCCCACCTCCTACCTCAGAAGTGACCTACAGAACTTGTGCAAGTTATAGGAGTTGCTTTCTAACTTCCATTTTTCCCTCTGTTGTTACCGGGAGCTGCCTTGTAGAGTCCAAGCAGACACCATAGGAAGAGAAAGGCCCCAGGGACTAAAAGATCAAGAGGAGAGAGAGGAAGGAGGGAGCAGATCCAGCCAGCCCCCAGCTGTTCAAGCCATCTCAGCTGAAGAGCCAGTGTCAACCAACACCCTGTGAAGCAGAGTTGACCTAGCTCTGTCAAGTCCTGTCCAATTGCTGAATTATGAGCAAAGAAATGAGTGCTGTTTTAAGCTACCAAATTCAGGGGTGAATTTTATACAGGAATAGAAAATGGATTCTGGAGAACACATCAACAATGTTATCTTGCCATACAAACATTATTTCATTTAATCCTCACAGCAACTGTCAAAGTAGGCATTATTGTCCTCATCCTGCAGATGAGGAAACTAGATTCTGGGAGCTTAAATTACATAGCTAGGGTCACACAGCTTGTGTGTGCTCAAGCTGGGATTCGAACTCAGGGTTGTCAAACTCTAAAGGCTTTGCTTTCAGCCCCACTGTCCAGCACTGCAGCTTTGAGGTCTGTGTGCAGACAAGCAATGCATGTTTGTCTCTGTTCCTATGTGACACCAAATTCAGAATCCACCTGGCAGAAAACTAAATAGCATTGGCCCTGGATCTTAGTGAGATGTGAAGGCCAGCACCATGGTCTGAGACACTTTCTCCAAATTAGTGATTTGAAGTGGTGAGATCTCTCAAAAACACAGCTTTCCAAGCTTTTGAAAATGACTAGGAAACATGTGCTGAAAGGTAAAGAAAGCTGGGTAACAGACCTATAAATCAGTGCTGTGGAATAGCCACTCTATCTTCATTTAAAAACCTAGTCTTAGGGCTGGGCACAGTGGCTCATGCCTGTAATCCAGCACATTGGGAGGTGCAGGTGGGAGGACTGCTTTAGCCCAGGAGTTCGAGACTAGCCTGGGCAACACTGTGAGACCCTGTCTCTACCAAAAAAATTAAAAATTAGCTGGGCATGGTGGTGTGTGCCTGAGCTACTCAGAGGAACCCTTGAGCCTGGGAGGTGGAGGCTGCAGTGAGCCATGATCACACCACTGCACTCCAGCCCCAGTGATAGATTGAGACCCTGTCTCAAAAAATCACATCAAATTAAAACCTAGTCTTAGACCACCAGACCCTATTTGGAATGATGGAATCTTCAAGTTGGGTGGTGCATTTATCACGGTTCTTAGGTGCAAGCACCAGGACCCACCCTAGCTGGTCTCAGCTGAAATGGAATTTTTTTAAGGGCTAGTACGCAAATCACAGATTGTGTAGGAGGTCAGGGAATCAGGCTTGGAGGAGGCAGCACGTTCCACCAGTAGCTCCCAGTAGAGAGGCTCCTGCTGCCAACACAGACACCTCAGCCCCCACCACAGGTATGCCCTGCATGGGTGTTACCACCAGGATTCCACCACTGCTGTCCCTCCCCACTAAAGGACAAGGCACAAGCAGTGCCTCTCTGTTGCCTAATACTGCCCTGCCCATGGGAGGCTCATGCCTGTGCATCTGATTGGTGGTGTCCAGGTCACATGACAGTACCACAGCAGCAAAGGAGGCTGGGAAAGTGAGTTCTGGTTTCTACCTGGGGGCAAAGGACGGAAATTCATAATGTGGGAAGCTCTCCAAACATAGGAGGGGCCATCTCCAAGACGACAAACAGAAGGAATCCTAGAGACCACACTTTCCCTGACATTTTCAATTAACAGATGAGGAAACTGAGGCTCAGAGAGGGGAAGGGTTTTGCCCAGCGTCACACAGAGAGTGAAAGGTTATGACCAGAATTCTAGTGATAGCCACAATCTTCAGCTTGGCCAGCTTTTGGGCCAGTGTCTGTTGGTTATACATGATGTTTTCATTCATTCTTTCAGCAAGTATTTCATGCTGTGCCAGACACAGTGCTAAGACTGGGACACAATATCAAATGTGACTTCACTCCTACCTTCAGGAAACTTACAGTGTGGTAGGGAAGACCCCAGGTAAGTGAGCCAGCTAGCGCCATGTGCTAAAAGACACTCTTCCCGGGGTTGGGGGGCGGGCGCGGTGGCTCACGCCTGTAATCTCAGCACTTTGGGAGGCCGAGGTGGGTGGATCATGAGGTCAGGAGATCGAGACCATCCTGGCTAACACGGTGAAACCCTGTCTCGACTAAAAATACAAAAAATTAGCTGGGCGTGGTGGCGGGCGCCTGTAGTCCTAGCTACTCGGGAGGCTGAGGCGGGAGAACAGCATGAACTCAGGAGGCGGAGCTTGCAGTGAGCCGAGGTCGCGCCACTGCACTCCAGCCTGGGCGACAGAGCGAGACTCCGTCTCAAAAAAAAGACACTGTTCCCACTACCTGACCGTGTCCATAATCACTGATACACAGCTCAATGCCCACTCCTCCAGGAAGCCTTCCTTCACCAGCTCACCCTGCAGCCACAGCTCCATACCATTCATCCTTTCTTCAACTAACATTTACGGAGCACCCAGGATGCTCGGTCATGAGACAAACCTAGAAAGCACTGAGATGCTTAACCTATTTACAGGTGTTATGGCGGCTTATTAAGAGGCTAATGGGGCACTGGAGGGAGGGCTGCTTGCCAACCCTGAGGTTCCCAAAAACTATCCCAGAGGAAGTGCTGCTTAAGTTGACATTTGAGAGATGGATAGGTGTTTTCAAGGCAGTCGAGGTGGGGAAGAGTGTTCCAGGCAGTGAAAACAGTGCTAGCAAGGACATGGAGGTGGGGAATGGCCTTTTTAATTTAATTTAATTTAATTTAATTTAATTTAATTTAATTTAATTTAATTTAATTTAATTTTTTGAGACAGGCTCTATAGCTCTGTCACCCAGGCTGGAGTGCAGTGCCACGATCATGGCTCACTGCAGCCTTTTTCTGTTGGGCTCAAGCAATCTTCCCACCTCAGTCTCTCCAGTAGCTGGGACTACAGGCACACACCATCATGCCCAGCTAATTTTTTAAAAATTTTTTGTAGAGTCACAGTTTCACCATGTTGCCCAGCCTGGTGTCAAACTCCTGGGCTCAAGCAATCTGCCCACCTTGGCCTCTCAAAGTGCTGGGATTACAGGCGTGAGCCACCACACCCAGCGGGAATGGCCTTTAATTCCACCCCTGTCTCATGACCCTTCACAGACACCATCCTGGGCTGTGGGCATCTTTTTCCAGAATGCTGGAGTGCAAGACCCCATTCTTACTCTTGTCCGTATTTCTCAGGCTCCTGCACTGAAATAATGTCTGGGATTCTTGTGTGCTCCCCTAGTCACCCTCCTGGACTTTGAGCCTCATGGGAGATGATTTAAACCTCTCAGTGAGAGGCATTTTCCTTTACATGTGAAACATGTCATCACATTCCCGTAACCCCAATTGCTCTTGGGTGAAAATAAATAGATAAATAAGTAATTTTTCACAAAATTAATTAGCAGATAAGAAGATGCTAATGTGTTTTGCCAACTGTATCTCTCCCCAGGTTGCTCCCAGCCAGCCTGGGGTTGGGGAGGGGCTCTGCCTGCTTGGAGCTGGCACCTTCAGAGATGGCAGGCAATCCTGAGTACAGTGGTATGGGGACTTCTCTCTACCTGCGGGCCAAGTGGACTACCCTTTCCCAATGAATGAATGTTTGTGTTAGTGGAAAGGCCTGTGACGGGACAGAGCCCAGGTTCTAGATCCAGACAGATCTGGGCTGGATTTCTGCATGGCTGTTTAGCAGCCATAAGGACTGCCTTAACATCACTTTTCTCAACTGCAAAATGAAGTTTGCTGAAGATGCCTGTCTTCCAGGGTAGTTTCGAGGATTCAATGAGACGGTGTATGGAAAGCTCTGGAACCAGGTGTATGATCTCCATCTTACAGATGAGAGCCCTCAGGCTCACAGAGGCAGGTAAGGTGACCTGCCTAAGGTCACACTGCCCGTGAGCTAGGATCTGCATGGTCCATCCTCATGATCTCACACTGTGCTAGCCTTCTGCTTGGCAAAGACCAGAATATTCCTTGAAACAGCTGTGGGTCTCAGGTCCTATGACAGCAGGCAGCACAGGGAAAGCCAATTCCCTCCCTCCAGGGCAGACCTGGCTGTCCTGTGCCAAGGGAGCTTTGATTATAGTGACCTTATTTTCCAACCAACGCTGGGACAATGGGACCCACCTTTGACATCAGGAGGCTCCCAGGAGACCCTTGGTGAGGGGCAACCTCCACGGCTGGCGGGGGGGGGGGGGGCTGGTGGGCAGAGGCTGGCATCAGGTGAGCCTTCCACCAGAGGGCTGCCTCTCTTCCCTCCCCACTGGTGTTTTATTAGCTGGCTGGACAAGTGGCTTCTAGGATGGTGAAGCAGGCTCTTAAAAATTTCCCTTGAAAATTGGCAGATTTGTCTCTTCAGTACCTGCTATAGAGCTGAGGCAGGAAGGGCCTGACATCCCGTTTACATTGACAACAACAAATGGTGTCAGCACCATGCTGACCACTGACACTGATGACATTCCTTATCTCAGCAATCTTAGGAGGCAGGTCCTGGATCAGTTCCCATATTTGGATGAGGAAATGGGAGCCCAGAGAGGTGAAAGACCTTGCCCAGGGTCACACAGCTCATGGGTAGCACAGCTGGGATTCAAACTCAGGAGGCTGTGACTGCAAAGTGGATGTTCCCGCTGCAGCAACAGGCAGCCTTCCCAAGGATCACTTCTCAATTGTAGGATGAGTGGGCAAAAGAGCCAGTGATCCTGCACTTCTGGGCAGGTAAGAAATGACATCTGGCCGGGCGCGGTGGCTCACGCCTGTAATCCCAGCACTTTGGGAGGCCGAGGTGGGCGGATCACGAGGTCAGGAGATCGAGACCATCCCGGCTAAAACGGTGAAACCCCGTCTCTACTAAAAATACAAAAAATTAGCCGGGCGTAGTGGCGGGCGCCTGTAGTCCCAGCTACTTGGGAGGCTGAGGCAGGAGAATGGCGTGAACCCGGGAGGCGGAGCTTGCAGTGAGCCGAGATCCCGCCACTGCACTCCAGCCTGGGCGACAGAGCGAGACTCCGTCTCAAAAAAAAAAAAAAAAAAAAAAAGAAATGACATCTGTGCAAGATTAGTCATGGCAAGTCTGTTTTTGGAACACCGAAGTCTGTTCTCATGCTGCTAATAAAAACATACCCCAGACTGGGTAATTATAAAGAAAAAGAGGTTTAATGAACTCACAGTTCCACATGGCTGAGGAGGCCTCACAATCATGGTGGAAGGTGAAGGAGGAGCAAAGGCACATCTTACATGGTGGCAGGCAGAGAGAGGGAGCATGTGCAGGGGAACTCCCCTTTATAAAACCATCAGAACTCGTGAGACTTATTCACTATCATGAAAACAGCATGGGAAAAATCCACCCCCATGATTCAATTACCCCCCACCAGGTCCCTCCCATGACACGTGGGAGTTATTACAATTCAAGGCGAGATTTGGGTAGGAATACAGCCAAACCGTATCACAAAGTAATCTAGATGTCCATCCAAAAGGGAAGGGTTAAATCAATTACAGTTTACTCAGACCATAGAATTGTATGTACATTTAAACATAACCAGGATGCTCTCTGTGTATTGAAAAGGAAGGATTTATAGGATTTATTGTTAAGCAAAAAAAAAAAAGCATATGGCAGAATAGTATATTAATATACTATTTTATATGTAAATTAGAGGAAGACCATCATCTCTATTTGCATTAACTTGTATATGCAAAAATAAATTCTGGAAGGATACATAAGAAACTGAAGTGTTTTCTTGGAGTGTCCATTGGGGCAGGAATGAGCCAGAGGGTACGATGAGGAAGCAGGGGAGATTGTCACTCTTCACCTTTCTACAGTTTTTCTCACCTTTTTTTTTTTTTTTTTTGAGAGATGGGGTCTCACTGTGTCACTCAAGCTGGAGCATACTGCTGCCACATAGCTCACTTTGGCCTCAAACTCCTGGGCTCCAAGCAATCTCCCACCTCAGCCTCCTAAGTAGCTAGGGCTATAGGCATGTGCCACCATGCCCAGCTAATTTTGTTTTTATTTTTTGAGAGACAGAGTTTTGCTGCATTGCTCAGGCTGGTCTTAAACTCTTGGCCCTGAGCGATCCTTCTGCCTCAGCCTCCCAACTATCAGGAATTATAGGCATGATCCACCACACCTAGTACCTTTTTATTTTGAAATAATTATAGACTCACAAGAGGTTATGTAGCAAAAATAGTACAGAGAGTTCCCATGTACCCTTTATCCAGCTTCCCCACACGGTAACATCTTCTGTAATGGTCATACATTATCAAAACCAGGAGATTGC